>NC_000004.12:75171381-76421381 GCF_000001405.40 Homo sapiens
CTCTATAGTAGAATTATGTCCTTCTACATTTCTCTGTTCGTCTCCTCTTCATTGTGACACATTTTTGCCTGGTCCTCTGGAATTAATCAAACACAGGTGTTCTTGTATGGGCAATCCTTTTCTTATTACTAAGCAAATGTGACTGCTTGGAATAACTACTTTAAATGCTGTGATTAAATTCTCCAAAAACTTTCAAGCATTTATTCCTATTGAAACATGCCTGTGGGAAGAAGAGGTGTTTCCATGTAACAGATGCAAAAGCCAAGGCATAGAGAAGTTACAAAACTAAAATTTTCTAGCACTTGGCAAAGTGCCCTGTTCATATTAAGCACATATTTGTCATTGAAATAGAAAACGACCAAAACATCTAATTATGCTGGTTAGTCTGGACTCCCTCAACTCTAGTTTGATGCTCCTCACTACAGGACATACAGTTTATAGCCCTGAATGCTGTATTGTTTCCTCCTAAACTCCTTTACCCTTGTAATCCTCCAGCTAACTCTTATTCTACCTATGCTTTAAGTGTGACAACCATGTTTCCTAACACTGAGCAATGTACATGAAGTAATTTCCCTTTTTTTTTTTTTTTTGAGACGGAGTCTCGCTCTGTCACCCAGGCTGGAGTGCAGTGGCACGACCTTGGCTCACTGCAGCCTCTGCCTCCCAGGTTCAAGCGATTCTCCTGCCTCAGCCTCCCGAGTATCTGGGACTACAGGTGCCTGCCAACATGCCTAGCTAACTTTTTTGTATTTTTAGTAGACATGGGGTTTCACCATATTGGCCAGGCTGGTCTCCTGACCTTGTGATCCACCCACCTCAGTCTCCCAAAGTTCTGGGATTACAGGCATGAGCCACCGTGCCCGGCCAATTTCCATTCTTAAGAAAAGGTTACTGAGATAGTAGTTAGGCAGTTATATGCACAGATACTGGAGCCAAAATGCCTAGGTTCAAATTCCAGCTTCGATAGTGTATTATGTGTGTGATTATGAGCAAATTAGTTAATAACTCTTTTTTTACCCATCTACAAAGTAGAAATAGTATTACCTAATTCATAGTTGTTATGAAATGAGTTCATGCAAAACCTCTGAACAATTCCTAAAATACATTCAATGTTTGCTGTTTTCATTATTCCAAGACACTCCTTCCTCACTTTCAGGGGAATGATTCTTTTATGCTGAAACATTCTTATTTCCTGTCAGTCTCATTCAGAAGATTCTAATCATGTAAAATACATTACCTACTGCTTCTTCTTTCTTTTCCCCAGAATCACACCCAAAGCCAGCACCATGGTGTCAGACCTTATCCCAGCCCACATTCAGGCTGTGGGTATAGCAGGCCAAGCTTCCTGTAGACAGAGGTGGTTGTAAATTTCTAGAAATGACTCTCACAATAGATGTCACTTCTCAGCTGAATCACAAGCTAATTCTGTCTCTAAGAGTCTTTTACTTATACAGCTTGTGTAATGCCACAAAATCTTCAGAAATCCCCTTCTCTTCCCCACCCCTAATCTAGGGTCTAATACAGGAAAATTTAGCAATATTGACCTCAGAGTCCAGCAGTCTTGATGAGTGTGCCAAAGAGACTTTCTCTCTTCAGGTGTGTTTTTTTCTTCCTTTTTCAATCTCAGTTTTCTTACTGTCACAAACACTACTAATTGTTCCTCAATAACTATTCTTATCTTTTTCCATTGCAATAGAATTTTGGTAGGGCACACAGCCCCCAAAATAAAGACTATTTCTTAGCCTTTCTTCCAGCTTGGTGTAGCCATAAGTTCTGGCCAATGGAGGTAAGCATAGGTGACACATCCCACTTCTAGATTGAGTCATTAAAGGAAGAGGTATCCCTTTTCTCCCCCACTCTGACCTACTGCTTCAAAAGTGGATATGGTGGCCAGATAACTTGGACCATGTGGATGACAGCAATATCCTTGAGCTATGGAGCAGCAAAAGAGAATAAGCCTGGGTCTCCAGAGAATCTAACAGGGCAAAGCCAGCCCTACCAGCCCCAGACCCTCTATCTCTGGACTACATGTAAGTACGATATAATATAAAACTTTTGATCTACAGTAATTTGAAGTCTCTTTTACACACAGCTGAATCTACCTTCTAATACACTTGCCAATTTTGTGTTCTTTTTAAAGAAATTTACTTCTGTCTTTAATTTATGTTTAGCCTTATGTGAGAGATGTTATGTTCCCTTCATTCTAATCTCTTTTTGTTTTCCTTTCTAAAGTGCATGCTCAAAAATGTATACATTTTACCTTAAAGCTGTGTTTTTCTTTGCTTCATGTAAAAGCAGCGACTTCATTGCCAAAAAATAATTTTTCTCCAGACGTTCTATATTAATTTCATATAGGACTTTACCAAAGTTTTTACCTGGTGTCAATTTTCTTGATTTCTATTTAGCTTATCTATTGCCAAAATTCTACAATTCTAAATGATGGTGATATGTAGTCACCCCTTGGTAACTGAATGGAAGATTGGTTCCAGGGCCCTTGAACCCAAAATTCATGAATTCTCAAGTCTCTTATATAAAGTGGTGTGTATAAATTTGCATATAACCTACACACATCCTCTCATATACTTTAAATCATCTTTAGATTACTTAAAATACTGACTACAGTGTAAATGCTACAACATAGTAGTTACACTATATTATTTTTTAATTTGTATTATTTTTATTGTCATATTGTTATTTTTTATTAGTTTTTTTTTCTGAATATTTTTGATGCATTGTTGGTTGGATCCACAGATGCAAAACCTACGGATACCATGATCAACTGTATTATATCTGTTTTGTACTCTTATTTCTTCCTTGTTTATGTCCCATAATGTAACTAATTAGAGATAAAACATAGGTTTGAAAAAGGAAAGATGCATTTACATACATTGTACATGTACTGTATAGCTTGCTTCACCAATAGCAAATTTCTTTTGAGCATTTGGTATACAGCATATAGCTTTAAATATCCTAGTGGGTATTTTAGTTCACTGTTGTTCATGGTTTGTCTATAATTTTGCTTTCCATTTTAAAAATAAATTTTCTCAAATACATTTATCTGAGATTTACTGTAGGTATCAACATGTTTTGTTTGTGTTTTTGAGTTGCTGCTTTAATTCAGGTTTTTTTTTCTAATTAATATCCCATTTATTAAACATTATCAACTCAAAGATATTGTTTTCCTTAAGCTTTTAATTTCCATTTACAAGTTTTATTCTATTTATTAAAATAGCAAATTCTAACAATTACCCTCAAGAACTCAAATCAAATATTTCATTAATCTTTGATCAGGTGAATTTGTTTGGTTTCTTTTATAAACTTAAGATCCCTTAGACATTTTTATTACATTTATATATTTGATTAAATTATCTTTTTAAATTATATATATATATCACTATATATATCTCACTATATAGTGATATATATATATATCTCACTATATATATATATCTCACTATATATATATCTCACTATATATATATATATATATACATATATATATATATATATATATATATATATATATATGGCTAATTTTTTTGTATTTTTAGTAGAGACAGGGTTTCACCGTGTTAGCCAGGATGGTCTCGATCTCCTGACCTCATGATCCACTGACCTCAGCCTCCCAAAGTGCTGGGATTACAGGCATGAGCCACCGCGCCTGGCCACGCTTTTTTTTAATGTTACTACCAGGAAAATTTTTTGAACCACTTAAATATTTAACTGAATTCAATATACCAAACTTAAAATTCGGTGAATTCTAAGCTCTCTTAAATAATCAACACGATAAACTTAGTAAAATATCTTATGCATTTCAAATTAAGAATTGTAAATCAAATAAGTTACTAAACTACATATTTTAACTTGGAATCACAAGGATATATGTTTACAATACATCCAATTCTCTTTAAATCCAAATGTGCCCATTATAGTTAAATTAATAGAAAAATATTAATATTGTGGGTTCAAGTCATTATCTCTAAGATTAATCGATGCTTCCCTTTTGTAAAACAAATTTTGTTTACTAAAGAAAGCAAGTTAAAGTTTATCATCTCAAATGAATTGTGGTGACTGTCTTGGCATGCTCAGGTTTCTCACTGGCCAGAGGCTTTGGCCAGGCTGACTCTCCATAGGCCACTAATAAGTAAGAGGAACTCTCCTATGGAGTCACTCTGCCATTAGGGAATACAAGCCCATGCCCTCCAAATAAGTCAGTTTTATGGCCCCCAGAATTCAAGTTACACATTTTCTATTTCTTCAAACTGGTTTAAGCCTGCAATATCCTCACTGAGACAATCTGAGTGATTTATTAAATTTTACTAATTCAGTTACTGCCTGGTTCCATTCTGATCACCTTTCAGTCTTGCTGTAGGTTCCCATGACAAATCTTATAGATATTTAAATGACGTTTGATTTAATTCTGTGTATCCCTCTGTCTGACTCTCCAGGCCTTAGACAACATCATAGTAATGGCAGTAAGAGGATGCATACATCTGGTTTCTAGTATTAGAACTCACTTTGAACACAGATATGCCTTCTAACTGTTTTTACATTTCAAAATCACTTTCATCCTATATTCACATTGTTAAACCTGATATTTTTGTTGTTGTTAAACTTGAAGGGTAAATTTTACTCTTTTAAAAACTCATTTGGCTTTTGATTACAAAATAAATATAATGTAATTTTCTCCAGGAGGCAAGGCTCCAAAGCTTAACCTGTCCCCATATTCTCCTGCCCAAACTCATGCAAAACTATCTTACCTCAAAGCTGACACATACTTTTAAACCTGCCTCTGTAAAGTCTTTATAAGGTGCTATGGTTTGAATGTTCCCTTTAAAACTCCTGTTGAACTTTAATTGCCATTGTGATGACATTAAGAAGTGGGATCTTTAAGAGGTGACTAGGCCATGAGGGCGAAGCCCACAATGGATTAATGCTATTATTGACAAAGTGAGTTAGCTAACTCAGAAGCTCAGTCTTCCTTTTCTCTCTGTCTCATGCATGCTTTAACCCTCCCCTGTCCTTCCTCTCCATGTGATGCTTTCCACCATGTTATGACACAGCAAGAAAGCCTTCACCAGATGCTGCCCCTTGATCTTGGACTTTCCAGCCTCCAGAACTATGAGTCAAATAAACTTCCATTATTTGTAAATTACCCAGTGTGTGGTACTCTGCTATAGCGACAGAAAACAGACTAAGACATGGGGCAGTTTTTAATTTTGGAATACTTTTATACTTCCAGGAAAGTTGTAATAATAATATAAAGAATTTCCATGTGCATCTCAAGTATTCCTCTAGTATTATCATTTTATCACACTTTCTTTGTCATTCACATATACAAAGATATACAATTTGTTTCCTAAAACAAATTCCTCCTACATACCTCTCCTACCTATTTCACCAAATTAGAAGATATAGGTCCCAGAGAGCAAATTTCAGACAGAATATTTCTTTAGCTTTACATACTGCAGTTGTAGTTTCTAAAAATCATGATATTCTCTTCAATAATCACAGTGCAATTACCAAAATCAGACAATTAACACTGATATAATATCATTACCATTACCAATACCAAAACTATTATCCAATTTGTGGACAATTTGTAGACAAATTACATATGCAGATTTTGCCAGTTGCCCCACTAATGTGCTTTACATTGTCCAGGGATAAATCCAGAATCACAAGTTACATTTGGTTGTCATGTCTGTTTGTTCTTCTTTAATCTGAAACAGTTCATTCTTTCTTTTATTTCATGATCTCAGTATTTGAATAATTCAAACTAGTTATTGTGTAGACAAACCTTTGATTTGGGTTAGTCTGATTACCCCTTCATGATTAGATTCAGATTATGCATTTTTGACAGAAATATCATAGAAATGTTGTTATGTCCTTCTCAGGAAGCACATGATGTCTATGTGTCCCATTATTGGTGATGTGAACTTTGATCATATAGTCGAGGTGATTTCTATCAGGTTTATCCAATGTAAAGAAAGTTTTTTCTTTGAAATTAATAAATATGTTGTAGAGATATACTTTGAGACAATGTATATTAAGTATCCTGGTTTTCATCATACTCTGATTTTCGAATCTGTTTATTTTTACCTGAAACAATTATTACTATAGGGACTGCCAAATGGTGATTTTCCAAGTCCATCATTTTCTCTATCTTTATTCTTTGGGATTCTACTATAAGGAAAAGAGTTCACTTCTCCATCATTTATTTCCTCATTTATTTACTTACATTAGTATGGACTTACAGATTTTTATTTTGTTATCTGGGTTATATTCCATTATCATCAATAGTCATGATGATACTCAGATTATCTCAAATGTAGGTAATGGAAGCCTCTTTAAGCAAGCTCCTGGGTCCTTTGCAACATGTCCCCTTTATTCTTTGATCACTTTCTTGCTTTGTGGCACAGAAATGTTCCAAGTTCACTTTGTACTTTTCACGCCCTGGACCTGGAATCAGCCACTTGTGCAAGGAGACCCAGATTCTTTTAGTGGAGAATGAGATTTAGAAGCCCAGATCTAGGTCCTAGGTATGCTCATTGCTACTGAAGTATTCTTTGAAACCTTTCAAGCATTCCTAATGACAGCTATTTTAGCTGACAGATGACTTTGGAACATCTATGAGTTAATCACCCAACAGTCTCACAACCACAATCTCTACCTATGTATTACAATAACTAGGTCTCCTTCACCCCAACTTGTCCAATTGGTATACTCGAGGGCTGTTTTCAGTCATTTGGGCTTCCTAAGGATCACTTTCTCCTGGGTTGTGTTATTAATCTCCATCCAAAAGGCGAGATAGATAAGAGAGCATTCCCATCTCCTACCTACCTCTCCCATTTTGCCAAATTAGAAGATATAGGTCCCTTTCTGCCTTGAAAATTTTCTCAATCCTTCCTCCTCTCTCTCATCCCTTTTTTCACACAAATGTCTCTCACCTACATTTTATCCTGGTATTTCTTAGAAGTGACTCTGCACAGAGCTTGCTTCTCAGGGTCTCTTTATAGACTCTGGCATTTGTGGCTGGGGAGAAAAAGGAAGTAGTATAGACATCACCTTTCTCCTTTCTCTGCTTCTCTGCCACAAAAACTCATCAAACATATCCCAGGGAACTTAGAAAATAGAGAGAAATCCATCAGACCCTGAAGATTGTGAGGTTTAAGCCTTGAGACCAGTAGAATCTCATACAAGACAACAAGTAATAGTCAAAGAAAACAAGGTAAAATCGACCATATAAAAGAAAACAAAATATAATTTTTTAAGATGACTTAAAATGTATTAGACTAAAAATAATGGGGCTCCCACACAGAGAATATATTTAGGTTTAGGGTTGCATGATGTGCAGAGATCACATCAAGGAGTTCAATTTTCCATCCACAGTTCAGAGGTTAGGCTTTAGACCGTCATGGCGGAAGTCTTCAGGGAATCATTTTGAAGATAGGGAAGCAGGAACTATAGTGAAAGGATTTTTATGTAACCATGATGTATCCCACACACCTGGAAGTAGAAAAAGCAAGGAAAAATTACAAGAAGTAGTATACGAGAGTTAACTTGGGTAGTATTGAATATCTCATTAGTAAAACACTTCTCTCTATGTGTATAGATAAGTTTCCCAGTGTATATACATACTTATTTATTTTCTCCACTGAAAGGCATTTCACTATAGAGAGATAACAGAAAGAAATATACAGTTGGCTCTTGAACAACATAGAGGTTAGGGTCACTGACCCCCTGTGCAGTCAAAAATGTGTATATAATTTTGACTCCCCCAAAACTTAACTACTAATAGATTACTGTTGACTGGAAGGCTTACCGATAATATAAACAGTTGATTAACATATATTTTGTATGTTATATATACTACCTACTGTATTTTTACAATAAAGTAAGATAGGAAAAACAAAACATTATTAAGAAAATCATAAGGATGTGAAAATAAATTTGCAGTAGTGGATTGTATTTATCAATACTGTAAGTTTATGTCGTCTGTTTACAAGATGAATTGCCTATCTGAAATGGTGGGCAACTGCACCTGACATCCTCAAGCTATGGGACTTATCAAGCAACTGAGCTTTTGCTTGTAATGTCATAACTTTTCTCTGCTTCTTGGAAGCACTTCCAGCATCACTAGTCACACTTCATGTGAGTCCCATGGTGTTATTCAAGGTGTATTATATTGTACTAAACATGATGAAAAATAAACAAGAAACTTGAGAGACAGCTTTTTACTGTGATACACAATTTACTGGAGAGACAAACTGCTTACAAAGAGATGATTAGCATTAGGTGGCATTTTAAGTGGATACTTGTAACACTTGAGCTCACCACAATAGCAACAAGAGGTGGCTATAAAACTATTACAGTAGTATAGTATGCACTACAGTTAATTTTATGAAGTTATGATTTAACACTACATCTTTTTATTTGTTTACATTTCTCTCAAGTACAAATGGCACCATATACAGTCTGTGTTTGTGTATGTAAGTTTTGATAAATGTTAACTTTTAATGATAGATTAGTGTATATTATGGTAGTAAGTGATAAAATAGACTACTGTCTACATATATTTTATGCATTTATGACATACTTTTTCTTGATTTTTTCTATATTGCTATGCTTTGCAGTTTGTTTGTTTTTTTTAATTGTCAAAATCTCCAAAAAATTTTTCAATGCGTTTATGGAAAAAGAATCCACTTATAAGTGGACCTATGAAGTTCAAACCTGTGTTGCTCAAGGGTCAACTATATATATTGCAATTTTAGGTTGAAAAATATATTTTATCATTTACATTTATTTTATTTTATCAAAGATATATCTTTTATTTTATAAAATATATATTTTATTTTATCATTTACATATAAATATATATATTATCATTATTTATATATTTTTTACATATATTATCATTTATATGTAATAATAACTTAAGAAATAAGCCTATATCCTCCAAGAGATTTACAGTACTTAATTGTTGTCCAGACCTGAGTTCAACCCAGTCAATGTTCTATGTGACTCACCTTCAGAAATCTCATGTTCTGTGGACTTGTTGCCCAGGTTGAAATCCCTGCCTTCCTGCAAAGATAGAAGAGAAGTGGGAAATATAATACATTTTCTCTTCTTTCCTGGAGCCATAACTCTCCCTAGACCATGGAGAGAAAATTTCATGTCCTCTATTCAAAGATGAGAAAAATTCTAGAGTTACCCTTACACATTCAAAAATCAAGAAGAACAGGAAAGCTGAGATAACCCACAGACTCTTTGAAGGAAGCAGATTGCTCCTGCAGGGCGCCTGGAGACAGCCAAAAAACTGTGAGTGCCCAATGTGTGAAAGGGGGATTGTCTGCCCCCAAACACACACTCTCACTGGGGAACCTGAAGTTCCAGATCACGGGTAAAGGATTTGATCTTACCTGGAGCTGAGACAAATTTAGAGAGCTGAGTGAAATACAGGGGTAGAAGAAGCAGTAGGAAGACCCCTGTGGGCTCTCGGTCCCCAAGGAAGTAACTTCCGACTTTGTCTTACAGAAGTCCTTGGGGAGGGCTGCCAGAGGAACCGGGAAGAAACCACACAGGGAAGGAAACTTCCAGCTGAACTTTGTAACAATTTCGACCGAATGCAAAGTTTCCCCGACAGAAATCAGGGGAGGGGTTGAATCAGGAGTGCAATCACAGCACAGAAGCCATGGTAGGTGGGGAGAGGTGAAATCTAAAAGCCCTGCTTGCTTTCTCAGCTGGGAGGCTGGTAGCCTGGGGCAGCTTTTCAGCCCTGCTCACCCACTGCCTGGAAATAAACTTGGTGCTGTTGAGGGAGCACAGTGAAAGTGAAACCAGCCTTTTGGGCTGAGTGAGGCCTATAACTGCCAGCTTTCACCCATTTCCCTGGTGGCCTGCATGACACAGCAGAGGCAGCCATAATCCCCCGGGGGCAGAATTCCACTGGCCTGAGAACCACACCCCCCCTCCCCCGCAGTAACTGCAGTAAGACCCGCCCAAGGAGAGTCTGAAATTAGACATGCTTAACCCTGCCCCCACCTGATGGTCTTTATCTACCTGCCCTGATAGCCCAAGAAAAAGGACTTAACCTCTTGGGAGCTCTAGGGCCCCACCTACCACCTGATGCTCCCTCTACTACCTCAGCTAATGCCCTCTTGAAAGTGCCACCTCCTGACTGGAGGCCAACCAACACAAAACTACTGCAATAAACAAAACTACAACTAAGAACGCTCACAGACTCTGTTTCACTCCTCTGCCACCTCCACCAGAGCAGGTGCTGGTGTCTACAGCTGTGAGACTTAAAGATGGTTCACATCACAGGACTCTGTGTAGACAATCCTAGTACCAGGCCAGAGCCTGGCAACTCTGCTGGGTGGCTAGATCCAGAAGAGAAATAACAATCATTCCAGTTTGGCTCTCAGGAAGCCACATCCCCAGGGAAAGGAGGAGAGCACTACATCAAAAGAGCACCCCATGGGACAGAAGAATCTGAACAGCATCCCTTGAGCCCCAAATATTTCCTCTGACACAGCCTACCCAAATGAGAAGTAACCAGAAAAACAATTCTGGTAATATGACAAAACAAGGTTCTTTAACACCCCCAAAAGATCACCAGCAATAGATCCAAACCAAGATGAAATCCCTGAATTGCCAGAAAAAGAATTCAGACGGTCAATTATTAAGCTAATCAAGGAGGAATCAGAGAAAGGTGAAGTCCAACTTAATGAAATCAAAACAGTAATACAAGATATGAAGGGAAAAATCATCAGTGTAATAGATAGCATAAATAAAAAGCAATCACAACATCTAGAAGTAAAGGACACACTTAGAGAAATGTAAAATGCACTGGAAACTCTCAGCAATAGAATCAAACAAGCAGAAGAAAGAATGTCAGAGCTCAAAGACAAGGTTTTTAAATTAACCTAATCCAACAAAGAAAAAAAACAAAAAAAATTAAAAAATGAACAAAGCCTCCAAGAAGTTTGGGGTTATGTTAAATGACCAAACCTGAGAATACTGGGTGTTCCCATGGAAAAAGAGAAATGTAAAAGTTTGGAAAACATATTTGAGGGAATAATCAAGGAAAACTTCCATGACCTTGTTAGAGATCCAGACATCCAAGTACAAGAAGCTCAAAGAAAATCTGGGAAATTTATCACAAAAATATCATCACCTAGGCATAGTCATCAGGTTATCTAAAGTCAAGACAAAGGAAAGAATCTTAACAGCCATGAGTTAAAAGCACTAATTAGATAACCTATAAAGGAAAACCTATCAGGTTAGCAGCAGATTTCTCAGCAGAAACCTTACAAGCTAAAAGGGATTGAGTCCCTATCTTCAGCCTCCTAAACAGAACAATTATCAGCTGCATACAAGAATTCTGTATGCAGTGAAACTAAGCTTCATTTATGAAGAAAATATACTCTTATTTAGATAAACAAATGCTGAGAGAATTAACCACTACAAGCTAGAACTACAAGAACTGATCAAAGGAGCTCTAAATCTTGAAACAAATTCTCAAAATACACCAAAATAGAACCTCCTCAAAGTGTAAATCTCACAGAACCTACAAAAAAAAAACAATAAAAATTAAAGAAAAAAACACAAGATATTCAGGCAACAAATAGCATGATGAATAGAATAGTACCTCACATCCCAATACTAATGTTGAATGTAAATGTCCTAAATGTTCCACTTAAAAGATACAGAATGGCAGAATGAATAAGAATACACCAACCAAGTATCTGCTGTCTTCAAGAGACTCACCTAAAACATAAGGATTCACATAAACTTAAGGTAAAGGGATTTACCTTTACCTTATTCCATGCAAATGGACACCAAAAGCAACAAGGGGTAGCTATTCTTCTATCCAAAAAAAAAAAAAAAACACTAAGGCAGCAGCAGTTTAAACTGACAAAGACAGATGTTATATAATAAAAGGATATGTCCAACAGGAAAATATCACAATCCTTAATATATATGCACCTAACACTGGAACTCCCAAATTAATAAAACAAATACTAGTAGACCTAGGAAATGAGATAGGCAGCAATACAATAATAGTGGGGACTTCCATATTCCACTGACAGTACTAGACAGGTCATAAAGACAGAAAGCCAACAAAGAAACAATGGATTTAAACTATACTGTACAACAAACATACTTAACAGATATTTACACAACATTCTACCCAACAACTGCAGAATATACATTTTATTCATCAGCACATGGAACATTCTCCAAGATAAACCATATTATGGGCCACAAAACAAATCTCAACAAATTCAAGAAAATTGAAATTATATCAAGTACTCACTCAGACCACAGTGGAATAAAATTGGAAATCAACTCCAAAATGAACCCTCAACAGCATGCACATACATGGAAATTAAACAAACTGCTCCTAAATGATTGTTGGGTCAACAATGAAATCAAGGTGGAAATTAAAAAATTCTTTGAACTGAATGATAATAGTGACACAACCTATCAAAACCTCTGGGATACAGCAAAGGTTGTGCTAGGAGGAAAATTCATAGATTTAAGTGCTTACATAAAAAAGTCTGAAAGAGCACAAATAGACAACCTAAGCTCACACCTCAAGGAAGTAGAAAAACAAGAACAAGCCATACCCAAGCCCAGCAGAAGAAAATAAATAACAAAGATCAGAGCAGAACTAAATAAAATTGAAACAAACAAAAAATACAAAAGATAAATGAAACAAAAAACTGTTTCTTTGAAAAGATAAACAAAAAATTGATAGACCACTGGCAAGACTAACCAAAAAAAAAGAGAAGATCCAAATAAGCTCAACTAGAAACAAAATGGGAGATATTACAACTGATTCCACAGATACACAAAAGATCATTCAAGACTCTTATGAATACCTTTAAGTGCATAAACTAGAAAACCTAGAGGAGATGGATAAATTCCTGGAAATATGTAACTCTCCTAGATTAAACCAGGAAGAAATAGAAACTCTGAACAGACCAACAGCAAGAAGTGAGGTTGAAATGGTAATTTAAAAATTGCCAATAAAAAAAATGTCCAGGGCCAGACAGATTCACTGCTGAATTCTATCAGACATTCAAAAAATAATTGGTACCAATCCTATTGACACTATTCCACAAGATAGAGAAAGAGGGAATCCTCTCAAAATCATTCTGTGAAGCCAGTATCACCCTAATTCCAAAACCAAGAAAGGACATAACCAAAAAAGAAACCTACAGGCCAATATCCCTGATGAATATAGATGCAAAAGTTAAAAAAAAATACTAGCTAATGGAATCCAACAGCATATCAAAAAGATAATTCACCATGATCAAGTGGGTTTCATGCCAGGGATGCAGGGATGGTTCAACATCTGCAAGTCAATAAATAGAATTTATAAACACATAAACAGAAACAGAATTTAAAACAAATAACATAATCATCTCAATAGACAGAGAAAAAGCATTTGACAAAATCCAGCATCACTTTTTGCTTAAAACCTTCAGCAAAATCAATATAGAAGGGACATACCTTAATGTAATAAAAGCCATCTATGACAAACCCACAGCCAACATAATGCTAAATGAGGAAAAGTTAAAAGCATTCTGCCTGAACACTGGAACAAAACAAGGATGCCCACTCTCACCACCTCTATTCAACATAGTACTGGAAGTCCTACTCAGAGCAATTAGATAAGAGAAAGAAATAAAGGACATCCAAATCAATAAAGAGGAAATCAAACTGTCGCTGTTTGCTGATGATATGACCGCATACCTAGAAAACCCTAAAGACTCCTTCAAAAAGCACCTAGATCTGATTTTTTAAAATTCAGTAAAGTTTTAAAATTCAGTGTACATTAATACAAAATTAATGTACACAAATCAGTAGCTATGCTATACAGCAACAGCAACCAAGCTGAGACTCAAATCGACAACTCAATCCCTTTCACAATAGCTGCATAAAATAAAATAAAATACTTAGGCATATACCTAACAAGGAGGTGAAAGACCTCTATAAGGAAAACTACAAAACACTGCTGAAAGAAATCATAGATGACAGAAACAAATGGAAACACATCCCATGCTCATGGATGGGTAGAATCAATATGGTGAAAACGACTGTACTGCCAAAAGCAATCTACAAATTTATGCAATTTCCATCAAAATATCACTGTTATTCTTCACAGAACTAGAAAAACCAATCCTAAAATTCATATGGAACCAAGAAAGAGCCCACAGAGCCAAAGCAAGACTCAGCAAAGAGAACAAACCTTGAAGCATCACATTACCTGACTTTATTCTACAAGGCTATAGTCAGCAAAACAGCATGACACTGTTATAAAAATAGACACATAAACCAATGGAACAAAATAGAGAACCCAACGATAAAGCCAAATATTTACAGCCCACTAATCTTTGACAAAGCCACCAAAAATTGGGAAAAGGATACCCTATTCAACAAATAGTGCTGGGATAGTTGGCAAGCCACATGTAGAAGAAGGAAACTGGGTCCTCATCTCCCACCTTATATGAAAATCAATTCAAGATGGACCAAAGACTTAAATCTAAAACCTGAAACCATAAAAATTCCAGAAGATAACATTATAAAAACCCTTCTAGACATTGGCTTAGGCAAAGACTTCATGACCAAGAACCCAAAAGCAAATGCAATAAAAACAAAGATAAACAGATGAGACTTAACTAAGCTAAAAAGCTTCTGCACAGAAAAAATACAATCAGCAGAATAAACAGACAACCCACAAAGTGGGAGAAAAATTTTGCGATTGATAAATCTGACAAAGGACTAATAACAATAATTTACAAGGAACTCAAACAAATCAGCAAGAAAAAAACAAACAATTCCATCAAAAAGTGGGCTAAGGACATGAATAGACAATTCTCAAAAGAAGATAGACAAATGGCCACCAAACATATGAAAAAATGCTCTTAATCAGTAATTATAAGGGAAATGCCAATCAAAACCACAATGTGATACCACCTTACTCCTGCAAAAATGGCCATAATCGGACCGGGCGAGGTAGCTCATGCCTGTAATCCCAGCACTTTGGGAGGCCAAGGCAGGTGGATCACGAGGTCAGGAGATCAAGACCATCCTGGCTAACACGGTGAAACCCCATCTCTACTAAAAATACAAAAAATTAGCCGGGTGTGGTGGTGGGCACCTGTAGTCCCAGCTACTTGGGAGGCTGAGGCAGGAGAATGGCGTGAACCCGGGAGGCGGAGCTTGCCATGAGCCGAGATTGTGCCATTGCACTCCAGCCTGGGCGACAGAGCGAAACTCAGTCTCAAAAAAAAAAAAAAAAAAGAATGGCCATAATAAACAAATCAAAAGATAATAAATGTTGGCATGGATGTGGTAAAAATGGGAACACTATTACACTGCTGGTGGGAATGTAAACTGCTACAGTCACTATGCAAAACACTGTGGAGATTCCTTAAAGAACTAAAAGTAGAACTACCATTTGATCCAGCAGTCCACTACTGGGTATCTACCTAGAGGAAAAGAAGTCATTATATGAAAAGACACTTGCACATGCATGTTTATAGCAGCACAATTCACAATTGCAAAAAATATAGAACCAGCCCAAATGTCCATAAATCAACAAGTAGATAAGAAAATTGTGATATATATACATATCTATGTGTATATATATATATACATATCTATGTGTATATATATATATACATATCTATGTGTATATATATATATACATATCTATGTGTATATATATATACATATCTATGTGTATATATATATACATATCCGTGTGTATATATATATACATATCCGTGTGTATATATATATACATATCCGTGTGTGTATATATATATACATATCCGTGTGTGTATATATATATACATATCTGTGTGTATATATATATACACATATCTGTGTGTATATATATATACACACAGATATGTGTGTATATATATATACACACATATATATATAAAAAGAATGAAATAATGGCATTCACAGCAACCTGGATGAAATCGAAGACCATTATTCTAAGTGAAGAAATTCAGGAATGGAAAATCACACATCGTATGTTATCATTCATAAGTGGGAGCTAAGCTTTGAGGATGCAAAGGCGTAAGGATGATACAATGGACTTTGCGGACTTGAGGGAAAGGGTGTGAGGTGGGTGAGGGATAAAAGACTACACATTGGGTACAGTGTACACCGCTTGGGGGATGGGTGCACCAAAACCTCAGAAATCCTCACTAAAGAACTTACTCATGTAACCAAACACCATCTATTCCCTAAAAAAATTATTGAAATTTTAAAAAAAGAATCAAGAAGAACGGAATTCCTCCCTCCTACCACTGAATCTGCCTCCAAACTGCCCTGCACTTCCTGCGGGTATCTAGGAGCTGTAACACGGCACTATGTTCAAAATAAGCCATCCTACAAAAATTTCCCTGGAGAGATTTTTTGTTGTGTCCTTCTGTTTTCTTTTTCCAATTTTGTGTGGTTGTTGTTGTTGAGCATGCTTTTTAGTTCTTTAGTTTCATAAATAATAATGTGTTATTTTTTAAAAAGAAAAGTCTCACCATGAAAATCCAGGTTCAATACACCTACAATATACCCACAAAATTAAAATCTAAAAAAGAAAGAAAGAAAATCCAGGTTCTGGAACTAGAACACAGTTGATTCTTGACCTTGTTGTTTCTCTGTAAATATACCATCGGTCTATGATTAAAACTGACCCAAGCTGGTATTTCTACAAGGATAGAGGAATCTCAATGGTCTCATTTTAATGATGTGTTGGAAGGGGAAGGCGAAAAGATTAAAATCTCATGGACAGATATATTGTAAAAACTGATTAAAAATTACTATTTTACAATTTGATAGTATAATCTGATTATGGATTCTGTCTGTGAGCCATAAAGGCAAGAGGCTACTTTATGTCCACTCTTCATAATGAGGAAAAGCTCATTTTAAAAGTTGTAAGCAAAAGAGAGGACTTAGGTTGAACTCCTGCTGAATTTTGATCTACTTTCATTGATTTTGAACTTACATTAGTCCTTTCATTCTTCCATATATGAGCTCTATTAAATGCCCATTTCTCTGTCCAAGGGTCGGGGTGAGGCCTGGATATGTCCCAGATGGGATTTAGTCTGGACATAGAAGCTCTTCTCTGTCACACATTCTCCCTCCCATAGCAATGATGTCCCTGAGGGAGGATTGTTTTCCATGACTAGTGATAAAAGGCTCAAGCCTATACTCCTTACACTGAAAATCTGGAAAGAGGAGAATCAGGATGAACAGTACAAGGAGAGTTAACTTGAACTTTTCATTGTAAAATAGTTAAAATAATAAAATTTTCTTTCCATGAAAATCAAGACACTTTTGCTTATTTGTCTATACTCACTTACTGACTTAATTTGAAGAACAATCAAGGGGGGGGCAGGAAAACTAAACTAAACCCTAACTTTTTAGGGTGAAAACATCACACTATATATTGCTCAGCCTCCACCCTTTTGAGAGCTATCACCACCTGAAGAAAGTAGAGATCTCTCAACTCTTTCCTCTCTGATTCTTCCCCAAAGCAGCAAGGGAAGGTTCACAATACTGTGTGATTATCTTTCAAAAGCAAATCCAGAACATAAATGTGGTCTACGGATGGTTCACTTTTTGTGGTCCCTTTTCTGTCCAGGAATCAGAGGTGGCTCATCAAATGAGGAAACAAGGAATGCTTTATTTCTCAAATTACACACCATTTTTAACAAAATCCATAGGAATGATGAGGATGAAGAAAAGAAATAGTCTAAACTCCTCTTGTCAACCCCCAAGTTCCCATCACCAACACTGATGAACAGCTTTCTTGATCTCTCCAAAGTCAAAATTTCTTTGTCTACTTCTTGCTCCTGACATTGCTCCACCTTCTCTGAGGGTCTGGTCTCATGTGGGAAGCTATGAAATTCCAGCTCTTGCTGAGCATCTCAGACAGACTCTGGCTTTGCTGACAGTTCTTTAAAAAGGCAGCTAGCTTTCCCTGCACAAACCTGGGAGAGACTGCAATCTGGAACAAAAATGGAAATAGAACATTTAATACAGATATATTGCTCCTACACAACTAGGCAAGTCAAAAAAATAAATTTTAAAAATATTAACCAATACTGTATGCAAATTTTTTCCATGATAGCCTATGGAGGTGACAGGATAAAGTGAATAGGTAAAAGACCTAGGATTTGAATAGGATTGAGGAATGGAGAAAAAAAAATGTCTAAACATTTCATGGTTTCATTTTAGGCCAAACCAGAATTTCCCATGGGTTACAGTAGCTTTGTCAAAATGGCCACACACAAAAAATGAGTTGATTGCTTTTATGGATTAAGGGCAGGCAGCAGCAGTACAATTTCACTGCATTTTTCCTACCAAAAACCCGGAGAAAAAAAATCTCCCTAACATTACCAAGCCCTGTGAGCAGAAAATCCCACTGTCTTACAATCCAGGCATCACGGGAGTGAAACCTCAGAATCTGAGCCCCGAAAACACTTCTGGCAGTGATAGCAAGAGAGAACATCAAACCCAAAATAGGCAACAAATTTATCTGGGAAGCATTCCAACATCCAGATTCAGAGAGAAAGGGATCATTTCAAATATTCTGAATGGGAGTTGGATTCTTATAGAGTATTTAAGAATTTCAAAGTTACATTAAGTATAATCTCTATTTTACACTCAGACTCTCTCAAGGATCCTAACTCTCTGGCCTTTAGACAGGAACACCTCCCATAGACAGAGGCTACTGGTGCAAAGCTCCTTCCCTTGCCACGCAAAGGCTCCTCCTGCTCCAGGCTGTGCAGTAATGGGCTCTGCAGAGCCTCTGCTGGAGATCATCAATGGTTTGTCACAATCAGCACACCAGGGTTTCTAATTTCAAAGTGCAAATTTATTTCCAGCATTATAAACAACTGCCTTTTCAAACTTAAAGTCTACTTAGGACATACCGATCTTGCAAAATACTAGGGATACAGGAAAATGGCTGTGAAACTAAAATGATTTTTAGGAGAAAAGAGTGAAAGGGAAACTTAACATGACTCTGCATTTAAGAACGTTCCTGTGCTAGAGAAAAATTGAAAGAAGACCCCGGGTGAGAGTTTTTGTCCCATCTCAACTCCCACAAATATCAGTGAGGATTTTGTTTTACCTATTTATGATAAGAACAGATAATGCCATAATCCTTCAAAATCAATATCTGATTGCAACATGTTCCTTGTCTTAGATTTTCGGCTGGGGTCATTGCTTACTTCCTCAAGGAAGGCTCCCAAACTCTCATAACCCTTAAAACTAAAGGTCTATGCACTGCTGAAAGAAGAGGAGTAACATAGTTATCTAGGCCCATGAAGTCTATTCCTGCCCCAAAGAAAATTCACCACATCCCCTTTCCACACTTGCCACAAACTCTGCTCTTTGTTTTCTCCAGTGTCTCAGTGGATCTAGCGGGCCCAGGACCTCGCTAGCTTATGTATAGAAACTTGGAAGGAAGGTGTAGAACGTGCTTTCCAGATGGAAATGGGATGATGTCTAGGGAACAAGAGCTTCCTCTCTTCTTCCTTCACCACAGGTCTGAAGCATTTGCCCTCAGACCCTCTCTCCTGCAAAGTGAAGTCAGCCTGAAAACATGGAACAGGAGAAAATGTCCACCTCAAAGGAATGGGAAAACTGGCATCAGAAACATTTCTGTAAACTTCTATTATGTGAGAAAGGGGCCATTATGCATGTTTAATAAGAGCAACAGAAAACATGTTTTATTCTTGTAAGCTTCAATTAAACTTAGCATTAATTTTTGCTCAGCTAGGCTGAAGAAGACAAAATTTGTGTCCCTCAAGCCTTAAGTGAGTCATCAATGCATCATAAAGGAAAGTCAACCTAGAATTTCTCCAGGGATAGATCGTCTCCCTCTTTGTAGGAATTCTGGTGGAGGAATTTCCTCCTTTCCCAAATGCTACAGGGCTTCATGTGGCTCTCTACTAAGCTGGAAGCAGAGAATCCAACGGACTATACTTGTTGGTCCTCCACTCTAGGTACACATTAGAATCTCCAGGGAAGATTGTTTTAAATACCAGTACTGGGGGACCCAGAAAATTAAATCAGACTCTCTAGAGGCAGGAAGAACTACTGATTTAAAGTAATTGGAATGGTCAATTCTTCTCATATCTAAAATATAAAAGTCACTGTGCTCTCCAGTAGCATCTCTAGTTTAAAAGACACCAGGAAAAAACCATATTTCTTTCTGTAGCACTGTAAGAAAAAAACATTCACCACAAATCATAGCATTCACATCACAACAAATCATCCTACCTGACCTATCAGCTCACCCCTTTTTCTTCTAAGGAGGTGACATTCTGATGAATGTATATTTACTTCTTCCCACCTCTCTCCTATAAATATATTTTTAAAGGTATATGCAATGTATATGCAATGTATATGGGCTCTTAAATTTTACTGGTAGAGGGGTGAGTAAAGCTATTAGACCTAAGGTTACAAAATTTCCCCAGACCTGGGACAGGTGAATTTCTCTTCTCTTCCCAGCAAGCAAAGGAAACTGCATGGCTTTACCAGTTTCCTATTTTTCCTCAAACTCCAACCCAGTCATCTGTTATGGGCTGAACTTTGTCCCCCCAAAATTATATACAAGATTGAAGCCCTAACCCCCAGTACCTGAAAATGTGGCTGCATGTATTTCAGATAGAGACTTTAAAGTAATTCAGATAAATTGAGCTCTTATGGGTGGGTTCTAATCCAATATAGCTGGTGTTCTTATAATAAGAGGAAATTAAGACACAGACACATAAAGAGGGAAGACCATGTGGGGACAAAGGGAAAAGACAGCCATCCACAAGCCAAGGAGAGAGATTTAGAAAGAAACTAATCCTGCCAACACCTTGATTTTAGACCTCTAGCCTCCACAACTGTGAGAAAATACATTTCTGTTGTTTAAGCCATCTAGTCTGGAGTATTTATTTATTTATTTATTTATTTATTTATTTATTTATTTATTTTGAGACTGTAATGAGACAGTCTCACTCTGTTGCCCAGGCTGGAGTGCAGTGGCATGATCTCGGCTCACTGCAACCTCCACCTCCTGGGTTCAAGTGATTCTTGTGCCTCAGCCTACTGAGTAGCTGGGACTACAGGCATAAGCCGCTACACCCAGCTAATTTTTGTACTTTTAGTAGAGACAGGGTTTCACCATGTTGGCCAGGCTGGTCTCGAACTCCTGACCTCAGGTGATCCACCAGCCTAACCCTCCCAAAGTGCTGGGATTACAGGCATAAGCCACAGCGCCCAGCCTAGTCTGGGGTATTTTGTTATGGCTACCCCAGCAAACTCATACAGACCTCTTAGAAAAAATTCTCCTTCCTCCTTCTGCTCCCTCCACAGCCTCCCCTACATGCCAGTACTTTGTTTTTTATTGGTTGTCTGGCCATGGCTCAGGAGAAAACACACAAACTCCAGATATCCTAGAGAAGCAAGACAAGATTTTTCTTCCCCAAGTACTGGCTTTTTTTCTTCTCTTTGGCATTCCTCTGGGGGAACAAGACCTCAGTAAGGTAGAATAATTAGAAATATTTTGCTGACATAAAAATATATGAGAATTACCTTATAACAGAGGTAGGAACCACAGACCTGGGTTCAAGGCAGGAGACCAACACTAGAGATTCATCACCAATGACAAGGAGCAAGGAGACTCAGAAGCTTAGGAGCACTAGAGAGAACTGAAATCAAATTACTGTGTTTATTTCATCTTCTTTCTTCTCTGGGACGCATACTGAGTAAAGACTAGGTATCAGTCAAACCTGGAAAATATTCCCAAAATCTATTGAAAAGATGAGATGTGATTCCTGCTCCAAGATGACCAACTAGATGCAGCCAGGAGGAACATCTGGCACCAAGCAACTGAGACATCAGGAAGACTGGTGCACTTCTAGCAGATCTTCAGAGGGAAGGCATTGAAAGCAGACAAAAGGAAGACACAGGGGATGGGCTGAAGGGGAAGTAACCTGGAAACCCTGTATGGGGCTACCAGGCACCGGGACTCATTCCTGACCCCCAACGACTCTTGCAGAGGGGGTGTGTTGAACAGGCAAGGGGCAACCCACTCTCGCCATGGACCCCTGGAAACCTGGCAGAAGGAGACCCCTCAACCACCACAGACACTCACTTGGCCAGGAATGCTCATCCCCCTAGGCTTGACTTGCTCCTATAAGAGACTTTAGACTTTAGCCCTAGGGGAACTGTTGGACCCGAACTCTGAAGGGCAGTCTTGCCCATGAGATGGGGCCAGTCTGACCTGAGCATGCGTTGGTCTGCTGGCCTTTCCAAGGGCCCCAGCCACACCGCACCTGCTTGCAGAGCAGCCTCCAGGTGCCTCCTGAGGGCCCACATCATAGCTCCTGCACTGGCAAACCAACACTGACTGATAGAGTGCTCTAGCAGAGAAGCCCTGTGGACATAAGCCAGCCTGCCCATGCTCTCCCCACACTGCAGCCTTCCCTGTGCTGCCCTGACTTCAGACACTTGCCCACGGCCACCCCCCATCACTTTGCCAGACTTAGCCTTCCCTTCCCTGCCAGTACACATGTGCGAGTGAATGCTGCCATGCCACTTCTGCTGGTGTGTGTGCCCCCCACCCCTACTTCCCCTGCTGCACCACCATTGTCCTCAGCACATTGGTGGGAACAGAGCCCACCAGACACACCCCCACCAGTGCCCTGCCACTGTGCCAGGGCCACCAGAATGAAACTAAGCACAGAAAACAGTGAACTCACCCCTAGTCCTGAGCAGACCCTGCCGCCAGCATGAATGCAAACAAAAGGTGCACAGTTACGCACCCACCAGCAGCCCACCCCTGTGCTAACACCACCACCAGTGTGAATCCCTGCACAGTTGCCAGGGGCTCCTTGCCCCCATGAACTGTACTGTCGCCACCACTTCTGTGAACATCTGCACAGAGGCTGGCACCCCGGCATCTGCTAGCACCCTGCCACAACCAATGAACATGAACCCTGCCACACTGCCACTGCTGCCGCTGCTGCTGGCATGTGTGAAGGAGGAAGAACAAGAACAGATCTGACTGCCACCACACTACGAAGTGCTTTGGCTGGGAAACCTATCAGAGTGGTGTGACCGGTGGTCCGGGAGTACCTCAAGCCCTCCAACCCATTGGGTTCCTAGCCTCAAGGAGCCAGAGATCAAAGCCTGAATTGATACCAATCCCCCAGAGTAAGAGCACACAGCCCAATAATCCTGAGCTGAGCCCTGGCCCCCTAAACTCTTCCACTAATGAAGACAGTTGCCTGAATCCACCTTATACCACAATCAAACCACCAAGGTCATCAAACAAAATAAAAGAAAAAAATTCATCCAAAGGACAACAACTTCAAAGACTGAAGGAACCAGTCCTCCACTCCGGGAGCTCCTATGGAACTCTACCACATCCCTGTTATTCTGTGACCTGCAGGGAGTGTTGACATTAAGGGATGTGGCCATAGAATTCTCCCCAGAAGAGCAGGACTGTCTGGACTCTGCTTAGCAGCATCTGTATAGGGATGTGATGTTAGAGAACTACAGAAAACTTGTCTGCCAGGGTCTTGCTACCTCTAAGCTAGACTTTATTACCTGTCTGGAGCAAAGAAAAGAGCCCTGAAATTTGAAGCGACAGGAGACAGCAGCAAAACACCTAGATTTTTTGAGCAAGGGCGATTGCCTCTCTAGATTCCTCCTGTCTGGGCAGGACATCTCTGAACAAAAGGCAGCAGCCCCAGTCAGGGAATTATAGATAAAACTCCCATCTCCCTGGGACAGAGCACCTGGTGGAAGGCAAGGCTATGGGCGCAGCTTCAGCGACTTAAACGTCCCTGCCTGACAGCTCTGAAGAGAGCAGTGGTTCTCCCAGCACAGCGTTCAAGCACTGATAAGGGACAGACTGCCTCCTCAAGTGAGTTCCTGACCCCTGTGCCTCCTAACTGGGAGACATCTCCCAGCAGGGACCGACAGATATCTCATACAGGAGAGCTATGGCTGGCATCTGGCGGGTGCCCCTCTGGGATGAAGCTTTGAATGTTTTTTTGCGTCTCAATCTCCAGTTCAGCTCTGATTTTAATTATTTACTGCCTTTTGTTAGCTGTGGAGTTAGTTTTCTCTCATTTCTGTAGTTCTTTTAGTGTGGTGTTAGATTGTTAATTTAAGATCTTTCTAACTTTTTGATGTAGACATTTAGTGCTATAAATTTCCCTTTTAACACTGCCTTACATGTGTCCCAGAGATTCTGGTATGTTGTATCTTTGTTATCATTAGTTTTAAAGAACTTTTTGATTTCCCTCTTAATTTTGCTATCTGCCTAAAAGTCATTCAGGAGCGGGTGGTTTAACTTCCATGTAAATTTATAGTTTTGAGTAATTTTACTCATATTGAATTTTATTTTTATTGTGCTGTGGTTCAAAAGTATGGATGGTATAATTTTGATTTTTTGAATTTTCTGAGGATTGCCTTAAATTCAATTGTATTGTTAACTTTAGAGTATGTGCCATGTGGAAGAGAAGAATGTATATTCTGTTGTTTTGGGGTGGAGAATTCTGTAGATGTCTATCAGAAACATTTGGTCCCGTGTTGAGTTCAGGTCCTGAATATCTTTGTTAATTTTCTTCCTTGATGATCTAATACTGTCAGTGGGGTGAAGAAGTCTCTCACACTATTATTATGTGGGAGTCTAAGTCTCTTTGAAGGTCTCTAAAAACTTGCTTTATGAATCTGGGTGCTCCTGTGTTAGGTGCATATATTTAGGTTGGTGCAAAAGTCATTGCAGTTTTGGATCATGAATTTTAAATAATTGTAACTAGGCTCAAACACATCTTTATTAATCAAAATAGAAACCATTACAATCAACACATTTTTGCCAATAAGAAATAAGTTTGTTTACTTCTGCAGCATAAAAATCCATGCTTCAGGATTCAATGAACTTTTGGAAAGCATTTTCTGCATCCTGCTGGTTGTAGAAATGTTTTCCCTGCAAAAAGTTGTCAAGATGCTTGAAGAAGTGGTAGTCAGTTGGCAAGAGGTCAGGTGCATATGGCAGATGGGACAAAGCTTCATAGCCCAATTTGTTCAACTTCTGAAGCACTGGTTGTGGAACATGCCATTGGGTGTTGTCATGGGGAAGAATTGGGCCCTTTCTGTTGACCAATACTGGCTGCAGGCATTGCAGTTTTCAGTGCATCTCATTGATTTGCTGAGTATACTTCTCAGATGTAATGGTTTTGCCAGGGTTCAGAAAGCTGTAGTGGAGGTCCAGCAGCAGACCAGCAAACAGTGATCATGACCTATTTTTTTGGTGCAAGTTTGGCTTTGAGAAGTGCTTTGGAGCTTCTTCTAAGTCCAACCACTGAGCTGGTTGTTACTTAGTTGTAAAAAGATCAGCTTCAATGATTGCTCTCAATTGGTTGTTGTCAACTTCTGATGACTGGCCACTATGCTCCTCATCTTCAAGACTCTTATCTCCTTTGCAAAACTTCTTGAACCACCACTGCATTGTATGTTCATTAGCAGTTCCTGGGCCAAATGCATTGTTGATGTTGTGAGTAGCCTTCAGTGCTTTATGACCGACTTTGAACTAGAATAAGAAAATCACTTGAATTTGCCATTTGTCTAACATCATTTCCATAATCTAAAATAAACATAAAATAAACAGCAAGTAATAAGTCCTTAGCAAAAAAAAAAAAAAAACATAAAGGGAGAAATGCCATTAAAATGATGTATAACATGACCACATTTACTTAAGAATGTATTCCAATTCATATGGTAAATTCCAACAATGCAAAAACCACAATTACTTTTCACTCACCTAATATATTTAGGATAGTTAGGTGTTCTTGTCAAATTGAACCCTTTACCATTATCTACTGCCCTTCTTTTGTTTTTTGATCATTGTTGATTTAAAGTCTGTCTTGTCTGAAATTAGGATGGCAACTTCTGCTTTTTTTTTTTTTTCATTTGTTTGGTAGATTTTTCTCCATCCTTTATTTTGAGCCTATGGGGGTCATTGCATGTGAGATGAGTCTCTTGAAGACAGCATACCATTGAGCCTTGCTTGTCTATCCAGCTTGCAACTCTGTGCCTTCTAATTGGGTTATTTAGCCCATTTACATTCAAGGTTAGCATGGATATGTATGGATTTAATCCTGTCATTGTGTTGTTAGCTGTTTATTGTGCCAACTTCTTTGTGTGATTGCTATACAGTGTCACCGGTCTGTGTACCAAGTGTGTTTCTGTATTGGCTGCTAATGGTCTTTCTTTTTGATATTTAGTGCTTCTTTCAGGAGCTCTTGTAAGGCAGGTCTGATGGTAATGAATTCCCTCAGCATTTGCCTGTCTAAAAAGTATCTTATTTCTCCTTTGCTTATGAAACTTAGTTTGGCTGGACATGCAATTCTTGGTTGGAATTTCTTTTCTTTAAGAATTTTCAATATAGGCCCCCAGTCTCTCCTGGCTTGTAGCGTTTCTCCTGAGAGGTTTGATGTTAGTCTGATGGACTTCCTTTTGTAGGTGACTTGTTCTTTCTCTCTAGCTGCCTTTAACATTTTTTCTTTCATTTCAATCTTGGAGAATCTGATGATTAGTGTCTTGGGGATAATCTCCTTGTGCAGTATTTTGCAGGGGTTCTCTGTATTTCCTGTACTTGAATGTTGGCCTCTCTAGCTAGGTTGGGGAAGTTCTCATGGATGATATCCTGAAATATGTTCTCCAAGTTGTTTCCATTCTCCCCATCTCAGGGACACCAAAGAGCTGTAGACTAGGTCTCTTTACATAATTCCATACTTCTTGGAAGTTAGTTCCCTTTCATTATTTTCTCTTTATTCTTGTCTGTCTTATTTCAGAAAAACAGTCTTCAAGCTCTGAGATTCTTTCCTCTGCTTGGTCTATTCTACTATTAACACTTGTGATTGCATTATGAAATTCTTGTAGAGTGTTTTTCAGCTGTATCAGGTTGTTCAATTTTGTTTCCTATAAGCGCTCTTTTACCTGTCAGCTCCTGCATCATTTTATTGTGATTTTTAGCTTCCTGAGATTGGATTTATATGTTCTCATGAATCTCATTGATCTTCACTCCTATCCATATTCTCAATTCTATTTCTCTCATTTCAGCATTCTCAGCCTAGTTGAGAATGCTTGCTGAAAAACTAGTGTGGTGGTTTGGAGAAAAGAAGACTCTCTGGCTTTTTGAGTTATCACAGTTATTACACTGTTTTTTCCTCAATTTGTGGGCTGATGTTCCTTCAATTTTTTTTTTTTTTTGAGACAAAGTTCTGCACTTATTGCCCAGGCTGGAGTGCAATGGCATGACATTGGCTCACTGCAACCTCTGCCTCCCAGGTTCAAGCGATTCTCCTGCCTCAGCCACCTGAGTAACGGTGATTACAGGCATGTGCCACCACACTCAGCTAATTTTGTATTTTTAGTAGAGATAGAGTTTCTCTATGTTGGTCAGGTGGTCTCGAACTCCTAACCTCAGGTGATCCACCCACCTTGGCCTCTCAAAGTGCTGGGATTACAAGTGTGAGCCACTGTGCCTGGTCACCATTTTTTTTTTTATTAAACTTTAAGTTCTGGGGTACATGTGCAGAATGTGCAGGTTTGTAACATAGGTACACATGTGCCATGGTGGTTTGCGGCATCCATCAACCTGTCATCTACATTAGTTATTTCTCCTAATGCTATCCCTGCCCCAGGATCCCACCCCCCAACAGGCCCCAATGTGTGATGTTTCCCTGCCTGTGTCCATATGTTCTCATTATTCCACTCCCACTTATGAGTGAGAACACGTGGTGTTTGGTTTTCTGTTGTTGTGTTAGTTTGCTGAGAATGATGGTTTCCAGCTTCATCCATGTCCCTGCAAAGGACATGAACTCATCCTTTTTTATAGCTGCATAATATTCCATGGTGTTCATGTGCCACATTTTCTTTATCTAGTCTATCATGGATGAGTATTTGGGTTGGTTCCAAGTCTTTGGTATTGTGAACAGTGCTGCAATAAACATACGTGTGCATGTGTCTTTATAGTAGAATGATTTATAATCCTTTGGTATATATCCAGTAATGGGATTGCTGGGTCAAATGGTATTTCTAGTTCTAGATCCTTGAGGAATCGCCACACTGTCTTCCACAACGGTTGAACTAATTTACACTCCCAGCAACAGTTTAAAAGTTTTCCTATTTCTCCACATCCTCTCCAGCATCTGTTGTTTCCTGACTTTTTAATGATTGCCATTCTAACTGGCGTGAGATGGTATTTCATTGTGGTTTTGATTTGCATTTCTCTAAAGGCCAGTGATGATGAGCATTTTTTCATATGTCTGTTGGCTGCATTAATGTCTAGTTTTGAGAAGTGTCTGTTCATATCCTTTGCCCACTTTTTGATGGGGTTGTTTGTTTTTTCTTGTAAATTTGTTTAAGTTCCTTGTAGATTCTGTATATTAGCCCTTTGTCAGATGGACAGATTGCAAAAATTTTCTCCCATTCTGTAGGTTGCCTCTTCACTCTGATGATAGTTTCTTTTGCTGTGCAGAAACTCTTCAGTTGAATTAAATCCCATTTGTCAATTTTGGCTTTTGTTGCCATTGCTTTTGGTGTTTTAGTCATGAAGTCTTTGCCCATGCACGGTATTGCCCATGAATAGTATTGCCTAGGTGTATTGTAGGGTTTTTATGGTTTTAGGCCTTATGTTTAGGTCTTTAATCCATCTTGAGTTAATGTTTGTATAAGGCGTAAGGAAGGGACCCGGTTTCAGCTTTCTGCATATGGCTAGCCAGTTTTCCCAACACCATTTATTAAATAGGGAATCATTTTCCCATTGCTTGTTTTTGTCAGGTTTGTCAAAGATCAGATGACTGTAGATATGTGGTGTTATTTCTGAGGTCTCTTTTCTGTTCCATTGGTCTATATATCTGTTTTGGTACCAGTACCATGCTGTTTGTTTCCGTAATCTTGTAGTGTAGTTTGAAGTCAGGTAGCATGATGCCTCCAGCTTTGTTCTTTTTGCTTAGGATTGTCTTGGCTATGCATGCTCTTTTTTGGTTCCATATGAAATTTAAAGTAATTGTTTCTAATTCTGTGAAGCAAGTCAATGGTAGCTTGATGAGGATAGCATTGAATCTATAAATTACTTTGGGCAGTATGGCCATTTTCATGATACTGATTCTTCCTATCCATGAGCATGGAATGTTTTTCTATTCTTTTGTGTCCTGTCTTACTTTCTGAGCAGTGGTTTGTGGTTCTCCTTGAAGAGGTCCTTCACATCCCTTGTAAGTTGGATTCCTAGGTATTTTATTCTCTTTGTAGCAATTGTGAATGGGAGTTCACTCAGGATTTGGCTCTCTGTTTGTCTATTATTGGTGTATAGGAATGCTTGTAATTTTTGCACATTGATTTTGTATCCTGAGACTTTGCTGAAGTTGCTTATCAGCAACTTAAGAAGATTTTTGGGCTGAGACAATGCAGTTTTCTAAATATACAATCATGTCATCTGCAAACAGAGACAATTTGACTTCCTCTTTTCCTAATTGAATACGCTTTATTTCTCTCTCTTGCCTGATTGCCTGGCCAGAACTTCAAATACTGTGTTGAATAGGAGTGGTGAGAGAGGGCATCCTTGTCTTGTGCTGGTTTTCAAAGGGATTGCTTCCCATTTTTGCCCATTCAGTATCATATTAGATGTGAGTTTATCATAAATAGCTCTTATCATTTTGAGATATGTTCCATCAATACCTAGTTTATTAAGAGTTTTCAGCATTAAGGGCTATTGAGTTTTGTTGCAGGCCTTTTCTGCATCTATTGAGATAATCACGTTATTTTTGTCATTGGTTCTGTTTATGTGACAGATTATGTTTATTGATTTGTGTATGTTGAACCAGCCTTTCTTCCCAGGGGTGATGCCGAATGGATCGTAGTGGATAAGATTTTTGATGTGCTGCTGGATTCGATTTGTCAGTGTTTCATTGAGGATTTTCACATGGATGTTCATCAGGGATATTGGCCTGAAATTTTCTTTTTTTGTTATGTCTCTGCCAGGTTTTGGTATCAGGATGATGCTGGCCTCATAAAATGAGTTAGTGAGGATTCTCTCTTTTTCTATTGATTGGAATAGTTTCAGAAGGAATGGTACCATCTCCTCTTTGTATCTCTGGTAGAATTCAGCTGTGTATCTGTCTGGTCCTTGGCTTTTTTGGTTGGTAGGCTATTGATTATTGCCTCAATTTCAGAACCTGTTATTTGTGTATTCAGGGACTTGACTTCTTCCTGTTTTAGTCTTGGGAGGGTGTATGTGTCGAAGAATTTATCCACTTCTAGATTTTCTAGTTTAATTGCATAGAAGTGTTTATAGTATTCTCTGATGTTAGTTTGTATCTCTGTGGGATCGGTGGTGATATCCCCTTTATCATTTTTTATTGCTTCTACTTGAGTCTTCTCTTTTTTCTTCTTTATTAGTCTGGCTAGCAGTCTATCAATTTTGTTGATCTTTTCAAAAAACCAGCTCCTGGATTCATTGATTTTTTTGAAAGGTTTTTGTGTCTCTATCTCCTTCAGTTCTGCTCTGATCTTAGTTATTTCTTGCCTTCTGCTAGCTTTTTGAATTTGTTTGCTCTTGCTTCTCTATTTCTTTAAATTGTGATGTTAGGGTGTCAATTTTCCATCTTTTCTGCTTTCTCTTATGGGCATTTAGTGCTATAAATTTCCCTCTACACACTGCTTTAAATGTGTCCCAGAGATTCTGGTACAGTGTGTCTTTGTTGTCATTGGTTTGAAAGAACATCTTTATTTCTACCTTCATTTTGTTATGTACCCAGTAGTCATTCAGGAGCAGGTTGTTCAGTTTCCATGGAGTTGTGTGGTTTTGAGTGAGTTTCTTAATCCTGAGTTCTAATTTGATTGCACTGTGGTCTGAGAGTCTGTTATGATTTCCATCCTTTTGCATTTGCTGAGGAGTGTTTTACTTCCAATTATGTGGTCAATTTTAGAATAAGTGTGATGTGGTGCTGAGAAGAATGTATATTGGAGTGCAGATTTGGGGTTAATTTGGGGTGCAGAGTTCTGTATATGTCTATTAGGTCCACTTGGTCCAGAGCTGAGTTCAAGTCCTGGATATCCTTGTTAATTTTCTGGCTCATTGAGCAGTCTAATATTAACAGTGGGGTGTTAAAAGCTCCCACTATTATATGAGGCCAACATCATCCTGATACAACCTAGCAGAGACACGACAGAAAAAGAAAACTTTAGGCTAATATCCTTGATGAACATTGATGCAAAGCTCTTCAACAAAATGCTAGCAAACCAAATCCTGCAGCATGTCAAAAAGCTAATCCACCATGATCAAATAAGCTTTATCCCCAGGATGCAAGGTAGGTTCAACATACCCAAATCAATAAATGTGATTCATTATACAAATGGAACCAGACAAAAACCACATGATCAATCTCAGTAGATGCAGAAAAGACTTTAGATAAAATTCAACATCCGCTCATGTTAAAGACTTTCAGTAAACTAGGTATTGAAGGAACATACCTCAAAATAATAAGAGCCATCTATGACAAACCCACTGCCAACATCATACTGCATGGGCAAAAGCTGGAAGCATTCCCCTTGAAAACCAGAACAAGATAAGGATGCCCTCTCTCACTACTCCTATTCAACATAGTATTGGAAGTCCTGTCCAGAGCAATGAGGCAAGAGAAGGAAGTAAAAGTCATCCAAAAAGGAAGAGAGAAAGTCAGACTAGCCCTGTTTGCAGATGACATGATTCTATATGTCTAGAAAATCCCATAGCCTTGGCCCAAAAGCTCCTTAAGCTGATATTTTTAGCAATGTTTCAGGATACAAAATCAACATACAAAAATTACTAGCATTCCTGTACACCAGCAATAGCCAAGCCAAGAGCAATGTCAGAAACAATGCCATTTACAGTTACCACAAAAAGAATAAAATACCTAGGAATTTAGCTAACCAGGGAGGTGAAAGTTCTCCACAATGAGAATTTCAAAACGCTGCTCAAAGAAATCAGCAATGACATAAATAAATGGAAAAACATTGCATGCTCAAGGATAAGAAGAATCAGTATTGTTAAAATGGCCATGCATATGGTATGTCTTTTCATTTTTCCTGATTCTCTCCCTTCTTCTACCCTCTACCATCCAATAGGCCCCAGTGTGTGTTGTTCCATTCTATGTGTTTATGTAGCTCCCATTTAGCTCCCACTTTATTTAGCTCCCACTTATGAGTACATGCAGTATTTAGTTTTCTGTTCCTGCATCAGTTTTATAAGGATAATTGCCTCCACCTCCATCCATGTTCCCGCAAAGGACATAATCTTGTTTTTTTATGGTTGCATAGTATTTCACGGTGTATATGTACCACATTTTCTTTATCCAGTCTACCATTGATGGTCACTGAGGTTGAATCCATGTCTCTGCTATTGTGAATAGTGCTGCAGTGAACATAAATGTGCATGTGTCTTTATGGTAAAACAATTTATATTCCTTTGAATATATACCCAGTAATGGGATTGCTAGGTCAAATGGTTGCTCTGTTTTTAGTTCTTTGAGGAATTGCCGCACTGTTTTTCACAATGGTTAAACTAATTTCTACTCCTACCAACAGTGTTTAAGCATTCTCTTTTGTCTGCAATACTTTTGTGTAAATCCACACAATAAAAAAAATTAAAAATGAAGACCAAAAAAAAGAAAATGTGGTACATCCACACCATGGAATACTATGTGGCCATATAAAAAATGAGATCATGTCCTTTGCAGGAACATGGATGGATCTAGAGGCTATTATCCTTAGCAAACTAACACAGGAACAGAAAACCAAATACCACATGTTCTCACTTATAAGTGGGAGCTAAATGATGACAACACGTGGTCACAAAGAGGGGACAATAGACACTGGGCTCTACCAGAGGGTGGAGGGTGGGAGGAGGAAGAAGAACAGAAAAAATAACTGTTGAGTACTGGGCTTAGTACCTGGGTGATGAAATAATCTGTATATCAAAGCCCCATGGCACAAGTTTATCTATATAACAGACCTACACAAGTACCCCAGAATCTAAAATAAAAGTTTTTTTAAAAAAGTAGTATAATACACCTGATTCAATTTGAAAAAAGAACAGATGAGATGTACTCAAATATTTTAGTCAAAAGGAGACATTTAGATTAGACTCATAAAGAATTTTCATTCTACTTTATTAGTCACGTTTTAATATTAGTCCTTCCATTTCTCTGTACTTAAGCTCAAGTAGAGAGCCCAATTTTCTGTCCATGGATTAGAGGATATATCTCAAGTGGATATATCTCAAGATAGTGAAATCTGATCACTCCATGTGCAGGAATCCCTAACAGAAGATGACTTTCCAAAAGTCATGAGGACAATCTGGAAATTAAGACTCAGGTTAAATAGCTCAGAATTAGTTGTTTATTTTAACTGTTGAAATATTGAAAGTTTTCTCAAAACATAGACCAAAAAAATCTTCACTAAATGCCTAAATTTTGTGGCATTACTAAATGTCTCAATTTGAAGTGGGGAAAACATTGACTTATTTTTTCATGGGTAATGTCAAACAGGATAACACAGACCTACCGATTCCTTCAGGAAGTCACAGGGCCAGTTGAAGGACATTTTAAAAAATGACATAACTAAAAGCCTCTTTAACGTCCTCCTCCCAGCTTTCATTTTCATACTTTTTTCCAGCAGTGGCTGAGTTCTAAGAATGACTCCCTACTGCCACAGTCACCCTGGATTGGGGTCAGAGATCACCTCCCCAAGGAGCCATGACAGATGAATGATTCTTCTCTCCTCCACCTTCCTAGTCCCAACATTGCTCAAATTCAATGAATGATGTTTCAATCTTTCCCCTCCTCAATCTGCCAAATGAACCTAATGTCTCTGCACCATCTCTGCCTCATTTCATGCTTTGTTTTCCTAGAAAATCTGTGCCCTTCACCCATCTCCTGCTTCTCCATTGTTTTATGCTCAAAGAACTCCACTGTGCTTGGAAGAAGCCTGATGGATCCAACTGTTCCAGAATGTATCAAGCTTTGGCCCTGTGTAGACCTCTGAATAGCAAGATCCCTTGGTACAAACATACACGGGAGTAAAGCAGGAAGGGAAGGGTGGCTGCAGAGATCTCGGGGTGGAAGAGACAAGGTTTTCCACACTGTTCCTACCACTTTCCCCATTACAGGTTTCAGAACGTGATTATATAATTACTAAGCCCCCATGAGAAAGTCCACAAGAGGGTGGGGGGGTTCCTCGGATTCTGGCAATGTGAGAAAGACAGTTAAGTGAGAACTAGAGGCATTTGTCAAACACAAAATAAATGTGACTGAAAAATATTTTGAGATATTAATTTATGTCAGCCTTTTTCTCCCTATATTTCCCTTTTTGGGCCTCATACTCAAACATCAAAGAGGCCACTCTTTATCTCAGAAAAGCTGAATGGTAGAGTTGCAAGTAAAAAAGTATTGGAAGACTGTTTGGCTTTTGTTTTGCAAAATCTAAATCTTTAGGATATGAGAATTTGTGAGAATAGGAGCAACTTGAAGGAACACAAAAGAAGAAGGATTTCTTTCATATTTAAGAAAGGTATTCCAAAACCACGACAGGAAAAATAGGTAGAGTCTGTGTGTCCCAGAGTGACAGGATTCAGGCCCAGTCTTCTAGTTGTATACTAAGACAGTGGCAAGACCAGAAGAGGAAGAGCTGTGTGGGATAGCTAGGAATATAGAAACACAAGAAGCCTCATAAAGATTCCTGAGTCCCACACATGGTTTGTAGCACTGGAGAAAATCACAGAATTAAGTGTCTTTGATTTTACCCTACTTCAAATCTTACAAGTTGTATTTCCACAGTTTACTTCAACAGCATACTTCTGTATGTTGGCAAAAGACACGAGTCTTCTGGGTCAGAGGCAAAGGACTCTTTGTTTCCAGCACAGCAGGCAGCATGATCTTCATGTTTACATCAATTACCTTTGTCTCTCACGTTCATTGGGGCTACATGGAATGGCACAAGTGGATACTGCACCTATAGTGGCTTTGTATCACAGTTGAGGATCTCCAATCTTAGGATGCCCCAATATTGTAAAGAGGCTACAAGGAAACCTCCCCAACCTTTGTCCTGGAGAATGCCACCATCTTTATTATACTGGGCAGCAAATAAATCTTCTGTCTGCCCAAGAGGGACAAGTGTCTCTATCTTCCAACACTGCCTGCTATACAAACATCCTTGAAAAGATCAATCATCTAGATCAAAAGCTATCAGTGCCTTTACTCATAAGACACTAGAACACAAGAAATCATGGGGTAGAGAATTGTCTACCAACATTGACTTTCCTGTAGGAACAATTGATGTCTCAGCTGTGACCTGTGTGGGCTGATTATCAAAGATCAGAAAGCAGCCCTCTGCCCCTATTGCCTTTGGCCATAAAACACAGGAACTATAGCACAGTCCTGGAGGGAAGAGCATGGTTAGCAGCTATGCTAAAAGCAGATAGATTAAGTAAAAGTCTGAATACTGAAGAGTAAGACATTACTTTCTTTCTCTTTCAGCTACTACCAGACTAAAAGCCAGGCTTAACCCCAGGCAGGACATTTGATGATGACTCTGTGAAAACAACAAAAGAAATTATAATCCTAAGAAATAAGACTTTCAAAAATTGACATTTGATAAATGTGTACCTCTCCTAAGAAATGGCTGCATTTCTACCCCCCAATCTTGCAATGAACGGAAAGTCCCACCCCTCTCCCTGACATAACTTCTTAGTTTAGTTTTGTTTTGTTTAGTTTAGTTTAGTTTTGTTTTGTTTTGTTTGAGATGGAGTCTCACTCTGTCACCAGGCTGGAATGCAATGGTACAAACTCGGCTCACTGCAACATCCGACTCGTTGGTTCAAGGGACTCTCCTGCCTCAGCCTGCCAGGTAGCTGGGATTACAGGCACATGCCACCACGCCCAGCTAATTTTTGTATTTTTTAGTAGAGATGGGGTTTCACTATGTTGGCCAGGATGCTCTCTATCTCCTGACCTTGTGATCCACTGGCCTCAGCCTCCCAAAGTGCTGGGATTACAGGTGTGAGCCACCACACCCAGCAACTTCTTAGTTTTATAATGCTCAATAGGCATAGACAGCCAGGAATTACCTTCCTCTGAAAAAAGTCTTTAATATAAAAGAAAGAATAGAAATAAATAAACAGAAACAGGAACTCAGAGGACTCAAAGATCATGCAGGGAAACAGAATAAACTTTTTTTAAAGTTATAATTAAGAGTTCCAATTCTAGGAAGATGGAAGACATACTTTTTCCTATTTTTCTTACTAAGTACAACTAAAAGCCCTGGACATTATTCATTTTAAATTCCAGGTCTGATCATTCCAAAATCTGTGCTATATTTGAGTCTGGTTCTGATGCTTACTGTGTCTTCAAACTCCGTGGGGGGACAGGGGAAGGGAGTTTGGTTTGCGGGCTTTGGCTTTTTGTCTTTTGGGTTTTTGTGTTTTGTTTTGTTTTGCTTTTTATCTTTTGCATGCCTTGCAACTTTTTGTTGAAAGCCAGATGTAATGTACTAGATAAAAGAACTGAAGTAAATAGACCTTCAATGTGATGTTTACATTGTTAACAGTGTGATTACATTACATCACATTTACAGCTGTAGCTGTAAATGTTGAATATTAAAATTTCCTCTGGTGTTTTAGCCTCCCCTATTGTCTTTGGGTTTCCCTAGAGATTTTTTCTTAAATAAGGCCTGAGGCATGCAGTTGTAATTCCCTGTTGTTATATGAGTCTTATTGCTATGGTGGTAAGGTATGGGAGGAGGGAAATCATTCTGCAGTCTTACAATCAGGTCCCTGTTTTTTAATGAGCCTGTGTCCCTGGGCTGGAACCTTCATCAGTGATTCTCAATTTTGTTTTCCCCCACCCCATTCCCTCACACCCAACTCAGGTGATACAGCAAGGCTAGAGAGGATTAAAGTTGGCAATTTCCCTTCCCTCAGGTTAGGCTCAGTCAATTAATGTTGGTAAAATAGTTTCATTGAAGTAGGGCCTTCTTATGAAGAAAAGAATGCTCTGGACATAGTTTTAAATGGCCTGACTTCAAGCCTAGGCACAAACTAAATGGAGGTCATAGAGCAGCAAATCTAGTCTCCTCCATTCTATTCAGTCACTCCCTCCTTTAACAGCTCCAGTACAACAAGAGAAACAAGTGAGTGTGTTGGGAAGTCTAAGCCATGCTACCTTTAGAAACTGCAATATTGATGACAAAGACCCCTTAGAAAATACTGTAAACCATATTCTCCTTTCCCTAGAATTCCCAGAAGAAAAGAGATGATAAGACATCCAATTAACCTGACGGAAAACATTTTTACAAACTGCTATTAAAATGAAAGAGGCCATTTCAAACATGTTTAACAGAGAGCAAGAGTCAAATTGGACTCCTGTGATTTTCAAAAATCTCTTCCTGTTTTAAGCCTTAATTACTTTGCACTTGGGCTGAATTAGGAAGTTCAATTTTCTGTCCATGAGTCTAAAGTCAGAAGGAATCACTCATGATTCGTTTGGCGTAGGAGACACATTTAATATCCTTAAGAAATTCCTAGGGATTATCCTAAAATAGGGGTTATTTGGAGCTCTGGAGTACCATTAGAGACAGTTATATGAGAGAGGCAAGGAATACTAACACATAAGGACTATCAAAGTAATCTAGAAACCATTTCTGCAATTGTCATTCAGGGCAAAAAAAGCTATTTCCTTTTCTTTCTTTCTTTCTTTTTTTTTTTTTTTTTTTTTTTTGAGCTGGAGTCTCACTTTATCACCTAGGTTGGAGTGCAGTGGCACAATCCCAGCTCACTGTAATCTCCGCCTCCCGGGTTCAAGCAAGTCTCCTGCCTCAGCCTTCTGAGTAGCTGGGATTACAGGCACCTACCACCACGTCTGGCTTATTTTTGCGTTTTTAGCAGAGACGGGGTTTCACCATTTTGGCCAGGCTGGTCTTGAACTCCTGACCTCAAGTGATCAGCCTGCCTTGGCCTCCCAAAGTGCTGGGATTACAGGTGTGAGCCACCATGCCCAGCCAGAAAAAGGCTATTTCCAATTTGAAATGGAATAGCTGAGATTGTAAATAATTTTTTTACTTATATTTTTAAACTGCTTCTCTGGGTAACTGTGGTTACATCAGAGGAGAAAAACTAGTTTGTTCCAGGGACAGGAATGGGAAGGAAACTTGCCATCCATTGGAAACATCTTTGTACTTTTGGAATTGGTAACATGTGCATCCATTAACTACTCTAATTATTTATTAGTTGTTTAGAAAATAAATAAATTTTATGAAAAATGTGGGGGAATTATCATTATTATTATTTTACAACCAAACTAATTTTAGGAGCCCAATTATTTGTTCCACAAGCCAGAAGGGAAGCTTGAAAGTATCACAAGGAAAAACCATTCAGGATTCATTTGGGAGATTAGGGAGATCATGTCTCCCCAACTTTGCAAGAGTCACCAAATACTTTATCTTCTCTTATTCTGGCTATGCATGGTTCAGTACTGTGCCCTGATGAGTTGAAACATTGAAAGCAATAGCACATGCTAAAATCACAAGGGTATTTTTTTTTCAAGTTAAAACATTTTAAATAATCAATTTTAACTCGCCAGTAAGGAAAGCAAAAAATATAGCTCACCATGCTACTGTCTACTTCACTAAATTCACATAGTAGCTTAACTTTAAAGTACACTAAAGAGAAAATATGTTTAACATCCTAACAACAAAAAGGTAACTACATGACATATCAACCCCTATCCTCTGAAGAAAGTTGCTGTCTAATGGGGGATATGGAAGGGTATGGATGGTGTCCTAATTACATCATTCCCAAGTACAACGTAAACATTGTATAATATTTTTCATTATTTCATCTAGATGTTTTACTTGGTCTTATTCTTAGGCAACTGGTTTTCAAGATAGCACTCTTATGAACTGTCTGCCCTGGAGTGGGATCAGTGACCTCCTAGAGAGAGCAACAACTGAGGAAGTAAAGGATTCCAAGCCTGCCAGCTGATCATCTCAATTTAAAGCAAAACAGAGAAGAAAATGGGTAACAATTTCCAAAAACGAAAGGCCAGTCCAGGCTAGGGGCATAACGCATACCACCTCCTACCCAGCAACTCTGAAACACGGAAAAGAAAGACACATGTTTTTGTTTTCCCAAAGCAGGCTCAGGTGGAGTTCCAGAAAAAGTTTTCATGTTCTTGTTGCCTCCTCACAGGCCTACTGCCCTGTTAGTAGAGAAAGACAGTCTCTCTCTTTACTTTTTATCCCCTTTTACTTTATTAAGCCAAGTGGGATAATATTCATTTGAGCACACACCGCTTCTCATATCCTAAACCTAACTTCTCTAATGTCTCCAAGGACAAAAATTCTCTTACTTTTCTCTTTCTCCTAACTCCATGCCCTGGCTCCCTCTCAGGTTCTCCCTCTGTGGTAACCATGGGTCCTGTCCACACAGGGTGTTCCAGACTCTGTCCTCTGAGGAAATTCTTAACAACAGGATTTTTAAATCCTAAGGTGCCAAAAGAGAAGAGGAAAGAAACGACAGACAACAGGTGTAGAGGATTAGACTTTATTCAAGAAGGCATGGGATGCTCCTCCTTGGCAACTCACAGGAGTTAATGACCTGCCTTAGCAGCTGGAAGTCAGTGCCAGAGAAATGTGGATTCTAAAAAAGAATCCAGTAATTGAGAGGTGGGATGATGATTCACAGAAAGTGGTGGTAATAAGAGGAATTTTCTAGAATTTTCCCTCCAGTGCACCTCCTGAGAGACAAGTAATGGAAATATTTAACCAGCTCCAAGCCCTTGTTACTTTCAATTTATTGTGTGTGACTAAAGATTCATAAGGAGAAAAGGGCTAGTGAGGGCCATACAGGATTTAAGGTTGGTGAGAGAAAAGGAAGGTTGGGAATATATGAGGGGTGAGAAAAGAAAGAATCAGAATGTCTTTTCTCCTGCTGACAATAATGATGTTCAAACTCCTGAAGAATCTGCGAGCTTCTCCTCTCAGCGTCTTCCCACCAGCTCCCCAGCCTCAGCCTAAGTGGGAGTGGGAGGGGGCAGGTGTCAGGGAACAGCAGGGCAGGGTCCACAGGCAGCCCGAGGGCATTGGATGCCTTTTTCCCAGGGAGTCCAAGTGACCTCTGTTTCACACACAATGGAAAGGAACCCAGTGGGCAGTTTTCCAGGGAACAAAGAAGTTAAAACCACACGCACCTTCCCTCCTCAATTTCTACATTTAGAAGAAGTCATTCTATTCCCTGTGATGACTTCTTTCCAGGTCAGTAAAAGGTCTCCTCTGTAAAATGGAAAAGGTTACTATTTCATCTCATGTGAGCTTAGAATAATTCTGAATGGTAGGAAATACAATTTCACCCTCTTTTTGCAAATGTGTTTGCCCACAAAGAAACCAGTTTTACTGTTCAACTGTTTACATGTATTAACAACATCTCATTTTTAAAGAAAGACAAAGAAATTGTTCTAGTCCACATTAGATTTTATTTAAACCTTGCTAGGAATAGCAAGTTACTCGAGAGTAAAGTACAGATTTGATATAAAAATGGTTAAAAAGGAGCTCCCAACTTGAGCCCAAGTAAGAGGGGAGAAATGAGAATATGTCCCTCCAGAAAGATGAGCCAAACTGGCAGGAGTGTCCTACCATTGAAGAAAGCCTGGAGCACAGGGAGTGTCTTCCGTCTCAAGTATAACAATATTTTTCACAGATACTACTGTTTTCCCACTGAGACCTGTAAAGAAAAGAAGTGGGAGCTCTCAGAGCAGCATGTTAAAAAAAGCAAATTAAAACTTTTCAAATGATCAGACTGAACAGGTGACACCAGAAGACTAGAGCTCCTGTGGCCAAGTGCAGAGACACGGCCAGCTTCCTGGGCCCCCAATTTCTAAGGGGCACCAACCCCCCACCCCACCACTGAGAATATCCCAAAAAGGAAAAGGTTTTACCTGCCAGATGGCATCTCAGGAAGCATACAGGATAGGGGTAAACAGGTAAACCCCAGTTTGCAGGGAATGCAGTGAAACTCACAAAGGGCATGTTTGAGTGACAGCCCTGCTCAAGGGAAGGTGACTGTGACTGCAGAGCTTCGTTTGTGGATTGTTTCAGATACATGTAGAGTCAGAGTTAAATTGCCTTAAATAAGAAAGGAAAGTTTGAGCCCCACTCCTTCTTTTTCATCCTTCCCAAATACCACCCTACAAGACTCAGCCTCCCCTCTAAATAAGCATAGCCTAAATATTTCTTGCTTAAGTATTCATTTAAAGGGGTAACAAATTAATAGTCAGCTTAAGCTTCCCACATGAGTTCGTATTATCCTAATCAAAGACATTAGTGCTTTAGAAGAGTCAGGCCCAATGTTCAACATTCCACAAGTACTTACAGACAGAGAAAGAGAGAGCAAAGTGGTGGGGAGAGAAGAAGAGGAAAGGTAGAAAGGAAGGCCAGGAGGGAAGGAAGGAGGGAGAATTCAAAGTTGACTCTAAGGTTTTGGGTCTGAGACACTGGAAAGATGCAGTTGCCATCAACTGAAATGGAAAAAATAATTAAGTAAGGCAGGTTTGAGAAGACAAGTAGTTCCATCTTGGATGTGTTGAATTGGAGATGTCAGGACAGTCACCAAAAGAGCCTGAGAAGGCAGCTAGAAGCCTCAAACTTAACGTGTTCAGAACCAAACTCTTGCATTCATTATTTCTCATTCACCATCCAAAGCATGTCTTTGCCGTCTTCCATTGCTCAGACATGACAATTCTACTCAACTAGTTGCTCAGGCCAAAGACCTTCAAGTCATCCTGGACTCCCTCTTTCTGTCACATACCACACCTAATCATCTAAAAATATTATCAGAGCTACTTTGTAATGTATTCAGAATCTAATTGCTTCTCATTTCCTTCAATGCCACTATTTCACTCCAAACCACCATCATCTTTTAGCTATTAAAATTAATATTAGGCTAAAACCAACATTAAATGAGCTCCAGGGATAAACAGTAAATGTGATATTTGATCTCAAAGATTACTATTTTACCTTTATTATTTAAAAATCTAGTAGTCAAATTTTTAAAGTTTGATATATAATACAAGAATAATAATTTGTTAGCACTGGTAGAGTGCTCTTGTAGTCACTACAGTGTACATTTACAATCCCGAAGGGATCTCACTTTGAGCTGAGTGTGATTGACAAACAAAGTAATTTGAAAGCAAGTCTTTCCATTGTAGGCACTGCGATACTGACATCACCACTAAGGCTTTCCTTCCTTTCTAATAGTAGCTCACATGGTTAGAGATTTATCTCCTCCTCCACTCTTGGGTTTAATAGCTTGGTTTATAGTAGTGATACATGTCATTGAACCCATCCTGCAAACTCTGGATATTGTTTGAAGAAGATGTTTTTGGACCATTTTCATAAGGGTGTTGCTCTTGCTGATATCTGATATTTCTAATATTTTTGCATGAGTTTACTGTTTCACACAATCTGTTTTTAAAAACCTGTCCTTAAACCTTGGATCTAGAAATGTGGCAATAGGACAAGGCAATTTTCTTTCAAAATAACAAAGTTAGCTCTGACTTTTCATCTGCATCTCAGTTTTTACCGCATGAACACCCATCTCAGCACCTTCTCTGTAGTCAAATGTTAGAGGACAATGTACGGTATCATGTAAGAAATATTTGCACGTGCAAGATATTTCAGATTAATAATTTCCTCAGTGAGCTCCAAAAGCAAACTACTTTCTGGTCAAACAAACCATTGGCTGTTAGTAAATCCTGTTGTGTTGATATTTTTGTCCATCAAATATAACATTAAACCTTTATTTTGTTCAAGTAGCCTTTTCAACATGTATAGTTACTATCCCATCCTATTGGAACACCTTGATAAGTCCTTGACAAGATAGTTCAAAAATTTCTTGAAGGTCATAAAACTTGCTTTGGCTGAAGAAGAATGTCGACAGTGACCCACTCTCTCCTCCTTAGGGCTTAATAATCTTGTTATATTCTTCTGTGCTATAATTACTTTCTGAACACACAACTAAAGGATGTGAACAAAATACTGATTGTGGTACCTAAATTACACATAGCCTTCACTATGTTTGTTCTATTGTCAATATCAGATATGTAACAATTTTTTTCTCTATTCGATAAACATTTCTTCAATCAGATTCACTCTGTTGTTCACCATAAGGGACCCAACATCTCTCGGCAAACTAGTAAACAGGAACAGAGTTGAATTTATCATTAATCCACCAGGAAGTCATACCTTAAAAAAAAAGACATCTGGTTGTCTCTGCATGCCCAAATTTTTTATGTATAATTTACAAAACTAGTATATTTAATGATGTGACTGCCTTTGTGTTCAAGGGAGATTAGAATTCAGGAAGAAATTTTTAGTATGTGTTTTTTAAAAGGAACTTTTATCTAAGATTCATGTGCATACCTCAAAAATTCTTCATCTTTAACTATTGAAAATTGTAGACAAGCTTTAACAAATTTTGGGGGTGTTTTTTTTGCTTTTTTTAATTTTATTACTATTGTACTTTAAGTTTTAGGGTACATGTGCACAATGTGCCGGTTAGTTACATATGTATACATGTGCCATGCTGGTGTGCTGCACCCATTAACTGGTCATTTAGCATAGGCATATCTCCTAATGCTATCCCTCCCCCATCCCGCCACCCCACAACAGGCCCTGGAGTGTGCTGTTCCCTTTCCTGTGTCCATGTGTTCTCATTGTTCAATTCCCACCTATGAGTGAGAACATGCAGTGTTTGGTTCTCTGTCCTTGCGATAGTTTGCTGAGAATGAGGGTTTCCAGTTTCATCGATGTCCCTACAAAGGACATGAACTCATCATTTTTTATGGCTGCATAGTATTCCATGGTGTATATGTGCCACATTTTCTTAATCCAGTCTATCATTGTTGGACATTTGGGTTGGTTCCAAGTCTTTGCTATTGTGAATAGTGCCGCTATAAACATACGTGTGCATGTGTCTTTATAGCAGCATGATTTATAATCCTTTGGGTATATACCCAGTAATGGGATGGCTGGGTCAAAAGTATTTCTAGTTCTAGATCCCTGAGGAATCACCACACTGACTTCCACAATGGTTGAACTAATTTACGGTCCCACCAACAGTGTAAAAGTGTTCCTATTTCTCCACATCCTCTCTAGCACCTGTTCTTTCCTGACTTTTTAATGATCACCATTCTAACTGGTGTGAGATGGTATCTCATTGTGGTTTTGATTTGCATTTCTCCGATGGCCAGTGATGATGAGCATTTTTTCATGTGTCTTTTGGCTGCATGAATGTCTTGAGAAGTGTCTGTTCATATCCTTCACCCACTTTTTGATGGGGTTGTTTGTTTTTTTCTTGTAAATTTGTTTGAGTTCATTGTAGATTCAGGATATTAGCCCTTTGTCAGACAAGTAGGTTGCGAAAATTTTCTCCCATTTTGTAGGTTGCCTGTTCACTCTGATGGTCGTTTCTTTTGCTGTGCAGAAGCTCTTTAGTTTAATTAGATCCCATTTGTCAGTTTTGGCTTTTGTTACCATTGCTTTTGATGTTTTAGACATGAAGTCCTTGCCCATGCCTATGTCCTGAATGGTATTGCCTAGGTTTTCTTCTAGGGTTTTTATGGTTTTAGGTCTAACATGTAACTCTTTAATCCATCTTGAATGAATTTTTTTATAAGGTGTAAGGAAGGGATCCAGTTTCAGCTTTCTACATATGGCTAGCATTTTTCCTAGCACCGTTTATTAAATAGGGAATCCTTTCCCTATTGCTTGTTTTGTCAGGTTTGTCAAAGATCAGATGGTTGTAGACATGTGGCATTATTTCTGAGGGCTCTGTTCTGTTCCATTGATTTATATTTCTGTTTTGGTACCAGTACCATGCTGTTTTGGTTACTGTAGCTTTGTAGTATAGTTTGAAGTCAGGTAGTGTGATGCCTCCGGCTTTGTTCTTTTGGCTTAGGATTGACTTGGTGATGTGGGCTCTTTTTTGGTTCCATATGAACTTTCAAGTAGTTTTTTCCAATTCTGTGAAGAAAGTCATTGGTAGCTTGATGGGGATGGTGTTGAATCTATAAATTACCTTGGGCAGTATGGCCATTTTCACAATATTGATTCTTCCTACCCACGAGCATGGAATGTTCTTCCATTTGTTTGTATCCTCTTTTATTTCCTTGAGCAGTGGTTTGTAGTTCTCCTTGAAGAGGTCTTTCACATCCCTTGTAAGGTGGATTCCTAGGTATTTTATTCTCTTTGAAGCAACTCTGAATGGGAGTTCACTCATGATTTGGTTCTCTGTTTCTCTGTTATTGGTGTGTAAGAATGCTTGTGATTTTTGCACATTGATTTTGTATCCTGAGACTTTGCTGAAGTTGCTTATCAGCTTAAGGAGATTTTGTGCTGAGACAATGGGGTTTTCTAGATATACAATCATGTCATCCTCAAGCAGGGACAATTTGACTTCCTCTTTTCCTAATTTAATACCCTTTATTTCCTTCTCCTGCCTAATTGCCCTGGCCAGAACTTCCAACACTATGTTGAATAGGAGTGGTGAGAGAGGGCATCCCTGTCTTGTGCCAGTTTTCAAAAGGAATGCTTCCAGTTTTTGCCCATTCAGTATGATATTGGCTGTGGGTCTATCATAGACACCAGTTATTATTTTGCGATACGTCCCATCAATACTTAATTTATTGAGAGTTTTTAGCATGAAGGGTTGTTGAATTTTGTCAAAGACCTTTTCTGCATCTATTGAGATAATCATATGGTTTTTGTCTTTGGTTCTGTTTATATGCTGGATTACATTTATTGATTTACATATGTCAAACCAGCCTTGCATCCCAGGGATGAAGCCCACTTGAACATGGTGGATGAGCTTTTTGATGTGCTGCTGGATTTGGTTTGCCAGTATTTTATTAAGGATTTTTGCATCAATGTTCATCAAGGATATTGGTCTAAAATTCTCTTTTTTTGTTGTGTCTCTGCCAGGCTTTTGTATCAGAATGATGCTGGCCTCATAAAATGAGTTAGGGAGGATTCTCTCTTTTTCTATTGATTGGAATAGTTTCAGAAGGAATGGTACCAACTCCTCCTTGTACCTCTGGTAGAATTTGGCTGTCAATCCATCTGGTCCTGGACTTTTTTTGGTTGGTAAGCTATTGATTATTGCCACAATTTCAGAGCATGTTTTTGGTCTATTCAGAGATTCAACTTCTTCCTGGTTTAGTCTTGGGAGGGTGTATGTGTCCAGGAATTTATCCATTTCTTCTAGATTTTCTAGTTTATTTGTGTAGAGGTGTTTGTAGTATTCTCTGATGGTAGTTTCTATTTCTGTGGGATCAGTGGTGATATCCCCTTTATCATTTTTTATTACGTCTATTTGATTCTTCTCTCTTTTCTTCTTTATTAGTCTTGCTAGCAGTCTATCGATTTTGTTGATCCTTTCAAAAAACCAGCTCCTGGATTCATTAATTTTTTGAAGGGTTTTTTGTGTCTCTATTTCCTTCAGTCCTGCTCTGATCTTAGTTATTTCTTGCCTTCTGCTAGTTTTTGAATGTGTTTGATCTTGCTTTTCTAGTTCTTTTAATTGTGATGTTAGGGTGTTAATTTTGGATCTTTCCTGCTTTCTCTTGTGGGCGTTTTGTGCTATAAATTTCCCTCTACACACTGCTTTGAATGCATCCCAGAGATTCTGGTATGTTGAGTCTTTGTTCTCTTCGGTTTCAAAGAACATCTTTATTTCTGCCTTCATTTCGTTATGTACCCAGTAGTCATTCAGAAGCAGGTTGTTCAGTTTCCATGTAGTTGAGTGGTTTTGAGTGAATTTCTTAATCCTGAGTTCTAGTTTGATTGCACTGTGGTCTGAGAGACAGTTTGTTGTAATTCCTGTTCTTTTACATTTGCTAAGGAGTGCTTTACTTCCAACTATGTGGTCAATTTTGGAATAGGTGTGGTGTGGTGCTGAAAAAAATGTATATTCTCTTGACTTGGGGTGGAGAGTTCTGTAGATGTCTATTAGGTCCGCTTGGTGCAGAGCTGAGTTCAATTCCTGGGTATCCTTGTTAACTTTCTGTCTCATTGATCTGTCTTATGTTGACAGTGGGATATTAAAGTCTCCCATTATTATTGTGTGGGAGTCTAAGTCTCTTTGTATGTCACTAAGGATTTGCTTTATGAATCTGGGTGCTCCTGTATTGGGTGCATATATATTTAGGATAGTTAGCTCTTCTTGTTGAATTGATCCCTTCACCATTATGTAATGGCCTTCTTTGCCTCTTTTGATCTTTGTTGGTTTAAAGTCTGTTTTATCAGAGACTAGGATTGCAACCCCTGCCTTTTTTTGTTTTCCATTTGCTTGGTAGATCTTCCTCCATCCCTTTATTTTGAGCCTATGTGTGTCTCTGCATGTGAGATGGGTTTCCTGAATACAGCACACTGATGGGTCTTGACTTTTTAACCAATTTGCCAGTCTGTGTCTTTTAACTGGAGCATTTAGCTGATTTACATTTAAAGTTAATATCGTTATGTGTGAATTTGGTCCTGTCATTATGATGTTAACTGGTTATTTTGCTCTTCAGTTGATGCAGTTTCTTCCTAGCCTTGATGGTCTTTACATTTTGGCATGTTTTTGCAGTGGCTGGTACTGGTTGTTCCTTTCCACGTTTAGTGCTTCCTTAAGGAGCTCTTTTAGGGCCAGCCTGTTTGTGATAAAAATCTCTCAGCATTTGCTTGTCTGTAAATGATTTTATTTCTCCTTCACTTATGAAGCTTAGTTTGGCTGGATATGAAATTCTGGGTTGAAAATTCTTTTCTTTAAGAATGTTGAATATTGGCCCCCATTCTCTTCTGGCTTGTAGAGTTTCTGCCGAGAGAGCCACTGTTAGTCTGATGGGCTTCCCTTTGTGGGTAACTCGATCTTTCTTTCTGGCTGCCCTTAACATTTTTTCCGTCATTTCAACTTTGGTGAATCTGACAATTATGTGTCTTGGAGTTGCTCTTCTCGAGGAGTATCTTTGTGGCGTTCTCTGTATTTCCTGAATCTGAATGTTGCCCTGCCTTCCTAGATTGGGGAAGTTCTCCTGGATAATATCCTGCAGAGTGTTTTCCAACTTGGTTCCATTCTCCCCGTCACTTTCAGGTACACCAATCAGACGTAGATTTGGTCTTTTCACATAGTCCCATATTTCTTGGAGGCTTTGCTCATTTCTTTTTATTCTTTTTTCTCTAAACTTCCCTTCTTGCTTCATTTCATTCATTTTGTCTTCCATCACTGATACCCTTTCTTCCAGTTGATCGCATTGGCTCTTGAGGCTTCTGCATTCTTCACGTAGTTCTCGAGCCTTGGCTTTCAACTCCATCAGCTCCTTTAAGGACTTCTCTGCATTGGTTATTCTAGGTATCCATTCGTCTAATATTTTTTCAAAGTTTTTAACTTCTTTGCCATTGGTTTGAATTTCCTCCTGTAGCTTGGAGGAGTTTGATCGTCTGAAGCCTTCTTCTCTCAACTCGTCAAAGTCATTCTCTGTCAAACTTTGTCCCGTTGCTGGTGAGGAGCTGCATTCCTTTGGAGGAGGAGAGGTGCTCTGCTTTTTAGAGTTTCCAGTTTTTCTGCTCTTTTTTTCCCCATCTTTGTGATTTTATCTACTTTTGGTCTTTGATGATGGTGACGTACAGATGGTTTTTGGTGTGGATGTCCTTTCTGTTTGTTAGTTTTCCTTCTAACAGACAGGACCCTCAGCTGCAGGTCTGTTGGAGTTTGCTAGACGTCCACTCCAGACCCTGTTTGCCTGGGTATCAGCAGTGGTGGCTGCAGAACAGCGATGGCTGTAGAACAGCAGATATTGGTGATTCGCAAATGCTGCTGCCTGATCGTTCCTCTGGAAGTTTTGTCTCAGAGGAGTACCCGGCTGTGTGAGGTGTCAGTCTGCCCCTACTGGGGGGTGCCTCCCAGTTAGGCTTCTCAGGGGTCAGGGACCCACTTGAGGAGGCAGTCTGCCTGTTCTCAGATCTCTAGCTGCGTGCTGGGAGAACCACTACTCTCTTCAAAGCTGTCAGACAGGGACACTTAAGTCTGCAGAGGTTACTGCTGTCTTTTTGTTTGTCTGTGCTCTGCCCCCAGAGGTGGAGCCTACAGAGGCAGGAAGGTGTTCTTGTGCTGTGGTGGGCTCCACCCAGTTCGAGCTTCCCGGCTGCTTTGTTTACCTAATCAAGCCTGGGCAATGGCGGGCTCCCCTCCTCCAGCCTCGCTGCCACCTTGCAGTTTGATCTCAGACTGCTGTGCTAGCAATCAGTGAGACTCCATGGGTGTAGGACCCTCCAAGCCATGTGCAGGATATAATCTCCTGCTGTGCTGTTTTTTCAGCCTGTTGGAAAAGCGCTGTATTAGGGTGGGAGTGACCCAATTTTCCAGGTGTCATCTGTCACCCCTTTCTTTGACTAGGAAAGGGAACTCCCTGACCCCTTGCACTTCCTGAGTGAGGCAATGCCTCGCCCTGCTTTGGCTCATGCCTGGTGCACTGCACCCACTGTCCTGCACCCACTGTCTGGCACTCCCTAATGAGATGAACCTGGTACCTCAGATGGAAATGCAGAAATCACCTGTCTTCTATGTCACTCACAATGGGAGCTGTAGACCGGAGCTGTTCCTATTCGGCCATCTTGGCTCCACCCCCCAACAAATGTTTTAACAATTATTTTATTTTAATGTTTAATCTTCATAGACTCATAAAGATTCATCTTCTGAAAAGATTCTAACAGAGTACATATTTTTAGATTGGTTATGTGACAAAAATGTATTTCAAGTCTCTCCATTTTCTGCAATACTTTATTTTCTTCATATTCTTTATTATGTCTTTATTGCAAACTATTTTTATCTAAAAATATAAACAATCAAACTCATAGACACAGAGAGTATAAGGATGGTTACCAGAGGCTGGGAAGGGTAGTAGTGGGTTGGGGTGGAAGAATGGTTAATGAATCCAAAAAAATATAGTTAGAAAGAATGAACAAGGCCTACTATTCTATAGCACAATAGAGTGACTATAGTCAATAATAACTTAACTGTACATTTTAAAATAACTAGAAGAATGCAAATGGGTTGTTTGTAAAATAAAGGATAAATGCTTGAGGGGGTGGATACCCCATTCTCTATGATGTGATTATTACACATTGCATCCTATATCAAAATGTCTCCTGTACCTCATAAATATATACACATATTATGTACCCACAATAGTTAAAAATGAATGTTTTTCTCTCTCTAGATTCCTCCTCTCTGGGCAGGGAATCCCTGAAAGAAAGGCAGCAGCCCCAGTCAGGGGCTTATAGATAAAACTCCCATCTCCCTGGGACAGAGCACCTGGAAGAAGAGGTGCCTGTGGGCACAGCTTCAGCAGACATAAACATTCCTGCCTGCTGGCTCTGAAGAGAGCAGATCTCCAAGCACAGCACTAGAGCTCTGCTAAGGGACAGACTGCCTCCTCAGGTGGGTCCCTGACCCCCGTGCCTCCTGACTAGCAGACATCTCCCAGCAGGGGTCAACAGACACCTCATTCAGGAGAGCTCCAGCTGGCATCTGGTGGGTGCCCTTCTGGGATGAAGCTTCCAGAGGAAGGAGCAGGCAGCAATCTTTGCTGTTCTGCAGCCTCTGCTGGTGATACCCAGGCAAACAGGGTCTGGAGTGGACCTCCGGAAAACTCCAGTGGACCTGCAGCAGACGGGCCTGACTGTTAGAACAAAAACTAACAAACAGATAAGAATAGCGTTAATATCAATAAAAAGGAAGTCCACACAAAATCTCCATCCAAAGGTCAACAGCAGCAAAGACCAAAGGTAGATAAATCCATGAAGAAGAGGAAAAACCAGTGCAAAAAGGTTGAAAATTCCAGGAACCAGAATACCTCTTCTTTAAAGGATCACAGCTCCTTGCCAGCAAAGGAACAAAAATGGACAGAGAATGAGTTTGAAGAACTGACAGAAGTAGGCTTCAGAAGCTGGGTAATAACAAACTCCTCCAAGCTAAAGGAGCATGCTCTAACCCAATGCAAGGAAGCTAAGAACCACGAAAAAAAGTAAGAGGAATCGCTAACTAAAATTATAAAATTATGAGTTTAGAGAAGAACATAAATAACCTGATAGAGCTAAAAAATACACCACAAGAACTTCATGAAGCATACATAAGTATCAATAGCTGAATTAAGCATGAGAAAGGATATCAGAGATTGAAGATCAACTTAACGAAATAAAGTGTGAAGACAGAATTAGAGAAAAAAGAATGAAAAGGAACAAACAAAGGCTCCAAGAAATGTGGGACTTTCTGAAAAGACCAAACCTACACTTGATTGGTGTACCTGAAAGGGACAGGGAGAATGGAGCCAAGTTGGAAAGCACTCTGCAGGATATTATCCAGGAGAACTTCCCCAACCTAGCAAGAGAGGCCAACATTGAAATTCAGGAAATACAGAGAACACAACAAAGATACTCCTCAAGAACAGCAATCACAAGACAAATAATCATCAGATTAACCAAGGTTGAAACGAAGGAAAAAATGTTAAGGACAGCCAGAGAGAAAGGTCGAGTTACCCACAAAAGGAAGCCCATCAGACTAACGGTGGATCTCTCCAATCTCTCTGCAGAAACCCTAAAAGCCAGAAGAGAGTGGGGGCCAATATTCAACATTCTTAAAGAAAAGAATTTTCAACCCAGAATTTCACATCCAACCAAACTAAGCTTCATAAGTGAAGGAGAAATAAAATCCTTTACAGACAAGCAAATGCTGAGGGATTTTGTCACCACCAGGCCTGCCTTACAAGAGCTCAAGAAGGAAGCACTAAATATAGAAAGGAAAAACAGGTAACAGCCACTACAAAAACGTACCAAAATGTAAAGACCATCAAAACTATGAGGAAATTGCATTGACTAATGCACAAAATAACCAGCTGGCATCATAATGACAGGATCTAATTCACACATAACAATATTAACCTTAAGTGTAAATGGGCTAAATGCCCCAATTAAAAGACATCAACTGACAAATGGATAAAGAGTCAAGACCCATCAGTGTGCTGTATTCAGGAGACCCATCTCATGTGCAAAGACACACATAGGCTCAAAATAAAGGTATGGAGGAAGTTTTACCAAGCAAATAGAAAGCAAAAAAAAGAAAGAAAGAAAAGAAAAGCAGGGGTTGCAATCCTAGTCTCTGATAAAACAGACTTTAAATGAACACAGATGAAACAAGACAAAGAAAAACAGCACATAATGGTAAAAGGACCAATGCAACAAGAAGAGCTCACTATCATAAATATATATGCACTCAATACAGGAGCAACCAGATTCATAAAGCAAGTTCTCAGAGACCTATAAAGAGACTTAGACCCCCACACAGTAATAGTGGGAGACTTTAATACCCCACTGTCAATATCAGACAAATCAACAAGACTTAAAATTAATAAGGATATTCAGGACTTGAACTCAGCTCTGGACCAAACAGACCTAATAGACATCTACAGAACTCTCCAGCCCAAATCAACAGAATATACATTCTTTTCAGCACCACATAGCACTTATTCTAAAACTGACCACATAATTGGAAGTAAAACACTCCTCAGCAAATGCAAAAGAACAGAAATCATAACAAACAGTCTCTCAGACCACAGTGCAATCAAATTAGAACTCAGGATTAAGAAACTCACTCAAAACCACACAACTACATGGAAACTGAACAACTTTCTCCTGAATGACTACTGGGTAAATAACAAAATTAAGGCAGAAATAAATAAGTTCTTTGAAACCAATGAGAACAAAGACACAGCATACCAGAATCTCTGGGACACAGCTAAAGTAGTGTTTACAGGGAAATTTATACCACTAAATGCCCACATGAGAAAGCAGGAAAGATCTAAAATCGACACCTTAGCATCAAAATTAACAGAACTAGAGAAGCAAGAGCAAACAAATTCAAAAGCTAGAAGAATACAAGAAATAACTAAGATCAGAGCAGAACTGAAGGAGATAGAGACACAAAAAAACCCTTCAAAAATTCAATGACTCCAGGAGCTGGATTTTTGAGAAGATTAACCAAATAGGTAGACCACTAGCCAGACCAATAAAGAAAAAAAGAGAGAAGAATCAAATAGATACAATAAAAAATGATAAAGGGGATATCACCACTGATCCCACAGAAATATCAGCTACCATGAGAGAATACTATAAACACCTCTATACAAATAAACTAGAAAATCTAGAAGAAATGGATAAATTTCTGGACACATACACCCTCCCAAGACTAAATCAGAAAGAAGTCAAATCCCTGAATACACCAATCACAACTTCTGAAATTGAGGCGGTAATTAATTGCCTACCAGCCAAAAAAAAAAGTCCAGAACTAGACAGATTCACAGCTGAATTCTACCAGAGGTACAAAGAGGAGCTGGTACCATTCCTTCTGCAACTATTTCAAACAATAGAAAAAGAGGGACTCCTTCCTAACTCATTTTATGAGGCCAGCGTCATCCTGATACCAAAACCTAGCAGAGACATAACGAAAAAAGAAAATTTCAGGCCAATATCCCTGATGAACATCGATGTGAAAATCCTCAATAAAATACTGGCAAACCAAATCCAGCAGCACATCAAAAAGCTTATCCACCACAATCAAGTTGGCTTTATATCTGGGATGCAAGGCTGGTTCAACATATGCAAATCAATACACATAATACATCACATATACAGTATCAATGACAAAAAGCACATGATTATCTCAATAGATGCAGAAAAGTACTTTGATAATATTCAACACCCCTTCATGCTAAAAACTCTCCATAAACTAGGTATTGATGGAATATATCTCAAAATAATAAGAGCTATTTATGACAAACCCACAGCCAATATCATACTGAATGGGCAAAAGCTGGCAGCATTCCCTTTGAAAACTGGCACAAGACAAGGATGTCCTCTCTCACCACTCCTATTCAAAACAGTATTGGAAATTCTGGCCAGGGCAATTAGGCAAGAGAAAGAATAAAGGGGATTGAAATAGGAAGAGACGCAGTCAAATTTTCTCTGTTTGCAGATGACATGATTGCATATTTAGAAAACCCCATCATCTCAGCCTAAAATCTCCTTAAGCTGATAAGCAACTTCAGCAAAGTCTCAGGATACAAAATCAATGTGGAAAAATCAAAAGCATTCCTATACACCAACAATAGAAAAACAGAGCCAAATCATGAGTGAACTCCCATTCACAATTGCTACAAAGAGAATAAAATACCCAGGAATACAACTTACAAGGGATGTGAAGGACCTCTTCAAAGAGAACTACAAACCGCTGCTCAAGGAAATAAGGGAAACAAATGGAAAAACATTCCATGTTCATGGGTGGAAAGAATGAATATCATGAAAATGGCCATACTGCCCAAAGTAATTTACAGATTCAATGCTATCCCCATCAAGCTACCATTGACTTTCTTCACAGAATTAAAAAAAACTATTTTAAATGTCATATGGAACAAAAAAAGAGCCCATATAGCCAAGACAATCCTAAGCAAAAAGAACAAAACTGGAGGCGTCATGCTACCTGACTTCAAACTATACTGCAAGGCTACAGTAACCAAAACAGCATGGTACTGGTACCAAAACAAATATATAAACCAATGGAACCGAACATAGGTCTCAGAAATAATGCCACACATCTACCACCATCTGAACTTTGACAAACCTGACCAAAACAAGCAATGGGGAAAGGATTCCCTATTTAATAAATGATGTTGGGAAAACTGGCTAGCCATATGCAGAATGCTGAAACTGGACCCCTTCCTTACATCTTATACAAAAATTAACTCAAGATGGATTAAAGACTTAAATATAAGAACTGAAACCATAAAAATCCTAGAAGAAAACCTAAGCAATACCATTCAAGATATAGGTATGGGCAAAGACTTCATGACTAAAACACCAAAAGCAATGGCAACAAAAGCCAAAATTGACAAATGGGATCCAATTAAACTAAAGAGCTTCTGCACATAAAAAGAAACTATCATCAGAGTGAACAGGCAACCTACAGAATGGGAGAACATTTTTGCAATCTATCCATCTGACAAAGGGCTAATATCCAGAATTTACAAGGAACTTAAACAAATTTACAAGAAAAAAACAATGCCATCAAAAAGTGGGTGAAGGATATGAACAGATACTTCTCAAAAGAAGACATTTAGGCAGCCAACAAAGATATGAAGAAAAGCTCATCACTGGTCATTAGAGACATGCAAATTAAAACCACAATGAGATACCATCTCATGCCAGTTAGAATGGCGATCATTAAAATGTCAGGAAACAACAGATATTGGAGACAATCTGGAGAAATAGGAATGCTTTTACACTGTTGGTGGAAGTGTAAATTAATTAAACCATTGTGGAAGACAGTGTAGAAGTTCCTCAAGGATCTAGAACCAGAAATACCATTTGACCCAGAAATCCCATTACTGGGTATATACCCAAAGGATTATAAGTCATTCTACTATAAAGACACATACACGCATGTGTTTATTGCAGCACTATTCACAATACCAAAGACTTGGAACCAACCCAAATGCCCAACAGTGACAGTCTGGATAAAGGAAATGTGGCACATATACATCATGGAATACTATGCAGCCATAACAAAGGATAAGTTCATGTCCTTTGCAGGGACATGGATGAAACTGGAAATGGTCATTCTCAGCAAACTAACACAGGAACAGAAAACCAAACACCTCATGTTCTCACTCATAGGTGGGACTTGAACAATGAGAACATATGGACACAGGGAAATGAACATCACACACCAGAACCTGTTGTGTGGTGGGGGGTGCAGGGGGCTAGGGGAGCAACAGCATTAGCAGAAATACCTAATGTAGATGACGGGTTGATGAGTGCAGCAAACCACCATGGCATGTATATACCTAAGTAACAAACCTGCACGTTCTGAACATGTATCTCAGAACTGAAAGTATAATTAAACAAAAAAAGAAGCATAGGTAAAATACATATTGTGGAAGGCAAAATCATGTTTAGATGTGTAAAAGCCTATTGTAGGAGAATAATACAGTACAGGGTAGCAAAGAATTAAAGTGCATAAAAATGCATAAAATAAAATTTTTTTAAAAAATTATTTTTTATAAATATTGACGAGTATGATTGAGTCCTTTATCACTGTGAAATTTTGAGTTGCTAAAGTTAACATTCTGCTTTTAATCTATCCTCACAAGATGTGAAGAAATCACAAATAAAACACTCATGGACTTAAGTAATTTAATAGAATTAAGTAACTTAAATACAACTTTTAAAAATTATTTTGTGTAATGGCATGAATACTAGTACAGATGCTGCTGCAGTTATGATGTGGTTATGTTTTGATAAACTTGTTGTAACTTGAAAATATTGTTAAGTCAAAGGTGTATTGAATACAACTAACTTAGCAAACATCATAGCCTAGATTATGCTACCATTAATGTGCTCAGAACACTTACATTAGCCTACGGTTGGGCAAAATCATCTAACACAAGTCTATTTTATAATAATGTGTTTAATATCACACATAATTTATTGAATACTGTACTGAAAGTGAAAAACGGAATGGTTGTGTGGGTACTTGAAGTATGATTTTCACTGAATACACATCACTTTAGCATGATCATAAAGCTGAAAAATCTTCAAGCAGTCATAAATTGAGAACCATCTGTATACAATCTACAAATATTAGAATAATGATATAACCTAAACATCCTCCCTGTGCCCTCATTCTCTCCCCGTGCCCTTAGTGTTACTAATACTCATGACATATAATTTCCTAAAGATACTGATACCAGTTCCTTCCTTGTTTCTGACAAGAAATTTGTTGCTACTCTTATCTTTTGTTCATCTGTATTTAACATATCTTTTGTTCTTTGGTTGCTTTTAAGACTTTGTCTTCATCATTGGTTTTGAGCAACTTTATTATTATGTGCCTTGTAGCTTTCTCCATGTTTCTTGTGGTCAAATTTTATTTCTAGTATATTATATAGTATTTATTTATTATACATCTAATAAAAATTTAGAAAAAATCAGCAATTAAAAAAATATTCTCCCCACTCCAATACCTTCTCTCCTTTGGAGGTTCAATTACATGTATATTAGTTACTTAAAGTTCTCCCACAGCTCACTGATACTGTTTTCATTTATAATTTTAAAAAAAAGTTTTCTCTCGGGTGGCGTTTTAGATAATTTTTATCACTGTATCTTCAAGTTTACTTATCTTTTGTTCTCATGTATAATCTGCCACTACTACCATACTTTTTTATCTTAATTATTATAGTTTTCATCTCTGGAAGTTCAATATAGTTGCTTTTTAATATCTTGCATTTCTCCCCTTAACTCTTTAAACATATGGAATATAGTTATAATAATTGTCTAAATGTACTTGTCTTCTCATTCTAACAACTGTATCAGCTCCAGATTGGTTTTGATTATTTTCTGCATTATCGGTCATGTTTTTTTGTTTGTTTGTTTTCACAAGCCTGGTAATCTTTGTTTTAATGATAGACATTGTGATTTTACTTGCTAGATGCAAGTATTTTTATATTTCTATAAATATTCATGAGCTATGTTTTGGGATACAATGTAGTTACCTGGAAACAGTTTGATTAGGTCTTGCTTGTATGATTTGCTAGGCCGGCCTCAAATGGCACTCCCGTCTGGGCCAAATTATTCCTCACTACTGAAGAACAATCTTCTTGAGTATTCACCCCAATGCTTCATAAATTACGGATTTTTTAATTCTGGGTTTTGGGAATAAGCAATATTCTTGAACATGTGTGCATGCCAGGCAATATTTTCTAATCATTTTGGATTGTTATTTTCTTGCTCTTGAGTAGTTTCCTCACACACAAAAAACATTGATCAGTAATCTGCTGATTACTCAAAGAGAAGCTTTGCAAATCTCCAGGGTTCTACCTCTGTGCAGCCATCTTTTCTTTTTCACTTTGTCTTACAAATGCTAACCACCTTGGTCTCCCCAGACTCTCTGTTTCCTTGACTTAGGGAGTCTGCCAAACTCTGGCTAGGTTCCCCTCTGCTGCATTTCTAATATTTATCTTTACTAATTTTTTCTTAATCCACACTGAGGTTTTGGATCAGAGACAGACATCTTGTGACACTCACAGCATGATCAATACTCAGATTAACATTGCAGCATTGTTCCTCCATGTCTACATTGACACAATGAGAGCCAGATATGAAAAATTTTCTTGAATGAGTGACAGATCACCCCATAAGTGAGAGACACAAAAATAAATTTTCTTTGTTTTATTCAAGAAAAAGAAGCAGATGTCTCCTTTTCCACTTCTGAAAGTGTCCTTGGAAATATCTTACTCTAACCTTTTGGAATGTAAATAACTCTCCAGAGAAAAGATAATCCCAGTGTCTCCAGTTTTACAACTCAGAGACGTCTCCAAGTCCCAGGCTTCATCCTCTCTTGAAATGTACACACAAATCTTTGTGGTTAGTTAAATCTCTCTGGAGTTCTCACTATCTATACAGTTGTAAATTAACTTCTAAAACTTGCTCTCAGGTCAGATTCCAAGTGTCAGTAAAATTTGTTCAGAAAGCCCTAACTGTACTGAAACATAAAAATATTTTCTCCTCAATCTGACATCTTCCTAGTGTTACAACCTGGAAACATTCTCAAAGAGTGAACTGGAACTTAAGTTGTGACCTACACACAACTTCAAATCAAGTTATGAGTTATTCAAGATGTGACTCGCCTTGCTTTCTATCTCTCAGGCAGATAGAAAGACACCAAATCATTGATGGCATCACTGAGCAGCAGAAACTCTCAGTTCTCTGTTATGTGCAATACTAAAGTTTCTGGCTGGGCACAGTGGCTCACACCTGTAATAAAATAAATTAGCTGGGTGTGGTGGCATGCACCTGTAGTCCTAGCTACTCAGAAGTTGTGACCAGAGGATCGCTTGAGCCCAGGGGTTTGAGGTTACAGTGAGCTATGATCATGCCACTGCAAACTAGTGGCTGACAGAGTGAGATCCTGTCTCTAAAATAATAATAATAATAAAGTTTCTAATTGTTTAAGACAATCTGAGTTGGGGTTTTAGCCAAAGCATCCCAACTGATGTACTGCCTTTGCCCCAAGCTCCTATATCACTTGTACATGCTTCCTTTTCAGCTGTGGTTGGCTGCATAACTGTCTTCCCTCTAGACTCCAAACCTCTTGAGAGCCAAGAGGACATAAGTGCATCTTCTCTCTCTAAACTTAGGGCCTGATACAGAGTAGGCATGGCATGTGTGTTGAATGAGTGATTGTTCATCTCCTCAGAAGGTTGTGAAATATCTATTGTTACTATTAATAATAGCTTTTATCAAAAAAATCCATATGCCAACCACGTGCAGCATCTTATGTAATCTTCCCAATAATCCAATGAAATAGATACTACTCCAGTATTAAATTCATTTTTCAGTAGGAAAATTGAAGCTTTGGAAAGTTTAGTAACTTGCCCAACCTTACACAGCTAGGAAATGATAGAAATAGACTAGGACCCAAATATCTCAACCACCAGATTTTTTTTTTTTTTTTTGAGAAGATGACCTTATTTTACTATTTCATAGCTCCCCTACAAAAGTCTAGCACCAGATCTTGGTACATGTGTATAGTAAAGGTAAATTGAATTGAGTTGAATTGAATTGAATTATAGAGAACTGGAGAGAAGGGTAGCTGCTAACATTCAAATACTTGCCAAAAATCTTGCCACAGTTCAACTGTAATTTCTTCATAAAGAAATAAATTGATATTTCAGAAACATAACCCATTAGGGATTCTCAGTACCCTGCTAATGAGATCAGCTCACTAAATTCCAAAAATCTTCAAATAATTCATAGCATGCTCAAGCAGTACATTTATTCCCTTTTCTACCTTGTCACTGAACTCATAAGTATTTCATCAACTATCATAAAATTCCAGATTCATTTTCTATTTCAAAGCCAAGCAAGATGTCTGGGCACCCAATAAATATTAATTAGTGAAGATGATGAAGGTTAACTTGATCTGTTTCTTTCCCCTAATTGCTTTGGAAGACCCTTGGCATCATTTAGCATTGGATTGAAAGCTTTGAAAGATAACATTTCAAATCTATACATTGTTTAATTAACATTAATAGGTATTGCTTCTTTTTTGTTCAAAAGGTTTTGCAGTCATTAATTACATATGCAGAGTGATGGGAACAGATAAAATTTACTCTGAGAATCTTGATGCACTAAACTGTTTCTGTACTGCTGAAATCAGGAAATGCCATAAGAGCACTCTTTTTTGGGGTCATTCTCCTTTCCTCTCTGTTTTTCAATTTGGATAGTAAAGCAAGGTTGACAAATCAATTTGCAATGCCAAAGTTAGATATTCTTTTAAAGCTACAAAATAACAACAACAACAATATGAAACCCTACCCAGTAGTGTCTGGTTTCTCATTCTCCACACATTCACACACATACCTAAAGGAAAGAACCCTGGGAAAGTGTTAAATGAACTTATGTATAAATAATGCACACATGTATTTTTAAGTGCACTGTGCTATTTGAAGTTAAACGTCCTCTGGGGTTTGTTAACTTTCCCAAACTGTCCCCTTGACCATGTTTGTCTGATCCTTTCCCATCTCTAATAGGAAATGTGAGTATCTGTGATCAAGAGTCAGCCCACCACTTGGACACACACCACCCCCAATATGATCTTTAGGACTTTATGTAGCCAGATTCTCCAGTGTGTGGAAATGACACCTCAGGAACGTGTTTAAAGTTGTCTTAACCTTTTCATTTCACCAGGGTAAAGGTGTTCAAATACAACTACCAAACAGCCATTCTCTCTAGTTTAGCTCTCTCACTCGCACTATCCAAATGTTAAGACAATAATTTCAACAAATCCTTATCCTAGCACTGAAATTCTAGCTCTATTAGTGTTTTTAAAGTCTCAGGTCCAGTTTCCTTAAAAGTCAGTTATAGTAAGGTTTTGCAGAAGAGGTTTCTAGTTTCTGCTCCCATTGGGTTTCTTCACAAGGAAAAGTTTCCCCCCTTGCTGCTGCCTCTTTCTTCCCTTGTCTGACCTCCTTTTGTACCATGCACCAGCCCTTCCTCTACAAATACCTTGTCTTCTAAGGCATTATGAACCATAGCTTTGTTATCTCATGATCACATAAACAGGATAAAAACAGAGGGCAGAAGATTTAGAACAACTGAAGCAGCCACTGGCATTTCCCTATTAATTCAGAAAGGGAGTGCACTCCGGCACCAGGTCAAGTCTTGTCCTGAGCTGTGAGGAGAGGAGAGACGGAAAGTCCAGGGAAAGAGCGTCTTTTAATTCAGAAAGGAGGCCTTGCTGGAATTTTCCAAGGATGGGGGTCTATAGTTTTGTTTTCATTAGATTATTTGATTGACAGAAGCAAATCACAAATTCCAAAGTGATTCAAATAAGGAAAATGTATCAGATTAGCACTAGAAGTCTGTATTGAACTTGGGCAGATAAACTTTTGATCTTAAATAGAGAGAACTAATTCCTTTGATATGCAAAATAGCTCAAAACTATCTCTGTTTTTCTCTCTGGGTAACAGTTTGCAGACATTAGGACTACTTTAGATGATGAAGAACATCCCTTCATATTGAAAAAAAAACGATAAAAAATAAGTTTAAAAGCCTGAGTTCTAATTTAAACCACCTTGAATCTGGTGACATGGGCAGGGAGTAATCAAATAGCCTTTCTGAGACAGCTTCTCACTTACAAAATGAAGTTAAGGATACCTCTATTCACAAGCTGGTGTGCATAGCCCTTTGCAAACTCTAAAAGGTTATGTAAATATAAGGAACCATTAATATGATGATCCAGGCACATTTCCAAAACACTATAGTCACCATTGAAACTGGGACCTATGGATTGGTAAGCCCCAGTAAAAAACTCCTAAAGAAGATATTTTCTGCTCTAAGGCATGTGTATTGCTACCCTGAAAAGATGATCAGTACGAGGACTCAAGTGAGGACTGAGACTACTCTCAATCATTGCTTTGGAAAGTATAAGCCCTGGAAGGGTTCACTGCCTGAATCTCCTAAGCAAAAGAATAATTTTGACTGGAAATACAATGAGAATAGATTGCTTGCACGTATACAATAATTACAATAGTATTTTGTCGCCACACTATCCTTCCTCCCACCCTCAAATTGCCATCCAGTTTTATTCTTTTTTTATTTAGTTCCTGCCATCCCATACTCTCAGGATCTCACCTACCCCAAGTGATTCATCAGATATTTTTCTAAGCAAAGATAGTTCTCTTTCTATGAGAAGTTTCAGTGCAAGCCCTTAAGACAAGGACATTCTCACCTTGTCTCACCTTGGCTCATTCCTACCGCAAGGCCCTCAAAAGCCTTGCTATTCCTTCTGCCAGAAAGCACTTCTCATTGCTTGCTCCTTTCCAGAGCCAGTGTCTCCATCTTTTCTGACCCTTACTGGACTCCTCACACAATGGACATGAACCAGTCAGAAGGGATGTTGGCCAGTGCTCATGGGCATGCTGGCTGCATGCCACCCTACATAATACTGCATTATAAGAATGGTGGCCAAGGTCTCTAAAGATCTCTAAAGGATACTGTGGGAGTGCAAAACAAAAGGTTCAGCTAACACTTAGCTCAAGCTGATACATGATAGAATCCTAGCCCCTAGGAGGAGGGGTTTAGACCCAAAAGGTGAATGATTTTAAAAACAATGACAAAATGGTCATATTTAGCACATACCACATGCCAGATTTGTGTTAAGAATATTTCCAAAGTTACTTTAGTTAATCTTCACACTACCCCATTTTGACTAATGAGGAAACTGGAATTTAAAGAGGACAAATGAATTACCCAAGATCACACAGGGTTCGAATAGAGTTTGAACAGTAACAATCCGATTCCAGAGCCTCTGCTCATACCTGCAATTTGAGGTGTAGATTCTTCTGAAAAAGGAAGCTGCCAGAGTTAAGGATACAGAGTGGCTGAGAGCTGTTTGGCGGAAATGTAGTTTTCTTGCTACAAGGGTGAACTGGGATTATTTTAGATAGAGATCACTGAAGACCTTAGTCAAAAAGTCAAATCCAGGTCAATGTAAGTAAGGTAAATACCACATAAGACAAAGCTAATAGTCTCTTTTCTTAAGAGCCCATATAGAATGAAGAACAGGCAGAAAGAGCTATCAGGTAAATATTCCTCCAGGTGCCTGCAGAAGTGAGTAATGAGCACAAAGGAGTCTCGTTACCACTCTGAAGAGCCCAGCTGGAAAGGCTAGAATAAAACCATCTTCTAGAAACTGCTTCTGGATCACAGAAATGTTCCCCTTGTCAGTTTTTTATCACCACAATCAGTTAATGGAAATAGCCCTTTCAAATCTAATAGTTGATCTGTTTTGGGAAATTAGGATCACAAAATTAAATGAATGAATGAATAAGCAGTTGATCTGCTCCTGCTGCCTGATTTACACTGAAAATCATATAATTCTCTCCTAGGATCCTTTACAGCCTAAGGTGAGGAAATAGCCATGATGGCAGCCCAGGAGAACTGTGGCTTCACTTGGAGTTGACACAGCAGAAAAGAAAAAAAGAATGTTCCCAGAAGAATTTATAAGAAAAACACATCTTATACTCAAGTCTCAAAGTAATAGAGAAGAGGAGAAATGTCACCAGCAGAATTGACTTTTCATGATGTCCTTCCAAGAGTCTTATGTTCTCAGACCACAGGAAATTCATATCTGCAGATCTAACAGTAACATGAAAGAGAAGAACAACAGCCTCACTCACTCTCTCCTGCAAAAGTGCAAAGATTTCTGTTTGACACATAATAAACAGTAAATCCCAAATGTTGAGGTTGAGGGTGTCACTGGGGGAAAACTACTGCTCTAAAAATTAATAATAATAATAATAGTAATATTGGCCATTTTTCATTAACCATGGCCTGAGTCTCAGCCTTAAGTATTCAGAAACTCATTTATTCATTCATTCATTCAACATGTATTGAGAGCTGACTGTGTACCAGACACTGTCTGAGGTGCTAAGGAAATAAAAATAGGCAGGTGAGTTAACAATCTCTGCTACCATGGAGTTTATATTCTAGTGGGATAGAAAGCCAGCAATAGTTGAACAAAGAAATGAGGAAATGAGCAGTTTCTAGTAGCAATAAGTGCTGTGAAAAACATAAAATAAGAAAAGAAAGCAAAACTGGCTTCTTGCTCTAGACTTCCAAAAGCCATTAGACCTAAGCACATGCATCATGCACCACAGTCAGAGAAAGAATGCTGCATTCTGAGATAAAGCACAAAATTGTGAAACATCCTAACTCTAGTCCCCAAGAAAATAAATTTTAAATTTTTCCTTAAAGAAAACAACTGTGACTCTGACTTTTGCAACACTGACATATGCAGACAGGTAATGACCCTTGCAGATAAGACAATAATGTGAAGAAATCTGTTTTTCAGATAAGAATAATGAATGTGCTAATTGTAACTTTGTAAATTTTTTCCTTTTAAATAGCAACTATAACTATAAGGCTGGATATTCTTTCCAAGATTGGACGTAAAAATATTTTTCTTAAAGCTCAGATTCATCTCTGAGTTTTCCTTTGACAACAGTATCATGACAGACAGTAACTGCAAGCGAGAAGGAGTCCAGTAAGGGTCAGAAAAGATGGAGACACTGGCTCTGGAAAGGAGCAAGCAATGAGAAGTGCTTTCTGGCAGAAGGAATAGCAAGGCTTTTGAGGGCCTTGCGGTAGGAATGAGCCAGGTTGGCTTGAAGACTAGAAAGAAGTCGTGTGTGGTTGGAGAGTAAGGAGAAACTGAGAGAGTGGCAGACAATGAGCTCAGAGAGAGGGATTAATTGAATTAAAATATTAAGGATAAAGGGAGCCAGATTTCTCAGTCTCAGAGAAGTGATTACAAAAGAAAGAAAACTATAGTAACCCTGTAGTATTGGGTGAGAATTGGAGACACTGCTATCAACCCATGGATTTTAGTACATATAGATAGACACAAAAATAAATGAGGGTGTGGTTGTGTATAGAGAAACCCTAGTTCTGTCCACTGAGAAGACCTGGAATCAGCAACACCACAACAGCAATGAGTGCACCTACTTCCCAGATGTGGCTTCCGATTATTATTCTTCTCTCAAAGGAATCATGGCTCCTTGGGAAAATGGCTGCTTCCAGAGCTGGAGCAAGGAAAGATTCTGAAACATCTTATTGTTCTAGATAGCAAGAAGGTATTCCAGAATGATACAAAAGCCAGCCTGAAGAAGATCTCACTAGCCACAATTAGGAATAATTAATAGCAACTAGGAACAATAAATGATAGCAGCAATTGTAATCCACTGAATAAACAGAAATTCATGAGTCCAAGCTGATATAAATAAGTGAATAAATAGATAATTGAAGATTTGATTAAAACAGAATAGTTACATAATTTGAAAGCACTTCCCCACAAGATACTAATTACAAGGGAGAAGAGGATAGCCTCAGGCTGGAGAAGCCTGGCAGATGCCAACTTAAACAAATGATCTGAGTGACCCTCATCAGCACAGGGACACATCAAAAGTGTGCAGCACCTGATGGGATGCAGCACAAAAGGCACAGTATTATTTCTTCAGTATTCCTGCCAAAGATACATGGCCTAAATCGAATCGTGTGGAAACATCAGCAAAGCAAATTAAGGAACATTTAAAAAGAAAACGGGCCTGTAATCTTCAAAAGTGGCAAAGTTATGAAAGTCAAAAAGAAAAAGGACTGAGGAACCATTTCACATCAAGAGATTGATGGAAACTAAAGAGACATGACAACACATGATTCCAGGTTGGATCCCTGTACTACAATGACAACTTAGGAAAACTGGTGAAACTTGAAAGGAGTCTGTGGATTAAAAGGTAGTAACGTAGCAGTGCTAATTTCCTGGTTTTGATCATTGTATTGTGGTTATATAGGTGAATTCCCTTGTTTGTAGGAAATGCACACACACTAAGGCATTAAGCGGTGACCAGATTCATATTGGTAACTTCGTCTAAAATGGTTCAGAAACTGAGTTTTATGTACTATGCAAGTTTTCTATAAATTTGAGATTGTTCAAAATAATTATTTTTAAAAAAATTTATACAAAAGGAATCATTTTGTAGCATAGATTACTGTGAGGCAAGAAAAGTCAGACACCAAGTATGATGCTTTTGCAGTAGGCCAGATAAAAAAGACTGTTGTGGGGGGCAGTTCCAAGATGGCCTAATAGGAATAGCTCCAGTCTACAGCTTCCAGCGTGAGCAAAGCAGAAGAGGGGTGATTTCTGCATTTCCAACTGAGGTACCGGGTTCATCTCACTGGGGCTTGTCGGACAGTGGGGGCAGGACAGTGGGTGCAGCCCATCAGGCGTGAGCCAAAGCAGGGTGAGGCATCTCCTCACCCGGGAAGTACAAGGGGTCAGGGAATTCCTTTTCCTAGCCAAGGGAAGTGGTGATGGATGGCACCTGGAAAATCGGGTCCCTCCCACCCTAATACAGCGCTTTTCCAATGGTCTTGGCAAACGGCACACCAGGAGATTATATCCCACCCCTGGCTCAGAGGGTCCCATCTAAATTAGTAATAAATTACTAATAAATAAATTAGTAAAAAAAAAATTTATTACTAATTTATTACTAAATTAGTAATAGCATATAGTATATGTAATATACATATAACATATAGTATATTTAATATACATATAGCATATAGTATATGTAATAACATATATATACATATAGCATATAGTATATGTAATAGCATATAGTGTATGTAATATATGTAATAAAGTATATGTAATAGCATATAGTATACATAATATACAATATATTAATAGTATACAGTATATGTATACACAATATATTTTTATATAGTATATGCAATATACAATATATTAATAGTATATAGCATATGTATATACAATATATTTTTATATAGTATATGTGTATATATACACTATATAAAATATAATATAAATACACATGTACTATACATGTATCTTTTAGTGCCCTTGACAAATTATAGTCTGTTTTTACAGGTCTAGGAGCTATTTTAACTTTGCATATATAACCCACTTACATTGATTTTACAGCCTTCCTCATGGCAGCTGTATTTCCATCATTTCCAAGTTTTGACTATTGTTTTAAATCTTTTTGTGTGGCTACATTCATTCTTTCTGAACATCAGAAATATAGACCTTAATCACAAGAGTGATCAAATTTATCTGCCATTTGCTAGGAACGGTGTTTTGTAATTCAATTATTTTCAGCCTAAGAAGTTTGACAACATTCTCAAAAAAATAATAATTTTTACCAAATAGTTTTAAATAGACAATGAACAATAATACTATACTTCAAAAGTGATAGAGAAAAATACAGATAGATGGAAAGTTCCATCAATTTGGATATAGCACAAGTCAAATCATGTTCACTAGAACAAGTCCTTACAACTGACATCTAAAGTAATAGCCCACAGGCCAGAGATCCGTATCATTGAAAATTTATGTTTTCTCTGTCATAAACACTTTGAAGAGGGATGAGAAAGGTTATAAAATCAGACAAGGATACAGTGATAGAACCCCCTTCAAACCCCACATGCTTCAAAGTGGAAATCTTTATTGCCCGCCCTGTGACTCTTCTGAGAAAATAAGAAATAAGAAGGAAATAAGAAACTAAGCCTTTCTGCTTAGTTTAACTTGCCACCAAACGAAAAGTAAGGTGACAAATCTCAAAGCATGTGAGATGAGGTTTAATTCCAAAAATCCCCTCATCTGCTTTTCCTGGGTTCTTTACCCTCCTCTTTCTACAGAGACCAACAAAGAGACAAGAACTATCAGCTTCACTGATGCCATTGAACAGTTAACAGATTCTTTCACTTCTTTTAAACCTACCAACAGTATTAGTCCCATTTTACACATGAAGAAACTGAGAATCAGAGAGATTAAAATCATTTGCCAGAGGTCAAAATATCAGTCAGTGGCAGAGTCAAGATTTATTTAGGTTGCTACCTGACTTCAAACTATACTACAAGGCTACAGTAACCAAAACAGCATGGTACTGGTACCAAACAGAGATATAGATCAATGGAACAGAACAGAGCCCTCAGAAATAACACTGCATATCTACAACTATCTGACCTTTGACAAACCTGAGAAAAACAAGCAATGGGGAAAGGATTCCCTATTTAATAAATGGTGCTGGGAAAACTGGCTAGCCATATGTAGAAAGCTGAAACTGGATCCCTTCCTTACACCTTATACAAAAATTCATTCAAGATGGATTAAAGACTTAAATGTTAGACCTAAAACCATAAAAACCCTAGAAGAAAACCTAGGCATTACCATTCAGGACATAGGCATGGGCAAGGACTTCATGTCCAAAACACCAAAAGCAATGGCAACAAAAGCCAAAATTGACAAATGGGATCTAATTAAACTAAAGAGCTTCTGCACAGCAAAAGAAACTACCGTCAGAGTGAACAGGCAACCTACAGAATAGGAGAAAACTTTCGCAGCCTACTCATCTGACAGAGGGCTAATATCCAGAATCTAAAATGAACTCAAACAAATTTACAAGAAAAAAACAAACAACCCCATCAAAAAGTGGGTGAAGGATATGAACAGACACTTCTCAAAAGAAGACATTTATGCAGCCAAAAAACACATGAAAAAATGCTCACCATCACTGGCCATCAGAGAAATACAAATCAAAACCACAATGAGATACCATCTCACACCAGTTAGAATGGCAATCATTAAAAAATCAGGAAACAACAGGTGCTGGAGAGGATGTGGAGAAATAGGAACACTTTTACACTGTTGGTGGGACTGTAAACTAGTTCAACCATTGTGGAAGTCAGTGTGGCGATTCCTCAGGGATCTAGAACTAGAAATACCATTTGACCCAGCCATCCCATTACTGGCTATATACCCAAAGGACTATAAATCATGCTGCTAAAAAGACAGGTGCACACGTATGTTTATTGCGGCACTATTCACAATAGCAAAGACTTGGAACCAACCCAAATGTCCAACAATGATAGACTGGATTAAGAAAATGTGGCACATATACACCATGGAATACTATGCAGCCATAAAAAATGATGAGTTCATGTCCTTTGTAGGGACATGGATGAAATTGGAAATCATCATTCTCAGTAAACTATCGCAAGGATAAAAAACCAAACACTGCATATTCTCACTCATAGGTGGGAACTGAACAATGAGAACACATGGACACAGGAAGGGGAACATCACACTCTGGGGACTGTTGTGGGGTGGGGGGGAGGGGGGAGGGATAGCACTAGGAGATATACCCAGTGTTAAATGACGAGTTAATGGGTGTAGCACACCAGCATCGCACATGTATACATATGTAACTAACCTGCATATTGTGCATATGTACCCTAAAACTTAAAGTATAATAAAAAAAATTATTACTGATATAAACCAAAAAAAAAAAGATTTACTTAGGTCATATGACTCCATAATGCAAGCTCTGTTTTTTAAAATTGTGTTTTATGGCTTTGTTGAGTTATAATTGGCATACGATAAGCCACCTATTTAAAAATGTACAATTTGATAAATGTTGACATACGTATACACCCATGAAACCATCTTCATAATCAAGATAATGAGCACAATCATGACACCCAAGAGTTTCCTTATGCCCTGTACCCAGGCCACTACTGATCTAATTTTTATCACTGAGATTACTTTGCATGTCCTGGAATCCTATATAAATGGAATCACATGGTATATATTCTTTTTTGTCTTACTCTTTTATATAGCTGATTTATTTTGAGATTTATGTATATTGTTGCATGTATTGATAGTTGTTTTTGATTGGAGAATCATATTCCATTATATGAATGGATCATAATTTGTTTATCTTTTCATATGTTGATAGTCATTTGGGTTGGTTAAAGTTTGGGGCATTAAAATAAAGCTGCTTTAAACAATTGAATGCAAATCTTTCTGTGGACATATGCTTTTATTTCTCCTAGGTAAATACCTAGGAGTTGAAGGGTTAGGTGTATGGCATATGTTTAACATCTTAAGAAACTGCCAATCTATTTTCCAAAGTGATTGTGCTATTTCACATTCCCAATATCAGTAGATGAGAGTATTTTGGTTGCTCCACATCCTGCTAACATTTGATATAGTCAATCTTACTAATTTTAGCCATTCAAGTGGCTAAATATGTAGTAATATGACATTGTGGTTTCATTCTGCATTTCCATAACAACTAATTATGTTGAGCATCTTTGCATGTGTTTATTAGCCATACATATATTTTCTTTGATGAAGTCTGTTCAAATCTTTTTCCATTTTTATTGGATCATTTTTCTTCTTATTCTTTCATTGTAGGAGTTCTTTATATATTCTAGATACAAGTCATTTGTCAGTTACATGTTTTGCAGATATTTTCTCCCAATCTGTGTTTTGTGTTTTCATTTTCTTAACAGTATTCTTTTCAAGAGAAAACATTTTCAACTTTAGTGCCAAAAATTTTTGTCTAAGCACTGCTTTAGCTATATTCCACAAATTTGGATTTATCATGCTTTTATTGAAGTTCACATCAAAATACTTTCTGAATAGTAAACATCCCGTTACTTGCCATCCCTGGGTTCTCTCCCCTTTCTTCACTCAAATTTAAAGAAAGAGACAGAATAACCACCAACTTGAGTGATGGCAATTGACAATTTACAAAACATTTCTTCACTTCACTGAAACCTACAAATATTATTAGTCCATTTTACAGAAGTGGGAACTATAGTTCAGGAGATTAAAATAATTTGCCCAAGGTGGAAATATCAATAAAGGCAAATTCAAACCTTACTCAAGTCACCTGACTCTAAATCCCATGCACTTTTCATTGTACTTTATCCAGCTCTCTAAAAATCTAAGTTAAAGCCTTTTTGCAAGCTAAGTGTCTAAGATAGCTTGTATTTTAAAAGATGGCATTCAGACCGGGGACAGTGGCTCACACCTGTAATCCCAGCACTTTGGGAGGCTGAGGCAGGCATATCACTTGATCCCAGGAGTTTGACACCAGCCTGGCCAACATGGCAAAACCCCATCTCCACTAAAAATACAAAAATTACCCGGGTGCAGTGGCATGCACCTGTAATCTCAGCTACTTGGGAGGCTAAGGCATAAGAATCGTTTGAACCCCGGAGGCAGAGTTTGCAGTGAGTGGATATTACGCCACTACACTCTAGCCTGGGTGACAGAGCCAGACTCTGTCTCAAAAAAAAAAAAAGTTCAAAGGTATATCCTAAGGACTCTCAGATTTCTAAATGTGGTAATGTCAGACACAGCAGCCACAGAGAGTAGTCAATATTCTTGCCCAACAAGTCCTCTCTCATCTTTGAAATCATCCTTTAATAGCAGCCCTGGCCATATTTCATCCACTGCAATCCAGGTGGCTTGTGTTTCATCTCTATTAAGCAATTTCAATAGCCTGGCAAGTGGTTCTCAAATTGGCACTTAGAAGACTCCCCTTAGGAAATCCCAGTGATTCTGATTTAATCAGTGTCAAATGGAATACGGGAATCTGGGGTTTTTTTTTTAACAAGCATCATAGATAATTCTGATGCAGGATATTAGTGGATCACCCTAAACTGGTAAGGAGGGAGTAGAGGGTAAGGACTGAGTGGGAGGAGAGGAAGTGACAGAGTAGGAAGAGAACTGGTTATAAAGTGCCTTGTCAGCCCTCTTTAGCGATTTAAATTTTAACCTAGGAGCAATGGGGAATAAATGAGGTTTTTAAGCAAAAGAGGTACATAATACATTTACACTTAAGAAAGATGATGATGGTGAAACGTAAAGAGTAGATTAAACAGACCAAAGACAGGGCATAGGGAGAGCATGAGGAGGCTGTTGTAACAATTCTGGCAGTGGAAGATGGTAGTTTGCTAGCAGGAATGGGAAAACTTTGAGAAAAAAAATTAACATACGTGAACAGACAACATGCAGTGAAAGGGTTCAATAAAAAGAAAAAAATATCAAAAAGCCTAATGCAAACTGCTAGTAAGGGCCTATAAACAAGAAATCAGTACACAGAGGACCTCTTGTACTCTGAAGCTTCCTTGACTCTGTCCTTTCAAGAGACTTATTGTTTATGATAATAAAAGGAATTTACTGCCTCAGATCACAAAAGGTTGTTGCTTAGAATTTGGGCAACAACCACGTTAACCACAGCCATATTTTTTAGCAGAGGTCTCTCAAAGCAGTTTTATGATTCTCTCTCATGAAAGTCTTCCCAGCCAGCCTATCGTCCCTCTGGTGCGCCTTGTTTATAGGCTCAGGTGCTCTGTGCTTCATAATGGAATCATCACTCAGTTTGCTATAAAGTTTGGGAAGGAACTTTGTCCTGAGTCCAACATTAAATGTATTCAGAGAAACCCTGGCATGGATGGCCACATGTTAGTCCTGGGATTCTGTGAACAGAATCTCATGTGTAATGTAAATCCAGATTTGTGAATTTATACTTATACATTGTATATTTATTCTGTCTAATAATATTTTAATCACATCCTATGTCTTTCCCTGGGGCTGGTATAAAAGGTTACAGGTTCAAATCTCATTGAGGTGGCATCTTAAGTCAATATATTTTTAGCCCTCATATGATTTTATTATTTCCTCTAAGCATGGTCCAATAAAGTGATAATAATTTCCTTTGTACCCACTTAAAGAAAGAAAATTGCCAGGGGAATAAAGAGATGATTCCTACCAGAAAAGCCTAAACAAGAAAAGAGGGGGAACAAATCACTGAAATTGCCAAACAAGGGGTAAGAGGCCAGTTTTAAGACAGAGCAAGGAACCACTGAAGCAATGGTTCTCAACACTGACCTCACGTAAGAATGACCTAGGAGTTCTTATAAAAAGTTTTTTCCAGACCAATTAACTCATATCTCTGGGGCGGGGCCCCTGGCAAACGTACGCTTTATAAACTCCACAAGCATTTGTAAGGTGCAGCACTAGGAATCACTGCTATAGGAAGTCAGCATCCAAGAACTCCGACTTGATATGTTGTACTACAAGGATTAAGTGAAAGTACGTATTTCTTCTACCCCATACTAAATGTCTAATCTGAAGTTTCAAGAAAAAAAAATCAATAAATGAAAGAACATTTTTTAAAATTGTATATTTCAGAAATGAATATGGCATTTTTTGTCTTCTGAAAGCATAAATCAGGTAATGCCACTTTTAGAAATAAGTATCATTTTGCTGCTTTTTCTCATCTTTTAAAAATGTAAATCAGATCCTGTCACTTCCCTAGGTCCACTCCTTATGTTTGCAGGCCTTGGCAGAGGGACAAATGGAGGCTACCTAATGTTTATTTAAATGTTTAAATTAATAGATCTAGCTAATACCTGTTATATAAAATATATTCCATCCTCCTATTTTAAGAAATGTCTGTGTCTGGCTAGCCATATGTAGAAAGCTGAAACTGGATCCCTTCCTTTCACCTTATACAAAAATTAATTCAAGATGGATTAAAGACTTAAATGTCAGACTTAAAACCATAAAAACCCTAGAAGAAAACCTAGGCAATACCATTCATGACATAGGCATTGGCAAGGACTTCATGTCCAAAACACCAAAAGCAATGCCAACAAAAGCCAAAATTGACAAATGGAATCTAATTAAACTAAAGAGCTTCTGCACAGCTAAAAAAAACTACCATCAGAGTGAACAGGCAACCTACAGAATAGGAGAAAATTTTTGCAATCTACTCATCTGACAAAGGGCTAATATCCAGAATCTACAAAGAACTCAAACAAATTTCCAAGAAAAAAACAACCCCATCAAAAAGTGGGCGAAGGATATGAACAGACACTTCTCAAAAGAAGACATTTATGCAGCCAACAGACACATGAAGAAATGCTCACCATCACAGGCCATCAGAGAAATGCAAATCAAAACCACAATGAGATACCATCTCACACCAGTTAGAATGGCGATCATTAAAAAGTCAGGAAACAACAGGTGCTGGAGAGGATGTGGAGAAATAGGAACACTTTTACACTGTTGGTAGGACTGTAAACTAGTTCAACCATTGTGGAAGACAGTGTGGCTATTCCTCAAGGATCTAGAACTAGAAATACCATTTGACCCGGCCATCTCATTACTGGGTATATACCCAAAGGATTATAAATCATGCTGCTATAAAGACACACGCACACGTATGTTTATTGCAGCACTATTCACAATAGCAAAGACTTGGAACCAACCCAAATGTCCATCAATGATAGACTGGATTAAGAAAATGTGGCACATATACACCATGGAATACTATGCAGCCATAAAAAATGATGAGTTCATGTCCTTTGTAGGGACATGGATGAAGTTGGAAACCATTATTCTCAGCAAACTATCACAAGGACAGAAAACCAAACACCGCATGTTCTCACTCATAGGTGGGAATTGAACAATGAGAACACTTAGACAGAGGGTGGAGAACATCACACACCGGGGCCTGTCATGCGGTGAGGGGAGGGGGGACGGATAGCATCAGGTGATATACCTAACGTAAATGACGAGTTAATGGGTGCAGCACACCAACATGGCATATGCATATGTAACAATCCTGCACGTTGTGCACATGTACCCTAGGACTTAAAGTAGAATAATAAAAAAAAGAGAAAGAAATGTCTGTGTCTAACAACAAAAAATCAGAGGAGCTCTGTATGGTTTTCACATGAGTAAAAGCTGGCAAAATATCAAAGATGACTAAATTAGATTATTATTACACATCTCTGAGTGTTCCATTGATGGGCCAGCAATGTTTGTAAGAGTAATAAGGTATACATAGTCCACAAATTATTATCTATTTATGAAATAAAATTTATTTTTTCTTGCCTTCATTTTAGCATAATCAGTAATTATATTGTTATAATCAATATTTGCACATAATTTATGTTCTAGTGACAGTAATGTCAAATGAAACCACCTTTTGAGTTATTCTTCTTAGTTTGTTTTCTTATTAATTTCAACTTGAAGAAATTTTCTCCTGCTGAGACAGTAGCAAACCGGATTGTCAATAAAATTATTTTTTTTTAGAGATAGGATGTCACTGTGTTACCCAGGCTGGTCTCAAACTCCTGGCCTCGAGTGATCCTCCCACCTTGTCCTCCCAAAGCACTGGGATTACAGGTGTTAGCCACAATGCCCAGCCAATAAAATTCTTAAGTTAACATTTAGATTCAAAAATAAATCTCAAATTGTATTTACTACATTAAAATGTTTTAATGAGGCTGCATATAATTATTGCTTTGCAGAAAGTATTAAAACCATTTTAATGTAAGATTATAGATTATCATTTGTATCACCATTTTCACTGTTAAACAATGCCTAGAGCCTGAAGAATCTCATGTGCATGCACGTGTGTGTGTGTGTGTGTGTGTGTGTGTGTGTGTGTGTGTGTTTTACTAAAGCATGGAGCCCAGGACAGGGGCCCCTCTAGTTCAGTCTAAAGGCAGAACTGCTTCCCTTCTTGTAATGGCTTTCCTTAGAATTACATCTAAACTCCTTACCAAGAACTGCAAGGCCCTACATGGTCTGACTTCTGCCGAGCTCTGAGCCCTCATCACCCACTGCTCCTGCTTTTGTTCAGTGGTCTTTGATCTGCTCCTCAGACTCCACAAACTCCTTCTTGTTCAGAAACTTTCCACTGGCTCTTACCTCTGCCTAACACAGCTGCTTTCAACTCTACCTGGCTGGCTTCTTTCAGTCCTTCAGGTTTCAGCTTAAGGCAGGCAATATATGTAGTGATTATAAGCACAGATTCTGCAGCTAAATTCCCTGAGATCAAATCTGGCTCTACAATTGCCCATCAGTGTGTTCCCGGTCAAGTCTCCAAATGGATCTTTCAGTTTCCTCTTTTATAGAAAGGAGGCAATAGTACTTTCTCATATGACTGCTGTGTAGATTGAATGAGTTAATAGAAATAAAACTCAGGCTAGCATAGAAATAAATCATAGCAATATCATATAAATCATAACAATAAATCATAGCTTAAGAAATCAAAAGTCACCTCTTCAAAAAGACTTTCCCTGACCACCCAACGTAAAATAGCTTCCCACGGGCACATCACTCTATTTCATTTTTTCCCAGTATTGATCACCATCTGAAACTGCATTGTTTATTTTATAGTTGTTGTCTGTCTTCTTCCCCTAGATGACAAGTTTCATGAGAACTGAGCCCCTGTCTCAAAGTCCGTTGCTATATACTCTTGTGCCTGGCACATAGTTGAAGTCATTAAATATTTGTTGATTAGCTAGATTTTATTTAAATCCTTCCAATTTTAAACCAAATCAGAAATTATAGGTTTAGGAAGATGAAATTTACTCTTCTTTTTCCAACCAACTCATCTCAAATTGTGCTCATTTATAATAGGTTACAGGCATGTGCGCAGAGCTGCAGTGTGCTAAAAAGTAGGTGTCAAAGGTAGTATGGGGGTCATGGTGTTGAAGACTGCCAGCCACTCGCAAACAATGAGAGACACTTCTAACGGTCTCAAGGAAAGAGGAGTCTTTGCAGTTATCCAGCTAATTTAGGCAATGTGGATTTCCCACCTGACAGATTTAAACTGTTGTTTGTTGTTAATGAACAAATTGACCAGAAAATGACCAACTTTTGCCTTGTACAGCGGAAGAAGTCATAAGCTACGGAGGCAACTATTCTCTAAAGAAAAAGCAAGAAACATGGGTCTTAATAGAACATCATCAAAATTTGTGAATGAACACAAATACCAGGGGTGCCACTTGAAATTATACCTTCTAAAGTAAGAATAAAAATTCCATTGTCCAAGAATGGAATCCATTTCTTTGCTGACTATTGTCTTGCTTTTCACAAACAGATTTCTTGAGCATGCTGGACACTGGCATCAAGCCAAAGACATAAGAAAGCAATGCAACGAATCCCATTCTAATTTGGGTAATGTTACAGATAGCTAAGTCTCAAGAGCCCATGTGACTTGCCCATAAGAAAGCTGTCTGCTGTCCACCGCACCCTGTGGTAACAACCTGAACACCTCTGTCTCCTTTGCCTTCTGTTCCCCCATGTTCCCCCAGTGTTTCTCACTTTGCGCATTCCTACTCTTCTGAATGGAAAAACTGATTTGTCTCCCTTTGAGCTCTTGGACAGAAAAGATAGAATTAAAATAAAACACAATGATCATTCACATTGTGTAGAGAGAAGCTATGTATCTGAACCAAAACCTGTGTCAGAAATGTATTGAATAATACCAAAAAAAAAAAAAAAATGACACTCAAAGGTGTGGCCCAGTTTCTCACTGCTGCAAGTACAGGGAAATGTGTAAGAAATGACTCCAATCATTTCAAATGGTGTTTTGTTTCCTGACCAGGCCACCATAAAGGGTTCTATTAGTTTACATAAGCTGAGCACCTTCCCTATACGCAAACACTAACATCCTGTGAAATAAAAAATAATGGAACACTGCAACTCACTGCAGTGACAGTAGTCCCCACTTACCTGCGGTTTACCTTTGAGATTCCAGTTACTCACAGTCAACTTTGGATGGAAAATGTAAACTGAAAAATTCCAGAAATAAACAATTCCTAAGTCTTAATTTGCACACTGTTCTAAGTAGTGTGAGGAAATCTTGTGCTCTGCTCCCTCCTGCCCAAGACAAGAATCCTGTCTTTGTCCAGAGTATTTGTGCTGTTTCCTGCCCATGAGTCACTTAGTGGCTGTCTAGGTTATCAGATCACCCACTTCAGTATCACAGTGCTTGTGCTCAAATAACCTTCTTTTTATGTAATAATGGCCCCAAAGCACAAAAGTAGTAATGCTGGCAATTCAGGTATGCCAAAGAGAAGCCATAAAGTGCTTCCTTTGAGTAAAAAGGGGAAAGTTTATCACAGGAAGGTATGTATGGAAAAAAAGCAGTGTATGTTTTCAGGCATACACTGCGGCTCTTGGAAAATATTCCCCGGAGATAAGGGGGACTACCATATTCATAAACAACTGCAGAGACTGAGCTTTCTAAATCTCTACCACAATTTCCAACAAGACTGTGTCAATAAATTCCCTTAGATTGCATCCTTTTGCCTGATGGTTTACTGACAAAAAAAGAAATAAAATAAGGACATCAAATTTGCTTCATTCTATGGAAGTTTTATTCCAAGTCTTCAAAAGGAAAAAGGGAAGAAACAACAGAAGTATTGAGATGTGAATTCACTCATATAGAGAGCAAGTTCAGATTGTTTATAATCTGCTGGCACACTGACAAAGCAGTAAAAATAACAGTTTACATCAGCACCACCTGGCTCAAAAAAAAATTCTTTTATTCCTTGTTTTGAGGGAGTTAAGCTGATATCCACCCCCACCCACCTACCTATCCACTTTTCTGGGAGGACCTTAGACTAAGCCAATGAAAGGGAAGTCCTGATATAGCAGCCTGTGGAGAATTAGATCTAAGGGACAGAGCTGCCGCATAAAGCTGGACAATCTGAAGGATGCACAAATTATCCTGGCCTGGGAGGAGACGTTCAGCCTGAATTTGATTCACCAGTGCTTGCATCTGGCTCAAGACTGTGTCCAGGGTGGCAGGGTTACCTTTGTCTATTTTGTCTTCCCAGACAGGGTGCCTTTTTCTAATTCATCAAAAGGAGCCATATAAGAAGCTCCTACTCCAGTATAAACTCCAGCATCACTTCTTCACTGTGAAGGTTTACACCTTACTTTTCCATGATCTTTATATGGATGTCTATAATTTTAATATTTATCACATTATAATCATTTATTTGCATGTCTGTTTTGACATAAGACTTCAAGATTCTTGAAAGCAGGCACTGAGTACTTTTCCCCTCTTTTATACCCAGTTCCCAGCATAGAACTTGGTACAAAATAAATTGTGCCAATGCTTGAAAAAATATGCTTATTGTATGGATGTTTGGAAAAATGGATGGATGGATAAATGGACAGATGAGTGAAATCCAGAACAGACCTATCAAGAGTATGAGAATTGGCTTGGAGTCAGGGCAAAGGACTTCTCTTCCTGTTTTTTCTCTATCCTTTGACAGTATTGGTGAAAGAACAGAGAATAAAAGTCAAAATAGTCAAGAAGAGATTTTGTTAATGGTAGCATTCCTCACTCAATAAGCTAACACAACTGTATGCAACTAGCACTGTTCTGTAGTTTTTGAGGTTGTGCTGGATATCTTCAATTTGCCCTCTCCCTGCACAAATCAATTACTAACCCATCTCCACCTCACTTTGTACCCTGGGAGGTGGACCTATATGGGCTACAGTAGGAGAATTAAAGAGTGTTTTGAGACAGTCCACTCTGGTGCATCTTATGTTGGCTTTCCTCCACCCCCTCCATCAAAACTTATTTTTTCTGTACCTTCCTTTAAGTGAGAGACTACAGAAAGTTAAGTGTCACGCTTCCCAAAGTTTCCTTGTATATCTGGGGAAGACACTCACTAATGTGACCCCTCAGGTAAATAACCTTCTGTGGAAAGCAGCTTTAGTGGAGCCATTTCTTTGGATACCAGCCTCTGGAGTGGAGCGCTGAGTACTTTAACATCAACAGCAATAAATCCACTCTAAGCACATTGGAACAAATAAACATCTTTAAATTTAACAAATCAGAATGCTTTGATCCTTGTGATTTTTTTATCCTCACTGGAGGCAAGCTGGGGTCCTTTTTACAAAAGTTTTGCTGCCTAATCCATTGCTTCCCAAACTTTTTTAAAAGAAAGGACATTTAGAAAACGACACTATTTGTAATATAGAGCGTGGAAAATAGTTGAGGTTGTTTGCTGTTACAAACAGCCAGCCTGGGGGCTCCAGCCCTAGTGTCTCCTGCAGCCCAACAGCTGAGGGGGTCAGCCTCTCGCTTGACATTCTGCCTTCCATCTGTGTGCCGCAGTGAAGACACACACGCTGTCGTATTCTGCTCATATCCCTGACACTGAACACGGATGCTGCCACTAGAACTACAGCCACCTTGCCCCTTTGGATGTCATTGTGGCCACCACTGCTGCCAGCCTCAGAATGGATTATGTGTGGCTTATTTCACACAGCTGGCAGAGGGATTTGGTCTGTTGTTTCTCAATGAGTAGCCTCTAGGCCCGGTTATTAGGTCCCCTGGGAAATCACAGTATCTTTTTATTTCATGTTCTAAATTTATTCACAATGTTCTAAATTCAAAGCAATACAAGGTACATACACATGAAGAAGTTTCGGTTCCTCTCCCAGTGCACCTCATTGGCCCTCACAACTTCTAAGTAACCACTCTTAAAGTGTATGGATGCTTCCAGCATTGTTTTTTGCAGATATGAGTAGAAATCGGTATTCTTATCACTCTTTTTTGTTACACAAAAGGTGGCATGCTGTCTATACACTATGTGTGTAGATGTGCATTCCTTTGCCCTTTGACATTTTGCCATGTGAGTACAAGAGAGCATGCTCATTCTCTTTTACAGTGGTATAGAGCATAGATTTCCATGGTGTGGATCCATACCACAGTTTATTTTAGCCTATACCTATTAATGTTTACTTGGCCTGTTCCCAATATTTTGCTGTGATAAACAGCACAGTGCTGTGTATGTCATTTTTTTACGTAGTAAGTGTGTTTTTAGAAGAAATTCCTAGAAACAGGATTGCTGGGTCCAAGGATAAGTGCATCTATAATGTTGATGAATATTGCCAAACTGTCCTCCATGGCATGGGCTTATCATTTTGCACCGCTACCAGCAACATCTGAGAGTGCCTATTTCCCCACAGTTTTACCAGGGTATGTTGTCCAATCTGTGGATTTGTGCCAATCTGATAGGCGAAAGTAATAGTTTAGTGTAGTTTTAAATTTTATTTATCTTATTATGAGGGAGGCTTATCATCTTTTCACTTGTTAAGGCCATCTATATTTGCTTTAATAAATCCTCTTTCTGCTGGAATTAGCTAGAGCTGGTTTCTGTCGCTATATATTGTGACACAGTTTAAAACCTTCTCTCCTGGAAGACAGAGTGTTTCTACATGCACTTATTTTGTACTTTATTTTGGTCCTTAAAGTACCAAAGTGGAGGAGCTGGATTCTACCCTAAGAATACCTCCCTCTAAAGATAGAAGAAAATGAGTTTTGTTTTGTTTTGTTTTGTTTTTAGTTTATAGTCTCACTTGTTTATTTTTGCTTTTGCCTGTGCTTTTGGTGAGATAGCAAAAATATATTTGCCTAGGCATACATCAAGGAGCTTTTCCCCTATGATTTTTATTAAAAGTTTTACAGTTTTAGGTGTTTCAGTTTCATATCTTTAACCCATTTTGAGTTGATTTTTGTGTATGGTGTAAGACAGGGTCCAGTTTTATTTTTTTGCATGTGGATATCCAGTTTCCTTAACACCAGTTATTTAAGAGACTATTCTTGAGACTATTCTTTGCTCATTGTGTCTTTTTTTTTTTTATACCTTAAGTTTTAGGGTACATGTGCACAACATGCAGGTTAGTTACATATGTATACATGTGCCATGTTGGTGTGCTGCACCCAGTAACTCGTCATTTAACATTAGATATATCTCCAAATGCTATCCGTACCCCCTACCCCCACCCCACAACAGGCTCCAGTGTTTGATGTTCCCCTTCCTGTGTCCATGTGTTCTCACTGTTCAATTCCCACCTATGAGTGAGAACATACGGTGTTTGGTTTTTTTGTCCTTGCGATAGTTTGCTGAAAATGTGGCACATACACACCATGGAATACTATGCAGCCATAAAAAATGATAAGTTCATGTCCTTTATAGGGACATGGATGAAGCTGGAAACCATCATTCTCATCAAGAAGAGGAGTTAATGGTGATTGTAGGCAGCCTCCACCTCCAGAATCAGATCCAGACTCCTTGACTTTATCAGGTTTTGGTGTTAAGTGCTTGAGCTGGGAATAGGCAACACGGTGACCTGTTGATACACCATATTTTTAAGTTCTAACTCTAGCTAATGTTTCAATAACTTCACACCACCCACAGATGTTATATTCTTGTGTCTTCTCCCTCTTTGCTCTCTTCTCTTCCTACCTTCCTTGTATTCTTCCCTTTTTTTTGTTATTCCTGAGGATTTCAACCAATGTAACTTGAGGGGGCAAGTGAAGTTGGTCAAATCGTCAAAATGTTCCTCTGTTCTGTAGCATACCTTGTTATTCCCAATGGATTTCAAAGACTTCAGCAAAGTTTTTCAATTTAGCCTGACATCAGCATGTGGATTCCTCCCACTCAAGGTCTCAACTTGGAGGAAATCAGAACTGGGAGGAATCCATGCTATATGTCAGGGCTGGAGGGAATTCTCCTGGCCTAAGAGGCCAACTGCAGGAAAGCAGGTTGGCAAAATCACAGCACAAACCAAGCAGTGGACATCACTGAGAGGTTCAAACCAGCAGACAGTACTCAGTACCAGAAAGCCTAACCTCCTACAGTACTGGTTACAACAGGGAGGCTCCAACATGTCTGCCCAGGTATGGCAAGATCCCACCAGAGGGCACGGAGTCTGGGAGGGAAGCGGGGAGTGCAGGATATGGGAACTAGCACCAAGAAGGACCAGCAGGGGCTAATCTGGGGTTTGGGGCTAAGTCTCAGTGCCAGAAAGGATTATGTAAATAAACAAAAAGAACTTTGATTGAGGTGTCAAGGAAGGTCCATTCTCCAGCCCAAGACAAATTTTTAGAAAGAAAAAAAAAATGTCAAGAGTTACATGGAAACCTAAAACTCAGCCCACATTTTGATGTGGTCACTTTAACATGGCCTATAAAACAAACCATTAAAATTTCAGTCTTTAAAAAATTACCAAGCTATTGGGACAACCGATAGCCTCTCTTTGTCTCAGAGCTGGGAGTGAGTGAGGCTCAGGGTCAAGGTGAAGGGCAAGAGGGATGTGAAATGGGAGTTGGGAATGCCATGGCACACATTGCTCAGTAATTTAAACAAAAAATAGAAACAGCATTTTTTTTTTCAATTTTAATGAAACACTTTGAAGTGAGCCATGTAAAAACATTCTGCTTCACCAGGACTCTCTCCAATGTCCTAGTGGCCAGGTCTGGTGGGCCCTACGGACACCTCCCAAAGGGGGTGTGGCACTTGGGAGCCCAAGGGCTGAGGCCAACCCCCCAGATTATGAATTGGCTGAATAGAATTATGTCCAACCCCACCAAATACACTATGCCATCACAATCCCCTGAACAAGGACAGTCCCAGGCCTGCAGAGCAAAATTTAAGAGAAAGTTTAGGCCCCAGAATTTGTTAAGGACAAACTCGAGAGATCAAAGGGAAAGGCTGATACCACCACTGAGAAGCCCATAGACAGTCTCTTTCCCACCAATGCAGGGCCCACGTCTGACCGCTGTGCGCAGCTGGTCTGGCTCAGTTAGGCCAGACCAGATTTCCCGTATGAGTCATAAAGAAGCACAGTAATCCACTTTTCTGGATTACAATAGCTCTCAGGGAACTTTTGTATAGGGCAGTTTATTACATAAAATTATAACAGTCAACATAAAAAACGCTCACTTACTTTGCATTTCTTCATTATTTTCTCAATTGGCTTTCATGGTATGTGTAAAAATGAAGTCCAGATAAAGTCTTTCCCAGTGAAGCGGGAAAAAAAAAAACCCTAACTCTTTAAACTGTCTTTACTCAGAATCTATATCAAGAAAGAATGCAGATCTCGGTAAGTACAAAAATAATAATTTATCTATTATATCGAGATTATTCAACTTGATTGGTTTTCTGTTTAGTTCCCTCTTGCTGCCTTTCTTCGGTATGCATGTTTTGTGCAGCCCCCTCAAAGCATGAAACCTGCCTTTGTGACACAAATAGGACCTTGTGCAGAAGCTACTGTCACCACTGCAGCCTGCCCCACATCTCATTAGGGTTAGGCCTTTAGCAGCTGGGGCTGTCAACTAGGATAAGCTTGTGAAATTTTGTTTATTTATTCTTTTTCTAAACCCTCTAATCCAAGCGTTTGCAAACCAGCCATAACAGCAAGTGTCTGCAGACAATAACTAATTCATTTGCTGTACTTTCCCCTTTGGTGGTACTGACATGTAATAGAATACCTGTCAGGACACTCTGGCGGAATAGGAATTACAGGAATATTTTTGACAGGACACTAGTATTGTGTCTTGATAATTTATTGAAACCACCTGGTTTCAGATAGCCTACTTTGGATACTACCTATTATTTTGAAATATTTCAACCTTACAGAAAAATTGAATGAATAGTATAAGTCATCCATATACATGTCTTCTAGATTACCCAGTTTTAAACATTTTGTCATCTTAGTTTTATCTCACTCTCTCGATGTGTATGTGTATGGGTGTGTGTACGTGTAGTACCATTTGAAAAAAATTGCAGATGTTATACTTCCACCCTAAATATTTCCTCACTGATCTTTCAATAATAGGAGCATTCTCCTACATAAGCAAAATACTATTATTATACTCGAAGTATTTAACTTTCACACAATATCATCAGATATATAGTCCATGTTCAAACTTTTCTGATTGGTCCAATAAAGTCTTTAAATCTGTTTTTCTTTCTGTAATTCCAGGACGCAATCGAAAATGACACATTGCATTTTGTTGCCACATCTTTCTAGTTTCCTTTCATCCAAAACAGTTCTTCGTATCAACCCCCTGAGCTCCCCGCCTTTTTGGTCTTCTATCACATTGGCATTTTTGAAAAGTCAGTTGTTTTGTAAAATGTTCCACAAGCTGGATTTGCCTGATAATTTCCCTATGATTTAATTCAGGTTAAACATTTCTGGCAAGATTTTGACAGCATTATACAAGTAATGTTGAATACAGTACATCACATTAGGAGGCAGATAATGTCTCATTTTTTATGATGCTAAGTTTGATCATTTGGTTAAAAAGGAATTTGCCATATTTCTTTATTGTAAAGATGCTTTTTTCCCCTTATAATAAATAAAATAATAAATGATCCTTTCAGATGATGTGAATATTTTTCCCTGAAAACTTTTCACCTATTTATTTATGTATCCATGAATGAGTCTTCCCTATATTGACTATTATAGTGTTGGTGGCAAAATTATGATTTTCTAATGCAATCATTCCTTCCACATGTATTAGTTGCCATTCTTTTGTAAAACAAAGCTTTTTCTTCACCTTCAACCATTTTAAAAAATCCCTGTGGAACTTAACAATTCCTTTAAAGTTCAATATGTTGTAATTCTTGATTTTTATTATTTTCTCTGATGCTCATACCTTTTCAGTTATGGTCAGGGGACCTGCTTAAAGCTAGTAAAATTTATAATTTTACCACATTATTACATTTCACAATTAATTAGAAGTAAGCAGTTATGCTGTATTAAAACACTGGTTTTTAATATCCACTTCATTATTCTTATAGAATTAGTAATATAATTCAAATCCCCCAAGCACTCCACCTTATGGAAACATCCTTTTCATTATTATTCAAACAAAATAACTGTGCTCACATCCCACAAAATTGTAGAAAATTCAGCAGCATCCTTTACATTTTCAAAGATTTAGGACAGTGAGGGAGAGTAACAGTCTCTTCTGATTGCCTGCCTCCTTTCACAGCCAGCTCAAGTCCCCATCGCTTCAGGGCCAAGCCCATGGCGCTTGTCCATGGTGCCATCTCCTGCCACATTTCCCCCAAGCATGGATTCTGTATCTTCCTCACTTTTCAAGGCTTTGCTGAAAATAAAGCGTTGTTACAACACCAAATAGGAAAGAACTTAATAGTCTACATCAGATATCCTTGCTCCAGGAAGGGAGCATTCTCTGAATGAACTGCATTCATTTTCCTATTCAGTCTACCATAGCTCATTTCAACATCAGCCCCACCTCTCAGACAGGCACCAGGCACCCGGGAAATGGAGTGACACAGCAAACATCACTCATGGCAAAGTCCAGAATCACTCAATAATTGGTGTTTAAGTTCCCCAGTCAGTAACATCATTCTCCTCTTTGCCTCAACCATCCTACACATGTATATCCTTTCAACCACCTCCCTCACCCCTCACCTTGGCAACCCATTCTTGCATCACCTTCAGTAGTGGCCCTTCTGGTATCCTGTCCTTACTAGCTAATCTTAGGTGGCACCATTTCTCCTGGCTCACCCCAGCCTCAGGGTGAGACTCTACATAACACTTTCCCTTGGGCTGTCTGCTCCTTAAGGCCACATCCCCTATCCTCCTATCACTATTCATAGCTCTCTCTTTTTATGGAAAACTTATTGATTAATCTACTGCCGTGGCCCAATTCCTCACACTGACTGTTCAACATTCCATTCTGACAAGCCTAACTCATCTGACTCTTTGCAGGATAGGAAAGGCTGTGGAGCCACAGTGCAGTTAGGAGTCAGAACATTCCAGCTCCTAGAAGGAGGGACATGGTGTATTAGGCCATTCTTGCACTACTATAAAAAAAACCTGAGATGGGGTAATTTATAAAGAAAAGAGGTTTAATTGGCCCATGGTTCTACAGGCTTTATGAGAAGTGTGATATGCTGACATCTGCTTGGTTTCTAGGAAGACCTCAAGCAGCTTTTACTAATGGCAGAAGGTGAAGGATGAATAGGCATGTCACATAGCAAAAGCAGGAATGAGAGTGAGAGGGTAGGAGGGAAGGTGCCACACACTTTTAAATAAGCAGATCTCATGTGAACTCAGAGCAAGAGCTCACTTATTACCAAGGAGATAGCCCAAGCCATTCGTGAGGGATCGACCCCCGTGATCCAAACACTTCCCACCAGGCCCCACCTCTAACATTGGGGATTACGTTTCAAAATGAGATTTCAGTAAGGAAAGATATCCAAATAATATCATTCCACCTTGTTCCCTCCCAAATCTCATGTCTTTCTCACACTGCAAAACGCAATCATACGTTCTTAATAGTCCCCTAAAGTCTTAACTCATTCCAACATTAACTGAGATCTCCCAACTCCTAAGTTCTATCTGAGACTCAAGCCAAGTTTCTTTCACCTATAAGCCTGTAAAATCAAACACAGGTTATTAACTTCCAAGATACAATGGTGTTATAGGCATTGGGTAAACATTCCTGTTCCAAAAGGGAGAAATTGGCTAAAAGAAAGGGGCTACAGGCCTCACACAAAACTGAAACACAGCAGTCACTAAACATTAAAGCTCCAAAATAATCTTCTTTAACTCTATGTCCCACGTCCAGGGCAACTGATAAGAGAAGTGGGTTCCAAAGACCTTTGGCAACTCCACCCCTGTGGCTTTGCAGGGTTCAGCACCCAAGGCTACTCTCACAGCTGTAGTTGAGTGTCCGCAGCTTTTCCAGGCTCAGGGCACAGGCTGCTGGTGGATCTACCATTCTGGGATCTGGAGGGCAGTGGCCCAATTCCCACAGCTCCACTAGAAAGTGCCCTATTGGGGACTCTGTGTGGCAGCTCCAACCCCACATTTCCCCTCCACACTGCCCTAGTAGAGGTTCTCTGTGAGGGCTCTACCCCTGGAGCAGGCTTCTACTTGGGCACCCAGGCTTTTTCATATATCCTTTGAAATCTAGGCAGAGGCTGCCAAGGCTTCACTCTGTGCACCTACAGGCTTAACACCACAGGGAAGCCACCAAGGCTTACTGTGGTGCAATTCAGAAGGCCACTCAAGCTATATATGGGGCCCTTTCAACTGAGGCTGGAGCCAGATTGGGTGGGATGCAGGAAGCAGTGTATTGAGGCTGCACAGGGCAGTGAGGTCCCATGCCTGGCCCATGAAACCATTCTTTCTTCCTAGGACTCTATGCCTGTGTTGACAGGGGCTACTACAAAGGTCTCCAAAATGCCTTCAAGGTCTTTTTCTCATTGTCTTGGATATTGGTAGTTGGTTCCCTTTTATTTATGCAAATAACATGCTAAACATGATAAATATCCTGACTTCAAAAATCATGCATATTCCATGGCAGACGGGAGGCAGGACTAGATTGCAGCTCCAGACAGAGCAGCATGTGGAGTTTTGCATTGTGAATTTTAGCTCCAGGTCTACTGCAAGAACAAACCAGCAATTTCGAGAGCACCCAGAGACCCTCTGAAAGAAGAGAACTGTTCTTACAGGACCCAGGAGACACTGCAAATACTGTGAGTGCCCCAGCTAGGGAAGTGGGAAACAGAGACTCTCCTTTACTAACACACACCCCCACTGGAGAAGCTGAAGGTCTGTTTGTGGGAGAAGTTTCCAACTTTATATGGAGCTGAATCAAGTTAGCCAAGCGAAATACAGGGGTAGAGGAAGCAGCAAAAAGGCCCTGGGGGCTTGCTGGGTCCCCAAGCAGCCCATTCCTGCCTGACACCACAGGGATCCATCAGGAGGGTGGCCAGAGGAGCAGCGCATAAAACTCCACAGGGAGAAGGAATTCTCTAGCTGAACTTCGTAACAATTTGAACAGGGTGGAAAGCCTCCTGGCCAGAACTCAGGGGAGGGTGCAAATCCAGAGTGCAGACTTCACAGGCGGGGGAAGAACTAAAGTCCTTTTCTTTTGCAGCTGGGAGGTGGATAGCCTCAAGCAAGTTTTCAAGCCTATCTCACCCTCTGCCTGGAAACAGACTCAGGGATGTTCCTGGGAGTACAGTGGGAGTCAGACCGGCCCTTCGGTTTGCATGGGAGATGGGTGAGACCTGTGACTGCCAGCTTTGCCCCACTTCCCTGACAACCTGCATGACTCAGCAGAGACAGCCATAATCCTCCTAGAGACACAACTCCAGTGCTCTGAGAATCTCACCTGCATCCCTCACAGCAGCCACAGCAAGACCCACCCAAGGAGAGTCTGAGCTCAGACACACCTAGCCCCACCCCTACCTGAGGGTCCTTCCCTATCCACCCTGGTAGTGGAAGACAAAGGCATATAATCTTGAGCATTCTAGGGCCCCACCCACCCGTGGTCCCTCTGCACACTACTACAGCTGATGCTTTCTGGAAAGCACCACCTCTTGGCAGAAGGCCAATCAGCACAAAAATAGAGCATTAAGCCACCAAAGCTAAGGACCCTCAAGGAGTCCATTGCACCCTCTGACACCTTTACTGGAACAGGCACTGATATCCATGGCTGACAGACTTATAGACAGTTCACACCACATGACTCAGTGCAGACAACCCCCAGTACCAGCCTGGAGCCGGGTAGACTTGCTGGGTGGCTAGACCTAGAAGAGAGACAACAATCATTGCAGTTTAGCTCACAGGAAGCCGCATCCATAGGAAAAGGGGGAGAGTACTACATCAAGGGAACACCCTGTGGAACAAAAGAATCTGAACAACAGCCTTCAGCCCTAGACCTTCCCTCTGACAGAGCCTACCCAAATGAAAAGGAACCAGAAAACCAACCCTGGTAATATGACAAAACAAGGCTTTTCAACACCCCTCCAAAATCACACTAGTTCACCAGCAATGGATCCAAACCAAGAAGAAATCCCTGATTTACCTGAAAAAGGATTCAGGAGGTTAGTTATTAAGCTAATCAGGGAGGGACTAGAGAAAGACAAAGCCCAATGCAAGGAAATCCAAAAAATGATACAAGACACAAAAGAGAAATATTCAAGGAAATAGATAGCTTAAAGAAAAAACAATCAAAAATTCAGGAAACTTTGGAAACACTTTAAGAAATGTGAAATGCTCTGGAAAGTCTCAGCAATAGAATTGAACAAGTAGAAGACAGAAATTCAGAGCTCAAAGACAAGGTCTTCGAATTAACCCAATCCAACAAAGAAAAAGAAAAAAGAATAAGAAAATATGAACAAAGCCTCCAAGAAGTCTGGGATTATGTTAAATGACCAAACCTAAGAATAACCAGTGTTCTTGAGGAAGAAGACAATTCTAAAAGCTTGGAAAACATATTTGGGAGAATAATAGAGGAAAATTTCCCCCGCTTTTCTAGAGACCTAAACATCCAAATGCAAGAAGCACAAAGCACATCTGGGAAATTCATCATAAAAAGATTTTCGCCTATGCACATCATCATCAGGTTATCCAAAGTTAAGATAAAGGAAAGAATCTTAAGAGCTGTGAGACAGAAGCACCAGGCAACCTATAAAAGAAAACCTATCAGATTAACAGCAGATTTCTCAGCAGAAACCTTACAAGCTAAATGGGATTGGGGCCCTATCTTCAGCCTCCACAAATAAAACAATTATTAGCCAAGAATTTTGTATCCAGTGAATCTAAGCATCATATATGAAGGAAAGATACAGTCATTTTCAGACAAACAAATGCTGAAAGAATTCACCATTACCAAGCCACCACTGCAAGAACTGCTAAAAGGAGCTCTAAATCTTGAAACAGATCCTGAAACACTTCAAAACAGAACCTCTTCAAAGCATAAATCACACAGGACCTATAAAATAAAAATGCAAATTAAAAAACAAAAAAAAAACAAAGTATGCAGGCAACAAAGAGCATGATGAATGCAACAGTCCCTCACATTTCAATACTAACATTGAATGTAAATAGCCTAAATGCTCCACTTAAAAGTTACAGAACATCGGCCAGGCTCAGTGTCTCACACCTGTAATCCCAGCACCCTGGGAGGCTGAGGCAGGTGGATCACAAGGTCAGGAGATTGAGACCATCCTGGCTAACACAGTGAAACCCCATCTGTACAAAAAAAATACGAAAATTTAGCCAGGTGTGGTGGCAGGTGCCTGTAGTCCCAGCTATTTGGGAGGCTGAGGCAGGAGAATGGCATGAACCTGGGAGGCAGAGCTTGCAGTGAGCTGAGATCGTGCCACTGCACTCCAGCCTGGGTGACAAAGCAAGACTCCATCTCAAAAAAAAAAAAAAAAAAAAAAAACAGTTACAGAACATCAGAATGGATAAGAACTCACCAACCTACTGTCTGTTGCCTTCAGGAGACTTGCCTAACACATAAGGACTCACATAAACTTAAAGTAAAGAGGTGGGAAAAGGCATTTCATACAAATGGACAACAAAAGTGAGAAGGGGTAGCTATTATATCAGGCAAAACAAACTTTAAAGCAACAGTGTTTATAAGAGACAAAGAGGGACATTATGTAATGGTAAAAGGCCTTGTCCAACAGGAAAATATCACAATCCTAAACATATATGCGCCTAACACTGGAGCTCCCAAATTTATTTAAAATCTTACTAATAGACCTAAGAAATGAAATAGACAGCAATACAATAATAGTGGGGGACTTTAGTACTCCACTGACAGCACTAGACAGGTCATCAAGACACAAAGTCAACAAAAAAACAATGGATTTAAACAACACCTTAGAACAAATGGACTTAACAGATATATACAAAACATTTTATCTAATGACTGCAGAATGCACATTCTATTCAACAGTGCATAGAATTTTCTCCAAGATAGACCATATGATGGGCCATAAAATGAGCCTCAATAAATTTAAGAAAATTGAAATTATATCAAGCACTCTCTCAGACCACAGTGGAATGAAACTGGAAATCAACTCCAAAAGGAACCTTCAAAACCATGCAAATACATGGAAATTAAATAACCTGCTCCTGAATGAGCATTGGGTCAAAAAAGAAATCAAAATGGAAATTAAAAAATTCTTCTAACTGAATGACAATAATGACACAACCTATCAAAACCTCTGGGATACAGCAAAGATGGTGCTAAGAGGAAAGTTCACAGCCCTAAACACCTACATCAAAAAGTCTGAAAGAGCAAAAGCAGACAATCTAAGGTCACACCTCAAGGAACTAGAGAAACAAGAACAAACTAAGCCCAAACCCAGCAGAAGAAAGGAAATAACCAAGATCAGAGCAGAACTAAATGAAATTGAAACAATAAAAAAGAATACAAAAGATAAGTGAAACAAAAAGTTTGTTGTTTGAAAAGATAAATAAAATTGATATTAGCAAGATTAACCCAAGAAAAGAAGAGAGAAAATCCAAATATCCTCACTAAGAAACGAAACAGGAGATATTACAACTGACACCACTGAAATACAAAAGATCATTCAAGGCTACTATGAATACCTTTATGCACATAAACTAGAAAACCTAGAAGAGATATATAAATTCTTGGAAAAATACAACCCTCCTAGCTTAAATCAGGAAGAATTAGATACCCTGAACAGACCAATAACAACCAGTGAGATTGAAATGGTAATTAAGAAATTACCAACAAAAAAAGTCCAGGGCCAGACAGATTCACAGCAGAATTCTACCAGACATTCAAAAAGAATTTATACCAATCCTTTTGACACTATTCCACAAGATAAAGAGGGAACCCTCCCTAATTCATTCTATGAAGCCAGCATCACCCTAATACCAAAACCAGGAAAGGACATAACCAAAAAAGAAAACTACAGACCAATATCCTTGATGAACATAGATGCTAAAATCCTTAACAAACCACTAGCTAACTGAATCCAACAACATACCGAAAAGATAATCTACCATGATTAAGTGGGCTTCATACCACAGATGCAGGGATGGTTTAACATACTCAAGTCAATAAATATGATACAGCACATAAACAGAATTAAAAACAAAAATCACATGATCATCTCAATAGATGTAGAGAAAGCATTTGACAAAATCCAGCATCCCTTTATGATTAAAACTCTTTAAAATCAGCATCCAAGGGACACACCTTCATGTAATAGAAGCCATCTATGACAAACCCACAGCCAACATAATACTGAATGGGGAAAAGTTGAAAGCACTCCTTCCGAGAACTGGAACAAGACAAGGATGCCCATTCTCACCACTCCTCTTCAGCATAGTACTGGAAGTCCTAGCCAGAGCAATCAGACAAGAGAAAGAAATAAAGGGCATCCAAATTGGTAAAGAAGTCAAACTCACTGTTTACTGACGATATGAACATTTACCTTGAAAACCCTAAGGACTCCTCCAGAAAGCTCCTAGAACTGATAAAAGAATTCGACAAAGTTTCCACTTACAAGATTAATATACACAAATCAGTAGCTCTTCTATGTACACCAACAGCAACCAAGCAGAGAATCAAATCAAGAACTGAACCCATTTTACAATAGCTACAAAAAACAAAAAAAAAAATACTTAGGAATATACCTAACCAAGGAGTCGAAGGACTTCTACAAAGAAAACTACAAAACACTGCTGAAAGAAATAATAGATGACACCAACAAATGGAAACACATCACATGCTCATGGATGGGTAAACTCAATATTGTGAAAATGACCATACTGCTAAAAGCAATCTACAAATTCAATGCAATTCCTATCAAAATACCACCATCATTCTTCACAGAACTAGAAAAAAAAAATCCTAATATTCATATGGAATCAAAAAAGAGCCAGTAGAGCCAAAGCAAGACTAAGCAAAAAGAATAAATCTGGAGGCATCACACTACCTGATTTCAAACCATACTATAAGGCCATAGTCACCAAAAGAGCATAGTACTGGTATAGAAATAGGCACATAGACCAATGGAACAGAATAGAGAACCCAAAAATAATACCAAATACTTACAGCAAGCTGATCTTTGACAAAGCAAACAAAAGCATAAAGTGGGGAAAGGACACCCTTTTCAAAAAATGGTGCTGAGATAATTGGCTAGTCACATGTAGGAGAATGAAACTGGATCCTCACCTTTCACCTTATACAAAAATCAACTCAAGATTGATTAAGGACTTAAACCTAAGAACTGAAACTGTAAAAATTCTACAAGATAACTTTGGAAAAGCCCTTCTAAACATTGGCTTAGGCAACGATTTCACGACAAAGAACCCAAAAGTAAATGCAATAAAAATAAATACCTGGGACCTAATTAAATCAAAGAGCTTTGGCACAGCAAAAGGAACAGTCAGCAGAGTAAACAGACAACCCACAGAGCGGGAGAAAATCTTCACAATCTATACGTCTGACAAATGACTAATATCCAGAATCTACAGCAAACTCGAAGAAATCCATAAGAAAAAAGCAAACAATCCCATCAAAAAGTTGGCTAGGGGCATGAATAGACAATTCTCCAAAGAAGATATACAAATGGCCAACAAACATACAAAAAAAATCCTCAACATCAATAATAATTAGGGAAATGCAAATGAAAACCTCAATGTGATACCACCTTACTCCTGCAAGAATTACTATAATCAAAAAATCAAAAAACAGTAGATGTTGGAATGGATGTGGTGAACATGGAACATTCTACACTGCTGGTGGGAATGTAAACTAGTACAGCCGCTATGGAAAACAGTGTGGAGATCCCTTAAAGAACTAAAAGTAGAACTACCATTTGATCCAGCAATCCCACTGCTGGGTGTCTACCCAGAGGAAAAGAAGTCATTATTCAAAAAAGATACTTGCACGTGTATGTTTATAGCAGCAAAATTCACAATTGCAAAATCATGGAACCAACCCAAATGTCCATTAATCAACAAGTGGATAAAGGAACTGTGGTATATATATGCAATGGAACGCCATACAGCCATAAAAAGGAATGAATTAACAGCATTTGCAGTGACCTGGATGAGATTGGAGATTATCATTCTAAGTGAAGTAACTCAGGAATTGAAAACCAAATATTGTTACGTTCTCACTGATACATGGGACCTAAGCTATGAGGATGCAAAGGCATAAGAATGATACAGTGGACTTTGGGGACGTGGGGGGAAGAGTGGCAGGGGTGAGGGATAAAAGACTGCAAATATGGTGCAGTGTATACTTCTCGGGTCATGGATGCACCAAAATTTTACAAATCACCACTAAAGAACTTACTCATGTAACCAAACAATACATGTACCCCAATAACTTATGGAAAAATAAAATAAATAAATAAATAAAATAAAATAAATCATGCATATTCTCATACACACATATATATCATATATATATATATACACATACACACTTTTCATTTATCTCACTCCTGTCTACGGCACCTAGAAGAAAGTAAGTAAAAATTGCCATTAAAGAGATAAGAAAGTCAACAATCTAACTTGCAACACATACAAGTGGCAGCTCTACCAAGTAGCGCTGACTTTCCTGAGTCATTGCAAATTTCCTACATAATTTAGTGAATATAACCTGGTCAGATGGCATGGCAGTAAGAACCTTTAGCTGAACAATTACAAGCAAAACTAATGACAAAGAAACAGAAGTCAGGCCTCTTGCCTTGGGCCTAGCTCAATCCTGGGCTGCATCTAAATATTTAAAAACAAAAAACTAACTAGTCATCTGAGTGAGTCCATTTTTTGGTGGCAGACTTCCAATAAGTAAACTACAATCAGGGAGTTGAGGAGTGATCAATTCATAATGCCCTTGTTGGAAGGCAGAATAATGCTCCCCCCACCCAAAAGATATTCATATTCTAATTCCTGAAACTTGTTAGTATCTTACCTTACATGACAAAAGGGACTCTGTTAAGCATCTTGACCTAGGTAAATGTTTGTGGAATATTTAGGTGGGCCCAATGTAATCAAAGGAGTCCTAAAAAGATGGGAAGGAGAGGCAGAATCTCAGAATCCAAGAGATTTGAAGATGCCACACAGTTGGACTTGAAAGTGAGAAAAGGGGCCATGTGAGTAGCCTCTAGAAGAATGTGGGCAGCCTCCAGAAGCTGGAAAAGACCAGGAAAAGGAGTCTCTCCTCCCCCAGAGCCTCCAGAGGGAATATAGCCAGCAATCACCTGATTTCAGCCCCGTAAGACCCATTTTGCTTTCTGACCTCTAGAATTGTAACATAACAAATTCATATTATTTTAAGCCACTAAGTTGCTGGTAACTGGTTACAGAAGCAATAGAAAACTAATATACCCAACTTCTCCTGCTGAGTTCTGAACAAATTAGAAGAGTCAAGGAATATGGCACAGAGCAAGATATCACCTTTATGGCTGATAAAGCTGAGAGGAGAAAATGTGCCTGATAATGGTTTGGATTGGTGTGCCCAGCCAAAGCTCATGTCGAATGAATTGTATTCTCCAATGTTGGAGGAGGGGCCTGGTGGGAGGTGATTGGATCATGGGGTGGACTTCTCCCTTGCTGTTTTCATGACTGTGAATGAGTTCTCATGAGATCTGGTTGTTTTAAAACTGTGTAGCACCTCCCCCTTTTCTCTCTTCCTCCTGCTCTGGCCATGTAAGACGTGCCTCCTTCATATTCATCTTTCACCATGATTTTAAGTTTTCTGAGGCCTCCCCAGCCATGCTTCCTATATAGCCTGTGGAACTGTGAGCCAATTAAACTTCTTTTCTTTATAAATTACCCAGTCTCTGGTAGTTTTGTTGTTGATGTTTGACCAAGGCTGGAGTGCAGTGGCGTGATCTTGTCTCCCTGCAACCTCCAGCTCCTAGGTTCAAGCAATTCTCCTGCCTCAGCCTCCTGAGTATCTGGGATTACAGGCATGCACCACCATGCCCAGCTAATTTTTGTATTTTTTTAGTAGAGATGAGGTTTTGCCATGTTAACCAGGCTGGTCTCAAATTCCTGACCCCAGGTGATCCACCCGCCTTGGCCTCCCAAAGTGCTGGGATTATAGGTGTGAGCCACTGAGTCTGGCCCTCTGGTAGTTCTTTATAGCAACATAAGAACAGACTTATACAGTGCCCCAGATGTGTAATAATAAGGGGCTTCCTAAAAACAAACCCCAGATTAAACAGAGCACCACCAGCCAAAGGCTGTGCTGGTCCACTCAAAGTCCTGTAATTGCCCCTAGACAATTTATGGCAGGAGGTTCAAAGGGGAAAGAGTGATACTTTCTGTGGGTGGCTAGACTTCAAAGAGAAAAAAGAGAAAATGGGGCAGAGCTGGGCATCCCTAGTTCTCATCCCAAATACCCAACAGATGGGAATAAGTGAGGAGGTAGACTGTAGCTAATATATGTCCTTCTGTGTGAAAACAGGAGGGAAAAAATAAATTTAATTTAAGTACATCCAGGCACTGCTCCTTTTACTTAGGCTATATTACCCCTTAGGCCATACGTTATCAGGGACACCTTATGTCATAGGTAGTAAGAGCATTATTCTGTAGTCCATTTGCCTGAATTGAAAACCTGCCTTCATCATATTCGTTACATCAAGTTGCTTACACTCTCTGTGTTCTGGTAAAGAATGGTAGGGAAGATCAGAGAGGGTTATAATATATTAATAGCTTATTTCATAGTTTTGATATAAGAATTACACAAAATAATGGTTTTAATGTACTTAGCACGATGTCTGACATAGAGTATGCATTCAATAAATATTGACTATTATTATTACTATGTACCATTTATGCATGTCTCAATATGTTGTACAAATATTCTTTGTTTAAGGAACTAGAAAATTATTACAGGGAGTTTGACAGCCTAATCAAAGGTTGCCCGCGAGAGCATACTTGGAAATGTCTGGAGACATTTTTGGTTGTCACATATGGGGTGTGCTACTGGCATCTAGCAGGTAGAGGTCAGAGATGCTGCAAAATACCCTACAAGGCACAGGACAGCTCCCCCACAACAAATAATTGTCCAACCCAAAATGTCAGTAGTGCTGAGGTAAATAAATCCTATATTAGATAGACAACATAGGAATTGACTTGCTTGAGAAAAAGAATTTTTAATTTATATTCTATGCATTCAGCAGAATATGAAATATATAAATTGAATACTGAAATACAATCAAGTAGCCCTGTGATACAATGAGAGGAAGATGAACCAAGGAAACAAAAGTCAGAAACTGTTTGGGGGATTTTTTTTTCTTAGTTAAACAATAAGGAGTTTTGACAAAACCGCTGTAGACAGACTGCCTCTCTAGATTCCTCCTCAAATGGGTCCCTGACCCCGGTGCTTCCAAGGGTTGACAGACACCTCACGCAGGAGAGATTCCACTGGCATCTGGCGGGTGCTCCTCTGGGATGAAGCTTCCAGAGGAAGGAACAGGCAGCCATCTTTGCTGTTCTGCAGCCTCTGCTGGTGATACCCAGGAAAACAGCTTCTGGAGTGGACCCCCAGCAAAATCCAGCAGACCTGAAACAGAGGAGCCTGTTAGAAGAAAAACTAACAAACAGAAAGGAATAGCATCAACATAATAAAAAGGATGACCATGTAAAAACTCCATCCGAAGATCACCAACATCAAAGACCAAAGGTAGATAAATCCACGAAGATGTGGAAAAACCAGCTCAAAAATGCTGAAAATTCCAAAAACCAGAATGCCTCTTCTCCTCCAAAGGAACACAACCACTCGCCAGCAAGAGAACAAAACTGGATGGAGAATGAGTTTGACAAATTGACAGAAGTAGCCTTCAGAAAGTGGGTAATAACAAACTACTCTGAGCTAAAGGAGCATGTTCTCACCAGATACAAGGAGGCTAAAAACCTTCATAAAAGGTTACAGGAACTGCTAACTAGAATAATGAGTTTAGAGAGGAACATAAATCAACTGTTGGAGCTGGAAAACACAGCACAAGAACTTTGTGAAGCACACACAAATATGAACAGCCAAATCAATCAAGTGGAAGAAGGGATATCAGAGATTGAAGATCAACTTAATGAAATAAAGCATGAAGACAAGATTAGAGAAAAAAGAATGAAAAGGATTAAACAAAGCCTCCTAGAAATATAGGACTATGTGAAAAGACCAAACCTACATTTGATTGATGTATCTCAAAGTGACAGGGAGAATGGAAGCAAGTTGGAAAACACATTTAAGAATATTATCCAGGAGAGCTTCCCTAACCTAGCAAAACAGGCCAACATTCAAATTCAGGAAATACAGAGAACACCACAAAGATACTCCTCATGAAGAGCAACCCCAAGACACATAATTGTCAGATTCACCAAGGTTGAAATGAAGGAAAAAATGTTAAGGGAAGCCAGAGAGAAAGGTTGGGTTACCCACAAAGGGAAGCCCATCAGACTAACAGTGGATCTCTCTTCAGAAATCCTACAAGCCAGAAAAGAGTAGGGGGCCAATATTCAACATTCTTTAAAAAAAGAATTTTCAACCCAGAATTTCATATCCAGCCAAACTAACCTTCATAAGTGAAAAAGAAAGAAAATTCTTTATAGGGAAGCAAAGGCTGAGGGATTTTGTCACCACCAGGCCTATCTTTTTTTTCTTTTTTATACTTTAAGTTTTAGGGTACATGTGCACATTGTGCAGGTTAGTTACATATGTATACATGTGCCATGCTGGTGTGCAGCACCCACTAACTCGTCATCTAGCATTAGGTATATCTCCCAATGCTATCCCTCCCCCCTCCCCCCACCCCACCACAGTCCCCAGAGTGTGATATTCCCCTTCCTGTGTCCATGTGATCTCATTGTTCAATTCCCACCTATGAGTGAGAATATGCGGTGTTTGGTTTTTTGTTCTTGCGATAGTTTACTGAGAATGATGATTTCCAATTTCATCCATGTCCCTACAAAGGACATGAACTCATCATTTTTTATGGCTGCATAGTATTCCATGGCATATATGTGCCACATTTTCTTAATCCAGTCTATCATTGTTGGACATTTGGGTTGGTTCCAAGTCTTTGCTATAGTGAATAATGCTGCAATAAACATACATGTGCATGTGTCTTTATAGTAGCATGATTTATAGTCATTTGGGTATATACCCAGTAATGGGATGGCTGGGTCAAATGGTGTTTCTAGTTCTAGATCCCTGAGGAATCGCCACACTGACTTCCACAATGGTTGAACTAGTTTACAGTCACACCAACAGTGTAAAAGCGTTCCTATTTCTCCACATCCCCTCCAGCACCTGTTGTTTCCTGACTTTTTAATGATTGCCATTCTAACTGGTGTGAGATGGTATCTCATTGTGGTTTTGATTTGCATTTCTCTGATGGCCAGTGATGATGAGCATTTTTTCATGTGTTTTTTGGCTGCATAAATGTCTTCTTTTGAGAAGTGTCTGTTCATGTCCTTCACCCACTTTTTGATGGGGTTGTTTGTTTTTTTCTTGTAAATTTGTGTGAGTTCATTGTAGATTCTGGATATTAGCCCTTTGTCAGATGAGTAGGTTGCGAAAATTTTCTCCCATTTTGTAGGTTGCCTGTTCACTCTGATGGTAGTTTCTTTTGATGTGCAGAAGCTCTTTAGTTTAATTAGATCCCATTTGTCAATTTTGTCTTTTGTTGCCACTGCTTTTGGTGTTTTGGACATGAAGTCCTTGCCCATGCCTATGTCCTGAATGGTAAAGCCTAGGTTTTCTTCTACGGTTTTTATTGTTTTAGGTCTAACATTTAAATCTTTAATCCATCTTGAATTGATTTTTGTATAAGGTGTAAGGAAGGGATCCAGTTTCAGCTTTCTACATATGGCTAGCCAGTTTTCCCAGCACCATTTATTAAATAGGGAATCCTTTCCTCATTGCTTGTTTTTCTCAGGTTTGTCAAAGATCAGATAGTTGTAGGTATGTGGCGTTATTTCTGAGGGCTCTGTTCTGTTCCATTGATCTATATCTCTGTTTTGGTACGAGTACCATGCTGTTTTGGTTACTGTAGCCTTGTAGTATAGTTTGAAGTCAGCTAGTGTGATGCCTCCAGCTTTGTTCTTTTGGCTTAGGATTGACTTGGCGATATGGGCTCTTTTTTGGTTCCATATGAACTTTAAAGTAGTTTTTTCCAATTCTGTGAAGAAAGGCATTGGTAGCTTGATGGGGATGGCATTGAATCTGTAAATTACCTTGGGCAGTATGGCCATTTTCACAATATTGATTCTTCCTACCCATGAGCATGGAATGTTGTTCCATTTGTTTGTATCCTCTTTTATTTCCTTGAGCAGTGGTTTGTAGTTCTCCTTGAAGAGGTCCTTCACATCCCTTGTAAGTTGGATTCCTAGGTATTTTATTCTCTCTGAAGCAATTGTGAATGGGAGTTCACTCATGATTTGGCTCTCTGTTTGTCTGTTGTTGGTGTATAAGAATGCTTGTGATTTTTGTACATTGATTTTGTATCCGGAGACTTTGCTAAAGTTGCTTATGAGCTTAAGGAGATTTTGGGCTGAGACAATGGGGTTTTCTAGATATACAATCATGTCGTCTGCAAACAGGGACAATTTGACTTCCTCTTTTCCTAATTGAATACCCTTTATTTCCTTCTCCTGCCTAATTGCCCTGGCCAGAACTTCCAACACTATGTTGAATAGGAGTGGTGAGAGAGGGCATCCCTGTCTTGTGCCAGTTTTCAAAGGGAATGCTTCCAGTTTTTGCCCATTCAGTATGATATTGGCTGTGGGTTTGTCATAGATAGCTCTTATTATTTTGAAATACGTCCCATCAATACTTATTTTATTGAGAGTTTTTAGCATGAAGGGTTGTTGAATTTTGTCAAAGGCTTTTTCTGCATCTATTGAGATAATCATGTGGTTTTTGTCTTTGGCTCTGTTTATATGCTGGATTACATTTATTGATTTGTGTATATTGAACCAGCCTTGCATCCCAGGGATGAAGCCCACTTGATCATGGTGGATAAGCTTTTTGATGTGCTGATGGATTTGGTTTGCCAGTATTTTATTGAGGATTTTTGGATCAATGTTCATCAAGAATATTGGTCTAAAATTCTCTTTTTTGGTTGTGTCTCTGCCCAGCTTTGATATCAGAAAGATGCTGGCCTCATAAAATGAGTTAGGGAGGATTCCCTCCTTTTCTATTGATTGGAATAGTTTCAGAAGGAATGGTACCAGCTCCTCCTTGTACCTCTGGTAGAATTCGGCTGTGAATCCATCTGGTCCTGGACTCTTTTTTGTTGGTAAACTATTGATTATTGCCACAATTTCAGCTCCTGTTATTGTTCTATTCAGAGATTCAACTTCTTCCTGGTTTAGTCTTGGGAGAGTGTATGTGTCCAGGAATTTATCCATTTCTTCTAGATTTTCTAGTTTATTTGCATAGAGGTGTTTGTAGTATTCTCTGATGGTAGTTTCTATTTCTGTGGGATGAGTGGTGATATCCCCTTTATCATTTTTTATTGCATCTATTTGATTCTTCTCTCCTTTTTCATTATTAGTCTTGCTAGCGGTCTATCAATTTTGTTGATCCTTTCAAAAAACCAGCTCCTGGATTCATTAATTTTCTGAAGGGTTTTTTGTGTCTCTATTTCCTTCAGTTCTGCTCTGATTTTAGTTATTTCTTGCCTTCTGCTAGCTTTTGAATGTGTTTGCTCTTGCTTTTCTAGTTCTTTTAATTGTGATGTTAGGGTGTCAATTTTGGATCTTTCCTGCTTTCTCTTGTGGGCATTTAGTGCTATAAATTTCCCTCTACACACTGCTTTGAATGCGTCCCAGAGATTCTGGTGTGTTGTGTCTTTGTTCTCGTTGGTTTCAGAGAACATCTTTATTTCTGCCTTCATTTCGTTATGTACCCAGTAGTCATTCAGGAGCAGGTTATTCAGTTTCCATGTAGTTGAGCAGCTTTGAGTGAGATTCTTAATCCTGAGTTCTAGTTTGATTGCACTGTGGTCTGAGAGATAGTTTGTTATAATTTCTGTTCTTTTACATTTGCTGAGGAGAGCTTTACTTCCAACTATTGGTCAATTTTGGAATAGGTGTGGTGTAATGCTGAAAAAAATGTATATTCTGTTGATTTGGGGTGGAGAGTTCTGTAGATGTCTATTAGGTCCGCTTGGTGCAGAGCTGAGTTCAATTCCTGGGTATCCTTGTTGACTTTCTGTCTCGTTGATCTGTCTAATGTTGACAGTGGGGTGTTAAAGTCTCCCATTATTAATGTGTGGGAGTCTAAGTCTCTTTGTAGGTCACTCAGGACTTGCTTTATGAATCTGGGTGCTCCTGTATTGGGTGCATATATATTTAGGATAGTTAGCTCTTCTTGTTGAATTGATCCCTTTACCATTATGTAATGGCCTTCTTTGTCTCTTTTGATCTTTGTTGGTTTAAAGTGTGTTTTATCAGAGACTAGGATTGCAACCCCTGCCTTTTTTTGTTTTCCATTTGCTTGGAAGATCTTCCTCCATCCTTTTATTTTGAGCCTATGTGAGTCTCTGCACGTGAGATGGGTTTCCTGAATACAGCACACTGATGGGTCTTGACTCTTTATCCAATTTGCCAGTCTGTGTCTTTTAATTGGAGAATTTAGTCCATTTACATTTAAAGTTAATATTGTTATGTGTGAATTTGATCCTGTCATTATGATGTTAGCTGGTTATTTTGCTCGTTAGTTGATGCAGTTTCTTCCTAGTCTCGATGGTCTTTACATTTGGGCATGATTTTGCAGTGGCTGGTACCGGTTGTTCCTTTCCATGTTTAGCGCTTCCTTCAGGAGCTCTTTTAGGGCAGGCCTGGTGGTGACAAAATCTCTCAGCATTTGCTTGTCTGTAAAGGATTTTATTTCTCCTTCGCTTATGAAGCTTAGTTTGGCTGGATATGAAATTCTGGGTTGAAAATTCTTTTCTTTAAGAATGTTGAATATTGGCCCCCACTCTCTTCTGGCTTGTAGGGTTTCTGCTGAGAGATCTGCTGTTAGTCTGATGGGCTTCCCTTTGAGGGTAACCCGACCTTTCTCTCTGGCTGCCCTTATCATTTTTTCCTTCATTTCAACTTTGGTGAATCTGACAATTATGTGTCTTGGAGTTGGTCTTCTTGAGGAGTATCTTTGTGGCATTCTCTGTATTTCCTGAATCTGAACGTAGGCCTGCCTTGCTAGATTGGGGAAGTTCTCCTGGATAATATCCTGCAGAGTGTTTTCCAACTTGGTTCCATTCTCCCCATCACTTTCAGGTACACCAATGAGACATAGATTTGGTCTTTTCACATAGTCCCATATTTCTTGGAGGCTTTGCTCATTTCTTTTTATTCTTTTTTCTCTAAACTTCCCTTCTTGCTTCATTTCATTCATTTCATCTTCCATTGCTGATACCCTTTCTTCCAGTTGATTGCATTGGCTCCTGAGGCTTCTGCATTCTTCACGTAGTTCTCGAGCCTTGGTTTTCAGCTCCATCAGCTCCTTTAAGCACTTCTCTGTATTGCTTATTCTAGTTATACATTCTTCTAAATTTTTTTCAAAGTTTTCAACTTCTTTGCCTTTGGTTTGAATGTCCTCCCGTAGCGTAGAGTAATTTGATCGTCTGAAGCCTTCTTCTCTCAGCTCGTCAAAGTCATTCTCCATCCAGCTTTGTTCCGTTGCTGGTGAGGAACTGCGTTCCTTTGGAGGAGGAGAGACGCTCTGCATTTTAGAGTTTCCAGTTTTTCTGTTCTGTTTTTTCCTCATCTTTGTGGTTTTATCTACTTTTGGTCTTTGATGATGGTGATGTACAGACGGGTTTTCGGTGTGGAAGTCCTTTCTGTTTGTTAGTTTTCCTTCTAACAGACAGGACCCTCAGCTGCAGGTCTGTTGGAATACCCTGCCATGTGAGGTGTCAGTGTGCCCCTGCTGGGGGGTGCGTCCCAGTTAGGCTGCTCGGGGGTCAGGGTTCAGGGACCCACTTGAGGAGGCAGTCTGCCGGTTCTCAGATCTCCAGCTGCGTGCTGGGAGAACCACTGCTCTCTTCAAAGCTGTCAGACAGGGACACTTAAGTCTGCAGAGGTTACTGCTGTCTTTTTGTTTGTCTGTGCCCTGCCCCCAGAGGTGGAGCCTACGTGGCAGGCAGGCCTCCTTGAGCTGTGGTGGGCTCCACCCAGTTGGAGCTTCCTGGCTGCTTTGTTTACCTAAGCAAGCCTGGGCAATGGCGGGCGCCCCTCCCCCAGCCTCGCTGCCGTCTTGCAGTTTGATCTCAGACTGCTGTGCTAGCAATCAGCGAGATTCCGTGGGCGTAGGACCCTCCGAGCCAGGTGTGGGATATAGTCTCGTGGTGCGCCGTTTTTTAAGCCGGTATGAAAAGCGCAATATTCGGGTGGGAGTGACCCAATTTTCCAGGTGCGTCCATCACCCCTTTCTTTGACTCGGAAAGGGAACTCCCTGACCCCTTGCACTTCCCAAGTGAGGCAATGCCTCGCCCTGCTTTGGCTCGTGCACGGTGCACGCACCCACTGGCTTGCGCCCACTGTCTGGCACTCCCTAGTGAGATGAACCCGGTACCTCAGATGTTAATGCAGAAATCACCCCTCTTCTGCGTTGCTCACGCTGGGAGCTGTAGACCGGAGCTGTTCCTATTCGGCCATCTTGGCTCCTCCTCCACCACCAGGCCTATCTTACAAAAGCTCCTGAAGGAAGCACTAAATATGGAAAGGAAAAACCAGTACCAGCCACTGCAAAAACAAACCAAAATGGAAACACCATCGACACTATGAAGAAACAGCATCAACCGATGGGCAAAATAACCAGCTAGCGTCATAATGATGGGATCAAATTCACACATAACAATATTAAACTTAAATGTAAACAGGCTAAATGCCCCAATTGGAAGGCACAGACTGGCAAATTAGATAAAGAGTCAAGACCCATCCATGTGCTGTATTCAGGAGACCTATCTCACATGCAAAGACACACATAGTCTCAAAATAAAGGGATACAAGAAGATTTACCAAGCAAATGGGAAGCAATAAAAAGCAGGGGTTGCAATCTTAGTCTCAGATAAAACAGACTTTAAATCAACAAAGATCAAAAAAGACAAAGAAGGGGATTACATAATGGTAAAGGGATCAATGCAACAATAAGAGCTAACTGTCCTAAATATATATGCACCCAATACAGGAACACCCAGATTCATAAAGCAAGTTCTTAGAGACCTACAAAGAGACTTAAGACTCCCACACAAAAATAGTAGGAGACTTTAACACACCGCTATCAATATTAGACAGATCGATGAGACAGAAAATTAGCAAGAATATTCAAGACTTGAACTCAGCTCTGGACAAAGTGGACCTAATAGACATCTACAGAACTCTCCACCCCAATAGAACGACTGCTAGCCAGAATAATAAAGAAGAAAAGAGAGAAGAATCAAATAGACAGAATAAAAAATGATAAAGGGGACGTCACCACTGATCCCACAAAAATACCAACTACCTTCGGAGAATAATATAAACACCTCTACACAAACAAACTAGAAAATCTGGAAGAAATGGATAAATTCCTGGACACATATACCCTCCAAAGACGAAAGCAGGAAGAACAGAATATACATTCTTCTCAGCACCACATAGCACTTATTCTAAAATTGACCACATAATTGGAAGTAAGACACTCCTTAGCAAATGCAAAATAACAGAAATCATAAATAAACAGTCTCCCAGACCACAATGCAATCAAATTAGAACTCAGAATTAAGAAACTGACTCAAAACTGCACAACTGCATGGAAACTGAACAAACTGCTTCAGAATGGCTACTGGGGTAAATAATGAAATTAAGACGGAAATAAATAAGTTCTTTGAAACCAATGAGAACAAAGATACAATGTATAAGAATCTCTGGGACATAGCTAAAGCAGTGTTTAGAGAGAAATTTATAGCACTATATGTCCACAGGAGAAAGTGGGAAAGATCTAAAATTGACACCCTAACATCACAATTAAAAGAACTAGAGAGGAAAGTGCAAACAAATTCAAAAGCTATCAAAGGACAGGAAATAACTAACATCAGAGCAGAACTGAAGGAGATAGAGACACAAAAAACGCCTCAAAAAATCAATGAATCCAGGAGCTGGTTTTTGGAAAAGATTCAGAAAATAGATCAACTGCTAGCCAGAATAATAAAGAAGAAAAGAGAGAAGAATCAAGTTGACAGAATAAAATATGATAAAGGGGATATCACCACTGATCCCACAAAAATACCAACTACCATCAGAGAATAATATAAACACCTCTACACAAATAAACTAGAAAATCTAGAAGAAATGGATAAATTCCTGGACACATATACCCTCCAAAGACGAAAACAGGAAGAAGCCGAATCCCTGAATACACCAATAACAAGTTCTGAAACTGAAGCAGTAATTAATAGCCTACCAACCAAGAAAACCCCAGAGCCAGATGATTCACAGCCAAATTTTACCAGAGGTACAAAGAGGAGCTGGTACCATTCCTTCTGAAACTATTTCAAACAATAGAAGAAGAAGGAGTCCTCCCTAACTCATTTTATGAGGCCAGCATCATCTTGCTACCAAAACCTGGCAGAGACACACACAAAAAAGGAAAATTTCAGGCCAATCTCCCTGATGAACATTGATGCGAAAATCCTCAGTAAAATACTGGCAAACCAAATCCAGCAGCACATCAAAAACTTATCCACCACAATCAAGTCGGTTTCATCCCTGGGATGCAGGGCTGGTTCAACATACACAAATCAATAAACATAATCCATCACATAAACAGAGCCAATGACAAAAACCACATGATTATCTCAATAGATGCAGAAAACACCTGCAATAAAACTCAACACCACTTCAGATTAAAAATTCTCAATAAATCAGGTATTGATGGAACGTATCTCAAAATAATAAGAGCTATTTATGACAAACCCACAGCCAATATCATACTGAATGGGCAAAAGTTGGACACATTCCTTTTGAAAACTAGCACAACATAGCACAAAACAGCACAACATGAAAACTATTCAACATAGTATTGGAAGTTCTGGCCAGGGCAATCAGGCAAGACAAAGAAATAAAGCATATTCAAATAGAAAAAGAGGAAGACAAATTATCTCTCTTTGCAGATGACATGATTGTATATGTAGAAAACCCCATCATCTCAGACCAAAATCTCCTTAAGCTTATAAACAACTTCAGCAAATCTCAGGATACAAAATCAATGTGCAAAAATCACAAGCATTCCTGTACACCAATAATAGACAAACAGACAGCCAAATCATGAGTGAACTCCCATTCACTATTGCTACAAAGAGAATTAAATACCTAGGAATAAAACTTACAAGGGATATGAAGGATCTCTTTAAGGAGAACTACAAGCCACTACTTAAGGAAATAAGAGAGGACACAAACAAATGGAAAAACATTCCATACTCATGGATAGGAAGAATCAGTATAGTAAAAATGACCACACTGCCCAAAGTAATTTATAGTTTCAAAGCTATTCCTATCAGCTACCATTAACTTTCTTCACAGAATTAGAAAAAACTACTTGAAATTTCATATCAAACCAAAAAAGAGCCTGTACACTCAAGACAATCCCAAGCAAAAAGAACAAACATCACACTACCTGACTTCAAACTAAACTACAAGGCTACAGTCACCAAAACAGCATGGTACTGGTACCAAAACAGATATATAGACCAATGGAACAGAAAAGAGGCTTCAGAAATAACACCACACATTTACAATCATCTGATCTTTGACAAATCTGACAAAAACAAGCAATGGGGAAAGGATTCCCTATTTAATAAATAGTGTTGGGAAAACTGGCTAGCCATATACAGAAAACTGAAACTGGACCTCTTCCTTATATCTTATACAAAAATTAACTCAAGATGGATTAAAAATTTAAACATAAGACCTAAAATCATAAAAACCCTAGAAAAAAACCTAAGCAATACCGTTCAGGACATAGGCATTGGCAAAGACTTCATGACTAAAACACCAAAAGCAATGGCAACAAAAGCCAAAATTGACAAATGGGATCTAATTAAACTAAAGAGCTTCTGCACAGAAAAGAAATTATCATCAGAGTGAACAGGCAACCTACAGAATGGGAGAAAATTTTTGCAATCTATCTGTCTGACAAAGGGCTAATATTCAAAATCTATGAGGAAGTTAAACAAATTTGCAAGAAGAAAACAAACAATCCTATCAAAAAGTGGGCAAAGTATATCAACAGACACTTCTCAAAAGAAGACATTTATGCAGTCAACAAACATAGGGAAAAAATGTTCATCATCACTGGTTATTAGAGAAATGCAAATCAAAACCACAATGAGATACCATCTCACACCAGTTAGAATGGCATTCATTAAAAAGTCAGGAAACAACAGATGCTGGTAAGGATGTGGAGAAATAGGAATGCTTTTACACTGCTGGTGGGAGTGTAAATTAGTTCAACCATTGTGGAAGACAGTTTGCCGAATCCTCAAGAATCTAGAACTAGAAATGCCATTTGACCCAGCTATCACATTACTGGGTATATACCCAAAGGATCATAAATCATTTTATTATAAAGACACATGCACACGTATGTTTATTGCAGCACTTTTCACAACAGCAAAGACTTGGAACCAACCCAAATGGTCATCAATGTTAGACTGGATAAAGAAAATATGGCACATATACACCATGGAATACTATGCAGCCATGAAAAAGAATGAGTTCATGTCCTTTGCAGGGACATGGAGGAAGCTGGAAACCATTATTCTTAGCAAACTCACAAAGGAACAGAATACCAAACACTGCATATTCTCACTCATAAGTGGGAGTTGGACAATGAGAATGTATGGGCACAGGGAGGGGAACATCACATACCAAGGCCTGTTGGGGGCTGGGAGGCAAGGGGAGGGATAGCATTAGGAGAAATACCTAATGTAGATGATGGGTTGATGGGTGCAGCAAACCACCATGGCACATGTATACATATGTAACAAACCTGTATGTTCTGCACATGTATCCCAGAACTTAAAGTAAAATAATTTTTAAAAAGAATAAGGAGTTTCATTTGGAATTCCTTTTAAGGAACCAGAATTCAGCCCCATTGCTCTACTTACATAAAATAATGAATAGTTTCAATTTTCTCCATTACAATACTGCTTTCTCATCCACAACTGACTATAGACATTCCTGTAAGATGAGGGTTTCCAACCTACGGTCTATGGAGAAGCCACAGATGGGTATGTGCAATAAGCTTTGTCCAAAGACTGCACACACAATTTGTCTCTTACTCCTCTGAACTATTTTTTAATAAATGGAAGTGCTGTTGTAATTGAGAACATAAAAAATTGCATAAAAACATTATCGTATTAACAGTATCTTTTGTTATCATGTATTTTCTCAATCGATGAAGATAAAATATACTGACAACCTGCGATAAAGGAGTATACTTGAAATTTTGAGGTGTAATGCTAGAGAAAGTTGGGAATCTTTTTCAATATGTTTTATATTAATTAAATTCTGGTCTTTCTTTAACTTCTTTATGGCCTCCCACTGTGTGTCTCACCATGATCTCCAAAATGTCAAATAATTTGAATGGTTGCAATGGAAAAATCTCTGGGTAACTTCCTTTCAATGTGCTCTATTTAGCATAGCTTAGAGAAATCTTCATTTCCCCTATGCCTATTTCTGAACCCTCCCTTCACCCCAACCACCATGGCCTCAACTGTATGTTTTAGCACTGCGTTCTGCCCAGAGAAATTCAAGCATTGCTGCAGTAGCTTGATGACATTATCAAGGACACAAGTATGTATGTTTGTTTGTTTGTTTGTTTGTTTGTTTGTTTTTTTGTTTGTTAATTTTCCTGGTCTACCAATCTCAGCCAGTTGGCTGGCTTTTGATGTCAAGCTTGTTCCCTCGTGGTTCAAGAAGACCACAACATCACAGCCACATCCAAAGGCCAAAAAAAAATAACATTTTTTTCTCACCCATCTCTTTTTATCAGGAGGAAAATCTTTCCCAGAAGTCCCTCCCTGAGAACATTCCCAGAAGATCCCCTCAGGGACCACTAACAAGGAGAGTTCACATGGCCAAACTCAAACTGCAAGGAGGCAGGGAAAACAAGCACTGGAATTTTCACCTCTATAGCAAGAAGTGGGTACTTCCGGCAGAGTTAGGAGACAAGAAATGGAAAAAAGGCTGATGAGTGTTTCCCTTAGATAGAGGCTGTAAATTCAAGCTGAAAGGACACATATGTAGGCTTTGGGAGCCAAATCTACTCTTGTTCTAAGCCTGCTTTAGCTCTAATTTATCTCCCCATCCAATTCTTTACTTCCTTTTTAATCCAGTTATTCCCAAAGATCTTTATGGAGTGAGTTTTCTTTGTTCTCAAGATAATTTAAATTCATTGTAGAAAAATTTAAAATACCAGTAAGCAAATACTAGAAAAAGTAAGTTATGCTACTCTGAGACAAATACTGTTAATAGCTTGGTACATATTTCTTTAATCATTGTTATAGTAACATATAGCAATGTTTAAATACATTTAATATATTAAATATATTATGTTTAATTTATATATTAAATATATTTAAACATATAACAATGTTTAAAGAAATGTTACTATAACAATGTTTAAAGAACTATATATCACATATACATTATACAAACAAATATATATAATATGCATATATGTATATACATACATATATGTATACAACATACATATATATGTTATACATTTGGGTATATATGTTACACATATACTTTTGTGTGTATGTGTACATACATATAAATGTGTATGTACCAACACACATTTGTATGTTATATGTATAGATATACATATATATAACACATATATAACATATAACAATGTTTAAAGAAATAAATATGTAGTAATATACAATGTTTAAAATACATTTTTGCAAGGTATTTTCCTTATAGTGTTTTCTTCTACTTCACTATATATAGGAATGCAAAAATGCAAGAGAAATCACTGTGCTTAACTTTAAAAGTTGAACTATTTTGGAAAGCAAATTGAAGTCCTTAGAAAGTAGCCAATGCCAACTGATAGACAAAGATAATAGGAAAAAGAAACAGTCATAAAAGAGTTTGAAATAGTGTCAATTTCAAGTTAATTCATCAAGTTTATACATTAGTAAATGTGAAGTTACATGGTATTTGGCCAAAGTGTAATATTTGATGAAATTAATTTCCAGTCTAACATTTGAAATAAGAACACCATTAGATTTCCATGCATATCCAGGTTTGCTTTGACTATTACAGGCATAAGTCATTCCTTTTAACTCTGTTATGAATAATTCTGTAGCATTAGAAGGATTTAGGGTATTAAATGTTTGCTCTAGTTTACAAAAACATCCACAGAAAAAGCACTTTTATCTTTCAGAGTTTTCACTGAGCTTTTTCAAGGAACTTATTCAAATTCACCCTAAAACTCATTTTTGAATAACAAATATAGTAACTTTAAATTAGTCAGCATCACAGAAACGTTTTCCTTGCACTTCTAGAAAACACCTGCCCACAGCTCACATCTCATGGAGATGACGACAGCTTGATAGTGTGATTTTGACCAGCCATCTTGACTTTGCTTCTTTGATGCATCTATTTGGCCATGGGAATGTTTTGATGTTGTTCATATTCCAGCTTTGTCATTTATTAGATGTTTTCTGGTGACCTATGACTTAATCTTTATAAAGGCTCCACTTTCTCATGTATAGAATAAAAATAGTAATATGCACCTAATAAGCTTGTGGTGAGGATTAAATGAAATATTTTAAGTGCTTATGTCTAGGACATATCAGTGGCTCAGTAAGTATAGCAATGACAAAATCAGCAACTGGGGTATTGATGATGTTGATGGATGAAGATGGAGCAAGTGCCTGTACAACATAGGACTAAAAAGATGCTCTCCCTTTATCTGAGGGTCCGGTTCAAGCATCCCTAAACATAAAGCATGTTCAGTAAGCTTAATTATCAACTTTCAGAATTAAGTTGGGAAAATTAAAGTTATGTGAACTTCAGAATCAAAAAAGTTAGAGGCAAGAGTACTATCATGTGTTTGGTAGTGGCACTTACTGATGAAAGGTGACACTACAGGCCAGAAGTACCTTTCACATCTATTTCTTTCCTCAATTTACTGACTTAATTGGTTTTTAACATACTGATGGTTCATTTTTTGCCAGGTATTTTCTAGGTTCTTATTTTTGTCTTGGTATTGCAAAAGTTCTAGAAGCTATTAATGAAATCAGGGTATGCCCAGCTATCAAAGAAATGTTTATGATATAGACTTAGGCATATAGAAAGGAAAAAAGTCAATGGTGGAGAATAGACTGCAGTTTGGAAAATGCTATGAACCAATCCACTAAAACAAATGTTAAAAGAGGAACCACTACTGTTTCCAGAGAATCCTCATGAAAACTTCAACCATGAGTGCACACAGTACTAGAAACATACATGGCTCCTTAAAAAGATTCTTCAGAAACATGTGGCTGCTTCTATTTGTCCAGGATAAAACTTGCTATTACAGCATTTCCCAGTGTGAAAGAAATTGGAGTAGAAAGATTTCAATGTCGATTTCTGCTGGTAAACTTTTCCACAGCTATTCCTCCCATCCCCATCAAACACTATCATCATTAAAAAGAATAGAGAAGAAAAACAACCACATTGTCCTACGAAATAGACAATAAAAATTAGATACAGTTTTTGCTGAAAGTGTAAAAGGAAGATAATTCTCTTAAGAAGCATGCCTCTGTTGACGTCAAATAAAGTTGTATGACTTAAGAAAGAAGGTACAACTAATTACTGATTATCTTCCACTCCATGAAAGGAAAGGTGGAAACAGATGATATTATAATTTGAATCAATTTATTGAATTTAAAATTACTACTTTTCTACAGAATCTGTCTATGATGGTCACAGTAACCAGAGATCTGCAATGTAGTTTGCCTTGCCTGTGAATCCTGGTGTGTGTACATGTTTATGCATAGATGTATATAGGAACAAAATGTTTAGCCAGCAGCTGATGGAAAAACATTTGTCCAGTGTTTTGAAATATACAATTCTATCTTGGATGACAACAGCTTGATGTAAATTTGACACTCTTGTCTACAAATGTTGGTGTGGCAGGCTTAGTGACAAGAATATGGCTGAAAATTCTATTCTGGCTCAGTGTAAGCATTTAAGCATATGTCCATTTATCTCCTCCTGTACCAGTAACATATCCTATTCAACAGATGGGGCAGGTTACTGAGAACAAAGAATGATCGTGGCTTACGTTGTCTGCCCCACAAACACCTCTTTGAAAAGAATTTAGCCTTCACTTTTCAGAGCACTTTGATGTTTTGCATTTGGTTTAAGGCTAGTTTGGTATTGAAAAAGACTGTACATTCTTAATTCCTCAACACAGGAGTATATAAGAAAGGGAATTTTAACCCTTAATATTCTTGCCTGAAATCATCAGGCTAGGTAATATTAAACTTGAGTTAGCACACTTACAAATTTCAGCCTGAGAATTTATATGGTGACCTAAAAGTTTCTCAAATCAAAGTTGAGTGGAGAAGCTTTTCAATGACTAAATCTGACAAGTAAATGAGTATACACACATACACACAGTCACTCAACATCTACCATAGACTCATCAGTTTTCTCCAGTATAGGTTCACTATTGAGAGAAAGAAAAAGGAAGGAAGAAAGGAATTTGCACATGAAAATTTAAGCCTCTAAAGTATGTAAAATTCCTGAAAAATGAACAAAACAGATTTTAGGATTTTATAAATTTATAAATCGATTGATAGATTTTATAAATCAATATCACTTCATATTTCTCCATTGATTTATATCATTTTTTCAGAAATATTTTATCTGGTTTCTGATAAGCTCTTATTGCATTAACTTTTACTTTAATTATTTGTGGCTATTTCACACAAACTGTATTTCAAAGCCGTTGCAGCACAATGGTTAAAACAGATCTGTGTTAGAATCCTGTCTCTCTTGTAAACTCTATTTGCTTTACAAAAGTAAACTAACCAGTCATCAGTAAAGGAGGCATTGTAATATCCACCCCACCAGACACTCTAAGGATAGAGTAAGCTCTACACGCAAGGTGCTTAGTACAGTGCCTTGTCAACAGTAACATTAAAAAAAATGTCAATACCTGCTAAACTTCAGATTTCAAACCTGGCTACTTATTAGAACTTGGGTAGCTTTTTAAATACTGATACTGATGTCCCCATCCCATTCCAATGAAATCAGAATCTCTTTTTAATGTTCTCTTATTATTTATTATAATAATATTTTAATGTGCAATCTGAGTTAAAACCCACTTAGGCATTTTGTGGGCAAGGATTATATCTATCTTTTTCACCGTTTCATACCTATGACCTAGCACAGTACTTGGTACAGAAAAGGTACTCAATATATATCTTGAATGAATTAATTTAAAAGGTCTGTCTGTTCAACATATTTCAAGATAAATTAACAACAAATATCAGTACATGAAATGTTTATAAAACCAAGAAAAAAGAAAAGAAAAGTAATTCGGTATCCAAATGGAAACCTGAGCACACCATAGCTTCCATATTTAACTCCCAGGCAATAGAAGCATATGCCTTTCTGAAGGGGTGGACTGCCCCTCCACACCTGTGGGTATATGTCATCAGGTGGGATGAGAGACTAAGAAAAGAAATAAGACACAGAGACAAAGTATAGAGAAACAACAGTGGGCCCAGGAGACCGGAACTCAGCATACCAAGGACCTGCACCAGCACTGGTCTCAGAGTTCCCTCAGTTTTTATTGATTACTATTTTCACTATCTCAGCAAGAGGAATGCGGTAGGAGAGCAGGGTGATAATAGGAAGAAGATCAGCAAGAAAACATGTGAGCAAAGGAATCTGTGTCACAAATAAGTTCAAGGAGAGGTATTATGCCTGGATGTGCACGTAGGCCAGATTTATGTTTCTCTCTGCCCAAATATCTCTGTGGAGTAAAGAATAACAAAGCAGCATTGCTGCCAACATGTCTCGCCTCCCACCACAGGGCAGCTTTTCTCCTATCTCAGAATTGAACAAATGTACAATCGGGTTTTATACTGAGACATTCAGTTCCCAGGGGCAGGCAGGAGACAGTGGCCTTCCTCTACCTCAACAGCAAGAGGCCTTCCTCTTTTACTAAACCCCCTCAGCACAGACCATTCATGGGTGTCGGGCTGGGGGACGGTCAGGTCTTTCCCATCCCACAAGGCCATATTTCAGACTATCACATGGGGAGAAACCTTGGACAATACCCGGCTTTCCAGGGCAGAGGTCCCTGCGGCTTTCTGCAGTGCATTGTGGCCCTGGTTTATCGAGACAGGAGAATGGCGATGACTTTTACCAAGCATACTGCCTGTAAACATTTTGTTAACAAGGCACATCTTGCACAGCCCTAGATCCCTTAAGCCTTGATTCCATACAACACATGTTTCTGTGAGCTCAAGGTTGGGGCAAAGTTACAGATTAACAGCATCTCAGGGCAAGGCAATTGTTCAGGGTATAGGTCAAAATGGAGTTTCTTATGTCTTCCCTTTCTACATAGACACAGTAACAGTCTGATCTCTCTTTTCCTTACACATTTCCAGTCATCGTTGTATTATTCAGGTAAAATAAGAAGTAGATAATTTTGTTTAATCAGTAGAGCAACTAATAAGAGCTTTTACAACAACTTATAAAAATCTTACACTAGAAGAATAGTCCTCCACCTTTTTACTTTCACAGCATACTTATGAATACAGGAATGTTTGTCCACATACAAGAAGGGACTAAAAACCTCAAAGCAACACCAAATAAGCCAGAAGCAACTACAACATGATCATTACTATGAGTGGAAAAATGTCTCACAAGATTTATAAAACTCACTCAGTTATCCAATCATTTCCTCAATCTTGTTGTAGAGAATACGTTTTAGAAGAATTTTGTTCTTACTTTACTTCCTTATAAACTCATGTGACAAAGTTCTCACACGTTCCAGTAAGCGTTCAAAAGATTTTCAATGCCATTTTAGCTTACAGTAATAGCAAATTATACTCACTTATACTCTATATGCACCCCACAACCCTCTGAGCTCAAAGTTATATCTGACTGAAATTTTCAAGGTGGTAAGTATACTCGGTTGTGGTAAAAGGTAACATTATTCACTGATAACATTATCCAGCTCTTTCTATAATAGTGCTATATAACAATACTTCCCCAAACTCAGCAATTTACAATTACAAGCATTTATACACATGCTTCTGGGATGGCAGGGAAGCTGCAGTTTGACTAATGTAGCCCGAGCGAGCTTGGCTGAGCAGCTCTTCCTCCTGCTTCAGGTCAGCCGGGCACTGCTCCAGACTGTGGGTTGTAGGTCTGCTCCGATGTCATATTTTAGGTCCCAGAAAAAGGGAACATATTCTTCATGTGGCAGATCACCAGAATGCAAGAGAAGCAAATCTAATCACAAAGCACATTTCAAGCATCTGCTCATCTCAAAGCTGACTTCATCCACTGGCCAAAGCAAGGCATATGGCCCATCCCCAAAATCAAGGTGATGGGGGGAGAAAGATGTATGTTATCCATTATGAAGCTATGGCAAGTAAATGGATGTGTAATTCTGTTCAAGGGAAGCTAAGCGCTCAGTTTCATACTGAGCAAAATATAGTGGCGTACAATTTGAGAACTCCTGCCAGAAAACTCCTGCCAGAGGAAAGAGAATAAGGCAAGCAGCATTGATTATCATGCTTTGACTGAATAGGTGGATACCTTTCCAACTGGTTTGCTCAAAATATCAAAATGGCTCTCTACCTACCAGAATTTAAATTTTTATGATTAGAATCTCATGTTAGTTAAACAACCAAAATTAGAGCTCCAAGAGACTCCAATAAAATTTAGAATATTTCCTTAGAGACAGAGTAATAGAATCAGGTATCCTGAACCAGGCACAACAAGGTTTGAACCCCAGCTCCTACACTGACTAGCTGCGTGATCTTAAGTTACTTAAGTCTCTAAATGCTTGGAGTTTTTTGTTTCCTAGGTTGTTTTTGGCCGTTTTATTTTATTTCATCTATGTCTATACATTGGAAATAGTACTGACCTCATGGAATGGTAGTGAGGATTAACTGAGCAAATAAGAAAAGCATCTGACCAACTATTGGTGCAATTTCTTCATTCCCTTTCAGCCCTGAGAGCAGGGCCCACTTATGAGACTGGCTGTTTAGTTTCCTAAGAGAAGAGCAGAGGGAAAAGAGATGGTGATGATACAGCCTAAATTTCTTGGCACAGTCTTCATCTCTCTAAATATGTTTGTACCTTTGACACAATGTGTCTTTATTTCTTATTTAGAAAACACTATCACTCTTAGATGGATGACCTGGCAGTTACATGTGAGAAAGAAGATGCTCATCACTCTCTGCCCTCACCCTTCTTCATTAATCACCTCTCATCTAATTCTAACACACACTTTACTTCAATGCCATTTACTCTGTAAAGTATACATTGGAATCGCATGTATTCCCTGACCCTACGCTGCTCTCAACTAGGCTGGGTGCTCCTCCCATGTGCTCTATAGATCATAGTAATTCTCCATCTTAATATTTCTCATGCCACATTGCAATTGTGCATTATGTGGATCCCCACTCTGCTCTAAGCTCTTGTCGGTCTTGTTCATTCATTTTTTGTAGGATATGACAGTGATGGGCATCTATTATTTCGGCCTGGCCAGCATCCAGCCCTTCTTCTTGTGGTATCTCCTTAGTGGCATTATTTTTTATCCCTAGATTTAGCTTTAACTAAAAGTCTACCCATGAACCCTTCCCTAAATAATTTTTTTTAAAAGATCTCCTTTTGCTTACAACAGTTTGCATTACATTTGGAACTTCCAACTGAAATGACTGACATATAGAGGTGCTGGTTCATGGCCAAAGGGGTATTGCCAGTTACCAACCAAAAATATCCAATTTAATGAGTCAATGTACGGTAAACTGTTTCTCTTCTGCCCCCAAGTGGAAGCCAAGATTGAGTGCATTAGACTGAGGGTTCAGGGCATAGGCAGGGCATTGGGCCTCTTGCTCTGAGAAGCCTGGAGCCACAGACCCAGGGTACAGGGACTTGAAGGACACCAATAAACAGGAAGTGGGGAATGCAGATACCTCTGCAAACAAGCTCCCCTGGCCTCATCGCTTGGCATGGGACTCATCATGCTCCTCCCACAGGACAAATCTCAGTCTCCTGACAACGATGGGAAAGAGGATCAAATAGCTCAACTTCAGGAAGAAGTTGTTATGTTATTTTAAGAGTGAATGGAAGTCATTAGTACCATGACATTCCCGGTGTGGGCCTAGTCACGGAGCTGCCTGTTTGCCTTTGAAGCCGGCATGATGCAGCTGCTCCTGCATGTTTGCTCTGAAAATAAGATCAGACACCTAATCCTCTCCCACAAGCCATTACATGTTAGAAATGCCTGATTCTCCCCAGGCCACCTACAATCTCATGACCTGTCGTTTTTTTGCATTTACATCAGAGGGGATTTTCTTCCCTCTGCCTTACATCTCCATAGTTTCATAAAACTCTACATAATTGTACATAATTGAGGGTTTCAAACAGCAGTGATGGATTACATGACCTATTAAGTAATTTGATAGCCTACACCTCATTTTGCATTCAAAGACATGGGGTGAGCACAGAGAAAACGGACCTTCCTGGATCCCCTGATGGCTATGTGGTTGCCAACAGCTTTCCAGTGAAACACCTGTGAGAAACTGACCTATGCACATTGATTAGTAAGATTAGACTCAGAATTTGTGACAGAAAGAAGTATTTGAACACTTGTGCTTTGCACATATATGAATACATTTCTTTGCAATTGATTTTTGTATATAGGCAGAGGGTTGAGCAAAGCAGGGATAGAATTAAGTCCCTGAAAGCAAGAGCTGCTGATTTCTGATTAGGACCATATCCAGGAGTGCCATGGGTTTCAAATTGTATTCTTTAACCTCTTTGCCCTCACATATGGGTCTGGAAGGAGTTTGCTGAGGGTTCCATGATGATTAACTGGTTACTTCTAACCACCATCAATATTTTACTTGAGGGTAATAATAATTCCTTCTTCCTTTTTTCACATTTTTTAGTAAATCAAGATTTTCAAGGGACTATATTGGATAAAGGTTTTAGCAAATTGTTATTTTTTATTTTTTATCATGAATTGAGTTGTGTAAACTTGGATAGTATTTCAAAGGGTTCTGTGGTTTTAGAAAGTTTGATGGTAGCTAACTCGAGGTATTTCTCAGTCCTATAACTTCCAGCTTCAAGGTGATCCCTATGAGCAAGACTAAATACTGCCTAAATGATGCGGCCTCTATATTCACATCATCATTGGTTTTCTTTCCATTTTTTTACTCCCTCAAATTCCTACTAAAAACAAAAAAAGACACTAAATGAAACTAAAGCTATGTCCAAAATATAAATAAACAAGTATATATTGCTCTTTTAGAAGGCAAGTCTCATAATGGCCAGTGACAGAAACCAAAGTCAAAATAGCTTAAACAAAAGCAGAATACATTGTCAAACTCAGGTGTCCAAAGGACAGGCAGCCAAGAAGTCAGGCAGAGCACAGAGCCCAGTGCTGGGAGGATTTTAGGACTATTGCCTTTCACTCTCTCTCTCTCTCTCTCTAATTTTTTTTATTATACTTTAAGTTCTAGGGTACATGTGCACAACGTGCAGGTTTGTTACATAGGTATACATGTGCCATGTTGGCTTGCTGCACCCATTACTCGTCATTTACGTTAGGTATTTCTCCTAATGCTATCCCTCCCCCTGCACCCCAGCCCATGACAGGCCCCATGGTGTGATGTTCCCCACCCTGTGTCCAAGTGTTCTCATTGTTCAATTCCCACCTATGAGTGAGAATATGTGATGTTTGGTTTTCTGTCCTTGTGATACTTTGCTCAGAATGATGGTTTCTAGCTGCATGCATGTCCCTACAAAGGACATGAACTCATCCTTTTTTATACCTGCATAGTATTCCATGGTGTATATGTGCCATATTTTCTTAATCCAGTCTATCATTGATGGACATTTGGGTTGGTTCCAAGTCTTTGCTATTGTGAATAGTGCCACAATAAACATATATGTACATGTGTCTTTATATTAGCATGCTTTATAATCCTTTGGGTATATACCTGGTAATGGGATGGCTGGGTCAAATGGTATTTCTAGTTCTAGATCCTTGAGGAATTGCCACACTGACTTCCACATTTGTTGAACTAGTTTACAGTCCCACCAACAGTGTAAAAGTGTTCCTATTTCTCAACATCCTCTCCAGGCCGTTGTTTCCTGATTTTTAATGATCGCCATTCTAACTGGTATGAGATGGTATCTCATTGTGCTTTTCATTTGTATTTCTCTGAGGGCCAGTGATGATGAGCATTTTTTCATGTATCTGCTGGCTGCATAAATGTCTTCTTTTGAGAAGTGTCTGTTCATATCCTTCACCCACTTTTTGATGAGGTTGTTTTTTTCTAGTAAATTTGTTTAAGTTCTTTGTAGATTCTGGATATTAGCCCTTTGTCAGATGGGTTGATTGCAAAAATTTTCTCCCATTCTATAGGTTGCCTGTTCACTCTGACGGTAGTTTCTTTTGCTGTGCAGAGGCTCTTTAGTTTAATTAGATCCCATTTGTCAATTTTGGCTTTTGTTGCCATTGCTTTTGGTGTTTTAGTCTTGAAGTCTTTGCCCATGCCTACGTCCTGAATGGTATTGCCTAGGTTTTCTTCTAGGGTTCTTATGGTATTAGGTCTAACATTTAAGTCTTTAATCCATCTTGAATTAATTTTTGTATAAGGTGAAAGGAACAGATCCAGTTTCAGCTTTCTGCATATGGCTAGCAAGTTTTCCCACCACCATTTATTAAATAGGAAATCTTTTCCCCATTTCTTGTTTTTGTCAGATTTGTCAAAGATCAGATGGTTGTACATGTGTGGTGTTATTTCTGAGACCTATGTTCTGTTCCATTGGTCCATCTCTGTGTTTTAGTACAAGTACCATGCTGTTTTGGTTACTGTAGCCTTGTAGTATAGTCTGAAGTCAGGTAGTGTGATGCCTCCAGCTTTGTTCTTTTTGCTTAGGATTGTCTTGGCAATGCAGGCTCTTTTTTTGGTTCCATATGAACTTTAAAGTAGTTTTTTCCAATTATGTGAAGAAAGTCTTTGGTAGCTTGATGGGGATGGCATTCAATCTATAAATTACCTTGGGTAGTATGGCCATTTTCACAATATTGATTCTTCCTATCCATAAGCATGGAATGTTCTTCCATTTGTTTGTGTCCCTTTTTACTTCATTGAGCAGTGGTTTGTAATTCTCCTTGAAGAGGCCCTTCACATCTCTTGTAAGTTGTATTCCTAGGTATTTTATTTTGTTTGTAGCAATTGTGAATGGGAGTTCACTCATGATTTGGCTCTCTGTCTCTTATTGGTGTACAGGAATGCTTGTGATTTTTGCACATTGATTTTGTATCCTGAGACTTTACTGAAGTTGCTTATCAACTTAAGGAGATTTTGGGCTGAGACGATGGGGTTTTCTAAATATACAATCATGTCATCTGCAAATAGGGACAATTTGACTTCCTCTTTTCCTAATTGAATACATTTCTTTCTCTTGCCTGATTGCCCTGGCCAGAACTTCCAATACTATGTTGAATAGGAGTGGTGAGAGCGGGCATCCCTATCTTGTGCCAGTTATCAAAGGGAATGCTTCCCATTTTGCACATTCAGTATGATATTGGCTGTGGATTTGTCATAAATACCTCTTATTATTTTGAGATACATTCCATTAATACCTAGTTTATTGACAGTTTTTATCATGAAGAGCTGTTGAATTTTGTTGAAGACCTTTTCTGTATCTATTGAGATAATCATGTGGTTTTTGTTGTTGGTTCTGTTTATGGGATGGATTACATTTATTGATTTGCGTATGTTGAACCAGTCTTGCATCTCAGGGATGAAGCCAACTTGATCGTGGTGGATAAGCTTTTTGATGTGCTGCTGGATTTGGTTTGCCAGTATTTTATTGAGGATTTTCACATGGATGTTCATCAGGGATATTGGTCTAAAATTTTCTTTTTTTGTGGTGTCTCTGCCAGGCTCCATTATCAGGATGATGTTGGCCTCATAAAATGAGTTAGGGAGGATTCCCTCTTTTTCTATTGATTGGAATAGTTTCAGAAGGAATGGTACCAGTTCCTCCTTGTACCCCTGGTAGAATTTCACTGTGAATCCGTCTGGTCCTGGACTTTTTTTGGTTGGTAGGCTATTAATTATTGTCTCAACTTCAGGGCCTGTTATTGGTCTATTCAGGGATTCAGCTTCTTCCTGGTATAGTCTTGGGAGGGTGTATGTGTCCAGGAATTTATCAATTTCTTCTAGATTTTCTAGTTTATTTGCATAGAGGTGTTTACAGTATTCTCTGATGGTAGTTTGTATTTCTGTGGGATCAGTGGTGATATCCCCTTTATCATTTTTTATTGTGTCTATTTCATTCTTCTCTCTTTTCTTCTTTATTAGTCTTGCTAGCAGTCTATCAATTTTGTTGATCTTTTCAAAAAACCAGCTCCTGGATTCATTGATTTTTTTCAAGGGTTTTTGTGTCTCCATCTCCTTCAGTTCTGCTCTGATCTTAGTTATTTCTAGCCTTCTGCTAGCTTTTGAATGTGTTTGCTCTTGCTTCTCTAGTTCTTTTAATTGTGATGTTATGGTGTGGATTTTCCATCTTTTCTGCTTTCTCTTGTGGGCATTTAGTGCTATAAATTTCCCTCTACACACTGCTTTAAATGTGTCCCAGAGATTCTGGTACATTGTGTCTTTGTTGTCATTGGTTTCAAAGAACATATTTATTTCTGCCTTCATTTCGTTATTTACCCAGTAGTCATTCAGGAGCAAGTTGTTCAGTTTCCATGTAGTTGTGCAGTTTTGAGTGAGTTTCTTACTCCTGAGTTCTAATTTGATTGCACTGTGGTCTGAGAGACTGTTTGTTGGGATTTCTGTTCTTTTACATTTGCTAAGGAGTGCTTTACTTCCAACTATGTGGTCAATTTTTGGAATAAGTGCGACGTGGTGCTGAGAGGAATGTATATTTTGTTAATTTGGGGTGGAGAGTTCTGTAGATGTCTATTAGGTCTGCTTGGTGCAGAACTCAGTTCAATTCCTGGATATCCTTGTTAAGCTTCTGTCTCATTGGTCTGTCTAATATTGACAGTGGGATGTGAAAGTCTCCCATTATTATTGTGTGGAGTCTAAGTCTCTTTGTAGGTCTCTAAGAACTTGCTTTATGAATCTGGGAGCCCCTGTATTGGGTGCATATATATTTAGAATAGTTAGCTCTTCTTGTTGAATTGATCCCTTTACCATTATGTAATGGCCTTCTTTGTCTCTTTTGATCTTTGTTGGTTTAAAATCTGTTTTATCAGAGACTAGGATTGCAACCCCTGTTTGTTTTTTTTGTTTTTTTTTTTACTTTCCACTTACTTGGTAGATCTTCCTCCATCCCTTTATTTTTTTATTTATTTTTTTAATTGGTATGTTTTACTGTTTATTGCTGTAAGGAATTACATTAGTCAAATATAAATGTTTAGTACATTTTCTTTTTTTCTGATTTATTATCCTCTTTTTTTTATTATTATACTTTAAGTTTTAGGGTACAAGTGCACAATGTGCAGGTTAGTTACATATGTATACATGTGCCATGTTGGTGTGCTGCACCCAGTAACTCGTCATTTAACATTAGGTATATCTCGAAATGCTATCCCTCTCCCCTGCCCCCACCCCACAACAGGCTCGGTGTGTGATGTTCCCCTTCCTGTGTCCATGTGTTCTCATTGTTCAATTCCCACCTATGAGTGAGAACATGCAGTGTTTGGTTTTTTGTCCTTGTGATAGTTTGCTGAGAATGATGGTTTCTAGCTTCATCCATGTCCCTACAAAGGACAAGAACTCATCATTTCTTATGGCTGCATAGTATTCCATGGCGTATATGTGCCACGTTTTCTTAATCCAGTCTATCATTGTTGGACATTTGGGTTGGTTCCAAGTCTTTGCTATTGTGAATAGTGCCACAATAAACATATGTGTGCATGTGCCTTTATAGCAACATGATTTATAATCCTTTGGGTATATACCCACTAATGGATTGACTGGGTCCAATGGTATTTCTAGTTCTAGAACCCTGAGAAATCGCCACACCGACTTCCACAATGGTTGAACTAGTTTACAGTCACACCAACAGTGTAAAAGTGTTCCTATTTCTCCACATCCTCTCCAGCACCTGTTGTTTCCTGACTTTTTAATGATTGCCATTCTAACTGGTGTGAGATGGTATCTCATTATGGTTTTGATTTGCATTTCTCTGATGGCCAGTGATGATGAGCATTTTTTCATGTGTCTTTTGGCTGCATACATGTCTTCTTTTGAGAAGTGTTTGTTCATATCCTTCGCCCACTTTGTGATGGGGTTGTTTGTTTTTTCTCATAAATTTGTTGGAGTTCATTGTATATTCTGGATACTAGCCCTTTGACAGATGAGTAGATTGCAAAAATTTTCTCCCATTTTGTAGGTTGCCTGTTCACTCTGATGGTAGTTTCTTTTGCTGTGCAGAAGCTCTTTAGTTTCATTAGATCCCATTTGTCAATTTTGGTTTTTATTGCCATTGCTTTTGGTGCTTTAGACATGAAGTCCCTGCCCATGCCTATGTCCTGAATGGTATTGCCTAGGTTTTCTTCCAGGTTTTTTATGGTTTTAGGTCTAACATGTAAGTCTTTAATCCATCTTGAATTAATTTTTGTATAAGGTGTAAGGAAGGGATCCAGTTTCAGCTTTCTACATATGGCTAGCCAGTTTTCCCAGCACCATTTATTAAATAGGGAATCGTTTCCCCATTTATTGTTTTTGTCAGATTTGTCAAAGATCAGATAGTTGTAGATATGTGGCATTATTTCTGAGGGCTCTGTTCTGTTCCATTGGTCGATATCTCTGTTTCGGTACAAGAACCATGCTGCTTTGGTTACTGTAGCCTTGTAGTACAGTTTGAAGTCAGGTAGCGTGATGCCTCCAGCTTTGTTCTTTTGGCTTAGGATTGACTTGGCAATGCGGGCTCTCTTTTGGTTCCATATGAACTTTAAAGTAGTTTTTCCCAATTCTGTGAAGAAAGTCATTGGGAGCTTGATGGGGATGGTATTGAATCTATAAATTACCTTGGGCAGTATGGCCATTTTCACGATATTGATTTTTCCTACCCATGAGCATGGAATGCTCTTCCATTTGTTTGTATCCTCTTTTATTTCATTGAGCAGTGGTTCGTAGTTCTCCTTCAAGAGGTCCTTCACGTCCCTTGTAAGTTGTATTCCTAGGTATTTTATTCTCTTTGAAGCAATTGTGAATGGGAGTTCACTCATGATTTGGCTCTCTGTTTGTCTGTTATTGGTGTATAAGAATGCTTGTGATTTTTGCACATTGATTTTGTATCCTGAGACTTTGCTGACATGGCCTATCAGCTTAAGGAGATTTTGGGCTAAGAAAATGGATTTTTCTAGATATACAATCATGTCATTCACAAACAGGGACAATTTGACTTCCTCTTTTCCTAATTGAATACCCTTTATTTCCTCCTCCTGCCTGATTTCCCTGGCCAGAACTTCCAACACTATGTTGAATAGGAGTGGTGAGAGAGGGCATCCCTGTCTTGTGCGAGTTTTCAAAAGGAATGCTTCCAGTTTTTGCCTATTCAATATGATATTGGCTGTGGGTTTGTCAGAGATAGCTCTTATTATTTTGAGATACATTCCATCAATACCTAATTTATTGAGAGATTTTAGCATGAAGGGCTGTTGAATTTTGTCAAAGGCCTTTTCTTCATCTATTGAGATAATCATATGATTTTTTTGTTGGTTCTGTTTATATGCTGGATTATGTGGACAAAGACGCAACATACCAGAATCTCTGGGACACATTCAAAGCAGTGTGTAGAGGGAAATTTATAGCACTAAATGCCCACAAGAGAAAGCAGAAAAGATCTAAAATTGACACCCTAACATCACAATTAAAAGAACTAGAGAAGCAAGAGCAAACACATTCAAAAACTAGCAGAAGGCTACAAATAACTAAGATCAGAGCAGAACTGAAGGAAATAGAGACACAAAAAACCCTTCAAAAAATCAATGAATCCAGGAGCTGGTTTTTTGAAAAGATCAACAAAATTGATAGACTGCTAGCGAGACTAGTAAAGAAGAGAGAAGAATCAAATAGACCAATAAAAAATGATACAGGGGATATCACCACTGATCCCACAGAAATACAAACTACCATCAGAGCATACTATAAACACCTTTATGCAAATAAACTGGAAAATCTAGAAGAAATGGATAAATTCCTCGACACATACACCCTCCCAAGACTAAACCAGGAAGAAGTTGAATCTCTGAATAGACCAATAACAGGCTTTGAAATTGAGGCAATAATCAATAGTTTACCAACCAAAAAAGTCCAGGACCAGATGGATTCACAGCCAAATTCTACCAGAGGTACAAGGAGGAGCTGGTACCATTCCTTCTGAAACTATTCCAATCAATAGAAAAAGAGGGAATCCTCCCTAACTCGTTTTATGAGGCCAGCATCATCCTGATACCAAAGACTGGCAGAGACACAACAAAAAAAGAGAGTTTTAGACCAATATCCCTGATGAACATCGATACAAAAATCCTCAGTAAAATACTGGCAAACCAAATCCAGCAGCACATCAAAAATCTTATCCACCATGTTCAAGCGGGCTTCATCCCTGGGATGCAAGGCTGGTGCAACATATGCAAAACCATCCTTTTATTTTGAGTCTATATGTGCCTCTGCACATGACATGGGTCTCCTGAATACAGCACGGTGATGGGTCTTGACTCTTTATCCAATTTGCCAGTCTGCGTCTTTAATTGGGGCATTTAGTCCATTTACATTTAAGGTTAATATTGTTATGTGTGAATTTGATCCTCTCATGATGTTAACTGGTTATTTTGTCTGTTAGTTGATGCAGTTTCTTCCTAGTATCAATGGCCTTTACAATTTGGCATGTTTTTGTAGTGGCTGGTACAAGTTGTTCCTTTCCATGTTTAGTGCTTCCTTCAAGAGCTCTTGTATGGCAGGTCTGGTGGTGACAAAATCTCTCAGCATTTGCTTGTCTGTATAGGATTTTATTTCTCCTTCATTTGTGAAGCATAGTTTGGCTGGATATGAAATTCTGGGTTGAAATTTCTTTTCTTTAAGAATGTTGAACATTGGCCCCCACTCTCTTCTGCCTTGTAGCATTTCTGCCAAGAGATCCGCTGTTAGTGTCTTGGGCTTCCCTTTGTGGTTAACCGTCCTTTCTCTCTGGCTGCCTTTAACATTTCCTTCATTTCAACCTTGGTGAATCTGACAATTATGTGTCTTGGGGTTACTCTTCTTGAGGAGGTAACATCTTTGTGGTGTTCTCTGTATTTCCTGAATTTGAATGTTGGCATGCCTTCTAGGTTAAGGAAGTTCTGGATAATATCCTGAAGAGTGTTTTCCAACTTGGTTCCATTCTCCCTGTCACTTTCAGGTACACCAATCAAACATAGATTTGGTCTTTTCACATAGTCCCATATTTTCTGGAGGCTTTGGATGTTTCTTTTTACTCTTTTTTCTCTAAACTTCTCCTCTCCCTTTATTTCATTAATTTGATCTTCAATCACTGATACCCTTTCTTCCCATTGATTGAACTGGCTATTGAAGCTTGTGCGTGCATCACGTAGTTCTCATGCCATGGTTTTCAGCTCCATCACGTCATTTAAGGTCTTCTGTACACTGTTTATTCTAGTTAACCATTCGTCTAATCTTTTTTCAAGGTTTTTATCTCCCTTGCGATGGGTTCGAACAGCCTCCTTTACCTCAGAGAAGTTTGTTATTACCAACCTTCTGAAGCCTACTTCTGTCATCTCATCAAAGTCATTCTCCATCCAGCTTTGTTCCATTGCTTGCAAGGAGCTGCGATCCTTTGGAGTAGATGAGGCTCTCTGGTTTTTAAAATTTTCAGCTTTTCTGCTCTGGTTTCTCCCAATCTTTGTGGTTTTAGCTAACTTTGGTCTTTGATGTTGGTGACCTACAGATGGGGTTTTGGTGTGGATGTCCTTTTTGTTGATGTTGATGCTATTCCTTTCTCTTTGTTAGTCTTCCTTCTAGGAATCAGGTCCCTCAGCTGCAGGTCTGTTGGAGTTTGCTGGAGGTCCACTCTGGATGCTGTTTGCTTGGGTGTCACCAGCGGAGGCTGCAGGACAGCAAATATTGCTACCTGATCCTTCCTCTGGAAGCTTCATCCCAGAGGGGCACCCACCTGTATGAGGTGTCAGTTGGCCCCTACTGGGAGGTGTCTCCCAGTTAGGCTACATGGGAGTCAGGGACCCACTTGAGGAGGCAGTGTGTCTGTTCTCAGAGCTCAAACACTGTGCTGGGAGAACCACTGCTCTCTTCAGAGCTGTCAGACAGGGACGTTTAAGTCTGAAGAAGTTTCTGCTCCCTTTTGTTCAGCTATGCCCTGCCACTAGAGGTGGGGTCTACAGAGGCAGCAGGCCTTGCAGATCTGTGGTGGGCTCCATCCAGTTCGAGCTTCCCCAACCACTTTGTTTACCTACTCAAGCCTCAGCAATGGCAGACACCACTCCCCCTGCCAGGTTGCTACCTCACTGGTCGATCTCAGACTGCTGCACTAGCAGTGAGCAAGGCTCCATGGGCATGGGACCCACTGAGCCAGGCAGGCGCGGGATATAATCTCCTGGTGTGCTGTTTGCTAAGACCATTGGAAAAGCACAGTATTTGGGTGGAAGTGTCCCGATTTTCCAGGTACAGTCTGTCGCAGCTTCCCTTGGCTAGGAAAGGAAATCCCCAAACCCCTTGCACTTCCCAGGTGAGGTAATGCCCCGTCCTGCTTTGGCTCACTCTCCATGGGCTGCACCCACTGTCTAACCAGTACCAATGAGATGAACCAGGTGCCTCAGTTGGAAATGCAGAAATCACCATCTTCTGTGTTGATCACACTGGGAGCTACAGACCGGAGCTGTTCCTATTTGGCCATCTTGGAACAAAATCCTCTCTTTAATTTTTTTCAGAGATGAGGTGTTGCTCTGTTGCCCAGGTTTGAGTGCAGTGGTGATGTGAGCATAGCTCACTGCTGCCTTGAACTCCGAGGCTCAAGCCATCCTTCCACCTCAGCCTCCTGAGTAGCTAAGACTGTAAGTGCATACCACCATGTGCAGCTAAATTTTAAAAAAAATTTTGTAGAAACAGGTTCTCGCTATGTTGCCCAGGCTGGTCTCAAACTCCTGGCCTCAAGTCATCCTCCAGCCTCAGCCTCCTGAGTAGCTAGACCTATAAGTGCGCACCACCATGCCCAACTAAATTTTTTGTTTGTTTGTTTTTTGTTTTTGTTTTCGTAGAGATGAGGTCTCACTATGTTGCCCAGACTGGTCTCAAACTCCTGCCCTCAAGTGATCCTCTTGCCTTGGCCTCCCAAAGTGCTGGGTTTACAGGCATGAGCCACCATGCCTGGCCTCAATATCTCTCTCTCTATCTCTCTCTATATATCTCTTCTTCTTTCCCTCTGAATCTCTCTCTTTTTCTACTTCTTTCTCTCTCTCTCTCTCTCTCTCCCTCTCTCTCTCTCTCTCCATCTCTCTCTCTCTCTCACACACACACACACACACACTTCTACCAATGTCTATCTTTCAGTCTCATTTTCTCCTATGCCAGCTTAACAACAGATCTGACTGCTGCACCCTTCAAAGTCTCCTATCTCCATCCCCAGATTGGAAATGCTCACTGGCTCTCAATTCAAAAATCCTGAGGAAGGACATTTTTGGATTCAGCTTGTCTCTGTTGCTTGTCCTGGCAAAATCAAGAGTGGCCAAGAAGTAGATCTGCAAGAAAATGGCACCACCCATTCAACCTCAGGGAGTTAAATGGAGGGAGGAGGTGATACATGTACACATTACAATTGATGTCACAAAGACTACTGTAGAGATTTTGGAGTACCCTGGTGATCAATATTAAGTAAAAATGGCAGGATATTAAATATATCTATAGTATGATAACCATGTTTTTTTAAAAAAAATAGACTCAAATATACTATATTAGGGCAGAAACTTCTCTACCTTACTCACTTCTTTATCCAAGCATAGTCCCTAGCACATAACCAATTCTCAAGAAATACTTGTTAAATGAATAAATGCAATAAAAGTGAAAGGGGAAAAAAATGACAGAACCTATATATACCAAACACTAAAAGTTGTGATCTCTCCACATGAGATTACAAAAAAAATTAATTTTTCCTTGATATACTTCACTGAATGTTTAAATATCTTATATTTAACCTGCATTACTTTTAAAATCAGAAAATTAGAATGTTGTCAAGTTCCCTTCACAGCAATAAGGGGCTTTGTGCCCCGAGAGGCTCTGGAAATGTCAGGTGCAGGATCTGCTTCATCCAGCCCAAATCAGGCCACCTGTGTAGTGTGGGTTGTCCTGGGAAGAAAGAGCCTGTTCTAAGCTGTTTCCTCCTTGACAGTAAGATAGCAGAGGCAGGACTCTGGCTCCCAGGTCCACAGTGATGGGATACCTCTCTAATTCAGTGTCCCGGGGTTATTTTCAGCCCCTGCAGTGGCAGCTGCCCGGGAAGTAAAGAACAGAAAAACATCAAGGCAGAGCAGTTTGCCTCACCTGTGTGGAAATAAGTCAGCTTGCTCTTCCCCAAAGAATTTCAGAGCTTGACAAATGAAATCACTTCATCTTACAGAGCCAAAAAAGGAAGTGACTTTTGGAAAGTGACTTAAGCCCTTGAGCCTGTTTTCTCATCAGCCTGGAACCTGAATATGACTGGTTTTCCTGTACCCAGCTTAAGGCTCATCTTAGCATTTTAAAGAGACACAAATCCAAATTCAAAAATAAGTCAGATCTTGTGTGATGGACAGGCAAAAGGAAAGAGATATTCCACAGGCAAAGCACACAGAAAACCTTCCTAATAGAGGCTTTTGCATCTGTACCCTAAAGCCCAGGCCTGACTGCATTTGTTGCAGTGCACCTTGTTATTTTTGTTTTCTTAATTTGCTTGGTTTTCTTTCTCTCTCTCTTCCCTTGTTATCCACATTAACTGCCTAGGAAATTTATCTTTATATGTTTCTCTTCATGCTGATATAATTATACATAAGCATCTATATACACACAAACATATGTGATGGAAATTGCATTTTTGTCTTATAAAAATGAGATTATATAAACTTTTCTGTATCATGCTTTTCTCATAACAACTCATGGAAGCCCCTTCCAATCATCTGATATAGGTCCAATTCTTTTTTGTTTAATCAAGGCATAATATTATAAAGGATGAATATTTCATAATTTAGTCAGCATTCCCTATTGATAAATGTCCTTGAACATTCTTATACCTGGTGCTTTTCTTTCAAAAAGTTTCTCAGAATTGAGATTTTCTGGGTTGAGGGGTATGTGTATTTTTTATTTTAATAGCTTTTCTTAGTTTATTTTCCAAAAGTTTATAACAATTTCGACTTCCATAAGCAGAGTATGATAATATTATTTCCCCTGCATGCCCACCAGCAGGAAATAGCACTCTTAAAGTTCTGGTATTTTGTCAGGTATAATGTTATCTCATTGTTACTTTAATTTGTATTTCCCTGGTCTGTAGTGAATTTGAACATCTTCATTTTTTCAGTAGTTGCCTCTGAATACCCTTTACCCATTTTTCCATTGAGTGTTTACAGTCTTAGCAATCTGTAAGAACTCTTTTTACTTAACCCTCTGCTCATCCCTACATTATAAATATTTTTCCAAATCTAACTTTTATTGATCGATATTGTTTATAGTATCTTTTTCCATGCAAAAACTTTTTCCCCAACTTTATAGAGCTTATGTTTTATAGCTTCTGAATGTTGTCTTGTTTTAAATCTCCTCACTCCCTGCAGGTGTTTTTTTTTTAATTGCTTTATTGTCTATACTTAATTCTTTAATATATCTGGTATTCATTTTAATAGCCAAAACTTGGAAATACAGCAAAAGAATGACTGCCTATGCTTTCACTGTCATACTAGCATGCTAACAGGTCCATTAGAGTATTATTTAAATCTCTTGGCCCTAGAGACCAGAAGATGTAGCACTTTTGACTTGCTGTTTACTATTGATTAGGACCCAGACTCTGTGCCTTTTCATGTAAATTTGTAGGTTTTTCTCCAATAGAGTGCAAATTATTTCTGTCAAATGGAGAAATAATTCAACTTACAGTTTTATTTCCCTGAGGAACATTAACCAGTTTCGTCTCTTAGTATGCTTGTTCCAGCCTGCCTGTCCTAGACTAACTATATAAATCTCTGTTCTCCAAATACTTTTTGAACCAGCTTTACCATCTGCTGGTTCCCTCATTAATGAACTAAATAAATCTTTGACCTGCTTCAAACCTATATTTATATGAGTTATGTTTTTAACTTCTTAAAAACTATACTTTGACACTGGAATGTATTTGTATATAGAACATAGGAGAGGTTTAATTTTATTTTTCTGCACATAATGGTCAGTTACACCAGATTCATTTATTAAATAATCTATCCTTTTCTCATCTACATAGCAATGCTTAAATTTTCCATGCCTAGAATAAAAACCTCGTATATAGAGAGCTTGCAATAAATATATTTTGGGTGAATTCTGCACATTCTCCTGTGTACTCGGTTCTACTCTGATTCTTTCTTCAATTTTTCTGAGCTATTGGTCTATTATTTTAGCAATAACATCTATTTTCCTACTGTGGCTTTATAGTATGTTCTGATATTTGAGAAGCAGTCACTTTTGGTTAGTTTTTTTTTCAAAAAATTTTCTGTTCATGACTATTTGTCTTTCCATATAAACTTTGTTTTTAGAAATAGGGTCTAGCTGTGTCCCCAAGCCTGGAGTTCAGGGGCACAATCATGGCTCACTGCAGCCTCAAACTCCTGGGCTCATGCAATCCTCCAGCCTCAGCCTCCTGAGTAGCTAGGACTAAAGGTACACACCACCATGTCCAGCTATTTTTTTTATTTTTTGCAGAGATGGAGGTCTTACTATGTTTCTGAGGCTGGTATCGAGGTCCTGGCCTCAAACGATCCTTCTGCCTGAGTCTCCTAAAGTGTTGGGATTACAGGCATGAGCCACTGCACCTAGCCCATATAAAATTTAAGATTATTTTTTCAATTATATAAAGAAAAAACGCATTTAGAATTTTACTGAGAATTGTACATTTATCTATTAATTTTGATGAAATTGATGTTTTGTGATTTTAAGCCTCCCTATCCCAGAACATGGTGTGTCTTTCCATTTGTTCAGCTCTTGCTTTATGTCTTTCAATAACAGTTTTATGATTTTCTTCATATAAGTCCTATATCTTATTATCTTTATTGCTAAGTATTTTATGGATATTGTTGCTATATCAAACATGGAACTTTTCTTCCATTTCCACTTTTAGATGCTTTTTGCCAGAACAGAGAAAAACTGTTGATTTTCATATCTTTATCTTGTATACAAATGCCTTACTAAATTCTATTATTTTTAATAGTTCATTTGATTTCACATTGATCTGGTTGTTCTCTGACCTTGAAGTGCTTTAATAGTAAAAAAAAAAACAAACAACACATAATCCACAGGATTTCTTTTCTATCTATAAGTATTTACTTCACCTAGCAACGTATCCTTTGCCACAATCCTTTTTTTTTCCTTAATGCCCTAAAACTTGCTGCAAATGTGCTTGTTTTTGTCTAAGTTCTGCTCAAGAGAGAAGGAAGGATGCTGCAGGAATGCCATCCACAGGAGGCTGTCTCAATGTAAAAGTCTCTGGATGTCCACCAGATCTGGAAATCATCGAATACAGTGTGGCATGAGGCAGTGGAAATATCAAATACAAATCGCATCACAGGGGAAAGTGCTACACATCAAAACTAACGGATGATATAGAGTAGAAAAAGATTAGTAACAAACTTAGAAGACAGAAGGTCTAGGAGGAGGTTAGGATGGGAACAAGAAATAAGTCAAGAGAAGTTTCTTCAGTCCCATGATCCTTGCAAGAGTGCCCAAGGCGTTTTATCCATCCCTGGTTATGGTGTTGGAAACCTGTGCAAAACCAAAAGTACAAGCGCTCTCTGAAGCACAGTGCACATTTTTGAAAAGGAAAGTGGCTTTGTGTAGACACTTTCAGAAGAGCATACCCAAATTAGTAAATGCCTTTTTTTTTTAGCACTCTTTGCTTAATCTAGACACCTTCTTTATAATGTTCCTGGATGCTAAGTCTATATTTTTTGGTAGTTCTTTTCCCCTCTGGCTTTTAAAGCAAAGTGAAAAGAAAAATGTTGTTATCGTCTTTTTTATGTAATAATATACCAGCGCTTGGCTTTATGAAATTTAATCATAGCATTTTATAGTCTATAAAATAGATCACCTTCTGAATTTAAAATAAATTGTATTTTACATGGAAGAAAGATTCACCAAGAGCACGTACATTTTTCAAATCCATTTGTTCTTCATGTTAGCAATGTTAAAAGAGGCATTTCCAGCTAGCCCATACCTGTTCTAATGTCATGAGTGACAGGCTTTTACCTTAGAGAAAATATCTTTATTTGTCATCGTCTAAGTCAATATTGTTGCAAGGGACATTTGATCAGGCTAAGGAAACACTGGACTGCTTCAGCTTCAAAAAATGGAAGACAAATGAAATACTCTGATATCATTTTTCACGGGGCCAAGAAAAGAAATTCTGCAGACAGAACAGCTGTATTCTCTTTATGCTCTGACAAAGAACACACAAAAGGAACAACAGTCATTGCTTTCACTAGATATTTAGGCTTAAGCCCATGGTGGTCTGACTTTACTTCCCGTCCCCCACCATCTCAGGACTTTTCTCTAAAGACAGCCATGCTTGTCTCTTTTTGTTGTCGTACGTGTACACATAGACATTGCAGCCAAAGGCCAGGGTCTCTGTGGAATTGCTCTACACTTCCCTTATTGTTCTCCTGCCCCTCACTTATCAACCCAGCTATTGGGAGAGAGTGTTTTCTGTTCATCCCACCCTTGGACTACTCCATGGGTGAGTGAGTTTCAAACTTTTATGAGAAGGGCCCAGCCTACACCTGTGTGCACCCTGACATCCACACACTGTTGGGCATGGTTCTCTGCACACAGGAGCTGCTCAGTTAATTTTTGCTTTTCTCCCCATTACCTACCACCAACTCAAAGTTTGATTTGTTTATAACCTGTGCTGAGCCACTTAAAATGCCCCAGGAAGAAAATGCTGTTCACAGCCACTGACCTCCCCAAATTTTTATTCCAGCAAGTCACATTACCCCTAGGATATGAAACCCAGGGCGGGCTGTTTTTCAGGGTCCCTCAGCTTCAGTGCAACTGGGGCACACACAGTCAAGATTCCATCTGTCTTGGGCAGCTTTCCTGAGCCTTGGGCGGACCAGCTCATCACGAATCTTAGGCATCTGTTGTCCCTTGCTGCCTATCTATAAGGAATAAACCTGCTTTGTGTAACTTGTGTATGAGTGCTCTGTCTCACCAGACTACTGCAAGTGATAGAAATTGGGACAGCCCAAGGTGTAGTGTGGTGAGATATTTAGAGTCCTCCCCTAGGATTGATACCAGTGCACCGTGAACCTGCTTCAGAGGGGTTCAAGCATTGGGTGTGAGTTTAGACAGCGTTCGAAAGTGTTCCTTCAACCCTTAGGTTCTGTAATTCTTGGGTAGAAAACAATACTACTACTAAAACAAAATTTTTGACATCTTTATTTTTCCCTGCATTTCTTCCTATCTGAGCAACATCTTTTGTACCCCCTGAAAAATGACCCAACTTCTCAAATGTCTGTGTCCTTGTTGAGTACATTAAACTCCCCCTTAATGCCCACCATTTGGAAAAACATGCATTATATTTAAACCCTGAGTACATTACTTGGCAGAAATACATACTGTAGTATTTTAAATATGAGGCCTGTTTATGGCATTGCTTCTCTGAGGACAAGTTATGAGATCAGTGACAATTACTATTCCTCATCTCGCCTCAGGGTCTCTGACAAAGGAGCACAGAGCAGGAAGCAATTACAAGAATCAGGAAGAATGTCAGCAAAGAGGCATACTGAGGCACCCTACAGAATCACCAAGGAGAAGGATTAAGGAAAATCATCCAAAGTAATTATCCCAAAGACCAGTGGGGACAGGGCAAATCTCCTACAAGCTCTTAAGATGCATTCTAATGTCACTGAAACCAGGAGGACTAAAGAAATGTTTGCCTGAATGATTTGATAGAATAAAGAACATAATTCAGAAAATCTGCAATTAAGTGTGCACCTGCAAGTATGCCCTACCTGTGGTGCTCTTATCTTCCTCTCTAATTTGCAGTCTCTCTTTCTCTCCCTCTGTGTGTGTGTATTTGAATATATGTCCAAATGTATGTTTATCTGTGCATATACACTTTAAAATTTTTTTAATTATGAAATGTATGTGAATAAACTGCCTAATAAATAAACCTTATTTCAGAGTATGGTTCTCATTCAACTAGATATATAATAAATAGATTTTATTGATTATCCAATCCTAAGGCAAATTTTAAAGTAAGCCAACTACATAGCAGTCATATCATTTGATTTTTATTGGTTTTTCCAAACCACTGAGGTATGAGAATCAGATAATTTTCCAGCAACAAAAACTATAACTTAGAGTTTGAGGTAGTTATTTAATCTGAAAGTTGGTGTTATTTCTGCATCCATTAGGATTCTGATGAGACTTTCAACTTGAAGGCATTTGACAAATGTATGGAAATTCTTCGTCTTAAGAGTTTGCCTTTAAAGGAGAGATTAGGAAGAAAAAGCGTTAAAAGTGGAGTGACGCTTCATATGGCTTTAGCTGCTAAACATATTCCCATTTTTAAATCTAGGGCTCATTTTCAAGTCTGTGTTCTGAAACTAATTCCATCATGGAGGTTCCTTTGAGCACAACACAATGTTTGAGATCAAAAGAGTCCTAAAAAGACATCATCAAAAAAATATGTAAGAATATGGCATTTTAAAATAAAATCAAAATTGTTTTACCTAAGAGACTCAGGAGGGACCACTCATGTTTAGGAAGTGCACTTTTGTTGCTTGCTTCTATCTTTTAATTCCACAATTATGCAGTATTTTAGAGACTTTTAGAAAATTGGTCCTTGCTCTCATAGCTAAGACTGCTAATAATCAAGGCCTGAAGGCTCAGTAACCCCTATGCAACCTCTTAACAAATCTTTGACATATTCCTGTTTTCCATATGTGGTGGGTCTCGGAATTAATTTATATTCCTAGATTCTAAAATAATTTTTAGGTTCACATGAAAACTCTTAATTAAAGCAACCACTTACAGACCGTGGCACTGAATGAGTCCACAGAACAAAATGTGTTTAGGAATTTTTAGATAAACTCATCTGTCGTACTCATTGATGAATAAGGAGTAAAACATTCCAAATGGTTGGACCTTAGTCTGGGAACACCTTTGTACCCTAGCTATCAGCTCAGTTCCTGATTCTTGAGCTCTATGTCACTTTCTTTACATATTCTGCTGTCACCACTGGTGATATGGTTTGGATTTTTGTCCCCTCCAAATCTCATGTTGAAATGTGATCCCTAATGTTGGAGGTCAGACCTAATGGGAGACATTTGGGTCATAGGGGCAGGTTCCTCATGAATGGTTTGGTGCCCTTTTCATGGTAATGAGTTCAAACTATGAGTTCATCCAAGATCTGGTTGCTTAAAAGTGTGGTACTTCCCCACCCCACTTCCACTTTTGCCAAATGACATGCCTGCTTCTCCCCTCACCTTCTGCCATGATTAAAGTTTCCTGAGGCCTCCCCAGAAGCAGATGGCCAGCATTATGCTTCCTTCACAGCCTGTGGAACTATGAGCCAATTAAACATCTTTTCTTTGTAAATTACCCAGCCTCAGATATTTTCCTACAGTGATACAAAAATAGACCAATACAGAAAATTGGTACCAAGGAGTGGAGTATTGCTATAAAGATAAAATCAGCTTCAGAACTGGGTAACAGGCAGAGGTTGAAAGAGTTTGGAGGGCTCAGAAGAAGACAGGAAGATAAAGGACACTTTGAACTGCTTAGAGACTGGTTAAATGGTTTTGGCCAAAATACTTATAGAGATACTGACAGTAAAGTCCAGACTGACAAGGTCTCAGATGGAAATAAGAGTTTTTGGGAAGTAGAGTAAAGGTCATCTGTGTTACATCCTAGCAAAGAGCTTGGCTGCATTATGACTACGTGCTGGGAATTTGTGAAGGGTTGGACTTAAGAGCGATGACTTAGAGTATCTAGTGGAAGAAATTTCTAAGCAAAAAAGCATTCAAGATATGGCCTAGCTGCTTCTAACATCCTATGTTCAGATGCAGGAGCAAAGAAATGATGTAAAGTTGGAACTTATATTTAAAAGGGAAGAAGAGCATAAAAGTGTGGGAAATTTGCAGTGGGCTGTGGAGCAACTACTTGCTAAAGAGATTAGCAGGACTAAAAGGGAGCCAATGCTAATATCCAAAACTTTGGGAAAATGGCCTCAAAGGCATTTCAGAAGTTTTTGAGGCAGTCTCTCCCATCAAAAGTCTAGAAGTCTAGGAGAAAAAATAATTTTGGGTGCCAGGCCCAGGACACCACTGCCCTGCACGACCTCAGGATGTTGCTCCTCACATTCAGGCCTCTCCAGCTCAACTGAGGCTCAAAGGGCTCCAACTATGGCTCAGGTGGCTGATCAGGAGAGCACAAGCCACCATAAGCCTTTGTGGCTTCCATGCGGCACTAATTCCATGGACACACAGAATGTAAGAGTGAAGGAGGCTTGACAGTTCCCACCTAGGTTTCAGAGGATGTATGGTAAATCCTGGGTGCCCAGCAGAGGCCTACTACAGGGGTGGAACCCCCACAGGGAAACTCTACTACAGCAGTGCCAAAGGAAAATGTGGAGCTGAAGCCCCCACACAGAGTATACACCAGGGCACTGCCTAGTGAAGTTGTGGGAAGAGGGCTGCCACCCTCCAGACCTGAGAATGGTAAATCCACTGGCAGCTTGCTCTCTTAGCCTGAAGAAACCACAGGCACCCTACTCCAACTGGAGAAAGCAGCCACAGGGGCTGCACCCTGCAAAGCCACATTGGCAGAGCTACCCAAGACCTTGGGAGCCCATCCCTTGCACCAGTGTACCCTGGATGTGGGACTTGAAACCAAAGGAGATTATTTTGGAGCATAAGATTTAATAATTGCCCTCCTGGGTTTCAGACTTCTGTGGGGTCTATTGCCCCTTTTTCTGGCTGATTTCACCCTTTTGAAATGGGAATGTTTACCCAATGCATATACCACCATTGTATTTTGAAAGAAAATAACTTGTTTTGATTTTACAGGATATAGGTGGAAGAAACTTGGCTTGAATTAGAGATGAGACTTTAGACTTTCAGACTTCTGAGTTGGGGCTGAAATGAGTAAAGACTTTGGGGGACTACTGAGAAGGGATGATTGTATTTTGCGATATGAGAAGAATATAAGATTTGGTGGGCCAGAGGTGGGATGATGGAAGTATATGATTTGCATGTTTGTCCCCTCCAAATCTCATGTTGCAATGTAATCCCCAATGTTGGAGGTGGGGCCTGGTGGGAGGTGTTTTGATTATGGGAGCAGATATCTTCTGAATTACAAGGAGGGTTGGTGCCCTCCTTGTGACAGTGGGTTCTCACTCTGAGTTCACACGAGATACAGTTGTTTAAAAGAGTGTGGAAGTATCTCCTTCTCTCTCACTTCCACTTTCACCATGTGACACATCTCTTCCCCCTCTGCCTTGCACTGTGATTATAAGCTTCCTGACACCCTCACCAGAAGTAGTTACTGGCACCATGCTTCTTTTACAGCCTGCAGAACCATGAGCCAATTAAACCTATTTTCTTTATAAATTACTTAGTCTCAGGTATTTCTTTATAGCAATGCAAGAACAGGCTAAAAGACCTGGATTACTCCACCCACTGCACAGTCATTTATAGATCATCTGCCTATGGATTTTCCTTGTTGTAGAATCTCCATAGGAAAATTAAAACAACCCAAATTGGATTCTCTCCATCCTTCAGAAGTTCCTGGGTGCTTTGCACTCAATCCAAACAGGTGTACTTTGATGAAGCAAGTTTATTTTCATGTTAAGTTGAGGGAAACACAATTAGAAAGTGAAATATGCAAGAAAAAAAATCATGGTGTCCACCAAAGTCAAGAAAAAAATTAAATTGAAATTGTCAGTTCTCCTAATTCTAGGGGCATCTATATTTACCTTCCCAGGTCAGCAACTCCCATTTGTTCAGACAAGACAGTGTCACAATTACTCTTATGTGAGCCCTGCAGCATTGCTCCTCAGCAACTTTTTTAAGAATAGGCTGGCTTCTCTGAAGAATTATTCTCTGTAAAAAGCCAGAAGTTTGTCATGAGTGTTAGGGTCATTTCTTCCAACAGCCCCACTATATATCCTGAGTGAGTTTCTCATTTCACAGACCATTTTTATCTCCATAATTCTGCAGCTAGGTGAATGGCAGCCTCCCAGGAAGATATTAATATACTGTTAGTCTGTTGCACTGTGCACAGCTTGAAACACAACTAATAAATTTCCTGTAAATTTTTCTCATCCCCTTTAAGCCTTAACTTTCTCAGGATGTGTGTGGTGCTGCTGGGCTGTCAAAGAAGCTGTCCCTGGAAAGCCTCTCATTTTTCTTTTAGTGCAAATTCTTAAAAAGTCACAAAGCAAAACAAATTACCCCTATAAAAATTATAACAGCCAACAGGAAAATTCATGACAGCCCTCCTCCAGAAACACAGCTGCCACAATTCATGCTCACCCACATCCATTAACCACCCATCTCCCCTGCACCTAGTGAGGCATGGGCTCTGGGGAGTGGGCTCTAGGACCTTGAAGAGCAGCATGCTGTCTCCACCAGTTTCTCTACCTGCCCCAGACCACTTCTGACCTCACCATGACACCAAAACTGCTCTCACCAGGGCCATCAATGATCACCTAGAGGTTGTAAAATTCAATGGGCAACTTTCAACCATTTTTTTTCCTGATCTCTCAGGAGAAGTACTCTCAATGAGTAGCTTCTATGAGAAAAAGATTCTTGTTTTTGGGTTCTAAAATGTTTCCCCCTTTATCTGGTTTTTATTTGTCTCCTCCTTTACTGTTCCTACTCCTCCAGTCTTTTAAACTGTTGGCCCTCCTCTTTCCTAAGCCCTTTACCTCTTTATTTAACACCCTTCCTCTAGGCAGACTCACCCTACCTCACAGATTCAATTACTATCCACATATCAACAACTCTCAGATATTTTTCTTCACCCAGATATCTCTGTTTAAAACCTTTATCTGGAGGTTCCAAGATGGCTGAATAGGAACAGCTCCAGTCTACAGCTCCCAGCATGAGTGACACAGAAGACGGGTGACTTCTGCATTTCCAACTGAGGTACCGGGTTCATCTCACTGGGGCTTGTCAGACAGTGGGTACAGCCAACGGACCAGGGTGGGGCTCACCTCACCCAGGAAGAACAAGGGGTCGGGGAATTCCCTTTCCTAGCAAAGGGAAGCCATGACAGATGGTACCTGGAAAATTGGGACACTCCCACCCTAATACTGCACTTTTCCAAAGGCCTTAGCAAACAGCACACCAGGAGATTATATCCCACACCTGGCTTGGAGACTTCCACCCCTGTGGAGCCTCACTCACTGCTAGCACAGCAGTCTGAGATCGAACTGCAAGGCGGCAGTGAGGCTGGGGGAAGGACATCCGCCATTGTTGAGGCTTGAGTAGGTAAAAAAAGCAGCCAGGAATCTCCCACCACACCTCAAGGAGGCTTGCCAGCCTATGTAGACTCCACTTCTGGGGGCAGGGCATAGCAGAACAAAAGGCAGCAGAAATTTCTGAAGATTTATACGTCCCTGTCTGACAGTTTAGAAGAGAGTAGAGGTTCTCCCAGCACAGAGTTTGAGATCTGAGAATAGTCAGACTGCCTCCTCAAGTGGGTCCCTGACCCCCAAGTAGCCTAACTGGGAGACACCTCCCAGTAGGGGCTGACTAACACCTCATAGAGTCCGGTGCCCCTCTGAGATGAAGCTTCCAGAGGAAGAATCAGGCAGCAACATCTGCCATTCTGCAATATTTGCTGTTCTGCAGCCTCCACTGGTGATACCCAGGAAAACGGCGTCTGGAGAGGACCTCCAGCAAACTGCAACAGACCTGCAGCTGAGGGTCCTGACTGTTAGAAGGAAAACTAACAAACAGAAAGGACATAGACACCAAAACCCCATCTATACATCACCATGATCAAAGACCAAAGGTAGACAAAACCATAAAGTTGGGGAGAAACCAGAGCAGAAAATTTGAAAATTCTAAAAATCAGAGCACCTCTTCTCCTCCAAAGGAATGCAGCTCCTCGCCAGCAACAGAACAAAGCTGGATGGAGAATGACTTTGACGAGTTGAGAGAAGAAGGCTTCAGACAATCGGTAATAACAAACTTCTCCGAGCTAAAGGAGGATGTTCAAACCCATTGCAAAGAAGCTAAAAACCTAGAAAAAAGATTAGATGAATGGCTAACTAGAATAAACAGTGTAGAGAAGTCCATAAATGACCTGATGGAGCAGAAAACCATAGCACAAGAACTACGTGATGAATGCACAAGCTTCAGTAGCCAATTTGATCAAGTGGAAGAAAGGGTATCAGTGAATGAAGATCAAATGAATGAAATGAAGCAAGAAGAGAAGTTTAGAGAAAAAAGAATAAAAAGAAATGAACAAAGTCTCCAAGAAATATGGGACTATGTGAAAAGACCAAATCTACTTCTGATTGGTGTACCTGAAAGTGACAGGGAGAATGGAACCAAGTTGGAAAACATTCTGCAGGATATTATCCAGGAGGACTTCCCCAACCTAGCAAGGCAGGTCAACAGTCAAATTCAGGAAATACAGAGAACACCACAAAGATACTCCTCGGGAAGAGCAACTCCAAGACACATAATTATCAGATTTTCCAAAGTTGAAACGACAGAAAAAACGTTAACAGCAGCCAGAGAGAAAGGTCAGGTTACATACAAGGGGAAGCCCATCAGACTCACAGCGGATCTCTTGGCAGAAACTCTACAAGCCAGAAGAGTGGGGGCCGATATTCAACATTCTTAAAGAAAAGAATTTTCAACCCACAATTTCATATCCAGCCAAACTAGGCTTCATAAGTGAAGGAGAAATAAAATCCTTTACAGACAAACAAATGCTGAGAGATTTTGTCACTACCAGACCTGCCTTACAAGAGTTCCTAAAGGAAGCACTAAACATGGAAAAGAACAACTGGTACTAGCCACTGCAAAAACATGCCAAATTGTAAAGACCATCAATGCTAGGAAGCAACTGCATCAACTAAAGAGCAAAATAACCAGCTAACATCACAATGACAGGATCAAATTCACACATAACAATATTAACCTTAAATATAAATGGGCTAAATCCTCCAATTAGAAGACACAGACTGGCAAAGTGCATAGAGTCAAAACCCATCAGTGTGCTGTATTCATTCAGGAGACCCATCTCACATGCAGAGACACACATAGGCTCAAAATAAAGGATGGAGGAAGATCTACCAAGCAAATGGAAAACAAAAAAAAGGCAAGGGTTGCAATCCTATTCTCTGATAAAACAGACTTTAAACCAACAAAGATCAAAAGAGACAAAGAAGGCCATTACATAATGGTAAGGGATCAATTCAACAAGAAGAACTAACCATCCTAAATATATATCCACCCAATACAGGAGCACCCAGATTCATAAAGCAAGTCCTTAGAAACCTACAAAGAGACTTAGATTCCCACACAATAATAATGAGAGACTTTAACACCCCACTGTCAACATTAGACAGATAAAAGAGAGAAACTTAACAAGGATATTCAGGCATTGAACTCAGCTCTGCACCAAGTGGACCTAATAGACATCTACAGAACTCTCCACCCCAAATCAACAGAATATACATTCTTCTCAGCACCACATCACACTTATTCCAAAATTGACCACATAGTTGGAAGGAAGGCACTCCCCGGCAAATGAAAAGAACAGAAATTATAACAAACTGTCTCTCAGACCACAGTGCTATCAAACTGGAATTCAGGATTAAGAAACTCACTCAAAACCACACAACTACATGGAAACTGAAGAACCTGCTCTTGAATGACTACTGGGTACATAACGAAATGAAGGCAGAAATAAAGATGTTCTTTGAAACCAATGACAACAAAGACACAACATACAAGAATCTCTGGGACACAATTAACGCAGTGTGTAGAGGGAAATTTATAGCACTAAATACCCGCAAGAGAAAGCAGGAAAGATCTAAAATTGACACCCTAACATCACAATTAAAAGCACTAGAGAAGCAAGAGCAAACACATTAAAAAGCTAGCAGAAGGCAAGAAATAACTAAGATCAGAGCAGAACTGAAGGAGATAGAGACACAAAAAACCCTTCAAAAAATCAATGAATCCAGGAGTTGTTTTTTTGAAAAGATCAACAAAATTGATAGACCACTAGCAAGATTAATAAAGAAGAAAAGAGAGAAGAATCAAATAGACACAATAAAAAATGTTAAAGGGGATATCACCACCGATCCCACAGAAATACAAACTACCATCACAGAATACTATAAACACCTCTATGCAAACAAACTAGAAAATCTAGAAGAAATGGATAAATTTCTGGACACATACACCCTACCAAGACTAAACCAAAAGAAGTTGAATCCCTGAATAGAACAAAAACAGGTTCTGAAATTGAGGCAATAATTAATAGTCTACCAACCAAAAAAAGTCCAGGACCAGACAGATTCGCAGCTGAATTCTACCAGAGGTACAAAAAGGAGTTGGTACCATTCCTTCTGAAACTTTTCCACCAATAGAAAAACAGGCAATCCTCCCTAATTCATTTTATGAGGCCAAAATCATCCTAATAACAAAGCCTGGCAGAGACACAACAAAAAAAGAGAATTTTACACCAATATCCCTGATGAACATCGATGTGAAAATCCTCAATAAAATACTGGCAAACCGAATCCAGCAGCACATCAAAAACCTTATCCACCACGATCAACTTGGCTTCATCCCTGGGATGCAAGGCTGGTTCAACATATGCAAATCAATAAATGTAATACATCATATAAACAAAACCAAAGACAAAAACCACATGATTATCTCAGTAGATGCAGAAAAAGCCTTTGACAAAATTCAGTAGCCCTTCATGATAAAAACTCTCAATAAACTAGGTATTGATGGGATGTATCTCAAAATAATAAGAGCTATTTATGACAAATCCACAACCAATATCATACTGAATGGGCAAAAACTGGAAGCATTCCTTTTGAAAACTGTCACAAGACAGGGATGCCCGCTCTCACCACTCCTATTCAACACAGCATTGGAAGTTCTGACCAGTGCAATCAGTCAAGAGAAAGAAATAAAGGGGATTCAATTAGGAAAAGAGGAAGTCAAATTGTCCCTGTTTGCAGATGGCATGATTGTATATTTAGAAAAACCTATCATCTCAGCCCAAAATCTCCTTAAGCTGATAAGCAACTTCAGCAAACTCTTAGGATACAAAATCAATGTGCAAAATCACAAGCGGGGGCAGCCCCTGCCTGGCCAGCCGCCCCGTCTGGGAGGTGGGGGCAGCCCCCCCCAGCCAGCTGCCCCATCCAGGAGGTGGGGGGCAGCCCCCGCCCGGCCACCGCCCTGTCTGGGAGGTGTGGGGGCACCTCTGCCTGGCTGCCCCGTCTGGGAAGTGAGGAGCCCCTCTGCCCAGCCGCCACCCCATCTGGGAGGTGTACCCAATAGCTCATTGAGAACAGGCCATGATGATGATGGCGGTTTTGTCGAATAGAAAAGGGAGAAATGTGGGGAAAAGAAAGAGAGATCAGATTGTTACCATGTCTGTGTAGAAAGAAGTAGACATAGGAGACCCCATTTTGTTCTGCACTAAGAAAAATTCTTCTGCCTTGGGATGCTGTAATCTATAACCTTACCCCCAACCCCGTGCTCTCTGAAACATGTGCTGTGTCCACTAGGGTTAAATGGATTAAGTGCGGTGCAAGATGTGCTTTGTTAAACAGATGCTTGAAGGCAGCATACTCGTTAAGAGTCATCACCTCTCCCTAATCTCAAGTACCCAGGGACACAAACACTGCGGAACGTGGCAGGGCCCTCTACCTAGGAAAACCAGAGACCTTTGTTCACATGTTTATCTGCTGACCTTCCCTCCACTATTGTCCTATGACCCTGCCAAATCCCCCTCTCTAAGAAACACCCAAGAATGACCAATAAATACTAAAAAAAAAAAAAAAAAAAAAAAATCACAAGCATTCCCATAAACCAATAACAGACAAACAGAGAGCCAAACCATGAGTGAACTCCCATTCACAATTGCTTCAAAGAGAATAAAATACCTAGGAATACAACTTACAAGGGACGTGAAGGACCTCTTCAAGGAGAACTATGAACTACTGCTCACTAAATAAAAGAGGACACAAACAAATGGAAGGACATTCCATGCTCATGGATAGGAAGAATCAATATTGTGAAAATGGCCATACTGCCCAAGGTAATTTATAGATTCAATGCCATCCCCATCAAGCTACCAATGACTTTCTTCACAGAATTGGGAAAAACTACTTTAAAGTTCATATGGAACCAAAAAAGAGCCTGCATTGCCAAGACAATCCTAAGCCAAAAGAACAAAGCTGGAGGAATCTTACTACCTGACTTCAAACTATACTACAAGGCTACAGTAACCAAAACAGCATGGTACTGGTACCAAAACAGAGATGTAGACCAATGGAGCAGAATAGAGCCTTCAGAAATAACACCACACATCTACAACCATCTGATCTTTGACAAATCTGACAAAAACAAGAAATGGGAAAGGATTCCCTATGTAATAAATGGTGTTGGCAAAACTGGCTAGTCATATGTAGAAAGCTGAAACTGGATCCGTTCCATATACCTTATACAAAAATTAACTCAAGATGGATTAAAGACTTAAATGTTAGACCTAAAACCATAAAAACCCTGGAAGAAAACCTAGGCAATACCATTCAGGACACAGGCATGGGGAAAGGACTTCATGATTAAAACACCAAAAGCAATGGCAACAGAAGCCAAAATTGACAAATGGGATCCAATGAAACTAAAGAGCTTCTGCACAGCAAAAGAAACTACCATCAGAGTCAACAGGCAACCTACAGAATGGGAGAAAATTTCCACAATCTACCCATCTGACAAAGGGCTAATATCCAGAATCTACAATGAACTCAAACAAATTTACAAGAAAAAAACAAACAACCCCATCAAAAGGTGAGTGAAGTATATGAACAGACACTTCTCAAAAGAAGACATTTATGGAGCCAACAGACACATGAAAAAATGCTCATCATCACTGGCCATCAGAGAAATGCAAATCAAAACCACAATGAGATACCATCTCACACCAGTTAGAATGGCAATCATTAAAAAGTCAGGAAACAACAGGTGCTGGAGAGGATGTGGAGAAATAGGAACATTTTTACACTGTTGGTGGGACTGTAAACTAGTCCAACCATTGTGGAAAACAGCGTGGCAATTCCTCAAGGATCTAGAACTAGAAATACCGTTTGATCCAGCCATCCCATTACTGGGCATATACCCAAAGGAATATAAATCATGCTGCTATAAAGACACATGCACACATATGTTTATTGTGGCACTATTCACAATAGCAAAGACTTGGAACCAACCCAAATGTCCAACAATGATAGACTGGATTAAGAAAATGTGGCACATATACACCATGGAATACTATGTAGCCATAAAAAGATGAGTTCATGTCCTTTGTAGGGACATGGATGAAGCTGGAAACCATCATTCTCAGCAAACTATCACAAGGACAGAAAACCAAACACCACATGTTCTCACTCATAGGTGAGAATTGAACAATGAGAACACTTGGACAGAGGGTGGGGAACATCACACACCGGGGCCTGTCGTGGGGTGGGGGAGAGGGGAGGGATAGCATTAGGAGGTATACCTAATGTAAATGACGAGTTAACGGGTGCAGCACACCAACATGGCACATGTATACATAGATAACAAACCTGTACGTTGTTCACATGTACCCTAGAACTTAAAGTATAATAATAAAAAAAAGACAAAAAAAAACTTTATGTCCAATGGCCTCCTTAGCATTCTATTTGCATTTCCTTTTGACAGGTCAAACTTTAAATGTCCAAAACTGATCTCCTAATCATCTCTCCAAACCATCCTTCTTTCCCATCTCAGTAGATGACCCCAGATCTACTCAGTTGCTCTGAGTCAGGAGCCAGGGATGGACCTCTTTTTCCCCATACTCCTTTCTCCAAGTGATCACTAAATACAGTCTAGTTCCTATCCCACCTCAAACCATCCAAACTTTCCCTGTTCCCTAGGTGAAACATTTAACATGTGCAAGTCATAGGGTTAGAGCTGAGGACACAGGTAGAATAGTAAACAAGACAGCATGGCTCCTGGGCTCATGGAGCTCTATTCCGGTATGTATAAAGTAATAAGTGATACACTAATTAATTAAAGTAATATGCTGAACAATATATTTGCATGTAGTCCCATAAACAGTAACATCTCTGTTACATGAAAAGCATATGAAGAAATAAAAGATTGGAAGAAAATCCAACAAAATGTTAATAACAAATTGTAGGATTGTGAGGGATTTTTATATACTTTATTGTATTTAAATTATATTTACCAAAAACATGTACTAATTTTTTTAGATATAAACCTATTATATAGTTCTACGAACCTGCCTTTTTAAGGGGGAGCCTAGACAGGACTTCCAAATTCTCCATTTGGAATCTACTTTTCCTTCTATTTTGTCTTCTTTAGTTTTCATAATAAATAGGAGACAAATCAGAGAGGAATGGCCTCAGCTTTCTGCTGTGTCTCTACCTCTCTCCCTTGCCTACAGTGCAAAGAATAAGATGTCAGACAACCAGGTCAAGTGCTGCCTTTACATTATTTTCTCTTCTCTTTTCTGCCCCAAGCCTGTTTTTGCTGTCTCCCTTGCCTGCATATGTAACCCCTTCCTGTCTAAACCATCATCCTTCCCAGCCCTCTGCAACTCTTAACTCTCCTGGTCCCTGTGGGCTACCTCCAACTCCTACCCTCTCTCCATTTCACTCACCAGCCAACATTTTTGAGAATGGTCTAGATACTTCCCTTCACATTCTCACATCCAATTCACTCTTCAACATCATTAAATTTCCTTCCACCCACCACACTCCACTGAAACTGCTCCTGCAAATATCACCAGGAATTTGCATATTGTCACATAAAACGGACACTTGGCATCCTTATTTTTAAAAGCATCTTTGCTAACTTTTGCCCATGCGAATCCTTTTGCCTGGAATGCTCTTCTTCAGCCCGTTTGCCTTACTAACTCCTCTTCCCTGTTTTGCTACAGTAACTTCTCTCTTTTGGGTCTCAGCTTACGTGATGACAGGCCAAAAAAGTCTTCCATAAATCTTCTTTCTGCACCTCAATAAAGATAAGCTCCCCTTGGGGATTCTCATACATGGCTGGTGGAAACAAGGAGTTTCTTATAAGCGTATATTTAATATATGACTCACCAATCTCACTCTTAGGTATTCATCCAAGAGAAATGACAGCATATGCCACACAAAGACCAGGACACAAATGTTTATAGCAGCTTTATTTACAATTCCTCAGAACCTGAAACAACCCAAATGGCCTCCAACTGACAAATGAGAAAACTAACTGTGGTACATGCATTTAATGAAGTACTATTCAGCAACAAAAAGGAGCAAATTACTGATACATGTAACAACATGGATCAATCTCAAAAGCATTATGCTGAATAAAAGTGGCTTGATGCGAAGGCTAAATGCTCTCTGATTCCTTTTATAGGACATTCTTGGAAAGGCAAAATTATAGGGATATCAGAATGTGTGGGAAAAAGATAAAAGGAAATAAAAAATAAACAAGAAAACCAAAAAATTAAAAATTTGGCCAGGCGCAGTGGCTCACGCCTCTAATCCCAGCACTTTGGGAGGCTGAGGCTGGTGGATCTCTTGTCAGGAGTTTGAGACCAGCCTGGCCATCATGGTGAAACCCCATCTTTACTAAAAATACAAAAATGAGCCAGGCGTGGTGGCCCATGCCTGTTATCCCAGCTACTTGGGAGAAGGAGGCAGGAGAATCACTCGAACCCGGAGGGTGGAAGTTGCTGTGAGCCAAGATCATTCCACTGCACTCCAGCCTGGGCAAAAGAGCATGACTCTGCCTCAAAAAAAAAAAAAGAAAGAAAGAAAGAAAATAAAATTTTTTAAAGAAAAAATATTATAGGAGTAGAAATCAGATCAGGGGTTCCCAGGGGCTGAGTGTGAAGGAAAGTAATTGACTACAGAAAGGCTCAGGAAAACATTTTAGGATAATGGAAATATTCTATATTTTGATGGTGGTTATATAACTTATATATATTTGTCAAAATTTATAAAATTGTACCCCTAAAAGGGATAAATCTTACTATATGTAAATTCTACTTCAATAAACCTGGCTTTGAAAAAGAAACAGACAAAAACTCGGGTCAGGCTCATCTCTCCAACAAAACTTCTACGACTTTATCCAACTCCAGACTGGTTTGGGAATCTCCTTAGTTTCCATAGCAGGTGGTGCCTATGTGTTTCTTTCTGCATGTATCATATTACATTGAAATTATCTACTTTAAACAAAATTTTTAATATTTTTTTAATGTCTAGCTCTCCTACTGGATGGTGAGCTCATTAAAGTAAGAAACCATATTGTATTTGTCTTAATATCTACACACTTCACTCTCCCATCCTCCACCTTCCACTTAACCCACCATTGTCAGCATATTGATCAACCAGTGATCAAAGACCTTTCTCCTCTGATCTGCTTAGGAGGAGATCCAATGAAATCTCCTAAGTTCAGAACCTTTCTTCATGAGTTGGCCTCATCAAAATTCTCTGTTTTTATTACCTTCCAAGCCAATATGACTAAACAATTCTTAACAAGGTATTAACAACTAATGGTAAGTTACATTTATATAAAGTACATAAAATTTTAGCATAGGTTTTCAATATTTTATTTTAAAGATAGGATCCCAATGGTAGAAATATTTGAGGTGAACTAACAAACCTATAAAGGAGATATTTTTAGTGGAAGCAAATCAGTGTCTCTTGGATCTATGTAAGAATTGCTAACAATTACATGGGAACACACTAATTTTTTAAAGTAGAGAGTGATGATGTGTTTGAAAGTTTTTTGATTCCTAATAACTTATGTTCACAAAGCCATTATTCAGCCGGGAGGAGTAGAAGAAGTTGGGAAGGGTGGGCATGACACAGTAGCAACTTTATGTTCTATGCCTCCTCTGGTATCATTAGGACCCCTTGTGCACTTCAATTATAGACCAAAACCTACCCTTTATCTTTGCTACTTTCTAATGAGCATCCTTCATATAAAAGGAGTGGGGAAATAGTTCATCGTGAAAGAATGACATGCTGCTATTATTTTCATTCAGCCCATTAAGAAGACCTCCTTCCACATATACGTATGCTTCTTAAAAACCTACCAAATTATTCCAGGTTGTATGATGTATTATAGTGGTTCCCATCTGGTAGTCAGGCCTTTCACGAGTAGCCCAGGAAGGAAGCAGGGGTTTCACAACCATTACTGAGAATTCACTTGTCTTCCATTTTACTCTCCTCCTGTAAGGGTGATGTGCTGGATCCAACCACACCCTGTCTGCCATAGATTGTTCACCCCTTAGCCTGCTAGTTGTATATCACACTCATGGCAGCCTGGCAGAAATGAGACAGGATGGCATTCTGCAAAGGAGGCTGCTTGCCTAGCTTGCCCGATCAGAGCATCAAAATTTTGGGTGTGACAGTGAAGTAGGGAATAACCTATCTAGGTGTTTTCCTGAGAAAAGGGCCAACAGTTTCTATTCAATTCTCAAAGAAATCCATATAATTTAAAAGTGATGCTTTTAGAACTTTATAAGATGATATTAATAAAGTAAAACTAATATGAATAAGAAAAATTATACATATTAGAAGGCATCCTATTATTGTAACTACAGAGTAGTCAATTAGCACCTTTTGGGATCTACTCGGGGAAGAGACCTTCCTCGAATCAATAGGGTGTGTGCCTCCCATCCCTGCCTAATAATTTTGATCAATTAGTGATCAAAGACCTTTCTCCTCTGGTCTACTTAGCAAGAGATCCAGTGAAATCTCCTGGTAAGTTCAGAACCATCTTTCCTTACAGTTTACAAAACACTTTGACCCATCTCATTTGATTTTCATTCCCATTATGAGACATGGGAATTTTTATTCCTATTTCACACATAAAGAATTGAGGCTGAAAGAAGAAAAGAAGTTGGACCCCACAGCTACTTTCTACTTCCCTTCCATGGAAATTAACTCATTGCCTCTGTAATTCGACCTTAAGATGACCTTGTCTTTTCCTTCTAAAGCTTCTCTTTATGTTCTTTCAGCCAACACTTGTACAGATTCCTCAGCCTAGATTTGTTTGTAGCTTGCTTTCTTGCTTTCTGATCAGAAATCTAAGTGGCAGAGACCATGCCAGGGTCTCTGTACCTGGCAGAGACCATGCCAGGGTCATTCCAGCCTCTACCCCAGCAGTTTTGGGCTCATAAATCCTCAGTGTTTAGTAACTAGGTCGTTTTTATATGTTTACATCTGAATCCAAGTTTTGTTCTTCCTTAGTACCTTGCCAGCCATCCTACAACTCCCCACTGTCTGTGTTTTTTTTCCACTCTGACATGGAGATTCACCTGACCTCTTTAACCTCAGCCCCAGAACATATGATCACAGAAGTCCCAGGGTACCCCAGAAAAGTGGTAGAATGATTTGTAGAGAGACACATTAGGTCATGGAGCCCCATTCTTCTCCAAATCCCAACTCTTTCCACACAATAGCCTCTTCCCACACAATACCACCAGCACTCTCTGTTACTTCAGTATTTGGAGTAACTTTGATCAACTCAAAATTAGTTATAATTTGCTGTAAATACAGTTTAATTACTGGGCCACCATTGGCCCCTTCTCCTCCCCTATCACTTATAAAACTGATGTCCTACAGTAGAAGACAAACCAGATGACTTCTGAATTATCTTCCATTAGCACCCAGTTTAAATTCGCTTAATACTGTGGAAGCTAGAAAAGGGAAAGCAAGCTGGCTAAGAATAAGACTTGCCTAGAATTAATGTTTGCAGATTTGATGCTATCTTTGTCACAGAATTAGCATGTATTCTGCCTCATCCAAATTGCTTTCTCTTTCTCCTCTCTGTCCTCTTCCAGAGCTCCCAGCATTGGCTGGAATGTAGGACAGAATTTCCCACAACATGCAGACATCACCCATCTGTCTCTAATTTCACAAAATGACAAACTGAAATGGCCCTGAGAGCCAAAATTTCTATTTCATTCTTCTCTCTGATATTCCAGTAAGGCCAGTGGATTTTCTTTTATTTCAGTATAAGTTGGGAATTTAAGGCAGAATTGAGAAAAGAGAAAGTAGACCCTGAGAATCTCATTGCTATGCTAATGATGAGAATTTGCAAGGAGCTGAACCACTCACACCCAGTCAAATTGCAATCAGCCCAGGAATTAGTTTAGCATATTTTCAACATCATAGAAACTACTGCATTTCCCCTAAAAAATATAAACCAAAAGACTCTTTTGAAACCCAGAACATCTCTCTGAACTTTGGCAGGGTGGGATACACGTCTTACCCTATTGTTGAGTCTTATTCAGCAATTGCAGTCAAAGACTTTGTGTCTCAGACATGGACTTGGTTATGAAAGTCAGCATTTCTGAAACAAGATGACTTCTGAATTCTCTTATTCAGAGGTCCCTAAAATATACTGAGGTGTGCTTGTATGTGTGTGCATAGATAACTCCAAAAAATCATGAATGAGGATGAAATAGTATTTTCAAATGCTTCACATTTGACTGGACTATTGTTTTGCAGGAATTAATTCTAACAAAATATGTAGACTAAAGCTCAGGGAATGGGGCCCGATGTTGCAGCATGCACCTGCAGCCCCAGCCACTTGGGAGGTTGAGGTAGGAGAATAGCTTGAGCCCAGGAGTTTGAGTTCAGCCTGGGCAACATAGCAAGACCCCCATCTCCAAAAAACAAAAAAAACTCAGGGAATGGGCACACAGTATTAGTCATTCCCTTGAGAAGAAATATGCATGCCCAAAAATAAAGCAGTCCAGAACGTATTCAATTTGAAATCAGAAGTCCTGAGCTTTCATCCTGGTCTTAGTTTGAGGTGGGCTGAGCCTTAGCTTCACCCACCTGCAAAAATGGAGTGAACAGCGGAGCATTCTTTAGAGCAGGTGGTATCACAAGTACTTGAGGAACACAGTTAAGATGCAGCACTTGATAAAAGGAAGATCTAATTAACAGTTACAGAAAGTTGTAATTGATCTTAGGTGGCCAACTGTCTAAGTTTGGGCTTTCCCAAGGCACAGCCTGAGAGTTGGACTTGAGTACAGGTGGCTTATTGGGAGCTGATCCCAGGAAGCAGGAATGAGGGACTGGGAGAGTCATAAAGGAGGGCGCACCAATGCCAAGGGTCATCATCAAGCACACTGTGGTGTACACAGGGGCTCAATTCCACTGCAATTCCTGAGAAGGGTACAGAATGCCTCCCAAAATAGGCCACCTGAAAGACAGTGGAGCATCTATCCACCAGTTCCAATCCCTATTGGCTAAAGTTTGGCCCCGGGGCACTAACTCTCTTGCATTGCTTCAGTAAGCTCCTCCTGCAGCTGAAGAAGGATCTGGGGCAGAATGAAAGAAAACACAAGTTGAGAGCTTGAGGTGGGATTCCAGCAGCCTACAGTGAGTATGAGCTCACATAGAGTTGCCTACCAGAGCTGAGGCTAAAATCACTGGTGGTCTTGGGCATTGATGTGGGCACCACAGCATTTCCTACACCAAGCTAAGATTCACTCGCAGTGTTCCCATACTTATTCCATCCTCAGAAATAATCAACAGAACCTGGCCATCATTTTCCTTATTATCAACTATTCTGCCTTGGATGATTTCTCCTTGAAAAGTCATATCCCTTTGCTCTCAGGCCTTTGCATACATTGCTGCTAATTTTTGGAACACTTTCCCTGCCCACTCTTCCCCATCCTGTGTACACTTTGCTATCTGGTCTCAGCTTAAAAATTATTTGCCTCAGGAAGCTTTCCCTGATCCCAGGGTATGGCATTTGCCCAAGCTGTGCGTACCCAATGAACATGGTAAAGCTTGTTTGTGCTATTTACCTCATTTTATACTGCCATTGTTTATAATATCTGCTCCTCTAAGCATATAGGCATACAAGCATTCAGTGTATCACTTCGGTGAGCTCAGGAAACTTGCTCTTTTGTTAAAAGAAATATTTGCAAAACCTAATGTAGTGCCTGGCACAAAAGCTAATCTGTTTTGTTGTTGTTGTTGTTCAATGGACTGATGAGTGGATGGGTCAGTGAATAAATGAATTGATGAGAAAGGAAAAAACATCAATTGTCACTTAAATCTGTCTGAAAGTCTGCTTTGCTCAGGAGGTCCTGGTCCCTTCTTCCTGCTGCATTGTCTTCAGAGTGATTATTCTGGAGCTTTATTTCCAGGACCTCCTGCCTGCTGGGCCTTTCTGGGAAGAAAAAAGTACAAGTCAGTTGCTGCAGAGTTGTCCTTGGAATTTCTCTATCTCCACATTTCTGCCCTACACCCAGCTGACTGTGCCCTAGGGGTCATCTTCTTGGTTTGTTTTGTGGGTAGGACACACAGGAATAAGCAGTACTGTTAGTTTTAGTCCTGGCCTTTCAAACCCAGTTTTTTTTTCTTAAGCAGAGATGCTCTCTTCGCTGTCAAACTGCCTGTGTCCTCCTCACCTCTCACTCTTTTTGACTTTGTCACTCTCAAAGGATGCAAGCCTTGTACAAGAGCAGAGAAGAGAGGAGGGCAATGGAAACCCTCCTCCAGCAAGCTGCGTTCTTTCCACCACAAAGAGCCAAGGAAAATGTTCCTCTGGGGTGCAATCAGGGCCAGGGCTCCTCTGACTCAACCCCCAGATGACCTAATAAATAGCAAGAAGAGGACAGAACATTCTAGGAGTCAGAAAGTCTCCCCATAAATGCCAGAGGAAGTGCAGAACAGTATCACAAGAGACCACAAGGGATCATAGAGCTGCCCGAATTGGCATAAGGCCACAAGTGCCCTCATAAATGACCAGAATATTACAGTAGGGGATCCCACAGCAGGCTCGGAAGGCCAGCAAGTCTGTATGAGGGACACGGGCACAGGGAAGAGGTCCTGAGTTCAGGTGCATCGCTGATGCCTGGGATGACAATCTCAGTCCAAATCCTGGAGTGACAGAGATGTGGCCAGGATCCAGTTGCTACCTACAGTTCTTCATTCAGGCCACGCTACTTCTTGCCTCCTCAGTGCCTGCTGTCTTTTCCGCCTGTAAGGTGCTCTTCCCTACTCCCTACCCTACTATTCTCGTATTGCTACCTGAGTTTGGCTAAGTTTGCTTATCCTTGTTCCCTGATCTCCCTCTCCCTGCATTGTCCCACAGTGTCTGCCTCCCCTGCTACCCTGTGAGGACCCAGAGGAGAGAGCCATCTTATTCGTGTGTGTATCTAAAGGGCCTTAGATGATGCCCTGCCTAGAGTAGGTCCCTCAATCAAACTGAATAAATGAATGAATGAATGAGTTTACAAATTATTTGAGACCAGATCTTCAAGAGAAGGCAAAAGCTATTTATCAGAACAGACACAAAACCAGAGTGAGACCATCAATGAATATAATATGAGACAGAGTCCTAAAGTCCCAGACAATTTCTCCTTAAAACCCCTCTACCAGAAGTCAAGATTAGTGTACGTTTTTGAGATGAAACTGAGTTTATAGATAAAAGTTTCACAGCCTCAACTCTGCTTGGCAGAGACTAAAGTCAGGCAGACTGACAGTATTTGCGGTGGACTGATTCTTTGATTCCCCTGACTTGGCAAGAGTTAGGACAATTTGGAAGTGACAGATGGGTAGGAGGAAATAAAGTGGTACTTGTTTTTAAGGGTAAAACCAGTACAAATATAATTGACCTGCTGAAATCTCTCCAGCCTAATTTTTTTCCTCCACACTCAATGTGCTCCAGCCTCCTCAGCCTTCTCTCAGTTTGTTGAATATACCTAGCTCTTCACTGCCTCAGGGCCCTTGGACATGCTATTTTCTCTGCCTCACATTTATGTCTACCTACATTTTAAAATATAAACTCCTTCTTTTCTACAAGTTTTAGCTTAAGTGATAATCTTCAGTGAAGCTCTTCATAGCCACTCTATTAAAAGCATTTGTCACCCATCACAGCCCATTAAATCTCAACCTCTTCTCTTTTTTGCACTTATCATGGTTATACAATCTTTAATTACTTCATTTATTTATCTACTTATTAGTGGTCATGAAGGGGATAGTCCCCCATACTGGGACATAATTTCATAACAACAGTGACCTAGGCTAGCTTGTTCATTATTTTATCTTCAGCACTTAACATATCACTAGGAACCCAGTCAGAGGTCATTGTTATCAGTCCTGTTGTTGTTGCTGTCACTATTATTTTCAAAAGAATTTCTGCAGCATTTATAAAACTGAACTGATTTATCAAATCATGTACTCAGGCTTGAGTTTCTTCATTTTCTACATATTTTGTGTATCTTGTTTCAGAAGCATTTGCTAATGCTTGCGGGACCATCTCAGCATTCAGCAATACATATTAAAGAATGGCATGTAGGTCTGAGTCTACCTTGTGAATAAATCCCTCCTAATAAAAGAAAATGAGATTTCATGATTAAGGGGTTTAGAAATAATCAAGAGAGGGTTAAAAATAAAACTAGCGGAGGCCGAGTAGACCAAAGAATAGCTACTGGCATGCCTTCCAAAATAATGTCCCAGATTATGATTTCACATGAAAAAAATAAAATAATTGCTTGCCAAGCCATATAAAAAGCATGAATTCTGGGAGAACTTAAACAGAAACTAAATCTTGATAGACCTATAGAGTATAGAACTCTCCCAGAATCCACTTTTGCTGGCCATTCTGAATGTTCCCTAGTCTAGCTTTCCATCATCATGGTGATGTGGTACCATCAGTAGTAATCAGTTGGGTAATGATGTGGTACCATCATTACCCAACCTTGGCCTGCTGTGTTAATTTTTTTTTTTTTTTTTTTTTTTTGAGACTGAGTCTCACTGTGTCACCAGGCTGGAGTGCAGTGGCACGATTTCAGCTCACTGCAACCTCCGCCTCCCAGGTTCAAGCGATTCCACTGCCTCAGCCTCCTGAGTAGCTGGGACTACAGGCATGTGCCACCATGCCCAGCTAACTTTTTTTTGTATTTTAGTAGAGACGGGGTTTTACCGTGTTGGCCAGGATGGTCTCGATCTCCTGACCTCATGATCCGCCTGCCTTGGCCTCCCAAAGGGCTAGGATTACAGGCGTGAGCCACTGCACCTGGCCTGTGTTAATTTTTTAAATTTCCCTAAGGAAAGTTTTTAAATGAACTCTACCAGTTTGCAAATACTGGAAGAAGTCCCTGCTCAGGCCCCAGGTATTTTAAACATTAGCCCTTTTTTTTTCCATGTTTGTCTTATCACAGCAGTCAAGCCATGTCCCATCTCCTTTAAACTAGATTTCAAAACTAATGAGTTGTAAACAAAATGTTCCTTCCTACAGGGAATACTAGTAGCTTTGTCTGCAGAAGGCTTAAAAATAAACATCAGACAGGAGAAGCTGGCAAGATGGCCTAAAAGGAAGAGCTCCGGTCTGCGGTTCCCAGTGAGACCAATGCAGGAGGTGGGTGATTTCTGCATTTCCAAATGAGGTACCCAGTTTATCTCATTGGGACTGGTTAGACACTGGGTGCAGCCCATGGAGGGTGAGCAGAAGCAGGGTGGGGTGTTGGCTCACCCGGGAAGTGCAGGGGTCAGGGAACTCCCTCCCATAGCCAGGGGAAGCCATGAGGGACAGTGCCTTGAGAGACAGTGCTGTCCAGCCCAGATACTACACTTTTTCCACAATCTTTGCAACCCACAGACCAGAAGATTCCCTCGGGCGCCTACACAACCAGGGCCCTGTGTTTCAAGCTCAAAACTGGGTGGCTGTTTGGGCAGACAGCAAGCTAGCTGCAAGAGTTTTTTTCATACCCTAGTGGCATCTGGAAAGCCAGTGAGACACAACCATTCACTCCCCTGGAAAAGGGGGCTGAAGCCAGGGAGCCAAGTGGTCTTGCTAAGCAGATCCCAGCCCCATGGAGCCCAGCAAGCTAAGAGCCACTGGCTTGAAATTCTTGCTACCAGAACAGCAGTCTGAAGTGCATCTGGGATGCTCCAGCTTGGTGGGGGAAGGGGCATCTGCTAATACGGAGGCTTGAGTAGGGGGGTTTCCCCTCACAGTGTAAACAAAGCCACTAGGAAGTTTGAACTGGGTGCAGAACACACCACAGTGCAGCAAACCCACAGTAGCCAGACTGCCTCTCTAGATTCTTCCTCTCTGGGCAAGGCATCTCTGACACAAAGCCAGCAGCCCCAGTCAGGGGCTTATAGATAAAACTCCCATCTCCCTGGGATGGAGCACCAGTGGAAGGGGCAGATGTGGGTACAGCTTCAGCAGACTTAAACGTTCCTGCCTGCCTGCTCTGAAGAGAGCAGTGGATCTCCCAGCACAGCACTCAAACTCTGCTAAGGGACAGACTGCCTCCTCAAGTTGGTCCCTGACCCCTCTGCCTCCTGACTGGGAGACATCTCCCAGCAGGGGTGGATATACACCTCATACAGGAGAGCTCCGACTGGCATCTGGCAGATGCCTCTCTGGGATGAAGCTTCCAAAGGAAGAAACAGGCAGCAATCTTTCTTGTTCTGCAGCCTCTGCTGGTGATATTCAGGCAAACAGGGTCAGGAGTGGACCTCCAGCAAACTCCAGCAGACCTGCAGAATAGGGGACTGACTGTTAGAAGGAAAACTGACAAGCAGAAAGCAATAGCATCAACAGCAACAAAAAGGGCACACCTGCAAAAACTCCATCCAAAAGTCACCAGCATCAAAGACCAAAGGTAGATAAATCCACAAAGATGAGGAAAAACCAGAGCAAAAAGTCTGAAAATTCCAAAAACCAGAATGCCTCTTCTCCTCCAAAGGATCACAACTCCTCGCCAGGAAGGAAACAAAACTGGACAGAGAATGAGTTTGATGAATTGATAAAAGTAGATTTCAGAAGCTGGGTAACAACAAACTCCTCTGAACTAAAGGAGCATGTTCTAACCCAATGCAAGGAAGCTAAGAACCTTGATAAAAGGTTACAGGAACTGCTAACTAGAATAACCAGTTTAGAGAAGAACATAAATGACCTGATGGAGCTGAAAAACACAGCATGAGAACTCCGTGAAGCATATACAAATATCAATAGCCAAATCAATCAAGCAGAAGAAAGAATATCAGAGATTGAAGATCAATTTAACGAAATAAAGCATGAAGACAAGATTAGAGAAAAAGAATGAAAAGGAATGAACAAAGCCTCCAAGAAAATTGGGACTATGTGAAAAAACCAAACCTACGTTTGATTGATGTACCTGAAAGTGACAGGAGAATGGTACCAAGCTGGAAAACACTCTTCAGGATATTTTCCAGGAGAAATTCCCCAACCTAGCAAGGCAGGCCAAAATTCAAATTCGGGAAATACGGAGAACACCACAAAGATACTCCTCAAGAAGAGCAAGCCCAAGACACACCATCAGACTAACAACGGAACTCTCTGCAGAAACCCTACAAGGCAGAAGAGAGTGGGTCCAATGTTCAACTCTCAGCTCTGGACCAACCCAGAATTTCATACCCAGCCAAACTAAGGTTATTAAGCAAATGAGAAACAAAATCCTTTACAGACAAGCAAATGCTGAGGGATTTTGTCACCACCAGGCCTGCCTTACAAGAACTCCTAAAGGAAGCACTAAATATGGAAAGGAAAAACCAGAACCACCCACTGCAAAAACATACCAAATTGGGAAGACCGTCAACACTATGAAGAAACTGCATCAACTAAAGTGCAAAATAACCAGCAAGTATTAAAATGACAGGATCAAATTCACACATAACAATATTAACCTTAAATATAAATTGAATAAATGTCCCAATTAAGAGACACAGACTGGCAAATTGAATAAAGAGTCAAGACACGGCCAGGTGCAGTGGCTCACACCTGTAATCCCAACACTTTGGGAGGCCAAGGCAGGCGGATCACGAGGTTAGGAGATCGAGACCATCCTGGCTAACAGAGTGAAACCCCATCTCTACAAAAATACAAAACAAAAAAAAAATTAGCCGGCCGTGGTGGCAGGCGCCTGTAGTCCCAGCTGCTCCGGAGGCAGGAGAACAGTGTGAACCTGGGAGGTGGAGCTTGCAGTGAGCCGAGATGGCGCCACTGCACTCCAGCCTGGGTGACAGAGTGAGAATCCGTTTCAAAAAAAAAAAAAGAGTCAAGACCCATCAGTGTGCTCTATTCAGGAGACCCACCTCACATGCAAAGACACACAAAGTCTCAAAATAAAGGGATGGTGGGAGATCTACTAAGGAAATGGAAAGCAAAAAAAAAAAAAAGCAGGGGCTGCAATCTTAGTCTCTGATAAAACAGACTTTAAACCACAAACAGCAAAAGGGACAAAGAATTGCATTACATAATGGTAAAGGGATCAATGCAACAAGAAGAGCTAACTATCATAAATAAATATGCACCCAATACAGGAGCACCCAGATTCATAAAGCAAGTTCTTAGAGACCTACAAAGAGACAGACTCCCACACAATAATAGTAGGAGACTTTAACATCCCACTGTCAATATTAAACAGATGAATGAGACAGAAAATTAACAAGGATATTCAGGACTTGAACTCAGCTCTGGACCAAATAAACCTAACAGATATCTACAGAACTCTTCACCACAAATTAACAGAATATACAATCTTCTCAGCAGCACATTTCACTTATTCTAAAATTGACCACATAATTGGAAGTAAAACACTCCTCAGCAAATGCAAAAGAACAGAAATTATAACAAATAATGTCTCAGACCACAGTGCAATCAAATTAGAACTCAGGATTAAGAAACTCACTCAAAACCACACAACTATATGGAAACTGCACAACTTGCTCCTGAATGACTACTGGGTAAACAATGAAATGAAGGCAGAAATAAATAAGTTCTTTGAAACCAATGAGAACAAAGACATAACATACAAGAATCTCTGGGACACAGCTAAAGCAATGCTTAGAGGGAAATTTATAGCACTAAGTGCCCACATGAGAAAGCGGGAAAGATCTAAAATTGATACCCTAACGTCACAATTAAAAGAACTAGAGAAGCAAGAGCAAATAATTTTGAAAGCTAGCAGAAGACAAGAAATAACTAACATCAGAGCAGAACTGAAGGAGATAGAGACACGAAAAGGCCTTCAAAAAATCAATGAATCCAGGAGCTGGTTTTTTGAAAATATTAACAAAATAGATAGACCACTAGCCAGACTAATAAAGAATAAAAGAGAGAAGAATCAAATAGACAAAATAAAAAGTGATAAAGAGGATATCACCACTGATCTCACAGAAATACGAACTACCATCAGAGAGTACTATAAACACCTCTATGCAAATAAACTAGAAAATCTAGAAGAAATGGATAAATTCCTGGACACATACACCCTCCCAAGACTAAACCAGGAAGAAGGTTACCTGAATAGGCAAGGAACAAGTTCTAAAATTCAGGCAGTAATAAATAGCCTACCAGCCAAAAAAAGCCCAGGACCAGACGGATTCACAGCCAAATTCCACCAGAGGTACAAAGAGAAGCTGGTACCATTCCTTCTGAAACTCTTTCAAACAATAGAAAAAGAAGGACTCCTCCCTAACTCATTTTATGAGGCCAGCATCATCCTGATACCAAAACCTGGTGGAGACACAACAAAAAAAAGAGAATTTCAGGCCAATATTCCTGATGAATATCGATGCAAAAATCCTCAATAAAATACTGGCAAACCAAATGCAGCAGCCCATCAAAAAGCTTATCCATGATCAAGTTGGCTTCATCCCTGGGATGCAAGGCTGATTCAACATACGCAAATCAATAAACGTAATCCATCACATAAACAGAACCAATGACAAAAACCACCTGATTATCCCCAGAGAAGCAGAAAAGGCCTTCAATAAAATTCAATGCCCAGTCATGCTAAAAAAAACTCTCAATAAACTAGGTATTGATGGAACATATTTCAAAATAATAAGCTATTTATGACAAACCCACAGCCAATATCACACTGAATTGGCAAAAGTTGGAAGTATTCCCGCTGAAAACCTGCAAAAGACAAAGATGTCCTCTCTCACCACTCCTATTCAACGTAGTATTGGAAGTTCTGGCCAGGGCAATCAGACAAGAGAAAGAAATAAAGGGGATTGACATAGGAAGAAAGGAAGTCAAATTTTCACTGTTTGCAGATGACACGATTGTGTATCTAGAAAACCCCATTGTCTCAGCCCAAAATCTTCTTAAGCTGATAAGCAACTTCAGCAAAGTCTCAGGATACAAAATCAATGTGCAAAAATCACAGGCATTCCTATAAACCAATAATAGACAAACAGAGAGCCAAATCATGAGTGAACTCCCATTCACAATTGCTACAAATAGAATAAAATACCTAGGAATAAAACTTACAAGGGATGTGAAGGACCTCTTCAAGGAGAACTACAAACCACTGCTCAAGGAAATAACAGAGGACATGAACAAATGTAAAAACAGTCCATGCTCATGGATAAGAAGAATCAACATCATGAAAATGGCCATATTGCCCAAATTAATTTATAGATTCAATTGTATCCCCTTCAAGTTACCATTGACTTTCTTCACAGAATTAGAAAAAACTACTTTAAATTTCATATAGAACCAGAAAAAAGAGCTTGTATAGCCAAGACAATCCTAAGCAAAAAGAACAAAGCTGGAGGCATCACACTACCTGACTTCAAACTATACTACAAGGCTACAGTAACCAAAACAGCATGGTACTGGTACCAAAATAGATATATAGACCAATGGAACAGAACAGAGGCTTCAGAAATAACACCACACATCTACAACCATCTGAACTTTGACAAATCTGACAAAAACAAGAAATGGGGAAAGGATTCCCCATTAATGGGGATAAATGGTGGGATAAATGGTGTTGGGAAAACTGGCTAGCCATATACAGAAAACTGAAACTGGACCCCTTCCTTGCACCTTATACAAAAATTAACTCAAGATAGTTTAAAGACTTAAATGTAAGACCTAAAACCATAAAAACCCTAGAAGAAAACCTAGGCAGTACCATTTAGGACATAGGCATGGGCAAAGACTTCATGACTAAAACACAAAAAGCAATGGAAAAAAAAAAGCCAAAATTGACAAATGGGATCCAATTAAACTAAAGAGCTTCTGCACAGCAAAAGAAACTGTCAGCAGAGTGAACAGGCAACCTACAGAATGGGAGAAAAGTTTGCAATCTATCCATCTGACAAAGGGCTAATATCCAGAAACTACAAGGAACTTAAACAAATTTACTAGAACAAAAAAACTCCATCAATAAGTGGGTGAAGGATAGAACAAATACTTCTCAAAGGAAGACATTTATGTGGCCAAAACATGAAAAACAGCTCATCATCACTGGTCATCAGAGAAATGTAAATCAAAACCACAATGAGATACCATCTCATGCCAGTTAGAATGGCAGTCATTCAAAAGTCAAGAAACTGCTGAAGAGGATGTGGATAAACAGGAATGCTTTTACACAGTTGGTACTAGTGTAAACTAGTTCGACCATTGTGGAAGACAGTGTGGTGATTCCTCAAGGATCTAGAACTAGAAATACCATTTGACCCAGCAATCCCATTACTGGGTATGTACCCAAGGGATTATAAATCATTCTACTATAAAGACACATGCACACATATGTTTATTGTGGCACTATTCACAATAGCAAAGACTTTGAACCAACCCAAATGCCCATCAATGATAGACCAGATTAAGAAAATGTGGCACATATACACCATGGAATACTATGCAGCCATAAAAAAGACTGAGTTCATGTCCTTTGTAGGGAGATGGATGAAGCTTGAAACCATCATTCTCAGCAAACTAACACAGGAACAGAAAACCAAACACTGCATGTTCTCACTCATAAGTGGGAGTTGAACAATGAGAACATATGGACACAGGGTTAGGAACATCACACACTGGGGCCTGTTGGGAGGTGGGGGGTAAGGGGAGGGATAGCATTAGGCAAAATACCTAATATAGATGACATGTTGATGGGTGCAGCAAACCACCATGGCATATGTATACCTATGTAACAAACCTGCACGTTCTGCATATGTATCCCAGAATTTAAAGTACAATTTTAAAAAAAAGGAATACAGAAAAAAAAAATGAACATAACTTTCAAAGTCAGGGCACAAAACTTTGCTAGTCATCCCTGCTATTCAACTCTCTTCCACACAGCCTTTAAGGTTCAGTCCAAGCTCTGCAACTTCATACAAATCTGCTATTCCTCCAGAACACAGTGGCCATCCTGAGCACTCTGAGTTTGAACCCGCAGCTCAAGATTTTATTTTCTCTAGTTGTATAAGATAAAGGAGGAACAAAGTCAGATGTGTTGGGAGAAGCAGGAGAAAAAAGATACTAAATCTTGGCAAGGACTTTGTTTTGCATATTACATAGGCAACCTCATTTAATTCTCACCACAATCCTATAAATAAGAATTATTCTTCACCATTTCCAAGATGAGAAAACGGAGGTCCATGCTATACTAAGAAACTTGCCTGCAGTCTAGAGCCAGTAAACATTAAAGGCAGAATTTGAATCCAGGTCTTTACCACAAAATATGCTCTGTCCTCTACATCGCAGAATTAGTTTTATCTCCTCTCCTCCTTCACCCCCAGGAACAGATCATACAAGGAAACAGATAAGAAAGATGAAGGATATGAAAATGATAGCATGTTTCAAAAGTAAATATTTATATCAGGCATCTATCAGGTGCAAAGCAGAACCCTCAGAGGTTTGGAGAAGAGAAAGGGAAGTCTACATCATGGAGGGAAAGAAAGCTGTTTATACAGCATTGGGCACTGTAGCAGATATGCTCTTGACAAAGTGAATACAACACACAGGGGGGATATTCAGAACAGAGGAGACCAGTAAGCATCTGCAGGCTGTCTGCTGGTTATACCACATCTGCCAGGTTTGGTGTAGTTTTAGTCACTAGGGCACGTGTGCTGTGGAATCCACAAGAAGAGCATGAGGATATTCATGCTCAGGAGGTCATGGTTAAATCTTCAAACAGCTAAACAGCTATCTTTTGTAAACAAGAAACTTGAAAATGTTCTGTGCAACTCTAAAAAACAAAACTGGAACTAAAGAAGGAATGCTACAGGGAGGTCCATTTCTGCCTCCTATAGGACAGAATTCTGACAGTTCATTAGAATGAATCACCTCTGGACATTGGCAGCTGTCATTGTTGACATGATTATGCAGCTTGGAAAGCCATTTATCAAGTATATGGTAAAAGAGATTCATGTATGGGGAATTAAGATTGGCCTGAAGACCTCTGAGATCCCACTCAGCTCTATAATTCTATGACTCAACTTGCATTTAATAGAGCTTTATCTCACTGCAGAGAAATTTGTATTAATTTCCTATTGCCACCATAACAAATCACCACAAACTTAGTGGCTTAAAACAACAGAAATGTATTATCTTACAATTCTGTAGGTTAGAAGTCTGCTCAAAATTCTGCAGGTTAGGTCTCATTGGGCTAAAATCAAAGTGTTGGCAGGACTGCATTCATTTCTCAGGCTCTAGAGGAGAATCCATCCCTTGCGTTTTCCAGCTTCTTGACTCATGGCCCCCTTCCTCTATCTTCAAAGCCAGCAATGGTGGGTCGAGTCCTTCTCACCTCACATTATTCTGCCCTCCTCTCTCCTTTTCTTCCACTTTTACGGACCCTTGTGATTACAGTGGACCCATTCAGACTATCTAGGACAGTCTCTCTAAGTTAAAGTCAACTATTTGGCAATCGGAATTCCATCTGCAACCTTAATTCCCCTTTGCCATGCAACATAACATACTCACAGTTTCCAGGAATCAGATGTGGATACCTTTGGGAGGGAACTTCATTCTGCCTACCAAAATGAGGTTCTGAAAAATGCCACTAGAACATTCTCCACTTCAGGAGGTCATGAGAGTTAATAACACAGGCTGTGACGCTGCCTTTCCTAAAGTTCACAGGGTATGGGATAAGGAATTGGCAAGAGTACACCAGGCCTCCATGGGTTATGTGGAACTCAGCTTCTACCTAACACAAACCAACTAAATAATATAGTAGAAAATATTTTTCTGTTGGGTAAGTTTTACCTCTTATCATAGATGCCAAATGACCTAACTGAACATTGACTCCTAAACATATATTGAGACCAAAGGCTTTAGGTAGCTAAGCAAATGAATCAACTAAAATTATCTAACAAATTATCTAACCAAGGTACCAGGCTAGTAAGAAAGGAAAAATTCGAAACACTAAAAAGCAGCTCTTCTGTCTTTTCTTTCACAACCAGAGGTCACCACCATATACTGGAAACTAGACGCAACTTTGATGCACCACTCTCACCCATAGCAGACACTCCTACTCCTTCACTCTTCCCATAGCCTGTGACAGCCTTCAGGAGTCTTCTTCAGTCTATGCCCCAGGTAGGCACTAGAAATTATCAGAGTTGGCACATGAGAAAAAAACCTATTTGCCGTCTCCTCAGGAAAGACTCTGTGTTCCGTGGGTTGGGATTTAAGACTGATGTTTTAGTAATTATTGTGTACAAGACAATGAACTAGAAATGTGCCTTCAGAAACAAAATGTACACTTATAATTTCAGCTGCCTAAGGATTACAGTCTAATAGCTCTTACTGCTATTTTGTTTCTTGTTAATACAATTCCCTATCTTATACCATACTTTGTATTTATCTAAAGTTTTATCCTTATACTACCCTGGGATCTCTTGTCATTTGAATCACAATGGAATTCCTAGTTGAAGCAGAAAAAGGAATTAATTTGCTACCATCCTCAAAAATCCAGGCATAGATTTGGCTTTGGCCCTTCCCAGGGTCTCAGATGATGCTACTGGACCAGCACTGCCCTCATCCCCACTAACCCCTCTGCCTTCCTCTGATGGCTTCATTCTCCTACAGGCTATTGCCCGTGGAGATGAGATGGCTCCAAGAAGCTCCAGGCTTACCTCTCATCTCATCAGTAGGAAGGAAAATGCTCTTTCTCTGTATCCCTCTACAAAGAACCTGAACAGAATTTACTTTTAGTGACTTTTCATTGTCCTAGCTGGGGTCATGTGCTCATCTGCAAACCAATGACTATGACAAGAGAAATGCAAGCCTCTAATTAGCCAGCCCTCAGTCAACTGTTCACTCCTGGAGCAGGGATTACATTCAGTGTCATTTGAACCACATGAAACAAAACAAAGAAAGAAATGGATCCCCCAGGGAAAATTGGTATACTGTTACCAAAGGGAAAACAGATACTGGGTAGACAGAAACATTAAACAATTACTATACTTAGGTGACAATTTGAGTCAGAATATTAGCTGCTCTCTGGTCCAGTATTAGCTAACAGCAAGACAGAGAAGAGAGCGTCATAATTTGAACAGGAATAGGGATTGGGGAGACTACAAAGCCTGGAGTACAGCCCAAGGAAGTGGGACATAAATGGGACACCACAGTACAAGGACCATGGGCAATTTGCATGATATCTTGGGAAGAAAGTCCGGAAGATATTCAACAGCCACTGAAAACGGAGGACTCACCAAATTTACAAGCCTCATTTATTTTGCCTAACCCTGAAATAACTTCTAAGAAAATAAAAAATAAAGGAAGGCAAAAGGACTTGGGATCAGGCAACCCAACTTTTAGCCCCACCACTTACCAGTGAATGGTGTTGTCTTGGGCATGTCACTTATCATCTCAAAGCCACAGTTTGTTCTTCTATGAAATGAAACTTATGGTTAATTTCTAACTCACAAAGAATTAAATGTTGTCATGTGTGTAAGAATCATTTCTAAATGTGCTGCAACAAACCCTTCTATTCATATGCCTGTTGCAATGAGGCTTGGTGGATCCTCTCATCTACTTACCCTCCTTTTGAATCTGATTCTGAGTTGGCTCTGTGAGTTGCTTTGTCCAAAAGAATGAGGTAGAAGTGACAAGTGCCTTCTAAGGTTAGCCTATAAGAGCCCATGCAGCTTCCAGTTTTGCATTTTTGGAAAACTCCTTCTTAGAAGCCCATCACCACTCCATGAAGAAGCTAAAGCTAGAATATAGAATAAGGAGAAGGCACATACAGAGAGACTCTGGAAAATGAGAAGACATCTCTTTTATATATATATGCTTTAAGTTCTAGGGCACATGTGCACAATGTGCAGGTTTCTTATATAGGTATACATGTGCCATGGTGGTTTGCTGCACCCATCAACTCATCATTTACATTAGGTATTTCTCCTAACCCTATCCCTCCCCCAGCCCTCCACCCCCCAACAGGCTCTGGCATGTGATGTTCCCCTCCCTGTGTCCATGTCTTATTGTTCAACTCCCACTTATGAGTGAGAACATGCAGTGTTTGGTTTTCTGTCCTTGTGATATTTTGCTGAGAATGATGGTTTCCAGCTTCATCCATGTCCCTGCAAAGGACATGAACTCATCCTTTTCTATGGCTGCATAGTATTCCATAGTGTATATGTGCCACATTTTCTTTATCCTGTCTATCATTGATGGACATTTGCATTGGTTCCAAGTCTTTGCTATTACGAATAGTGTCACAATAAACATGAGTGTGCATGTGTCTTTATAGCAGCATGATTTATAATCCTTTGGGTATATACCCAGCAATGAGATGGCTGGGTCAAATGGTATTTCTGGTTCTAGATCCTTGAGGAATCACCACACTGTCTTCCACAATGGTTAAACTAATTTACACTCCCACCAACAGTGTAAAAGCATTCCTATTTCTCCATATCCTCTCCAGCATCTATTGTTTCCTGACTTTTTAATGATCGCCATTCTAACTGGCGTGAGATGGTATCTCACTGTGGTTTTGATTTGCATTTCTCTGATGACCAGTGATGATGAGCATTTTTTCATATGTCTGTTGGCTGCATAAATGTGAGAAGACATCTTGAATATGCCAATCCTAGTTGAGCTCTCAGCTAAATGTAGCTGCACAAGTGTTCTCAGCTGCATCACATCATGGAGCAAAAGAACAGCCCAGCTGACCCTGGTTAACCCACAGAATCATGAGAAATAATAAAGCATTGTTTTAATACACCAAATTTTAGGAAGGTTTACAACACAGAACTGGTGTCTGAGACAATGAGTATACATAGAGTTTCTATGGTTCTTGTCATCTTTTTTCTGCAGTTTTCTCAAAAGGAATGTTATTACACTTTAGGAAGAACAATTCCTCATTTGTGAGAAAGCCTCATGTTTTGCAGTACACTCAGCATCACTGGTCTTGCCTGCTATATTCCAGTAGTGCTCTGCAGTCACTGAAAGAATCAAAGACATCACCCCCACAGGCCTAAAATTCCCTGTTGTTAGCGAAACCCAAACAGAGCAATTACTTCTGGGAAGGTGAGTACTTCAGAGGTTAGATTCACTAATTATAAGGCAGGAATTACATTCTATCTGTATGTCCTGATTATTATGATTTGAAATACCTCTTTCCCTGGAACTTCATGCTGCCTTCAAAGAAGTGGGCTGTATTAGGCCATACCTAAAGTGAGTTTACAATGTCCATAAAATTATATCATGCTATTTGATAGTAAGCAATGCAACCAGATGTGATAAATATGGGTGGATTTGATCTTGAAAGGTCTCCAAAGAAAACTATCATCTACCACTAAGTTCAATTTATGTCAAAAACGTTAACATTCATCCTCTAATTTGCCTCATTTATTTAGTGCTTTTGGAATCTGGAGAAAATAAATAAATGAACATTATTGTTGGCTGCATGATCATCTTTGTCCTTTCCCTTGGTGGATCCTTGTAATGGAAGCGCCTGCATTTAACAGATCGACAACAAAAGACAGGGTATTATGAAATGAAACTTCTCTAAGATAAATATTACTTTCCAGGAAGCAGAGGACTTGAGAAGTGACCTGCTAAAAGAGAGTTGTCATTAATCATAAAGATCTCTGTTCTTTGTAAACACCAGGAAGGACTACAACCTTATCTGTTAATTTCACCACAGTGGGATTTCAAAGTTTATGTTTTTGTTTTTGTTTTTTTTTCCTGGAGAGTTTCACATTTCCAAGGTCAACTTCAAGGGCAAGCTTTTATTCAGTCAGTCTGAAGCATCAGCACTCCCATTTTAATAAGATATAAAATATTCTTTCTACCCAATTCTTTTTTTTTTTTTTTTTTTGAGATGGAGTCTCTGTCTGTCACCCAGGCTGGAGTGCAGTGGCGTGATCTCAGCTCACTGCAACCTCTGCCTCCTAGGTTCAAGAGATTCTCCTGCCTCAGCCTCCCAAGTAGCTGGAACTACGGGTGTGTGCCACCAAGCCCGGCTAATTTTTTGTATTTTTAGTAGAGACGGGGTTTCACCGTGTTAGCCAGGATGGTCTCAATCTCCTGACCTCGAGATCTGCCCACGTCGGCCTCCCAAAGTGCTGGGATCACAGGCGTGAGCCACCTGCGCCAGGTCTCTAACCCATTCTTTTACCCACACCCACTCCCTCTTTCTTATTTCTACCAGTTTGCAAACTCAGGTTCCTGCTGAATTATTAGTTAAAATGGGAATGTGAATTTATTTGAGCATGTCTCTGTCAGTTTGGCTCTGAGCAAAAGGTGCTAGTTTTCTGGACTGGCACACAGTATCCAAAGATGACATTGGGTGCTAAATTAGAATTTTGAACTAAGCTTCCAAAAATAACAAAATTATACTGTAAGTCCTTACATTTTCCTTACTCCAGATTGTACAGATTCCCTAGTGATCTTAGGGAAGTTAAAGAAAGAAGCAATTAGATCATTAGAAAAAATATAAAGTATTATACAAGAATATAATGGCATCTGTCTTTCTGACAGAACTATTTTTACATGGTACTACATATACAGGTTGTACAAGTGAAAGAAGCAACAGGTAGGAGTCCTCAATTTTGAAAACTAAATGCTATTTTAAGGAAAAAGAGAGAAAGAGGGAGGAGAAAAACTAAATACCCAATCTGCTAAAATTTAATCTTAAAATATATTCCTTAGAAAAGTACATTTGTTAGAATTCAAGTAGGTGACAATATGTTACTTTTTATCTTGGTCTGGTTTAGAAAAATCCTCTCCTTCATAAATAAATAGTACGTTTATACTGCTAGTATATTTTAATAGTTAACATTTGAAGTGCATATAACATTTATTTTAATAAAATTTGGTATTTTGGAAACAAGAAAAGAAAAACGTTCTTCACTATGTGATAGCCTATACTTCAAATAAAGTATCTACAGTGGTATTTCCTTCTTCAAAGAAATAAACTTTTCTGTCCACTGTATAATCTAAGGAACATTACAGCAAATGTGCAGCTTAAACTGATAAAATATATGTCTCTTAACCTGCCAAAAGTTGGGAAAAAAGTAAACTTAAATTAACAAATCACGGTTCTTAGATTCGCCCATGTCTCCATAGCTGTCAAGTGATGGAGAGAGACTAAAGTCCAAGTCTATCTTAATCCGAAGCCCAAGTTCTCTCCACGCTACCACACTGTCTCTTCATTTTTTCTTTATGAGTTTTCATGTGAGTCATGCATATGTCTCAAATAAATAAATGTTCTTATCTGGGCTGAATCCCCATGAGATTGTTGTTTTATTTTTAGGAATGTGCTAATGTCCTTAGCGTCAACCAAGCTCATTTCTGTTTATCTTGGTCATAAAATATGCCTCAATTTGTAATAAAATACCAAGAGAGGGGAAAAGAAAAGACCACCAGAGAAACTGAGAGAAATTTGAAGCAAACAGGAAAAAAAAAAGCAAAAAGTAAGTGAAGCATGATGCAAAAGAGATTTTCAAAAAGAAGAAAAAGAAGAAGAGATAAACTGAAAAAATCTTGAAAATAAAAAATACAAAGAAGATCTGGGGACTTCATCCCAGTGGTGGCAGACTGGGTAATTTGTGCCAACTCTCTTGCTGAAGGAAATGAAAATATCTGGGCAAACTATAAAAATCATTTTCTTTGAAGTATCACAAAGCTAAAAAGAGAGTGTGGAGTTACTGGGCCAAGATCTACAAAAAAATAGAAATCTAAAAATGTGATTCTGGCAACTTACCACAGGCATGTGGGCCTATCTTGAAGAGGCAGCCAATAGACTGAGCCATGCTTCGAATATCTTCACAGGGACAGGGAGACAAAATATGCAGTATCTCTGATAGGGAAACTTATAAAATTTCATTAAAAGACATTAGAAGAGACCTAAGTAAATGGAGCGATATACTATGCTCATGGATTAAAAGACTCACTATTGTATTGATGCCCCAAGAAACAAATAAGCCAATGGGACAGAGTAGAAAGACTAGATGCAGGTTGATTGATAAATGAGCACTTGGTATATTTTAGATATGATACTCATAAGAATAAGGAGAAGATAGTTGTGATAATTGGATATTCCTGTGAGGAAAAAATAAAACTTGACTTCCAACCTCACTCTCTATCACTGCCCACACTGCTTCCCCATACTACCCCCATATACACACTAGAAAAACTCTTTCATTTATACATTAAGGATGCATGACATAAGAATGTTCATATGCTATGTGTAATAGTACAGTTTAAAAAATTGAAACAACACATTTATAATGAGTAGAGTGAATCAGTAAACTGTGGAATGTTTATACAATAAAATACTATAGTGCAATAAGATTGAATGCTACAATATAGTTAAATCTGAGAAACATAATATTAAAAAATTCAGTTACAGAAAAACAAAAGTATGATTCTCTTTATACAAAATTGAAAACTAAAAATATATTGTCCAGCAATTCAAACACACTAGGTCATATGACTATAAAGAATGTAAAAGAACTGGTGAATATAAAGTACAGAAGAGACGATATCTCTAGGATAAAAGGATGGGACAAGGGAGGGAATGCAAGAAAGGGACTTAATAATGGTGTGTTGTTCTTTTTCTTAAATTGGATGGTAGGTAATTGATGTTTCTTGTATTTTGATTACTTATGCCTTACATATATTTCATGAGCATTCGTTTGTATTTACTCAAGAGTTAATAGAAATGTCGCATTGGCCCATTGCTAAAGGGCCAAGCTTGAATTCAATCTTCATGAGGAGGTCAAAACCAAAGCTAAAGGTCACCATCACGTAACAAATTTTTTGAGACTAGGAAAAATCTGAAATTTTCTCCACAAAATAAATTGAATCATCACTTCAACTTGATTCCTTAAAATATTGCTTCTTAAATGCTTAAAGTTGACATCATAGTACAGAAATAGTAAGTTCTCAGCTCTGTTGATTATCAGATTGCCCTTATGGTTAGTGTACTACATATTTAAAAAGCCAAGTAGACCCTCAGTTTCAACTGAAGTTAGAAAAAGAGGAAGATTTTTTTTTTTTGCCAACTCTAATCAGAATAGGCTATTGCTGGTAGTGATGTTGCCCTTCCACTCTAGTTAAACAACCGGATTAAAGTCTTGTCTCATTTCCACCTTCTGGAGTTAAATCTTTGGTCAACAGTGATTATACAATTTCACTGAAGCAACTTCACAAACAGAATCTCTGTGCATTGCTTGAAGATGATGCTTTTTTAACATTTTCAGGAGAATCAAATTTTTTTGCTCTCACTTATATTTTTATTTTTAATATTATGCATGAACTTACTACTTTAATTTACCCTTAAATCTTTGATCTTGAAACGTGGCAATAGAACATCATGACTGAATTGCAAGATAAAAAAATAGTCTCTAAATTTCCATTTGCACCTTAGCTTTCATTGGATGCACAGCAATTTCAGCATCTTCCCTCGAGCTGAATAAGAAATGAATTTTTATAGCATGTATCATGCAAGAAATATTTGCACTTTCAAGCACATCAGTTAGGTTACTTCTTCAGCAGGTTCCAGCAAGTGAGCTATTTTGTCTGCAAAAAAAAAAAAAAGTGATTGTAAGTCCCGCTTTTTGGTATTGTTACGTGTTCAGGTAGACTTTTAAACACGTAGTAGCCACTTGTCCATCCTATTTGCACATCCGTCTTGTATAGATATTTGACAGAGTTCTAAAACCTCTTAGATGTCATGTTTGTCACTGACTGAAGAATAATTAGTGGTCCATTACCTTACAACTACTAATCTTATGATGGTGCTCCAGCTGTAATTCTTTTCTGAACACATAAGTGAAGGGTGTGAACATAGCATCATATCTTCTAGGTCTTCAATTCATTCATACCCTTCACCATGTTTTTTTTTCCATAGTCAATAGCAATACATGATATTTTACTGATTTTCCTTTTAAGAATATTTCTTCAGTCAGATTTGCTATGTTGTTGGCTGTTTGAGGTCCAGGCATCTCTCAGCAAGCTAGTAAACCAGAAGCCGTCAGTTCAAGGACTCTAGAAAAGACACTGAAGTAGACATGTGGTGACTTTGTCTTCCAAAATATGAAACCAAAGCCATAGTTTGAATGGCACATTTTAGCTGAATGTTGAGGCCAAAGCTAAACTTATGAACTTCAATAATTTTTGTATTTACAAAAATAAATAAACGGCTTAAAACTAAAGGGATTTATGTATTTATTCAATAATATTTGTATTGAGTACTTGCTGCATGTTAGACATTATAGCAGTCACTGAGGATACAGTAATGAACAAAATAGATAAAAGTCTCTCCCTCATGGAGCTTACATTCTAGTTTAGAGGGGCAGGGAGGAACAAGCAATAACAATAAATCTACGAACTAATGTCAGAGGCTGCTAAATGCCATGTAGAAACACATCAAGAAAGAAGAATCAGAAATGGGTGGGGTGGAAGAGGGGAGTGTTATTTTCTAAAGGATGCTTAGGGAAAACCTCACTGATAAGGTGACATTTGAGGAGAGAGCTTAAAACATATGTTTAAGTTTTCAAAATCAGTATTTTTAAAAAATGGGCAAAAATATATCAGACTCAAAAATAAGGAACAGGGTTTCACAAAACTTCACAAATTTCACAGACAAAAACAGAATTCAAGATGTAAAAATAAAAAAAAATGCTAACTTGAACACTCACTGGAAAGGGAATTTGTTAAACAAATTATGGTAAATCCATACAATTAAGTAATGTGTAGCCATTAAAAGATGGCACAGGTATCCACATCATGTTACTGAATTTTAAAAGTAGATTACAGAATCTAATATGAAAAAAATAATTATTGCTATATGGGTTTTTTTAAGTCTGGAAGATTATACAACAAACCTTTAGTAATAGTATATCAGGGAAAGGGAATTCATAGGAGTAAAATAAAAAGATGTTGACTTCCACTCATGCACGTCTATATCACTTTAAAATTTTACAACAAAAACTTACTATACTGCTGCCTGATTTTCAATAATTTCAGGACAAACTGAGTGATTTTATATTGATGAAGCATACAACTAAAATTAAGGACATTATTTCCATGAACCATCTATGTATGAAGGAAAAACGTTTAATAAAGCAAGGTTACAGTGACACAAGTATAATAGCAGTAGAAGAATTTACTGACCATTCTCAATTTTCAACAGATCAACTGAGCAAAAATAATCACAAAAGGGATCTGATTTCTGTCATTAGTAAGCCTAGTTTAAATGCTAGTAACTAACTTTCAACTCTATGTAGAGAATAGAGCTTATTTTTCAACACAGTACACTACAAAGAAAGTCTTTATAAATTCTAAAAAACAAATCACATAAGCACCTTTTCTGGTTATAATGCCAAAAACTGAAAGTTTTGAAATTGAAAGAAATAAAATTCAACCACTTAAAAATTAAAGTCCATTCTCCTTGGTAACTCTCAGGCAAGAGAGGAGAATAAACTCTTTCACAATATTTGATGCTAAAATATAATCACACTACTACATCCTAAAATGTCTGAATGCCATCAAAACTGTTATCTGAAGAAAATTTATACCACCAAAGTTTTGCATTGTTAAAAAAGGGCTTATAATAAATTAACTATTGAGCTGAAGAAGCAAAGAAGAAACAAAATTAATATTAAAAATAATAAAAAGAAATTCATACAATAAAAGTAGAAAATAATGATTACTAAAATAGAACAAAACAATAATTGCAAGAGCTACTTATTTCAAAAGACAAATAAGACAGAAAATGAAACTATTTTTCAGTACTGCATTAGAAGATGATTAAACTGCTTCATTAAAAAGTGCCTTATGATTTCCAGAGAACTTTAGTATGAGCCTCGGCCGTGACTCCCCTGACTCAAACCCACGATTGACTTAGACACTGATATGGTTTGGCTGTGTCCCCATCCAAATATCATCTTGAATTGTAACTCCCATAGTTCCCACATGTTGTGGGAGGGACTTGGTGGGAGATAATTGAATCATGGGGGCAGTTTCCCTCATACTGTTCTCATGGTAGTAAATAAGTCTCATGAGATCTGATGGTTTTATGAGAGGTCTCCCTTTGTGCTTGACTCTCATTCTCTCCTTGCCTTCCGCCATGTAAGATGTGCCTTTCGCCTTCTGCCATGATTGTGAGGCCTCCCCAGCCTCGTGGAACTGTGAGTCCTTTAAGCCTCTTTTTCTTCATAAATTACCTAGTCTTGGGTATGTCTTTATTAGCAGCATGAAAAAAGACTGATACAGATACAAACAAAAGTGGTAAACTGTACAATTTAACCTACCCATGGAAAGTTCTAGTCACTACTTTTAACCCTATGAGGTGGGCTCCCCCTTTCTGGTGCCTTAATCAGATGCCGTTTGTTTACAAATATTTTCATTTGCTAAAACTTAGTCCAGTGCAATTAAAAGCTTCAACTTTATATATAATTCAAGATTTTCCCTTCTAAAGCATGCTGGACTTGAGGCTCCTGGAGCTTGTAACACAGAAGGGATAAGCAAGCATCCCAATGCTAACCAAGGCTCATGGCTGGCATGACTCCCTGATGGGGGACATCCAGTTCTGCCTGAAAATCTTTCCCAGCCCCACTCCTCACCTACCACCACCAGTGACCTACCCCACAGCCTTTGCTGCTGCAGTTCTGAAAGGTTCAGCTGATGACCCCTTGGGTGAGTAAAGTACCAGTAAATGGCTTAAGCACCCTAAGCGAGGTCCAGATGAGCCACAGGTAACTCATCAGCCCTGTCATGCTGACCCCTGCAAGTTCAGCCCATGCCCCATTCAGCCCTGCCATTTCTTTCCAATTCTCTTTTCCTCCATTCAGGTAGAAACATGGGCAGGTCATCATCTCCACTGTCCCAGGTAATGTGCAAATGGAATAAAAAGCTAGGCCCCCACTCACTGGTAGATCCTGATCTTTAATAATGAGGATCTTATCACTGTCCCCACTCCTGGGCTTCTGGTATAAGATGGTAAATCCCATCACAAGCATAGCACCCTCTGAAAGACCCAGTTCTCAGGTGACTCTCTCTCTCTAGTCTTCTTATACAGGCTGATGTGGGTAGGTGGGGGTGGTAGTTGGTGATAGCATGGCCAGTTAACTGATAATTTAGGAAACCCTGCTCAGTGGTGGCCTTTATAAAAGTGTTCTCTGCTTTGAGGTTTGGCCAAAATCCTTACCCAGAGAGAAAGTCCCCATATAACATTTTGTTCCATGTATGTAATAATTTCTCTATGAGTCTTTTTTTTTAACTTTAAGTTCTGGGATACATGTACAGAAAGTGCAGGTTTGTTACATAGGTATATGCATGGTGGTTTACTGCACCTATTAACCTGTCATCTAGGTTCCCTCCCCTCACCCCCTACCCAACAGGCCCTGATGTGTGATGTTACCCTCCCTGTGTCCATGCGTTCTCATTGTTCAACTCCCACTTATGAGTAAGAACATGTGGTGTTTGGTTTTGTGTTCCTCTGTTAGCTTGCTAAGTATGATGGATTCTAGCTTCATCCATGTCTCTGCGAAGGACATAATCTCATTCCTTTTTATGGCTACATAGTATTCCATGGTATATATGTACCAAATTTTTCTTTATTCAGTCTATTATTGATGGGCATTTGGGTTGGTTCAAAGTCTTTGCTATTGTCAATAGTGCTGCAATAAACATACATGTGCATGTGTGTTTATAGTAGAATGATTTCTATTCCTTTGAGTATATATCCAGTAATGGGATTGCTTGGTCAAATGCTATTTCTGGTTCTAGATCCTTAAGGAATCACCACACTGTCTTCCACAATGGTTGAACTAATTTACATTCCTACCAACAGCATAAAAGCATTCCTGTTTCTCCACAACCTCACCAGCATCAATTTTTTCCTGACTTTTTAATAATCACCATTCTGACTGGTGTGAGAGAGTATCTCATTATGGTTTTGATTTGCCTTTCTCTAATGATCAGTTATGTTGAGCTTTTTTTCATATATTTGTTGGCCACATAGATGTCTTCATTTGAAAACTGTCAATTCATATCCTTTGCCCACTTTTTGATGGAATTGTTTGTTTTTACCTTGTAAATTTGTTCATGTTCCTTGTAGATTCTGAATATTAGACCTTCGTCAGATGGGTAGATTGCAAAAATTTTCCCCCATTCTGTAGTTTGCCTGTTCACTCTGATGATAGTTTCTTTGCTATGCAGGAGCTCTTTAGCTTAATTAGATTCCATTTGTCAATTTTTGTTTTGGTTGCAACTTCTTTTGAAGTTTTCACCGTAAAATCTTTGCCCATGCCTATGTCCTGAATGGTATTGCCTAGGTTTTCTTCTAGGGTTTTTATGGTTTTGGTTACATAGATATACACATACCACAGTGATATGCTGCACATATTAACCCATCATCTAGGTTCCCTCCCCTCACCCCCTAACCCCCAACAGGCCCTGGTGTGTTAATTGAGTTAATTTTTGTATAAGGTGTAAGGAAGCAGTTCAGTTTCAGTTTTCTGCATATTCTCCATCAGTCTTGAGTCATCTTGTTAATAAATGGAGTTCACTCTCTGGCTGTCTCTCCTACTTCGAGGCTCAGAGAACCGTGAGCAATGAAATGGATTGAAGACCCAGTTTCCCTGTTTCTCCAGGGTGTTAAGTCTTATTAAGCCTTAGCTAACATCAGCCTTCATAGTCCCTGCGGCGCACCTCACTTCTGCCCAGTGGTGTCCCAGAGAGGAGAAAGTGGAGCACCACAAACTCTTGCTAAAGTGGGTTCTTTAATCAGAAACAACCCATCTTCAGTTCCGCAGCACCTTCACCACCTTTGGAGTGGTGGAAATCAGAAGGCACTAGTCCTAGTGTTGGGCCAGAAATGTCAGACGCTGCCCAGTGTTCTGACCATCCCAAACCCAGTTTCCCTGTTCCCCAAGGAACCTTGCACATCCTTGAGAAAATTTTCTTATCAGCACTACCTATGAACACTAGATGACTGACAAATCTGCCTCAGAAAAGTCCAGTCACACCTATTTCCATCTACCTGCAAGTTGTCCCCAGGTGGGGGAATAAAAGCATCCCATAGATAGTATTTGAGGAGAGCAGAGAATCTAGACTATTTTGTAAGAAATTTTCATAGCAAGATGCGACTGCCTCTTGTAAAAGACAGAAATGACCCCCAAGCTAGGTTAAACCAGAGCCCCAGAGAGACTGCTGCTGAGGGAATCAGCTACTGAGGGATGATAGCAGCTGGGCATGAATTTGAAAAGTGTTACTTGTGATGGAGTCACCTGTAGTGCAAAGGGCCAACGTGGGTTCACTATTGTTCAATTCTTTCTATGGCTTTCTCTCTAGCCTCACAAGAGGAAATCATGTATAATCACTGGGTGAATGCTGGTATAGGATTTAGAGTCCACGTAAGGAAAAGAACAACTTATTTTATTGCTATGATCTAGTCTTCAGTCTTCTCAGAACATGAGGATACTACAAATAGTGACAGTCAAAGATTTCTGGAAAGTGAATATTTTTTTGTTTTGCTTTTTTATAAGCTACCTCTACAGATAAGGTAACAAAGTGAGAGAATTTGGAGAGAGTTTTAAAGAATGCGTGGGAGCTGGTATTCATTCTGTGATATATAATGTTAATGTTTACCTACTCCAGGAGATACTTCACGCTGTCAATTATAACACAAGAGTATTTTTAACCTTATTTGCCAAATGTTCAACTTATTTGCCTGGGGGTAGCCCCTTGTAGTAGGTTGAATTACAGCCCCAAAAATTATATATTCACATCCTAATACCCAGACCCTGTGAATGTGACATTATTTGGAAAAGGGTCTTTGCAGATAGCATTATCCAAGTAAACTCTAAATCCAGTGACAAGAAGCCTTATAAAAGGAGGAGAGAAGACAAAGAGTGGAAAGCCATGTGAAGACAGAGATTGTTGTGATGCAGCCACAACCAAGGAACTCCTGGAGCCACCAGAAGCTGGGAGAGGAAAGGAGGGGTTCTCCCCTAGACTTTGCAGATTGGATTTCAGACTCTGGCCATCAAAACTGTGAGAAAATAAATTTCTACTATTTCAAGCCACCATGTTTGTGGCCATTTGTTACAGTAGCCAAAGGAAACGAATACACCCATTATGACATCAGCGTTATGTTTAACCTCTTATTGTCTGATGTACAGTAGAGAATTATAATGAAGGATTGAACCAAGAGGGTGACTGGGCTGAGTACACAGGCAGGTCTGCCCCTAATCCGAGAGATGACAGAAAATCTTTTGTTGTTGTTTTATCTACAATAGAGATACCCTCAGGGGACTGGAAATTAAGAGAAATATCTGTGTATAGAACACAAATGAGAGTGAATTTAAAATCAAAAACAATGCCCCAAATCTGTATATTAGAGAACTTCTGCAAAAGGTGGTAACTGTTGCAGGGATGCCCCAAGTTCTGTGGTAGGAAATAAAGAGGACTCTAAGGGACCCTAGAGATGAACTCTTGGGAAGATTTGTCCAAGCACCAATAAATGACCATCTAAGAGGTCACTCCTTCTCCCTGATGAGCAGGTGGTAGACTAGTGGAGTCATTAGCCCCCAGGTTGGGCAGTACGCATGGGCTCTTGGGCAGAACCCAGATTGGAGGGTGAATTCTCCACAACCAGAAGACCAGGCCATGTTGCCTTACAGACAGTCCTTCTGCCCTGAAATCACTGTAGGCAGTCTGTGGTAAGCAGATGAAACATTCGTAGACACACCAAAGGAATCTGACATTCAGAAATTAGCATGCCAACTGAAAGAGGAGGGGTTGTATAACTGAGAATCAGCAATAAGTTCGTTAGTGGCTATGAAAATACCATTAGATAGAAAAAATAAGTTCCAGTATTTAATCATACAGCAGAAAAATTATAGTTAACAATAATGTATTCTATATTTCAAAATAGCTAGAAGAGAAGGATTGTAATGTTCCAAACACAAAGAAAAGATAAGTGTTTCACCAGGGCCTGTCGTGGGGTGGGGGGAGTGGAGAAGGATAGCATTAGGAGATATACCTAATGTAAATGACAAGTTAATGGGTGCAGCACACCAACGTGGCACATGTATACATATGTAACAAACCTGCACGTTGTGCACATGTACCCTAGAACTTAAAGTATAATAATAAAAATAAAATAAAATAAAGAAAAGATAGTGTTTGAGGTGATGGATATTTCAATACCCTGATTTGGTCATTTCACGTTGTATACGAGCATCAGCATATCACATGTACCCCAAAAATACGTACAACTATAGTATATCAATTAAAAATGCCCAAAAAATTAAAAAGAAAAATAAATATCATGAAGGGAACATCTCTCCACAAATTGAGGAACTTGTATACAAGTGTGGCAGACTTTGCTAGACACCTACCCAATATCCATTCTCTTTTTCTTCCTTACTACCAGAACCTTCAGTGACTGATTGATTGACCAGAACACTGCTGCTCAAGCATATGAGAGGATATAGATCTGGCTGGTGAGATAGAAGTCTGCTGAGTATTTTTGGGCATTTCCTTTCCTAATTATAGCAAAACCTGCTAGTTGTCTCCTCATATTCATTTTTCTTTTCTGTATTCATTTTGAAACCCTTGATTTTAGCCAGACCTATGGCCACCCAAGTGAGAAAAAATATAGACTACATTTACCCTTGCAGCCCCCTAAGTGGCTAAGTGTAACTACATGACTAAGTTCTGGGCAATAATCAAATGTGTGGTGGCATAATCAGATGTGTGGTGGACAACTTCCAAGATGAAACTATAAAAGGACCATTTATCCCCTCCTCTTCTTCCACTTTTTTGCTTGCTCAGATAAAGAAATGATGGTTGGATCTTGAGCAACCAAGATGAATTATATTGAAAGAACTACAGGTTTTGAATGACAGAACAAAAACATAAAAGAAGCATAGGTTCCTGGTGTCATGTGGTAGAATGTCAGCTCTCCAGATTTCATTAATATAAGAACTAGATAAGCTTTACATCACTATAATTTTAGATTTTTGTCATACGCACCAGTTATACTAATATAGACATCAATTTTTTTTATTTTGTCTCCTTTCTCTGGCCTAAAATGTATACCCAGTGCTAAGGTATGCAGCCATCTTGCATACCTGAGGATGAGGTGCATGTGCTCAGAATGGTAGCATGAAAAGATGGAAGGAAACGGGTCCCTGGATGCTCCTTCCTAGACTTCTTAATTCACAACAAAAATGAACCCATTACATGTTTAAGCTACAGTTGGTGGTAATTTATGTTACTTGCAGCTAAATATAATCTTATCTAATACATCTCAAAGGAAAAAAGGCTGATACAGGAAAAAATTGTTGTATTCATTAAATAAGAACAGGCTGGTACAAAAATGAACCAATTATAAGTATTGAAAATGAAAATATAAATGGCTGAGAACAGTTGTAGAACAAATTAATGAGCTAAGAGGGCTAATTCTTCTGGATCACAGCGAAACAGAAAATTAAATGAAGAATGTAAACACTGTTTTATTAGCTTCCTAGCACTGCAGTAACTGGGTGGCTTAAACAACAGAAATTTATTGTATCAGTTCTGGATGCTAAAAGCCCAAGATCAAAGTGTTGGCAGGATTGCCTTCATCTGAGGGCTGTGAGGGAGAATCTTGTTCCATGCCTTTCTCCTAGCTTCTGGTGGTTTGCTGGAAACCTCTGGCATTCCTTGACTTGTAAATGCACCACTCTGACCTCTGTTTCCATGTTCACATGGTGCTCTCCTTGTGTGTGTGTCTGTGTCCAAATTTCTTCTTTTTACAAGAACACTAGTCATGCTGGATTAAGGTGCAGCAATTCAACCCATAACAGCAGTTCAAGACAAGGAGAAAAGATAAGAGGAGGCCTAATATCCATATCATAGAAGTTCAAAGGTAAGAAAGACAAAATTGAAGAATGGAAATTTTTTTAAATGAATAATGGTAGAAAATTTTCCTGAGCCAAAGAATGACATGAGTTCACATGTACAGAGAACCCACTGATTACTGAGGAAGATAAATGTGAAAAAAGACCCACTCCTAGTCAAATCATAATAAAATTTGACAATAGGAATAAACACAAAAATTTCGTTAACATCCAAAATCTTTAAAAATTACACTTCAAAATAACAAAAATTAGATTAGCATTAGACTTCACAAGAACACTACTGGAGGCAAGAAGACAGTGGAGCAATACACTCAGAGTTTTAACAGAAAATTAGTTTGAATTATCATTCAAGTGAGAGGAAAAATTAAAAATTGTGTCAATTAGCAGTTAAGTAACTATTGATCCAACTGCAATTCCACGAGTGGGAACTAAGTAGTCCCAGCCAGCCAGAGCAATCCAGTCCTCTTGCTATGACTTGGCTCAGAAATGAGTATGTGACACATTCCAGCTGAGGCACCAGGAGAAATTTGTTGGGTCTCTAGAAAAGCCTCTTCCAGCACACCAACATGGCCCATGTATACATATGTAACAAACCTGCACGTTGTGCACATGTACCCTAAAACTTAAAGTGTAATAATAATAAAATTTAAAAAATAAATAAATAAAAAACAAAATAAAATAAAATAAAAAATAAAAAAAAGAAAAGCCTCTTCCTTATTCTCCTGGGACTGGATCTGTTCCTCCCATTGGAAATGGACACAAAAACAGATCATCCATTGCTCACCCACATCACAAAAGGTACCATATTTAAGATGAAACTGGCATCCATGCCTTTCTCAACTGAAGTTCTACGGGAGAATTAAAGCCTGCTGAAAATGACTTGTGTGACTGTTTCATCAACTCTCTAAAGTATGATACAGACTTAGATACCATGCTAGATGCATAGGAGATAGGTTAATTTATTACATTCAATGGGTGTCTTATGTCATTAGTGCTTCATTTCTACAGTGGGGTGAGAAGAGCAAATCTACAGGCTCAATCCAGCCCACCACCTGGTTTATTGGAACCCTGGGCTCATTTGCTTACATATTATGTATGACTACTTTCACACTGCAAAGGTAAGTTTGAATAGTTGTGATAGAGATTATATGGCCTCCAAAACCTAAAATACTTGCTATCTTGTTGTTTACAGGACAAGTTTGCCAGCCCGACTCTAGAGAAATCTCAGCTGAGAAAGTCTGCAAAGAAATTTGGCTGTGTCTACCTTGGTCTTTACCTCATTATCAATGAGCAGGGGCTAATTTCTTCACCTGCAACCCTATTGCACGGTCATTATCAGGACTGAGTCAATAACTGCAAAACATTTCAAATAGAGCCACATGGTAAGCACTCAGAAAATGTTAGCTCTTCTTCCAAGCCAGATACCAACTTCCATTTACTTATTCTGCAGGTTGGTAGTTTGGCCTGGGCTCAACTGGATCGTTCTTCTGACATTGGCTAGACTCGCTTTTGCAGCTGCAAGTCAGATTTAGGCAGCTCTGCTTCTCTGGGTAGCCCCGGCCAGGATGATCCCAATCACATGTCTGGCAGATAGTTACCTGTCACCAGGGCAGCTGGGCCATGTGGTATTTAGTGAGCCTCTGGTTCCCTTCCTACTTCAGTCCCTTTTGGATCCCCCTAGCCCCCACAAAAAGCCATCTTTTTACATTATGAAGCCATGTTTTACATTATGCATGATCTACATCAAGTTATATCTTGACCTGATTGAAATATCAAACAAACATTTAAGTACTTACTAAAGTCAATACTCTATGAAATGGCTTTGCTTTTTCCTTACTTTTGAAATTCAAAACTTTATTTGAACAGAAGCCAACTGGCTTTTCATGGTGGCTAGGGGGTTCCAAAAGGGACTGAAGTAAGGAAGGCTTCCTATGGTCTAGACTTGAAACTGGAGCAGTATTACTTCCACTGTGTTTCATTAGTCAAAGAAATTGCAAGCCCAGCTCATATTCGAAGAGTGGGGAGATAGATTCCACTTCCTGAAGAAAGGAGCTACAGAGCCCCTTTGCAAAGGGACATGTATACGAGAAAGAATAATTGCAATCATTTATATGCATGATCTATAACTAGTTAATATAGCTTAACCGAATTGAAATATCAAACAAACATTTAAGTACTTACTAAATGTCAATACGAAACAGCTTTGCTTTTTCCTTCCTTTTGAAATTCAAAACTTCATTTGAACAGAGGCCTTTTAAAAGTAAATAAATAAGTTCTTTTGCTCTTAGTACGTGTGTGTCTATGGGAGGACATCTGAATGCATGTAGTAATGAACCATCTTTGGCACCATGGACTCATGAAATTCAGCTGATTGATCCTCAGTCCTCTCTCCATCTATAGCAACATGCTGAGCTTATTCTTGAATTTTAATTCCTCTTCAAATGAAACTGCAAAATAAAACTCTAATTTTGTTTTAAGTGCATAAAGTGAAAGAAAATTTTATCTCTTGGTGTTTGTTAACTTGTTATGAACATCTTCATAATGTAAAAACATTGCAATATACCAAACACATTATCTTCGAAAATAAAAGAGTAACTTAACTTTTTCCTTCACTTAAAAATGGAAATAACAAATAATGATAAAAAATTGGAGAAGAATCTAACAGTGTTCTGAGACCTCCCAGCCTTCCTTTCTTCAAGTGTGTAAATCATTAAGTATTCAAATGATTAATGCAGTCATGATCAAGCTTACCAGAATAAATCATTTATATGTCCACCCTTGGCTATGCAGCTTCATTAGTGCTCTTAGGAAAATTAAGATGTCTTCACATTCCAGCCTAACAAAGTGTTCTAGTCTCTCCTACCACTTTACGTATGAGCTTGCCAGGGCTTTTTCTATTAATTAGATTTGTTTTCTCCCCTCCACCTCCAATTTTGAGCATGGTTTATATCCCCTTGCTTTCTGAAGCCTGGCTTCAAACCATGTGAGATAGCAAAAGAGTATCTTTTTTGAAATGCAACTGGAAAAAGAGAAAACATCTTGACTTTTAGCATAATAATAAGAGGAAAGAATAGTAAACCTATAAGGCACTTAGGGTATGTCAGGCACTCTTCTAAGTAGTTTATAGACATTAAGTTATTAATCTTCACAAAATCCCACAGTATAATATAGATGTTATAGAATAACATATATAAACATATGTCAAATATTTTCCTCATTTTATAGATAAGAAAACTGAGAAACAGAGAGGTTAAAAGCTTGCGCCAGGTCACACAGCTAAGCAATAGAACTGGGATTTGGTACCAGGCAATCTGGTTTCAGTACTCATTAATTTAGCCATTATACTATGCTGCCTCTCCATGAAAACACCCAGGAAGTATGTTGACATAAAAGATATAATTGTAGTGTAGATACTTGCTCCTGAGGTTGGACCAATGAGCAGCATTTCAATTCATCTTTTCTTATTCCAGATTCATCCTGGGGAAAACCAAATGCAGTTCAATGACTGATACCAAGGGCCAAAAAGAAGGAGTGGGCATTGGGGATTAGGGTTGGGGTCATGGAAAGAAGACAGCTCTGCGGGAAGCAAGGTATATCAAGGTGAAGAGAGTATATCTGGGAGGGAGATGCTCCAGAACTGGATGGGAAGGGGGTGGCAGCATTGGGGATCACACAGCCTCTCATAAAGAAATGCCGTGCACACTCACAATGAGGCAGAATGCGCTGAACAAAGTAAGTGCACCACTCACAGTTCCCTGCCCAAACAGGATCTTAACATGCGTGACCACTGACTTCAGCCTACAGTAAAGATCTGCCTGTACATTATCTGTGTCTGCTAAGCTAATACTTTTCCTCTAATGCATTTTCTCACTCCAGCCTTCTCAGATTAAGAGGATTATAAGGGGTGTTATTACATCTTGATAAACTGCAAAATGGTCTTCCTCTTTCTCTCTTTCTCAGTCCTCATTCCCTTTTTCTGTCCGTATTGAGGTGCAAACATGTTGTTTCCTCCAAATGAAATGTATATGTTAATTTATTTGATGGGCTTGACAAAATGGCTCTAAAATAAAATGCCAATACTCTCTAAATGGTCACAAATAAAGGGCCCTGGACCTTTCCAATAATTTATAGTGATGTCATACGCAATGATGACATTATGTTCAGAAGAGCAAGCCAGTTATAAACACAGTTAGGATAATCCAAAAAGGAATGAGGGGTAGCAGGGTTGCATCCCTAGACACTGCAGTGCAGATCCCTATGGCTCTGGACCAAGACCATGACCTCTGTCAGAGAACTACTCTCAGTTTGAAAAACAGCTCTTGACATGCTACTAGCTGGAGACTGGGCACCCACCTGGAACACCACGTGACAAAACAACCGGAGGTAGGCTTGATGAGCTGGGGGAATCAGTAAGTCACAATATCTGTGGTACTTGGCGACTGGGTTTAGGCAGATCCAGAAGATGTGAGATACTCAAATGCATAGAATACCCAGGCTCCTACTGCTATTGGACTGGTGCATTTTCTTCCATCCATACCTATGGCTTCGTGAAGAGTTTTCTATAAACAAACATCAGAAGAAGAAAAGACTTAGGCCCAGTTCACAGTTATGTTGGTGCTAGCTAGAAATGTACCACCACCACAATACAGCCCTACTCAGAGAAGCCCCAGAAAACACTGATGAGGAGAGATTCTCCCAGTGAGGAGATTTCCAAGCTGTAAACTTGATTAGAGAATTAGCCTGAGATATGGATGAAACAGGCACTTAGACATCAACAAATGCCTTGGCTGAATTTTCAGAGCACTGAAGGCAATAAGTCTGAAAGATTGGTTACTACGAATTGTGGTGAGGTCTATGGATGGATTTATGGGAGTGGGCACAAAATGTGGATGTTTGTGTCTCACATGAATGCTTACCAGAAATTATCTATTGCAGAAGAGGAACTCAAACATCAGATGAATGGAATCACATATTTTATGGAAGTCAGCCAAGCCTCAAGAGACCCTTGAACCAAGCAGCTATGGCAGCAGGGATGGCAGGTCTACACAGGATCAACAACATAGATTCCCTTCCACCAAGTCTAAGCCAGCAACTGCCACTGCTGAGTGCTCAATCCCTCAATGAAGAGAACAACACACAGCCCTTGATATGACACCATTCATCACTGGACATCTCCACCTTAAGGGGACAGAAGCTCATCTTTATCAGAATCTATACCTACTTCATATCACCTTCCCTGCCTTCATTGCCTCTGCCAGCTCCAGCAACTGGGAGTTTATAGGATGCCTAATCTCAACATGGCACTCTGCATTATGTCTTCTCAAACCTCTCATCTTAAGGAGGTACAAGAGTGGGCCCATGACCATAGGATTTCCTGGTCCTACTATCTACCCCATTACCAGAAACAGCCAGCCTGACAGAACAGTGGAGGAGCTTACTGAAGACTCAGTTGAAGAGTCTGCATGGGAATAACATTTTATAGGGTTGGGGCACTGTTCTCCAGGATATAATATAGTTGATCCTTGAACAATGTAGGGGTTAATGGCACTGACCCCTACACAGTTGAAAATTTGTGAATAACTTTTGACTTTCCAAAAACTTGACTATTAATGACCTACTCTTGACCAGAAACCTTACCAATAACATAAGCAGTCAATTAACACATGTTTTTATGTTATATGTATTATATACTCTATTGGTACAATAAAATAAGCTAGGGAGATGAAAATGTTACTAACAAAATCATAAAGAAGAGAAAATATATTTACTATTCATTAAGTGTGAGTGGATCATTATAAAGGTCTCCATCTTCATCATCTTCTCATTGAGTAGGCTGAAGATGAGGAGGAAGAGAAGAGGTTGGTCTTGCTATCTCAGAGGTGGCAGAGGTGGAAGAAAATCCACATATAAGGGGACCCAAGCAGCTCAAACCCATGTTGTTCAAGGGTCAACTGCATATGCCCTAAATCAAAGGCCTATGTATGGTACTGTGTCTCCAATAGCTAAACTACATGAATCTAGGAATCAATGGGTGAAAGTGGATGTAGCTCCTCTCACCCTTACGCTTCCTAGCAGAATTTATCTTTCTTGTCCTGAAAAGTTAAGCTCTGCCAAGATGGAGTCCCTAGTTCTTATTTGGAATGGGGGATGGGAAGAGGTGAAGAACACTTCAACCAAGTGACAAAATAAGGATTCCACTGAATTGAAAGCAATAACCATTACCACCTGGCCACTTTGGAATCATGCCCATGAACAACCAGGCAAAGAAAAGTTACTTCTTGCTGAGGTAATCAATACTGATTACCATGAGGAGTTGGGATGTCTACTCCATCATAGAATAGAAAGGGTTATGTCTCAAACCCAGAGGAATCGCAGGGTATCCTTTAATACTTATATTGTTTTCTAATAACTATTATAGACCACAGACAAAGCCACTAAGGACTCAAACCACTTAGTGATGATGAAACTGGAATTCCTACCAGGCTAGCAACCAAGACCAGCAAATGTGCTTTCCTGGGGAGACAAGAAATCTAAAATGAGAATATCAGTTATATTATTGGGATCAGCTACAGCAGTAGGAATTGTGGCTTAGTTCATTAACCCTCTTTAAGTGTCTTTAGGAGATTGCAACTTATGTGGATTCCTTGACCAAGTGATGTGTACCTCCCATGTCAGAGAAAAAAATAGGGGCATCTTGGTCTTACAAAACTGAAGACCCAGTACTGCCACATGAGAGCCAGGTGTCAGAGGACAGAGACAGAGCTTATGCATCTTACAGATCATTTTAGCCTTGTCGGCCTCCTAGGCAGGCCCGCAGCCACTTCATCTTCTACCCTTGGTAGCTGTCTTACTTAGCCTTGCCCTGGGTGAAGACCAGATTCTGGCAGGAGCAACAGCAGCTCAGGTGCCCACCTCAACCCATCCAGGTCCACAGAAGCTCTAGCTTCTCCAGAAGCTGCCCACAGAGTCCAGATACAAAACCAGAACTGCAAGGGAGCCAGTGCCCTATGGGGCAAATGTTAAGAGACAGAAAACAGGAAAAAGCCATCAGAGAAATTCTTCTTACTTCCTTTCTCTGAGGTGCTGTGGGTTTTCTATGGCTTGGCTGGAGGCATACTACATGACTGAGCACCTGGTTGTTTCCTCATGAAGGTGTGGTCACCTTATATCTACTTAGCCTCCCTCCATGCCCCAAGCCCCTTCTTTCCTTACTCTTGTTATCCTGGAATTGCACCTCCCAAGAAAGCATTAGCACATAAGATTTGCCTAAGTTTCTACTTTCTAGAGAATATAAATGGAAATTATGTCTATCAGACTCACTTAGGGAGCTGTTTCAAATGATAAATACACCACCGTGATACTCCGTTGATATATTTTATTCTTCAAGTTCATAGGGATGAGAAAAGGTGTAACGTTAGACTTAGAAATAGTTGACCTAAGTTTGATCCTAACTCTGCTACTTACTGTGTGACATTAAGTAATTTGCTGAACCTCTCTGAGCCTCATTCCTTCATCTGGTCAACAAAGGGTCAGCATGATAACATGGGTTCTCAGGGAGGACTGCTTGGGGTGACTGTGAATCTTTAGGCAATTTACATACATCTCTAAGCCTCAGTTTTCTCATGTGTGAAATGGAGATAGTAATACAATCTACCTAACAGGTTTGTTTTGAGGATTCAATGAGATCATCATTCATGCAAAGCTTTTGTAAAGTGCCTTGTCTATTATCATCTGTGAAAAGGAGTAAAAAGCTGCCCCTTTGAAAGGTTGTGAAGATTAGCTGCCTTCTCCAGGCAGCTGTTGGAGCCATTTGAGTTGGGTCTGGGCACCTAAGCTATTGTAAAGCATGACATAACTATAAAATAATGTTTTTTTCTAGGGGAAAAAATTACTGTGATATAATTTGTGTCTGGTCATTCTTCCCTTCTCCGCTGGTGGAATCCTGGGCCCACTTACATCATCTCTCATCCCAGTGAGTTGATTCTATGCCAACACAGACTTCAGCCCAAATCCAGCCCTACCCCCAATGAAGTTTATCATTTCCTGCCCTGGCTGCACCTCCCTCAAAAAGCAGATGTGGCAAGTAACAACAACAATATTGATAATGTTTCACATTGTTATTCAAGTCCTAATCTGAAATAAATACTCCAAAGATGCAAATCTGGATGGGTTCTTGCCCAAGACTTGGAAGGACAGATTCATATCAAGTGATCTTGTTCTGCTTGACATATGATTTAAAGTATCTCCCTGTGCAAACTAATTTAGAAATAAAGAAAATGGGCTTAGTAAAAATTTTGTCAGGACACATTATATAAGATTTTATAGATTTATGTACAAAATCTGAGCCTATTAGGTTGGCCAAGGATCCCATTACCCTAGTAATCTGGAAAGAAAGAATTCATCTATCCTTTCAACAAATAATTATGTGAGATGGGAACACAACGAGCCCCAGGTTTGCCAACAGATTCAAGTTCCTGGGCAACATTATTAGAGCAGCTATTCTTCCTTTGTACTTGACTCAAAGTCCTGTTATCAATTACCCATGCCCTCGGAGTACCTGACTGACAACAACAACAACAACAAAAGCCATGGGACAACTGAGATCCAATGCCATCATGATTCAGCACAGATACTTTTTAATGGTGACTAAAGCAAACACTAGAGTCCACACTGACCCTGGCCAGTCCTCAGTACCACGTTGACCTCTCCATAATAGCCTCCACAGATATTTCTCTCCCAAGGGATTCCTCTTTGATGACTTATAATTACGATGAAACACTGTAATTCATACAATTAATGCTTTATTCTAAACATCCAGCTCATACCGATTTCCACTGCTTGGCTGATTAAAGGCTGCCTGTTACCAAGAAACTTTGCAGCAATCTCTCCAGTTAATTAATGTTTTCAGGCACTTGCCTGGAAGACAACAACAGCAGAAGTTGCTAATTGCCATTGTTTACCACAAATTGCAAAGTGCCATGGTTACTTCATACTTTTCACTGCGAATGCTATCATCATCATCATCAATATTTATTGACTACCCACTTAAATGTATTCTATTCCACTAAGTGCTTTAATGTGTCTGACAGCATAGCTTGCCAAAGAAGGCTAATCATGAAAATAGCACACCATAGTCTACTGTTCTAATTTTTTTAATAAAAATTATTTTTACTCACTTTTGGAACCTAAAATATAGCAGTATAAAACATTAGTAAAACATCCCTTTATTTGGTAATCTATACCTTTTAGTGTCTGACACATATAGGCTCTCTAAATATTTATGAAATAAATAAAGGTATGAGTGAAGTTTGTAACAGAAGTATTCAGCGAGATCTGAGACTCCAGATGGAAAAAAGGAGACAAAAAAGTAGCTGATGTTGACACTTCTCAAAAGAAGACATTTATGCAGCCAAAAAACACATGAAAAAATGCTCATCATCACTGGCCATCAGAGAAATGCAAATCAAAACCACAATGAGATACCATCTCACACCAGTTAGAATGGCAATCATTAAAAAGTCAGGAAACAACAGGTGCTGGAGAGGATGTGGAGAAATAAGAACACTTTTACACTGTTGGTGGGACTGTAAACTAGTTCAACCATTGTGGAAGTCAGTGTGGCGATTCCTCAGGGATCTAGAACTAGAAATACCATTTGACCCTGCCATCCCATTACTGGCTATATACCCAAAGGATTATAAATCATGCTGCTATAAAGACACATGCACACGTATGTTTATTGCGGCACTATTCACAATAGCAAAGACTTGGAACCAACCCAAATGTCCAACAATGATAGACTGGATTAAGAAAATGTGGCACATATACACCATGGAATACTATGCAGCCATAAAAAAGGATGAGTTCAAGTCCTTTGTAGGGACATGGATGAAGTTGGAAACCATCATTCTCAGCAAACTATCGCAAGGACAAAAAACCAAACACTGCATGTTCTCACTCATAGGTGGAAATTGAACAATGAGAACACATGGACACAGGAAAGGGAACATCACACACCGGGGCCTTTTGTGGGGTGGGGGGAGGGGGGAGGGATAGCATTAGGAGATATACCTAATGCTAAATGACGAGTTAATGGGTGCAGCACACCAACATGGCACATGTATACATATGTAACAAACCTGCACGTTGTGCACATGTACCCTAAAACTTAAAGTATAATAATAATAATAATAAAAGAAAAAAAGAAAAAAAAATAGCTGATGTCTCTTGAGTGGTGCTCAGAGGCATACCAATCTTTCTCAATCCAACATTGTGTCCAGGGAAAAGAAGTCACTTTTTTTCCTTTAGAGGAAAAAATATTACATAAGGAAAGGCTCTCAGAGGCTCTCTTGAACATTATATGGGCTGACATTGTAGTATTTAGACTTTTCTTGTTGAGACAGAGCTGATGGTCATATATACAAAATACTCCCGTGGACCTATCCAAGGTTCACTGTAATCCTCATCACCTTTTCTTTCCTTCCAGAAATAATGAAATATAAGTACAGGACATTACCATGAATGTAGGGATAACCTTGAATTTGCTCTCATGTTGTTAAAACAAAAAAGTAAATCATTCAAAAATCTCATTTCCTAAACTCTTATTAACAATGAATTAATTGGAAATACATTACAACTGATTGTGATATGGCTGGATCTCTCAGCACAGCAGCTAAGGGACCTAGGATCTAGGTCCCCATCTTACACTGATTAGCTCTGTGATTGGATGCAAAAGCTAAATGGGATTTAAAGCTTTACCAAGGGTTTTTATATCTCTGAAAATAATTTAACCTCCCCTCCCTTCTTCCACTAACTTTTGTATCATATAAATAAAAGTAAACTGGCAACTTTCCTCCAGCATGAGAGATAGTACGGCATGCCTGGATTCTAGAAGCTAACTCTTTTGGACATGTATTTATTGTTTGTCCAACATTTCTTCCTTCAGGAATTCCCCTCATTTCCCTTTTTTGAATCTCAGTTTGTTTATTGTAGCATGAGAATGTTGAACAAATGCTATATACTTAATGTTTGTGTAGCCTCAAATGTTGCAACCCTAATCCTCTGTGTGATAGTATTTGAAGATGGGGCCTTTGGGAGGTGATTAGGTCATTAAGGTAGAACTCTTATTATGGGATTAGTACCCTTGTAAGAAAAGAGCTTGCTCCATCTCTCTTTCTCTATCCCCCACACATCAGGATGCAAGAAGAATATAGCCATCTTTGAACCAACCTTCACTAGGCACCCAATCTGCTGGGACCCTGATCTTGTACTTCTCAGCTTAGACTGTGAGAAATAAATTTCTGCTGTTTAATAGTATTTTGTTACAGTGGACTGAGTTAACTAAGACAACAAAGGTCTCATTTCAGTTCTGCTTACTATACCTGAGGTCTGGCTTAGATCCCTCTTTGATTCTGAGGTTGGAAGTTAAGTCTGGCCCTCCTGGGAAAAGCTAAATGGAACTTGAAGCTTTACCAAGGATTTTTATATCTCTGAAAATAATTTAACATCCCCTCCGTTCTTCCACTAACTTTTGCATCACATAAATAAAAGTAAACTGGCAACTTTCCTCCAGCATGAGAGATAGCACAGCATGCCTGGATTCTAGAAGCTAACTCTTTTGGACATGTATTTATTGTTTGTCCAACATTTCTTCCTTTGGGAATTCATCTTCTTTCATTCCATAATAATCCTGCTCAATGTACATTGTTCAAGTAGTATTCACTGCACCCCATAATAGACAAATAACAAAAGTCCAATCAAGCAGGGCTCTTGATTATTACAACAGTTTTGTGAGGTAGACAGGATAGGTATAACGCTACTTCCCATTGTATGTGTAAAGAAAAAGAACTGACTGGAGTAATTAAAATGGATAAAATCGTACTTATAGGAGGCAAGAGAGTTGCTACACAAACTCTGGGTTTTTGCTTTTGGTTTTTTTTTTGTTTTTTGTTTTTTTTCACTTAAAATCTGGTGTTCCCTTTATTTCACCACAAAACAGTGAACTCCTTGACTTGTCATTGTATCCTGGCCATGTACACGGAAAGACAGAAGCTACTTAAGATTCTGAGAATAAGACTAATACAATCAACCAATTTAAGAGAAGAGGAACAGACATTACCAGAAGCCATTATAAAGATGCAGAATGCCAGGATAAAAGTAGGAAGAGCAATACTGATTGTAGCGTAATCAATAATATTGACTTAAGGGGCAGAAATGTCATGAAAGAGGAATTTCAACATAGAAAAACTTAAAACAAGGGTCTAAAAAGAAAAATATAACAACGCTCATCTGACAATGTCTATGTGAAAGAAACAGAATCTAGGGAAGAAAAGATTTTTAGTCAGTAGAAAGACATTCTCTGACAAAGAGGCAGGGAATTTATTTAGAACTTACCAAGGCCTAAATAAAATATGTTATCCTCTTCACTTTTCTTGGTACCCATGTGCTAATCTATGACATTAAATATCTGGTCACTCTAATTTAATTTAGTTCAACAAACATGGTTTGAGTGTCTTCTGAGTACCAGGGATTGTACTTGGGATTGGAAATAAAAGGATGAGCAAGAAATGTCCCTGTATTTAAGGGGGCAGGGTGAATGAGAGGAAGGAATTGAAAAAGATACTCAAGATTCTGACTTGGGAAACTGAGTGAACACTATTAATTTAGGAAACATAAGGAAAGAAGGAGTTCAGTGTTGGACATCAAATCAGTCAGGAATGCTTTTTGGCTATAAGAAACAACTCAACCAGTAAGGTTTAAGCAACAGACATTTAATTACCATAACATGAAATCTGGAAAAATGCAGTCCAGGCCAGTACAGTGGTTCAAAAACATCAACAAGGATGCAAGCTCAACCTATCTTTTATTCCACCATCCTTGGCATATTGGCTTGTTGTCCTTGTGCTTGTTACCCCATACTTACAAGATGGCTGCTACAGCTCTAAGCCTCATTTTTCCCTTTTATTAGGAAAGTTGTTTTTTCCAGAAGCCCTCAGCAGGCCTTCATTTCATCTTATTGACTACAACTGGGTTATATGACTATCTCTACCTATAAAGGAGGCTGGGAAAACCTGTGGATTTCCAGACACTGTAGTCAAAGTTTAAAAAAATTAAGAAGGTCGGGAAGTGTTGGCCACAAACAACTTGTTCAGTTGAGGATATACACAATCTCTTGTTAGTTTTGTTTGCATGAGGCAATCCCCAAAAGACCCAATCACTGACAAATCAAGTACCTGAACCCACAAAGCCTAAGGTCTAATCAAACCCTACTTTGACGGCTTCACAAATGTAATCTCACTGTTTGAATACCTTCTAAATCAACCAACCTCCTTCACTATAAGATTTCAATACTTCACAATTGAAAGACCAACAAACACCAGAGTTCTAGCATACCTTCAGGACATAGAAGAGAATCAATAAACATTTCCTGATTTACTAATTAGTAGAACCTGGGCACAGAGGAAAATTTAACCTGGAATAAGAGATTTTTTGGCTTTGACCAGCAGTATTTGACTGCACAATAATTTCTAAAAAAGAAGACAAGAACAGTTGTTGCAAATTCCAAAATATATGTCAGCCATTCGACTAAAATATTATCCCTTTTCAATTACTCTGAGTTTCATGAGCCCCAACATATCAAAAATCAACTTCTTATATGAAATGCATTAATCCAAGAAGGAAGATACGTACAAAAAAGGCACTAGCTTATTCTCCGTTCTCCATTCAGCTATTACATGGGTGGTAAGAAAAATTGAAATGCAGTCTTGACTGTTATCTAGATGCAAATCACGTCCTAGTTCCAGACAATCAAGCAAACAGTCATTAAACATGTAACAGTCTAAAAAATAATTTGTAAACTGGCATTTTCTTTAGAAATTTTGGGTGGTTTAGGAGAGAGTAGCAGAATGGCATTCTCTTCAGATTATTTCCACTGTATCTTTCACATCAATTAGTTAGAGCCATGGTGCACCTGTTGAATGTAAATTGCTTTATGAACAGCTGTTCCATGTCCAAAGTAAACATGCTGGATATTGAAATAGCCATCTAGTCTGGGGTTTGCTGGTATCATAGCATCTTGATTTTCTCAGATTGAAGACAGCGTATATAAATTTATTTACGTATACCAAATGTAAGAGAGTTGGGGTTTTTTTCCCTAGGTTAGTCCTTAACCACTTCCCCAACCCCTGTAAATTCAGGAAAGAGATTTGAATATTTATTATTAATGACTCACTTACAGTCAATCCCTAAAGGAAATTGCTATATTAATGGGCATAAATGTTCATTGGAATGTGTAAACAAGGTGAGAAACCTAACTTCAATCAATCCAGGAAGTTGTTCTCTTTATCGAAGTTATGGATTTACAAAGTAGAATTTTTGTTTGGGAGAGAGGGGCAAGAGGCAGTAAAATAAAACATATCATCCATAGACCAGAATATTTAGTCGTCTGGAGAGGATCCCATCCTCTAGAGACCAACCTGGGCACAACAGTAAGTAAAAAGCCTTGATTTCTTCCCACTGCCATTTTGCCACCTGCTTACCCAAACTGCAGGCAAACAAACACATGCACATGCATGTGCACGCACACACACGCACACACACACACACACACCATACCCTGGTTCAGCCTTCTTTGGAAAATTACCTGTTCCAGAAAAATCAACCCTACTTGCATTTAACATTCCCTCCAAAACTCTTAGTTCCTCGAAATCTAATCTATTCAGAAGACAAAAAGAAAGTTAATTGAACTATTTTACAACATTAGGAGAAAGGCTGATATGACTTTTCCAAATAGCAGTTGCATTTTAAAAGTATGATTTATTTCAGACACATGGAAATCTAATCGTAGACCTTCAGGCAAAACATGCTGTATCAGGGGGCCCTTTCTGGCCTCCTCTAATCATAGCTTTCTCTACTTATAAAACAAGCTCTGCCAAATGTTTTCACTGTTCTCCAATTAAGGCATTTGACCAAAACAAAAATCATTTTACAATAAACCCAGAAAATATTATAAACTAAAAACAAAATAGAGATTTTTTAACTGCTGAGATTTGTTAATGCCTGCATGAAATTTGACAGCTATTTTTGGTGTGTAAACTTTAAAGTCCTGTGCTATCAAAGGGTCACAAAACTATAAAGAACTCTGAAATACTTGTAGTATATTCTCAAAAAGAAAGTGTTGGCATGTTTGCTTTTTGGAAACAGGATGTGCAAAGAAGCTAATTTGGAAAACTCTTTATTATCCAATCCAATGGAACAGAACATTAGAGTAGATGCATTGCATCTGTGAAACTAGACAACCAGTTGATTTAGAAATGATGCTCCTTATGCAGATCTGGGCAAAGCTTTCTAAGCAGAGAGGACAAAAATGCAAATACCCTGATCAGGGAATGCGTTTGGCTTGTCATAAAACAAAAAGAAGATTAATGTGCCAGACAAGAAGAGAGCATGATGGAAAGTTGTAAGTGACAACATCAGAGAGCTAGAGAAGGGCCAGAAAATGCAGGACTTTTTAAGCTGATCGCCTAAGATCTGGGGGTTCCTAAAGGATTATAAATCATTATACTATAAAGACACATGCACACGTATGTTTATTGCAGCACTATTCACAATAGCAAAGACTTGGAACCAACCCAAATGTCCATCAGTGATAGACTGGATAAAGAAAATGTGGCACATATACACAATGAAATACTATGCAGCCATAAAAACAAATGAGCCCATGTCCTTTGCAGGGACGTGGATGAAGCTGGAAACCATCATTCTCAGCAAACTAACACAAGAACAGAAAACCAAACACCACATGTTCTCACTCATAGGTGGGAGTTGAACAACGAGAACACATGGACACGGGGAAGGGAACATCACACACCAGGGCCTGTCAGGGGGTGGGGAGCTAGGGGAGGGATAACATTAGGAGAAATACTTAATGTAGATGGCAAGTTGATGGGTGCAGCAAACCACCATGGCATATGTATACCTATGTAACAAACTTGCACGTTCTGCACATGTATCCCAGAATCTAAAGTATAATAAATAAAAAAAAGAACCAACTGATCTGACAGACTTAAAAAAAAAAATCCAAAAAAATTATCCAGGTGTGTTTGCATGCCCCTATAGTCCCACCTACTGAGGAGGCTGAGGTTGGAGGATCACCTGAGCCCAGGAAGTTGAGGCTGCAGTCAGCCATGACTGCACCACTGCACTCCAGCCTGGGTAACAGAGTGAGAGATTGCCTCAATAGAAAGAAAGAAAAAAGTTGAATTAGGGCTGAAACCCACACACTGGCTCCCATGTCTGTGCTCTTCACCACTGGCCACGTAGCTCCCTTGTGCATGTCCTGGCTTCCATGTCCAGCTTGCGTGTTCCTATATGGCAGGGAGTGTGTCTTGCCTGTTTTCATGTCCATTCCTTTAGTCTCTTCTTCCTCACTCAGCCTTGTTCTTGGTGTTTGGGAGACATTTGAAGCGTAATAAATATTTGCTGAATTGTTGAAAAAAAAATCTGGGGGTTCCTAGAACCCAATATACAAACTATATATCATATCAGTCAAGGTCCTTGTAAGAAATGGAAACCACGGAGGATCTTAAAAAAAAAAAACAGAGGAAATTGAATTTGGGGATTTGATTAAACAGTTAATAGAAGATCCTAGGAAGCAAAGAAGTAATCATGAGGGCAGAGCAAGAATCCACTACCATCCTGGGGCAGGAAGCATTGCACAGGAAGAGGAGTCCTCAGAGCCCAGAAGGAGGTGGTAGGACCAGGGCAAGGACTGCCATGTGGAAGCTGGGCATCATGAAAGGAAGCTGTCTCATGGGAGATGAGCCTCACCCAGCACAGGGCAAGAAAGGAAGAAATACTGACTTCTCCCTCCCTCCCTCCTCCCCTACAGTCTTCTGCCAGTGCCTCTCACTGGCCAAATCTATCTGGAATTCAACTGGACAAACCTATCCAAAAAATAAGTCCCCGTAATACAGAGCAGAGCAGGGAAAGGATGGGAAATGAATGTGAAAGAAAACAGACCAATAGCAGGCACATTGATCAACTCAGGGAGGAGTAGGAAATTCTTCCCCTTCACCCCCGCCACCGCCCCCCAGCCTAACAATGCAGCTCCCAGCAAGTCTTTCTTGTCCATCTGATTCCATCTCTCTGGCCACACAATCTGAGGACACAGCTAGAGGGAGGATCCCTATCTGTAATCAGTGTGATGAATTTTGTATGGGAGCCAACAAGTCTCTTCACAGGATCAAACAGCTCCCTTTTTATTGGTAAATGTAAGGATGACTACAGATGTCGAAGGAGGTCAAACTTAAAGCCAAGTCTACCCAACACCTAAGCAAAAGTTAGAAACTGTTTTCTTTTGCAACAGGACACAATTGGAGAAACTGGTTATTTTAACAAGGCTTTGACTGGAATGGCATGACTTCCTTTAAGGAATCAAACTTGACTTGTAAAGCCAATAAAAGCCTTTTGGGGAACTGGCCTCATACCTTGTCTCCACAGTTCCTGTACAGGGTTTCTGACCTATGGTAAGTAAAGAATGTCACTTTCAAACATGTCCAGGAGCCCCAAGTTATCTTGGGACCCAAGAGGAGAGGAAGTTACTTGACTCGTAGGTATTTGAGGGTTCAAACCTATGGTAGGGCTTGGCTCTAAAAAAGTATTATCTGGGATTCCTTAAGGAACAGAGTTCTATCAAAGCCAATTAAAAAGCCATATGGCAAATAATTATTCTTTCTGCACTTTATACAAATAATCAGGCCAAGTATAATAAAGCAAATCACTTTTACCATGATTTGTCTTTAGTAAAAATGGGAAACTGGAGAGAGAAAAATTATGTTTCAAAAACTGTGGTACACTTGTTATTAAATTCTAGTCTCATCAGTTGTTTTTAAGTTTGTTTCTGCTATTTAGGCTAACACAGCTTATTCCTGTGAACCAACCAGTGATCTCTGACTGCTATTCAGAAGAAAAAAGGGTAATGTAAAAATCTAAATCAGTATTCTAATTCTGGGCATGTACTGGAATCATCTAGCAATCCCATATCAGCTTGGTTCCAACAGTTGCCCAGTTCATGGAAGGCCTTCTAATTCAGTTTACTTGGAATAATTTTACCTATTTTGCTTTACTGTGATGGATACATTGCTGTTGTACTCCTTGTGCAGGAATAAGGATAAGCTTACCAAATGTTTTCTTAAATTGAGTACTTATTAATATCTTCCAGATACCACCTTTTGTCAAGGAATTATAAATGGCCCTCACCATACTGATGCTTTCTGACTGTGCTCCTCTCCTCACCAAATACAAGAGACCCTAATAGTTAGGCAAGAATATCGTTGCCCCAATACAGCCTGAAGAAGTTACAGAACATGGATCTTCACCCTTCTGCAACCCTTAGGATTAAGGGTTCTCTTATAAAAGGGAGGGAGGAAATGTCAGAGGTGTGTGAACCAGAACAATTCCATCTTAAATAGGAGCTGGGTAAAATGAGACTGAGACCTACTGGGCTGCATTCCCAGATGGTTAAGGTATTCTAAGTCACAGAATGAGATAGAAGTTCAGCAAAAAATACAGGTCATAAAGACCTTGCTGATGAAACAGTTTGCAGTAAAGAAGCCAGTTAAAACCCACCAAAACCAAAATGGCCACGGGAGTCACCTCTGGTCACCCTGACTGCTACACTCCCACCAGCACCGTGACAGTTTACAAATGCCATGGCAACATCAGGAAGTTACCCTACATGGTCCAAAAAGGGGAGGCATGAATAATCCACTCCTTGTTTAGCATATCATCAAGAAATAACCATAACAGTGGGTAACCAGCAGCCCTCAGGGCTTCTCTGTCTACAGAGTAGCCATTCTTTTATTCCTCTACATTTTTAATAAACTTGCTTTCACTTTGCTCTGTGGACTGACCCTGAATTCTTTCTTATGCAAAATCCAAGAACCCTCTCTTGGGGGGATCTGGATCAAGATCCCTTTCCTGTAATACCACCATGCCAAGCTAATTGTTTTATGTTTGTAAAGATGATGTTTTGCTATGTTGCCCAGGCTGGTCTCAAATTCCTGAGCTCAAATAATCCTCCTGCCTTGGCCTCCCAATGTGCTGGATTACAGGTGTGAGCCACTACACCCAGCCAATATTATCAAATAAAGAATGGACTCTCCTACTCTCTCTATTAGATTGTTTGCCTTCATCAGTAATTTAGATAACAGAAAGATATGTGTTCTAAGTGAAATCTATATATTAGGGTTCTGCACATGTTTTGAAAAGGCTTTTAAAAAGTAAAAATTACACATGCACACACCCCAAAAATATATTTTAAGCCAGCTGACCTGTTGCCCAGGCTGCCATAAGAAAATGCCATAGACTGGATGGCTTTAACAATAGAAATTTATTTTCTCACAGTTCTCAAGGCTAGAATTCTCCAGACTTTCAGGTTGCCAGCATGGTTGGGTTATGGTGAGGACCCTCTTCCTGCCTTGCAGACATCACTCTATCCCTGTGTCCACACATGGCATAGTGAAAGCTCTCTCTCCTTTTCTCTTCCTTTTCTCATAATGGCACTAATTCTACCATGGGAGCCCCAAACTCATGAATTCATCTAATCCTAATTACCACCCAAAGGCCTATCTCCAAATACTATCACACTGCAGGCTAGGGGACACAAGTTAGTTTGTAGCATGACCATTAGAATAAAATCTAAGTGCCTCAACATGGAACATAGAGCTGTAATGAGGTGGTCCCAGCCTATCTTTTCAGCCACATTCCTTCTCACCTCTAAATTCCCCTGGATTCCAGTCATACCAAACTCTCTGAAAATGATCTACCTTTTCCACACCTCTGTCTTTACAAATTTCCTTCTTTCTGCCTGGAATACTACTCCCTTTTTGTCTGCCTAACACCCTTCAAGATTCAGCTCAAAGGTCACTTTCTCATTGAAGCCTTCCCCATTCCATCCTAGGTGGAGGTAGGCACTTCTCTTTTTATGGTGTTAGGGCATTTAGCTCAGACCTTTGTAAGGGAGCTGCATAACTGTATTATTATGTATGCAATATCTGTCTCCTCAACTGGATTGTATGCTCCTTAAATTCAGAGTCATATTATATTCACATCTGAATACCTGGCACCCACCTTTTATGTGCTCAACCAATATTTAGTGGGCAAACAAACAGATCAACCCTAGTCTTGGTACTCTGAATTCCTGGGTTCTAACCTCCGGAGAGTGAGATATAGAAAGAATATGATCTGTAAAAGAACTTGGAACCATGGGAGAACATAGTTACCCACATCTCTCAAGCCTGAATACAGGTAACAAGCCTAAAGAAACACCTTTTCAAAAGAAACGTCTTTCTTCACTGCTCTCCTCTGATGAGCTTTTTTCATTACCACCTTCACCAGTACCCATGATTACTATATGAGGAGAACACCATAGCAATCTTTTTTAAAAAAAGAAAGCTCTGAAATTGCAGACATGCCACTGTGCTATGCATTTGCTCTTCTGTTGCCTTATAAAGTGGTTTTAAATTATTTCTCTGATGAAATAAATGCCCATGGAGAGTTTTCTCTTTGCCTTGTGCAGTCAGAGAGGGAGAAGGCACAAGCAACTTTCTGCAGTTGATGCCCTTCCTGGGAACCCATCTACATTTCCTTCTTTATAGCCCAGTAGCCATGACAACCTTCAGGGAGCCGCAGAAAGCTTTGAGACTGCATGTATGCTCTTTGTTTCATTCCACAGGCCCCTACCCTCAAAATTTGGGACCTCCATCTGGCTGAGCCTCAGGCAAGAACACAAGCTTTCTTTCCTGAGGCCTATCTTTCCCCAACATGGCTGTCCTGGATCAGGGACTGCCATGGTTGCTGCAGACTTGTCTTTGACCCATGTTTGTTGTGGCCACTGGCTTCTGCTTCCTTTCTGGCTCCTGACAATGGTTCCAGCTTATTCCTCACTGTCCACTGAATTCACTACACCCTTACTCAGATTGCTTTGTCTTGGATTCCCAGAGTCTACCACGACAATCAGTCCTGGCTTTACCTTGTCTCTGCAGAACTACTGCTACCCAGGCTTTCACCACATCCCATCCTTCTCCCCTTCACTTCCTTCCAACTCCCAACCATCCCATGTCTGGGCAAGTCACCTACCATGATCATAGATAGGTGAGAGGGAAGTTCACACGGCTTTGTGGATGGAAGATAAGTGTCCCTGTTGAGACATTTCCACTGGCTGAGATTCCACCTCATCAACTCTATCAGAAGCACAGACTCATATGCAAATAAATACGTGCTTGGTTCTAGACTTGATTCTTGCCTCCTGGATATGACCCGTAGTAAATGGTAATGGAATGAGGGCTACAAAGACCCTTGATCTCATAAGACTCTGGGTGAAGCTGTCCCCACTTTATCAATGGAGGATTATTCAAAGCTTAAGACTTAAGATGGCAGATTCCATTCCAAGATGGCCGAATAGGAACAGCTCTGGTCTGCAGCTCCCAGGGTTATCAGCACAGAAGACAGGTGATTTCTGCATTTCCAACTGAGGTAACAGGTTCATCTCATTGGGACTGGTTGGCAGTGGGTGCAGCCCACAGAGTGTGAACCGAAGCAGGGTGGGGCATCGCCTCACCCCAGAAGCACAAGGGGTCATGGGATTTCCCTTCCCTAACCAAGAGAAGCTGTGAAAGATGGTACCTGGAAAAATGGGATACTCCTGCCCAAATACTGGGCTTTTCCAATGGTCTTAGCAAATGCACACCAGGAGATTATATCCCGTGCCTGGTTTGGCAGGTGCTACACCCACGGAGCCTTGCTCACTGCTAGCTCAGCAGTCTGAGATGGACCTGCCAGGCAGCAGCCTGGCAGGGGGAGGGGTGTCCACCATTGCTGAGGTTTGAGTAGGTAAACAAAGCAGCCAGGGAAGCTCAAACTGGGTGGAGCCCCCCACCACAGCTCAGCTAGGTCTGCTCTCTCTGTAGGATCCACCTCTGGGGGCAGAGCATAGCTGAACAAAAGTCAGCAGAAACTTCTGCAGACTTAAACATCCCTGTCTGACAGCGCTGAAGAGAGCAGTGGTACTCCCAGCACAGTGTTTGAGCTCTTAGAATGGACAGACTGCCTCCTCAAGTGGGTCCCTGAACCCTGTGTTACCTAACTGGGAGACATCTCCCAGTAGGGGCTGACTGACACCTCATACAGGTGGGCGCCCCTCTGGGATGAAGCTTCCAGAGGAAGGATCAGGCAGTAATATTTGCTGTTCCGCAATATTTGCCATTCTGCAAAATTTGCCATTCTGCAGCCTCTGCTGGTGATACCCAGGAAAACAGGGTCTCAACTGGGCCTCCAGCAAACACCAACAGACCTGCAGCTGAGGGACCTGACTATTAGAAGGGAAAATTCTAAAAAGCAGAGAAACTCTTCTCCTCCAAAGGCTCACAGCTCCTCACCAGCAATGGAACAAAGCTGGATGGAGAATGACTTTGACAAGCTGACAAAAGTAGACTTCAGAAGATCAGTAATAACAAACTTCTCCAAGCTAAAGGAGGATGTTCAAACCCATCACAAAGAAGCTAAAAACCTTGCAAAAACATTACACAAACGGCTAACTAGAATAAACACTGTAGAGAAGACCGTCAATGATGTAATGGAGCTGAAAACCATGGCACAAGAACTACGTGATGCATGCGCAAGCTTCAATAGCCGATTCGATCAAGGAGAAGAAAGGGTATCAGTGATTGAAGATAAAATTAATGAAATAAAGTGAGAGGAGAAGTTTAGAGAAAAAAGAGTAAAAAGAAATTAACAAAGCCTCCAAGAAATATGGGACTATGTGAAAAGACCAAGTCTACATTTGATTGGTGTACCTGAAAGTGACAGGGAGAATGGAACCAAGTTGGAAAACACTCTGCAGGATATTATCCAGGAGAACTTCCCCAACCTAGCAAGGCAGGCCACCATTCAAATTCAAGAAATACAGAGAACACCACAAAGATACTCCTCAAGAAGAGCAACCCCAAAACACATAATTGTCAGATTCACCAAGGTTGAAATGAAGGAAAAAATGTTAAGAGCAGCCAGAGAGAAAGGTTGGGTTACCCACAAAGGGAAGCCCATCAGACTACAAGCGGATATCTCAGCAGAAACTCTACAAGGCAGGAGACAGTGGGAGCCGATATTCAACATTCTTAAAGAAAAGAATTTTCAACCAAGAATTTCATGTCCAGCCAAACTAAGCTGCATAAGTGAAGGAGAAATAAAATCCTTTACAGAAAAGCAAATGCTGAGAAACTTTGTCACCACCAGGCCTGCCCTAAAAGAGCTCCTGAAGGAAGCACTAAACATGCAAAGGAACAACAAGTACCAGCCACTGAAAAACATGCCAAATTGTAAAAACTATCAATGCTAGGAAGAAACCACATCAACTAACGAGCAAAATAACCAGCTAACATCATAATGACAGGATCAAATTCACACATAACAATATTAAGCTTAAATGTAAATGACCTAAATGCCCCAATTAAAAGACACAGACTGGCAAGTTGGATAACGAGTCAAGACCCATTTGTGTGCTATATTCAGGAGACCCATCTCATGTTCAAAGACACAAATATGCTCAAAATAAAGGGATTGAGGAAGATCTACCAAGCAAATGGAAAGCGAAAAAAAAGCAGGGGTTGCAATCCTAGTCTCTGATAAAACAGACTTTAAACAAACAAAGATCAAAAGAGACAAAGAAGGCCATTACATAATGGTAAAGGGATCAACTCAACAAAAAGAGCTAACTATCCTAAATATATATGCACCCAGTACAGGAGCACCTAGATTCATAAAGCAACTCTTAGAGACCTACAAAGAGACTTAGACTCCAACACAATAATAATGGGAGACTTTAACACCCACTGTCAATATTAGACAGATCAACGAGACAGAAGGTTAACAAGGATATCCAGGACTTGAACTCAGCTCTGGACCAAGTGGACCTAATAGACATCTACAGAACTCTCCACCCCAAATCAACAGAATATACATTCTTCTTAGCACCACATCGCACTTACTCCAAAATTGACCACATAGTTGGAAGTAAAGCTCTCCTCAGCAAATGTAAAAGAACAGAAATCACAACAAACTGTCTCTCAGACCACAGTGTATTCAAAATAGAACTCAGGATTAAGAAACTCACTCAAAACTGCACAACTACATGGAAACTGAACAACCTGCTCCTGAATGACTACTGGGTAAATAATAAAATGAAGGCAGAAATAAAGATATTCTTTGAAACCAGTGACAACAAAGACACAACATACCAGAATCTCTGGGACACATTTAAAGCAGTGTATAGAGGGAAATTTATAGCACTAAATGCCCACTAGAGAAAGCAGAAAAGATGTAAAATTGACACCCTAACATTACAATTAAAAGAGCTAGAGAAGATCGAACAAATTCAAAAGCTAGCAGAAGGCAAGAAATAACTAAGATGAGAGCAGAACTGAAGGAGATAGAGGCACAAAAACCCTTCAAAAAAATCAAAGAGTCCAGGAGCTGGTTTTTTGAAAAGACCAACAAAATTGATAGACCACTAGCAAGGCTAATAAAGAAGAAAAGAGAGAAGACTAAAATAGACCCAATAAAAAATGATAAAGGAGATATCACCACCGATCCCACAGAAATACAAGCTATCATCAGAAAATACTATAAATACCTCAACACAAATGAACTAGAAAATCTAGAAGAAATGGATAAATTCCTGGACACATACACCCCCCCAAGACTAAACCAGAAAGAAGTCGAATCTCTGAATAGACCAATAACAGGCTCCAAAATTGAGGCAATAATTACTAGCCTACCAACCAAAAAAAAGTCCAGGACCAGATGGATTCACAGCTGAATTCTACCAGAGGTACAAAGAGGAGCTGATACCATTCCTCCTAAAACTATTCCAATCAATAGAAAAAGAAGGAATCCTCCCTAACTCATTTTATGAGGCCAACATCATCCTGATACCAAAGCCTGGCAGAGACACAAAAAAAAAAGAGCATTTTAGAACAATATCCTTGATAAACTTCAATGTGAAAATCCTCAATAAAATGCTGGCAAACCTAATCCAGCAGCACATCAAAAAGCTTATCTACCACAACTAAGTTGGCTTCATCCCTGGGATGCAAGGCTGGTTCAACATACGCAAATCAATAAACATAATCCATCACATAAACAGAACCAATGACAAAAACCACATGATTATCTCAATAGATGCAGAAAAGACCTTTGACAAAATTCAACAATGCTTCATGCTAAAAACTCTCAATAAAATAGGTATTGATGGAATGTATCTCAAAATAATAAGAGCTATCTGTGACAAACCCACAGCCAATATCATACTGAATGGGCAAAAACTGGAAGCATTCCCTTTGAAAACTGGCACAAGACAGGGATGCCCTCTCTCACCACTCCTATTCAACATAGTGTTGGAAGTTCTGGCCAGGGAAATCAGGCAGGAGAAGGAAATAAAGGGTATTCAATTAGGAAAAGAGGAAGTCAAATTGTCCCTGTTTGCAGATGACATGATTATATATCTAGAAAACCCCATCGTCTCAGCACAAAATCTCCTTAAGCTGATAAGCAACTTCAGCAAAGTCTCAGGATATAAAATCAATGTGCAAAAATCACAAGCATTCCTACACACCAATAACTGACAAACAGAGGGCCAAATCATGAGTGAACTTCCATTCATGATTGCTTCAAAGTGAATAAAACACCTAGGAATCCAACTTACAAGAAATGTGAAGGATCTCTTCAAGGAGAACTACAAACAACTGCTCAATGAAATAAAAGAGGTCACAAACAAATGGAAGAACATTCCATGCTCATGGATGGGAGAATCAATAGTGTGAAAATGGCCATGCTGCTCAAGGTAATTTATAGATTCAATGCCATCCTCATCAAGCTACCAATGACTTTATAGAATTGAGAAAAACTACTTTAAAGTTCATATGGAACCAAAAATGAGCCCGCATTGCCAAGACAATCCTAAGCCAAAAGAACAAAGCTGGAGGCATCATGCTACCTGACTTGAAACTATACTACAAGGCTACAGTAACCAAAACAGCATGGTACTGCTATCAAAACAGAGAGATAAACGAGGGGAACAGAATAGAGGCCTCAGAAATAACACCACACATCTACAATTATCTGATCTTTGACAAACCTGACAAAAACAAGAAATGGGGAAATGATTCCCTATTTAATAAATGGTGCTGGGAAAACTGGCTAGCCATATGTAGGAAGCTGAAAATGCATCCCTTCCCTACACCTTGTACAAAAATTAATTCAAGACGGATTAAAGACTTAAATGTTAGACCTAAAACTGTAGCACCCTAGAAGAAAACCTAGGCATTACCATTCAGGACATAGGCATGGGCAAGGACTTCATGACTAAAACACCAAAAGCAATGGCAACAAAAGTCAAAATAGACAAATGGGATCTAATTAAACTAAAGAGTTTCTGCACAGTGAAAGAAACTACCGTCAGAGTGAACAGGCAACCTACAGAATGAGAGAAAATTTTTGCAATCTGTCCATCTGACAAAGGGCTAATATCCAGAATCTATAAGGAACTTAAACAAATTTACAAGAAAAAAACAACCCCATCAAAAAGTGGGTAAAGGATATGAACAGACACTTCTCAAAAGAAGACATTTATGCAGCCAACAGACACAAGAAAAAATGCTCATCATCACTGGCCATCAGAGAAATGCAAATCAAAACCACAATGAGATACCATCTCACACCAGTTAGAAGGGCGATCATTAAAAAGTCAGGAAACGACAGGTGCTGGAGAGGTTGTGGAGAAATAGGAACACTTTTACACTGTTGGTGGAACTGTAAACTAGTTCAACCATTGTGGAAGTCAGTGTGGTGGTTCCTCCAGGATCTAGAACTAGAAATACCATTTGACCCAGAGATCCCATTACTGGTTATATATCCAAGGGATTATAAATCATGCTACTATAAAGACACATGCACAGGTATGTTTATTGTGGCACTATTCACAATAGCAAAGACTTGGAACCAACCCAAATGTCCATCAATGATAGATTGGATTAAGAAAATGTGGCACATATACACCATGGAATACTATGCAGCCATAAAAAGGGTGAGTTCATGTCCTTTGTAGGGACATAGATGCAGCTGGCAACCATCATTCTGAGCAAACTATCACAAGGACAGAAAGCCAAATACCACATGTTCTCACTTATAGGTGGATAGCATTAGGAGAAATACCTAATGTAAATGACGAGTTAATGGGTGCAGCAAACCAATATGGCACATGTATACCTATGTAACAAACCTGCACATTGTGCACATGTACCCTAGAACTTAAAGTATAATTTATAAAAGAACAAAGCAGGTATGCATCATTGTGAATATTGATTCTGTATCAATATCATCAGTCAATATTGATTCTGCCACAAAGATAAAATAATCTTTGCTTTCAAGAAAAATAAAGAATTCTGCCAACAAAAAAAAAAGTCTTAAGATCGCAGGACTGTGTGTCACTCATTTTTGTCTTTCCAAAGATAGCATAGTTCAAGCACATGATAAGCATCAAATGTTTGAAGGTTAATGAAAGGAAGAACGGAAGGGAGAGAGAAAGGAAAGGATGGAGACAGGCAGAGAGGGAGACAGAGAGAAGTTTTGTTCTGACAAAGACAAATTTGGGGCATATAATAGAGTCAAGTGGAGGTAGAGGTAGCACAGTTCCACAAGGATGAAAAATCACTGGACTAGTCATCACCCAAGAGCCAGAAGCTCTAAACCTGACTCTGCCACCAACTTGCCACATGACCTTGAAATATATCTCCCCAAGTCTCTTTGTAGCCTCAAGATCTAAGAAATGGAATCCAGATTTCATCAAAGTAAGCTGGACCCACCTGTCTCTTCTGAGTTTCCTAAAGCTTAACTAACTTTAAATCACACTTGGTTTTCTCTGGACAGATCTGGGTCAATCAACTTCAGATATTTCTTGAGATTTGGGGCCTCTACTTGATCTTTCCTAAAGCATCTGGGTCTTACAAATGTGACCCCAACTTGTTAAAAGCCAGTCAAGCCTCTTAGCAAGCTCAATGCCCAAGGAAACTAGTTCCTCATTTAGATACCCCTTTCCCCACTCCCAAACCCCAGAATCCCAGAGAGATCTGCAAACATGGCTCCAGAAGCCTCAAATCCACTACAGACGGCCCCAGTCCTGAAAAACAGGAAATACTCAACTCTAGGCTCTTAGCCCCTGTTCTCTAAACTGCCAAAAGATTAGGGCCAGAACGGATCAACCCACATGGCTTTACAGTCAGGGCCTTCTGCAGCAGCCCTGGGGTCCATACAGCTCCCTCCTTACCCACAGGCAAGACCACAGGATCCAGTAAAGACTCTTCTTCCATCCCAAAACCCAGCTTCTGCCTCCTGTCTCCACTCCCAGAGCTCTAGCCCAGTCTTATCTAATCTCTGTGGCAGATCCTGTGCTTAGAATTCTATTGTTAGTGTTTTCTAGCCTTACATTGAGATGACATGCCAGTTTTAAGAGTTTTTCTCCACAGCTTTATGTAAGCCACAGGCAGCAGGAAGGATAAAGAACTCCTCAGGGGAGGCATGAGTTCATCGCAGTGGTGTGAGGCTGGTGTGAGTGATGAAAGCTTTCATCTTCTCCAGAGCCTTTCATGTTGGGTCTCAGTGGAGGACCCTGTCTTTAAGATACCTCTGAAAGGACACAATTTCTAAACCTTAGGTGGAAAAAAAAAATGAGGATTCTGAAGCTTTTTTTCCACCTCACCATCCATTTGTTCCCTCTCTGGTGGCCCTAGGGGATGACCACCTAGGCACACAACAGGGTGACAGTACTAACTTTTACACTTACAGCAGTTAGCCCCTGCCATCCACTCAGCTTTAGGAGGAGTCCTTGGGTACGCATGACTTTAGGCTGGGGGATGGCGGACTGCTCCATAGCCCATGACCATACCCAACCCTCAGAATAATATGGGAAGGAAACTTGCCAAAAGACTAAAGTCTCAATGATACAAGGCATATACAAATGGGCAATGGGGAAAATCACTTTGAATTCTTGTCAAAGATAAGTTCTGAAGCCCATCTTTGATCAGATCACCATCCTAAGTGAGTGAGGGAAAGGGAAAGGGTGATACTTACCAATAATATAAGCAATCTTGGCCCCTGGCTAATGCCTTCCAGATCCCCAAACAGGGACTGTCAAGTAAGGGGGCTCAACCCACATCCCCCCATAGCCAGAACCCTCTCCAGCCTCCCTGGGGCCCTTTCAGCTCCCTCCCTACCCACAGGCAAGACCACAGGGCCCAGTAAAGACTTTCTTCTTCCAACCCAAAACCCAGCTTCTGCCTTCTCTCCCCACTCCCAGAGCCCTAGCCCAGTCTTACCTAATCTCCATGGCAGATCCTTTGCTTCAGGCCCTGTCCTTCCTTCATCGCCAACCCCCTGTGGGCTTTATAATTGGACAGTTCTTGTCCAAAGGAACTGGACTGTGGAACCTGGACTGTCCCTCACGTAAGATGCTGTTTCCATTCCCCTTTGCTCCACAGCTACCAAAATGGATTAGCACCACCCCTACCTCAGCTCCAGAATCCCAGCCTGTGCCAGACCTCAGGACACGCACAGCCTGGGCAGGAAGGTGCATACTTCCTGTGCCCAAACACTAAATGCTTCGTGTCATCCCATCAGCCCCTCAGGACCTGAACGCTATCAGCCAAAACCTATGGGCTCAGGGTTCAAGGAAAACGTGCATTTTATTTTTTTTTTTTACTTACTTATTTATTTATTTATTTATTTATTTATTTATTTATTTATTTATTTATTTATTTTTGAGACTGAGTTTCACTCTTGTTGCCCAGGTTGGAGTGCAGTGGCGCAACCTCCATCTCCCGGGTTCAAGCGATTCTTCTGCCTCGGCCTCCTGAGTAGCTGGGATTACAGGCGCCCACCACCGTGCCCGGCTAATTTTTGTATTTTTAGTAGAGACGGAGTTTCACCATGTTGGCCAGGCTGGTCTCAAACTCCTGACCTCAGGCGATCCACATGCCCCAGCCTCCCAAAGTACTGGGGTTACAGGCATGAGCCACCGTGCCTGGCCAAAACCTGCTCTTTAACCTACTATGTTGAAACTGGAATCTTCAAAATCCAGGGGTCTACAGAGGTACCTCGATGGTCACTCCAGAGGGAGTCATAGACAAGATGGGCGCTAGGCACCAGTCTCCCTTACCCAGAGCAGCTCTTCTTTGATGCCTTGTATGTTTGCCTTTCCCATATGATTTTGTTTGAAGAAAGAACTCCAAGTTTTTTAAATGTCCAATATACTACTTAAACTTCTGCATGTGAATAATTATAACCAATTTTAATTATGACATGTTTCTTTAGTTTTTTAATGTTATGGCTACTTTTCTTTTTTTAATAGCCCAAAACGACTACTAAGCAGACGTTTCTTGGACAGAATCTTCTCCTACACACCTCAAGTGCAAAGCCCGTTGTTTGGAATCGTTGAGTAGGATCAATCACCTCTGTTTTTTTTTTCCTTTTGCTAGGAAAAAAAGCTCATTTTCCCTCAGCAGGATCTCTTCAGAGTGTCCATATTTACAACAACATAATTATAATCCATAAGTGATAAATTAAAATGTTAATGACTATTTTGCATAAGAAACATAAAAAGTTATTCAATGTTTATGAGTAAAATGTTATGAATATGATCTCAAAAAAGGACGCATTTTTTTATTATTATACTTTAAATTTTAGGGTACATGTGCACAATGTGCAGGTTAGTTACATATGTATACATATGCCATGTTGGGGCACTGCACCCATCAACTCGTCATTTAACATTAGGCGTATCTCCTAATGCTCTCCCTACCCCCTCCCCAACCCACAACAGGCCCCGGTGTGTGATGTTCCCCTTCCTGTGTCCATGTGTTCTCATTGTTTTTTTGGTTTTTTTTATACTTTAAGTTTTAGGGTACACGTGCACATTGTGCAGGTCAGTTACATATGTATACATGTACCATGCTGGTGCGCTGCACCTATTAACTCGTCATCTAGCATTAGGTATATCTCCCAGTGCTATCCCTCCCCCCTCCCCCCACCCCACCACAGTCCCCAGAGTGTGATATTCCCCTTCCTGTGTCCATGTGTTCTCATTGTTCAGTTCCCACCTATGAATGAGAACATGCAGTGTTTGGTTTTTGTCCTTGCAAGAGTTTGCTGAGAATGATGGTTTCCAGCTTCATCCATGTCCCTACAAAGGACATGAATTCATCCTTTTTTATGGCTACATAGTATTCCATGGTGTATATGTGCCACATTTTCTTAACCAATTCTATCATTGTTGGACATTTGGCTTGGTTCCAAGTCTTTGCTGTTGTGAACAGTGCCACAATAAACACACGTGTGCATGTGTCTTTATAGCAGCATGATTTATAATCTTTTGGGTATATACCCAGTAATGGGATGGCTGGGTCAAATGGTGTTTCTAGTTCAAGATCCCTGAGGAATCACCACACTGACTTCCACAATGGTTGAACTAGTTTACAGTTCCACCAACAGGGTAAAAGTGTTCCTAGTTCTCCACATCCTCTCCAGCACCTGTTGTTTCCTGACTTTTTAATGATCGCCATTCTAACTGGTGTGAGATTATATCTCATTGTGGTTTTGATTTGCATTTCTCTGATGGCCAGTGGTGATGAGCATTTTTTCATGTGTCTTTTGGCTGCATAAATGTCTTCTTTTGAGAAGTGTCTGTTCATATCCTTTGCCCACTTTTTGATGGGGCTGTTTTTTTTTTCTTGTAGGTTTGTTTGAGTTCATTGCAGATTCTGGATATTAGCCCCTTTGTCAGATGAGTAGATTACAAAAATTTTCTCCCATTCTGTAGGTTGCCTGTTCACTCTGATGGTAGTTTCTTTTGCTGTGCAGAAGCTCTTTAGTTTGATTAGATCCCATTTGTCAATTTTGGCTATTGTTGCCATTGCTTTTGGTGTTTTAGACATGAAGTCCTTGCCCATGCCTACATCCTGAATGGTATTGCCTAGGTTTTCTTCTAGGGTTTTTATAGTTTTAGGTCCAATATTTAAGTCTTTAATCCATCTTGAGTTAATTTTTGTATAAGGTGTAAGGAAGGGATCCAGTTTCAGCTTTCTACATATGGCTAGCCAGTTTTCCCAGCACCATTTATTAAATAGGGAATTGTTTCCCCATTTCTTGTTTTTGTCAGGTTTGTCAAAGATCAGATGGTTGTAGATACCCAGCATTATTTCTGAGGGTTCTGTTCTGTTCCATTGATCTATATCTCTGTTTTGGTACTAGTAACATGCTGTTTCGGTTACTGTAGCCTTGTAGTACAGTTTGAAGTCAGGTAGCATGATGCCTCCAGCTTTGTTCTTTTGGCTTAGGATTGATTTGGCAATGAGGGCTCTTTTTTGGTTCCATATGAATTTTCAAGTAGTTTTTTCTAATTCTGTGAAGAAAGGCATTGGTAGCTTGATGGGGATGGCATTGAATCTATAAATTACCTTGGGCAGTATGGCCATTTTCACGATATTGATTCTTCCTACCCATGAGCGTGGAATATTCTTTCATTTGTTTGTATCCTCTTTTATTTCATTGAGCAGTGGTTTGTAGTTCTCCTTGAAGAGATCCTTCACATCCCTTATAAGTTGGATTCCTAGGTATTTTATTCTCTCTGAAGCAATTGTGAATGGGAGTTCACTCATGATTTGGCTCTCTGTTTGTCTGTTATTGGTGTATAGGAATGCTTGTGATTCTTGCACATTGATTTTGTATCCTGAGACTTTGCTGAAGTTGCTTATCAGCTTAAGGAGATTTTGTGCTGAGACGATGGGGTTTTCTAGATATACAATCATGTCATCTGCAAACAGGGACAATTTGACTTTCTCTTTTCCTAATTGAATACCCTTTATTTCCTTCTCCTGCCTGATTTCCCTGGCCAGAACTTCCAACACTATGTTGAATAGGAGTGGTGGGAGAGGGCATCCCTGTCTTGTGCCAGTTTCCAAAGGGAAAGCTTCCAGTTTTTGCCCATTTAGTATGATATTGGCTGTGGGTTTGTCATAAATAGCTCTTATTATTTTGAGATACATTCCATCAATACCTATTTTATTGAGAGTTTTTAGCATGAAGCTTTGTTGAATTTTGTCAAAGGTCTTTTCTGCATCTATTGAGATAATCATATGGTTTCTGTCGTTGGTTCTGTTTATATGCTGGATTACATTTATTGATTTGTGTATGTTGAACCAGCCTTGCATCCCAGGGATGAAGACCACTTGATCATGGTGGATAAGCTTCTTGGTGTGCTGCTGGATTCAGTTTGCCAGTATTTTATTGAGGATTTTTGCATCGATGTTCATCAGGGATATTGGTCTAAAATGCTCTTTTTTTGTTGTGTCTCTGCCAGGCTTTGATATCAGGATGATGCTGGCCTCATAAAATGAGTTAGGGAGGATTCCCTCTTTTTCTATTGATTGGAATAGTTTCAGAAGGAATGGTACCAGCTCCTCCTTGTACCTCTGGTAGAATTCGGCCAAGAATCCATCTGGTCCTGGACTTTTTTTGGTTGGTAGGCTATTAATTATTGCCTCAATTTCAGAGCCTGTTATTGGTCTATTCAGAGATTCAACTTCTTCCTGGTTTAGTCTTGGGAGGGTGTATGTGTTGAGGAATTTATCCATTTCTTCTAGATTTTCTAGTTTATTTGCATAGAGGTGTTTATAGTATTCTCTGATGATAGTTTGTATTTCTGTGAGATAGGTGGTGATATCTCCTTTATCATTTTTTATTGCATCTATTTGATTCTTCTCTCTTTTTTTCTTTATTAGTCTTGCTAGTGGTCTATCAATTTTGTTGATCTTTCCAAAAAACCAGCTCCTGGATTCATTGATTTTTTAAAGGGTTTTTTGTGTCTGTATTTCCTTCAGTTCTGTTCTGATCTTAGTTATTTCTTGCCTTCTGCTAGCTTTTGAATGTGTTTGCTCTTGCTTCTCTAGTTCTTTTAATTGTGATGTTAGGGTGTCAATTTTAGATCTTTCCTGCTTTCTCTTGTGGGCATTTAGTGCTATAAATTTCCCTCTACACACTGCTTTAGATGTGTCCCAGAGATTCTGGTATGTTGTGTCTTTGTTCTCGTTGGTTTCAAAGAACATCTTTATTTCTGCCTTCATTTCATTATGTACCCAGTAGTCATTCAGGAGCAGGTTGTTCAGTTTCCATGTAGTTGAGTGGTTTTGAGTGAGTTTCTTACTCCTGAGTTCTAATTTGATTGCACTGTGGTCTGAGAGACAGTTTGTTATAATTTCTGTTCTTTTACATTTGCTGAGGAGTGCTTTACTTCCAAGTATGTGGTCAATTTTGGAATAGATGTGGTGTGGTGCTGAAAAGAATGTATATTCTGTTGATTTGGGGTGGAGAGTTCTGTAGATGTCTATTAGGTCTGCTTGGTGCAGAGCTGAGTTCAATTCCTGGATATCCTTGTTAACTTTCTGTCTCATTGATCTGTCTAATGTTGACAGTGGGGTGTTAACGTCTCCCATTATTATTGTGTGGGAGTCTAAGGCTCTTTGTAGGTCTCTAAGGACTTGCTTTATGAATCTGGGTGCTCCTGTATTGGGTGCATACATATTAAGGATAGTTAGCTCTTCTTGTTGAATTGATCCCTTTACCATTATGTAATGTCCTTCTTTTTCTCTTTTGATCTTTGTTTGTTTAAAGTCTGTTTTATCAGAGACTAGGATTTCAACCCCTGCCAAAAAGGATGTATTTAAATTTGGCATTGACCTTTGTAGCAATCAGCCCTGGCTTTCTCTCAGCTGAGAACAGTAATGCATGGTTAGTCACCTTTCAAAGGCAAATCTGTTAACCCCTTCTTTGTGTGCTACCCCTGAGCTGCCAATACAATCCTCATAAAAAGATGCCACCTCCTCCTCCTCACTAGTTAACACATCTTCACAGAAGTAAGAGAAATGAATGTTCTTTTTTCTCCCATACAAACACAAGACACTTGTTTTTCTGAAGGAAGCTCAGTAGGAAAGCACAAGCCCTGGTTTCTCAGAGCTGGCAGCTGGCAAGAGGCAAGAGAAACCCTTTAAGCTTCCAGGTTGCCTTGCACAGTTCTGTGTTTCACAGACCACATACCTCCCCAAGGGCCATTGTGAGGTGAGGGATTTCCTCAATTCTACCCATTTGTGTGTGGTTTCCTTTCCTAAGTTCAGAGCTCATGATCCAAGGTTACCCACTTGCAAGAAAAGATGACACTTCCTCACATTAATTATGCCATGAAAACAAGCTCAAGCCAGCAGTGCTGGCTTCATTCGCTGCAGCCAGCTACAAAGCCACCCTCAGCCTGGAAAAAATGGTCTCTCCCCTGTCCATGCAGCTTCCTTGCTGGTCTCCTCCAGGTTCTTTTCCAAATCCACCACCTCTACTGACTATTTTTCATGAGAACCAAAACTCATTCAGTGTTTATGAATAAAATGCTATGAAAGTGGATCTTTTTAAAAAAAATTGCTTCTCCAAGCCCACGAGGTATTTTAGAACTTTTTAGTGGCTGATAAGACCAAACAACAAAATCTTCCCTTTTTAGAGTACTTATCCCTATCAAAGCATAAGCTATATATAAGGTAATCATTGACTTCTAGCCCATGTCCTCCCTCTTCTGGAATTCTTCAAAAGATAGTGTTATAATGCCTCCTCATTTTCCAACAATCACAGAAATATAAAACTAATGTTTTTCCTAGAAGTCGTATTTAATGTTTCTATAATATTGGACCACAAAATTATGACTTTATTCTTTAGATGTTGAAACTGCACTTATCAGAGTCCCAGGATTCTGCAGAACTGGAAGTCTGGAAGATTGGTGGTGTCTTCCACTCCCTCACCAAAGCGGCCCTTATGTTCATCTGAGTAACGCATTGGGACTGTGTGCCTGTGCCCTTAACTATTTGAAGGGCATCAAAGTACAACCATTTTCAGAAACAGAGCCCCTACAATTAGGTAATCACACATACACCGAGACTAGAAGCTGAGCAAAACAGCTCTTTAATTATCCCCTGTATCCTAAGTCTAGCAGGGGTGAGTGTCAAAGAAACCAGACTCTCTGGGCTCCCTCCCTCATCCTCTTCTCCCCAGGCCCCACTCATAGTCCCCTCCATCTTTTCAACACACTTCCCTCCCACCAGGATTCTACCTCTTCTCCCTGTCGCCCTGGCAAAGGGGGAGGGTGAGCTGGGGAGGAGACACTGCGCATGCAGTCTTTCTGGGAGGAGAGAGGATAAAGAACAAAGAATTCTGCTTCCACTCTCAAAGTGAAATGTCCGCAAGATAAACCTTGGCTAACACCACTGATTCTTGTAGCAAGACTAAAAGCATTCTCAAGCCACCGGACACTCTAAATCTTTTATTTTTTCCTTTTTCCAAATAGTCTTTTCCATTATCCTAGTCTGTCTGGTATAGGCCAACATTCCAAGATGGAGATCTCATAAGGAAAAAGGATGAGGGAGAGGAAAACTGTGTGTGCCCTAGCACAGTTTGGACAACGAGTTCTGTTAAAAAAAAAAAGAAGTAAAATAAAAGTAAGTTTGAGGTGCTTTTCCTTCTTCCAAGAGCCCAAGGGCTATTCCTTTACCCTGGACACCAAAATAAAGACATTTGAGCAGGGTCACAAGCTAAGAGCTCTCTTTGACCCAGAGCTGGCACATTGGCAAAGTAGAGCATGTAACAAGAATTAGAGCTGTGTTCTCGTAATCTACTGAGATTTGGGGGTGTCCTCACTGCAGTATAACCTAGAGAAAACTGGAAGATACAGAAATATGCTGCTGCAATAATGACAAACAAACACTTAACATATGTGGCATTATGTCTGGGTTCAAGTGACAGATGCTGAAAAAAAGTGACATGTCCACCTCTAAGCAGAAGCTTGAAGTTCACTGCCTGAGTCCATCATTGCTCTTCTTCCTCCACCACAAGACCAAGTTGAGGTTGCCTCTCAGCCTAGATCCCAGACTGAAGAAGACATGAGCCCAGGCCACAGAGATGGCCACAACACAGACTCAGTGCATCCTCATCCATCATCATACCCAACACCAAATGGTTTTAAGCATGCCTGCCCTCAAAAAAGTTTGAAATGATACATTTATATATGTTTGTATCTGGAGGAGCAAAAAAGAGAGAATGAGAGATAAATAAATGGAAGGAGGGAAGAAGAAAATGTTTAGCATACCAACAAGAGAAACATTAAAGGAAATGGGATTTTTGGTGTATTGTCTGTCACCATATGGACTCAAGCGAGGCCTAGATGGTAGATGGAGGGAGAAAATGGGAAAATCCCCATGGAAACTGGGCAGGCAGATCAATGCAGACACCCAGTGGCTGCCCAAGTCCTGATTTTTGTTCTGAAGAGGACATCACAGTGAAATAAGTGAAAAATCATCACACTCCCACGACTTTTTTCAACAATGCCCCTAAATAAACATCTTTTCTTCCCCTCCTACCCCACCAAAAATATAAGCACAACCTAATAATCCATATACTGGCATAAGTACTCTGGAGAAGACTTCTTTTCCTATCAGTAAGGCACTGTGAAACCTTTCTAAATGGGAACTCATCAAGAAAAGTTGCAGTAAAAACTGGCATGTCCATTATAAACCCAGAATACCTCTCTCTCTGCTTATGGCTATGATGATAAATGAGAAATATTTAAACAGCATCCTCAGATTGGGTGGTGGGTAGGGATGGAGAACGGAAGAAAGGCAGAGCCCATAGAAGGGGAAATTGTAGGACAATTTGCTCAGCCTAAAGGAGCCAGTGTCCTTCAGGAATGAGCAGTGTTGGGCAATCCCAGATGGGAAAAGGCAGAAAAGTCATTCTGGATTCCTCTTTCCTGCATAGCCCCAATTTTCAGCCAGTAACCAGTATCTACTAATTCTAACTCTGTAGCATGCAGCCTATCCATTCTAACTCCTCTTCCTTGCCCTGACAGTCCTGAGTTCATACCAATAGCTCTTCCTGGACCACTGCAATACTCTCATGCCATCTCTCTGCTTCCCTTCTCCCCCACATGTCCCCACCTCCTCATCCATTCTACGTAATGTTGATGGACTAATATTACTTCCTAAACTATGGTTCTTATAATATACTTACCACCTCCCTAATGTTATAGACTCCAAAATGCCCACCCTCACTTCCAAACTCCTCCCCTAACCTGGCCCTCAATTCCCTTCACACACTTAGAAATCTGACAAAATTAAGGATTCAACCCTTTATACAACCATGGCTTTTTCCTTTCTTTCTTCTTCAAGGTGTTGCCTTCCCCTTTTATTTCAAATGTCTAAGTTTTACCTATCCTTCAGACCCCAGCCTCATAGCCACCTCCTCCTTGAAGTCTTCCAGAACCCTTCATTACACAGTCATTACTCCCCACTCGAACTCACATTTCTTATCACCTGTGCAATGATTTGACTGGACTCTTTCAAAAATTCAGATGTTGCTAAAGTGATGGTATTAAGAGGCCTTTAACAGGTGAGAAGGCCACAAGGGCCTCCTTCCTCATGAATGGACTAAGATCCTTATAAAAGAGGCTTCATGCAACTTTCAGTCTCTTGCTCTTCCATCTTTCACCATGTGAGAACACAGCATTCTTCCCCTCCAGCAGATACAGCAACAAGGTGCTATCTTGGAAGCAGAGAGCAGCCCTCACCAGATGATCAAACCTGCCTTGATTTGGGGCTTCCTAGCCTGCAGAACTGAAAGAAAATAAATTTCTGTTTTTTGTAAATTACCCACTCTCAGGTATTTTGTCGTAGCAGTGCAAAAAGGACTAAGACAATCTGAGTTTCCTCTAGGATACTTGTCACTCCCAGTTGAGGTCACTTGCATGCATGTTTTTCTCCCTCCTACAGCTTGCTGCAAGGCGGGGTCTGTGTTATTCTTCACACTGTGGAAAGAAGGACAGGTAGGAGGACAGGGTGGTGGGGAGCAAGAGAAGGAAGGAAGGAGCCTGCCAGTAGCCTGACCCCTAAGTTGCCCAGAAGCCCTAGGTAGTCAGTCCACCTTATAAACTTAGTTCCTGCCTTACTGCCTCCCAAACTTTCCATGTCTATCCAAAATGTTGTGCAATTACATTCTCTACCTTCTTCTGCACTTTTAAAACCACAAGCAGTCCCAGAATAGGTTGTCAAATTCCTGAGCCTTCAGCACTAGGCCAAGAGTTTCTTGAAGGGAAGGAAGAGGAAGTACAGGAAATATGGAAGAAGCACTTAGAGGAGTCAGGCCAGGCCAGTGAAGGGAATGGGAAGCCCGCACAGTAGGTATAGCAATTTGGCTGGTAGTGTTGTGCCAGAACCACGAAGTAGTGGCATCAAATTAACTCAAATGGTTGTGTCAACTACTACCTCAACTGTAAAACCACCAGGTGTCCCTACTCTTTCCAAGGACAGAAGGACAAGGCTCTGAGATGAAGAGTCCTCCCCTGGCTCCACAGGCATGTTACATTGTTCCAGGAGCATCCGTAGGGAACAGTAACTGTCTGCTGTGTTCCAGGCCCTCTGCCAAGGGCTGCATGTGCATTGTTTAATTTAATCCTCAAGATGTCTGCCATTTTACAGGTGAAGAGGCTGAGGCTCTGCTCTGTGGCCCTGTCAGAGAGATCCAGGTGGCTGGAGCTGCCACATTTCACCCCCACAGCTTTGATGTGATGTGTAGGCAGTTCAGATGGCAGGAGGGCCCCTGCCTCCCCACCTCGTTCTTCGCATCTTTCCACTCCATTCTGCCACCCCCGTTTCCCTGGGAAGGCCCTCCTGAGAGGTGAATCTGTTTCAGCACAGCCAACTGCACGCAATCTTTTATTCTGCCAACTGGCACTTCCAAAGCCCCAGCACTGATTGTAAAGCTCCCGTGTGACTTAATACATCTGATTACTTTTGAGTGTGGGGACAATGGATGCTGCCTGTCTTGCATCTGCTTTCATCTTTTCTTCTGGCTTTGCCACGCCTTCCTGATAACAGAGTGGCAACTTCAGCCAAGGAGTACTGGCTAGTTGCTGGTGTTAAGTTTAGGCAGCCTATAGCTCCACAAGAGCTGTCCTTTAACTCAACGTCTGATTTCACACTGGTCACACATACTGTCCCTGAAGAACCAACTCTTCACTGACACCCACCCCCCAATATACAGTCTCTCTCCATTTATCCTACCTCCAGTTGCCGAATGCATCTTCCCAAAGAACTACTCCAAACACTCTCCTGCTCAACTCAACAACTTTCGGTGGCTCCTCCTTGTCTTTTTTTTTTTTTTTTTTTTTTTTTTTTGAGACAAAGTCTCACTCCGTCTCCCAGGCTGAAGTGTAGTGGTGCAATCTCGGCTCACTGCAACCTCTGCCTCCCAAGTTCAAGTGATTCTCCTGCCTCAGCCTCCCAAGTAATTGGGATTACAGGCGTGCACCACCACACCTGGCTAATTTTTGTATTTTTAGTAGAGACAGGGTTTCACCATGTTGGCCAGGCTGGTCTCAAACTCCTGACCTCAAGTGATCCACCCACCTTGGCCTCACAAAGTGCTGGGATTATAGGCATGAGCCACCATGCCAGGCCTCTCCTTGTCTTAATAATTATGGGCAAGGGCTCTAGATAGTGTTCCCAGCCCTTTTTGTTCTCAGATAAGCAGCCTTTCCAACCTCTCCTCCAGCCTCTCCCTTGCACATGCCCTGGACTCTAGCAGAACTCTCAGTCCTATCCTCCAAACTCCGCAAACACTGACAGTATCCCTAAGCAACTTCAAGACACAGCTAAATGCTGAATCTTTTCAGAACTTCCTTTGTGGTCTCTCTTGATTCCCTATGCTGGATAAGATTTCTCCAATTGCTGTGGCTCCATATTGTTTGCAGCCTTTTATTTGCATTTACAACATTTGACTTTCCACTCTTGTTGCCTGTGTTGTTACCTAACTTCCTCTATGACAAGCTGTCAACTCAAGGGCAGACTTCTTCCCATGTATTCTTCCCTGTTCCACACACTCCCTCCACCACCACCACAACAGCAACTAACATGGGGCCTTTCACATCAAAATGCACAAAAGCTGTTTATTGAATGACTTATATATCATTTAATTGGGTAAATATACTTGACAGAGTAGTTGTCACTCCTTTATTCTGGGGTTTTATTCTGAGGTTTGTTGTTTTCCTTTTCCTCTTTGTTCATGCCGTCAAGTGTTTTGACTGCACATTCTGATCTGGAAACAATCCATAAGTTTTGTAAATACTACTTAGTATACAAGTAATTTAAATATTCTGGGAATTTCCAAACAAAGTTGTATGCATGTTATGAAGATAAAATGTAAAGCATTCTGGGAAAAGGCTTTTCTTTTCCTATCATGTCCCTTCCTAAATCAGAAGACCAAGGCAAAGCCTCAGATGAAGCTCTTTTTATTTCAAAACTTGTCCTCTAAGATTCACACTTTTCTTGGGTTAGAAAAGTAATTAGGTACTTTTTGATCAAAAGGTCTCTGCTTGACTCTAGACTCCATGGGTATAGAAATACATAAAAAGAGATGAAACGAAGGACATTAAAATCTCCTCTGCATAATTATGCTAATAACTGGAAAACAAGGAACATCATCAGACAATGAAAGGTCAACACAGAGAACAGGAGGAAATATTTGCAAATTATATATCTGACGGGGCCTTGTATATAGAAAATACAAATAACTCTTACAACTCAATAATAAAAAGACAAGTAACTCAATTATAAGATAGGCAAAGAATATGAATAGACAGTTCTCCAAAACAGACTGACACACAGCCAACAAGCACATGGAAAGATGTCCGCATCATTAGTCACAGGGAAATTCAAATCAAAGCCACAATGAGATACCACTTCATACCCACTAGGATGACTAGAATCAAAAAAGTAAGATACTAACAAACGTTAGTGAGGATGTGGAGAAATTGGAGCCCTCATACACTGCTGGTAGGAATGTAAAATGGTGCAACCATTAAGAAAATAGTCCGACAGTTCCTGAAAAGATTAAATATAAAGTTGCCATATGAACCACCAATTCCTCTCCTAAGCATATACCATGAGAAATGAAAATATATGTCCATACAAAAACATGAGCATGAATGCTTATGGCAGCATTATTTACAATAGCCAAAGGTGGAAACAAACCAGATGTTCAACAAATGAATGGAAAAATAAAATGTGGTATATCCATATGATGGAATATTATTTCATAATAAAAAGAAATAAGGCCGGACATGGTGGCTCATGCCTGTAATCCCAGCATTTGGGAGGCCAAGGTGGGAGGGCCAGGAGTTCAAGATCAGTCTGGGAAACATAGTGAGAACCCTGTCTCTATAAAAACAAAATAAAAAATTAGCCAGACCTAGTGGCATGTGACTGTGGACCCATACTTGGGATGCTGAGGCAGAAAGATCCCTTGAACCCAGGAGTTCAAGACTGCAGTGAGCTATGATCACTCTACTACACTCCAGCCTAGTTGAAAAAAAAAATCTACTGCCATAGACAGTCAATCAGGACTTGCATCTGTACAGCTCACAGTCCAAGAAGAAAGAAAGAGCATGTGCTATCTCTCCAGGTTTTATGTGTGAAATTCCTAATTCCTGAGAAACACTTTGATTGGCCTGGCTCAGGTACGGGTCCATGACAGGCAAACCCACATGACCTGAGATTGGAGCCCCATGTGTGGCTGGGCAGGTTTGTGTTAGTTGCCAAGGGAGTGGAGGCCAGGCTTCCTGAACTACGTATAATTAGGGGAGGAGCAGTTTCCTAAAAGAAAAGACACTGGAGGACCAAAACAACAAATGCCCATATACTGGACTTAAGGAACGTTAGAAAAGTTTTTACCCACCAGAAAATGTCACTTAGAATCTGTTCCTTAAACCAGCCAATGTTCTTATTTGAATGGAACAGAAATAAGGAGATTGACTTGGGGACAGAGAAGTTTGCAGTACATTTCTAAAAATACTTTCTTGCATAACCTCTCAAATCCAATTAAACGCAGAGCCACATTTTGGTGTGTGCTTCTAGGAGAACTCAGATTAAGACAGCAAGACAGGGAATGTAAGGTTGCTGGGCTGACAAGCTCTAGGAACAACCAAACTATAGAAAGGATCAGAAACCTCTACTGTGTAAACTATAAAGGTTTATGTGCCTGTTTGTTCTTTAAAGTTTATATATATATATGTTCCTGTCTCGGCTGTGTTAGGGAAAACTAAAGGAAAGGCCTTTGCTTAGGTGTGAGTCGGAGCCTTAAACCTAAACCGGAAGAGCCACAGAGATCAAGGGCTGCACGGTCAGACTATAGGCACAATTAAAATGGGAGAATGTCAGAGGCAAAAGAGGCTTACTCGATCCAGTCACCTCTTGACCAACATGTTCTCTACCTGGGGCTAAATCTTAGAGATTGTGGGTTTTGTCTTAATAAAGGAGATGTTCCCCAGAATTCCTGTCTCTCCTAACCCACCACTTTCCCTGTTCTCAGGCAAGTTTATTTTATATGCCATAGTGGCAATGAAAGTTATGCACAATGAGGTTGAGTGCAGTTTAGTCTATGAGTCAATAGAGATGCCTAAAATTATGAAATAAAATAGATTGTAGGACGAAAAATGTTTCTTCCACTGTGAACATATTAAGCCCAGTTGCTTCTTTATTCTTTAGTACATTGTTACAGCAGTGAAGGCAGCCATGGAGATGTTGTACTAATACAATATTTTTCTACGATGATTTACCATGTCATTAACATTTTAGCTCACTTGTTGCAGCTTTCACATTGAGCCAAAATAGATGTGCACCTAAGTTTGTATTATTCACCTTTCTTCACATGATTATCCACATTGAGAATGGTCAGATACGCTTTCCTGCTGGGTTCAGTCATGTTTAATCCTTTGATCCATTTTTTCCATTGATGTTTCCTTTTATATGATACTTGCTAATTAAAGTTAGTTCAGTCCCCACAGTATCTCTGAAGAAAGCAGCTCAGGGGAATACTTAATAATATAATCATATTATTCTCTCCATGTGACATTCATTATGATGTTATTAATGACTAGCTCAACTTCATAGAGGCATTGGCTTGTGGGATCTGAGTCAAGGTTTAGGGCCCAAGGCTGCAGCAAGACATGGTGAAATGTTTAGCCAGAATGACTGAAAACAATGTCATTAAGAATAAAAAGTAAAAATTGCGATCAAGAAAAAAAGCAGAAACCAGACCTAGAGAATCACTTGCAAACCTCAGGTTTTAGAACAGATATATGTCTGAAGAAATAAGTAAGTTGAGAGGTCAAATGCCTGGGCTGTCAAGAACAGATCTGGGAGCAGAGGGTAAGATAGGTCAGCTGGGGGAGGAGCCAAGATGGCCGAATAGGAACAGCTCCGGTCTACAGCTCCCAGCGTGAGCGACGCAGAAGACGGGTGATTTCTGCATTTCCATCTGAGGTACCGGGTTCATCTCACTAGGGAGTGCCAGACAGAGGGCGCAGGTCAGTGGGTGCGCACACCATGCGCGAGCCAAAGCAGGGCAAGGCATTGCCTCACTTGGGAAGCGCAAGGGGTCAGGGAGTTCCCTTTCTGAGTCAAAGAAAGGGGTGACGGACGGCACCTGGAAAATCGGGTCACTCCCACCCGAATACTGCGCTTTTCCGACGGGCTTAAAAAACGGTGCACCACGAGATTATATCCCTCACCTGGCTTGGAGGGTCCTACGCCCACGGAGTCTCGCTGATTGCTAGCACAGCAGTCTGAGATCAAACTGCAAGGCGGCAGTGAGGCTGGGGGAGGGGCGCCCGCCATTGCCCAGGCTTGCTTAGGTAAACAAAGCAGCCAGGAAGCTCCAACTGGGTGGAGCCCACCACAGCTCAAGGAGGCCTGCCTGCCTCTGTAGCCGCCACCTCTGGTGGCAGGGCACAGACAAACAAAAAGACAACAGTAACCTCTGCAGACTTAAATGTCCCTGTCTGAAAGCTTTGAAGAGAGCAGTGGTTCTCCCAGCATGCAGCTGGAGATCTGAGAATGGGCAGACTGCCTCCTCAAGTGGGTCCCTGAACCCTGACCCCTGAGCAGCCTAACTGGGAGGCACCCCTCAGCAGGGGCACACTGACACCTCACACGGCAGGGTATTCCAACAGACCTGCAGCTGAGGGTCCTCTCTGTTAGAAGGAAAACTAACAAACAGAAAGGACATCCACACCAAAAACCCATCTGTACATCACCATCATCAAAGACAAAAAGTAGATAAAAGCACAAAGATGGGGAAAAAACAGAACAGAAAAACTGGAAACTCTAAAAAGCAGAGTGCCTCTCCTCCTCCAAAGGAACGCAGTTCCTCACCAGCAACGGAACAAAGCTGGATGGAGAATGACTTTGACGAGCTGAGAGAAGAAGGCTTCAGACGATCAAATTACTCTGAGCTACGGGAGGACATTCAAACCAAAGGCAAAGAAGTTGAAAACTTTGAAAAAAATTTAGAAGAATGTATAAGTAGAATAAGCAATACAGAGAAGTGCTTAAAGGAGCTGATGGAGCTGAAAACCAAGGCTCGAGAACTACGTGAAGAATGCAGAAGCCTCAGGAGCCCATGCGATCAACTGGAAGAAAGGGTGTCAGCGATGGAAGATGAAACGAATGAAATGAAGCGAGAAGGGAAGTTTAGAGAAAAAAGAATAAAAAGAAATGAGCAAAGCCTCCAAGAAATATGGGACTATGTGAAAAGACCAAATCTACGCCTGATTGGTGTACCTGAAAGTGATGGGGAGAATGGAACCAAGTTGGAAAACACTCTGCAGGATATTATCCAGGAGAACTTCCCCGATCTAGCAAGGCAGGCCAATGTTCAGATTCAGGAAATACAGAGAATGCCACAAAGATACTCCTCGAGAAGAGCAACTCCAAGACACATAATTGTCAGATTCACCAAAGTTGAAATGAAGGAAAAAATGTTAAGGGCAGCCAGAGAGAAAGGTCGGGTTACCCTCAAAGGGAAGCCCATCAGACTAACAGCGGATCTCTCGGCAGAAACCCTACAAGCCAGAAGAGAGTGGGGGCCAATATTCAACATTCTTAAAGAAAAGAATTTTCAACTCAGAATTTCATATCCAGCCAAACTAAGCTTCATAAGTGAAGGAGAAATAAAATACTTTACAGACAAGCAAATGCTGAGAGATTTTGTCACCACCAGGCCTGCCTTACAAGAGTTCCTGAAGGAAGCACTAAACATGGAAAGGAACAACCGGTACCAGCCACTGCAAAATCATGACAAAATGTAAAGACCATCGAGACTAGGAAGAAACTGCGTCAACTAACGAGCAAAATCACCAGCTAACATCATAATGACAGGATCAAATTCACACATAACAATATTAACTTTAAATGTAAATGGACTAAATGCTCCAATTAAAAGACACAGACTGGCAAATTGGATAAAGAGTCAAGACCCATCAGTGTGCTGTATTCAGGAAACCCATTTCATGTGCAGAGACACACATAGGCTCAAAATAAAAGGATGGAGGAAGATCTACCAAGCCAATGGAAAACAAAAAAAGGCAGAGGTTGCAATCCTAGTCTCTGATAAAACAGACTTTAAGCCAACAAAGATCAAAAGAGACAAAAAAGGCCGTTACATAATGGTAAAGGGATCAATTCAACAAGAAGAGCTAACTATCCTAAATATATATGCACCCAATACAGGAGCACCAAGATTCATAAGCAAGTCCTGAGTGACCTACAAAGAGACTTAGACTCCCACACATTAATAATGGGAGACTTTAACACCCCACTGTCAACATTAGACAGATCAACGAGACAGAAAGTCAACAAGGATACCCAGGAATTGAACTCAGCTCTGCACCAAGCAGACCTAATAGACATCTACAGAAACTCACCAACCCAAATCAAGAGAATATACATTTTTTTCAGCACCACACCACACCTATTCCAAAATTGACCACATACTGGGAAGTAAAGCTCTCCTCAGCAAATGTAAAAGAACAGACATTATAACAAACTATCTCTCAGACCACAGTGCAATCAAACTAGAACTCAGGATTAAGAATCTCACTCAAAACCGCTCAACTACATGGAAACTGAACAACCTGCTCCTGAATGACTACTGGGTACATAATGAAATGAAGGCAGAAATAAAGATGTTCTTTGAAACCAAAGAGAACAAAGACACAACATACTAGAATCTCTGGGACGCATTCAAAGCAGTGTGTAGAGGGAAATTTATAGCACTAAATGCCCACAAGAGAAAGCAGGAAAGATCCAAAATTGACACCCTAACATAACAATTAAAAGAACTAGAAAAGCAAGAGCAAACACATTCAAAAGCTAGCAGAAGGCAAGAAATAACTAAAATCAGAGCAGAACTGAAGGAAATAGAGACACAAAAAACCCTTCAAAAAATTAATGAATCCAGGAGCTGGTTTTTTGAAAGGATCAACAAAATTGATAGACCGCTAGCAAGACTAACAAAGAAAAAAAGAGAGAAGAATCAAATAGATGCAATAAAAAATGATAAAGGGGATATCACCACTGATCCCACAGAAATACAAACTACCATCAGGGAATACTACAAACACCTCTACGCAAATAAACTAGAAAATCTAGAAGAAATGGATAAATTCCTGGACACATACACTCTCCCAAGACTAAACCAGGAAGAAGTTGAATCTCTGAATAGACCAATAACAGGAGCTGAAATTGTGGCAATAATCAATAGCTTACCAACCAAAAAGAGTCCAGGACCAGATGGATTCACAGCCGAATTCTACCAGATGTACAAGGAGGAACTGGTACCATTCCTTCTGAAACTATTCCAATCAATAGAAAAAGAGGGAATCCTCCCTAACTCATTTTATGAGGCCAGCATCATTCTGATGCCAAAGCCAGGCAGAGACACAACAAAAAAAGAGAATTTTAGACCAATATCCTTGATGAACATTGATGCAAAAATCCTTAATAAAATACTGGCAAAACGAATCCAGCAGCACATCAAAAAACTTATCCACCATGATCAAACTGGCTTCATCCCTGGGATGCAAGGCTGGTTCAATATACACAAATCAATAAATCTAATCCAGCATATAAACAGAGCCAAAGACAAAAACCACATGATTATCTCAACAGATGCAGAAAGAGCCTTTGACAAAATTCAACAGCCCTTCATGCTAAAAACTCTCAATAAATTAGGTATTGATGGAACGTATTTCAAAATAATAAGAGCTATCAATGACAAACCCACAGCCAATATCATACTGAATGGGCAAAAACTGGAAGCATTCCCTTTGAAAAATGGCACAAGACAGGGATGCCCTCTCTCACCACTCCTATTCAACATAGTGTTGGAAGTTCTGGCCAGGGCAATTAGGCAGGAGAAGGAAATAAAGGGTATTCAATTAGGAAAAGAGGATGTCAAATTGTCCCTGTTTGCAGATGACGTGATTGTATATCTAGAAAACCCCATTATCTCAGCCCAAAATCTCCTTAAGCTGATAAGCAACTTCAGCAAAGTCTCAGGATACAAAATCAATGTGCAAAAATCACAAGCATTCTTATACACCAACAACAGACAAGCAGAGAGCCAAATCATGAGTGAACTCCCATTCACAATTGCTTCAAAGAGAATAAAATACCTAGGAATCCAACTTACAAGGGATGTCAAGGACCTCTTCAAGGAGAACTACAAACCACTGCTCAAGGAAATAAAAGAGGATACAAACAAATGGAAGATCATTCCATGCTCATGGGTAGGAAGAATCAATATCGTGAATATGGCCATATTGCCCAAGGTAATTTACAGATTCAATGCCATCCCCATCAAGGTACCAATGACTTTCTTCACAGAATTGGAAAAACTACTTTAAAGTTCATATGAAACCAAAAAAGAGCCCATATCACCAAGTCAATCCTAAGCCAAAAGAACAAAGCTGGAAGCATCACACTACCTGACTTCAAACTATACTACAAGGCTACAGTAACCAAAACAGCATGGTACTGGTACCAAAACAGAGATATAGATCAATGGAACAGAACAGAGCACTCAGAAATAACGCCGCATATCTACAACTATCTGATCTTTGATAAACCTGACAAAAACAAGCAATGGGGAAAGGATTCCCTATTTATTAAATGGTGCTGGGAAAACTGGCTAGCCATATGTAGAAAGCTGAAACTGGATCCCTTCCTTACACCTTATACAAAAATCAATTCAAGATGGATTAAAGACTTAAACGTTAGACCTAAAACCATAAAAACCCTGGAAGAAAACCTAGGCATTACCATTCAGGACATAGGCATGGGCAAGGACTTCATGTCTAAAACACCAAAAGCAATGGCAACAAAAGCCAAAATTGACAAATGGGATCTAATTAAACTAAAGAGCTTCTGCACAGCAAAAGAAACTACCATCAGAGTGAACAGGCAACATACAAAATGGGAGAAAATTTTCACAACCTACTCATCTGACAAAGGGCTAATATCCAGAATCTACAATGAACTCAAACAAATTTACAAGAAAAAAACAAACAACCCCATCAAAAAGTGGGCAAAGGACATGAACAGACACTTCTCAAAAGAAGACATTTATGCAGCCAAAAAACACATGAAAAAATGCTCATCATCACTGGCCATCAGAGAAATGCAAATCAAAACCACAATGAGATAACATCTCACACCAGTTAGAATGGCAATCATTAAAAAGTCAGGAAACAACAGGTGCTGGAGAGGATGTGGAGAAATAGGAACACTTTGACACTGTTGGTGGGACTGTAAACTAGTTCAACCACTGTGGAAGTCACTGTGTTGATTCCTCAGGGATCTAGAACTAGAAATACCATTTGACCCAGCCATCCCATTACTGGGTATATACCCAAAGGACTATAAATCATGCTGCTATAAAGACACATGCACACGTATGTTTATTGCAGCATTATTCACAATAGCAAAGACTTGGAGCCAAGCCAAATGTCCAATAATGATAGACTTGATTAAGAAAATGTGGCACATATACACCATGGAATACTATGCAGCCATAAAAAATGATGAGTTCATGTCCTTTGTAGGGACATGGATGAAATTGGAAATCATCATTCTCAGTAAACTATCGCAAGAACAAAAAACCAAACACCGCATATTCTCACTCATAGGTGGGAATTGAACAATGAGATCACATGGACACAGGAAGGGGAATATCACACTCTGGGGACTGTTGTGGGGTGGGGGGAGGGGGGAGGGATAGCATCGGGAGATATACCTAATGCTAGATGATGAGTTAGTGGGTGCAGCGCACCAGCATGGCACATGTATACACATGTAACTAACCTGCACAATGTGCACATGTACCCTAAAACTTAAAGTATAATAAATAAAAAAAAAAGAAAGGTCAGCTGATGGATTTTGAACTAAGGCCATGAACAATGCAAAGATCCAAGGGGCTCTTAGTACATTCAGACTGCTATAAAAAAAAAATGCCTCAAATGGGATGGCCTGTAAACAACAGAAATTTATTTCTCACAGTTCTGGAGGCTGAGAAGTCCAAGATCAAGGTGCCAACAGATTCAGTGTCTGCTGAGGGGCTGCTTTCTGGTTCATAAATAGTGCCTTCTCTGTGTGTCCTCACATGGTGGAAGAGGCAAGGGATTTCTCCAGGATCTCTTTTATAAGGGTACTAATCCTATTCATGAGGGTTTTGCCCTCATGACCTAATCACATCCCAATAGCCCTACCTCCTAATACTATCACTTTGAAGTTGAGGATTTCAACAAGTGAACTGGGGGAGAGGGGGACATAAACATTCAGTTCATTATGGCTAGTGTCATGGGTGTGGTAGTAATTATTTCACCAATTATATACCAGTCCTTTCTGGGTATCCCCATTTCTGGGAAAGTGTTAAATTGGACTTTCTGGCTCCTTTATGATTGGGTAGAGCCATGTCACTAATTCTGTCCCATGAGTTTTAAGCAGATATTGTACATATTACTTCCAGGTTAGAGCATTTAATTGCCATTGCCAAACCCACCAGAGCTCTCTTTTCCCTCCAGCAGGATGATTAACAGCATTCAAGGTGGTGGCTACACATCACATCAGCCTGGATTCTCAAGTAGGAAGATACGCAACAGAGCATCCAGCTGACCTTCACTGGATATGTTGTATGAACAAGAAGTAAACTTCTCTTGTTAAAAGCCATTGAAATTTTGGAGTTGCCTTGTTACCACAGAGAATCTAGCCTAACCTGTATAATATAGTGACAAAGAGGTAATTCTGCCAGGTTCAAGGAGATGAGTTTGCTGAATATTGCACACATTTACACAAGAAATATTTTTTATTTTTTTAATTGAAATATAAAAATTGGCCAGGGACAGTGGCTCATGCCTGTAACTCCCAACACTTTGGGAGGTCAAAGTGGGAGGATCACATGAGCCCAAGATTTCAAGACCAGCCTGGGCAACATGGCAAGACCTTGTCTTTACAAAAAAAATTTAAAATTTTAAAAAAATTAAAAAAATAAAAATTGTACATATTTATGGGGTACATAGTGTTTCAATACATATAATGACTAGATCAGGGTAATTAGCGTATCCATCATCTCAAACATTAATCATTCTTTTGTGTTGGGAACATTCAATATTCTCCTTCTAACAATTTGAAAATATTTATTATTGTTAACTGTAGTCATCCTACAGTGCGAGAGAACACTAGTATTTATTCCTTCTATCTAGTTGTAATTTTGTATCTGTAACAAATATCCATCTATCCTTCCTTTCCCCTACCCTTCTCAGCCTCTAGTATCCTCTGTTTTATTATTTACTTTTATGGGATCAACTTTTTTTAGCTTCTGTATATAAGTGAGAACATACAGTTTTACCTTTCTGTTCTTGGCTTATTTCATTTAACACAATGTCCTCCAGTTTCATCCATGTTGCCATCAATGACAGGATTTTATTACCTTTTATGACTGAAGAGTATTCCATTGTGCGTATATATATTCCATATGTTCTTTCTTTATTTGTCTGTTGTTGTACACCTAGGTTGATTCTATATCTTGGCTATTGTAAAGTGCTGCAATAAACATAGAGGTGCAGATATCTCTTTGATATACTGATTTACTCTACTTTGGATAACTATTCAGTAGTGGAATTACTGGATCATATAGTTCTATTTGTAGTTTTTTTGAGAAACCTCCATACTTGTTCTCCACAGTGGTTATCCTAGTTTACATTTCCACCAACTGTTGTAAGTTTCTTTTTGTCTGCATTTTCACCAGCATTTGTTATTTTTTGCCTTTTTTATGATAGCCTTTCTAATTAGGATGAGATAATACCTCACTGTGGTTTTGACTTGCATTTTCCAGTTGATTAGTGATGCTGAGCATTTTTTAATAGTTGTTAGCCATTTGTAAGTTTTCTTTTGAGAAATATCTATTCAGATCATTTGCCCATATTTTACTTGGATTGTTTGGATTTTTTGCTGTTGAGATGTTTGAGTTTCTTATATATTCTGGATATTAATCCCCTGATGGAAAAATAGTTTGCAAATATTTTCTTCCTTTGCTTGTTTGTTTTGTTGTGCAGATTTTTAGTTTGATGTAATCTCATTTGTTCATTTTTGCTTTTGCTGCTTTTGCCTTTGAGGTCTTGTTCATAAAATCTTTTCCCAGACCAATGTCCTGAAGCATTTTCCGTACATTTTCTTCTAGTAGTCTTATAGTTTTAGGTCTTACATTTAAGTATTTAATCCATTTTGGTTGATTTTTCTACAGGATGAAAGGTAGAGGTCTAGTTTTATTCTTCTGCATATAGATATCCAATTTTCCCAGCACCATTTCTTGAAGAGATTCTCCTCTCCCTAATGAGTAGTCTTAGTATCTTTCTCAAAAATCAATTAGCTGAAGATACATGAATTAATCTGGGGGCTCTCTATTATGTTCCATTGTTCCATGTTTCTGTTATTATGCCAGTACCAAACTCTTTTGGTTACAATAGCTTTGTACAATATTTTGAAGTTTGGTACTGTGATGCCTCCAGCTTTTTTCTTTTTGCTCAGGATTGCTTTGGCTATTTGGGATCTTTTGTGGTTCCATATAAATTTTAGGATTTTTTTTCTATTTTTATGAAGAATGTCATTGGTATTTCAATAAGGATTGCATTGAATCTGTAGATTGCTTTGAGTAGTATGGTTAACAATAGTAATTATTCCAATACATGAGCATGGGAGATTTTTCAAATTTTTTATATCCTCTTCTGTTTATTTCATCAGTGTTTTGTAGTTTCTCTTGTAGACATCTTTCACCTCCTTTGTTAAATTTATCTCTAGGTATTTTTTTTCTCATAGTTATTGTAAATGAGATTGCCTCCTTGACTTCTTTTCTATCTCGTTCACTAATTGTATATAGAAACACTACTGATTTTTGCATGTTGATTTTGTATCCTACAACTTTACTAAATTCATTTACCAGTTCTGAGTTTTTTGGTAGAGTCTACAGTGTTTTCTATATATTTAGATCATGTCATCTGCAAACAAACAGGACAATTTGACTTCCTCCTGTCCAATTTGGATGCCCTTAATTTTTTTCTCTTGTCTACTTGCTTTGGCTATGACTTCCAATACTATGTTGAATAAGAGTGGTGAAAGTAGGCAGCCTTGTGTTGCTCCAGTTCTTAGAAGAAAAGCTTTCAGCTTTTCCCCCATTCGGTATGATTTTAGATGTAGGTTTGTCATATATGGCCTTTATCGTGTTGAGGTACTTTCCTTCTTTACCTAATTTATTAAGTTTTTATCATAAAGGAATGTTTATCAAGTGCTTTTTCTACATCTAATAAGCTGATCATATAGTTTATGACCTTCATTCTGTTGATGTGATGAATCATGTTTATGTATTTGCATATGTGGGACCATCTTTGCATTCCTGGGATAATTCCCACTTGATCATGGTATATTTTCTTTTTGATGTGATGTTAAATTCAGTTTTTTCGTATTTTGTTGAGATTTCATCTTTGTTCATCAAGGATATTGCCTATAGTTGTATTTTTACTTTGTGTCCTTGTGTAGTTTTGGTATCAGGGTTGTGCTGCCCTTGTAAAGTAAGTTTGGAAGATTCCTTCTGATGCCATTTTTTGAGAAGAACTGGTATTAATTCTTTCTTAAATGGTAGAATTCATCAGTGAAGCCATTCAGTACTGGACTTTTCTTTGTTGGAAGATTTTTTTTTTTTTTTTTTTTTTTTTTTTTTTTACTGATTCAATGTTGTTACTTGTATTTGGTCTGTTCAGGTCTTCTATTCCTTCTAGATTCGATCTCAGTAGATTGTACATGTCCAAGAATTTATCTATTTCTGTTCTGTTTTCAAGTTTATTGGTATATAGCTGTACATAGTAGTCTCATAATTTTTTGTATGTCTGTGGTACCCATTGTGACATCTCCTTTTCCATTTCTAATCTTATTCATTTGGCTCTTCTCCCCTTTTTTCTTAGTCTAGTTAATGGTATATTACTTTTGTTTATCTTTTACTTTAAAAAGTTTTGTTTAATTGATCTTTTGCATTTTTTCAGTCTCAATTTTGTTTCTTTCTGCTCTGTTGTATTTTTATTTCATTTATTGCATTCTTCAGCTGCAGGATTTCTGTTTGATTCTTTTTCATGATATCTCTTTGTTGAATTTCTCATTCAAGTCATGAACTATTTTCCTAATTTTATTGAACTATCTATCTATATTCTCTTGTATCTCACTGAGTTTCCCTAAGATTGTTATTTTTAATTCTTTTCCTGGAACTTTGTATATTTCTTTATGATTGGGATCTGTTACTAGAGAATTATTAAATTCCTTACTTGCTTTTTCACTTGTGATGTGCCCTGATGTTGATTTCTATGCATCTGCTAGAAAAGTCACTTCTGACAATTGTATAGAGTAGGTTCTACCGGAAAAGACTCATTCATATAAATAGGTCTTGGGGTGTTGGTTCGGTGTGGTGCATTGGTTTTAGTTCTAGGCAAATGCAATAGTATAGTTTCTATGTAGTTTCTTCAGCTGTAATCCATACTAGTGACATTTGCAAGTATCTTAGTGGCCTAGGCTTAGAAAGTCTGTGGCAGCAGTGTGCAGCTTTGCCAGTGATGGGTTTGCCAGGTTGTTTCTCAGTTCAAGGACATATCCATGCCCATGGTGGGTTGGAGTTAGGGCTGGAGTTAGGGCCATGAGACTATTCACAGACCAGGAACATGAGCCCCCAGCTACACAGCCAGCCTTGGGGACCTGTTTGCCAGGGGCAAGCCATGCAGATGTTTCTCAGGCCTGGGACGTAGCTGCACAACTTCTTGGCTGGTCTTTATGTGTGTCTGCTGAGGGCTGCTCACAGGGCTTTTTCTTAGGCCCAGTATGTAGGCATAAGGATGATTGGCTGGCCTAGGGGTATGTCTACTAGGCATCAGTTTATTTAACCTCTCCAACTGAACATCAGTGTCTTCATCTGAGCAGCAGATGAAGGGGTGTTTTTTAGGCTTAGGATCCAGGCACAAGGCTGCTTGGTCAGCCTGTGGTTCTGTTTCTCAGGCCCTGGTTGCTGGCACAGGGCTATTGGGCAAGCCAGAAGCTTATCTGTGGAGGATGGGATAAAAGAGAGATGTTTCTCAGGTCCTGAGCTCAGGCATGTAGTTGTTCCACCAGCTAAGGAGTATGTCAGCTCAGGGGCCTCTCCCACTTAGGGGAAGGCATGCAACAGTTTGGCCAGCTCACAGGGGTATTCACCCTGACTGGGACTGCTAGACTGTTCCTCCAGCTGGAAATTAAGGCAACAATAGTTTGTTTCACTGATGTGCAGAACCAGAGTCAGCTCATCCTGGGCCCAAGCTCTGCACTACTGGAGTTGTGGCATTCAGCTACCCTTGTAGACTTGATGAAGTGAAGATGGAACCCCAGTGCTAGCAGGCTATAATGGCTACTGACACCCTGAGCAGGGCACCCCAGAGCAGAGGTTTCTCTGGTCTCAATATGGTACAAAACTGCAACAACTTGGTTCACTGTGGATGGATGTGGGTGAGGATTGCAAACCTTGTGCTCCTAATCGAGGACAATGCAGCTGTGTGAATTCCTGGCAGCTCTTCAAATCGGGCTCAGGACTTTCAACAACTGTGAGATTCTCCTGTTGTAGGCACTGTAGTGTTTACAATGGTAATGTGGACAGGTGGAGATCTTATTTTTCCCACAACAGGAAATCCCCAGTGACTCCAGGCAGATCTGATCCAAGCAGGGAAGACAAGGTTGCAGAGGTTGGATGCCTCCTTGTTGTCCTCCTGGACTTACAATTACCACAGGTATATCTCCATTCCCCCACTGCCCTCCAATTCTCTGCCTTCAACACACCACTCAATCTTAGCTGTTTATTCATTGCCTTGGTCCTTTCTTGTGGCAGAAGGATGAGTGCCAGGCATTTCTAGTCAATCATCTTGCTGACATCACTACAGTGAATTCTGTTTCAAGAAGTATCTTGATGTAGTGAAAAGAACGTTGGCTTAGTATGGTTGAATGAGTGAATAAATGGATGGGTACATACAAAGATATATAAGATGGCTAGACACTGACATTTGGATCGTGGAACTAGGAGTTGAGTCTAATCTTATCTCCTATTAACTGTGTCATCTTGAGCATCTGTTTATTTAACCTTTCCAATTGAACATCAATGTCTTCAACTGCACAACAGATGTAAGAACATCTACCCAGCCTATCTCAAAAGACTGTGTGAATAATTGTGGCAGACAGACTCATTTGTGGACCTTTATGATCCTGGCCTCCTGGTGTCTATGCTTTTGTTTAATCTCCTCCCACTGAGTGTGAGCAGAACTTGTGACTTTCTTCTAACCAAGAGATTATGGTGAAAGTTACAGAAGGTTACTTCCATAATTAGTTATAAAGATTCCATCTTGCTAGTAGACTTTCTCTGAAGACTCTTTGCTGGCTTGATGAAGTCAAAAGCCACGTTGAGAAAGCCCACATGCCAAGGTACTATAAGTGGCCACTGGAAACTGATGGCCACCTCCAGGAAGTCATGCTAGCCAGGAAGCTAAAGGCTTAGTAGCTGAGGGCTCAACAAATCAGGGCTCTCAGCCCTCCAACCACAAGGAAATTAATTCTGCCAATAAACTGAATGAGCTTGAATGAAAGTTCTTTCCCAGTTGGCCTACGATATGGTAATGCAGCCTAGCTGACACCTTAATTACAGCTTGTGAGACCCTAAGCAGAGGGTCCAGTTAAGTTGTTTTCAGACTCCCGACCCACAGAAACTGTGAGAAAATAATGTGTGTTATTTTAAACCACTGAGTTTATAGAAAACTAATAATAATCATAAAATGAGTTAAGATAGTGTCAAAGCATTTTGTAAACTGAAAAGCCCTATATATGTGTTAGATGTTATCCTCAAAGTATACCAAATGCTTCATGGAGACTTTAAATGTTGCATAATCAAAAAAGTTACTTCTATGCTTTGAAGAGTCCACAAGTCATTTTTTAACCAAGTCTTTACATAAGCTTCCCCAATTTTCCTTAAAATTATAGCATCTCCTTTTTTATTCTGACCTTGAAGTTCTGACAGCTGTGTCACTGATTGCTTTTGGTCTGTGATATGCATAACTTCTATATTGCCACCAACAAAGACAAAATCTGGAATTTAACTGTTCCTCCTTAGAGAACTATGAAAATCCCAGACTGTTTTAACTATGGATCCAATTTGATAGGTATGCTTCAGCCCTCATTTCAATCGAATTGCCACTTTCATCATTTTTATTATTACCCTACATGTCGCTGTAACTATTAAGAACATCAATGAGTGCTTGTACTTTATGTCCAAGTTTTTCATCTGGAGATTTTTAAATGGATGTTGGAGGAATGTTGTCCATGTCAATATGCCAAATATTATCTCAGCTACAGGGTTATAAATAATACAGCCTCAATTTATGTCACCTATAATAACATTTCTTGCTTTCTATGGCAAATCTCCTTTCAAGAACCCCTAACAAGTGTGTAATCAGTTAGGGGGTCTTGTGGCTCTGGGATAGGGCAACATAGAACTTTTTCCTTAATCATTACAAATCTATAGCAGGATGATAATAATAATCAGAAATTGAGTACAATACCTAAGGGCCAGTCTCTTTACAGACATCTTATCTAATTCTCAAAACAACCTTACGAAGTAAATGCTTTCATTCTCGTTGTACAGATCTGGAAACTCAGGCTTAGGAAAAATAATTTCCTTACCTGAGATCAGACATCTATAAGTCACTCAACCAAGACTTTCAATCAGGCATTCCAGATCCCGAAGCCCACTTTCTTCCTTTCCACCCCTTCTGCCCCTCTAACACTGAAAATTGAGAACACAACATAGTACCAATTTAAAAATATTTCCCAATCTCCTTCCATTCACTAACATTCATTTAATGTTCTAGCCCTTTTTAGAAATAGAGTGGTGCCCATTTCTGTAAAAGGAAAAGGAAAGGATCTTATATTAGTTCAGATTATATTTGGCTGTGAGTGGTAAAAAGTACAAAATTACATTGGTTTAAATAAGATATGAGCTTATTTCTCTTTCATGTAGGCACTGTATGTATTTGGAGATAATTAAATCCAAGAACCAGCCTTCAGGAAATTTATAATCTAAAGGAAAAAGTAAATAACTGCTGATAATGTGAAACAAAATGAACAATTTGCTATAATAAGAGTAGAGCAAAAGTGCTGTAGAGCACAGAAGGAGAAGTTAGTTCTAATTGGTGGAACCCAAGATGGCTCTTTTCAGGAAGTGGCATTGAATAGAGCCTTGAAGGTGGGTAAAATATTAGTAGACAGTGAAGGAGTTAGGAGGAGTTACGTGAGAAGCAAGGGGAACAAAAGGACATGCCATGCTAAACAAATCACATGAAAAAAAGTAAAAACATAAAAGTGCCAGTCCATTTCCCACTTACAGAGAGGAGTCTCAACCTGAAAGTAACCCCCCTTGTGTTGTTCCCTCAATATACACACTTCGTTTTTTTCTTTTTTTTTTTTTTTCATTATACTTTAAGTTCTGGGATACATGTGCAGAATGCGCAGGTTTGTTACATAGGTATACATGTGCCATGGTTGTTTGCTGCACCCATCAACCCATCATCTACATTAGGTACTTCTCCTAATGCTATCCCTCCCCTAGTCTCCCACACCCTGATAGGCCCTGGTGTGTGGTGTTCCTCTCCCTGTGTCCATATGTTCTCATTGTTCAACTCCCACTTATCAATGAGAACATGCGGTGTTTGGTTATCTGTTCTTGTGTTAGTTTGCTGAGAATGATGGTTTCCAGCTTCATCCATGTCCCTGCAAAGGACATGAACTCACTCTTTTTTATGGCTGCAGAGAATTACATGGTGTATACGTGCCACATTTTCTTTATCCAGTCAATCATTGATGGGCATTTGGGTTGGTTCCGTGTCTTTGCTATCATGAATAGTGCTGCAATAAACATACATGTGCATGTATCTTTAGAGTAGAATGATTTATAATCCTTTGGGTATATACCCAGTAGTGGGATTGCTGAGTCAAATGATATTTCTGTTTCTAGATCCTTGAAGAATTGCCACACTGTCTTCCACAACCATTGAACTGATTTCCACTCCCACCAACAGTGTAAAAGTGTTCATTTCTCCACATCCTCTCCAGCATCTGTTGTTTCCCGATTTTTTAATGATTGCCTTTCCAACGGGCATGAGATGGTATCTCATTGTGATTTTGATTTGCATTTCTCCAATGACCAGCAATGATGAGCTTTCTCTCATCTGTTTGTTGGCCGCATAAATGTCTTCTTTTGAGAAGTGTCTGTTCATATCCTTCGACCACTTTTTGATGGGGTTGTTTGCTTTTTTCTTGTAAATTTGTTTAAGTTCCTTGTAGATTCTGGATATTAGCTTATTTTCAGATGGATAGATTACAAAAAATTTCCCCTATTCTATAGGTTGCTTATTCACTCTGATGATAGTTTCTTTTGCTGTGCAGAAGCTCTTTAGCTTAATTACATCCCATTGGTCTATTTTGGCTTTTGTTCCCATTGCTTTTGGTGTTGTAGTCATGAAGTCTTTGCCCATGCCTATGTCCTGAATGGTTTTGCCTAGGTTTTCTTCTAGGGTTTTTATGGTTTTAGGTTTTACATTTAAGTCTTTTATCCATCTTGAGTTGATTTTTGTATAAGGTGTAAGGAAGGGGTCCAGTTTCAGTTTTCTGCATATGGCTAGCCAGTTTTCCCAACACCATTTATTAAATAGGAGATCCTTTCTCCATTGCTTGTTTTTGTCAGGTTTGTCAAAGATCAGATGGTTGTGTATGTATGGCATTATTTCTGAGGCCTCTGTTCTGTTCCATTGGTCTATATATCTGTTTTGGTACCAGTACCATTACTGAAGCCTTGTAGTATAGTTTGAAGTCAGATAGTGTGATGCCTCCAGCTTTGTTCTTTTTGCTTAGGATTGCTTAGACAATTTTTTGCTTAGGATTGCTTAGACGATTGCTTAGACAGTCCTAAGCAACTCGGGCTCTTTTTTGGTTCTGTGTGAAATTTAAAGTAGTTTTTTCTGCTATGGGCTCCTTTTTTATTCTGTATGAAATTTAAAGTAGCTTTTCTGACTCTGAAGAAAGTCAATGGTAGCTTGATGGGGATAGCATTGACTCTATAAATTACTTTGGGCAGTATGGCCATTTTCATGATATCGGTTCTTCCTATCCATGAGCATGGAATGTTTTTCCATTTGTTTGTGTTCTCTCTTATTTCCTTGAGCAACGATTTGTAGGGGTTTTTCACAATTGTCTTTCTAGCAATTGTGAATGAAAGTTCACTCATGATTTGGTTCTCTGTCTATAATTGTTGTATAGGAATGCTTGTGATTTTTGCACATTGATTTTGTATCCCGAGACTTTGCTGAAGTTGCTTATCAGCTTAAGGAGATTTTGGGCTGAGACAATGGGGTTTTCTAAATATACAATCATGTCATCTGCAACCAGAAACAATTTGACTTCCTCTCTTCCTATTTGGATACTCTTTATTTCTTTCTCTTGCCTGATTGCCCTGGCCAGAACTTCCAATACTATGTTGAATAGGAGTAGTGACAGAGGGCATCCTTGCCTTGTGCCAGTTTTCAAAGGGAATGCTTCCAGCTTTTGCCCATTCAGTATGATATTGGCTGTGGGTTTGTTATAAATAACTCTTATTATTTTTAGATATGTTCCATAGATATCTAGTTCATTGAGAGTTTTTATCATGAAGGACTGTTGCATTTTATTGAAGGCCTTTTCTGCATCTATGAGATAATCATGTGGTTTTTGTCATTGGTTCTGTTTATGTGATGGATTATGTTTACTGATTTGCGTATGTTGAACCAGCCTTGCATCCCAGGGATAAAGCCAATTTGATCATGGTGGATAAGCTTTTTGATGTGCTGCTGGATTCAGTTCACCAGTTTTTTATTGAGGATTTTCGCATCTATGTACAGCAGGGATATTGGCCTGAAATTTCCTTTTTTTGTTGTGTCTCTGCCAGGTTTTGGTATCAGGATGATGCTGGCCTCCTAAAATGAGTTAGGGAGGAGTCCCTCTTTTTCTATTGTTTGTAATAGTTTCAGAAGGAAAGATAACAGCTCCTGTTTGTACCTCTGGTAGAATTCATCTGTGAATCCGTCTGGTCCCACTATTATTGTGTAGGAGTCTAAGTCTCTTTGCAGGTCTCTAAGAACTTGCTTTATGAATCTGGGTGCTCCTGTATTGGGTGGGTATATATTTAGGATAGTTAGCTCTTCTTGTTGCATTGATCCCTTTACCATTATGCAATGCCCTTCTTTGTCTTTTTTGATCTCTGTTGATTTAAACTCTGTTTTATCAGAGACTAGAATTGCAACCCCTGCTTTTTTTTTTCCTTTCCTTTTGCTTGGTTATTCTTCCTCCATCCCTTTATTTTGAGCCAATGTGTGTCTTTGCGCATGAGATGGATCTCCTGAATACAGCATACCAATGGGTCTTGACCCTTTATCCAATTTGCCAGTCTGTGTCTTTCAACTGGGGCATTTAGCTCATTTACATTTAAGGTTAATATTATTACGTGTGAATTTGATCCTGTAATGATGATGATAGCTTGTTATTTTGCCTGTTAGTTGATGCAGTTTCTTCATAGTGTCAATGATCTTTACAATTTGGTATGCTTTTGCACTGGCTGGTACCAGTTTTTCCTTTCCATATTTACTGCTTCCTTCAGGAGCTCTTGTAAGGCAGACCTGGTGGAGACAAAATCCCTCAGCATTGGCTTGTCTGTAAAGGACTTTATTTCTCCTTAACTTAGGAAGTTCAATTTGGCTGGATATGAAATTCTGGGTTGAAAAATCTTTTCTTTAAGATTGTTGAATACCGGCCCTCACTCTCTTCTGGCTTGTAGGCTTTCTGCACAGAGATCTGCTGTTAGTCTGATGGGCTTCCCTTTGAGGGTAACCCAACCTTTCTCTCTGGCCACCCTTAACATTTTTTCCTTCATTTCAGCCTTGGTGAATCTGACGATTATGTGTCTTGAGGTTGCTCTTCTTGAGGAGTATCTTTGTGGTGTTCTCCGTATTTCCTGAATTTGAATGTTGGCCTGTCTTGCTAGGTTGGGGAAGTTCTCCTGGATAATATCCTGCAGAGTGTTTTCCACTTGATTCCATTCTCCCTGTCACTTTCCGGTACACCAATCAAATGTAGGTTTGGTCTTTTCACATAGTCCCATATTTCTTGGAGGCTTTGTTTGTTCCTTTTCATTCTTCTTTCTCTGATCTTGTCTTCACACTTTATTTCATTAAGTTGACCTTCAATCTCCAATATCCTTTCTTCTGCTTGATTGATTTGGCTATTGATACTTATGTATGCTTCACAAAGTTCTTGTGCTGTGTTTTTCAGCTCCATAAGGTCATTTATGCTCTCTCTAAACTGGCTATTCTAGTTAGCAATTCCTCTAACCTTTTTTCAATGTTCTTACTTAGCTTCCTTGCATTGGATTAGAACATGCTCCTTTAGCTTGGAGGAGTTTGTTATTACCCACCTTCTAAAGCCTACTTCTGTCAATTCGTCAAATTCATTCTCCATCCAATTTTGTTCCCTTGCTGGCAAGGAGTTGTGATCCTTTGGAGGAGAGGAGGTAATCTGGTTTTTGGAATTTTCAGCCTTCTTGCACTTATTTTTCCTCATCTTCATTTATTTATCTACTTTTGGTCTTTGATGTTGGTGACCTTCGGATGGGGTTTTGTGTGGATGTCCTTTTTGTTGATGTTGATGCTGTTCCTTTCTATTTGTTAATTTTCCTTCTAACAGTCAGGCCCATTTGCTGCAGGACTGCTGGAGTTTGCTGGAGGTCCACTCCAGTCCCTGTTTGCCTTGGTGTCACCAGCAGAGGCTGCAGAACAGCAAAGATTGCTGCCTGTTCCTTCCTCTGGAAGTTTCATAGCAGAGAGGCACCCACTCCAGAAGTTAGCCAGAGCTCTCCTGTATAAGGTGTTTGTCAATCCCTGCTGGGAGGTATCTCCCATTCAGGAGGTGTGGGGGTCAGGGACCCACTCAAGGGGGCAGTCTGTCCCTTAGCAGAGCTCAAGCACTTTACTGGGAGATCTGTTGCTCTCTTCAGAGCTGGCAGGCAGGAACGTTTAAGGCTGCTGAAGCTGCACCTACATCCACCCCTTCCCCCAGGTGCTCTGTCCTAGGGAGATAGGAGTTTTATCTATAAGCCCCTGACTGGGGCTGCTGCCTTTCTTTCAGAGATGCCCTGCCCAGAGAGGAGCAATCTAGAGAGGCAGTCTGGCTACCACAGCTTTGCCAAACTGCAATGTGTTCCACCCAGTTTGAACTTTCCCCTGGCTTTGTTTACACTGTGAGGGGAAAACTGCCTACCCAAGCCTCAGTAATGGTGGACAGCCCTCTCCCCACCAAGCTCAAGCACCCAGGTTGACTTCAGACTGCTGTACTGGCAGTGAAAATTTCAAGCCAGTGGCTCTTAGCTTGCTGGACTCCATGGAGGTGGAATCTGCTGAGCTAGACCACTTGGCTCCCTGGCTTCAGTCCCCTCTCCAGGGAAGTGAATGGTTCTGTCTCACTGGCATTTCAGGTACCACTGGGATATGAAAAAAAACCTCCTGCAGCTAGCTTGGTGTCTGCCCAAATGGCTGTCCAGTTTTGTACTTGAAACCCAGGGCCCTGGTGGCATAGACACCCGAGGGAATCTCCTGATCTGCAGGTTGCGAAGATCATGGGAAAAGCGTAGTGTCTGGGCCAGAGTGCACCATTCCTCATGGCACGGTCCCTCACGGCTTCCCTTGGCCATGGGAGGGAGTTCCCTGACCCCTTGCACTTCCCTGGTGAGGCAACACCCCACCCTGCTTTGGCTTGCCCTCCATGGGCTGTACCCACTGTCTAACCAGTCCCAGTGAGATGAGCCAGGTACCTCAGTTGGAAATGCAGAAATCACCCACCTTCTGCATTGATCTCCCTGGGAGCTGCAGACCGGAGCTGTTCCTTTGAGACCATATTGACAGCCACCAACCGATCTCCTTTTCTTTCATAGCAGTAGGATTGCTAATTAAGTACATGGCCACTCAAAATAAAGGCTACAATGCCTAGACTCCCCTATAGCCAGGTGGGAAACCTGACTAAAGTCTGATTAATGTCATGAGGCAGTTACTGAAAATCACTCTTAAGAAACCAGCTAACACTCCCCCTCGGCCTCTTCTTATTCTCTTTTTTTTTCCTTCCTGAATGCTGGAATGTGGATATGATGGCTGAAGCTTCAGCAGCCATCTTGAGACTTGAGACTACCTTGATTATTGAGGTTCCAACATCCTTTATTCCATAAGACCTTTCCACAGGCAGGCCTAGATTGCCTTTTTATTTGGGAATGGAAGGTAGAGTGGGAATACTATGCCTACCCCTTAATATCAACAATGAGAATATGGCCCTACTAAAGCCACAACTCCCAGAAAAATGGTAAAAGGAGACACAGAGTATCAAACAGACAGCAGTTCTAGGTTAACTCACATTCTAAGCTGTGCTTTTTAATATGTGAAAGAGGTAGATACCTATTTACAGCGGCACTAGTTTAAATTCTCTTTTCCCTCATATTACTTCCCAAATTTTCCTGAAATTTTCACCAAAAAACTCCTCATAGTAACTTTTACTCTCGTGCCATTTCTTCTTCTAGCATGCAGCAATATGGTGGGGACGCATACTACAGCTGAGCTCTGGACAGGAAGTTTTCCATTTTATGAGAAACTCAAACCACCAAGAAAACCAGCTTATCTCACAAAATATTTTTATACTTCTCTAGAACTCAGTAAGAGGTAAGGTTTTCAATCTCAGTCTTTGATTCTAATCCCTGGATTTGTCACCATTTTATTAGAAAGGTATATTATTTGGGTTCTCCAGAGAAATAGAAAGAAAAAGATACAAAGACATATGCGAAAGGAGATTTATTATAGGAACTGGCTCACATTGTTATGGAGGCTAAAAGTACCACTATCTGTCATCATGGAAGCTGGAGAACCAGGAAAGTCAGAGGTGTCTCTTAGTCTAAATTCCAGGGCTTGACAATGAGAGGGGCAATGGTATAAGTCCAAAGTGCCCCAAGAACCAGGGGCACTGATGTCCAAGGGAGGGAGAAGATGGATGTTTCAACTCAACCACAGACAGTGAATTCTCCCTTTCTCTGCCTTCTTGTTCTGTGCAGGCCCTCAACGGATTGGATGATGCCTCTCCACGGTCCACATCGGTGAGGGTGATTGTCTTTACTCAGCCTATTGATTCAAACACTAATCTCTTCTGGAAACACTCTCAGACTCACCCAGAAGTAATGTTTGGCCAGCCATCGGAGCATCCTCTGGCTTAGTCAAGTTAACACATAGAATTAACCATCACAGAAGGCAACAGAAAAACCTTTAAAGAATCAATAGAAAATATGTGCATCAGAAAATATTGCTGGCTTACCCAAAAGCTATTTCCCTTTTGTTCCTTACTAACAACTCTTACTTTGTTTATATTTGAGGAAGTAATGTACTTAAGGAAGTTTTGTCTCTAACCCAGCATTCAAGAATGCGAAGACAATCACGTTAATCCCATTTCCTCTACCAGTGATTGGTGTGGAGGTGGGCATATCACTCACTTATAACCAAAAGGTCCTGAGGGGGACTTACTAAGAACTTTTCAGAAAGGTTTTTCTCCATGATTAAAAGAAAAATTGTAAAGGAAACATCCCTTTCCTGTTTGAATTCACTTGTGTGAGGACGTGATGCTTGTATCTATGGCAACCATTCTGTAACCATGAGATGAAAGCTAAAAGAATCACAGAGAAGCTGACCCAAAACCCAGACAACTACATTGCTGAATCAGCAAACCTCAGAACTATTTATTTCCAGATTTGTGTTGTATGAATAATGAATTCTTGTTTTTAGGCTCTAGTAAATATTCCATTTCTTAGAGCAAACAGCATTCTCATGGATAAAATATTTATGAATAACATCCATCTGTTTCCCTTTTATTCAATATTTCAAGGTTATTGAAATTATTATAAATAAAATCATTAATATTATTTTTAATCTACATTTTTATTTAGGTATAACTATAAATTAGGCATAACAATTGATAGCATCTGATAGACATGATTAGAGTTCATGGGAATATACAGCTAAATCTTTACAAAGGTCATTATAGCAGGTCATTTTACAATGTCTAGAGTCTTTACCATCTCATTTATATTTTCTCATTTGACTGTAAACCTATTGGCTGTCCAGCAAAAGAGAATGACAGCTGTGTACCATGCCCATTGTGCATGAGCCATATTCATGGCACTTGGCCTGAGAGTGGGCTTATAGATGGCCCAAAGCCTTCCAACAGACTAAAAAGCCAGGTGGACAAACAAAGATCTGCACAGAAAGCAAAGGTATTTGTAAGACCCTTGTAGAAACATTTCAACTTTGACTTGGAAAATTTTAAACTGAGAAACTAACCACAGTGAGTCTGAACGGCCTTTTTCAAGCTAATGTAGAGTTTATTCAAGTGTGGTAGGACACAGTATATGTTTATAGGCAGCCTTCTTCATAGTCATTTTTCATCATCATTAGATCTAGAATATAATGTACCCAGCTATGTAATGTACCTGCCTTAATGTGCAACACATTTATTTTAAAATGCCATTTGTAGATTATTTCTCTCAGGCCTGCAAAGGACATAATGAGATAATGTGGTGGAAAGCACTTTGTAAGGGGTGAAGTACTACAGAAATGTTGCTATTTTTATTACAACTTTAGTTTTTTCTTTATTTTAAAATGTTAAAGTCAGCAAGGGCTTTATGAAAATCCTGTCATGGTCCCAGAGAGGCTGCTACTAAGATTGGGTCACATACCTAGAAGAAGATTTGTGTTGACGGTTTCTATCATTTTAACAGGCTGAAATTCTGTCTAAGAAACAGAAACAATTCAGGAATCCTGCCTTCCTCTGTTTCTTAAGAAAAAATAAATAAATATGTTTGTTATGCACAATTTAATCATGGACAATCAAAACAAGATGAACTCGTAAATAGCCTGTAAGGTGAATGTAACACCTGATCCCTGTGTTCCTGTCTCACTATTCCCTATGTCAAGCACAGCATATCGTATGCAGTGCAGCCAATGTTCAACAAATATTGTTAAGCTGAGCTGAATTCATGAGACAGTATGTAATTCCTTGCTATTCAAGGTCTGGCCCATGGATGAGCTATATTGCCATCACTGGGAGCTTATCAGAAATGCAGAATCTTGGGTCCCACTCCAGACCTAACAAATCAGAATCTGTATTTTAATGAGACCTCCAAATGTCTGGTGTTCACTTCTGTATTAGTCCACTTTCACACTGCTGACAAAGACATGCCCGAGACTGGGCAATTTACAAAAGAAAGAGGTTTAATGGACTTACAGCTCCACATGGCTGGGGAGGCCTCACAATCATGGTGGAAGGCAAAGAGGAGCAAGTCACATTTTACATGGATGGCAGCAGGCAAAGAGAGAGAGAGAACTTTCACAGGGAAATTCTTGTTTTTAAAACCATTAGATCTCGTGAGATTTATTCACTATCACAAGAACAGCATGGGAAAGACCCACCCCCATGATTCAATTATCTCTCACTAGGTCCCTCCCACATTCCACAACACGTTGGGATTATAGGAGCTGCAACATGAGATTTGGATGGGGACACAGAGCCAAACCATATCACCTTAAAGTGTGAGATTACTGCTATGGTAGACATTGTCCGTATGTGTTCATGTCCCTTCTGTACAACCCAGAGGTCCCTTGAGACAGTTCCCATGCATGCCCTGCTACACAGTTCTGCCTAATGGCATGAAAACATGCCTGCTAGGCTGGTGTGTGCCAGACAGCCCAAAAGTGCCAAGAATTTAGTACCTTCACTGGGCAGTGAGTTGACATATTAGTATCACAGTTTCCTCGGCCTTCAATAGGAAAATTCTGAGACACATTCCACACAGTCTTTCAAAGGGTTTTCAGTGATACTGAGCTCCAGTTGCCCATATTGATAACCTACTATTGGCTTTCCTATATTCCTCCTTCCTTTTCTTACTTCCCCATACATGCCTCAACATTGCTCCTTGGAATCACCTGCCAAACAGACTGTTTTTATTCTAATCCCCATCTCAGGGTCTGCTTTTGGAAGAACTCAAACTAAGACAAGTTACTTTCTACTTCTGATGGTCTATGGTCTATTCTAGGACCCTGTTTAGTCTGCTTGGGCTACCATAACAAAATACCACAGATTAGATGGCTTTAACAACAGCAATGTATTCTTCACAGTTCTGGAATCTGAAAATCCAAGATCAATGTGCCAGCATGCTCAGTTTCTGGTGAGGGCTCACTTCCTGACTTGCAGATGGCTGCCTTCTCTCTGTGTCCTCACATGACAGACAGCGAAATAGATCCTTTTCTCTTTTTTTCCTTATAAAGCCACAGTTCTGATGGATTATGGCCCTATGCATATGACTTCATTTAAGTACCTCCTCCATGCCCTATTTCCAAATACAGTCACAGTCACATTGGGAACTAGGGCTTCAACATATGAATTTGCAAGAAGGACATAACTCAGTCCATAGCTGTAAATATTTTAAAAGATGATAAATCTGAAACCTCAAAAAGTTAAATAAATAAACAACAGGTCAATAAGATCATATAGAATAGAGCAAAGAGGAAATTCAGCCACCTGATATCTACTTCTGGTTCTACCACTAAGCTCCTGGCCTCTGCTCAATTGAACTATCAAGACATTAGACAAGGTGATCACTAAGGTACTGTAAGCCCAAGCCTAGGATGGGAGAACAGAACCAGGAACCCAGATCTCCTGGCTCCAAGTCCAGGGTCCCTTCTAACACACCAAACTGCATCTCCTAACAGTATTATTATTGGGTTTAAGCACAATAACAAAACCCAACAGATTATAACATTAAACTAAAAAACGTATCTCACTCTTTTGTTTCCCAAACCTAAATCACTTTGATTACAACCAATACATGACAATTCACACTAATGAAAGAGAACATTGACATAAATAATTCAGAAACTCACTAATAATCAGCCCAGCTGTAAGATACTCCTGCCAAGGGAAACATCCCAGGAGGCCACCCAGGCTGGATAGGTGGCAAGCATGACTCCCAATGCATGCAGATGATCTGCAGTGTAGAAAATGCCCTGTTGCCAGCCTCAAGATTCAGGTTTAGGAAAGCATAGTCAGTTTCAGGCCCTTTAGTGGTGGGAGGAGAGGATGCTTTTAGTGCATGTGACTAAGAAGCCAACAGGGAGGTTGTGGGTTTCCAAAAATTGACATAACACAGAAATCTGTGCAAATATTCTGCCTGTTCCTTAATCAGATCCTATCACTGCATTGCAGAAGCTTTTTCCATGGCTCCCTTCATTCCACGCTGCCTCTCTCGGCCTTGGATATTGCTGCAAGAACCTGATGAGCATGGTAAGAGCAAACACCATGAAACTCCAGCTAACCACTGGGCAATTTTACTCCCTTCAGTATTCTTATAATAAAAGGGGGTGGTGGTGTTCCAGAATCATCTGTGGACCATCTCCAAACAACACACACTCTCCCTCTTCTATCTCCTCCTGTTTCCCCTGGTCAAGAATATCATACAGTGGGAAATGTGATATAGGCCCAAGAAGATCTGATTAAATTTATCTTCATTATTGAAGCCATATATCTTTGCTTTGGACTCTTTTCTCAATTAGAGTTCAATTAAGCTCATTTCTACCTTCCCTGGCCCATAGAGGAGCATCTTTTATACCCCCACAGTCCTGAAAAATATCAGCAACCCCATGAGTATTACACCAAACATAGATCCATATCCACATATCCATGTTGAGTGCTAGCCACAGGAATGTCATTAGGCATTAGTTTAGATAAAGCACCGAGACATTTGTGTAATAATGTGAACTTGAGTCTATACACCAAGATTTGTGAATGATTGATAGAAGCATCCAAACCAAGACTGGTTCATTAATGTCCCATATGTGGTGTGACTTATGCTCACCAACCCAGTCTTTAGGAAGCATTCTTCTGTTTGACTCTTATGTCATTGATTTATTAGAGCCACAGAACAAGATCATATCTGTATCTTGCACCTCTTCTGCCCCAGTTCACCTCCTCTAAGGCCACCTTTTTACTCCAGTCATTACTGAAGCAATCAACTGTACTCAGATGTAGCCTGACAGCACTTTAACTCCCCCAAAGATACTGCTTACCTTCAGCCCCTGGGCTTCTCTACCACTGCCTAACCATGTGAGGTATTTGCAAATGAGCCAATCTGGTCACACAAATGATTAGAAATGGAAGGGAATTAACACCAGGGAGCAAATCCTGACCAATGGGAGACAAGAGGTAATCGATTCTGAGATGTATTTTACAGAGCTCCTCAATAGTTTCCTGGAAGGATCAAACCTCCGTGTTCCACACTGGAAACCATAATGCACCCTTGGATTGGCTTCCTCCATGTCCCACTTTTAAGCTTTCTAATTTAAACATCCTGATTACAAGCGCTTATCTCAGGCACTGTTTTCCAGGAGAATCTAGGCCAAGAGAGTTGCTATTGAAAGTGGCCCTACAAAACAGCTCCTCAGGATGATATTCTGGGACTAGATCTCTCATGGTCAGACAGAGATAAAGATCACATGGCTGTTGGTAAGTTGGGAGGTAAAGACCCCTGGCATGCATAGCATCACACGTATTAAGATGTTCTATGGTGGATTGATGTAAGGAGCAAATGGAAGGCAAATCGGGGCATATGTGCTCCAGTGACACTTGAACAACGTGGGAGTCCATGATAATTACAATGGCTATGAAGCTGTCTAGTTTTACTTAATAGATTTATAAACTTTGACAAAAGAAATAATGGTCTCAGATTAGCTAACTAGAAATTCAAGGCATACGGTGAAAGAATGTTTCCCTTGTAAAGTTTATAAAGACCTTAAATGTTGCAGTCTGTGCTGAAAAACAGGTATGGGATTTAACTGTAAAAGTAGCAGAGCTGCAAAGAAAACTGAATGCAAAGCCTCCACAAGTATCCTATGCCAAAGACAAAGCCCTGGTATGGAGAGAGTGGAACCTTGAGACATAGAAAAGGCCCAGCACAGAGACATGACAGGAAGCAAGAGTGGAAGGTGGGCCCCTTCCTGCCCCTGAGGACACAGGAGGCTGCACCAGAATACTTAGCAATAGCTTGGGAACACTGTGACTTTACCCATTGATATAATTTGGATGTTTGTCCCCTCCAAATCTCATGCTGAAATGTGACCTCCTGTGTTGGAAGCGGGGTCTAGTGGGAGGTATTTGGGTCATGGGGGTGGATCGTTCATGAATGACTTGGCGCCCTTTCTGCAATCAAGGTGGAAATTTTCAGGCCAGGCGCAGTGGCTCACACCTGTAATCCCAGCACTTTGGGAAGCCGAGGCGGGTGGATCATGAGGTCAGCAGTTCGAGACCAGCCTGACCAACATGGTGAAACCCTGTCTCTACTAAAAATACAAAAAAATTAGCTGGGCGTGGTGGCAAGCGCCTGTAATCCCAGCTACTTGGGAGGCTGAGGCAGGAGAATCGCTTGGAACCAGAATGTGGAGGTTGCAGTGAGCCGAGATTGTGCCACTGCACTCTAGCTTGATCAATAAAAGCAAAAACTCCATCAAAAAAAAAAAAGATGGAAATTTTCTTAGTTTGAGGATAAAAGTAGCCAATTTTTCACTGAAGTGATAATACAGCAATTTCAATGTGGTTTATTTACATATAATATATGAATCAGTTAAACTCTTTCTCTAATAACAAAGATAGTACAGAAGATAAATTATATTAGAAACCTTTGAATGTTTGACTTAATATTTATAGCATTAAGCTGCTGAAGAATTTGGACTGTTAACAGTTTTTAATCATTACTGTCAAGGTTTCAAGGCCCCAAAATTGGCAGCAGTGTAATTTTACTCTTGAGTTTCAGTTCCATAGCATAATGTGAAGCAGAGATTTGGCTATTGTCCAGGAAATCTGATGCTGTAGACAGCTAAATAATCCAAAAATACCCACTTCTGCAGGTAAACCTATAGCAGCAGACTTTCAATTGGCCACTTCATCTTGAGTTTTTCTGGGCAATAATCATGCCCAGGAACATGGCTAAGAAGAATGCGTAGACTAACCAGGTACAAATAGTGAGAAAGGGTTGCACAAAGCCATCAGTTTTCTAACAGTTGCATAAAACGTTCAGAAATCTGTCAGAAGACAGAGATCTACAGGGGACTGAATCAATCTTCTCTGGTTTAGAGGCTCCCTTCAGAGAAGCCATTTGTAGAGCATTTCAGTAGGGTTTGATCCCTACTGAGAAAAGCCCTTCAAGAGCAAAGGCGCAATGCAACTGACAAGTCTCATCACTTACATGAATGAGTTTTGAGTATTTAAGAATCATCTTACATGAATATTTTCCCCATTTAAGAAAGACAGCACAAAGCACAAGTTATTTAAAAGCCAATATTGGTAGATTAGAAAAAAAAATGACTAAACAAATGATTATAAAATGTAAAACCTTTCCTTTTTTGTATGGAAAATATAGTGTCATTTATTTGTTCATTTCTTCATTCAGCATATTTATGGAAGGTATATTATGCAAGTATAGACAAGTAAGAGCGGTGCTTGCCTTCCAGAACCTCATAGTCCAACTCTACCTAAAAACAAACTGATAAAATATTATAAAACTACCTACATATGTGAGCAGAATGTAGGAGTATTGGGGGGAATAGAAAGAGAGAGAACAAAGCTGTCAATTCCATTGATTTTTAATTGAAAAAAAACTCTATATTTATGGTGTACAACATGATGTTTTGATATATGTATACATTGTGGAATGGCTAAATCTAACATATGCATTACCTCACATACATCATTTTTTGTGGTAAGAACACTTAAAATCTCTCTTTGCAATTTCCAAGTATACAATAAATTGTTATTAACTATAGTCACCATAATGTACAATAGATCTCTTGAACTTATTCATACTATCTAACTGAAATTTTGCATTCTTTGACCAACATTTTCCTTATCTCCCAACTCCCAGCCACTGGTAGCCACCACTCTACCTTCTGTTTCTATGAGTTCAAGTTTTTTTAGATTCCAGAGATCATGTAGTATTTGTCTTTAACATAATGTCCTCCAGGTTTATCCACGATGTCACAGTGCAGTTGATTTTTATACATAAAAGATGGGAAAAATAAAAGATACATACATTGGCCAAAGCCAAGAGGGCTTCTCAGAACACCTGAATTAGGAACGTTCTTAAATAAAATCTCAAACTCTATTGCTTTATTAGGTTAAGAGCTGTGGCATAATTATGGAGTTGCAAAAATATTTTTTAATTATTTTGAGAGAATTGAGCAAGTTGTCTAGTATGATACAAGAGTAGATAAAAAATTAGAGGCAGTTATTTCTATAGCAGTCATATTATTTAATTTGCATACTCTGACTCATTAATTGGACCAAGAAAGAATATTTGACCAAAATCCACCAATCAGGTTCTGCCTCCAGAGAATTTTGAATGGGGACCTAGCAATTATAGTTAGCCTAGTTTGTACTGTGGGGCCAATTTTCATCATGTGCTTAGAGAAGCAAAATAAGCTGGCCAACATAGAAAGAGAACAATAAATCAGAGAGGGAAAGTGAGTTGCTAGACTCAGCAACTCCAGGAAAACAGAGAGTGGTTTCCTTTGTTGCTGGCATGTTTCAAAGTCTTGGTTCCAGTCCTACCTGAGATCCCACTGTACTATCTGACTGTTTGGCAGGAAATAGCCTTGCACTTATCCCGTAATTTCCCCCTTTTAGCTTAAGCTAGGGTGGATGATTTGTAATAAATAAACCCTGACTGTAATACATCCTTTCAGCAAGACTGATCTGCTTGCTGACCCCAAAATGTCACTGGCATTTCTAAAAATACAAGTTTATCATATCCTTTCAAAGTCCCAACACCCCAGCCCACCTTACTGCCAACTCAAGTCCTTTACACTTAATAACATTTTCTCCAATCCTTGTAGCCAACATGCTTCAGTAACAATTATATGAACTCCTAGGAAGAGACTGAGGCTGGAAATGAGATTTTAAGTCTTTACACTACAGTCACCACTGCATCTCCCAAATGCACTACAGTGTGAAAAGTCTGAAATCCAGTATGTATGTTATACTTACAGCATATTATAGCCACATTTCACACTAGCCACATGCTCAATCTTGACATTTAGCTAGAAATTACCAAATTGGCCAGTGTAGCTCTAGGGTTTGAATCCATGTACTACTATGGACATCCTCATTGTCTGATGCTGGATAGACTATTTAACCCCTCATCCTCATAAAGTAGTTTTGAGGATTACATTATATATTACCTGCAAATCATTTAGCATAGTGCCTGGCACATAGAAATCCCTCAGTAAATATTAACCACTAATTTCATCACAGAATACCAGTGGTAAGCAGAAAGAAGAGTCAGGGAAAGCTCATGCTTCAGTGGCACTCAATAAGATATATTAAAAATAAGGCAACAAATGAATAAAAATCCCATTATGACTGCTAGAATTTCTATGTGTTTTGTGTTGGTTGAGAGCTGGTTTGGGATTCAAATCTTGATTCTGCCACTTCTTAGCTATGTGAAATTGACAAATTTATTTAACCACTTCACACTTAAGTGCCTTCATCTATCTATAAAATAAAAATAGTAACGTTATCTATTGTGTATGATTGTGGTGAGGATCAAATGAGTTTGTAAGTGCAAAGCACTTAGAACAAGGGCTAACAGTAAAGATAAGCAGTCGCTATCATTATCATCAACATTATTATTGTTATCATTGTCATTGCTACTGTTATTGTTATTTTGCCATGCCATATAGTTAATGGCATTGTAATCACTGGGTCTTGGGTTCTCAGCCTTCACTAAATATATGCTGACTTCTAGTTGACTCAAAATCAAACAATCTATTTTAAATATCATCATGAATTTCTCTATTCAATATGTAAAGCCACACAGGGCAAAATCGTGATTATAACACACTAGTTAGAAACAGTCGCTTGACAAACATCGCAATTCAATTCACAACTATAAGTGCTGAGAAATAGAACTAGGGTACTGGGGACTGTGCACATAAAATGAATAATCAGATAGCTAATAATCTATTGGCCCTCTATGCTGTTCCATTCCTTTCTCTGTTCTCCCTCACGGCTGGAATCTTGGGAACTTAATGTCACGTACTCAATTGCCAGCCAGGCACTGGATGTGGTTTATTTTACAACAATCAGATATGCATGCTCACACAAGACTTAGAAGGCAGAAAAAGGGTAGAATTACTCTTCTTCCTCTGCTAGCTTTAACAGATATGTGTGCTTCAGATACTTGGAGGGGCAGGGAGTCACATACAGCTTCCATGTTCCCTTGAAATTCACCCTTTTAGAACTGCAGAAGAGCTATGAGGCCAGCAGGGGTCTCCTACTGGTTCCTGACCTCCCAGTGGTAATCAGTAGTGGTATCAGTATCTGGCTCCCTGGATGAACCAACCCTAGCTGTAGTTGTCCTCTTGACTTTTGCTCCTTCAGCCCTCTCAGTGATATTTGTAGGCACCTTGTGCCCCTATTAAATCTTGTTCTGTTTGAAATACCTAGAATGATTTATGTTTTCCTGATTGCACCCTGATTAATAATACTGCTTTTCTCTGAAAATTGACCGTGATCCCTTAATCTAACCGATGCCTCTGAGAGATGCAGGTAGTAAAATATAAGGAATTGACTTTAGAAATTTTAACTCATTGGCAAAGTTTAATTTCAACAATAGTAACCACAATGAAAAGCAGAAGTCTTTTTTTTTTTTTTTTTTTTGACTGAGTTTCACTCTTGTTGCCCAGGCTGGAGTGCAATGGCACAATCTTGGCTCACTGTGACCTCCACCTCCCGGGTTCAAGTGATTCTCCTGCCTCACCCTCCCAAGTAGCTGGGATCACAGGCATGCACCACCATGCCCAGCTAATGTTGTTTTTTGTTTGTTTGTTTTTTTAGTAGAGATGGGCTTTCTCCATGCTGGGCAGGCCAGTCTTGAACTCCTGGCCTCAGATGACCTGCCAGCCTCAGCCTCCCAAAGTGCTGGAGTTACAGGCGTGAGCCACCGCACCCAGCCATCACTGCTGTTTCTAAGTGGCAAAGTAAATAACTTTTTATAATGAGACCCTTTTTCCATGGATCTCTCCCTCTCTCTAGAGTCAACCTAAAACCATCTAACACAAAAATCCATGCCCTTAACCATGAGATTGTATCTACCACATTATAGTACTATTGAGAAACTCTGTGATCCATTGGGGAGCTAGCCTTGGGCCACGTCAATACCTGGGCTCAGACTCCAGCGTCAGTGCCACTACTGTGGAGGGATGCCACAGCCCACGTATACCCTATTGAAAATCTTGCTTCCTTGACCACAGAAGACATTAGTCGTGAGGTAATATGATCATTCCCATTTCTGGGAACAGAGAGGCTGGTGTTGAAAGAATCTATGTGCTGAAAATAAGGCTGAAAGGTTGATTCTAAGGTGGATCAACTTAGAGTGAAATGAACACCCATTAAGTGTAAATTCCCAGCAGTCATTTTGAAAAACGACACAGCACAGGAAGATTTTGTTTCCATCCAATTTAGCAAAGTTTACCTTAAAATAGCCAAAGATTCCCACTTACCCAGGAAAAAGTCCAGGGGTAGATCCCTTCTCTAGAGATCTGGATGAGCAGAGATGCAACTCCTATCTCACTAGGCTCTTCTGCTAATGAGATACAACGCAGATGGATACAGCAGCTGGGACTAGAACAGAGTGTTCTTTGAGGATTTGGGCTTTGTGTTTCCACAGCAACATCATACCTGGAGAAAAACAGCCTTGTGATGAAGCCCAGCATGTCTGTCTCCATAACGACAAGATCATGGCAACTTGGCTGTGAATCCTCCCTCTACCTCCTCATCAGTGACCACAGTAACAATGCCAAACACCTTTACTCCAGGCCCAGATGGTTTCACTGGAGAATTTTAACAAATGTTTAAAGCAAAATTAACACCAATGGTACACAATCTCTTGCAGTATATAGAAGAGGATTATAACTTCTCAATTCATTTTAGGAAGCATATACTACCCTGATACCAAAACCAGACAAAGACAGCACAAAGAAAACCTAGACATCAATATTCCTCATGAATACAAACACAATAATAACAAAATATTAGCAAATTGAATTCAGCACACATAAAAATAACCAAAGCTATGCTAAGTGGATTTTCTTTTAGATATACAAGACTGATCCAATATTTAAAACTCAAGTGATGTAATCCAATATATTAATAAGCTAAAGAAGAAAAATCACATCATTATATCAATTCATGCATAAAAATTTGATGAAATTAAACAACTATTCATGATTTTTTAAAACTCCCCAAAAAATAGAGGGGAAATTCCCCTTAACTTGATAAAGAGCATCTACCTGCAAAGGACCCTACACGAACCTTATACTTAAAAGTTGACAGACTAAATGCTTTCACTGAAGATCTCAGGAGCGAGTCAAGAATGCCACTCATGGAGAAAATTAGAAAAATGGCAGATAGGAGCCAGTACTAACTTGCAGCTCTCACTTGAATGGACAGAGCAGTATGTGGACACTCACATCATGAAGCTTTGCTCCAAGAACTACTGCAGAAACACATTAGGCAAGCCAAGCGAATCCACAGACCCTTCGAAGGAAGCAGCTTGCTGCTGCAGGCTCTGAGACAGCTGAAAAACTGTGAGTTCCCAAAGTATGAAAAGAGGAAAAATCCACCCTCGAAGACACATCTTTACTGGGGACCCTGAAGGTTCAGATCATGGATGAAGGATTTGACCTTACCTGGAACTGAAATGAATTTAGAGAGTCAAACAAAATATGGGGATACAGGAAGCAGCGGAAAGAGCCCTCTTGGTCCCCAGAGAAGACATTTCTGATTTCATCTCGCAGAGGGGTTTGGGGAGGGCTCCCAATGGAATTGAGGAAAGATCACAGGAAGAAGGAAACTTCCAGCTTAATTTTGTAACAATTTCAACTGAAAGTGAGGTTTCCTGGACAGAACTTGGGGAAAGGGTCAAACAGGGAGCACAGATAGAAGCACAGAAGCTGCAGCAGGCAGGGAGGCATGAAACCTGAAAGCCCTGCTTGCTTTCCCAGCAGGGAGGCTTGTAGCCTGGGGCAGGTTCTCAGCCTTGCTCCCCAGCTGCCTCAAAATAAGCTCGGTGCTGTTGGGGGTGCATGGTGGGAGTAAGACTTGCCTTTCGGGTGGCAAGAAAGCTGGGTGAGGCCTGTAACTGCTGGCTTTCCCCCACTTCCCTGATGACCCATATGACACAGCAGAGGCACCCATAATCCCCCTAGGAACGTAACTGCATTGGCCTGTGAACCACACCCCGATCCCCACCAGCAGCCACAGCAAGCCCTACCCAAAGAGAGTCTGAACTCAGACACACCTAAACTTGCCCCCATCTGATGGTCTTTCTCTACCCACACTGGTAGCAAAAGGCAAAGGACATAAGCTCTTGGGAGCTCTAGGGCCCCACCCACCATCTGAGAAACCCGAATACTTATCTAGGTGACCCTAGGGTAAGCTTGTATCCTCTCTATACTACTGCAACTGATGCTGTCTTGAAAGCACCACCTCCTGGCTGGAGGCCAACCAGAACAAGACCAGTACACTAACAAAAACTACAACCAAGGACCCTCACAGAGTCCACTTCACTCCCCTGGTACCTCCACCAGAATAGGTGCTGGTATCCATGGCTGAGAGACCTACAAATGGGTCACATCACACGACTCTGTGCAGACACTTCCCAATACCAGCCTGGAGCCCAGTAGCTCAACTGGGTGGATAAACCCAGAAGAGAAATAAAAATCTCTGCAGTTCAGGTCTCAGGAAGCCTCATCCCCAGATGGAAGGGAGAGCACCACATAAAGGGAGCACCCCATGGGACCAAAAAATATGAACAGCAGCCAAATCCCAGGTCTTCCCTCTGACGTCCACCCAAATGAGAAAGAACCAGAAAAACAATTCTGGTAATATGACAAAACGAGGTTTTTTTAACACTTCCAAAAGATCACACTAGCTCACCAGCATTGGATCCAAACCAAGATGAAATATCTGGATTGCCAGAAAAAAGAATTCAGAAGGTCAATTATTAAGCTAATCAAGGAGGCACCAGAGAAAGATGAAGTCCAACTTAATGAAATCAAAAAAACAATAAAGGATATGAATGGAAAAATCTCCAGTGAAATAGACAGCCTAAATAAAACACAATCACAACTTCTGGAAATGAAGGACACACTTAGAGAATTGCAAAATGCACTGGAAAGTCTCAGCAATAGAACCAAACAAGTAAAAGCAAGAACTTCAGATCTCAAAGACAGGGCTTTAGAATTAACCCAATCTGACAAAGACACAGAAAAAAAGAATTTTAAAAATGAACAATGACTCCAGGAAGTTTGGGATTATATTAAATGAATAAACCTAAGAATAATTAGTGTTCCTGAGGAAGAAGAGAAATCTAAAAGTTTGGAGAACATATTTGAGGGAACAATCAAGGAAAACTCCCCTGGCCTTGCTAGAGATCTGGACATCCAAGTATAGGAAGCTCAAAGAACACCCGGGAAATTCATCACAAAAAGATCATCATCTAGGCACATAGTCATCAAGTTATGTAAAGTCAAGACACAGGAAGGAATCTTAAGAGCTATGAGGCAAAAGCATCAGGCAAACTATAAAGGAAAACCTATCAGATTAAAAGCAGATTTCTCAGCAGAAATCCTACAAGCTAGAAGAGATTGGGGTCCTATTGTTAGCTTCCTTAAACAAAACAATTATCAGCTGAGAATTTTGTATCCAGCAAAATTAAGCTTCATATATGAAGGAGCGATAAAGGGCTTTTGGACAAACAAATGCTGAGAGAATTCACCACCACCAAGCCAGCACTACAATAACTGCTAAAAGGAGTTCTAAATCTTGCAACAAATCCTTGAAAAACACCAAAATAGAACCTCCTTAAAGCATAACTCTCACAGGACCTATAAAACAATAACATAATGAAAAAAGACAAGGTATTCAGGCAAAAACTCAATACTAACATTGAATGTAAATGGCCTAAATGTTCCACTTAAAAGATACAGAATGGCTGAATGGATAAGAATTTACCAACCAAGTGTCTGCTGCCTTCAAGACACTCACCTGACACATAAGGACTCATATAAAATTAATGTAATGGCATGGAAGAAGACATTCCATGGAAATGGACACCAAAAGTGAGGAGTAGTTATTCTTGTAAACTAAAAGTGAGGAGGAGTAGTTATTCTTGTAGACTTTAAAACAACAACAGTTTAAAAAGACAAACAGGAACATAATATAATGATAAAAGGACTAGTCCAACAGCAAAATATCATAATCCTAAATATATATGCATGTAACACTGGAGATCCCAAATATATAAAACATTATTACTAGATCTAAGAATAGAGATAATAGCAACACAATAACAGTGGGGGACTTCAGTACTCCACTGACAACACTAGACAGGTCATCAAGACAGAAAGTCAACAAAGAAACAATGGACTTAAACTATACCATAGACAAATAGACTTAAATATTTACAGAACATTCTACCCAACAACTGCAGAATATACATTCTGTTCATCAGCACGTGGAACATTCTTCAAGATAGCCCATATGATAGGTCACAAAACAACTCAATAAATTTTTAAAAATCAATATTATATAAAATACTCTCTCAGATCACAGTGGAATAAAATTGAAAATCAACTCCAAAAGGAACTCTTGAATCCATGCAAAAACATAGAAACTAAACAACCTGTTCCTGAATGATCATTGGGTCAATAATAAAATCAATATGGAAATTTAAAAAGTCTTTATACTGAATGATAATAGTGACACATCCCATCAAAACCTCTGGGATACAGCAAAGGCAGTGCTAAGAGGAAAGTTCATAGCATTAAATGCCTACATCAAAAAGTCTGAAAGAGCACAAACAGACAATCTAAGGTCACACCTCATGGAACTAGAAAAACAAAAACAACTCAAACCCAAACCCAGAAGAAGAAAAGAAATAAAAAAGATCAGAGAAGAGCTAAATGAAATTGAAACAAAAAATAAAAATAAAAAAGGTAAATGAAACAAAAAACTGGTTCTTTGAAAAGATAAGCAAAATTGATAGACCACTAGGAAAATTAACTAAGAAGAGAAAAAATTCAAATGAGCTCAATTAGAAACAAAATGGGAGATATTACAACCAATACCACAGAAATACAAAAGATTATTCAAGGCTACTATGAAAATCTTTACACACAAAAACTAGGAAACCTAGAGGAAATGAATAAATTCCTGGAAATATACAACTCTTGTAGATTAAACCAGGAAAAAATAGAAACTCTGAACAAACCAATAACGAGCAGTGAGACTGAAATGGTAATTTAAAAATTGACAACAAAAAGTCCAGGACCAGATGGATTCAAAGCTGAATTCTATCAGACATTCAAAGAAGAATTGGTATCAATCCTACTGACACAAGACAGAGCAAGAGGGAAACTTTCCTAAATCATTCCATGAAGACAGTATCACCCTAATACCAAAACCAGAAAAGGACAAAACAAAAAAAGAAAACTACAGACCAATATCTCTGATGAACATAGATGCAAAAATCCTCAACAAAATACTAGCTAACTGAAATCAGCAGCATATCAAAAAGATAATGATCGAGTGGGTTTCATACCAAGGATGCAGGGATGGCTTAATATATGGAAGTCAATAAATGTGATACACCACATAAACAGAATTAAAAAGAAAAATCATATGATCATCTCAATAGATGCAGAAAAAGCATTTGACAAAATCTAGTAACTCTTTATGACTAAAATCCTCAGCAAAACACACATAGAGGGACATACCTCAAGGTAATAAAAGCCATCTATGAAAAACAGCCAACATTATACTGAATGGGGAAAAGTTAAAAGCATTCCCCCTGACAACTGGAACAAGACAAGGATGCCCACTCTCATCACTTCTCTTCAACATAGTACTGGAAGTCCTACCCAGAGCAATCAGACAAGAGAAAGAAATAAAGGGCATCCAAACTGGTAAAAAGGAAATCAAACTGTCACTGTTTGCTGATCATATGATCATATAACCTAAAGAACTCCCTAAAGACTCCTCCAAAAAGCTCCTAGAACTGATAAATGAATTCAGTAAAGTTTCAGGATAAAAAAATCAATGTACACAAACCAGTAGTGCTGCTATACACCAACAGTGACCAAGCAGAGAATCAAATCAAGAACTCAACCCCTTTACAATAGCTCTGAAAAGAAAGTAAAATATTTAGAAATATACCTAACCAAGGAAGTGAAAGATCTCAACAAGGAAAACTACCAAACACTGCTCAAAGAAATCACAGATAACACAAACAAATAGAAACACATCCTATGCTCATGGATGGGTACAATCAATTTTGTGAAAATGACCATACTGCCAAAAGCAATCCACAAATTCAATGCAATTCCTATCAAAATATCACCATCATTCTTCACAGAACTAGAAAAAACAATCCTAAAATTCATATGGAACCAAAAGAAGAACCCACATAGCCAAAGCAAGCCTAAGCAAAAAGAACAAATCTGGAGCCATCACATTACCTGACTTCAAACTATACTATAAGGCTATAGTCACCAAAACAGCATGGTACTGGTATAAAAATAGGCACATAGACCAATGGCACAGGATAGAGAACCCAGAAATAAAGGCAAATACTTACAGCCGACTGATCTTCAACAAAGCAAACAAAAACATAAAGTGGGGAAAGGGCACCCTATTCAACAAATGATGCTGGGATAATTGGCAAGTCGAATGTAGGAAAATAAAACTGGATTCTCATTGCTCACCTTATACAAAAATCAACTCGAGATGGATCAAAGACTTAAATCTAAGACCTGAAACCATAAATATCTAGAAGATAACATCGGAAAAACCCTTGTAGACATTGGCTTAGGCAAAGACTTCATGACCAAGAACCCAAAAGCAAATGCAACAAAAGCAAAGATAAATAGATGGAACTTAGACTAAAAGCTTCTGCACAGCAAAAGAAATAATCAGCAGAGTAAACAGACAACCTACAGAGTGGGAGAAAATCTGCAAACTCTGCATCCGACAAAGGACTAATATCCAGAATCTACAAGGAACTCAAACAAATCAGCAAGAAATAAACAAACGATCCCATCAAAAAGTGGGCTAAGGACATGAATAGACAATTCTTAAAAGAAGATATATAAATGGCCAACAAACATATGAAAACAATGCTTGGCATCACTAATGATCAGGGAAATGCAAATCAAAACCACAATGCGATACCACCTTACTCCTGCAAGAATGGCCATAATCAAAAAATCAAAAAAAAATAGATGTTGGCATGGATGTGGTGAAAAGGGAATACTTTTATTCTGCTAGTGGGAATGTAAACTAGTACAGCAACTATGGAAAACAGGGTGGAGATTCCTTAAAGAACTAAAAGTAGAACTACCATTTGATCCAGCAATCCTTCTACTGGGTATCTACCCAGAGGAAAAGAAGTCATCATATGAAAAAGATACTTGGAAACACATGTTTATAGAAATGCAATTCACAATTGCAAAAATATGAGCAGCCCAAATGCCCATCAATCAATGAATGGATAAAAAAATTGTGAGATAGATAGATAGATAGGTAGATAGATAGATAGATAGATAGATGTATCTCCTAGAATACTACTCAGCCCTAAAAAATGAATGAAAGAATGGCATTTGCAGCAACCTGGATGGAATTGGAGACCATTATGCTAAATGAAGTAACTCAGGAATGGAAAACCAAGTATCACATGTTCTCACTCATAAGTGGGAGCTAAGCTATGTGGACACAAGGGCATAAGAATGATACAATGGACTTTGGAGACTCAGAGGAAAGGGTGGGACAAGGTGAGGGATAACAGACTATGCATTGGGCACAGTGTACACTGCTTGGATGATGGGTGCACCAAAACCTCAGAAATCCCCACTGAAGAACATATTCATGGAACCAAACATCGCCTGTTCCCCCAAAAACCTATTGAAACTTAAAAATTGAAGAAAAAAAAAAGAACTGCACACACTCAAGGACTCAGTAAGCAACCATGAAACATGAGCAAAATTTCCTTTCCTAAGGAATGACTGCAACAATGATTCACTGTAGTTATTTCTCGAACTCATGGGTGGTGGCTTGTATAACAAAAAACAATAAACTGTTGATGCTTGGGCCCCAGCCGAGAATCAGCATCTCTGGGGGGGAAAAAAGTCACTCATATTCAACATAGTGATAGAAGTTCTCATCAATGCAAGGAGGCAAGAAAAGGAACTACAGGCATGCACCACCATGCCTGGCTAATTTTTCAATTTTTTTGTAGAGACAAGGAAAGAAAAGGAACTCAAAGGCATGTACATTGGAAAGGAGAAAAATAAAACTTTCTATTTGCAGATGATACAATTTGTTTATGTAAAAAAGTTCCAAGGAATCTAAAACAAACAAAAACAAAACCTGGCCAGGAACAGTGGCTCATACTTGCAATCCCAGCACTTTGAGAGCACTTTGAGTGGCTCATACCTGTAATCCCAGCACTTTGAGAGGCTGAGACAGGCAGCTCTCTAGAGCCCAGGAGTTTGAGACCAGGCAACTGGCAAAATCCTGTCTCTACAAAAAAAATGAAAAATTAGCCAGGCCTGTTGGTGCATGCCTGTAGTCCCAGCTACTTGGGGACTGAGGTAAGAGGATAGCTTGAGCCTTGGAGGTTGAGGCTGCAGTGAACTGTGATTGTGCCATGGCACTCTAGCCTGGGCTAGTGTTATGTAGCACTTCATTATAAAATTATAGGCTTTCATTACAGGCTTGGTGTTAGATAATTATGCCCAACTGTAGAGTAGCATAAGTGTTCCGACCAAGTATAAGGTAAGCTAGGCTAAGCTATGATGTTTCGTAAGTTAAGAATATTAACTGCATTTTCAACATATTATATTTTCTTTTTTTATTACTTAATTTTTTTTTATTATACTTTAAGTTTTAGGGTACATGTGTACATTGTGCAGGTTAGTTACATATGTATACATGTGCCATGCTGGTGCGCTGCACCCACTAACTCGTCATCTAGCATTAGGTATATCTCCCGAGGCTATCCCTCCCCCCTCCCCCCACCCCACAACAGTCCCCAGAGTGTGATATTCCCCTTTCTGTGTCCATGTGATCTCATTGTTCAATTCCCACCTATGAGTGAGAATATGCGGTGTTTGGTTTTTTGTTCTTGTGATAGTTTACTGAGAATGATGATTTCCAATTTCAGCCATGTCCCTACAAAGGACATGAACTCATCATTTTTTATGGCTGCATAGTATTCCATGGTGTATATGTGCCACATTTTCTTAATCCAGTCTATCATTGATGGACATTTGGGTTGGTTCCAAGTCTTTGCTATTGTGAATAATGCTGCAATAAACATACGTGTGCATGTGTCTTTATAGCAGCATGATTTATAGTCCTTTGGGTATATACCCAGTAATGGGATGGCTGGGTCAAATGGTATTTCCAGTTCTAGATCCCTGAGGAATCGCCACACTGACTTCCACAGTGGTTGAACTAGTTTACAGTCCCACCAACAGTGTCAAAGTGTTCCTATTTCTCCACATCCTCTCCAGCACCTGTTGTTTCCTGACTTTTTAATGATTGCCATTCTAACTGGTGTGAGATGTTATCTCATTGTGGTTTTGATTTGCATTTCTCTGATGGCCAGTGATGATGAGCATTTTTTCATGTGTTTTTTGGCTGCATAAATGTCTTCTTTTGAGAAGTGTCTGTTCATGTCCTTTGCCCACTTTTTGATGGGGTTGTTTGTTTTTTTCTTGTAAATTTGTTTGAGTTCATTGTAGATTCTGGATATTAGCCCTTTGTCAGATGAGTAGGTTGTGAAAATTTTCTCCCATTTTGTATGTTGCCTGTTCACTCTGATGATAGTTTCTTTTGCTGTGCAGAAGCTCTTTAGTTTAATTAGATCCCATTTGTCAATTTTGGCTTTTGTTGCCATTGCTTTTGGTGTTTTAGACATGAAGTCCTTGCCCATGCCTATGTCCTGAATGGTAATGCCTAGGTTTTCTTCTAGGATTTTTATGGTTTTAGGTCTAACATTTAAGTCTTTAATCCATCTTGAATTGATTTTTGTATAAGGTGTAAGGAAGGGATCCAGTTTCAGCTTTCTACATATGGCTAGCCAGTTTTCCCAGCACCATTTATTAAATAGGGAATCCTTTCCCCATTGCTTGTTTTTGTCAGGTTTGTCAAAGATCAGATAGTTGTAGATATGCGGCATTATTTCTGAGGGCTCTGTTCTGTTCCATTGATCTATATCTCTGTTTTGGTACCAGTACCATGCTGCTTTGGTTACTGTAGCCTTGTAGTATAGTTTGAAGTCAGGTAGTGTGATGCCTCCAGCTTTGTTCTTTTGGCTTAGGATTGACTTGGTGATATGGGCTCTTTTTTGGTTCCATATGAACTTTAAAGTAGTTTTTACAATTCTGTGAAGAAAGACATTGGTAGCTTGATGGGGATGGCATTGAATCTGTAAATTACCTTGGGCAGTATGGCCATTTTCACGATATTGATTCTTCCTACCCATGAGCATGGAATGTTCTTCCATTTGTTTGTATCCTCTTTTATTTCCTTGAGCAGTGGTTTGTAGTTCTCCTTGAAGAGGTCCTTCACATCCCTTGTAAGTTGGATTCCTAGGTATTTTATTCTCTCTGAAGCAATTGTGAATGTGAGTTCACTCATGATTTGGCTCTCTGTTTGTCTGTTGTTGGTGTATAAGAATGCTTGTGATTTTTGTACATTGATTTTGTATCCTGAGACTTTGCTGAAGTTGCTTATGAGCTTAAGGAGATTTTGGGCTGAGACAATGGGGTTTTCTAGATATACAATCATGTCATCTGCAAACAGGGACAATTTGACTTCCTCTTTTCCTAATTGAATACCCTTTATTTCCTTCTCCTGCCTAATTGCCCTGGCCAGAACTTCCAACACTATGTTGAATAGGAGTGGTGAGAGAGGGCATCCCTGTCTTGTGCCAGTTTTCAAAGGGAATGCTTCCAGTTTTTGCCCATTCAGTATGATATTGGCTGTGGGTTTGTCATAGATAGCTCTTATTATTTTGAAATACGTCCCATCAATACCTAATTTATTGAGAGTTTTTAGCATGAAGGGTTGTTGAATTTTGTCAAAGGCTTTTTCTGCATCTATTGAGATAATCATGTGGTTTTTGTCTTTGGCTCTGTTTATATGCTGGATTACATTTATTGATTTGCGTATATTGAACCAGCCTTGCATCCCAGGGATGAAGCCCACTTGATCATGGTGGATAAGCTTTTTGATGTGCTGCTGGATTCGTTTTGCCAGTATTTTATTGAGGATTTTTGCATCAATGTTCATCAAGGATATTGGTCTAAAATTCTCTTTTTTTGTTGTGTCTCTGCCTGGCTTTGGTATCAGAATGATGCTGGCCTTGTAAAATGAGATAGGGAGGATTCCCTCTTTTTCTATTGATTGGAATAGTTTCAGAAGGAATGGTACCAATTCCTCCTTGTACCTCTGGTAGAATTCGGCTGTGAATCCATCTGGTCCTGGACTCTTTTTGGTTGGTAAGCTATTGATTATTGCCACAATTTCAGCTCCTGTTATTGGTCTATTCAGAGATTCAACTTCTTCCTGGTTTAGTCTTAGGAGAGTGTATGTGTCCAGGAATTCATCCATTTCTTCTAGATTTTCTAGTTTATTTGCGTAGAGGTGTTTGTAGTATTCTCTGATGGTAGTTTGTATTTCTGTGGGATCAGTGGTGATATCCCCTTTATCATTTTTTATTGCATCTATTTGATTCTTCTCTCTTTTTTTCTTTATTAGTCTTGCTAGAAGTCTATCAATTTTGTTGATCCTTTCAAAAAACCAGCTCCTGGATTCATTAATTTTTTGGAGGGTTTTTTGTGTCTCTATTTCCTTCAGTTCTGCTCTGATTTTAGTTATTTCTTGCCTTCTGCTAGCTTTTGAATGTATTTGCTCTTGCTTTTCTAGTTCTTTTAATTGTGATGTTAGGGTGTCAATTTTGGATCTTTCCTGCTTTCTCTTGTGGGCATTTAGTGCTATAAATTTCCCTCTACACACTGCTTTGAATGCGTCCCAAAGATTCTGGTATGTTGTGTCTTTGTTCTCGTTGGTTTCAAAGAACATCTTTATTTCTGCCTTCATTTCGTTATGTACCCAGTAGTCATTCAGGAGCAGGTTGTTCAGTTTCCATGTAGTTGAGCGGTTTTGAGTGAGATTCTTAATCCTGAGTTCTAGTTTGATTGCACTGTGGTCTGAGAGATAGTTTGTTATAATTTCTGTTCTTTTACATTTGCTGAGGAGAGCTTTACTTCCCAGTATGTGGTCAATTTTGGAATAGGTGTGGTGTGGTGCTGAAAAAAATGTATATTCTCTTGATTTGGGGTGGAGAGTTCTGTAGATGTCTATTAGGTCTGCTTGGTGCAGAGCTGAGTTCAATTCCTGGGTATCCTTGTTGACTTTCTGTCTCGTTGATCTGTCTAATGTTGACAGTGGGGTGTTAAAGTCTCCCATTATTAATGTGTGGGAGTCTAAGTCTCTTTGTAGGTCACTCAGGACTTGCTTTATGAATCTTGGTGCTCCTGTATTGGGTGCATATATATTTAGGATAGTTAGCTCTTCTTGTTGAATTGATCCCTTTACCATTATGTAATGGCCTTCTTTGTCTCTTTTGATCTTTGTTGGCTTAAAGTCTGTTTTATCAGAGACTAGGATTGCAACCCCTGCCTTTTTTTGTTTTCCATTGGCTTGGTAGATCTTCCTCCATCCTTTTATTTTGAGCCTATGTGTGTCTCTGCACGTGAGATGGGTTTCCTGAATACAGCACACTGATGGGTCTTGACTCTTTATCCAATTTGCCAGTCTGTGTCTTTTAATTGGAGCATTTAGTCCATTTACATTTAAAGTTAATATTATTATGTGTGATTTTGATCCTGTCATTATGATGTTAGCTGGTTATTTTGCTCGTTAGTTGATGCAGTTTCTTCCTAGTTTCGATGGTCTTTACATTTTGGCATGATTTTGCAGCAGCTGGTACTGGTTGTTCCTTTCCATATTTAGTGCTTCCTTCAGGAGCTCTTGTAGGGCAGGCCTGGTGGTGACAAAATCTCTCAGCATTTGCTTGTCTGTAAAGGATTTTATTTCACCTTCACTTATGAAGCTTAGTTTGGCTGGATATGAAATTCTGGGTTGAAAATTCTTTTCTTTAAGAATGTTGAATATTGGCCCCCACTCTCTTCTGGCTTGTAGGGTTTCTGCCGAGAGATCTGCTGTTAGTCTGATGGGCTTCCCTTTGAGGGTAACCCGACCTTTCTCTCTGGCTGCCCTTAACATTTTTTCCTTCATTTCAACTTTGGTGAATCTGACAATTATGTGTCTTGGAGTTGCTCTTCTCGAGGAGTATCTTTGTGGTGTTCACTGTATTTCCTGAATCAGAACATTGGCCTGCCTTGCTAGATTGGGGAGGTTCTCCTGGATAATATCCTGCAGAGTGTTTTCCAACTTGGTTCCATTCTCCCCATCACTTTCAGGTACACCAATCAGACGTAGATTTGGTCTTTTCACATAGTCCCATATTTCTTGGAGGCTTTGCTCATTTCTTTTTATTCTTTTTTCTCTAAACTTCCCTTCTTGCTTCATTTCATTCATTTCATCTTCCATTGCTGATATCCTTTCTTCCAGTTGATTTCATCAGCTCCTGAGGCTTCTGCATTCTTCACGTAATTCTCGAGCCTTGGTTTTCAGCTCCATCAGCTCCTTTAAGCACTTCTCTGTATTGGTTATTCTAGTTATACATTCTTCCAAATTTTTTTCGAAGTTTTCAACTTCTTTGCCTTTGGTTTGAATGTCCTCCCGTAGCTCAGAGTAATTTGATCGTCTGAAGCCTTCTCCTCTCAGCTCGTCAAAGTCATTCTCCATCCAGCTTTGTTCCGTTGCTGGTGAGGAACTGCGTTCCTTTGGAGGAGGAGAGGCACTCTGCTTTTTAGAGTTTCCAGTTTTTCTGTTCTGTTTTTTCCCCATCTTTGTGCTTTTATCTACTTTTGGTCTTTGATGATGGTGACGTACAGATGGGTTTTTGGTGTGAATGTCCTTTCTGTTTGTTAGTTTTCCTTCTAACAGAGAGGACCCTCAGCTGCAGGTCTGTTGGAATACCCTGCCGTGTGAGGTGTCAGTGTGCCCCTGCTGGGGGATGCCTCCCAGTTAGGCTGCCCGGGGGTCAGGGGTCAGGGACCCACTTGAGGAGGCAGTCTGCCCATTCTCAGATCTCCAGCTGCATGCTGGGAGAACCACTGCTCTCTTCGAAGCTGTCAGACAGGGACATTTAAGTCTGCAGAGGTTACTGCTGTCTTTTTGTTTGTCTGTGCCCTGCCCCCAGAGGTGGAGCCTACAGTGGCAGGCAGGCCTCCTTGAGCTGTGGTGGGCTCCACCCAGTTGGAGCTTCCCAGCTGCTTTGTTTACCTAATCAAGCCTGGGCAATGGCGGGCGCCCCTCCCCCAGCCTCGCTGCCACCTTGCAGTTTGATCTCAGACTGCTGTGCTAGCAATCAGCGAGACTCCGTGGGCATAGGACCCTCCGAGCCAGGTGCGGGATATAATCTCGTGGTGCGCCGTTTTTTAAGCCCATCGGAAAAGCGCAGTATTCGGGTGGGAGTGACCCAATTTTCCAGGTGCCGTCCATCACCCCTTTCTTTGACTCAGAAAGGGAACTCCCTGACCCCTTGCGCTTCCCAAGTGAGGCAATGCCTCGCCCTGCTTTGGCTCGCGCACGGTGCACGCACCCACTGACCTGCGCCCACTATCTGGCACTCCCTAGTGAGATGAACCCGGTACCTCAGATGGAAATGCAGAAATCACCCGTCTTCTGCATCGCTCACGCTGGGAGCTGTAGACCGGAGCTGTTCCTATTCAGCCATCTTCAGGTAATAGCAGCTCTATGTCAACATATTATATTTTCAATTTATGATGAGTTTATCAGGATATAACCCCATCGTAAGTTAAGGAGCAGCTGTACAATAAAGAAGACCTGAACAAATGTGGAGACATACCATATTGTTAGATTGGAAGACTCAACATAGTAAATTCTCCCCAAATAAATATACAAGTTTAATATAATTTGTATCAAAATCCCAGCAAAATCTTTTGTAGATAGACAAGATTATTATAATATTATATGGAGAAGCAAAGGAAGTAGAATAACTAAAAACAATTTTGAAAAAGAAAATGAGGAATCAGTCTACCTAATATCGATACCTATTATATAGCAACAGTGATCAAGAGTGTATAGTATTGGCAGAGGGATAGACATAGACCAATGCAACAGAACAAAGAACGCAGTAGATAATGTCTAACTGACTTTTTACAAAGGTGCAAAAGCAATGTAATAGAGGAAAGGCAGCATTTTCAACAAATGGTGCTGGAGCAATTGGACATTCATAGGCAAAAAGTAAATCACAACGTAAGTCTTATATCTTTTTATGGTGGATGGGGGATGCCCAGACTGTCACCCAGACTGGAGTGCAGTTGTGCAATCTCACCTCACTGCAACCGCTGCCTTCAGGGCTCAAGCGATTCTCCCACCTCAGCCTCCTGAGACTACATGAGCATGCCATCACTCCCAGCTAATTTTTTTTTTTTTTTTTTGAGAGGGGATTTTGTCATGTTGCCCAGGCTGATCTTGAACTCCTGGATTCAAGCAATCACCTCACCTTGGCCTCTCAAAGTGCTGAGATTACAGGCATGGGCCACCACTCATGTAAGTCTTATATCTTACACAAAAAAATAAATTACTGACTTAAACATAAGACAAAACTAAAACTATAAAACTTTTAGGAAAAAAAAAGAGAAAATCCTTGAAAACCTAGGGCTAGACAACAAGTTCTTCAACTTGAAACTAAAAGCATAATTCATAAAAGGAAAAAATTAGTAAATTGTAATTCATTAAAATTTAAAACTTTTGTTCTTGGGAAGACCTAATTAAGAATAAGAAAAGGCAAGCTACGGACTGGTAAAAAATATCTGCAAACAACATAGCTGATGAATGACTAGTTCCTATAATATATAAAGAACACTCAAAATTCAACAATTTAAAAAATCCAACTAAAACATGTGCAAAAGACATGAAGGGACATTTCACCAAAGAATATATACAGAAAGCAAATAAATAGATGCAAAGATGTTCAACATCATTAGTCATCAGGAAAATACAAATTAAAACCACAACGAGTTATCACTATACACCTCAGAATGGCTAAAATAAAAAATTGTGAAAACATGAAATAAAACGGCAAGAATGAGTTCTAAATAATCATAGTTATAACAAATGTAAATTGTACTCTTGGTTTGGATGATAAGAAGAAAAAATAAAATCCAACAATGTGTTGTTTACAAGACCCACAGAGGATCAGAAATTTGGTTGATGTGAGGAAAAAGTCCACACATTTGGAGTCAGAAGTGAATAAAAACAGCTCAGTAATTATAACTTTATTTTCAATTTCTGCAATTTATTTTCAATTTTAATTTTGTTTGCAGTGTGGTTCGGTCCACAAGACTACCCTCACTTCAGAGGCCAGTCATGAGTATTGGGTCTCCAGGTTACCCATATTTCTGTTCAACTTAATTTCAAATTCGGAGTCTCACATTTCCCTCCCCTACAGGTTTAATACTTTGTAGAACAGCTCATAAAACTCAGGAAAGCAGTTTACTCATGTTTACTGGTTTATTATAAAGGATACAAAGCAGAAGCAGCCAAGCAGAAGAGATTCATAAAGTATGGGGAAGCAGGGGTAGAACGGTTCCATGACCTCTTGAGAGCATCCTCCCCTAGCACCTTGATGTGTTCACCAACCCAAAGCTCTCCAAATCCCATTGTTTGGGATTTTTATGGAAGTTTTATTATTTAGACATGGTTGATTAAATCATGGGCTGTTGAAGATTAGTTCAATCTCCACCTTCTTCCCCCCACCCCGAGAAATTTGGGGGTGGGGCTTAAAGTTCCAACGATCCAATCATGCCATGGGCTTTCTGGCAATCAACCCTCAACCTGAAGCTATCTAGAGGCCTCTAGCCACCAGTCATTTCACTCAAATACAAAAGATACTCTTATTATTCCTAAGATTCTAAGGGTTTTAGAAACCGTGTGCCAGGAACCGTGGACAAAAACCAAACTGTTTTTATTCTACCGCAATTGCATATAGACTTTGGTATGCAACAAAAACAAATAGATTAGAGAGAGAGAGAGACAGAGAGAGAGAGATAATTGATAGATAGATGACAGTTAATAGATAGAAGATAGAGAGATAGATGATAGATGATAGATAGATAGATAGATAGATAGATAGATAGATAATACAGGGAAAAACAAAATTTACTCAGGTTGAACATTTGCATAACATATGACTTAGCAATTCCATGCCTAAGTGTATCTGCAAAAAAAAACTCTTGCCCATGAACACTGGGAGACATGCACTGGAATGTTCATAGCAGCATTGTTTGTAACAGCAAAAAACTTAACACCTTTTGGTAAGATATTCAAATGGTTAAATGTTTTATAGCAGTAAAAAGTGAATGAAATGCAGCTATTATAGTATGGATAAATCTTAGTAATAAATGCTGAATGATAAAATCAAGTCTTCGAAGGCTACATGACTCTTTGAAGTTTAAAGACAGTCAATAATAAACAATGTATTGTTTTAGCACACATATATACACATATACATATATACACAAACATATACACACAAACATATATACACACGTGTGTGTATATGTGTATATACATACATATATATATATATATATATATAAACTATTTTTAAAAGCAAGGCAAACACAAAATTTAGGACAGCTATTATTTCCAAAGGCAAGCAGGGGAACAGGGTGAAGATAAGTACTTAGGTAGATGTAATTGTTATTGTTTTAGTTCTTGAGTCAGATGGTGAGTTAAAATTTAAAAGAAAAGCTATGCAAGAAAGGAATTAAGAAAGGTAAACTAGCTAGATATTAAACAGAAGAAATCAAGTATAGCAATTTTAATATTAGATTAAAAAAGAACAAATAAGATGTGAAACATCAAACGACAAATAGGGGTACGGTATACTAATATTAGAAATAATGGACCAAGAAGACTTAATGATCATGAACCAATATGCAGTGAACCATGCAGGCTTAAATATATATGGAACAATAACTGACAGAACATGGGGAGAAAAAAAATTAGTCATTCTACATGCAGATTTGTGATTGTTAATTAATTTATTGGTTTAATGGTAATTTCTTTTTAAAATAATGACTTTCAATTCTAGAGAACTTTTTAATTGAGGTATAATTTTTGTGCAAAATAATTCACAGATATTTTAAGTCTTACGGTTAGGTGGGCATTGACAGATGAATATATATCCACATAATCTCCATATTCAAGATATAAATTCTTTCTGTTATCTCAGAAAGTTTCTTTGTGTCTTTTTTTTTCTGCTAATTCTCATTTCCTTCCCCCTCCAGAGGGAAGCATTGCTCTGAATTCTTCTCGTTTTTTGAAGATTTTTTTAAATGTATTTACTTTTGATTGACAAATAATAATTGTACATATTCATGGGGTACTTGGTGATGTTTTAATACATGCATTTTCTGATGTAACTACCTCTGAAGATCTACTTGGAGAGTTTTTAACTCACATTTTATCTTAGTCCATTCAGGCACTGTAACAAAAATGCCATAAACTGGGTGGCTTTTATAATTTATTTCTCACAGTTCTGGAGGCTGGGAAGTCCAAGGTCATGGTAACTCAACAGATTTGGTGTCTGGGGAAAATTCATTCCTCATAGACTGCACCTTCTCACTTCATATTCACATGCTGGAAGAGGCACAGCAGGTTTCTGTGGCCTTTTTTATTACGGCACTAATCTCACTCATGAGGGCTCTACCCTCATGACTTAATAAGGTCCCAAAAGCCTCACCTCTTAATACTATCACTCTGGGGATTAGGTTTCAACATATAATTTTTTTTATTTTTTTGAGATAGTCTCGCTCTATCGCCCAGGCTGGAGTGCAGTGGCACGATCTCAGCTCACTGCAAGCTCCACCTCCCAGGTTCACGCCATTCTCCTGACTCAGCCTCCCAAGGAGCTGTGAATACAGGCGTCCGTCACCACGCCCGGCTTTTTTTTTTTTTTTTTTTTTAATTTCTTGGTAGACACGGGGTTTCACTGTGTTAGCCAGGATGGTCTCTATCTCCTAACCTTGTGATCCGCCCACCTCGGCCTCCCAAAGTGCTGGGATTACAGGCCTCCCAAAGTGCTGGGATTACAGGATTGCTGCGCCTGGCCTCAACATATAAATTTTAAGGGGACACAAACATTCAGATCCATAGCACCATTCTCAGAAACTGATTGCCCAAGTAGAGGAGGGAAAAACACATATAATATTTTAATCTCAAATTAATGAACATATAAACTCAAGCTAAGAAATCTACAGAATGTTATCCCACACTCAGAATATACACACCAAAATTGCCTATAGTATAGACTAACGAGTAAACCTATACAAAAACACAAATAAGCATTTAGAAATTCTCAATACTATTATATTATCACACTGATTATACACGGATAATAATCAAAATACCTAATGTCTGAAACTAAAAAATATGCTACTAAGCATAGGTGCACAAATTATGTAACCCTTTCCAAACTGCACTTCAGGCTTTCTCAGAGCTGCGTCTTTCTTTTCATAAATTTTAATGTTTAGCTCTGAAAAACTAGATGCTCTTCTAACTCTGGCATAAAGCCCTTGCAAGGTAAGGAGCAAAGATTCCTACTTCCGGCTGAAGCTGCCAGAAGCAAAGAATATTCTGCATCATAAAACTAACCTAACGTTAATCGAACAAAGATTTGTAAGACACTCAGACTTCAGAGACTGTTGTTATATCCTGGGGAAATAGTGTCTCATCTCTAAGAAGTTTATAATGCTGATTGGTTGTCTTATTATGTGTTGCCCTGGTAATAATATTTAAATTGGCATCTTTTTTTTCTTTTTTTTTATTTTATTATTATTATACTTTAAGTTTTAGGGTACATGTGCACAATGTGCAGGTTAGTTACATATGTATACATGTGCCATGCTGGTGTGCTGCACCCATTAACTCGTCATTTAGCATTAGATATATCTCCTAAAGCTATCCCTCCCCCCTCCCCTACTTGTTGACTTTGTTAAACCAGAAAGAGATTATTGGCACTTAACATGCCTAGCAAAGACAAGTAAAATGAGTTTTAGATTTCTATTTTACGCAGAGCCTGATTGAAAGTCTTTTCTTATTTAAATAAATGAATAACACATGGGTTAAACAAAATATCATGGGAAAAATTCTCAGCTACTTAGAACTGAATGATAATAATATATACTATATATTAAAACCTGTAAGATTCACCTAAATAGTACTTAGAGGGAAATTTAAGTCTTTGAATACATTGAAGGAAGATTAAAAACAAATTAACTATTTCTCTTTCTCTTTCTCTCTCCTCCAATCTTTTTCCTTTCTTCCCTTCTCAAATAATTCAGCCCTTAATGTATTAAATGACCCCAACAGAAGTAGGCATCCACGCCATAGGAATGGGGAGAGGGTGAGCCATGGTGGCCCAGAGCATGGAGTTGGAGTCTGAGAAGCATAAGGGCAACCATGCCGAGGAGTGGCCCAACTTAGCCAAGTGGGGTAAGGAGGTGGAGGTTTCCTCCATCCCCATGGATCAGGATGTCAGAGCCTGAGTGAGGTGAGCAGGTCTATGCAAACCTAACTCTAAACACTGAGGGTGTTGAAAGGCCAAAGAAAGAGGTTGACAAATACAGTTTCTCCGAAAAAAAATCTTTAATAGGGAGTTATGAACAGAAATGAGGACTCAAGTGACCATCAAATGGTGGAGTCCCCCACCTGCCCTCCAGAAAATATCCTTTATATAGCAAGCTTATATATCCTTTACAGAACCAGCATGTGCAGCTGGTTATGCCTCCAACTTTTCTTGCAAAACTTGTGACTGCTAAGGTGGTTAGATAAGCATCTTACAAGGGGTTATCTGTTGTTTAAAGTTCTTGCTACAGAACATGTTGATATAGAGGGGTCAAACATCAGACACCATGGCAGTTTCGATTCAATATAGTGTCACTCTTGCCATGCAACAGTCTGTTTTCCTACACTTCACCCCTTAACATTGGCCCTTACAATCTCACATACCTGCGTCTTTCACAATAGTCCCTGCACCAAGAGGGAGGGTGCTTAATGTTATATAGCTTTAATAGTGGTGCATTGGCAATGGAAAACAGAGCAGGCTCAGCAGGACTCCAAATGAAGGAGATTCACATGCTTTGTTGAATCATCTCTAGTCTTTGGAATACCATGGTTCTGGTTTCCTTGGAAGAAGAAAAACAATGAGAGATACATAACATTAGTAATGTGAATAGCAGAAATAAAATGCACACAAGGATTACAATCAAAGAGAGAAATTCTATGTCAGAATAGAAAGAAAGAAAACCTTATTCCATTAGGGAGCCAACTAAAAACATCATGAAGAAAATTAAAACCGGGTTCTTCTTTAGAGATTTATTGTAGCCAGGAAATAATCCAAGATTTAACCCAAATTGTAGATAAATAATAAAAACTTAAAAACAATGGTCAGGGTTAAAATCTAATAAGCAGGTGTGCTTATTAGATATGGTTTTGTTCTGAAACATAATTTTCCTCTCTTCAGTCCCCCTTTTCTACCAAAAAGAAATAGTAAGACCAATTTATTTGCAAAATAAATTTTAGACTTATTATACTTGACCTGATAATTTGCATAAAGTGCAAGAATAGCAATTGGCCATATAGGCTCCTTTAAATTTGCCTTTGCTGGAACTTTTTCATAAGGATTTTGAGATTAAACTTTTAAAAGCCTCTAGATGTTTAGAAGCCAAGCCAAGGATTTGCCATCCTGTAATGCCTGTATAAATTGGATGAATTCCTTTCTTCTCAAGGTCTCAAAATATCTTGAGGTTCCTGGGCCTGTCAGAAAGTTAACACTCTTTACTTACCACAAGGTCAGGAATCTTGTAAGGTCAGGAATCTTGTAAGTGAAGCATATAGACAAGGTACCGGGCCAGTTTTCCAAGGGGGTTCGTATTGGCTCTGTAAAGTCAACCTCAATTCCTCAAAACTGTTTGGTCATATCTGAAAATTACCAATGTTTCCAGTGTGTCCTATTATAAAAGAAAACATTCTTTTTTTAATTATTATTATACTTTAAGTTTTAGGGTACATGTGCACAATGTGCAGGTTAGTTACATATGTATACATGTGCCATGCTGGTGTGCTGCCCCCATTAACTCGTCATTTAGGATTAGGTGTATCTCCTAATGCTATCCCTCCCCTCTCCCCCTACCCCACAACAGTCCCCAGAGTGTGATGTTCCCCTTCCTGTGTCCATGTGTTCTCCTTGTTCAATTCCCATCTATGAGTGAGAACATGCGGTGTTTGGTTTTTTATCCTTGCGATAGTTTACTGAGAATGATGATTTCTAATTTCATCCATGTCCCTACAAAGAACATGAACTCATCATTTTTATGGCTGCATAGTATTCCATGGTGTATATGTGCCACATTTTCTTAATCCAGTCTATCATTGATGGACATTTGGATTGGTTCCAAGTTTTTGCTATTGTGAATAGTGCCGCAATAAACATACGTGTGCATGTGTCTTTTTAGCAGCATGATTTATAGTCCTTTGGGTATATACCCAGTAATGGGATGGCTGGGTCAAATGGTATTTCTAGTTCTAGATCCCTGAGGAATCGCCTCACTGACTTCCACAATGGTTGAACTAGTTTACAGTCCCACCAACAGTGTCAAAGTGTTCCTATTTCTCCACATCCTCTCCAGCACCTGTTGTTTCCTGACTTTTTAATGATTGCCATTCTAACTGGTGTGAGATGGTATCTCACTGTGGTTTTGATTTGCATTTCTCTGATGGCCAGTGATGATGAGCATTTTTTCATGTGTCTTTTGGCTGCATAAATGTCTTCTTTTGAGAAGTGTCTGTTCATATCCTTTGCCCACTTTTTGATGGGGTTGTTTGTTTTTTTCTTGTAAATTTGTTTGAGTTCATTGTAGATTCTGGATATTAGCCCTTTGTCAGATGAGTAGGTTATGAAAATTTTCTCCCATTTTGTAGATTGCCTGTTCACTCTGATCGTAGTTTCTTTTGCTATGCAGAAGCTCTTTAGTTTAATTAGATCCCATTTGTCAATTTTGGCTTTTGTACATTCTTACTGAAGTAATGCAAATAAATATATTGTTGTAAAAATAATAATATTCTTGAATAGTTTAGAAATTTTGGAGAAATTCGGTACAGAGAAAGGTAAATGTTTCCATTTTGCTCATAAAAGTATAATTTACCCAATGGCTGTAAGCAACTTCTCTTTTTTTACTGTAGGTAAAATTTTCTTTTGTTGTCATTGTTTGTTTTTTGTTTGTTTGTTTTGTTTTGTGTTGAGACGAGGTTTTACTCCTGTTGCCCAGTCTGGAGAGCAATGGTGTAATCTTGGCTTACTGCAACCTCCACCTCCTGGGCTCAAGCAATTCTCCTGCCTTAGCCTTCTGAGTAGCTGGGATTATAGGCGCATGCCACCCCGCCCAGCTGATTTTTGTATTTTCTGTAGTGACAGGTTTTTGCCATGTTGCCCAGGCTGGTCTCCAACTACTGAGCTTAAGCAATCCACCCACCTCGGCCTCCCAAAGTGCATGGATTACAGGCGTTAGCCACCACACCCAGCCATAAAGTTTTCTTGACTCTGGAAAACAGTATATAAAAAGAATCAGCAATGTTTCAAACAAAAAGTCATTTTTAAAAAATCATTTTTTAGTCTTTCATCAGTTCAGTTCCATGTAATTCTTGTTTTGCTTGATGCTGAGTTAGCAATTTCATGAACACATCAATTTTTTATTAGAATTCCAGAAATTTTTACCTAGTCCAATGGTATGATCTCCGAAGTTATCCTTAAAACCTGTATTCTTGATTAGTTGTCAGAGTCCTTCCCATTAATTTCCTTGAACACCAAACACTTTAGAATTTGCAAAAAGCTTTTAGAAAAAAAGCATCAGAATAAAACAATTTACTGCATATACCAAGACATATAAGATTTTAGGACTCTCACAATTTCAGAATACATATTAATAACATAGTCTTACAAATACAACTCAAGGAAGCTAAATATCATTTCTTATTTGACAATGTTTCCCATATAATTTTAACATACCAAATAAGCCAAATATGTCTCTGTTGGCCTTTCAGAGAGGGATTGGGGATTAAACTAAGACCAGAGGACCTAGGAGTTCAAGTCATACAACTACTGGAAAGAAGAGCATGCGTGCCAAAGGAACAGCAAATGCCAACACTATCTGGCATGTTCTAGAAGCCATGAAGAGGTCGATGTGGCTGGGAGAAATAATAAGTGGGAGAGAAGGGAGCCAGGTAATGGGGCCAGATCATATAGGGCCTAGTAAGGAAGGAGAGAGGGAGAAAGAGAAGTGGGGTGAAGAAAGGTTGGCCAACATTTTGGGGGAATAAGTTTTTGTTAAAAACAGAAGAATATTGGCAATTTTCTCCTCTGTCCACATATCAAATAACTCTCTCAAAAAGCCTGATGGCTTCACTTGACATCTCAGAAAAAATTTACAGTAGCACACTTAGCAAAGCCTCCTGTTACCCTAGTTTTGTTTCTTCCATTTCATGAGGAGCTTAACAGCAGTGTGAGACACAAAACCCTGCCTGATTATGAACTAATAAATAAATAGAGTAAAATAAAATGAGAGCCTCGGAAACTCAGCAGCTTCTCTCTCAGTTGTAAATACTGTTCTTCTTCATCATTTGTCTGTGTTCCTGCGTGGCATTAGGTTGCTGCTCCAGACCGGTCAGGGGAATGGGTAAGACACACTGAGTTTCTATCTACCACTTCCTAGACATGTGACCCTCTGCTACAACCCCAGTTAGAGTCACTCTAATCTTGTCCCTGGACTGCAACAGCATCTTAACTGGTTCTCCTGATTTTTTTGTTGTGTTGTTTTGTTTTGTTTTATTTTAGTTAGAGTCTCTCTCTGTCTCCCAGGCTGGAGTGCAGTGGCGTTATCTCGGCTCATTGCATCCTCAACCTCCTGGGTTCAAGTGATTATCCCACCTCAGCCTCCTGAATACTGGGATTACAGGTGCCCACCATCATCCCTGGCTAATTTTTGTATTTTAAGTAGAGATGGGGTTTCACCATGTTGGCCAAGCTGGTCTCGAACTCTTGACCTCAAGTGATCCACCGACCTCGGCCTCCCAAAGTGCTGGGATTACAGGCATGAGCCACCGCACCCAGCCTGGTTCTTCTGTTTCTTGCCTCAGTATAGGCTATTCTCCAGGTGTGAAATAATAAATATATATTTTGGTCTCCACCCCGGGTTCCTGATGTAGAGCTCCTCAAGCCATGGTAGATAGGGGTGCGAGAATCTTTTGTTCTAGTATTTGGTGTTTGACCACAGTTCCTGACACAGAACTCCTAAGACCTTTGTAACTTCCTGAGTGATAAGAGACATAGAGTTCCTAAGTCACTTGGAATTTTCTGCACAATAGCAGCATTTTTTGAACTAATGAGGTGACTCTTGGTGGGCTCCTGGATAGCTTCAGGATGGGGCTGGTTGCCAAGGGAACCAACTGTGTGATAAAAGGAAGCCTCCATAAAAACCCCAAAGGAGAGCTCAGAGAGCTTCCAGGTTGCTGGACATGTGGAGGTACATAGAGGTTAGCGTGCCCAGACAGGACATGGAAGCTCCACACCATTCCTCACCCTATGCATCTCTTCAGCTGATCATTCATCTGTATGCCTTGTAATATCCTTTATAATAAACTAGTAAATGTGTTTCCTGTGTTCTGTGAGCCATCCTAGCAAATTAATCAAACCCAAAAAGGGGGTCATGAGAATTCCGATTTATAGCCAGTCAGAATTATAAGTAACAATCTACTACTTGCCACTTGGCATGTATAGTGTGGGGGCAGTCTTGTGGGACTGACTTACGGGATGTGACTTATGGGATGTGATTCTAACTCCAGGTAGCATCAGAATTGAATTGGAAGACACCCAACTGGTGTCTGCTGGAGGATTTTGGTGACCAGAGGGGAATAGGGTTGTGTCGACTGTGTAAGAAAACCTGTTTTGTCTCTTACAGACCAGGTAACTACCAAAATGATATTTAAAGGTAAAATCAGATGAACTGTCTTTCTTAGAACTGTCCAGAGCTTCCCAATGACCAGAATAAACATCTACACTTCTTGACACGGCATTCCAAGATCTACGTGAATGGACCAGCTTTTAAACTCTCCAGCACGCCTTGTTCTACTCACACCCAGCACCATGCTCCAGCCACTCTGGCCTCTTTCTTTCTCCCTAAAGAAGCCACACTTGGTTCCATCTCGGGTGCTCTGTGTCTGCTGTTCTTTGTGCTTGGCATGCTCTGCGCCCCCCAGCCTGCCCCATCCCCCACGACAGCATGCTTCTCTCCTTCCCATTTTCAGTTCTCACCTCAGAAATGCCTGAGTGGACCACCCTAGCTAAAGCAACTGTCCCCAGTCAGACCCTCTCCTTCACAATACTCTATCTTCTTTATACCACATATCACTGCTTTATTTCTGTGTGTATTATCTATCTCCTCCCATTAGAATACAAGTCCCTTAATAAAGGTAGGGACTTCATCTGACCTAATCACTGCTATATCCTCAAGCCTTGAACAGTGCTTGTCCATAGTAAATGTTCAATAAATATATGTGATGCATTAATTACCATTACTTTCTGAATACAATCCAAATTTCTTATCATGAAAATCAAGTACTACATCATCTTCTGTTGGCTTATGTCTTCAGGCTCATCTGCTGCTGCTCCACCCCGCTCCAGGAAGCAACTGGGAGCCACTGTAAAGTATTGATGGTCTGGTAAGTCTAAAAAGAGTAACTCTAAGTATATGAATGGTTTCTATAAAGTCTTTACCACAATCCAAATACTGAGAGGGAGGGAAGGCGGAAAGTGGAGAGGGAGGGAGGAAGGAAGGAAAGTGGGGAGGAAGGAAGGGAGGGAGGGAGGGAGAGAAGGGAAAAAGGAAGAGAAACAGACTTGCATGTGTTGGACATGAGTCAGGGTGGGTAAAGGATATAAAAGCATCAAAATAAGAAGCTTACTTCTCATAGAGGGGGATTTGAATAAAGGGAAGAATTAGAATAAAGGATGGGGGGTTGTAAATGGAAAATTACAAAGATAGAAGATTTTACAAGTGTTATAAGTTGATATGGTTTGGCTTGTGTTTCCACCCAAATCTCATCTCGAATTGTAATCCCCACATGTTGAGCGAGAGAACTGGTGGGAGGAGATTGGATCGTGGGGGTGGATTCCCTCATGCTGTTATCATGATAGTGAGGGAGTTCTCATGAGATCTGATGGTTTAAAAGTGTGTGGCAGTTCCCACCTCATTCTTGCTCTCTCCTGCCACCATGTAAGATGTGCCTTGCTTCCCCTTCGCCTTCTGCTATGATTATAAATTTCCTGAGGCCTCTCCAGCCATGTGGAACTGTGAGTCAATTAAACCTCTTTTATTTATAAATTATCCAGTCTCAGGTAGCATCTTTATAGCACTGTGAAAATGGACTAATATATAAGTATAAGCAAGGAAAGTGTCATAAGACATTGGTAATTTGCTACAGAAGTTTACTTATGCATTTTAATTATTTAACTAGACAGGAATTACCTTTCTTCCTTTTGTGGAATCCCCAAAGCCTTGAGTACAGCATTCCTCATGCAGTGGACAGACAACAAATTCTTACTAAGCAAATAAATCAATGGATGAGAATTGAGGGTCTGTGGGGTAGAAAGGGATGAGAGATAGGTAGTTGACAGCACGGAAAAGCTCATTCCTTCTTTGACAAAATCAAGAATATCTCCATGGAGGTAATCCAAGGATCCATCCCAAGGTTGGGGTCAGACAGAGAATCATGCTTCAGCAATGGAAAAAAACATAGTGGAAAATTATTCCTGACAAGAGTGGATGTGAGCCTATAAGTGCACTCATCCATGTAGAGAAAAGGAAACCTATACCTGGCCCTCTAACTGGAGCTACTGTATGCTTTCAGGGCAAAGAGATAATTTTTAAGCATTTGAATAGAAAACATTAACAAAACCACCACTGAGAAGCACAATATCTCTTCTATCCTCCCACTTCACTGCAAACAGGAAAATGGCTTCCAAGGTCAGCTGTAAGGGTAAGGTAAGATTGAACAGCAGCCAGAAGGAAAAGAGGGAATCTGCCTCTTTCAACATATTCTATGGAAATGCACTCCCAGAGCATCTGAAAAACAAAAACAAAAACAAAACAAAGAAACAAAAAAAACAGTGTGCTAAGTGTCTAGGAACAGCAGGCTGATGAGGACAGGCTGCCCTGACTTCCTGCTCTGCTTTCTGCATCTGAGCCACACTTTCCCTTGGGCATGTCAACAGCACTTATGTCTCTGCAGATGAGCAGCTAGTACAGATGTTTAAAGTAAAAGCATAGCCTCAGTTTAAAAGCAAGAAGAGAGAGAAGATAAAGTTCTTCCTTTAAAAATAAGAAGAAAATCATTCCTGCCTACCTTCCTTCCTTCTTTTTTTTTTTTTGTTTGTTTTTTGTATGTTTGTTTGTTTGTTTGTTTTACGTTAAGTTCTGGGATACAGGTGCAGAACTTGCAGGTTCATTTCATAGGTATACATGTGCCATGGTGGTTTATTGCACCTATCAACCCATCATCTATGTTTTAAGCCTCGCATGCATTAGGTACTTGTCCTAATGCTCTCCTTCGCCTTGCCTCCCATACCCCAACAGGACCCGGGGTGTGATGTTCCCCTCCCTGTGTGCATGTGTTCTCATTGTTCAACTTCCACTTATGAGTAAGAACATGCAGTGTTTGGTTTTCTTTTCCTGTGTTAGTTTGCTGAGAATGATGGTTTCCAGCTTCATCCATGTCCCTGCAAAGGACATGAACTCATTCGATTTTATGGCTGCATAGTATTCCATGGTGTATATGTGCCACATTTTCTTTATCCAGTCTATCATTGATGGGCATTTGGGTGGGTTCCAAGTCTTTGCTATTGTAAATAGTGCCACAGTAAACATACGTGTGCATGTGTCTTTAGGGTAGAATGATTTATAATCCGTTAGGTATATACCCAGTAATGAGATTGCTGGGTCAAATGGTATTTCTGGTTCTAGATCCTTGAGGAATCACCACACTGTCTTCCAAAATGGTTGAAGTAATTTACACTCCCACCAACGGTGTAAAAGCATTCCTATTTCTCCACACCCTTGCCAGCATCTGTTGTTTCCTGACTTTTTAATAATCACCATTCTGACTGACATGAGATGGTATCTCATTGTGGTTTTGATTTGCATTTCTCTAATGACCAGTGATCATGAGCTTTTTTTCATATGTTTGTTGGCTGCATAAATGTCTTCTTTTGAGAAGTGTCTGTTCATATCCTTTGCCCACTTTTTGATGGAGTTGTTTGTCTTTTTCTTGTAAATTTGTTTAAGTTCTTTGTAGGTTCTGGATATTAGACCTTTGTCAGATGGGTAGACGGCAAAAATTTTCTCCCATTCTGTAGGTTGCCTGTTTACTCTGATGATAGTTTATTTTGCTGCGCAGAAGCTCTTTAGTTTAATTGATCCCACTTGTCAATTTTGGATTTTGTTGCAATTGCTTTTGGTATTTTAGTCATGAAGTCTTTGCCCAGGCCTGTGTCCTGAATGGTATTGCCTAGGTTTTCTTTTAGGTTTTTTATGGTTTTGGGTTTTACATTTAAGTCTTTAATCCAACAATAAGACAAGCAGAGAGCCAAATCATGAGTGAACTCCCATTCACGATTGCTACAAAGAGAATAAAATACCTAAGAATACAACCTATAAGGAATGTGAAGGTCCTCTTTAAGGAGAACTACAAACTGCTGCTCAAGGAAATAAGAGAGGACATACACAAATGGAAAGAAATTCCATGCTCATGGATAGGAAGAATCAATATTGTGAAAATGGCCATAGTGCCCAAAGTAATTTATAGATTCAATGCTATTCCCATCAAGCTACAATTGACTTTCTTCACAGAATTAGAAAAAAACTACTTTAAATTTTATATGGAACCAAAAAAAGAGCCCGCATAGCCAAGACAATCCTAAGCAAAAAGAACACAACTGGAGGCATCACTTCAACAAAACTTGAAGTCATCAAAAGGCTGACTTCAAACTATACTGTAAGGCTACAGTATCCAAAATGGCATGATAGTGGTACCAAAACAGATATATAGGCCAATGGAACAGAACAGAGACCTCAGAAATAACACCACACATCTACAACCATCTGATAAAGCTGACAAAAACAAGCAATGGAGAAAGGATTCCCTATTTAACAAATGGTGTTGGGAAAACTGGCTAGCCATATGCAGAAAACAGAAACTGGACCCCTTCCTTACATCTTATACAAAAATTAACTCTAGATGGATTAAAGACATAAATGTAAAACCCTTCGTTTTTAAGGGAAAAGTTTCAAGCACTTTGTGAATATGAACTCATTAATACTTGTAACATCCCTATGATGTAGATGTTTTTAAACCTCCATTTTATAGATGAAGAAACTGGGGCATAAACAAGTTACATATTTTGCCCAGGGACACACAGCAAGGCCAGGATTCAAAATATGCAGACTGCTTCTGGAGGTCAGGCTATTAGCCAGTGCTGTTCCAACTCTCATGGTTATGATCTGCTTGTAATTACCCCAGAATCAAAGTCCTTAAATAAATTGTGAATGTTTTTATGGAAAACATGAAATACATAGAAAAGTAGAGAAAATAGTATTATGGACCCCCTTATACTCATATCTCAGCTTCTACAATTATCAAATCATGGGCAATCTTGTTTTATCTAAAACTCTGATCTCCAATAATGAATTATTTTCAAGTAAATTTCAGGCATCATATAATTCCATCTAAAAACACTTTTTGAGTGCAATGTTACCAGATCATTTTTAATAACAGCTTTACTGAGATATAACTCACATGAAAATGAGTTATATCATATATACCATAAAATTTACCCATTTTAAATTGTATAATTAAATGTTTCATGTATATATTTACAAAGTTACATAATTATTACCACAATCAATTAGAATATTTTTATCATCCCGAAAAGAAGCCCCATAAACATTAATGGTCACATCCCATCTCCTCCTCCTGCCAACTCCGGGCAACCACAAATTCACTTTCTGTCTCTATGGATTTGGCTATTATCTGAACATTTTATATAAACAGAATCATGCAATAATACATGGTCCTTTGTGACTGGCTTCTTTCACCAGTATAATGTTTTCAAGTTTCGTCCATGTCATAGCATGTATGAGTACTTCATTCCTTTTATGGCTGAATAATATTCCACTGTATGGGTATACCACATTTTGTTTTTCCTTTCCTCAATTGATGGACATTTAGGCTGTTTCAACTTTTTGGCTATTATGAGTAATGCTGCTATGAACATTCACACACAAGTTTTTGTGTGAACATATATTTCCATTTCTCTTGGGCATACACCTAGAAGTGGAATTCCTGGATCATATGGTAACTGTATGTTTAACCATTTTTGGAACTGCCAAACTGTTTTCCAAAGCAATAGTTCCATTTTACATTCCCACCATCAATATATGAAGTTTCCAATTTCTTCACATCCTTGCCAACACTTAATTATCTGTCTTTTTGATACAAGCCATCCTACTGGGCATGAAGTGGTTTTGATTCTCATTTCCCTGATGGCTAATGATGTTGAGGACCTTTTTATGTGGCTAGCAGATTTAAGCCAACAGACTCTCTCACTTTAGGGTTCTCTTTGAAACACCTCCTTTAATTCTAAAATGTCTGTTCTCTCCCCTTCTACCAATAATTCATCCACTTTAGTACCCCATTTTTTGCCTCCTTCATCCTCTTCCCTATACTTTCAATCATTCCACAATTGGTGTCTAGCCAGAGACCCCATAAAAATATACTTTTTAAAAAGTAGATTTGGAAGTAGGTCTTTGAAATCTGGTGTGTACAAATAAAACCCCTCCATGTTTTATTTTCTTCATAGTAGCTATCACTGTCTGAGATAATCTTATTTGTTTACTTGTTTATAGTCTGTCTTCCCAAATGCACGCTAAAATATAAGACTCATGAGAGGAGAGACATTGCCTATTTGCTTACTATCTCCCTATTGCCTAGAAGAGAGTCATAGCGGAAGCTCAAGAAACATTTGGTGTTTGAATTAAGAGTTCTCAGATTGTGGAGTTCTTATTTGATCTTGTTATGCTGCATTGCACACCAACCTTGCACATCTCTTTAAAATACGTTGCGTTTCCTAAGAATAATATCTGAAATACAGGCCATGCATTATGCACATCACCCTTCATCACAGCATATTTATAAAGGAAAAAACATCAGTTAACACTCTAAATGCTCAACATCTATACATTGAAATATTGTGCAAGGAATTTAAATGATGTTTACAGAGAGACTGTAGTATTACAGGGATATGTTTGCTCTATTATATGAAAAAAGCAGGTTACAATATGTATTACATTATGACCACAAACAAGGTTTTTTAGATGTTTAGAATAGAGATTGTGAGGAAATAAATCAAAATGCTGACAGAGTTGTCTTTGGGTGGTACATTAAGGGCTACTAATTTTCTTTTACTTCTTCTTTCTACTTTTCCACATTTTTAAATTTTCTATCATGAATATGTGTTACTCTTATAATAAGATACAAAAATGACTGTATTTTAAGAAAAGCTAACTGTAACTGCATAGTACTCTCACAATGACAAAGAAGTAGGCGTTTTCACTGATTTTTATCCATTTTAAAGCAATAGTTTACAAAATGAAAACATAAGCCATCATTGTTGTTTACATTGCCAAGCTGATGAGGGACATTTTCTCGTTATAGTAATGTTTCAGTCAATAAACAAAAAATGAATAACAGAATATCACCATTTTTCAAGTCCTAGTAATGGATCTAAGACAATGATCATCACTGGCTACCAGTCATTATGTGTTTCCTAATGAGAAAACACAACATAACCTGCAAGTTGTCATAGCAAAAATATAACTTAAATTTGATCTGGAGCTTCTGGATCAAGCTACTTGTTCACAGGAAACACAGGAACTAGAAGAACACAGTAAATGATAGTACAGGAATGCAAAATCCAGAATGTGGAAAACTCCGTAGGTCAAACAAACCAGTTCACTAACAAATAAATAAAAGGGAAAAAAAAGAGTAGGGAGGTAAGGAAGAATCCTATAGATTAAAATAAACATGAAACACATAAATTAATTACAACAAATAGGCCTGCACTGTCCAACTCAGTAGCCACTACCCACATGTGGCTAGTCCAAATTGAAGTGTGCAAAATACACACCAGATTTCAAAGACTTAGTATGAAAAAATATATATAAAATATCTTATTAGAACATTTTAACTGATGTGTTGACATAATAATGATAATATTTTGGTACATTGGCTTAAAACAACAAATTAATTTCACTTTTACTTTTTAAATTAAAACTAAAAATTCATATGTGGCTTATATTGCATCTCTATGACAGTATTGCTATTAATATTATTTGGATTCTGATTTAAATACACAAATAATATATATATAAAATAGTTAATTACTTTAGGTTTGATAATGATATTGTGATTATGCTTTTAAAAATTTTTTAAATAGTCCTTATCTTTTATAGCTACATATGAAATATGTAGGGATGGAATGATATTATGAACAGGATTTGCTTTAAAATAATGTGATGGGGAAAAGTGGATAAGCGTATAGATAAATAAGAGTGGTCATGAGGTGGTCATGTGGAAATAAATAGGAAATTCATCGTATTAGTCTCTCCACTTTTGCGTATGTTTGACATTTTCCATGATAAAAAGTTAGAAGGGAGTGGGTGAGGCTACAACTGTGGGCATACTTTTAAGAACTAGGAGCAAAACGGTAAGTAGTCTGCCACAGCAACAGACCCCAGACCTGGTATGCTTCACTGTAGAATCCTTATAGGCTACCCTATCCTTGATCTCAAACCCTTCTTCTGTGCTCAACCTCCTTTCTGTTATTTAGCTTTTACTTTGGAAATGCATCCTTGACTTAATTATCTTACCCCAGACCTTCTTTCTGGCTGATGGACCTTAACTCTATGTGTATTATTTCTGGTAACAAATTCCCCCAAAACGTGGTGAATGAAAACAACAATCATTTTGTTATTATTTCTTCTGATCCTGGGGGTTGACTAGGTTGAGCTGGGCAGTTCTCACTAGGAGTTTGTCATGTAGTTACAATCAGGAGGTGATTGAGGCTAGAGCCATCCAAAAGCTTCCTCACTCATAAGTCTGTCAGTTAATGCCAGCTGTTGGTTGGGATGTCAGTTCAGGCTGTCAGCCAGAACACCTATACATGGGTTTTCCGTGTGACACGGGCCTCCTCACCGTATGGTGGCTAGGTTTCAAGAGCTCGCATCCCAATAGTATCCCAGGTAATAAGTCTATCACCTTTATGCCATAGTCTAGAAAACATCACTTCAACCATAGTCACCAACCCACCAACATTCAAGGGTAGAAAACATAGGTCCCACCTTTTGATGGAAGGAGTGCCAATATCACATTGGAGATGAGCGTGTGGAACAGAAATCTTGCTGCAGCCATCGTGGAAAATTCTGTCTGCCATACTTTGGATCCCCCTTGGTCTACACATTTATTTCTCTGGCTCTGACCAGTTTCCAATTATTAGGAAGCCAAACAGCACTTTTTCTGCTTAGAACTATCATCTATCTGATCCTGCTCAGCTTGCACAACATTCTAGCCACTGGTACTGCTTGCTCACAGACTTCTGCCTTTACCTCTTAACCCCCTCTATTCCTCCTTCATCATGTCTTGTCTGCTCCAAAATGTATAAGGACATAACATTAGAAAATAACATTGGCCATATACTCTTGAAAATACCCTACTTCTACAAACCTGACCCAAGAAATACAAACAGGCTGATATGAAATACAGTGAAAATAAACATGCTTAATTAAATTTTAAAACTAGTCAATGACTGTGCATTCTTAATGTTTGGTTTATGTCATTATTATATAATGAACAATAAAAGTGTTCAATGTCAGTGCCCTGGATAAGCTCTTACTTTTAAGTACCAGGTAGAAAAAAAAAATCATTCTACATAGAAGATCCCTATCACCAGAAACATTATGGCACCCTCTGCTGTCAGGAAACAACATTTAAAGGTACCCTGTGTTCATTTTCCCTGCAGGATTCTCCAGCATCCTGTTCCCGTAGGCTGCCAATCATCTTTTTTTTTTTTTTTTTTTTTTTTTTCTGAGACGGAGTCTCGCTCTGTCGCCCAGGCCGGACTGCGGACTGCAGTGGCGCAATCTCGGCTCACTGCAAGCTCCGCTTCCCGGGTTCACGCCATTCTCCTGCCTCAGCCTCCCGAGTAGCTGGGACTACAGGCGCCCGCCACCGCGCCCGGCTAATTTTTTGTATTTTTAGTAGAGACGGGGTTTCACCTTGTTAGCCAGGATGGTCTCGATCTCCTGACCTCATGATCCACCCGCCTCGGCCTCCCAAAGTGCTGAGATTACAGGCGTGAGCCACCGCGCCCGGCCTGGCTGCCAATCATCTTATCCAGATGTAAAAGCATAATTTGGAGAAGTACAGAAAAGCAAGGGGCTTAATGCAGGCAAGATATTAAAGGTAAAGGTAAAAAATAAAAACACATCAGTGTATGCAGTTCAATGTAAATAAGTCTGAAAGAGGAAAAGAAGCTTTGTATAGAACCTCAAGAGGTAGCCAATCAAAAACATAATATAGCTATCCTTGTCTAAGCCCTTTATATAAGTAGTTAATCTTGACAAATTGCCCATGAAACATAGAAAGGTTAAATATAGCACAAGGTCACACAGCAAGTAAATGGCAGAACCAAGATACAAACCCCAGAAATCTGTCTCTAGAGCCTGTATCTTTAACCACTCTGCTCTACTGCCTAATAAATAGCTATGACTACTAATGGGAAAAAAACTTCCTTAAGTATATCAAGAACTACTATCAGGTATTATTGCCATTACCTAAAATTGGCTGTCAGGAAAATTTCTTGCCCCGCGTAAAGCAGAGAAAAAGTAATCCAAGTCTCCCATCCACAATTAAGCCATTCTGAAGTTTAAGATTACTTTCCCTTCTAAATTTAGAAACAAATTTGTTCTTTGGAGAAATCAAAATGTATTACACTAACCTCAAAAGTAATTTCTCTCATCACAACCTCACTAAAATCTGTCAGCTGCTTTTACAGAGAATGGATTCTCCTATAGCAGACTCAAAGCTTGCGCAACCTGATTGTTTAATCCACCAACCAACTAGTCAACTGAGCAGTCACTCAGGATGTTCCAAATCCAAAGACTGGTTCACTAACCCAGTGAAACCTATAGTGGAGTAGGGAGCCTTTCCTAATGAAGGACAGAGCAACTAGTTCTCTTCCTCCATAGAATAATGAGCCAAATAGTTCTGCACCAGAATGAGAGGGATGCTCAAAAGGTTGGAGAGCTCTGGGCTGCAGACTGAATGAAGCAGGACAAACTTCCTGGTATGGTGGTAGAAGAACATCACGTTAGTGAGACTCTGTAGGCAGAGTAAGGATCAAGGCCATATCCACTCAAGGCCTTCTGTCCCTGGTCAGACTTCCAAGTCCCCCTTGCTCAGAAACCAGGTGATAACAGTAGGGCCTAGATTCTGTTCCAGTCACAGGAGACATGATGGAATTGGTACAGTGCACTAGGAGCACACGTTGGAAACCACCTCAATGCTACAAACAGGAAGGGCATGAACCCTAATATCTATTGATGGCCCAGTCACTGTGCCACTGCAGGCACAGCCACTAGTGCTTCAGACTTTCCCTTATTTAAACCTCACAATTAAAAACCCCATGAGGCTGTGACCAATATCCCTATTTCACACAGAGGAAAGTGTCTAAGAAATTAAGAACTGACCCAAGGTTACACAGCAGTATGGACAGAATTTGAACTTCTGTCTCTTTCCATAGTCCAAGCCATTTCTATTATATCAAGCTGCCCATGCAACAATTAATGACATTGGGCAACTATGATAGTTGTTTCTGACTCCTCCCCTGAAATTTTAGACCGGCCTACAAGCCAAATGTTTGGATATAAAAATACACCTAGATTGTGACACTATTGTAACACTAGGAAGTACAGCTTGGGAAGGATACCTCTCCTACTTACTCCAAGTTTTCTATTCTTCTCTCATATTCCTGTTTCCTGTTCCAATCCCAGATCATCTCTCTTGAGCTGTATCATTTGGGTAGGTGTTTCTCAAAGAAGACCACCCTATTTATGCCAGCCTCCAAGGTATTCATATACAGAACCTTAAAGGATAATGATACAGAAAATAAAGAGAAACTCTTCCTTTGCAGACCTTCTAAGAAAACTTGGACAAGTAAATTGAAGTTTGCTGGGCTTCAATTTGGCCAAGCAAAACCAGAGTGAGTTGGACTATATGATCTCTAATTCCCTTCCAGCTTTAGAGTCTGTAATTCTATTATTTTTAACTAAATCCACTAATCTTCACAATAAAATAACCACAAAGAAATATATCAACTTATAAAGAGGTCAAAAGAGACAGATTAATTCTGACAAATACTGCTTTGTGCCTAGGACATCAATGTGATTTTTTTTTAAGTGCACAGATTTACATTGGCTGGTATTACTTCATTCTTGAGATGACAGAGTGGAAGGCAGGCCTTGCCTGATGCCACAGCCAACTATCTCTGGAGGTCAGGTCAGTTTTAGAATCTATACCAGAAAGAGGTTATTTATCTCATGCTCCACAAGTTACCTTTGGCCCACAGGCTCTGATTACCTTCTATCCATAGGATGTCAGGGCAATACTAGGGCTGTCTCAGGGTCTTTGGAGTGAGGGATTTCTCCATTTTCTTGACTCAGCTAATTGAACAGAAAAGTCTTCCCCCTTTAGAAGTATTGGAAAGAAAGCCTCCCTCTTTCAGGGCTCCACCATTCATCCCACCCCATCAGACAAGGGAATAACTTGGCAAGATTTGGGGAAAAAGGCATTGCATATGCATGGTCTAGGCCCCTTTCTAGGATCTAGCCTTTCCCCAGGCAGCTGCAGTGCTTAAACTCACTCCTCCCTTCCCCAGGGTAGATCCTACCCTGTGGGGAGGAAGGTCTTCAGTCAGCGACTATGTGGGTATGTTCAATTTAGAGCAAGGAAGAACAAACTCAGTTTGGCCTTGGTTCCAAGCCACAATCTCTTTTCCAGCTTTATCATCAATATCTGACTCTCATATCTACTACACAATTGATTCAGAACTTGATTCAAAACTCCAGAAGAGGATTATACCCCTTTAAAACTTTAAGAGAAGGCACTGATCATATTGAGTTCAATTATCAGGCACTGTACTAAGTGCTCTAAAGTAATTCAGAATTCAACAAAGGAGATGAGTGTGTAAATAATCTAAGCAAGCAGAATGTAATAAATCCCAGTCATAGATTCAAGCAGATGCTGCTGGGATGCCAAGTAGGAGGTGGGGAGAGAGGATGGGGAACAATAGTCCAGGACAATCAGGATAGGTTTCCAAAAGAAATTTTTTGATGTTGTAACCAGGCCCTGAGAGAAGACCCAGAACCGTACCTGCGTGTCAAGATTCTGCAGGCTCAGGCAGGCTCAGCTCCTCAGTGTCCCCATACATTTGTAAAATATGAAGTCAATGGCCAAGTCCCACCTAAGCCCATTCTACTGGCAATGGTTGGAATTACAGCAGCCTCTAGACAGGCTAAACTGTTTTTTGCCATTCTTAGCTCGTTCTGAATTCTCTGACTCTAGAAAAATAGAATACGTAAGATGAGGAAAAGGACAGAGTGAAAATGGGACAGAATAGCTGGAAGGAGGTGGGTGATTACAAGAAGTTTTGACTCCAATTTGAACATATGTTGTTTGCCTTAGGAAAAATAAAAGTGCAACCAGCCTGACACTTTGATCAGAGGTTTACAAGATTAAACACTTGGCATGCCTAAAGGACAAAATCTGGTCAAGAACGATTGTATCACATATCACAGACTGGGCCTCTTTGCTAATTGACATCTACAGAAATTTAAGCTTGACTACTTATTCTAAAATACAGAATACATAAGTCACAGGTTTACACACCTCCCAAAGACTATACCTTTGCGGTACCTATGTGGCAGAACCAAGGCAAAAAGTTATCAACAGCCAATTTCTAAAAACCCCTTACTTATTGAGCCACATAACATGGATGTTAGAAATCAGTCAATGCATTCCTCTAGCACTTTCTATCAGACACATCCACTTCTCCTAGTGCAGGAACAACTTGAGGTCACTCTATGTCTCATTTTGTAATAACCCAGCTCTGTACATAATTGGTGCAAAATAAATGTTTGTTAAATGAAATAAGGGAATCAAACAACCAGATTCCAGCATGACTTAATTAATCCCTATGTGTCCTAGTTTTAGAAAGTGTGATACCATCACATTTCAATCAATATGTTCTAGATTAAACATTTCTGTATTTTTGTGCATGTGTGTACATACACTCACCCTTCTAATCACATCCTTACATATGGTGAAAACGTGGAACACATTATGCTTTATAACTCACTAGAAATTCAACAAATTCTTATTAGTATCTATAAAGCAAGGTACTACAAGAGATGAAGGCTCCATCACTGTCCTCAAAAAGTAATAGGCTCTTTTTCTCATCCCCACTCCCACTGGGTTAGTGTCCTTCCACAGCCCACCTTAGCTCTCATCACACTGTTATCTCCTATGTTTGTCCTCCACAAGCCAACTGCCAGAGGGCTTTCAGGGTCACAACTGTAGCTCCGCCCTGCAGTTTTATCCAATGGTAAGCTTTAAATAAATTGTTTTTATACATTGTTGAAATGAGGAAGGGAATGGGAAAAATTCAACCACAATAAAGGAAATGGTTAAGTCCTTTAAGACTGGTACAAAGTACTATAGAGTTTAGAAGAGAGAGAGGTTACAAAAGAATCTGGATATTAATTAACATTCATTATATAACATTCATTAACATTAACATTCCAAGCCAGTCTCCTTTCACAATCAGGGATATAGGCCTGTAATTTTCTTTTCTTATAGTGTCCTTGTCTGGCTTCGGTATCAGGGTAATGTTGGCTTCATAAAATGAGTTTGGAAGTATTTCCTGTTCAACTTTTTGGAAGAGTTTGAGGATTGTTATTAGCTCTTCTTTAAATGTTTGGTAGAATTCCACTATGAAGTCATCTGTTCCTGGCTTTTCTTTGATGGGAGACTAATTAGATTCTATGTCCTTACTTGTTGGTCTGCTCAGATTTTCTATTTCTTCCTGATTTAGTCTTGAATCAAGACTTGGTAGGTTGTATGTTTCTAGGAATTTATCCATTCCTTCTAAGTTATCCAATTTGTAGGCATAGTTAGTAGTAGTTGATAGTAAAGAAAGTAAACCCTGAGCTGGTCCATGAAGAATAGGCAGGTTTCCGGCCAGGTGCGGTGGCTCATGCCTGTAATTCCAGCACTTTGGGAGGCTGAGGTGGGTGGATCACCTGAGGTCAGGAGTTCGAGACCAGCCTGGCCAACATGGTGAAACCCTGTCAAAAATACAAAAGTTAACCTGGTGTGGTGTCAGGTGCCTGTAATCCCAGCTACTCGCGAGGCTGAGACAGGACAATCACTTGAAACCGGAAGGCAGAGGTTGCAGTGAGCCGAGATTGCACCACTGCACTCTAGCCTGTGCAATAGAGCGAAACTCTGTCTCAAAAAAAAACACACACACACACAAAGAATAGGCAGGTTTCTCACAACCTTTCCTTAAGAAAGGTTGCTCCATGAGGGAAGCATATGTGCCAAGGCAAGGTGCAAAAATTAAGAAGAGGCATGTTTAAGAAATATACATAAGGAAATAATGAAAAATAAAACTGAAAAGTTTGGAACAATATTTGTAAAAACTTAAAAATGAGGAATCTAGGCTTAGTCAGATACACAGCGGGGAAACTGTACATTATTTTGACCAAAACTGTAACACATTTAAGCTTAGGAAAAGTAATTTGGCAGGATGGATAATAAGGGAGAAAGTGAAGCTGAGTGTAGGAAGACTAGGTTGGTATGAGAACAAAAACAGATGTATAAGAACAAACAAAGGACAAAAGGCAGACCTGTCAATGTATTAACTGAACGTGAGGAAAAATTCACATGAAAATTACCATAGGAAAAAAGTTTGCTTAGTAAGAAATAAATTCAGATGAATACAATGCAAACAGTAAACATTTTAAATAAATTTAAACAGAGTTGATTACAGTAGCCCCTCTGTATCCATGGGTTCCGCATCTATGGATTCAACCAACCATGGATTAAAAAAAAACAACAACAACAAATCTACAAAGTTTCAAAAAGCAAAGCTTGAATTTACCATGTGCTAATACTATGTTAAATCCACACAAATGAAGTTATGTGTAGGCACTGTATTAGGTATTATAAGTAATCTAGAAATTATTTCAAGTATGCAGGAGGATGTCCATAGGTTGTAGGCAAACACTACACCATTTTATATAAGAGACTTGAGCATTCACAGGTTTTGGTAACCTCAGAGGGTCCTGGAACCAATCCCCACAGATACCACAGGTCGACTGCATTTAAAGTGGCATAGGGTACTTTGAAAAATAAACAAAATTGATAAACCTTTATCCAGACTAAGAAAAAAAGAATGTTAAAATAAGTAAACTCAGAAATGAAAGTGGAGCCACTACAACTGATACTACAAAATGCCAAGGATCATAAGAGACTATTATTAAAAATTATACATCTACAAGTTGGGTAACTCAGGAGAAATGGATAAATTCCTAGAAACAAACAATCTAGCAAGACTGAATCCAGAAGAAAACAGAAAACCTGAACAAAGAAGAAGATTGAATGAATAATAAAAAAATCTCCCATCAAAGAGAAGCCCAAGATCAGATGGCTGCATGGCAGAATTCTACCAAACATTTAAAGAGGAACTAATACCAATCCTTCTCAAACTCTTCCAAAATTTTGAAGGAGGAATACTTCCAAACTCACTTTATGAGACCAGAACTACCCTGAGATGAAAACCTAACAAGGACATTACAAAAAAAGAAAAATTACAGGCCAATATCCCTGATAAACATCAATGCAAAAATCTTCAACAAAATACCAGCAAACTAAATTCAACAGCATATTAAACAGATCATTCACCATGATCAAGTGGGATTTATCCCTGGGATGCAAGAATGGGCCAACATATGCAAATCAATAAATATAACATACCATATTAACAAGAGTGCAGCACAAAAACCATTTGATCATTTCAATAGATGCAGAAAAAGCATTTGAAAAATTCAACAGCATTTCACGGTAAAAACACTCAACAAATTAGGCATAGAGGGAACGTACCTCAACACAATTAAGGCCATATATGAAACGCCCACAGCTAACCTCATACTTAATAGTGAAAACCTGACAGCTATTTTTTTTTTTTTTTGAGATGGAGTCTCGCTCTGTCAACCGGGCTAGAGTGCAATGGAGCAATCTTGGCTCACTGCAAGCTCCACCTCCCAGGTTCCGGCGATTCTCCTGCCTCGGCCTCCTGAGTAGCTGGGATTACAGGCGCCCGCCACCATGCCAGGCTAATTTTTGTATTTTTAGTAGAGACAGAGTTTCACCAAGTTGGCCAGGATGGTCTCGATCTCCTGACCTCATGATCCGCCCACCTCGGCCTCCCAAAGTGCTGGGATTACAGGCGTGAGCCACAATGTCTGGCCCTAAAATTAGTAGCATTTATTTACACTGACAATGAACTATTGAAAAGGTAAGAAATCAATCTAATTCTCAATAGCATCAAAAAATACTTAGGAGTAAATTGAATCAAATAAGTGAAAGATCTGTATACTGAAAACTATAAAACACTGATGAAAGAAATAGTAGACAACACAAATAGATGTAAAGGTATCCTGTGTTCCTGGATTGGAAGAATATTGTTGTATTAGTCCTTTCTTGCATTGCTATAAAGAAATACCTGAAAATGGTTAATTTATAAAGAAAAAAGGTTTAATTGTCTCATGGTTCTGCAGGTTGTACAGGAAATATGATGCTGGCATCTGCTTCTTGGGAGACCTCAGGAAACTTTCAATCATAGCAGGAAGTGAAGGGGAGGCAAGCACATCTTACATGGCTAGCGCAGAAGGAGGGTGGGGAGGTGCCACACACTTTTAAATGACCAGATCTCATAAGAGCTCTATCACAAGCAGCAAAAGGGGAAATCCACCCCCATGATCCAATCACCTCCCACCAGGCCCAACCTCCACATTGAGGATTACAATAGAACATGAGATTTTGGTGGGGACACAGATCCGAACCATAGCCATTGTTAAAATGTCCATACTAGACAAAACAATCTACAGGTTCAATCCAATCCCTGTAGTATGACAGGTCCCCCACAAGGTTGCTTAAGGGTGTATGTCCACTGCCCAAATCCTGAAGGCTGGGCAATGAGTCAACACCATGGTGTGCAGGCGAGGAGCACGTATCCCTGAGAATCTAAATATTCTAGAGAGTATCTGAGAACATACCAAGAAAAACAGTCTTATTGCTCAAACACAATAGGCAAAGAGCCAGGAAATTAGCTTAAAAGCAGTTTAGAGATGGGAGGTGGCACAGAGCTCTAGTGGTGTCCTGTTGCCATCCAAGACTCTCCTGTAATTAAGTCCTAATAAACTCATCTGCTCCTCAAGCTGGACTTGTCCCAGTCATTCTTTGGTCTCTCGGCTCCTTCCCACTTTGAGTTGGAACATTATAGTCCCAGGTTTTTCTCATAACAACCCCTATCAAAATTCCAATGTCATTTTTCACAAAAATAGAAATAACAATACCATAATTTGTATGGTACCAGAGAAGACCTGAATAGCCAAAGCAATCTTAAACATAAAGAACAAAGTTGGAGGCATCACACTACCTGACTTCAAAATCTATTATAAAACAATAGTAATCAAAACAGCATGATACTGGCATAAAAACAGATATGTTGACTAGTGGAACAGGAGAGCCCAGAAATAAACCAACACACCTATAGTCAATTGGCTTTCAATAAATATGCCAACACTACACAATGAAGCCAGTCTCTTCAATAAATGGTGTTGGTAAAACTGAATATACACATGCAGAAGAATGAAACTGGATCCTTATCTCACACCACATATAAAAATCAACTCAAAATGGTTTAAAGACTTAAACATAAGACCTGAAACTATAAAACTACATGAACAAAACACAGGGGAAATGCTCCATAACACTGGTATGGGCAAAGATTTCTTGGATATAACCCCAAGAACACAGACAACAAAAAATACATGGCGCTGCATCAAACTAAAAAGCTTCTGCATAGTGAAGTGAATGATAGAATGAAGAGACAACCCATGAATTCGAAGAAAATATTTATAAATCATACATCTGATAAGGGGCTAATATCCAAAATACATAAGGTACTGAAGCCACTAATAAGAAAATGAACTCAATTAAAACATGGGCAAAGGATGTAAACAGATATTCCTAAAAAAGACACAAATGGCCAACAAATATATGAAAAGATGCTCATCATCACTAATCAGAAAAATGCAAATTAACACAAGGTATCACCTTACACCTGTTAGAATTACTATTATCAAAATGATAAAAGTGTTGACAGGGTGTAGAAAAAAGGGAACACTTGTGCACTGACGTTGGGAATGTAAATTAAAACAGCCAATATTAAAATCAGCATGGAGACAGAAAACTAAAAATAGAATTACCATATGATCCAGCAATCCCACTTCTGGACATATAGCTAAAGGAACTGAAGTCAGTGTGTCAAAGAGGTATCTGTACCACCACGTTCACTGCAGCATTATTCACAACAGCTAAGATATGGAAGCAATCTTAATGTCCATCATCATATGAATGAAAACAAAATGTGGCATATATACTCAATGGAATACTATTCAGCCCTATAAAAGAAAGAAATCCTGTCACTTGTGACAGGAACCTGGAAGACATTATACTAAATGAAATAACCCAGGCACAAAAAGGTAAATACTATGTGATCTCAGCTATCTGTGCAATCTAAAAAAAAGGTGAATTCATAGAAGTAGAATGGTGGTTACCAGAGGCTGGGAGAGAGAAGTGGATGGGAAAAGGGGAGATGCTGATCAAAGGGTACAAAATATCAGTTAGACAAGAGGAATAAACTTTACTGATCTATTACACAGAATGGTGAGTATAATAAATAATGCATTGTACATTTCAAAAATATTAAGAGTAGATTTTAAGTGGTTTTTTTACCACAAAAAATGGTATGAGGCAATAAATTTATTACATTGATTTAATCATTCTACACTGTAAACATATATCAAAACATCACATTGTACTCCATATATATAATATACACAATTATCAATTAAATTTTAATAACACAAAGGACAAAAGAAAAAGTGGCATAGTTTTGAACAACTCCCATTTAAAATTAATTCATTTCAAATTAAACTATTCAACTAGTGAATACCTATTGCCAGGCACTTATAAAATAATGTTGGCTCTTTAGTACTTAGTAAATTTATTTTGATGCATGACCAAAATAAAAGGGAAATTTAACATGTATATCATATGAAAATAGGTTTTAGTGAAGAAATAAAAACTGAGTTTGATTTTAAAATCCATGACACTATAAACAAACTACTACTTCCAACATAAGCTAAAGTTAATTCATAAAGAGTTCTATGTACTGGTTAAGAAGACCCCAGAAACTAAGAAATGAACAACTTGATATACACTCATTTTTTTTTTATACATACATCTTTAATGATAAAAGAAGCTGAGATGCTATGCACCAAAAAATTCGTAAGGGTATTGTTATTTTACTTTTTTCAAAAATAATCCAAATAAACTATAGATACAAATTCTGCGGCAGGGCAACCTAACTTATTTCAGGGACAGATAATTCTAGTGTACTTAAGATCTGTCTAAGTATTTAACATTCCTGTAAGCATTATAAAAAAGAATAGGAAAAGAATGAAGTTGTCTGTTAAAATGTTAACAGTAGTTCTCTCTGAAAGAAGGGATTGTTGAGAGTTTTTTACCTTCTTTCTTATAGAGGTATAACCTATACTTATGAAGTCAGAGAAAGAAAAAATATTTAAGGGTAAAGTTATGTATTTTAAGTTTTGCATACTGAATGGTAAGGGATGTAGATTTTATTCTTATTGTGAATGAGAAGTGTTGAAGGATTTTAATCATCGAGTTGACGTGTCATGAACAAATACTTGAAGCAACCCTGGGTACCGAAGCCTAGAGACTTTGAGTACATTTGAAAATTGCTTTAAGTGCATGACTAGACAGCATAAACGAGTGATTGCATATGTACTCTGCATTATTTTGGACATGTTTGGATCCTAAGTTAAAGAAACAATCAGATTGTGAAATAAGACTTTCTAACTAGAGTCACCTAAAAAAATGAAAGGTTAATCTATCAAATCATGAGCGCTTCAATGATATGGATGACTAGCTGTGAGGGGTATTTTAGCAAAATAGAAGTTTAGATCAAAAGCAATGTGGTAAAAGTGGGTTTGGAGTCAAACTTGGATCTGATTCCCAACTCCAACATATAGTGTCTGTTATTTACCCCCAATGTGTCATTTTAACCTCTAAACCTCAGCTTTCTTGTCTATGAGGACAACACTTACCCCACAGAATCATTGTAGTAATTAATGCTAATGCATGACCCAGCACAGATGTTGAAAACAGAAGAGCCTTATTATTATATACTCACTCCTATTTAAAGATCCAATGATTCAATGATTAAAAACAATAACATGATTGGTTTGGCAGAATAATACCAAACATAAAAAGTAATACATCTGGACCAAGCACAGTGGCTCATGCCTGTAATCCTAGCCCTTGGAAGGCCGAGGTAGGAGAAATGCTTGAGCCCAGGAGTTCAAGACCAGCCTGGACTTTGTTTCTACAAAACAATTAAAAATTAGCTGGGCATGGTGGCACACACCTGTAGTCCCAGCTACTCAGGAGGCTGAGGTGGAAGGATCAGTTCAGCCCAGGAAGTCAAGGCTGCAGTGAGCTACGATCACTTCACTACACTCTAGCCTAAATGACAGAGCAAAACCACTTCAAAAAAAAGTATTAGATCTGGAAAACTAGTCTTTACTTATCTGTATACTAATTGGTAATACCCAGGAACATCCTTTCCCAAATGAAGATCAGCACTGCTGCTCTGGCCAGGCCAAGGAAACAGATGAAGGGAAAGAACATAAGAAGAGTGGAATACAGAAGACAAGAAGGTGGGATAAAATAAAGATCTGAGTCCCAAACTGCTGCCTTTATCTAGGTGAATAAATTTCAACAAAAGAAGAAATAAATGTGCCAGAACTCTTAGGCTTTCTAGTTAAAAGGCTAACTTCCTTATTCAAAGAAGATTCAAATAGCTCAAAGTTGGAAATACAACTGGTGCTCAATAGGTACTTATCAACTGATAAATGTACATTTTACATCCTAGCCTAATGGTAAAGCTATTACGGAGATAACAGTGTCAAAGTCGGCTGGATCATCAAACATATTTGTTAACTTTGTTCCTGAAGTAAGAGGTATATTTAATTCCACTACATGAGCCCAAAAAAGTATTATGAAATCAGAGATCTTGCCAGGAATATCCCATGCCCTTCCCACTCATCCATCCCCTATTTTCACACGCTTAGGGAAGAAATATTCTATTCATTTACAATAAGACATCCACTCCTTGCATAAAGAAAAATGAGTACATTGATCAAATATGATGAACAATAGAATGTACTGCTGTGAGGACAAGGACTTTTATCTTTATTGTTCACTGTTGTCTCTACAGCATCTAGAAACATATCTGCCACATAGCAGTTGCTCAATAAATACTTGCTAAATGAAGGAATGAATGACTCTTTGAAGAAATAATTTTGGGCAACCTAAAAAAAACTGTTTTCAATGTTGATGTTTTTATTAAGGCTTTGGAAGAGTCTTATTATTTTACATAATAATTTTCCCAACTACTTTTATGGAATACCTCAAAAGAAAGAAAATTTCTTTTACATTATAGAACTGATGATACTGCCCTAATTGAGCCAAACATAGAAAACTTTGGAAAAAACTTTCTATAAAACAGTTTCAATATAATTTTATTAGCAGTTATTACATCAAAATTCACATTTAGAGGATCCAGAGGACTGTCTTAGAAAATTCTAAAGCATATTTAATTAGGTTTTAACAGTAAGGGAGAACTTAATATAACACAGCCCTTAAAAAGTCAAGACTACTACTGAAAATTAAGTGCAGTTCTATCAAGAACTAGAAATGAACTGCACGCGTAGTGTCACTTAAAGCAAAGCTTCATGAAAATATAATACACTTCTATGAATGTATCAGTGGCAAACATCATTGGCTTCCAAAAAACTGACACTAAAGGAATTTCCAATCAAAACACAAGCACAGTGGCTTTCATTCAATATAGAGCTATGATAAGTCTATCAAGAGACCCTGAATCCTTACGTACTTGTAATATGATTTTATGCTGTGACACTAGTACAAAACACATCAACTCTAATGCATAGATGACGACACATGATAACACGATACCAAGGAAAGCCTTTTTCTATATCAGAAAATGCCAAGTTCTCCAGTACTGTGTAGGCTCGTCATTGCTGATCCAGTGAAATTCTACGTCCTCCAGCTTGAGCAGTATTATAGGATTCACAAATCTTACATTTCATGCCTAATATATGAAACTGAACAGTGGATCGTCCATTACAGTCATTGCAGAGAATCTGAAAAGAGATTAATTCAAATTAAGTATTTTAAACCTTATAAATACAAGTAGCATTGTCTACTCATAATCCCTTGAAAATCATATTAAAGATGTGAAAATACATACATAAGTCTAAAAATTTCCAAAAGTAGAAATTTCTTCTTATTTTTTCACTGAAAACTCTAAAAAGCTATTAAGGTGGCTCTGAATTCAGAAAATGAAAAGGCAGATTTGAGCAAAAAAAAAGCTTATTTTAAAATAGTTTCCAAATATTAAATAGTATAAATAGTACAAGCAAGAAAATTAACCTAGGCATAATCAGATGAATACCTGATACTTATAATTCAAAATAACAACATGATTTCATTATTTTTCAGTCAGAAATGTATCTCAATTAATAAAACCAAAATTTTTACACAAATAATATTTTTGCTTATTTTTTAGGTTTAGTATACTGTTCCCTGTCTTCTCTGCCTTAGGAATGAATTAAATTCCAAAAAGAGTGTTCCTAAAATTGAGTAAACAGAGAGGCTCTTCGCTCATCCCTACAATAACAATAAGATGCCGTTTAAGAATTAATTTCTTCTAGTGCTAAGTAAGAACCTGAAAAATAACAAAGGTGTTAACCTGAAAATCAATACATTACTATGCAAGAAAAGCACTAGTTTTTGAATAGTCACACTATAATAAGCAGAAAATTTCCAAATTTGCTCTAAATTATAATTTGGAAAATAATTATTTAAAAAATATGATCTAAATGGAGAAAGTGGATTAGTGGTTGCCTAGGCCTGGGGCGTTAGGGAATGACTGCTAATGGGTATGAGTGTTTCCTTTTTGGGATGATAAAAATGTTCTAAAATTGTGGTGATGTTTGCATAACTACATGAATATTTTAAAAAGCACCAAATTGTACAATTTAAATGAATGAACTATATAATATGTGAATTGTATCTTAATGAAGCCATTATTTCCAAAAATTATCTACATGGAACATAGCACACTTCGGCCTCTAGTCAATCACATGATTATCGGTTAGTATTCCAAAAGTGATTTTTCATTGCCCTAACAATTATCCACATGAATTATGAAACACTCCAGTGTAAATAAAACAAAAAATAATTTTCATTTGGCTTTGCTACGTGGTTTTTATCCTCGTATGCTGAAGTATCTGAAGATGTTCAGAAAATGTGTAATATAACCAAAAATTATCTAGCCAGAATACTAGGCTTTCCCATTCTAATCTAAAACTCAATACCATGTATGGCTGAGAAGAGACAGCAACACATCTTAATTAAACGAAAAAAGATGATCACTCTCCATAAGCCAAAAGGCACAGAAACAACCTTTTATGCTTTAGGTTGCAAGCTAATTGCAACCAAATAAAGAAAGTCAAGACCCTCTGAATCTATTCTGGTTCAGGGCTGCCTGATTCACAAACTGTTTCTCAATTAAGTTCTGTTAAATTTAATTTGTGTAAGGTTTTGCTTCAAACAGCTGGCATCAGAAGTGGGATTTGAAGTACAGCTTTCAGTGACCGCCAGGAGCACCAAGGGGACCCAGTAAGGTACCGTTAGGCCCTTTGTGTCCACTGCTCTCTTGCAGCCATTAGGAATCATGGTAAGTTCTCAGATTCTAAAGCTCTGCGCATTTGTGTTTTGAGCTATCCAAGTTTTTTTGAACACATTTTCTATCTGAACTGAATTCAGAAGTCGCAACAAAAACTGGACTGGGTCCAGGATCCAACTGCCTTGGATCTAGCTAAAGACCTCTTATGCCTGACTGGGTCGGGCAGAAGCACAGTAAATGGCAAAACAGCAGGGGGTGGGGGTGCAAATTTTGGCTTTTGGAAATTCACAGGGTTTTTTGTGTCCTGCCCTCTTCAATTCTTCTTCTTGCACATTTAAGTAGAGAAAAATCACTGGTTAAGTTTACCAAGGAAATATGAGAGCCAAAGCCAAGATTCAAGGTGAAAATGGGATCCTTAATTTCTGAAGAACTGAGCAATCTACCTTCTGGCTCTGCCTACATTTACAAGTGTAAGTATTAGGCCCCAGAAGCAGCACTTTTTAAACATTTTATAGAAGGATAAAATGCCATTTGCTTATAGAAATGGCAAAACCTTACTAAAAGTAATTTAAAATTATAATGGAACGTCCCAAATGAACACTTAAAACTACACTTTAAGAAGTGCATTTGATGATGGCCATAAGCTGTTAAAAACCAAACCAAAAAAAAAAGTGCATTTGAAAATGAGGGCTCCCAAATTAGACTCATCTAAGAATGCCTATTGAGTGAAGCTTCTAAAAATATTTCAATATTTTTATTGCCTTAAAAAAAAGATGTTTTAAAAGGCAAATAAAAAGCTTAACTAACTGATAAGACAAATTAAATCTACTAGCCTTTTGGCTTAGTTACTATACTGCCCTGAAGGCTAAAAGAAAGCTAGCCTGGATTAAATGTTTATAAAATATAGGCCCTTAGGTAAAGCTGACTTGCCTCTTTTTCAGATCTATCCATACTGTGCCCAGGCATGGACATGGACACTAAGATACTTCTGTTTAATTTCTGAGTAAACTGCAAACAATAAAAAAGAACGCTGTCTTTCCCCTACTGTCTTAGTGGGCTCCACCCTGAACTCAGTAATTTTAGCTAAGAAACAGTAGTTAAATTTTTAAAAACGATCTATGGAACTAAAGTATACCTTTCTGGCATTCAACTGGCTATACTGAAGGCTATCCTGAAACCCTTTTGGTAAAATCAATTTATATCTATAAAGGAAATTTACATTTGTAAAGGTGTCTGTGTACATTAGGAACTCTTATCACTATTTTAAATTTATATAGTAAGTCATACCTTTGTTTAAGGTGACTGGCCATCTTGTCTTAACTTTTACTCACACCATTTTTTCCTTGGTTTGAGCAAATGATGGTACAATATTTACGTCTAAAGTCTTAGCTGTGTGCTTTTGAGATATACATTTTCTACCTTGTTTGACCTAAGAATTGGCCCTTTAGAAATGCATATTTAGGGCTGCCTAGCTAACAATTGCTTAGGGCAATGAAACAGGTTAATTGGTAAACTGATAGTCTGAATGGTGAATAGAAAAACTATTTAAAAGCCAGCAAATGAGAATCCTTTAGGAAAGCTCTAAGATCTGCTTCTGTCTGTGTCTGTATTCCTATAGGTGTTATGTGTATGTGATAACATTTGGTAAATAAAGCCAGTTTTTATATTGTTAGTAAATAGGAATGGCTTCAGAGGTGTCTGTTGAATATAATTCAACACTTGCTTGATTTGACTGTGAGCTTGTTTTGGGTTTTGAACCTCTAGATTCTCAAGTCTGGCTAGGTGAGACCTGGGTACATGTTCTCAGTGCCTAGACCTGTAGCTACAAAGCAGAATCAAGCCCACTAGAGCTTCTTCTTCCCTGTCTTAGCTTTGCCTCCTGGCTATTCTAGGAGGGGTTCCATCCTCCAAGCATCATCTTTACAGCTCTGTCTTCTGTTCAAAGCTCTGTAAGTGGTACGTAAATTCAGGACTCAGACAGGCTCTGCCCTTCATAGCCCTCCTGGTTGACATATGACTACTTGAGACTCAAGATGACTGAGAAAACATTCGGGAGGGTACATCTGTGTCCTAATTTCAAATTTTTTTTCAGTAATTTAAAATCTTATAGTCATATGTTTAAGTAAATAATCATAAAACTTTTAAGTCATTTATAAGTTAAAATGCTAAAACATTAATTATAAGTTTAAGTTTATATACTTTGGCATCTTATTTTTATATAGTATAGAAAAACTAAATATATTTAGATATCTTAATAAATAATAATTTAAGGAAACATCCTTCCAAAAAATTAAAATGGCTTCCATCTATAAATACTGATACAAAACAGTTCAAAATTACTTCCTAGGGTTTTCACTGGAAATTAGGATTACTAAGAGTTAAAACTGTAGTTAATATATGTAATTAAAACTACTAGATGTAAGAAAAACAATTCCCTATAAGGAGTGTAAAAACAAGCAAGATATACTTTTGGTAAGACAAGTTGCAAAGGCATGTATTTAAAAAAATTCAGCTTCAGGAGGCCAAGGAGGCCAAGGCGGGTAGATCACAAGGTCAGGAGTTTGAGACCAGCCTGGCCAATACAGTGAAACCCCGTCTCTACTAAAAGTACAAAAATTAGCCAGGCGTAGTGGTGTGCGCTTGTAGTCCCAGCTACTCGGGAGGCTGAGGCAGAAGAATTGCTTAAACCCTGGAGGCAGAGGTTGCAGTGAGCCAAGATTGCTCCACTGTACTCCAGCCTGGGTGACAGAGAAAGACTCCGTCTAAAAAAAAAATTTTGGTCTAGTTTGAAGTTACTTAACGGTTGTTTCAAATTGAAGGAATAAAAAAGTGTAGATTAAAATACAGAACGTTCAAAAGAAAGAATTTTAAAAGTTTATAAGGGAATATAAAAGATTTATGGAAATCTTACGTGGTAAAAAACTGACAGATTGGATGGATTTGTTTACAAGGTTTTATTAAAATTCGCTTTAGTCCTAACAATACAAAAGTAAAATCTGGTTTTCTCTCTTGAACAAAGATTTCATGTAGTATTAATAAGACAGTTAAATATTTTTGTTTACTTTTGGGTAAATTTCAAACAATAAAAAGAGGAGACAAGGGGAAACAGATTTTGTCTCACGCTGTCTCAGGACTTTTAATTGTTTAGAAAACTGAGTTTCGAAGAGTAAAGGTTTTTGCTTTTTAAAACCTGTTAATTCTCATATTGGCTATATAAATGACTATATATAAATATATATATAGTCATATATATATTCACAATATATATAGTCATATATATTCATAATATATATATTCATAATATATATATTCATAATATATTCATAATATATATATTCATAATATATTCATAATATATATATTCATATATATATTCATAATATATATTCATATATATTCATAATATATATATTCATAATATATATATTCATATATATTCATAATATATATATTCATATATATTCATAATATATATATTCATATATATATTCATAATATATATTCATATATATATTCATAATATATATTCATATATATATTCATAATATATATATTCATATATATATTCATAATATATATATTCATATATATATTCATAATATATATTCATAATATATATATTCATAATATATATTCATAATATATATATTCATAATATATATTCATAATATATATATTCATATATATATTCATATATATAAATGTGATCCTATTTTGGTCAAGTATTTTAAATCTTCGACACACTTGACAAGCTTCCCAAAATCAAATTTCAACTTCAAAATTAAGTCTTTTTTTTTTACCTCTAACTTTGGCATGCTACAAAGGGCCCCTGCGGTATTCAAAAGAGAAAAAAATGATTATTTGATCTGTTAAATTACATAGGAAGCACTGTCAAATAAGAAATGATATTTAACCTTTGTGTTATATTTTTATTAAGATTTATTCCAAAATTATATGAGATTCTAAAATTCTTTATGTCGGGGTATATGCTATCAGTCTTAATTATGGTTACTGTGTTATTGCAGGCCACAGAAATAACCAAATTTCCTTGTCAATCATGTCTTTAACTATAACCATTTTAAGTTGTTTCCACAGTTAACTGCTTAATTCTGATGCAGTTTCTCTGAAAACTAGACAAGCAAGCAAAATCCTACAGTACTGTGTCTTCAAGGAGGTTCATGAAAGGATGAAAAGGACCCTGACAAACTCTCTTAAATATAGACTTCTGACAACTTTAGGACTTGGACTGGATAACAATTCCTAGAACTCTAATGGAGAGACTGACTGGTTTATAAAACTGCCAACCCAAGCAGGATAAAAATTGATTGAATACCAAGAAAATACTTTGCCAGATTTTCACACTAAAGCAGCCAGTACTGAAATTGTTTAGATTTCAATCAATTCCACAATCCAAGTCAAATTACCTATAATAACCCTTCAGTTATCAGTGGTAGGCACCTAACCTGGTATTTAAGAGGACACAAATCCAATGTTAAGCATGGACTCATGGAGAACCTGGACAGCCACCTGGCCCTTCCTAAATCCTTAAAGCTTCCATTATTAAAAGTTCTGCATTCCAGCCAGGCAAGGTGGCTCATCACTCCTATAATCCCAGCACTTTGGGAGACCGAGGCGGGTGGATCACGAGGTCAGGAGTTCAAGACCAGCCTGGCCAACATGGCGAAACACCGACTCTACTAAAAATACAAAAATTAGCCAGGTGTGGTGGCGGGCACCTGTAATCCCAGCTACTTGGGAGGCTGAGGCAGGAGAATCGCTTGAACCCTGGAGGCAGAGGTTGCAGTGAGCCGAGATTGTGCCACTGCACTCCAGGCTGCACAACAAGAGCAAGACTCTGTCTAAAACAAACAAAAAAAAAAAGTCTGCATTCCATGGCTCATCATGGAAAAGATAAAATATTCCAAATTTTACATGTATATATAAAATTTATATATATTGCTAAATTGCTAAAATAATTTATGACCAATGTTTGCTTTGTCGAAACCATAATCCTGGGAAGACAATCAAAACTTCACGTACATTTCTGCTACCTGATGGGCCATTTAAGTATTTATAGAAGGATTACATTCAATTGTCATTTTGAATGCATGTTTTCTGGTTGTATAGAAGGTATCCCATGCAAGAGGGTTAACTCTATTACAGTACCTAAAAGGTTATTATAAAATGTGTTTCTCTCATGGGACATTCCTAGAGAAATCTCCAGTGACACAGGTACTTATTTCACTGGATAAGTTGTAAAATAGTTAAATAAGATACTACAGATACAATAGCATTAGGCAAAACTAACTGAATTGACTGGATTGCCTTGGTCAAAGATATTGCAGATTGATGGTAATCAGATCCCCTTGGAGTGGAAAACGTAAGTTGACCCCTTACGAAATAATCACTGGAAGGCCTGTATACCTAATAATAAATAGAATCTCATGTATCTTCCACTACCAAACTCTGATATGACTAAATGCCGCAAGGCTTTTATGCATTATGCCAAAGTGTATTTTCACCAAGTAAAGAAAATTTTGATGGTCCAATGACTAAGAACAATCAAACCCTTCACAATCTAGAATCTGGAGACTGGGTCTCTGAGAACAACATCAGAGAAAGACTGCCTTTTCCACCTACACTAAAGCTTCTGGACTTTGAACTTAGGTTCATTATCTCACATTTCAGAAGGGACCCTCCACACTCTTGGAAGTGGACACCCATGAGAGACCTTAAGACAAAGTTAACCAGGAAAGTTTCTCCCCAGAAGCAAGCAGCATTTTAGTGTGGACAGTTTTTTCCCAAGATCATGAATCAAGACTTCTCTGTAATTATGACTCTTATCTCTCAATTTGTTCCTTGCTTATGATTCTGTGAACAACAGAAGTGAAAAAGGGGTCTCCTGTGTGCACTCCATAAAAATAAGTCTAAGATGGAATAAAAAGGGTAATAAACACTAAAAACCAAAACGTAATCTCAAAAATCAGCAAATATGTTCTCCTGAAATAAAATGTAAAATAATTAAAAATAAAATGTACTTAAAAAGTCCCACCAGTGATCCAACCCTAGTCAGTTATATTACTGACTGACTCTGGCAAGTAATATGTAAACAATTCAGAATGAAGTTTTTGCCTGCCATCTAGTGTTGGGAAAAACTACATAAAGGTATTCTTAAGACTTTTTTTTTCCCGATCTGAGCTACTTAACTAAAATTTAAAAATCATTTTGTGCTTTCCATTAATCATCACATTAGCATCTGTGTCAAACCAGTATATATATATTTTTTTTTTGGCAAATTCAAGCAGGAGGGCAAAAATAAGAGTGCCAACAAGGAGTCTACAAAGTTTTAAGTATTGATTCTACTCACATCCACAGTCATGTTCTGATATTCTGATGGCATAGGAGTCTGTGCTACTTCATCATCCAGCTGTCTCCAATACCTGGTCATATCTAAAGCAGAGTGCATACATAATGGACATCTGTAGCCTCTGAAAGAGATAGAAAGGTTATTTTCCAAATATTAAACAAGAATATATTAATTCAGGTATACAAGAAGATGCAGGCTAACTGCCACATGAACCATTCAAAACAGGCATTTTCCTCCATTTCAAGATAATCTCTTAGGAACCTGGGAACTTTCACACTATAAAACTTTTAAATTAATTCCTGTATACTTATTTAAAACTAAGTCTTTTTCCTCAGTACTCTAAAATGGAGAGGAATTAGTCCATATTCTTTGTAGAATACACTTCATATATTTTTATAAACTAATTAAGCTACTCCTTATCTAAACAACCTTAATTTCTTAATACACTCATGTAAAGAGACTGTATTTGTTTAAAATTATTCAGATATTATTTCCTTTCTAAAAATTTGAAAAAAAGAATGCTCTCTCTAGCTCTTCACATTTTTGCTCATCAATATGTAGGACCAAAATACAGTCTTCTCTTTTCAATTATTTTCATCTAATTTTAATATCTTTTCCATTAATAAAGTCTTAGCTTTAATGATCACTTCACCTACTTTCTTTTAGTTTACTATACTTGGCCAATATAACAACCTAACAAATTTTTGGCAATATTTTTCAGCATTTTTACAACACTATAACTGCATCTGGCAAAAACTGCACTTCCTGGTATATATGGCCAGAAAAAAAAGAGGTAACTACCTCAAATTGTGGGAGGAGACAAGATTTAAGAGAAACATATGGCAAAAGTGTAGTTCTATATCCAAGACACTTTGTCCTGTTTTAACAATATTCATCTACCCTACCCATTTCAATATAAATATTGCCATGCCCAATATAGTATAAGTAACAATGTTTGTCCACCTCCCCACACCACACACACAAAAAAGTCAAACATCTTACAATTATTTTTAAAATCCCAAACACTCACTCTTTCAACATTTCTTCATAACACGTTCTGAAAGAAAATATAAGATTATTTTAGTAAAACAAAAACTGTCTCCACTATTTTCAAACATCATTGAGAAAAAGATGTTACTTTACCTATGTAAAAGATGTCCACATGGCAAGACATGAGCAACAACACGGGATGTGTGAATGTCCTGTAAATGAAATAAATGTTAGTGCTTGTATGAAGACAATATAAACATCCAAGTATTTTAAATTCAAGAGCTGAGACTTCCAAAGTAAAAAATATTTTAAGCCTACCTCCAAACATATTGGACAATTCTGTCGGGACACATTTTCAATACACTGTTTAAAAGAGAAATTCACATTAACAAAAGCTTAACTAGATTAAAATGTCAGGTATAAAAATATTAATAATAAAAATTAACAAAACCAACTTACTAAAAATAATAGCTAACATTAATATATGCTTTTTATATGTAAGAAGAGTTTTTTAATAGTTATTTAAATCTCACACTATTTCAGGCTTGGCATATTATCTGATACAATGAAAATGTCAATAAACATTATTGAGATTACCTTCATTTCACAAATAAGGAAAGTGACTTAGGAATTCAAGACACTTACCCAAGATCCAAAGATAATAAGATTTGGAACCTTTGCATATTATGTATGTTTTACTCCAAAGCCAGTGACCTAAATTAGTAAGCTCAACTTACTAATAATATTGGTAATAATAGTTCATATTATTGAAATTTACTACATGCCATGTTCAGCACAGTACCTGTATAAGATCAATTAAATCTCACAATCCTAGATGAAATAGGCTATGATTGTTATACCATTTTACAGTTAAAGCAGTGGAGGCCTAGAGAAGCTAAGGAACTTCCAAAGTCACACATTAATAAGAGGCAGAATTAAACTGGAGCTCCAGCAGGCTAACTTCAGAGCCAGAGTTCTTAATTTGACAAGATGTAATGTCTGATTAAATCCAAGGAGGTAAGGGAAAGCACTGTGCCATGGAAGACTCCCAGGTTTTTAACGGAAGCACTTAATAGATGGCAGGACCACTTAGTAATATAGACAATAAAAGATAACTGAAAAACAACATAACAAAAAAAACCATAACAAAAAAATAGATGTAAGTTTTTGAAAGATGACAGTATAGTGGGGAGAAAAACCCTCAAAATAATAAGCTTAATAGTAAGTTTAAAAATCTAGACTGTAATCCTAGCTCTGCTATTTACCAGCCCTTGAGATTTTGGACTAGCCACCACTTTAGTCTTAACGTTTCTTATTTATAAAATAAAATTAATACATATTTCATTTGATTCTAAAGTGCACCTCACACATACATTTTAACATCCCCACAATTACAACATATCTGATCATCAGTGGCATCTCTGAGTTGATGGAATGTAAATGCTGAGGTGAGGATGCAATGAATTAGTGTGTGCACACACACTACACATGCTTTGGAAACCAGAACATCATAGAAATGTAATCTATAAGATACTATTGACTCCTGGCTATCTCCATTAGCATAGCTTGCCATCACCCCAAACTCAAGTTTAAAAACCAAACTCAATCTTTTATCTTCAAAAAATTTACAATCTACTAATCAAGTACCTTAAGCTGGGGCTGAAAATCTTCAGAGTCATCTTTACTCTGCCTCATTCTTTTTCCTTAATACCATTACCACATCATATATGTTCATTATTCATCTCAATTTTCCTCACCACTTTACTATTTAGGCCAAGTTCTAGCTAATATTATATTTCTGCAATAACTTCTTATTCTTATATTCTATCGAACCTACTATACTGCTAAGTAAATGATTTCAAACAGTCTCTTTCCAATTAATGTCTATCTGTCTCTCTCTCTCTCAACAGCTACAATGTTGCTACTTATACTGTTCTGCCTTATCTGGAATTTCCTATACTTGAACAAGTACGATTTACACTTCACTTTACACCAATCCTCCATTCTCTTAATTAAATTCTTACAGTAGATAGAATCAGTACTATAATGTAATACTTTATTAGATTTTTTTTTAAATAATGAAAAAGGGCCTGGGATTGTGACATAATTCCTACATCCAGATTTAAAATATGTATGTCTTAATTATAAAAAGAAATAGTAAAATATTTTCTGAATTTTCTTAGAATGTTGTGCTAATTAGGTTACACCATTCAGTATTTCTCCTGTTTTAAAGTTATTCTTAAAAGCAGTACCAATGGTAAGAATCCATAAACTAACTTGGAAGTTGCCAACATTATGCTAGTAAGTGATATAAGCATTCTTACACTACAGAGAAGAAAAGGAACTGTAGGTCAGATATTCTGAGGTACATATTTTAAAATATCTACTTGTTAATACTGCTTTTCAAAAAAGCAATATAGTTGCACTTGGAAATACATGAAAATTAGCATGCTTCCAAAACATATTAGAAGTTAAGCTTATTGCAAAAACACTGTAATATTTTTAAAATTATACAAACTAAATTATATACCTTGTGTCTTCCTTGAAGATTCATAGCTAGGCATAAGTTACATTTCAAACAATGGAAAAAATCTTCCTTTGGACCAATCCTAGCAAAACACATGAAAGCCAAAAGATTAGATTATTTTTTACTACAGTCATGATTTGTTCATTATGTAAAACACAAGTTTAGTCTCTGTAAAAAAAATTTCCAGCCACAATGGAGAATATGGGATAAATCCCTATCTCCCCAACATCCCTCTCCAAATGTAAGCACTATACACAGAGTGGTATCTACCCTTCTAGGGCTTTTTTTTCTTTTTCTATAAAATTGCAAAAAGAGAGAAACACAGACACACACACACATTTCGGGTTTGATTTCTTACATTAATGGATTCTTTCTACAGATGCCATTCTGCAACTTTTTTTCACTTGATATATTCTGAGGATTTTATGTCTGTCTACACAGAACCACTTCATTCTTCTTAATAGCTACATTAATGGCATGGATGTATACTAATTTTTTTAAATATTCCCTCAGAAAGATCATAATTTATGATCTTTAGTTGCTACAATGATACAGTAAACATCCTTGTCCAGACATCACTTAGTTCACATGTTGATTATTTTTTACGAGATTCCTAGAAGTGAAACTACTGAGTCAGAAGATGTTGCAACATTAATTGTGATACTGCCAAACTGACCTCCAAATAGACAGTACCAATTTATACTTCCACCAACACTGCATGAGAGTAACCATGTTCCCCACACTTTGGGTAACATGGTTACTTGTATTATAGACAAACAAAAGATGTCATTTTAATTTGCATTTCACAAATAATGAGACAGGGACTGTACATTAATGAACTACTTGGATTTCTCTGTGGATTGTCTGTTCATATGTTCTGTCCATTTTTCTACTGAAGTATTTGTTTTTAACCAATTTACTGGTAAAAAATATATCATGAATATTAGTTATTTATATAATGAATATCAATGTTTTCATTCGCATGTATTATATTTATATATCACCAATATCAATTTTTTATTTGCATATTTTATATTTACTTTTCTGGTCTGTGATTTCTCTTAACTTTGTCATATAGCCATTTTTAATTACTATGTGGTAAAAAGTCATCAATATTTTCCTGTATAGCTTATGCTTTCTGCCTCTTGTTTAGGAAACTTTTGTAACCTATAGATCATAAACAGACTCTCCTATGTATACTTCTAGTACTTACAGCTTTTCATTTTTATATTTTTCTTTAATCCATTTGAAATTTGCTATATATGGCAAAGGTTAGATTGCTACTTGTCCCTAAATTTCTATTCTCCACTTCTTCTACAATGATAGGGTATTTAGCTAGGCACTGAGCTATTCAGAACTGTCCTGAATAAAGACTATTTTCCAACATACCTGGACGTTGGGAACAGAAGAGATACATGAAAATTCTGCATTGTACCCTCAAGAGGAAAAATATGCCTTCCCTTCACCTAACTAGCCTTTCTACAGACCAGAATATGAGGCATTTTAGACTACAGAGACAAGAAAATATCTTATGGGTGACAAGGCAAAAAACAAGAAGAGCCTGAGTTCCTGTTTAGCTACACAACTCAGATTTATTTCCATGAGAAATGAACTTCTGCCTTTCTTGAACCACCATTACTTTGGGTTTCTGTCACAAGATGCTAAATCCATACTCTAATGAATACAGTTTGAAGAGTCAATTTTTGGTTTCCGAATGGATAATCAATTATCTTAATACTACCCTTTCCTGATTTGAAATGTCACTTTTGCCATAAATTCATATGTATAAATATTTGTCTGTGTATATACACACACACATATTTATCTATTCGTCTATTCCTGCACAAACAGCAAACTATTTGAATTACTATAGCTTTATCATGTTTTGATATGTGGAACGGCAATCCACTCTTCGTTGTCCTTCCTTCAAAATTTACTCAGCTATTGTGAATTTTCTCTTACAAATGAACTTTAGAATAGGCTGTCAAACTCCATAAGTAAAATTCTGCAGGGACGTTTCCACTACTGCCAAAGATAGAATAACGGAGATCAGACCTACCCTCCCATCTGAAAAAATAATGACAAAAGACAGAATATATGAAACAGCAGTTTCACTGAACATCAGGCAACAACACAGAGTGATCTGTGAGAGATAAGAAACAAAGTAAGTGAGCCCTAAAATTGCTCATTTATTGCCTAGAGAGTTTTGAGGCCAGGACAGGTTAGAAGAACTAAGGGTGAGCTAGGAAGACATCATGATTGAAATGATGAGCTGAGACAGTCTAGAGAAACCAAGACAGATTCATAGGACAGAGCATCAGATAGGAGAGAGCTGCACAGAGAAACCTCTGAAATATTTAGTAGGATACCCATCAGCACATGGATGTAAGAAAACTACCCAAAGCCAGGGAAACAACCTTCTAAAGAATGAGAACAGTACTACTCACACATGGCTAGGAACAGTGCCTGATCCCATCAAACAGACTGGGGAAACTCATAATTCGCAGGCTCCGGGTGGAGTATTCAGAAGGATATTGCCTCAACAGTGGAGAATAGCCCTGGGATAAGCCCTTCTGTAGATCTACCTAACAAATTAGAAAAGTAAATCCCAGAAAGTCTAAACTGTTTCCAAGTAACTTAACTGCATCCCAAAATAAAGCTCAAGAAGATTTATAGGAATACAAAAATACCCAGCACTAAACATGATAAAAAGAAAAATCACATCTGATATCCAACCCACAATAACCAGGCAACAAAGAGGCAGAAAAACACAACCTAAAATGAGAAGAATAATCAATCAATCAACCCAGAACAGACACAGATGTTAGAATTAATACAGGGCATTAAAAGTTATTATAACTGTATACCATTACATTAAAAAAGTATTAAATATGAAAAATATGTTTAAAGACCCAGATCAAACTTCTAGACATAAAAACTACAATGTCTGAGATTTAAAAATACACTGATGAAACTAATGGCAAGTTTGATATTGCTAACAAAAAGGTTAGTCAACTTGAAGGCACAGTAACAGAAACTATCCGAAATGAAATAGGAAGAAAAGGGAATTTTTTTAAAACGACAGAGCATGAGTAAGCTGTGAGACAACTTCAAGCAACCTAACATACATGTGTTCAGTTGAGCCTAACGCTGCCTCCTACATATTTTAAGATCGTCCTAAAAGGCTTTGCTGTACATAGTTAACTGTAACCTAACTGGATGTGTTTACCTACAGTAACCTACTCTAGTACCAATCAATCACCAAGTTTCATCCAATCACAGGCAGTCCTCGGTTCAAACTGTGTTTAAATAAGGCAAATGCTGAGCTGTAACCAATCCAGCTGTTTCCATACCTTACTCATTTTCTGTCACTTTCCTTTGTCTGTCCATAAATCCTCTCTGACCACATGGCAGAGCCAAGGTTGGTCTGAACCTATTATCATTTTGGAGCTACCCACCTTGCAAATCGTTCTTTGCTCAATTAAACTCTGTTAAGTTTAATTTAAACTCTGTTAAGTTTAATTTAAACTCTGTTAAGTTTAATTTGTCTTAAGTTTTTCTTTTAACACATGCAATTGGAGATCCCTAAGGTAGGAAGCAGGGGAAGGAGGAGGACCGAAAAAACATCTGAAATAGTAATAGCCAAAACTTTCCTGAAATTAATGAAAAAAACTATAAACCAATGGATTCAAAAAGCTCAACAAACCCTAAGCACAAGCAACATGAAGAAAACTATACAATGGAATGTCATAATCTAATTATCAAAACCAGAGACAAAGAAAAAAAATCTTAAAAGCAGCTATTTTGAAAGAAAGAAAAGAAGACGTGCACAGGAGAAAAATAAAAATGACTGGATTACCCCCGGGACAGACTTCACAAACTCAAAATTGGTAAAAGGAAAGAAATAATAAAGAGCAGAGCAGAAAAAAATGAGAGTGAGACTAAAAACACAATACAAAAGACCAATAAAACAAAAGCTGGTGTTTTTGAAAAGATAAAATCAAAAAAAAATGTAATAGACTAAAAAAAAAAAAACCAGAAACAAAAGAGAAGACGTAAGAACTCAGACCACAGAAATACAAAGATAGATACTATTACGAACAACTATTTAACCACAAATTGGAAAACCTAGAATAGATAAATTCCTGGACACATCCAACCTTCTGAGATTGAACCACAAAAAAACCTCAATAAGCCAGTAACAAGTAATGAGACTGAAGCCATGACAAAAAGTTTCACATCAAAGAAAAGCCCACAATCTGATGGCTTCACTGCTGAATTATAGCAAACATTTAAAGAAAGGAAGGAAGGAAGAGAAAGAAAAGAAATCCTAAAATTTATATGGAGCCACAAAAGACCCTGAATAGTCAAAGCAATCCTGAGCAAAAAAAAAAAAAAAAAACATAACTGGAGAGGCTTCACACTACCTAACTTCAAAATATACTACAAAGCTATTGTAATCAAATCAGCATGGTACTGGCATAAAAAGAGACAAGTAGACCAATTATGCAGAACAGAGAATCCACATATAAATGTATGCATTTACGGCTAACTCATATTCAAGAAAGGTGCTAAAAATATACAACAGAAAAAGGACAATCTCTTCAATAAATGGTGCAGAAAAAAACAGGATACCATATGCAGAAGCATGAAACTAGATGCTTCTCTCTCACCGTACACAGAAATCAAATCAAAATGGATTAAAGACTTAAACCTAAGACCTGAAACTATAAAACTAATGAAAGAAAACACTGGGGAAACTCTCCAGGACACTGATCTTGGCAAAGATTTTTTTGTGTAAGATCTCAAAAGCACGCACAACTGAAACAAAAACAGACGGAATTACATCAAGCTAAAAAGCTTCTGCACAGCACAGGGAAACAAACAAGTGAAGAGACAACCCACAGAATGAGAGAAACTATTTGCAAACTATCCACCTGACAAGGAATTAATAACCAAAATATATAAAGAGCTCAGACAACTTAATAACAAAAAAAAAGATTTAAAAATAGTCCAAAGACCTGTACAGTAATTTCTCAAAAGACAAACTAATGGCCAACAGGTATGTGAGAAAATACTCAACATCACTAATCATCAGACAAACAGAAATCAAAACCACAATGAGGTATCATCACACCCCAGTTAGAATGGCTTATATCATAAAAGACAGGGAATAACAGATGCTGGTGAGGATATAGAGAAAGTGGAACCCTTGTATACTACTTGTAGAAATATAAATTAATACAGCCACTGTGGCAATCTGAATGGAGAGTCCTCAAAAAGACTAAACATAGAGCTACCATATGATCCAGCAAGTCCACTAAAAGTACATATCTAAGGGGAAATCAGTACCTCAAAGGGTATCTGCACTCCCATGTTTACTGCAGCACTATTCAAAATAGCTGAAATATGGAAGCAACCTTAGTGTCCATCAGTGGATGAATGGATAAAGAAAATATGGTATATGTACACTACGGAGTATTACTCAGCCATTAAAAAGAATGAAATCCTGTAATTTACAGCAACATGGATAGGATGGAGGTCATTATGTTAAGCGAAACAAGCCAACCACAGAAAGACAAATATCACATGTTCTCAATCATATGTGGGAGCTAAAAACAGGATGTCATGAAGATAGAGTAGGCTGGAAGACACCAGAAGCCTACAAGGGTAGGGAGGATGGGGCAGGGGAGGGGATGAAGAAAAGTTGATTAATGGATACAAATATACACTTAGAAGAAATAAGCCCTGGTGTTTGATAGACCAGTAGGGTGACTACGGTTTACATTAATTGATTATACATTTCAAACTAGCTAAAAGAGAATTAATTCAAATGTTTCTAGCACAAATATTTAAGCCTGGGCAACAAGGGGAAACCCCAACTCCACAAAAAATTAGCTGGGCATGGTGGCACATTCCTATAGTCCCAGCTACCCAGGAGGCTGAGGTGGGAGGATCACATAAACCTGGGAGGTCAAGGCTGCAGTGAGTCATGATTGTGCGATTGCACTCCAGCCTGGGCAACAGAGCAAGACCCTTTCTCAAAAAACAATAAATATTTAAGGTAATGGATAACCCAATTAGCCTGATTTGATTATATGAATGCACTGAATTACCACATGTAGTCCAAAAATATGTACACCTAATACATGTCAATACAAATAAGGATAATCAGAACACAGCAACCACTTCTGCTATGCGACTCTGTCTTATAATAAGCTCTGGTGCTTATTTAATAACAATGAGAAACTGGTTACTTCCTCACTTTTTAAAAAGCTTATTCTTGTACATTACAGTAAGGATATATGTTCATTACCAAAAAATTAAGACCAGATGTTTGCCCGTATTTACCGAAAACTGAAACCCCATCTTTAGGGCACATCTGTCTTTGAGAAATATAGCCACAGTCCAAAGATTATCTATAACTATAATGAAGCTATTTTAAAACATAAATCAGGAATAATACACTATTAAACTCTGTACGAAGCACTTGAATTGCTTACAGTGATTCTTGCCTAAGGATGAACAGCAATTTTTCAAGCCCACACCTCCAGATGAGAGTCAGATATATCTTAGATGAAGCAATAGGGTCAAGAGTAGAAATTTCAGTAGGAGAGCTATACCAAGAAGACCTGTTCATCCTTGCCTTATAGATTTATTTAATGAACTAAAAGCAATGACAAACTTTCATGATATACCTAAGACAAAAATGTTTAATTCCCAAAAAAGACTTGGTGCAAAAGACTATCAAGAATGTGCAGCTCCAAAAAGACTGATTTTCAAACAAAAATACAGGAATTAATACATTCAAATAACATGATTTTTTAAAAAGTTATCATGAAAGGATAGTTTTCAACTCTAACCAGTTTCTCAAATATATATTTATAATTTTTATACATACTATATACAATAAAATATGTATATATTTTTAGACAGAGTTTTGCTCTTGTTGCCCAGGCTGGAGTGCAATGGCACGATTTTGGCTCACTGCAACCTCCCGCCCACGGGTTCAAGCAATTCTCCTGCCTCAGCCCCCCGAATAGCTGGGATTACAGACATATACCACCACGCCTGGCTAATTTTGTATTTTTAGTAGAGACAGGGTTTCTCCATGTTGGTCAGGCTGGTCTCAAACTCCCAACCTCAGGTGATCTGCCCGCCTTGGCCTCCCAAAGTGCTAGGATTAGAGGCGTGAGCCACTGCGCCCAGCTCTTTTAATATTTTTATTATCTAAAAAATAATAGTCATTATTGATGATCATATGTCATTTGACTAAAGACAGTATTTGTCAAACTTAATAGATTTTGCTTCCAATATCTTTTGGCAGATTTTTTAAAAATCAAAAGAACTCAAAAATCCTCGAGGGTAGTTTTTCAGTATGCCATATGCACTCATTAAAAGCAACTGCAGAAAATAAACATTTCAAATATTTTTGAACAATGACAAAAGATAAAATGCCTCCTAAAATGCCTACTTGAAGTGAACATAATTATTTGTCTATAACGTGAGTCACATATTACAATACCCAATAACATAAAACAACTTTTCTATTTGAAAATTCTGTTATTCTATACATTAAACATCTCCTAATTATGTTCCACTGAACATGAAAAGGATTCTATAATCAAATACTGTTATTAGAAACTCAATATACTTGGATATTTGCACTGTACAATTAACAAGTTAAAAGTTCTGAAAAGGCTCAGTGCGGTGGCTCACGCCTATAATCCCAGCACTTTGGGAGGCCAAGGTGGGAGGATCACCTGAGGTAGGGAGTTCAAGACCAGCCTGACCAACATGGAGAAACCCCATCTCTACTAAAAATACAAAATTAGCCAGGCATGGTGGCACATGCCTGTAATGCCAGCTACTCGGGAGGCTGAGGCAGGACTTGAACCCAGGAGGCAGAGGTTGCGGTGAGCCAAGACAGTGCCATTGTACAACAGCCTGGGCAACAAGAGTGAAACTCTGTCTCAAAAAAAAAAAAGTTCTGAGAAGGGATTTTGATTAAATTCAGCATTTAACAAAGCTTTTATGACTGCAAAAGCCTTTTTATACAATATTCACTCTGTACCCAGGTCTAGTTCTTTTTTTAATCAATTCTGTTTTAAAGATGAATATTTTGTGACATTTATTCTTTCTTTAGAAATCTTCCAAAGAAGGCCAGCTGCGGTGGCTCACACCTGTAATCCCAGCACTTTGGGAGGCCAAGGCAGGTGGATCACGAGGTCAGGAGATCGAGACCATGCTGGCTAACACGGTGAAACCCCGTCTCTACTAAAAATACAAAAAATTAGCCAGGCATAGTGGCGGGCGCCTGTAGTCCCAGTTACTTGGGAGGCTGAGGCAGGAAAAAGGCATGAACCCAGGAGGCAGAGCTTGCAGTGAGCCAAGATCGCGCCACTGCACTCCAGCCTGGGCGCCAGAGTGAGACTCCGTCTCAAAAAAAAAGAGAAAAGAAATCTTCTAAAGAAGAAAATCTACTTTTTCTTTAATAGAATAAACTCATTCTATTCTGTTTGCAATTATCATATGGGTCCATTGAACCCTTTCATAAATCTGATACATTATGGAATCTTAATCTTATTTTTCCTAATTTTGGTATTTCAGCATCCTAGGAATCCTTTCACATTATCAATCATTCCCAACTATCCTAACAAAAAGACTAAAATGCAAAGCATGGTAGAAAGACCTTTCATGTAGAAACATGAAAGAATGACATGAAATAATCACTAATGCATAATCCTTCGGTTTTCTTTCTGTACTGCTCAAAGTATTACATCATCTTTCCAGAAGGCATTAAAGAGTCCGCAGATACCTTCTTTGTAGTTTTCCTTGAACACAGTTGAGAAATCAGAATTTTTCATTTTTCACAAATAGAAAAAAAAAAAGGAAAATTTAGACAAAGCAGAAAATAAATGCAAAAAGGCAGATAACCATTCTAGACTGAAGGTTCTCCACCTAGGCAATATTTACATTTTGAACCAGATAATACTTTGTAGCAGGAAAGCGTCTTGCACATTATAGGATGTTTAGTAGCATCCCTGGTCTCTATCCAGTAGATGTCATTAGCATCTGCTACCCCTCACTCCCTGGTTACAACAGCTGAAAATGTCTCCAGGCATTGCCAGATATCACCTGGGAAAAAACTCTCCCCAGTTGAGAACCAGTGCTCTGGACTCTAATTATAATGATGGTGAAATCAATCCTATAAGCAATAAATCAGATTATGATTTTCAGATGATGTACCATATGAATGGTCTCACTGAAAAAAAGGAATGAACAATATATTTCTAAGGACAAAAAGAAAATATGGTGGCCAGGCACAGTGGCTCACACCTGTAATTCCAGCATTTTGGGAGGCCAAGGTGGGCGGATCACGAGGTCAGGAGATCAAGACCATCCTGGCTAACAAAGTGAAACCTCATCTCTACTAAAAATACAAAAATTAGCTGGCTGTGGTGGCGAGTGCCTGTAATCCCAGCTACTAGGGAGGCTGAGGCAGAATTGCTTGAACCCAGGAGGCAGAGGTTGCAGTGAGCCGAGATCACGCCACTGCACTCCAGCCTGGGTGACAGAGTGGGACTCCATCTCAAAAAAAAATTAATTAAAAAAAAAAAGAAAATATGGTATCCTCACTTAGTCATTTATTAGGAAGGACTTCAAATTACATTATTTCATGACAAAAACCTGGACATCCTTAAAGAATGTGTGATAATATTCTTCCATCTTTTATGACGTTTGTACACCAAAATTTACTTAATATGGTTCATAAGTGGACAAACGTTGAAGGCAGGTACATATGTTAAAGTACTTAAAAGGAAACAGATGATGTAAAAATGAAAAAAATTCATTAAAATGTTTTGCAATTACAGAGCATGCAATTATGAAGAAAGGTCGTCTTTTCTTCAACCAAATTACGACTCTCAAAGTTCTCAAATGTATTTGAATTTGGTAATATGTGTACAGAAGTAATGATAAGCCAAGACTTATCAGTGGTGTATTTGAGATCTGGAATTAGTATTGCATTTTGATGATACAAATACAAGAAGAACCAGAAGTAATTACAAGCTAGAACCTATTAGAAATGTATCTAAAATCTAGTATCAGTTATTTACACGATGCACATGTGCCAGATTCAAGCATGACAACTGACAAGTAAATACAGTTGACCCCTTGAACAACACAAATTTGAAGTACACAGGTCTACTTATAAGCAGATTTTCTTCTACCTCTGCCACCCCTGAGATAGCAAAGCCAATCTCTCTTCTTCCTCCCTCTTTTCAGCCTACTCAACATGAAGAAGGATGAAGACCTTTATGATGATCCATTTCCACTTAATGAACAGTTAACATATTTTCTCCTTATGATTGTCCTAATATTTTTCTCTAGTTTATCCTAAGAATATAGTATATAATACATATAACATACAAAATATGTATTAATTGGCTATTTGTGTTATTGATAAGACTTCCAGTCAGTAGCAGGCTATTAGTAGTTAAGTTGTGGGGAGTTGAAAGTTATACTCAGATTTTCAACTGAGCTGGCACTTGGTGCCCTTAACCCCCAACATTGTTCAAGGGTCAAAAGCAGTTACAGAGGACACTGACATATTTGAGCACACATTATCTTCAACTTGGAATACATGGAATTAAAATTTGGGTTTGCAGTGTTCAAATTCTTAGTAAAATTTCCAGTGAAGTTAATTTTCACTATCCTTTATTCTTTCGTCTGCACATTATTCACAAAAGGGCTTTAAAATATTTTTTAAAGTAAAAAGAATCCATTATACTTAAATGGTAAATGGCGATGACTAATTTTTCTAGTATATTCAGGGTTATCATAATACTGAAAACACTGCCAAAGATATACTGCCTACACATTACTGTGCACCTACTGTATATACGGCAGCGGTCACCAACCTTTCTGGCACCAGGGACTGGTTTCATGGAAGACAATTTTTCCATGGACCGAGGTTGGGGGATGGTTTCGGGATGAAACTGTTCCACCTCAGATAATCAGGTATTAGATTCTCATAAGGAGTACACAACCTAGATCCCTTGAATGCACAGTTCACAATAGGGTTTGTGCTCCTATGAGAATCTAATGCTACTACTGATGTGACAGGAGGCAGAGCTCAGACAGTAATGGTCGATCACCCACCACTCACCCTGCACTGGGCGCAGCTCAGTTCCTAACAGGCCATGCACCAGAATCCGCACCCCAAGCACTGGGGACCCTGATATAAGGCACTCCCAGGTATAGAAATTTAAAATATGAAAATACCATGATCTCATGAAGTTTAATATTTACCATGTAGCATGAGATGTGTACTTTGCAGTAACAATAACTTGAATGTCAATAAATCAACCAATAAAAGAGGGTATGATTTTCTTGGTTGTGTGTGGTAATTAGAAGCTATGTGTAGATATGATATACAAAATAACACTACAAAAGTGAAAATGAATTAGAGTTAATCAAATAGGATGAATCTTAGAAACAGAGCTCAGTAAAAAAACAAAAAGAAAAAAAGGCCATATATATGATTTTTAAAATAAGCAAAATGAAACATATATTGTAACTTCTACTTCCACAATGACGAAATAGCTTCTATAGGACTAAAACTCCTACTGAGAACTAGAAAAACTCAATTTAAAGAAAACAAACAAGCTGTTTAAAAGTAGTAAAGAGCAACTGAGTGCTTGAAGGGCAAAGATCTCAGAGAGAAAGCAAATATACTGAGGCAAAGTCAATAGTCTCTACTTCTTTCTTCCTTGGGAGATTTTTAGACCCTAAACTGTGCTGTGACAAGCTAAGAAACTAAACAGAGAGCAACAGGTAAGAGCCTAAGAAACTAAGTAAACCCTCTGAAAGTACTCCTATGCTAGGGGGCCAAAATTTGGAGTCCAGATTCCACCACGAAAGAGATGGGCCTGGTAAACAACCCTAGCTTTAAGTCAAGATCTCCAAGGGACTATGTCCTAGGAGCATAAGAATAAAGGGAGGAAAAAAAAAAAATAGAACAGGACATACAAAAAAAAAAAAAACAAAAATTAGTCTCTAATCATATCAATGCTAAATTGGATTAAGGTTATCCATCCCTACATTAACTGCCTTCTGAAAGAAAATTAAATTCTCTCTGAAAAAAAAATAGCATCGAGAGCTTAATAAATTTTTACATATTATGTCCAACAATCAACTAAAAAAAAAAATCAAGCATGTCAAAAGGCAGAACCAAACACCAAGGGAGAAAAAACAGAAAACAAAATTTACCCATAGATAATCAAGATATTGGAGTTATTAGGCACAGTCCTTTAAATCATCTGTGATCAATACATTCAAAGAAAAAAAAGGTAAAGAATTTCACCTGACAACTAGAAAATAACAAGAATGAAGATAAAATATAAATTTTATAACTTAAATAAATAGATAACTTGGTAGGCTTAAAAGCAGATTCAATGCAGCAGAAGAGAGACCTGGAAGTTAATCTGTGGAAAGTATCCAATTTAAGCATAAAGAAAATCAAAGTAGGAGAAATACAGGAAAAAAAAAAAGAGACATGGGATGTAGTAAAAAGATCTATGGGATGGAGTCTCAGAAGAGGTGGGAAAACGGTACAGAAACATTATCTGAAGAGAAACTGGCCAAAAATATTTCAAAATTGACAGAAGACATCAAGCCACAGATTCAACAAATGCTACAAACCCCAAGCCAGATAAATATTACACTCAATCAAACCTGGACACACGGAAAAAATACTAACAACCAATGACTTAAAAAACAGCGAGAGGAGGATAAAAGACATTTTAACTTCAAAGAAGCAATAATAATCCTGAGAAATGATATTTTTAAACAGAAACCATGGAATCAGAATATCTTTAAAGTGTTGGGAGGTCAGGGGAACCAATACCTGTAAACTTAGAATTCTACACCCAGCAAAAATATTCAAAAATGGAGGCAAAAAAAAGACATTTTTCAGAGACAAAAAAAACTGAGAGAATGTATCATCAGCAGGACCTCACTAAAAGAAACACTAAAGACAATTCTTTAAGCAGAAGAAAAGTAACTCCAAAGATAATGCTGGAGACCTACAGGAAAGAAGGGCAATAGAAACGGTAAATATATAACAACAATAGCATATAAAGACTCTTAGTGTTTAAGGTCCTAATATTGTCCAAGAAGTGATAAACATATTATTCTAGTAAGCCAATGATGTATGTTATAATTTCTAGGATAACCACTAAGAAAATAATTGAAAAATGTATAACTAACAAGCCTATAGAGAATAAAAGCAAATAGGAAAGCAACAGATTAATCCAAAGAAGACAAGAAAGGAGAGGAAAAAAGACAAATACTAAGGCAATAGAAACTACCAAAACTGTAGATTGAAACACGAACATATCCTAACTACCTTAATAAAAAACGAACTATATACTCCAATTAAAAGACAGTTTTATCAAACTGGATTGAAAAATTAAAATTCAACTATATGCTGTTTTACAAGACACATGACTTAAATGTAAGTATACAAAAATGTCTAAATGGAAAAGGATATACATGCAAAAACTCATCGAAAGAAAGCTGATATAGATACAGTAGAGCCTAGGGCAGGAAACATTACTAAAGATAAAAAGACACATTATATAATAATAAATGGGTCAATCATACAGGAAAATGTAATAATTTTAAGTATGTGACCGCTGAAAGACATGGCCTTAAAACATACAAAACAAAACACAAAAGAGCATATACTATATGATTCCATTCATTAAAAACTTCCAAAAGTCAGCATACTGGTTACCTTTGGGGAAGTGTATTAATTTGGAGGGGGCACACAGGAAGCTATGAAGGTGCTATGAATGTTGTGTTTCTTGATCTGGGTAGTGGTTACAAAGGCATGTTCATTTGTTAAAATTCATAAAATCATTTGCTTATAATTTCTGTTATCTTTTGGTAGGTTGGTTATCCTTCCTTAAAAACAAACTATATTTTAAAAAAACAAAAAAAACAAAAAAAAAGCAAGAAAGTGATTTAAAATATTCAAGACAGTGATTACCTCCAGCAGGGACAAGAAGAAAGGACTGAACACGGAACACCTTGGGCTTTGACAGTATTGGTAACATTCCTTTCCTAAACTCGGTGGCTTATTCACTGTACTGTACTTTAGACACACTTTACATACATGCTTTAATATACATCTAAAATACTCGAGATTTTTAAGAAAGAAAATAATTCCTTATACACCGACATGTCAACAGTAGCTTGTCTGTGGTTAGGCTCTGGTTATTTTATTTTTATTATTTCTACTTTTCTGTTTTTTCCAATTTTTATAAAATCACCTGTATTTCTTGATAATTTTTTAAATACTAATTTTTACAAAGGAAAAATTTATCCCAATTCTCTACCTCAGTTGCCCATAAAACACTTTATATAAAACATATTTTATAATCCAAAGGTAAAATTCTAAATAGTTATACAATAATTGATGGGTAAATTAAATTATTAACAAATTATGAATAAACTTTTTAGAATGGATATGTTCTATAGCTTGATTGTGCTGATAGTAAAAGAGATACCGGTATTTATCAAAACTCACTTAATTGGACACTTAAAATGAATGTATCTTATCAGATGTAAATTACACCTTAATAAAGTTGATTTTAAAAACTATTATTGCATATACATTAGAAGCAATTAGATAAGAACACTTTACATACAGTACCTACAAATTCCACAGTTTTCACAGTGATACTGCTTCTTATCTTTGTCAAACAAATGGCATATATCGCAATAATATTCTCCAAACAATGTGCTACATTCTTCACAAGTCTGTTGGGCCTAAAAAAGAAACATAATTAAAAACTGCAATAAACTAAACATTTTGAGTTACCATTTGAATATCTAGAACTTATGTTCAACTATATGCAGTTTATTTTTATAAGTTTTGAAACACCTAAACCAAAGATATTGCTTATTCTAGAAGTTAAAGAAATCTTATTTATGATACTTTTGATTAAATTTTTTCAAACCACCTTAATACAGCTTTTAAAAAGAAAATAGAAATGTCATAAAATCTTACATGTTGAATTTTTTCACAGTTTATGCACTGCACTTCCTTCACTTTAAAGCGATCTAGTTGATGATCTTCATTGTTATCATGACACAAGCGGCAAGTATAAAGCTTGTCACAGCAAGGTGCCTAACACCCACGGAGAAAAAAGAGATATAGTAAGAAGCAAAAGAAACTAAGTGTGCAATACAAAAAGAAAATTTCTTCCTCCTCCTCCTGGATGGAACTGAAAGATTACAACCAATAGATCAGTTGCTAAACTGATCCTAAACATAACATTTCACTAGTTTCTTGGCATATTTTATGTTAATTCTTCCCTTCAACATCACTACGTCTGTATGAAGTTGAACACAACTTTAAAACAAAAGAATTATGAAGGAAATCCCTAGATTGAAACACTAATCCCACAACACCTGATATGCTTTGGCTGTGTTCCCACCCAAATCTCAACTTGAAATGTATCTCCCAGAATTCCCACGTGTTGTGGGAGGGACTTAGAAGGAGGTAACTGAATCATGGGGGCCAGACTCTCCCGTGCCATTCTCGTGATAATGAATAAAATCTCATGAGATCTGATGGGTTTATCAGGAGTTTCCACTTTTGCTTCTTCCTCATTTTCTATTGCCACCACCATGTAAGAAGTGCCTTTTGTCTCCCGCCATGATTCTCAGGCCTCCCTAGCCATGTGGAACTGTAAGTCCAATTAAACCTCTTTTTCTTCCCAGTCTTGGGTATGTCTTTATCAGCAGTGTGAAAACAGACTAATATAACACCCCAATTTCATTCTGAGCCTAAACAGCAAACAGGCAACCTCTTCTTAGACATTTCCAGATAAATTCATTTACATTAAAAATAATAAAGATTATATTCTTATTTTACTAGCTTTTATTAATCATCAACCTCATATCTAATATTGCACAAAATGCAACAAATGTAAGAGACAGCCCTTGTTTTCAAACACGGCAAAGACTGCCAGTTGTCCACCAAAATCTATCCTCTCCTTCCTGGGCACAATTGTTCAGCTATATCAGACAGATGGCCACATGCCCTAAAACATGACAAAATGATACAACAGAAAAATCTCATCCCTGGAGTGACCATGTGGAGCAAAGCCTCATCACCAACCTGCATCACTCGCCTTGGAATTGTTAAATGGAAAGAAATAAAACCTTTACTCTTTAATCTACATCACTGTTGGGTTTTTTCATTACAGCAACTTTACCATTACAAGTATATCAAGAGATTTCCAGGCCAGTGACTTTCCAATACACTGTGACCTTGCAGATCCACTCATTTCTGAAGGCTTCCTATGCCTTGACTTACCATAACGTAGTTCATTCCTTAAAGATTTTAACACTTAACTGGCTTCCTTTTTCTGCAACTCTCAGTTCCTTAACTTTGTCATTTCCAATAACCTTGTCCTCCAACCCACTATTCTCATAGTTATACCGCAGAACAGTAGTTCTCAAATGGTTTGGTCTCAGGATCCCTTCACACTTTTTAAAATTACTGAGAATCCCAAAGAGCTTTGGTTTATGTGGATTTTATCTATTGACATATACCACATCATAAATTAAAAAGAATAGGTTTTTAAAATATTACTTCTTTTTAAAAGTAACAAACTCATTACTTGTTAACATAAATAACATGTTTTAATGAAAAATAACTATATTTTTCCCCCCAAACAGCTGAATTCTTCTATCTGCTTATGCATTCAAACAGTTGTGGCTGAAGTACAAAAAGAAACTCTGGCCTCACACAAATATGTACACTGGAAAAGAAAGGAGTATTTTAATAGCCTTTTTGGAGAATTATGGATATCATTCTCTGATATTACACTAGAACAACAACTCTTAAAGGGTAGTTGCAACATGAAATCTGAAATCGTATCAAGGAATATGATTGATATGATGCCTCTTTTCTTCCTTGGTTACATTAAAATCTATTGCTCTATCTTGCACTTCAAATGGATGTTTTACTCATGCATTGGTCATCTGGAGAATACCAGTTCAGTGAGTTATTTACATCTTCTAAATGTTCACACATTTAACATGCAATATCAAAAAATCATATTCATTAAAAGTCTTTAGGTATTGAAGAAAATCTCACCAAAAAAAGTCTTTTAAAAAGCTTCCAACCTCACAAAAGCTAGTAAAAGTTTTCCAAAATTCTAATTTTTGTGTGAAAGCTTGAATTTTATCACTGGCAACAAATACTGTCATTTTCATTTGTAGTGAGTCTCACTTTTCTCCTTTTTGAGAAAATGTCTGCCAACTACCCAAATGTGAATGACTACAATTTTTTCAAGTAAAAAATGCTGTTCCATGAAAAAAAGCAACTAGTTCACTTTACAATCCAATTTGCACAAGAGCTTTTCCTCAAGACAACCCTCTAATTTCAGTTTGCAGAAGTGTTTGATCAAAACTTCCCATGTCATTGAACAGCATATTAAAAGATATATTCAAGGGTTGAGATTTGGTTAAAATTAACGATTTTACTGCTTTATCAACATTTTTAAGTGAAGCTGGCTTTTTAAAAAAACTATAGGTGTAGTATAGTTCAGTGCCACTGTCTTGATTCAAGCTAAGATACTAGCAATACTAAACAGTGCTTTTCCACCATCAATGCGTGTGTCAACAGACTGAAAAAAAAAAAAAACAAATATCTTAGTGTTCATAGAAAGTAGTTTTGGCCTTGCAGAGCCCCTGAAAGGACTTCAGGAATCCCCAGGGTTCCATTCACCACACTTTGAAAACCAATGCTACAGAACAACGGCACCCTCTTTGCATCTCAATTCCAAGCATGAAATTCTCTAACCATTACCTCCTCCCTAACTTACTCCAAGTCTCCCCTTGCAACACCCTAGTTCCCTTCTCAGTTCCTCTACACTCATAGATAACAATCCCAACCCTAGTTAAATCCTATTTGACTTCTATCAGAAGCAGGTGAATATGGCTAGAGAAAAAGCATCACCGTCCTTGCTGGTTCATATGAGGTGGACACTTACTACCACGTTTCCCTGGTCAATTCTCTCATTCTTCCAGAGTCTAAGACCTAAGATTTAGATGATCATTTCACTTCTTCTCCTCTGGCTTTAAAACTCTAACAACTCTTCCTCCTTAACACTCTGCTGATGACCTTATTTCACTATAAAAACAGTAAACATACTTCCTGCTGACAGGCCTGAAAAGAACATCCTCCTATTATCTCTATTAACTTACTTGCAAATATACCTCATTCTCTGCCTTCCCTTAGGAAGAACTGACAGTCTATGTTTCTAAGGCCAACTCCTTCACTTGTGCACTGGATTTCATCCCCTTTGGCTACTCAGGGACAATGCCCTTACAGTTTTCTCACTCTCTCCTGCATTATAAAACGTTCTCACTCTATTGTATCATTTCCTAGAATATACAAACATGCTGTAATACTTCCTCTCTTAAAGAGGAAAAAATATGGTGCCAGATCTCCCAGCAACCACATCTTTTTTTTGCTCCCCTTTACAGCTAAACCCCAAGAATACCCTATAAGTGCTATTTTCAATTCCACTCCTCCCATTCTTTCCTAAATTCACTCTAATCCTGATCTCTCCACTAAAACTCCTCTTGTCAAGATCACCAGTGACCTCTTCCTTGCCAAATCCAAAGGGCAATTCTCAGTTATCTTACTCAAACAGCTGCATTTGACCCAGCTGACCACATCCTCCTTGAAATACTTCACTTGGCCTCTGGTATTTAAGGGGGGGGGGGGGGCGGGGGAAGGCAAAAACTGTTTGACACCTAGGGCGAAGTATCTTAGTGCTATGATACACAGATCTAATTGTGTGGTTTATGGGGGGCACCAAGATGTTAAATTCCGTTTTAGACCTCAAGTTTGAAAGAATAATAATACATCTCAGTAGAAATTGAATCATAAGGATAGCATTCAATTTCCTTACACAACACTTGGTGGATGACCAACATTTTTAAGGAGCTTCATCCAGTTCAGTGGAGCAATGTTCGTCAAGCCATGACCTATAGAAAAGAGTTTAGGATGCACGTACAGGCCTGAGACTTGAACTTGCTTCTAATAATGAGGCAGTGACCAGCAAGGCTGACTTGTGAAGTGAAAGAACAAAAAATAATAATACTCAGATTGACGATGATAGTAACAGTCATGGTGGTATATATTTACTACTCATTTACTTCAGGGAATGCGCCCTGTTAAACACTATACACGCCCTTTAGTATATAATCCTCATACACTTTTATGAAACAGGCGCGATCATCTCCATTTTACATACGGGGTAGAGAGGAGCTAGCTAAAATCAGTTATTAAAGAGGAGAGCTAAGATTTGGGGATAGGGCGGTTGAGGTTCCAAAGCTCAAGTTTTCTAAGCAAAATTTTTGTACTGTTTCTTGCAAGGAAAATCAGGAAACTTCAATTGAATACGTGCCAATTTAAAAAAAAATACAGATTAAGAAGTTTTCTCAGAGTAACAATACATGCTTATTAGGCACTTTCCTATGCATAATTTCCTATTTAATGGCAATTACATGATTGTCTTCTTTTTTGGGACACACGTTTTCTCCTACGTCTGAACATGTGCACTGCCTTTAACATGAAGCTGGCAGGCTATAAAACTTTACCACAGGAGCTGAAATCGTATTCGGGTTCTCCACTTGCTTATTTCCATTATCTCCACTTCCATTATTTCATCACACACCTGAACGGAAAACCCCAGTACAGGCCCGGGGCTGCCTCAGTCTACTTCGGCAGCAAAAGACGAATAAGCCCACTGGCAGAGACCACTGTGCAAGCCTAATCACTTCCCAAGAAGGGTTTTGCTTTAAAGGTACGAAGCAGGTAGGAAAGGTGGGGCTTATCGCCTTGCCAAAAACGTTCTCCTCAAGAAGAACCCAGTTCCAGGTGGAAAAGGTATCCTGAAAATCAGGTTAACCTCAAACTTAAATCCAAGCCTAACCACCTGCCCAGCCCGCCCCAGCCCAACCTGACGGAAGCTTGTCAGGGAAGAGTCCATAGAAGGCGTCACCTTTAGGAGACATCCTCTGTCATAGTGCTCGCAGCCCCGCTGACCTCGCTCTTGACCGCTGGCGCCATCTTCCCGGGCCGTCGCCGCCATCTCCTCCACCTCCCCTCACATTCCACCGATCCTTCCCCCAGGATAAAAACCACGCCCAGAGAAGCTGCGCCTCTCTAGCACACCCCTCCCAGCCCCAGCGGCCACTAGCGACAATATGGCTCCTAAGCACGTGACCCGGGGCAGACGGATTTCCGGTTCCCGGGGCTACGAGGCGGAAGCGAAGGCAGACGCAGTCTCCGTCGTTGACGTTAGTCGCAGTCTTCGCTGCTAACGGTAATAACTCTTAGGTTGCCTGTTTTCCCCCAATCGCTACCCGCCCAAATCTCAGGGCGTAGTTCGGCGCGAGGTTGGCGGCAGCGGCGCGGAGACGCTGGTTGGCCCCAGAGGAAAGGACGCTCACTGGGCGCATCGTTACCTGTGACGGGTCCTCCCTCTCTCCCTCCGGTGGCGGGGAGCCTGGAGAAAGGGGCGGAGCTCGGCCCGGGCCCTGGGCTCAGCGGGTCCCGCGCGCTGCTCTTGGACGCCAGGGTGCTCGCTGGCACCTCGAAGTGCTTCTTGCTTCCTCCCTTTCCCGTTTACTTGCTGTTCTTTCAAAATATGTACTGACATTCACTATTGCCAGTCACCAGCTAAACCGTGAGGACAAAAAGTAAGGAAAAATAGACACACTCCACCATGACCTCATGGAACTAACAAGACTGGTGGAGGAGGAAGACATTAATAAGAGCAATCACTGCAATAAATGTAAGATTACAACCTGGAGAAGTGCTAGGAAGAAGTGTGTGTCCTGTGAGAGCTAATATTAGAGCAGCTCTGACAATCTGAGTGTCAGTGAGGGAAGGCTTCCCTGGGGAAGCGATGCAAGCCGAGGGCTGAAAGATGGGTAGGAGTTAGTGTGCAAAAGGCTTTGTGGCACAAAGAACATGGTACCTGTTAGAAGGTGGAAGGAAAATGTACAAGCCAACAAAATTGAAATCATACTCGGGGTACACAGCTAAATATGTTTCTCCTTATTAAAGAGTCAAGGCCCTGGAAAATGATGTAAGCAAAGCTGCAGGTGTTAGAAGAAGATATTTGTCTTTAGCTTTCTATCCTGATTTTGTGTTTCCTAAAACACCGGGAAAGGGAAAATATTCCCCTTCAGCTTTCCGGTTACTAACTCTTAACATTCTAATTTTCTTTCAGTTTTGTTATGAGTTGCTAAAATGGTGAAATGCTGCTCCGCCATTGGATGTGCTTCTCGCTGCTTGCCAAATTCGAAGTTAAAAGGACTGACATTTCACGTGTAAGATTTTGCTGTAGTTAAGCCAAATACTTTGGCCATGTTATAAAAAGCAAAAGACAGTTCTACTTAAGTCTTCAATTTTGAACTTTAGTTCCCGAGTCCTTTTTAAATAACCTTTTTGTTAAATTTGAAGTGACAATGTGATACCTTTACATGTTTATAATTTAGTTTAAAAGTTTTAAGATATCAGAGACTTTAAGATATCAGAGACTGGTTTACAAAAAATACCATAAGGCTAACTTTTGCTAATATTATTACTTTGTATTTTATCACACCGCCAAAGAAATTCAATGTTGTTTACATGTAGTTTACAATCTGAATGAAGGAGCTTTGCTCGAATATATTGCCCTCTCTATTTAGAAGTAGATCAAGCATAGGTTATAGAGAAAAAATACAAATTACAAGTTAAGACCAAGGGATCTTTAGCTGTGTTGCAAATAAATCAAAATGATTTTAGTTTCATATTTTAGCCATTCTCTTGACAGCCATGAAGGAGTAAGTGAAGGAGTAATAAGATTTAATAGTTGTTCACTTGTTAAAGGTTTATTTTGCTGCTTTTGTGCCAGGCACTGTCCTATGTGTTAGAGAAAGATCTCCTAGCTATTTTGTTAGATATAATAAATCAAAACTGAGCATATATATCCTACCTTATTTTAGAAAAATTTGAACCAGCTTGAAAATTGAGTAAGATATGGCTATTAGGCCTTCATATCTCTCAAAATAGCTCTGATCTCCAGAACTCCACACTGCAGCTATTCTCTGCATTCATTCACTAAGCATCTGTAGACCTGCTATGTATTAAATGCTGTACTAAGCAATTTTCTGGTGCTGACAGAAGAATGGAATTACAAGGGGCCCTTTTTATCGAGGATAAATTCTGGATATCATTTCAGATAGGAAAAGGCCCAAGTGATAATTCTTTTATCATCTATAGATGAATAAATACCTTCAATTGTGGATCTTACTATAAGATGCTAAATATCCATTGAAACTTTTCTTCCTTATAATGTGAGAAAAAATGAAATGAGGGCCATATATCTGCAGCATGATTGGCAGAAAATCTGAATATTAAAACGGAAAGTAACAAAAGCATGAATTATGGTTTCCTAAATATTATAATTCTCAAGACTAATAAACTAGTTAACGAATCAATTTAGTCACAGTTGTATAAGGCAGCTTTAATTCAATTATATAGCAATAGTATTTGATTTTAAAATATTTTTTGTATTTTTTTTCTAGATTCCCCACAGATGAAAACATCAAAAGGAAATGGGTATTAGCAATGAAAAGACTTGATGTGAATGCAGCCGGCATTTGGGAGCCTAAAAAAGGAGATGTGTTGTGTTCGAGGCACTTTAAGAAGACAGATTTTGACAGAAGTGCTCCAAATATTAAACTGAAACCTGGAGTCATACCTTCTATCTTTGATTCTCCATATCACCTACAGGTTTGTTTATGAGATACTGTTTACCATCATTGCTCACTTTTTTTTTTTTTTTTTTTTGAGATAGAGTCTCGCTCTGTCACCAAGGCTGGAGTGCAGTGGCGCGATCTCAGCTCACTGCAATCTCTGCCTCCAGGGTTTAAGCAATTCTCTGCCTCAGCCTCCCGAGAAGCTGGGATTACAGGCACCTGCCACCACACCTGGCTAATTTTTGTATTTTTAGGAGAGATGGCGTTTCACCATCTTGGCCAGGCTGGTCTTGAACTCCTGACCTCGTGATCCACCCTCCTCGGCGTCCCAAAGTGCTGGGATTACAGGCATGAGCCACCGTGCCTGGCCATTGCTCACTTTTTATGATACTATTGAAGAACCTTCACCACTCTTGCTAACATTTTTATTGTTTGCTTATTCATTTGAAGTCTGTTCTTGAAGTTTTAAATTTGTAGACTGCATCTTCAACTTTTGTAATGTGTAGTAGGAGTATTTTACCAGTAACCACTCATAAATATTTGTATATTACTAAGGTTTGATGAAGTGGGCTGACTTTAGGAATTAGCATAACTGAAGATTTTTGTCTAAAAATGGAAGTTAACGTAAGAAGGTTGAACTGATGTTCCAAGTTGGCAGTCCTTAACACTGGGGCAGAAGTCAGGAGTAGAACCACTAACAGGACTAAAGTACTTGTAAGAGCCACATACATGCAAGCATAAAGTCTAGGTAGGATCAAAAGGAAGAAAACCAAAAAAGAGATCTAAGAACAGGAGAAGAAAAGGTCAGGAAAAGAAAGAACAGTCAAATAAGTAAACGCTAATTGAATTCCATGTTTTTTCTGGGTAATATTCCCATGGGTTGGCTGCCTCACCCTCAGTATCTCTCTTGACTTTGTATACCTGAAAGTGAATTTCTAGAACCTATAGACATTGATTGATTGATTCCAATGTGGAAAATTCAGGGAGAGCCTCCATTGAAAGGGATCTCCTTCCTGGCAACTAAAAACAAGAGAAGTAGCCAAAAGCGTACCCGCTCCCATGCAGTCCTGGTCACTTTCTGCAGTTGGTCATATTGTAGAACCTGAGTGATCAGGTAGAGAATGCCTCACTTTCTTCGGTGCTAATAAATATACAGTATCTTGGGAAAGTTGGTCTAGGGCTTTTGTTTTTTTTCCTACCACCAAGGTGTCATCTAGCCGTAATGTTAAGGGGACCTTAAGAAATATGGGCATAATAAATCAAATAAACCATAAGTTACCAACTTTCAAAAACTATTGATTTTCTTATAACAAATAAATTTTTCATTTTAGAAAATAAGATTATAGGAGCAAAAATAAAATAATCACATAATCCATAGATAATACTGTGAACACTTTGATCTGTATCTTTGTAATTATCCGTAAATATGCATCTATACTTATATAGATAATCTTCTGGAAATAGAATTATACTGTATACCTTTTCCTTTATTTGCTTTATTGGGTTTTTTAAAATAGTGTGTACTATGTGCCAGGCACTATTCCAAGTACTTTACATGTCTATTAACTCAGTCCTTGAAAGAACCATGTCAGGTAAATACTATTATTATTTTCATTTTATCACTTGAGAAAACTGAGGCCCAGAGAACTAGAATGCCCTTCCCAGGGTCACACCTCTATTAAATGGCAGAGGCTAGATTTGATCCCAGGCATTTTGACTTCAGAGTCTACTATTAACTACTACTCTCCATGACATTAAATATTTTCCTACACCGTAGCTTTCAAACTTTAGTCTACGTAAGGATTATCCAGTGAGTTTGTTTAAAATACAGAATCCTACATCTTCCAGAGAATTAGATTCAGTAAATTGGAGTGTACTTTCTAAAAAAGCATCCCAATCTGTTTGTGCTGCAGATCTATGGATCACATGTTTAAGAGAAACCTATGTAGAACATCACTTTTTTTTAACTAAACTTTATGTTGAAGTAAAATATATTTGTGGAAGAGTGCTTGTAAGTGTACAAATCAATGAGTTTTCACAAAGTGGGTACACTCATGTCACTCCCCTCAGACCAAGATATAAAACATTGCAAGTGACCCAGAAGCCTCCCTCACATGCTTTCCCAGTCACTACTGTCTTGACTTTATCACTGTCAATTATATACATGGAGTCCTGTCTACAGTATGTACTCTGGCTTCTTTAGCTCAACATCTTGTATGATTCATCCACATTGTAGCATGAGATACTGGTCCATTAATTTTCTTTGCTGTATGGTATTGCATTGTACAATTTCTTCATTCTACTATTGATAAATGTTTGGGTAGTTTTTCACACTGGGGTTATTATAAATTGTGCAGCTCTGAACATTTTGGGGCACATCTTTTTTTTTTTTTTAATTATGCTTTAAGTTTTAGGGTACATGTGCACATTGTGCAGGTTAGTTACATATGTATACATGTGCCATGCTGGTGCGCTGCACCCAGTAACTCATCATCTAGCATTAGGTATATCTCCCAATGCTATCCTTCCCCCCTCCCCCGACCCCACCACAGTCCCCAGAGTGTGATATTCCCCTTCCTGTGTCCATGTGATCTCATTGTTCATTTCCCACCTGTGAGTGAGAATACGCGGTGTTTGGTTTTTTGTTCTTGCGATAGTTTACTGAGAATGATGATTTCCAGTTTCATCCATGTCCCTACAAAGGACATGAACTCATCGTTTTTTATGGCTGCATAGTATTCCATGGTGTATATGTGCCACATTTTCTTAATCCAGTCTATCATTGTTGGACATTTGGCTTGGTTCCAAGTCTTTGCTATTGTGAATAATGCCGCAATAAACATACGTGTGCATGTGTCTTTATAGCAGCATGATTTATAGTCCTTTGGGTATATACCCAGTAATGGGATGGCTGGGTCAAATGGTATTTCTAGTTCTAGATCCCTGAGGAGTCGCCACACTGACTTCCACAATGGTTGAACTAGTTTACAGTCCCACCAACAGTGTCAAAGTGTTCCTATTTCTCCACATCCTCTCCAGCACCTGTTGTTTCCTGACTTTTTAATGATTGCCATTCTAACTGGTGTGAGATGGTATCTCATTGTGGTTTTGATTTGCATTTCTCTGATGGCCAGTGATGGTGAGCATTTTTTCATGTGTTTTTTGGCTGCGTAAATATCTTCTTTTGAGAAGTGTCTGTTCATGTCCTTTGCCCACTTTTTGATGGGGTTGTTTGTTTTTTTCTTGTAAATTTGTGTGAGTTCATTGTAGATTCTGGATATTAGCCCTTTGTCAGATGAGTAGGTTGCGAAAATTTTCTCCCATTTTGTAGGTTGCCGGGGCACATCTTTTGGTCCATTTATGTACACATTTCTATAGGGTATATATACGCTTCAATTAGAAGTGGGAATTACTGGTGATGTGGATGTTCAGCTTGGATACATATTGCCATAGCTTTCCAAAGTACTTTTGCAAATTTATAGTCTTACCATCAGCATATAAGAATTCCTTTGGTTCCATATCCTTGATAGTAGTTGGTGGTGTCAATTATATAGACGATTTTTTACTGACCATATAGTAGTTGATCCTACATATGAACAATAGTATGTGTAATCAGTCTTCAATATTGTGTATAGGCTGTCATCTTTCCTTATTTTAAACAGGACTAAAATGAACATTATTGTAGCTGGCTTATATCCTTATTTCCTTGAACTAAATTCTGCAAATAAAATTGTTGGATCAAAGACTATATACACTTTTTAAAGATTTGCTTTCAATAAAGATCATCCAAAGCCTCATTAGAAGGCTTGCACCAATCTATCCCCCTACTAGCTATGTGTAAGAATGTCTGCCTACCCTAATCGTTGGTATAAGTTGTGTTTGTAAACTTTGCTAAAATTGATAGGCAAAATGTTATCTTTTTGTTTTAATGTATCTATGAACACTCGTGCGTGTCTATGTTTTTTCATGTGTTTATTGGATATTTGTATTCTTTTGTGAGTTACTTATTCAGGTCCTCTTCTATTATCTTTTTCTATGCTGTTTTGTAAAAACACTGGATATTGAGGATAGGAATCATTTAACTGCCATCTACATTGCAGTTCCTTTTTTTTCTCCCCTTTCTCCCACATTCCTTCCCAGTTACTTTTTATTGTTTGTCTTCAGTTCTAGTTACGGCATGGGTTTATTTTTTTTTTGAAATTCAGGCTTTTTTCAATGTAGTCAATTCTATATTTTCTTGTGTTATATGACGTTAGCCTTTCTCACTTTAAGATTATATAAATATTCTTTATATTTTTTCTACCTCCTCATGGTTTTCTTTTTTACATAAAATTTCAGTACATGGAATTTCATTGTGGTTTATTATGTATAAAGGATACAACTGCTTCTCTTAATTAGTTGATTTTTACATGGTTTGTCGCCTTACTCTACTTATTTAGAATGCCACCTTTATCCTAAAGGCATCTATCTACTTGATGATCTATTTCTAGGTTTTTCTGTCTAGTCCTAACAAAAGAACACACTGTTTTAATTATTGTTACTGTATATTATATTTTTAATAGCTTGTAGGGTGTTTCCTTTTTAGGAAAATTTGTGTTTTCAGATAACCTTAGAGTTGATTTCAGAAAGTTCTTTTAAAATTATCTGGGTGGAATTTGCTGACTTTTAAAAGCAATTTCCATGAAAAGAAATGTGGTATTAACTTCACTATACAAAGTTAAGAAGGAATAAAAATTTAAGAAAGAACAAAAGTATCTCACTTGATGATTATTATTAACTACTCTTAACAGGGGAAAAGAGAAAAACTTCATTGTAGAAAAAACTTCACCCTCAAAACCGTTCCAGCCACTAACTACAATCACCATCTTGTTGGTGCTTCCTCATGTATTGAAGAATTCCAATCCCAGTTCATTTTTGTAAGTAAATTACTTGCTGAGCTCATGTTAATTCTTTTAAGATGAATATGTCCTCTCCATTACAATCAAATTTTTCAGAATCCTAGCAAAATCTAGGGGTTAATATGTAATATCTACAAATAATATTGCTTCCTAGAGTCATTGTAATTTATATATATGCAACAGCAAAATAGAGGTAGTTAATCCTTTGGTTACATATGTAGTTCACTGAAGAAGGCTTTTGCAAGGATATTTCTACCAAGGAAATAATTCTTCCCTCTAACTGCTATAATTTCCGTATGAAATATGTAATAAAAAATAGCTATTTAAGTTTTCTCAGTCATACACATACAGAGTATTCAAGCTTGCATTTATTTATTCATCTCATTGCTTATTCATGTTAGAGGCAGGCATGGAATCTAGATCTCTTTTACTATCTTGATTAATACAGGTTTATAATAATTTTTTCTATTTTTGTGGGTACATAGTAGGTATGTATATTTATAGGATACATGAGATTTATTTAGGTATACAATGCATGATAATCACATTAGGGTAAATAGGGTATCCATCACATTAAGCATTTATCTTTTATGTTACAAAAAATCCAATTATACTTTTAGTTATTTTTAAATATACAATAAATTATTGTTGGCTATCGTCACCCCATTGTACTATCAAATACTAGATCTTAGTCTGTCTAACTATATTTCTGTACCCATTAACCATCCCCACCTCCCCCCCATCCTACTACCTTTCCCAATCTCTCGTAACCATCATTTTACTGTCCTGTCCCTGTGGGTTCAGTTGTTTTGATTTTTAGATCCTGCAAATAAGTGAGAATATGTAATGTTTGTCTTTCTTTGCCTGGCTTATTTCACTTAACATAAAGTTCTCCATTTCTATCTGTGTTGTTACAAATGTCTAAATCTCATTTTTTTTAATGGCTTAATAGTACTCCATGGTGTTTAAGCACCACATTTTCTTTATCCATTCATCTGTTGATGGACACTTAGGTTTTTTCCAAATATCGGCTATTGTGAACAGTCTGCAACAAACATGGGAGTGCAGATATCCCTTTGATGTACTGGTTTCCTTTCTTTGGAAAGGAAAGGGTGTATACCACACCCAGCAGTGGGATTGCTGGATCATACAGTAGCTCTATTTTAGTTTTTTGAGGAACTTCCAAACTGTTCTCCATAGTGGTTGTACTAATTTCCCCCGACAGTGTACAGGGTTCCTTTTTCTCCACATCCTTGCCAGCATTTGTTGTTGCCTGTTTTAGGTATAAAAGCCATTTTAACTGGCATGAGATATTTTCTTATTGTAGATTTGATTTGCATTTCTCTGATGATCAGTGATAATGCGTACCTTTTCATATGCCTGTTTGCCATTCCTATGTCTTCTTTTGAAAAAATGTGTATTCAGATGTTTTGCCCAGTATTTAATCGAATTTTTAGATTTCTTTCCTGTTGAGTTTTTTGAGCCCCTTATATATTCTGGTTATCAATCCCTTGTCAGATGGATAGTTTGCAAACATTTTGTCCCATTCTGTGGGTTGTCTCTTCACTTTGTTGATTGTTTCCTTTGCTGTGCAGAAGCTTTTTAACTTGATGTGATCCCATTTGTCCGTTTTGCTTTGGTTGCCTGTGCTTGTGGGATATTACTCAAGAAATCTTTAGGCCGGGTGTGATGGCTCATGCCTGTAATCCCAGCACTTTGGGAGGCCAAGGTGGATAGATTGCTTGAGCTCAGGAGTTCGAGACCAGCCTGGGAAACATGGTGAAACCCCATCTTTACCAAAAATACAAAAAAATTAGCTGGGGGTGGTGGCATATGCCTACCCAGCTGCTCAGGAGGCTGAGTGGGAGGATCGCTTGAGCCCTGGAGATCAAGGCTGCAGTGAGCTTGATCGCATTCACTGTACTCCAGCCTGGGCAACAAAGTGAGAACCTGTCTCAAAAAAAAAAAAAAAAAAAAAGAAAAGAAATCTTAGCCCAGACCAATGTCCTGGAGAGTTTCCCCAATGTTTTCTTGTAGTCGTTTCATAGTTTGAGGTCTTAGATTTAATTCTTTAATCCATTTTGATTTGATTTTTGTATATTGTAAGAAGTAGGGGTCTAGTTTAGTTTTTCTGCATATGGATATCCAGTTTTACCAGCACCGTTTATTGAAGAGACTGTCTTTTCCCCAGTTTATGTTCTTGGCACCTTTGTCAAAAGTGAGTTCGCTGTAGGTGTGTGGATTTGTTTCTGAGTTCTCTTTTCTGTTCCATTGGTCTGTGTGTTTGTGTTTAAGTTTATGGCATCTTTAACTTATCACAGGCTATGTTAAAGTGGTATTACTCCCCTTTATGTACAAAAATCTTATAGTCGTATACTTTCGTTTTTCCTTTCTCAATCTTTGTGCTATTGCTGTCATGCATTTCACTTTTACATATGCTATAGACTCCACACCATTATTGTTATTATTTTTGTTTAAACAGTAAATTATTCTTTAAAGAGATTTAGATAATAAGAAAAAAATTGATATTATCCATATAGGTGCCATTTCCAGGGCTTTTCATTCCTTTGTGTCAGTCCATATTTCCACCTGTTATCATTTTGCCTACAGGACTTACTTTAACATTTCCTATAGTGCAACTATGCTGGTGATGAATTCTTTCAGTATTTCTGTTGCTTAAAAAGTTTAATCTTCACTTTTGAAAGATATTTTCACTAGGTAATCAAATTCTAGGTTAACAGTTTTGGGGGCGGGGGCAGTTGTTTTTGGTACTTTTTAAGACGTTGCCCTGCTGTATTCTTACATGCACCATTTCTAATGAAAAATTTAATTAATGTCATACTCACCTTTATTCTCTGTACCTAATACTTCTTTTTTTCTTTGCTTTTAAGAATTTTTCTTTTTTTAAATTTTTTATTTATTTATTTTTGGAGACAGGGTTTCCCTCTGTCACCCATGCTAGAGTGCAGTGGCACACTCACAACTCACTGCAGCGTCAACCTCCCAGGCTCAAGCAATCCCTCCACCTCAGCCTCCTGAGTAGCTGGGACTTACAGACATGTGCCACCATGCCAAGCTAATTTTTGTTTGTTTTTGTAGAGACCAGATTTCTCCATGTTGCCCAGGCTGGTCTCAAACTCCTAAGCTCAGGCGATCCCCCTGCCTCGGCCTCCCTAAGTGCTGGGCCAGGCGTGAGCCACCGTGCTGGACAATAATTTTTGTTTTTTTCTACTGCTTTTGCCTAATCTGATGATGATATGCCTTGGTTTCATTTTCTTCATATTTCTTGTAATTAAGATTTGTTGAGCTTTTTTATTTAGCAGTTTATACTTTTTATCAAACTTGGAAAAATTTTGGCCATGATTTCTTCAAATATTTCTTTCTATCCCAATTTTTCCCCTCCTTCAGGAATTCTAATTATGTGTATATTAGGCTGTCTGAAATTGTGCAACATGTTACTGATGCTTTATTTTTTTTCTATCTCCTTTTCTCTCTGTAGTCCATACTGGATAGTTCCTGTTGCTGTAACTTTACATTCACGAAATCTTTTCTTCTTCAAAAAATACACTGCCATTCTCTCCAGTGTATTTTTTTACCTCACACATCAGTTATCTGTAGATATTCTATTAGAGTCTTTTTTATATATTTTATGTACTTAACTTTTTGAATATATAGAATACAATTTTAATAACTTTCTTAATTGTCTGCTAATTCTAACATTTGTGTCAGTTCCGGCTTGGTTTCCATTGATTGATTTATCTCTTATTATGACTAATGTTTTCCTGCTTATTTGCATGCCTGGTAAATTTTGCATGCCATGAATTTTGGGTTTTAATTTGCCAGATGCTAGATATTTTTGTATCATGTTTTCTTGAGCATTGTTCTGGAGTACAGTTAGTTAGAAACTGTTCGACCCTTTCAGATTTTACTTTGTTTGACAAGACTGTTTTGCATACTTAGTGTCCATGAATCTTGACATTTTCAAGTCTGGCTAGTGGGAATAGTGGCTATACCCTGTGAGCACAGGGCACTCCTAATCTCTGGTTGTTCTTTCCTCAGCCTTGAGTAGTTTCCTCATGTGCATGTGCTGATCTTACTCCATGGAATACTCAAAGGGGAGCCTCTGAAGATCTTGAGTTTTTTCTGTGCAGCTCTCACCTGTCTAGTACTTTGTCCTGTGAACTGTAGCTACTTTGGTCTCCCTGGATGTTTTGCACTACCTCCTCAGCTCAGTCTGCTAAGCTCTGCCTGGGTTTCCCTTCCTTGCCCTGAGGCCGAGAAACTCTCAGGCAGTTAGCTGGAGCAGTCTTAGGTCTCACCTCTTTGCTTCCCATCTGTCCACAATAGCTGCTGTCCTTGCCAAATATCCATTATCTTAAGAGCTATTTTTTTCTGTCTTTTAGCCTTGTGTTGGTTCTTGGAGGTAGGGGTCAATCCAGTCTCTGTTACTTCATCTTGGCTGGAAATAAAAGTCTTCTTTACTAATTTTAATATTAAATAATAGCTTTTCAAAATTATTTTATAGTACCTTTATAAGCTATGTCAGTGTTATTTTCCCTATTCTCAAATGAAAAAGGAATAAAAGCATACCCAGCAAATTTAAGCATAACCATAATAAACACCAAGAGGAGTTGTCTCTTGAAAATTCCAAGACCAGAGTCCTCTCTAAATCCCCAACACCGAGCCTGAGAACCTGCTGCAGTACTCTTTTCCTGTCACACCTTATCAAATGCAATAGCCATCCAATAAAGTAACCCAGTTAAAAACTTAATTTAAATTTGTTTGATAGGTAAAAATTAAACTTAGCAGCACCACATTGAATGAACAAAAGCTGTAGAGTCATTGCAAGTGTCATGCTATTCATAGAGATAAGTGCTTCCCATCCATAATATTCTGCAGTCTTTGTGTATGCCTGGCCTTAGTAAAAGGAGGGATGCCCTTAGCACCCTAAATATTGCTTCTACCCCCATCTTCTTCCTGTGTTCCTTAAACCTCTATCACCAACTTAAAAATGTTCTCCAGGCATTGTAAATGAAGAAACAGCTTAGACCTAGTTATAAGCTTTTATCCAACTACATATCTGTCTGATTTAATAACTTGGTGTTTATGTTTTTAGGAACATAGCTACAGTGTAATGGACAGTCCAAAGAAACTTAAGCATAAATTAGATCATGTGATCGGCGAGCTAGAGGATACAAAGGAAAGTCTACGGAATGTTTTAGACCGAGAAAAACGTTTTCAGAAATCATTGAGGAAGACAATCAGGGAATTAAAGGATGAATGTCTGATCAGCCAAGAAACAGCAAATAGACTGGACACTTTCTGTTGGGACTGTTGTCAGGAGAGCATAGAACAGGACTATATTTCATGAAATAATTTCATGTTACGTTCCACCTAAAATTGTCATTGGTACAAATTTTTATAAAATCTCATTTACCATCACTAAATAATATCCATCATTTAAAGTGCTGCTTTGGATTCTCTGGAGCATTATGCATTATAGTTGTTATCCAAAGACTTTTTTGAAAATATGCAGAAATTTGTGGTAATTATGTATTTGTGTCTTGTGACAATTATGTTTTATAGACCTACACTAGTGCCAGGTCACTATTGTAAGATGTTAAAATCTCAAGAAAATTTCACAGAGCTAAAGAAATGATGTCAAATTAGTCACATTAAGCTATAGTAGAAGGAATTGGACACTTCTCCAGATATTTGGCTTCAAAGGAGTACCTTTACTTACATGTGCTTTATGGTAAGTACATTGAATTTTACTTTAAATGCATTTTACTACAAAGCACAATTCATTTGTAATGCATATCCATCTTGGATTCAATCCAAGGTGCTTTAGCTATCAGTAGTACCAAAGGATCTTTTTACAAGGCTTCCTGTGGTATTGACTCTGAGAATAACACATAGTGAAGATCTGTGGGCTTTTAAAATTGTTCACAGCCAATTTAAGAAGACCCCTCATGAAGTCTCAGTTTTCAGTACAGTACATCATTCCTCCTCACTAGGAGCACTTTGATGTAAACCAGAATAGCTTTAAAAAGACAAAAAGGATCGTAGATCTGATTTTTAAATGGTTGGTTGCTCTGACAGATCTGAACACTTTGCTTCATGACTATTTCGTCATAAAGGTATATGTTTAAAATCTGAATGGCAGTACTAGCTCTATACTTTTAATACTGCTTTGTATTTTATATGTAAAGTAGTATTGCTGACATTTTAAAAAAATACAAAATACAAAAGAAACCATTAGAAATTAATAACTGTGGCTCTTCCAGTTGAAATAGGAATTGGAGAGAAAGGATTAGAATATTTTAATTAGGGGAGTAGATTATTGTCCAAAGGCTTTTATTTAGAGAAACGGGTAATTAAAACAGCAGCTTTAGAATAGCTTCTTACTGAATATGCAAAAGAATAATTCCTTGTTATTTCCTAATTGATCCAAGTCTCATAAATTTAGCTTTTGTCATAATTCCTTACCGAAAACAACTGAAATTGAGAGTCATAAATACTGTGGGTTAGAATAAAAACCATTTGCCAAAGCAACACTCTACTTAGAAGCACATGTACATACATGGACCTCATTCAGAAGTCCATGTTGTAGCAGTTAGAATTTGAGTATCAGCCATTTCATTGTAGTAACAAAAATTGAATTGCATTTTGTGCTCAGTTGTTTATTGTAATTTTATTTTTGTTACATTAATATTAGTTAAGATATGGTCACTTGAATTTTTTGTATTTAAGAATTTTCTGTTTTAATGCATGTTATACTTTTATGTAGGATTCCAAACCTTCCCTCTAAATGGGATTTAACCCACATCTGCGAGATCAGCGTTATGCTAAGAGGAAATCACTGAGGCCATATCTTTTTACAATCTGAAAAAAAAGTAGTAAAAAGGTAGTTAAAAAAAAAAAAGGCCGGGTGGTGGCTCATACCTGTAATCCTAGCACTTTGGGAGGCCAAGGCAGGCAGATCACTTGAGGTCAGGGGTTCAAAACCAGCCTGGCCAAGATGGTGAAACCCCATCTCTGCTAAAAATACAAAAAAAAATTAGCCGGGCATGGTGGCACGTGCCTGTAATCCCAGCTACTTGGGAGACTGAGGCAGGAGAATTGCTTGAACCCGGGAGGCGGAGATTGCAGTGAGCCAAGATCACGCCGTTGCACTCCAGCCTGAGCAACAGAGCAAGACTCCATCTCAAAAAAACAAAACTACTTTCATTAATTACCCATTATTTATTTTAGTTACTTAATTTTGAGTTCATAAATGGCCACCCTAATGGAAAGTTTGGGTATGATCTTAGGTTTTATGGAGATGTTTTCAATAGAGATTATTTTTCCCTCACCCTATTTGTGAATATATAAATTAAAGTAAGACAATGGAGTAAGTAAGAGGGTAGATCCAAACACAGTATGTCTAAATTCTAGCACTCTACTGGCTGCTTAGAATACACCAAACCTGGAAGACCTTTCCAAGAGTAAAATCCCAGTCTGCCACTATCAAAATTGCCACAGTCACTTTTACTACTTGTGTTCATAGTAGACTCAGCACTTCTTTTTCACTGGACCTAGTATAACTGAGAAATAAATAACTGTGTGCAAAATATTGGTATCATTAAGGACCCAGAGCTGCCCATTTTCTCTTTGTTCTAATAGGGAAGCAATTACTGATAGAAATGTGAGATTAAAAATAGGGTCCTCCCTGCTGCTCCAAACAAATGCCTAAACACAGTATGTATCTCAGTCCTCTGTTCCCAGAGATTCCACCCTAGCCCAGGAAAGAACTGGCCTGTGTAAAGCAAAACCCAAGTCATCCCCCTCCAGAAATTTCTCTGGCAGCCAAGCCTGACCCTAAGGGTTCCACTTTGCTTTAAAAGCTAGGAGTGGCCTCTAGAGCCAGGAACACATTAATACAACAGTTCAACCTCAGCACCAAGTCAGGTACGAAGCGCTTGATACGTGGAATTTTTCTCTATATCAAGTTTAAATTTCTGGAAATAGACTTTGGTTGCTAATGACAATTACAGTTATACCATAGTCTGTAATTTGAGAAAAGGTGAAATGTATTTAATATATATTTAGTTTTAATAAAAAGATAAAATTATTACAGAAATAATTGAGAGAGAGAAAATCTATTATAATTTATTTGAAAAATAAAACATTTTATCCAGTAATGTGTTATGTGGTTTTATACATTGAGTTATTCAATAAAATGGGCAGAGAAAAATGAAGAGTACGTACGTAGAGGTTTTGCTCTAATTTCTCCTCCACCAATAACTCTAATATGGGGTCTGCAAGGTTAGATGACCCACGTAGCAGGCCAGCTTTCAGCACAATATGGACCTATCATAGAGCCCTTTTCTGCATTGGCCCTCACTCAAAACTGTCAGATATGATGTCACCCAGTATATAAAGGAGAGCAGCATTCCTAGGTGTGAAATATGCTGCCTTTAGAACCCAAAGAGGCCTGTCAGGCATTGTGCTTTCTTCTTCATAGTGGAACATACAGGTTGTAAATAACTTGTCTCTTACTTTAGAGGGGATGTCTTAGCATGCCGCAGATCACTGGATACTTCTCCCCCAAAATTTTACTGATGTTTATAGGCCCCTGAATTTCATAAGTTTTATCTCACCATCTGGAGCACATGTGCTTTATCAAGGCCTCCAATTAACTAGTCCTCCCATTGGATTAACATAATCCATCAGTAGAGTGAACTAAGTGATTTTCCATAGAATGTCTGTCTGGTCTAGACTTCTTTCAATTATAACAGAAGCAAGATCATTAACATAACCTTGGGGACAAGACCATATATGTATACTGTGGTTTTTTCCATGTGAATGTGAGCTGTTTCTGATCCTTTAATAGGGATGGAAAACCATGCACCCAATGGTTGTATGGCATCTACCCATAGACATGTTAATCTGCTCTAACAAAGATGCCACATCATGCATAGCAGCTGTAATCAGGGCTACTCGTTGGTTGAATTGTCCTTAGTCCAACTGTCATCTTGCAGGGTCTGTCTAAATTTTGCAGGGGACAGAATGGTGAATTAAATGAAGAGAGATGGTGGAGGCCACCATTCATGTCTATCTTGTATGTCTGTAAAGGTAGCACCTCAGTGAGCCCCACAGAAAACTCTGAAACTGGGGTCATACACAAAAATGAGTTAACATAGGCATGAAACTGCTATCCTTGGAAAGGCCTGCAAGGTTGCAAGGTTAGTTCTTGAGTGGCATCTGGAAATTTGGATTCCACCATTCCCTAACTGATAAGAGTAGCTCACTGTGCCAGACTGTTTGTACAGACAAGGTGGTTTATGCAGAACACCCAGTTTCCTTCTGGGAGTCTGGATTTGAGAATCTGTTAGGTAAAGGGGGGCTGTATGACCAGCCCCAAATAAAACCTTGAACATTGAATCTTTAATGAGCTTCCCTGGTAGGCAACGTGTATTGTCACAGTTCAGCACTATAAGACTTAAATGTGTCCTGTGTGATTACACTGAGGAAGGACTCAGAAGCTACACCTGGTTTCCTCTAGACTTTGTACCATGTGCCTTTTCCCTTAGCTGATTGTGCTTCTTCTTTGTATCCTTTTGCTATAATCATAGCCTTGAGTACAACTATATGCCGAATTCTGTGAGTCCTTCTAGTGAATCATGAAACTTGTGTGTGTGCTCTTGGGGACCTCAACACAGATGACCTTCCAAACTTGTCCTGCATTAGGGCAAAGAAGCTATATTAATCCGTTTTCACACTGCTGATAAAGACATACCCGAGACTGAGCACTTTATAAAAGAAAGAAGTTTAATGGACTTATAGTTCCACATGGCTGGGGAGGCCTCATAATCATGGCAGAAGGCAAGGAGGAGCAAGTCACATCTTACATGGATGACAGCAGGCAAAAAGAGCTTCTGCAGAGAAACTCCCCTTTTTTTTTTTTTTCTTTCAAATCATCGGATCTCATGAGACCCATTCACTATTACCAGAATGGCATAGGAAAGACCCGCCCTCATGATTCAGTCATCTCCCACTGGGTCTCTCCCACTGGGTCCCTCCCACAACACATGGGAATTATGGGAGCTACAAGATGAGATTTGGGTGGGGACACAGAGCCAAACCGTGTCATTCCGCCCCAGCCCCTCCCAAATCTCATATCTTCACATTTCAAAACCAATCATGCCTTTCCAACAGTCCCCCAAAGTCTCAATTCATTTCAGCATTAACTCAAAAGTCCACAGCCCAAAGTCTCATCTGAGACAGGGCAATTCCCTTCCGCCTATGAGCCTATAAAATCAAAAGCAAGTTAGTTACTTCCTAGATACAATGAGGTACAGGCATTAGGTAAATACAGCCATTCAAATGGGAGAAATTGGCCAAAACAAAGAGGCTACAGGCCCCATGCAAGTCTGAAGTCCAGCAGGGCAGGCAAATCTTAAGCTTCAAAATTATCTCCTTTGACTCCATGTCTCACATTCAGGTAATGCTAATGCAAGGCATAGGTTTCTATAGTCTTGGGCAGCTCCTTCCCTGTGGCTTTGCAGGGTACAGCCTCCCTCCTGGCTGCCTTTATGGGCTGGCATTGAATGTCTGTGACTTTTCCAGGCTCACAGTGCAAGCTGTTGGTGGATCTACCATTCTAGGGTCTGGAGGACGTTGGTCCTCTTCTCACAGCTCCACTAGGCAGTGCCCAGTAGGGACTCTGTGTGGGGGTTCCAACTCCACATTTCCCTTCTGCACTGCCCTAGCAGAGGTTCTCCATGAGGACCCTGGCCCTACAACAAACTTCTGCCTGGGCATCCAGGCATTTCCATACATCTGAAATTTAGGCGGAGATGCCCAAACCTCAGTTCTTGACTTCTGTGCACTCAAAGGCTCAACATCATATGGAAGCTGCCAAGGCTTGAGACTTGCACCCTCTGAAGCCACGGCCCAAGGTGTATGTTGGCTCCTTTCAGCCATGGCTGGAGTGGCTGGGACACAGGGCACCAAGTCCCTGGGCTGCACACAACACGGGGACCCTGGGCCTGGCCCACAAAACCATACTTTCCTCCTAGGCCTCCAGACCTGTGATGGAAGGGGCTGCCTTGAAGATCGCTGACATGCCCTGGAGACATTTTCCCCATTGTCTTGGGGATTAACATTCAGCTCCTCATTACTTACGCAAGTTTCTGCAGCCGGCTTGAATTTCTCTTCAGAAAATGGGATTTTCTTTTTATTGCAAGTTGGGCTGCAAATTTTCTGAACTTTTATGCTCTCCTTTCCTTATAAAACTGAATGCCTTTAACAGTACCCAAGTCACCTCTTGAATGCTTTGCCGCTTAGAAATTGCTTCCACCAGATACCCTAAATCATCTCTCTCAAGTACAAAGTTCCACAGATCTCTAGGGCAGGGGCAAAATGCTGCCAGTTTCTTTACTAAAACATATCAAGAGTCACCTTTGCTCCAGTTCCCAACAAGTTCCTCATCTCCATCTGAGACCACCTCAGCCTGGATTTCATTGTCCATATTGTTACCAGCATTTTAGTCAAAGCCATTCAACAAGTCTCTAGGGAGTTCCAAACTTTCCCACATTTTCGTATCTTCTTCTGAGCCCTCTAAACTGTTCCAACCTCTGCCTGTTACCCAGTTCCAAGCTTGCTTCCACATTTTCAGGTATCTTTCCATCAGCACCCCACTCTCGGTACCAATTTGCTGTATTAGTCCATTTTCACAATGCTGATAAAGACATACCCGAGACTGGGCAATTTACAAAAGAAAGAAGTTAAATGGATTTACAGTTCCACATGGCTGGGGAGGCCTCACAATCATGGTGGAAGGCAAGGAGGAGCAAGTCACATCTTACATGGATGGCAGCAGGCAAAAAGAGCTTGTGCAGAGAAACTCCTGTTGTTGTTTTTTTCCTTTTTTTCAAATTTTTTTTTATTATACTTTAAGTTCTAGGGTACATGTGCACAACATGCAGGTTCCTTACATATGTATACATGTGCCATGTTGGTGTGCTGCATCCATTAACTCGTCATTTACATTATGTATATATCCTAATGCTATCCCTCCCCCTCCCCCCACCGCACAACAGGCCCCAGTGTGTGATGTTCCCCTTCCTGTGTCCAGGTGTTCTCATTGTTCAATTCCCACCTATGAGTGAGAACATGCAGTGTTTGGTTTTTTGTCCTTGCAATAGTTTGCTGAGAATGATGGTTTCCAGCTTCATCCATGTCCCTACAAAGGACATGAACTCATCCTTTTTCATGGCTGCATAGTATTCTATGGTGTATATGTGCCACATTTTCTTAATCCAGTCTATCATTGTTGGACATTTGGGTTGGTTCCAAGTCTTTGCTATTGTGAATAGTGCTGCAATAAACATACAATGGAACAGAACAGAGCCCTCAGAAATAATACCACACATCTACAACCATCTGACCTTTGACAAACCTGACAAAAACAAGAAATGGGGAAAGGTTTCCCTATTTAACAAATGGTGCTGGGAAAACTGGCTAGTCATATGTAGAAAGCTGAAACTGGATCCCTTCCTGACACCTTATACAAAAATTAATTCAAGATGGATTAAAGACTTAAATATTAGACCTAAAACCATAAAAACCCTAGAAGAAAACCTAGGCAATACCATTCAGGACGTAGGCATGGGCAAGGACTTCATGTCTAAATCACCAAAAGCAATGGCAACAGAAGCCAAAATTGACAAATTGGATCTAATGAAACTAAAGAGCTTCTGCACAGCAAAAGAAACTACCATCAGAGTGAACAGGCAACCTACAGAATGGGAGAAAATTTTTGCAATCTACTCATCTGACAAAGGGCTAATATCCAGAATCTACAAAGAACTCAAATAAATTTACAAGAAAAAAACAACCCCATCAACAAGTGGGCAAAGGATATGAACAGACACTTCTCAAAAGAAGACATTTATGCAGCCAACAGACACATGAAAAAAATGCTCATCATCACTGGCCATCAGAGAAATGCAAATCAAAACCACAATGATATACCATCTCACACCAGTTAGAAGGGCGATCATTAAAAAGTCAGGAAACGACAGGTGCTGGAGAGGTTGTGGAGAAATAGGAACACTGTTGGTGGGACTGTCAACTAGTTCAACCATTGTGGAAGTCAGTGTGGTGATTCCTCAGGGATCTAGAACTAGAAATACCATTTGACCCAGCCATCCCATTACTGGGTATATACCCAAAGGATTATAAATCAGGCTGCTATAAAGACACATGCACACGTATGAGAAACTCCTGTTTTTTAAGAAACTATCAGATCTCATGAGACCCATTCACTATCATGAGAACAGCACAGGAAAGACCTGCCCCCATGGTTCATTCATCTCCAACTGGGTCCCTCCCACAACACATGGGGAACTACAAGATGAAATTTAGGTGGGGACACAGAGCCAAACCATATCAGAAGCTATGCCTTTATACACTTGTATCACCAGTTATTTGATGAGGGCTGCCCCATGAAGAGGGCATGCCATCCAGCAAGGCAGTTCAACTGAAGCAATTTCTGAAGAAGGCTGAGGTCTGTCTTCAGGAGCACTCCCAGCAGCTGGAGGAATAAGTCCTTTGTTCCTGAAGGGAGTTCTGTACCTCAGAGTTCATCATCTTTTTGAACTCCCTAGCACTCACTTCTTTCTATTCTGCTCTAACCCAGAGTTACTCTGTAATCTAATGCTCTCAGTAATGAAGAATTAGTGATATGTCAACCAACTTCAGAGTAAAACTGCTCTAGCAGGTCCCTCTAGTTATGAAAAGATGCATTTCCCAAAGATCTGTTGTATGTTGGAGATTTACTATGGTATTAACCATAGTTAATATAATATGTTAACTTACTATGGTGCTTACTTAGTACTAAGTACTAAGGTACTTTTTGTACCTTTTGCATTAGATTCAGCATAAACTGGGTAAAGATGGAAAATCAGACATGAGCTGGTATAATACCAGGCAGTCTGCAAAACTATCCAGACATCTAAAACAATGCCTTTCTGTACATTGCAATCTACCTGGGTACCTACATCATAACTGACAAATTTCTCTGTCCTAGCTCCACTTCTATTGATTGTATACCCTTAACATCTCTCAGATACAGCCCCTTTCCCACTCAATCTCTAGGACCATTTCCTTGGTTTAAGCTGTTATTTGTTAACTTGATTACTGCAAGAAAGTCTTTGGTCTCCCTGTTTCCAGTCTATCTCCAGAGGGGTTTTTCTAAAATGCATATATCAATAATTATATTAAACACAAGTGATCTAAAAATCCCAATTAAAAGGCAGGGATTGTGAGACTGGATTAAAAAGTAAAACCCAGACTGGGCACAGTGGTTCACGCCTGTAATCCCAGCACTTTGGGAGGCCAAGGCAGGCAGATCACCTGAGGTCGGGAGTTCAAGACCAGCCTGACCAACATGGAGAAACCCCATCTCCACTAAAAATACAAAATTAGCCAGGTGTGGTGGTGCATGCCTGTAATCCCAGCTACTCAGGAGGCTGAGGCAGGAAAATTGCTTGAACCTGGGAGGTGGAGGTTGCGGTGAGCTGAGATCATGCCATTGCACTGCAGCCTGGGCAACAAGAGCAAAACTCCATCTAAAAAAAAAGAGAGAAGCCCAATCATATGCTGGATACAGACAGTTACTTCATTTTTAATTTATTTTATTTAGTTAGTTATTGAAACAGGGTCTCACTCTGTCTCCCAGACTGGTGCAGTGGCATGATCACGTCTCACTGCAACCTCCACCTACTGGGCTCAAGCGATCCTCCCACCTGGGACTACAGGTGTGCACCACCGTGCCTAGCTAATTTTTGTATTTTTTGTAGAGACAAGGTTTCACCATGTTGCCCAGGCTGGTCTTGAACTCCTGGGCTCACGCAGTCTGCCCACCTCAGCCTCCCGCAATCTGCCCACCTCGGCCTCCCAAAGTGCCGGGATTACAGGTGTGAGCCACTGCGCCTGGCCACAGCTAGTTTAAATACAAAGAATCCAGTAGGTTAAAGGATAGAAAAAGATATCCCTGTGATAACACTAATCAAAAGAAAGTTGGGGTAATAATAGACAAAATCGATTTCAGAGCAAAGTATATAAACAGGGAAAACGAGGGTTATTTCACAATGATGAAAGGGTCAATTAAGAGGATATACGGTCCTAATATTTATGCACCTAATTAGAAAGCTTAAAATTCATATGCAAAAACTTGCAGAACTGCAAGAAGAAATAGATAAATTTATACAAGTGTTGTCAAAAAAAAATATGAGTATGGGCAGAGCTGAAAACAGTCCTGCAGGGAGAAGAACGTGGTCTCAGAAGTCTAGGGGGGGCACCAAAACTAACGGGGACTGTGAAAGAATAATGCCCCCTGCAAAGATGTCCAGGTCCTAATCCCTAGAACATGTGAATATCACTAATATGGTTTGGCTCAGTGTCCCCACCCAAATCTCATATTGAATTGTACTCCCATAATTCCCATGTGTTGTGGGAGGGGCCCGGTGGGAGATAATTGAATCATGAGAGCGGTTTCCCCCATACTGTTCTCATGGTAGTGAATAAGTCTCAAAAGATCTGATGGTTTGATAAGGGGAAACCCATTTTGCTTGGCTCTCATTCTCTCTCTTTGCCTGCCACCATCCTCTTAAGATGCGACTTTCTTCTCCTTGCATTCTGCCATGATTGTGAGGCCTCCCCCGCCACGTGGAACTGTGAGTCCAATTAAACTACTTTCTTTGGTAAATTGCCCAGTCTCAGGTATGTCTCTATCAGCAGTGTGAAAATGGACTAATAGGATCACGTTTCTTACATGGTGAAAGAGAGCTTGCAGATTTGATTAAATTAAGGATCTAAAATATGGAAAGATTATCCTGGATTCTCCACCTGAGTCCTTACAAGAGACAGGCAGGAGACTCAGCGTCCAAGGAGATGTGACTATGGAAGCAAAGGTTGTGGTAATGAATAGCCATGAGCTAAGGAATGTGGACAGCCTCTAGAAGCTGGAAAAGGGAAGGAAATGAAGTCTCCCAGAGAGCATCCAGAGGGAATGCAGCCCTGCTGTCCCATTTTAGATTTTGGACCTCCAGAACAACTGTAAGATAATTTGTGTTGTGTTTTACTCCACTAAGTTTGTGGTAATTTGTTACAATGGCAATAGGAAACTAATACTAGGCTAAGACAATATCAGAGAACCAAGCCAAGAAGTGGGAGCAACTGCAAAGTTAGTCAAATATAACAAGAGGCAAAGAGAGAATCTAAAGGAAAGACTGGTTCTAGCTTGTTATGATGAGCCAGGTAGGGCATGGCACATGAGTAGACAGCCCAGTTTGGGAGACAGCATTAAAAAATATCCTGAAACACTCAAAAAAGTGTCATATTCCTCTAGCAAGGGACTCTGGACATGCACATACAGTGCCCCAAAACAGGAAATTACGTACATGACCCAGATTGTAGGATTTGAGAGTCTCAAAAACAGATAAAGGTGAGCTGAACTAGGAAGCCCTGTGTTTCACAGCCTCAGTATTGTGAAAAAAAAAAAAAACAGGAACATAAGAATGTCATTGGAGTGGGCCAGGGAAGCCTGGCTTGTGCCTGAGAAGATAAATTCTACTTGTAGAGGGCCTGATTCTCTGGCCAAAAGAAAAAATATTCTATCCCTAGGAAGATGAGAGGTATAATTGGCTCTTCCACTGGACTAATGGGAAGAGGGAAGCCAGGTTTCTAAAACCTAAAGGCAAGCCTGGGTAGCGCCTGAGCCATTGATGCCTCTTGTTGACTACCCTCTTCATAGGTCTCATTATTTTACTTTCACATTGCTGCCTCAAACTTCATTTAATATTTTAACAACTGTCACAGCTCCCTTTGGAGAACACGCTCAAGATAAACAACTGTCCCCCTGCTGCCACATCCCTCACCTTCCTGCTAGCTGTGCTTCTGATCATAGAATTGTGCCTGATGCAGAGCAGGAGCTGACAGAGATTGAAACGAATGAAGAAAATGTTAGATTAGGACCAGGAAACCCAAGAGCAGAAGACCTACAATTTGTAATCTAAGAACCACATGAGGGTCCATGATGAGCACTAGTCACAGCAGTTGAGGAAGAAATGCTGAGAACCTAGCACATTCAACATTTCCACACGTATTTTTCAGGAGCCAGGAACTGTATGCCAGGGAATATGCTAGGCATTGGAGAAACAACATAGATTCACTTCCTGTCTTCAAGGAGATTACATGCTAGTATGAAGTTCCAAAAGCCATACTCCAAGGATACCAGGGAGCGCAGCCATATATCTCAAGACAATGGGTTCTTGAATTCAGCCTAATGCCTTTCTCCTCATTGTGCACTACTTTATTGGACAACACACATGGCTCAATAGATTTATACCACAGCATCTTACAGTTTAAGTGTTTGGGTCTATCATTTTATATCTGTCTTCTCAGGTACATGAAGAAGTTTACAGACTAACATGTTTAGTGTAATAACCCATCACATATACTGCTTTCGAAGCCCCATACGATAGTGTGAGAGAACAACAGGAATAAGGTGAAGACATTCACAACCTACAGGGACATACAAGTACATAACACAAATACAGATAAGTGGGCAATATAGCAGGGTCTGTGGCAATTAAAGGTACTGAAACTATGAAATTAATGGAGCTTCAAAATTACAAAATAGAACATAAGTTTGTCAGTGTGGGCACTTTGAAAGTGCTGTCCCAGAACCTGGATTATGTAAGCACCTTCCTGGGATGTGAGAGTAGGAGACCAAACCAGCTGGGGAGAACCAAACAGACTTGGGTTCAAGTTCCCAGCCTCCCACTTCATTATATATGGGAAGTGGGTCAACTTGCTGAACTTCTCTGAGCACTTACAAAGTAGACAATAGCACCTTACCCATTGGTGGTGAGAATTTTATTTCATTGCGTATAAAACGTAGACCATACAATGAGCCATCCACATACTGTTTTTCTTTCTTCTTTAAATTCCATCCCATCCCAGAAACACAGGAAAAGGAAACAAGAACAGGAAGAAGAACAAAAACCAAGAAGAGAGAAATGCATTTCATAGGGAATGGCAAGTGGACAGGCAACAGTGGTCAGGTAGGCTATTTGTGCCTTAAATAATCTTCCCTCTCTTGTGGCAGCTCAGAAGCAGGCAAGGAACATTGTATCACTGAAAGGGAAAATTTCAATCACCATCCTCCTCTTCATCCTCTCACTCCAATACTGACAAGCCATTTAATCTATCTTAGATATGTTTCGTTCATTCACCCGTTCATTCAACTTTATAAAACATCTTGACAGTGTTACTTAGAATGTTCCCAGATCAGTGTATACAAATCAAGGCACTTGGAGCAGAATGTAGATCGACTACATCACAAAGCACACCATTTAGCTCAGTCAATTTTTTTTTCAGTCAGAATGTTTTCTGAGCAAGACTTCCTTAGTAAATGAAATCATATGTTGATTTACATTCTGGAACAAGAGCTTTTTCTCATTCTGAACCAGTCAGAAAGAGTTCATAGGCTAGCTACTTTGTGTAGCAGTGTCTCAGAGCATCAAGTCACTTACTAAACAGATAATCCTTGAACTCACCTGAGCTCCATGTTCTGTGGTCAGTTAACAGCAGAGGAGTTCCTGACAGATTTGTGTCCAATAATAAACTTCTCAAATCCTTGTGGTACAGCTTGTGCAGTTGAAAGGTAATATCGCATCTGAATTTGCAGATTTGGGCCTTGTGCTTTTTAAAACAGAAGAGTTTTATTAAATAAAGAGTGAAGTGTATGTGCTATGCAGGATGCTAACCACAGATACTAGTGATTAGTACCTTATGGAGACAAGCATTCAGCTACAGACTTGCCAGTAAAATGTACTCAACATAAAATTTCAATAAAAATAAGGATACTGGTGCTTATTAAACAGGTAGATTTTATAACGGTATAAAATGTTGCCAGGCTACACAGCTGAAAGAAATTACCTTTGAAATCCTGAGGATGTAAAAAAATTTTGGATTGTCACTCTTATTATAACACTTGTAGATGGGTCTTAAGAGTAGGGAATGTCTTGATTATTGAGATGTACAATTCAAGTTTCTATGGCCATCACCATCATCTGGACATATTTTGTTGAAAATCACATGGGAAAATGGTGTAACCAGAAACAAGACATGGCTATCCAAAGGATCAAACTCACCAGGACACCATAAAGACTGGTAAATTTTAGGATGAAATGCAAATGTATTCTATATATTAAAACTAAAAACCATTTTAGTAAGTTATTTTTAAATGTACCTGATAGCAAAGGGGCTCTGTATGTGCCACGTGAGGGCTACGTGAGGACTGTTCATGAAAGCATAAAGTAGAAGGCAACCCAAATACCCATCAAGCAGTAAATGGATAAATAAAACCGTGGCGTGCCCATGGAATGAAACAATAAGCACCAATTCAAAAAGACATCAATCCATATTATCGCCATGGGAAAACAAGACCTTAACATGGATAAAAACAATATAAAGCACAACTCAAAATAGTATCTCACTTATATAAAATGTTTTGAAACCTACCTACAAAACAATTTATAAGTGTGTACGTGTGTGTGTGTGTGTGTAAGTATATAGAAAAAGAAAGAAAAGATATATGCAAACTTTTAAAGTGGTTACTTCTAGAGAGGGGGTTATATACTTCCTGGGAACAGAGACAGAGAGTGCACATGAAAGAAAGAGAGATGAAGGGAGGGAGGAAAGGAGAATAAAAAAAGGAAAGAAGGGAGGAAAAGAAAATTATAATAACAGCATTCTACAAATTTAAATCAAAACCAGCCGGGCACAGTGGCTCATGCCTGTAATCCAGCACTTTGGGAGGCCGAGGCAGGTGGATCACTTGAGGTCAGGAGTTCAAGACCAGCCTGGCCAACATGGCAAGACCTCGTCTCTACTAAAAATACAAACATTAGCTGGGCATGGTAGCAGGCACCTGTAATCACAGCTACTCAGGAGGCTGAGGCAGGAGAATCGCTTGAGCGCAGAGGGGCGGAGGTTTCAGTGAGCCAAGATTGCACCACTGTACTCCAGCCTGGGCAACAGAGCAAGACTGTCTCCAAAAAAAAAAAAAAAGAAAATCAAAACCATTTCATCTCTGAAAAATGAGGTATTACTTGTTATCATTACCTTCATCATCCCCCTGGGACATTGGCTAAAGTTGGATGTAAGTCTTGAATTACTAGTATTTCCCGTGACACCTACATATTTCAAAGAAATCTCCCAAACCCCTGCCAGCCCAACTATTTGAGATTTAAGAAACCACTGTCTGGGTAGGTGTGTTTTAAAGATTTTAATTAGCTTGCCTGTGACTGGTCACCAGCAGAACCCTACAAATGACTGCCTCCATCCCTTGTTGAGAACCTCACAATACAGCTTTCCAACTGACCCAATACCTCAGAAAACTAAAGAACGTGACTTCAGAGTACTGATATCTGGGAAGTATTGCATGCTCTAATAGAGCTGATCGCAATTTTCATAAATCCTCGTATTTCTGCCTGTGTTTTGTTTCAGATATCCATGTTCAAGAGGAAATGTTTGTTCAAGGCAAAAAATTATTTCTCAGTAACCATCATAGCTAACATTTATAAGGTGCCAATCTTTATTCAAAGCACTTAAACTTTATTAACTCATTTAACTTCACAACAACCCTATAAGGTAGGTACTATTATTATTATTCTCATTTTACAGAAGAGGAAATTAAACAGAGAAAAGCTAGGTAATTTGCCCAAGGTTTCACAGCTGGTATAACGATGTCTTCATATCATTATATGAAGTCACGTTGTTGTTTGTTCTGATCTACAATGCAAGAGCCAGAGACTTTTGTTTTGTTTTGTTTTGTCTTTTTTTATTTATTCTGGAGACCCAGAGACTTTGATTCACTCATTGTTGAATTGTTGCTGAACATTCACAATGTCTTAAAGGCCAGACTTCAGTCACTCCATTTGGAAGCTCCAGTTGGGGCATTTAGAGGCTGAAGGATAAAATGTGAACTCATCTTGTGTCTGAAGCTGAGGAAAGCCCATAGTTACTCATTACCACAATCTGGATCTGTCTGATGCTACTGCCAAGCATAAACAGGGCAGATGCACACTCAGGATGAAGTCACCTTACCACATACACAGGCAAAACATTCAAATATCCACAGGTCTCACCAGCAAAGGAGTCTGTCTAGTCACCTGGTTTCTCTCAGCTCTCAGGAAGAATGCATGGAATGATAAAAGATTGGTCCTGATCTCTGCTAATGCTTTACTCAGCCACTGGAACTGACACAATTTTTTACTCTATGTCTACATCTCTAGTCTATAATCAAATACAAGAGCATAAAAAATTAATAGCTCTTCTTCCTCCATTTTAATACTAGGCTTAAGAATTTTCATTCTCTATGTGATTTGCTACTATAGTATATTAGTAATATTTTAGAACCAGTTTTAGCAAACCACTTGTGGCATACTGTGTATGGCTTCAGGTACAGCTGGATCTAGGAGTTCAAATGATGTTTTCAGAATCTGGAGTCTCTCAACTCTGCTTTATCAAGCAGCCTCTCCCTTCATGTAGGTATGTTCCTCACAACTTCAAGTCCAAAGACAAAATGTGTGCCTCCTTTCCAGTCATTCATATGACAGTCCCAGGACTAGTTCGGACTGAGTCTGATTGAAATGGCTTGAGTCAAATACTCAACCCTAAATAAATATCTGTGGCCATAGGAATGCTATGCTATGATTGGCAGTCATAGATTACAGCCGATTCCTGGAACCAAGAGAGTAGAGAAATGATGGTTTTCCAGAGGGAACTCAGGGTTAAGTCCTCAGAAGAACTGGATAGGTACTGGGCTGGGCAAGCCAAAATAATGGCAGTGGAGCAGAGAGAAGAGAGTAGGCTGGCTCTGTAGTGGTAGAGCATAGCTGCAGAGTGAAGATTTTTTGTTAGTAAATCGCTTCGTGTACATTTGTTTACCAGAACAAGGGGAACAGCATAGAAGTATTCTATCCTTGTTATGGCCATGATAGACAATATAGGCACTATGGGTCGCCCCCAGTAAATTACATTCTTGGAAGCTGACTCTTCTTAGCAGTGTCCCATCCACTCCCTCCCTGTGGACTATTGCTCTTCCCACTAGCCATGAGGTAGGTCCATGTGACATTTTGACATTTCTCAGAATAAACCAAACATTTATATAGGGTGATTTTTTGAACACTTTTTATAATGGAAAGTTCCAAACAAAAGTAGAGAGTATAATATACTCTAATGCATCCATCACCCAGCTTCAACAGTTATAAAACATGGACAGTCTTGTTTTATCCACACCCTCACTCTCTCCCCTCCTCTGATTATTTTGAAGCACATCCCAAACAACATATAATCTGTAGCTATTTCAGCATGTATCTCTAAAAGATAAGGACTTTATTTTTTAATTTTTGTTTGTTTTTTAGAGACAGAGTCTCACTCCATCACCCAGGCTGGAGTGCAGTGGCGCAATCTCGGCTCATCACTCCGTCGCCCAGGCTGGAATGCAGTGGCGCAATCTCGGCTCACTACAACCTCTGCCTCCCAAGTTCAAGTGATTCTCATGCTTCAGCCTCCTGATCAGCTGGGACTACAGGAGTGCACCACCATGCCCAGCTAATTTTTGTATTTTTTGGTAGAGACGGAGTTTCACCATGTTGGCCAGGCTGGTCTCAAACTTCTGGCTTCAAGTGATACCCCCCAACCTCGGCCTCCCAAAGTGCTAGAATTACAGGTGTGAGTCCCCACCACCACATCTGGCCTAGGACTCTGTTTTTTTTTTTAGACAAAGGTATATATCACTGTTTCATCTAAAAACATTTAACAATAATCTCCCTCCAAACATTGTAATGGGTTGATATGTCTCTAAAGTCTCTTTTAATCTGTAGGTTCCCACTCCATTATTTATTTTACCTTGAAAAAAAATTAACCAAGTGTTTTGCCCTACAGAACCTGGGTGAATTTTAAGGATACTATCACAGGGCTCTCACTGCAATAGGACAACAGCCAGAGTCTCAAGAGCACACCTACTATAGAAATTAAAATCAAGAATTCTGGAGCCAAATTGCCTGGGTTCATAGCATGGCTCTGCCACTTCTTAGCCACAGGACAACCTCTCTGTGCCTCGGTTTTCTCATCTCTAAAATGGGGATGACAATAGTAACTACCTCATTGGGTTGTTTTAAGAATTACATGACTTAATGTATGTCCAATTCTTAGAACAGTGATGCTTAGGATATAGTAAATGATAACATAGATGAGGAAATTGAGAGGCAGGGAAGCTGACTGGTCCAAGGTCCTGCAGCTAAACAATGGCAGGGCAGAGAGCACAGCGCGGATTCACCCCACTGGTTTAATACTCTGTTTCAAACCATCGATGAATGCAGGCTCTTGTTGACGTGGGCATTACTCTGCCCCTCACCGGGATGTTACTGCCATTCTGTTGCTAAATCACCAGGATGAGGTTAGGAACCTTCTCCAGGCCTCAGGCTCCTGCTCTGCAAACTGAAGGAACTAGAGGTGTGGTTAAGGTGCCTGAACCCCCTTTTAGGAGAAATCCCAGCAGAAGATGCCTAAGCAAGCCTTGCAGGAAGTCATCTAGGCCACCTTCAAGTCAGTGCCAACCGCAGAATCTTTAGATCCCCCAAAAGAGCACCTGTCCCTTTGTGGTGCTTCTGACAGAGAACCCCAAGCAGCCCTAGACCTCCCTCAACCTGACTCAGGGGTGCCCACCACTCCCCATCCTCCCTGACACACATAATCCTGGCTGAGGCAGCCCAAATAGCAGCTTCCCCGGATTACTCACCGTGGCTCTGTGAGAAGAATGCCTCTCCCAGGCAGCGTCCGCAGTTGTGACCACAGATGGGAGACTAGCCTAATTGGACTTACCAGCAGCTCACCTTGGCTTCCTCAAGGCCCAGCAGCAGGACAGGGCCTTTCTCTGAGCAGAACTTGAATGATAAAAGAAGCAGGTGAAGCTGATCCAGCCTCAGACAGACCTCCAGTGGGCCCTTGAGGGTGTGAGAGGCAGCTCTGCGGGCCCACCCTAGAACTGCGTGTGGACAGCTAGAAAGCCTAGCCTTTCTGACATTGCTGGCCTAAGAGGTTTCATCTTTAGGGTTTTTTTCCTTCTCAGGCTGCTAGCTTCCATCTCACTTAATACAGAAGGATGGTCTCAATTTAAGCATCTGAAACAAATTACTTAGCAAAAACCATTTTCGTTGTATCCAAACCCAGTGTCTTCAGTTTGAGCTCTCTGAAATTCCAAACACATGTTCAAACCACCAGGAAAGAGGGAAAGAGAGACTGAGAAGAGGGGGACTGAAGCAGGGAAGTCACTATGAGATTCTCCCCAAAATCCCGATGTTCAGCCTCTGGGTGAAGGACATTCCATCCTGAGACGGAGGGATTGCTCTCTTCACCAGCACCTTTCTGAAGTGTCTGTGTTAGAGGCAGTTCAGTGCTCACACAGCAGCCTGAAATTCTTAGTCCTCCCACACATCTCCAGTCAAGGAGCACTGTCCATGCCCCTTCATTGTCCATAAACACCCAAGCTCTTATTTAGAAGCAATTGATTTCTCAAATCTTTTCCTATGTATTTATTCACTAAACCTGTCAAGCAACACATTTAAGCATGACAGAGAAAGAATATGGGCATGTGTTAGGATTCCCTAGAGAAACAGAACCAATAGGGTGAGTATATGGAGAGGAGAGGTTTAGTTTAAGGAAGTACCTCATGCAGTTACGGAGGCTGGCAAGTCCAAAATCTACAGGGTAGGCCAGGCAGGCTGAAGACTCAGAGAAGAGCCTATACTGCAGTTCCAGTCCAAAAGCTGTCTGCTGCACAGTTCCCTCTTACTCAGGGAAGCTCAGTCTTTGATTCCATTCCAGCCTTCAGTTGATCAGATGAGGCCCACCCACATTACAGAGGGCCATCCGTTTACTCAAAGCCCACTGATTTCAATATAAACCTCATCCCAAAACACCCTCCCAGAAACATCCAGAATAATGTTTGACCAACTATCTGGGTACTAAAGCCCAGCCAAGTTGGCACATCAAATTAATCATTGCAGGGTGTGAGCAGGAGAAAAAAGAAGAGATGAGATTGCCCTGAGCCCAAATCCAGAAAGCAGGGCACAACCAAGAGAGCTAAAGACCCCTGGGTAAAGCCACCTCCTGCCCCCAAGTCCTTCCCTGACGCAGACTTGCTGGACAACCAGGTGCGTCAACATGCAGGTACAGGGGCAGACCCTTCTCCCTTCCCTCCTCCTCCATGCCTTTCACAACTATTTGCTGAGTGTCACTGTGCCAAGCCCTGGGGCTAAAACTAATCAAGATTTGGTTCTTCTGTACACTTAAAAGTGGTTAAAATGGTCAATTTTATGTTACGTATATTTTACCACAATTTAAAATAAATTTGAAAAAAAATTAAAAGACTCTGTTCTTGCCATCAAGGGTCCCAACGTTCAGAGAGGGAGGGCATACACAAAACACAATTTCAGTCTAAGTTCTCACTAACAGCGTTGATAGCAGTTTCTTGGAAACCACGATTTTAAACGAAATAACTATAAAGAAACCAATTTTACCATAAGCTAATGGATAGAAACAGGAGTTAAGATTCTACCGCATATTTCTGGTCATAAAAATACTACCAAACCTTACTACATAAAGTAGTAAACATCAGAGCCAAAACACTTCTAATATTAAACATTGAAATAAATGTGAGCTCTACATACACTTAAGAAAAATTAATAAAAACGAGTAAGTTATTTATTCACCCAATGATTCCAGTTCAGGATTACCGGTGGCCGCAGCCTGTCCTGACAGCTCAGGGTTCAAGGTGGGAACCAGCCCTGGCCAGGACACCATCCCATTACAGGGCAAGCTCCTTTACACAGCAAGACTCACTCACACTGGGACCACGTGGACACGCCGGTTCACCTAACCTGCACAGCTGTGGAAAGTGGGAGGAAACCAGAGCACCCAGAGAAGACCCATGCAGACCTGGGGGGAACACTCAGACTCCACACACACAGCGGCCCGAGCCAGAAATCAACTTTTTTTCCCCCTCATCAACTTTATAACAAAACTTTGTTATTCAAGGGCCTGCTATTATAGGAGGTCACAGGTGGTAAAACAGGGCAAGCCAGAGAATGCAGAGCCCATGTGGGTCAACAGAAACTGTGCCTTACCCACCGGCTCATCTGCTCACCTCGTCCTTTCTCCCCCAACAAAGCTGCTCTGGACACAAGGCTCCTGGCACACTGCCAACCAGGCCTTCATGCCCAGATGTGGAAATCTCACTTCCCCATTGTTGACATTCCACAGCGCTCGCCCCTTATCCATCCTTCCACAGACGCTTTTTTTTTTTTTTTTTTTTGAGACAGGGTCTCTGTCACCCAGGCTGGAGTGTGGTGGCACAATCATGGCTCACTGTAGCCTCGACCTCCACAGGGTCAAGCGATCCTCCCACCTCAGCCTCCCAAGTAGCTGAGACTACCAGCGCCACCACACCTAGCTAATTTTTATTTTTTTTTTTTTTTAAGAGACGGGGTTTTGCCATGTGACTCAAGCTGGTCTCAAACTCCTGGGCCTCCCAAAGTGCAGGGATCACGGGCGTGAACCACTGTGCCCAGCCCCCCTCCACACACTCTTTCAATAACTTGTTGTAAAATTTCTTAGTATTTACTCATTAAAGTGTCTAGGTATCTTCCAAAACAAGACATTTTTATTCTCCCAATTTTTTATTTATTAAAAAAAAAAAAAAATAGGACCGGGCGCAGTGGCTCACACCTGTAATCCTAACACTTTGGGAGACTGAGGCGGGTGGATCACCTGAGGTTAGCAGTTTGAAACCAGCCTGGCTGACATGGTGAAACCCTGTCTCTACTAAAAATACAAAAAAAAAAGTTAGCCGGGTGTGGTGGCGCGTGCCTTTAATCCCAGCTACTCGGGAGGCTGAGGCACGAGAATCGCTTGAACCCAGGAGGCGGAGGTTGCTGTGAGCCCAGATCATGCCGTTGCATTCCAGCCTGGGCAACGGAGCAAAACTCTGTCTCAAAAAAATAAATAAATAATAACTTTTTTTTAATTCAACCGTAATCTCGTCATCTGAACACACCTAACTCCAGCGGTCAAATGCTCAGACCAAAAGCCATGGTATTATCTATGACTCCCCAGTGTCTCTCACACCCTTTTCCAGTTCATCAGGAAATCCTGTCAATTCTACCTTCAAAATATGTCCTGAATTTCCCCATTTCTCACACCTCCACCACTACCATCCCAATCTGAGTCACATCATCTCCCCACAAAACTATTGCAGCTGTCTGCTATAACTGGACCGTCCTGCCCCCAGCCATCTCTACATAGTGATCAGAGTTGTCCTTTTTAAATGTAAGATCATGTTACACCTCTCTGAAAAACCCTCCAGTGGCTCCCATTTCACTCAGAATAATGATCTCCCCTCCCATTAATCCTTGACCTCTTCTATGCCTGTCCCCCTGACTCACTCAGCCTCAGGTACAACAGTCTCCCTGCTGTCCTACGTTACATCCCAAGCCTACTTTGGTCTCAGGACCTTGGCACTGGTTGTACTCTCTGCCTGATACATTCTTCCTCCAGATATGCACATGGATAATTTACCCACCTCCCTCAAGTCCTTGTTGGAATACCTATTTTTTTCTTTTTTTTTTTTTTTGAGACAGGGTCTTACTCTGTCACCCAGGCTGATGTGCAGTGGTACCATCAGCTCACTGTAGCCTCGACCTCCCAGGCTCAAGTGATCCTTCCACCTCAGCCTCCCAAGTAGCTGGAACTACAGGTATGGGCCACCACACCTGGATAATTTTTGTATTTTCTGCAAAGATAGTGTTTTCTCATGTTGCCCAGGCCAATCTCGAACTCCTAATTCCTGGGATCAAATGATCTGCCCACCTCAGCCACCCAAAGTGCTGGGACTACAGGCATGAGCCACGGTGCCCACCAGAATATCATCTTCTAATTAAAATTCCAACTCCCCCACATTCCTTACCCTGATCATCTTTTATTTTTTTATAGCACCTATTTTGGAATATTCTAACATATTAACTAACTTACTCATGTGTTGTATTTATTGTTTATTCTTTGTCTCTACCACACTAGAATGTTAACTCCACTGGAACAGATATTTTTACCTGTATCCCAAGCCCCTGGAATAGTGTCTGGCAGATAGTGGGCACCCAATAAATAGTTGTTGAATGAACTAAGTGATGAGACAGCAAAGTTCAACTCCCTAAGCTACGCTCCCAGGTGCCAGAGGCCCTGCTTCTCTGGGCTCCAAACCTGTTGTGGAGGACATCAGGAACTTTCCCCTAAGAAGTTCAACAAAGCCTTCTTAGATTAGTATTCCTTCTGTGACAATATGTCCCACTACATATATTGGAAACTTTTTTTCAAGGTGACTTAGATACAGACACTGAACAGACAAACCAATGAATAATTCCGTCTTGGTTGACAATTGGTTGGGACAAGTTCACATGCCAAGATGTCACTGAACCACAAGATCCTACAGTCACTGACAACTATTTCCTAACATTCTCCCCACAAGGAAGCATTACAGTGTAAGTATTGTTTATAGCAATCCCAGGCTTTGGGTCATAAACAGTTGTTCTCTTTTCTTTTTCACAGGAACGTTGATTGTCCTATACCTGTTATCCGGCATTCTGAGTAACACACACATACTGGGATTGATTGTGTGGGAAGGCCACTTGACGCTATAGGTGCACTACACACGAATCAGGGTAGCTCCTCGGCTGACATCCCCAGTGGCCCAGTCTCTGCTGTCCCCACACTTCCTCTAGTAATGGACACTTCCCGCCCTCCCCAGGCACAAGACCTAGGCTTGGCCAACCAGAGATCTTCCCTGGGACTTTCCTAAGTGGTGCTGGCAGGAAAGAGCCTCCTTTCTCACAGGTTGTTAAGAAGAAGGATATAAAACAAAAGAGTCCATTAAAATAAGAACATAAATACACTAATGAATTACTGAGTAAATGAATGAATGAATGAATGGATGTTTAAAACAAAGGGAATTCAGTCATGAATTGCTTAACAAAATGGATATTCTCTAAGAAATGCATCATTAGGCAATTTCATCATTGTGCCAACATCATAGTAGGCATTACACAAACATAGTTGGTATAGCCTACTACGCACTTTGGCTATATGGTATAGGCCTATTATTCTTAGGCTACAAACCTGTAGAGCATGTTACTGTACTGAATACTGTAGGCAGTTGTAACACAATGATAAGTGTTTGTGTATCCAAACATAGAAAAGGAAGAGTAAAAATACCATATAAACGATTAAAAAAAATACACCTGTAGGGTACTTACCACAAATGGAGCTTGCAGGATGGGAAGTTGCTCTGGGTGGGGCAGTGAGTGAATGAGTGGTGTGTGAACGTGAAGGACATTACACTCCTAAAGACTTTATAAACACTGCACACTTAGGCTATACTAAATTTATGGAAATATTTTCTTCAATAATAAATTAACCTTATCTTACTATAACTATTTTACTTATAAATCTTTAAATTAAAAACATTAAATTTGGCCAGGTGCGGTGATTCACGTCTGTAATCTCAACACTTTGGGAGGCCGAGGCAGGTGGATCATCTGAGGTCAGGAGTTCGAGACCATTCTGACTAACATGGTGTAACCCCGTCTCTACTAAAAATACAAAAATTAGCTGGGCATGGTGTTGCATGCCTATAATCTCAGCTACTCCGGAGGCTGAGGCAGGAGAATTGCTTGAACCCAGGAGGTGGAAGTTGCAGTGTTGACCCGAGATTGCACCATTGCACTCCAGCCTGGGCAAAAGAGTGAAACTCTGTCTGAAAAAATAAATAAATTTTATTTATTTAATTAATTTAATTTTTTTTTTTTTTTTTTTTTTTTGAGACGGAGTCTTACTCTGTCACCCAGGCTGGAATGCAGTGGCCTGATCTCGGCTCACTGCAAGCTCCGCCTCCCGGATTCATGCCTTTCTTCTGCCTCAGCCTCCTCGGTAGCCGGGACTACAGGCGCCCACCACCACGCCTGGCTAATTTTTTTGTATTCTTAATAGAGATGGGTTTTCACCATGTTAGCCAGGATGGTCTCGATCTCCTGGCCTCGTGATCCGCCTGCCTCGGCCTCCCAAAGTGCTGGGATTACAGGCGTGAGCCACCGCGCCCGGCCAAAATTAAAAATTTTTAACCTTTTGACCTTTTGTAATAACACTTACCTTAAAATACAAACACATTGTACAGTAGTATAAACATACTTTCTTTGTATTCTTATTCTATAAGTTTTATTCTATTTCTAAAATTTTAATTTTTTTTTTACTTTTTAAACTTTTTTATTAAAAACTAAGACACAAACATATACATTAGCCTAGACCTACACGGGGTCAGGATCATCACTGTCACTGTCTTCCACCTCCACATCTTGTTCCACTGGAAGATCTTCAGGGGCAATAACATGCATAGAGCTGCCATCTGCTATGATAACCATGCCTTCTTCTGGAATACTTCCTGAAGGACCTGCCTGAAGCTATTTTAGAACAGACTTATTTTTTGTAAATAGAAGGAGTACAGCCTTAAGTAACAATGAAAACTATAGTATAGTAAATGCATAAACCAGTAATGTAGTCATTTATCATTACCAAGTATGTACTATGCATAACTTTAAGTGCTATACTTTTTTCATGTCTAGCAGTGCAGCAGGTTTGTTTATACCAGGATCATCAGCACAAACATGTGAGTAATGTATTGTGCTATGACTTTATGGCATCTACAAAGTCACTAGGCAATAGGAATTTTTCAGTTCCATTATAATCTTATGGAACCACTGTCATATATGCAATCTGTCATTGACAAGAAGTCATTATACAGCATATGACTGTATATTTAATTAGAAGAAAAAACATAAATTTTGGAATCAGAAAAATCTCAGTTCTGACTCTCAATCTTACCACTTAATGTCTTTCAGTCTTGAGGAAAGAAATGTTAACTCCTCTCAATACCTCATAATTTCTCATTGTGAGAAAAAGACCTAACACAAACTGGCCTATGTACATGGGCTCTTCCCCTTAACACACTGGATTAACAACTGTGACTCAAAGCCATTTATAGCCTTCTTGACATTGGGAAACATACACATTAGAGTCTCATTGATCAGTCTGCAACTAAATGATTTGTGGATAATTAAAGTATATGACTAAAAAGATATTTTTACCAAAACTACTGCATTTGAAATAAGCTTTCAGAAATATTTTCATATTTTTAAGGTATGAGGATTTTTGGCAAATGAATCTGATAACTTCACAACAGTTTCATTGATTTTACATGTTGGGAAACACTTGGCTCCACTGTATATATAACATACAAAGACATAAGATATGCCGAGACTTAGTTATTCTATACACTAATAACAAAGAAATGTTGGAATTTTCTGCTGGATAAGAATTTGATAAAATTTTTTTAAATTGTGTTCCTTGGCCAGGCGCGGTGGCACACACCTGTAATCCCAGCATTTTGGGAGGTCGAGGTGGGCAGATCACCTGAGGTCAGGCATTCGAGACCAGCCTAGCCAAAATGGTGAAATCCCGTCTCTACCAAAAATACAAAAAAATTAGCTGGGTGTGGTGGCACACCCTCATGCCTCAGCCTCCTGAGTAGCCCTGTAATCCCAGCTACTCGGGAGGCTGAAGCAAGAGAATTGCTTGAGCCCAGGAAGCAGAGGTTGCCGTGAGCCAAATGGTGCCACTGCACTCCAGCCTGGGCAACAGAATGACACTCCATCTCAAAAGAAAAAAAAATGTATTCCTTTTAAAATTTTGTTCCTTTATTTTATAAACTTCAGAACAACAGATTTGAATGAAAAAATAAGTTATTTTGCTTTTGTTATTTATTTTCATCAACATTTAAGATGAAAGCTCATTAGCACTCCAAAACAAAAAAGAAAGAGAATCAGAAGAAGTAATAGAAATGTCCATCAGTTAAAAGTTTGGTTAAATAAATTACAGTAAATCTATAAAATGAAACACCAGGCAGTGGCTGAAGTGATTATGTGAATCTAATTCTATTGGCATTGTGGTGTATTTACAATGCAGGGGACAAAGTAGCATATGTGATACTGACCCGTTGATGTAAAATTACAGACTGTGTTTGTCTGCTTCGTTCTCCCATAGCCTTCAGTCCTTCCCCTCTCTTAGCACTCAAAACGCTTTATTGTTATTCCTGAGTTAATTTTTAATGTCTCCTAAACTATAAGTTCCATGAGAGCAGGAATCTTATCTTTAGCCCCAGCACCTTGACCAGTGTCTGACACTGAATAAATAAAAGTCAATACAGAATTATTGAATGAATGGGTAGTCTAAGGAACTCAATTTGTCCTGGATGTTTCCTGATTCCTTTTCAAACTGCTGACAAATCATCCATCTGATTATCTGTTCTGGAAGTTTGCCTAGGACTAACATCAAGCCTGAGGAACTTTCCATTTTCTATCTGTGAGTGTTTGCATCCTTATTCATTTAGACTTTCAGTTTGCACAGCCTCTCTTGTTAGATTGTCAGTCCTTCAAAGACAGGGACCATGTTTAGTTTGTTCTTTTTTTTTTTTTTTTTTTTTTTCCATGATACCCAGGAAAATGTTCTGCTTAAAGTGGAGGTCTTTCCAGTGATTAACTGATTTGGCAAGTACAGCCTCCTAAGAGAATAAATTATCAGTTGGGATTATTATAATTTAATGACAATCACAAACACTCCCTTTCACAGGCCAGGCACTGTGGTTGGAGCTGTATGTCAATTATCTCCTTGATATGAAACCAACTAAGTGGCCATCGACCAACGAGTGGATAAAGAAAATGTGGTAGAAATACACCATGGAATACTACTCAGCCATAAAAAAATGAAATAATGTCTTTTGCAGCAACTTGGATGGAGCTGGAGGCCATTATTCCAAGTTAAGTAACTCAGGAATGGAAAACCAAATATCGTATGTTCTCACTTATACGTGGGAGCTGAGCTATGAGGACACAAAGACATACAGAATGATATAATGGACTTTAGAGGCTAGGGGTGGGGGAGGTTGGGAAGGAGGTGAGGGATAAAAGACTACATATTGGGTGCAGTGTACACTGCTCGGGTGACGAGTGCACTAAAATCTCAGAGTTCGCCACCATAGAGTCCATCCATGTAACCCAAAACCACTCGTACCCCAAAAGATTGAAATTTAAAAAAAATTTTTTTTAAAAGCATCTCCTTAATTCACAAATTCCTCTGAGGGTAGTACCACAAGTCCCATTTTACAGGTGAGGCCCCTGAGGCTTCAGCAAGTCTCAGGGACTCACCACAGTCACTCAGCTAGTAAGAAAAGGAACAAAGACTGGAATTTTACCTGACTCCAAGGTCCATGTTCTTAATCACCTGTGACAATCCCCTCTCATATATCCAGCAGCTGATGAAGTCTTTCTCTCAGGAAACCAACTGGACATAGACATGTCATGTCCATTTTATATGCAATATGGTGAATCAGGAGGAGCCGTGAAAGGACGACTCACTAAGTTACTCTCCCAATGTTTATGTTTGTTTAGACAGTGACCATCATGACCACTAGGGAAGATCACTTTCTGATTCTGCTGCCCTCACCTCCTGGACAAAAGCAGAGCAGAGAAGCAGCATAAACCCTGGTTGGGGGCCTAAGAATGATCCCCAACTCTCCACTGCAAACCACCGGGGTCAGGAAGCCTCCGGGTAATGCCCTCTCCCTCTTGTTTCGCTTTTTAAGTAGGTAAGCTGCACAGAGAGAAGCACTGTTGCATATTTCTGGACAGCTTATTTCTCTTGCAGAGGAAGACTGATATACACAACTAAAAGGCACTAACATGGGAGAAGATTTGAGAGATTAGAAGGATGGTGAAGGTGCGGTTGTCCAAAATCCCCCTCTGGGGGGAGATGATTGATATCTGGCTGTCATTCCAAGAAGCTTCTGGTTGACAAATACTGTCTGGTATTTCCTTGCTGATTTCTTACCCTCACACCGCAAGCCCTGATCTCTGTGGTCCACTGTGCAAATGCAAATTACCTGAATCAGGCTGCTGGTGACTCACCAGCTCCCCTTTAAAGCAACATCAGGTTCAACGCAGTGACTGCTCAGTAGAAGCCATGGCTCGCAGACACTGCTTCTCCTACTGGTTACTGGTATGCTGGTTGGTGGTAACTGTGGCAGAAGGTAAGGGTTTTGCTTTTATTCTACTGTGGGTCCACTAATTAATAAGTTGTAGGAAAAGACAAAACTGGCTCCATGATTATACGTTCCCATAAATTGGAAATATTTACCTCAGCTTCCATCAGCCTGTGTGGTTAAAGAGAAGGAAGTTGGATTTTGTCACCTGAAGACCTTGGTCCTCGTCTCAGCAATAGCTCTGTGACTTTAGACACACTTAAAATCTCTGAGTATCAGATTCCTCATATGTGAAGTGACAACATTAACAATATCCATCGTTATGGGGTTTGCAAGGACCAAATGAGCTATCATCTGTGAAAAACTCTTCAAGCTAAAAACACTGTACAAATACTAGTTATTATGGTTACAAAGCTAACAATTCCACTTTGAATTACAGCACTGTCCACTTTCTATCTCCAGCAGCATATTAATTTGCACATGGTGGGTATTTAGTCTTTGTTCATTGCTTTAATTAATCACATCTATTGAGCTGCATTTTGGTGCCACAGAGGTGGGCACAGGTTTCTTTCTTTAGGATTTTATTAGATTCCATTTCTCAACTGTTCCTATTCTCTTTCTTTGTTCCCACTACAAAATGTGTCCTGAGCCTTACAATTGGTTTGCAAACCCCTAGGAAAAGGAAAGAAAAGGCTGGGGAAGGGATGAAAAGAGGGAAATACAAGGGGAGGAAATCTTGGGGAGCCTAGATCTAACCTTTTCTTCAGTTTATTTTAATTCCAAAACTAGATGCTGTTTACGGAAGATGGACCTAGGAGTCAAACAGAGCACTTCACCCCTTTCACATGTCTTGGGTAGGGGGCTTTGCAGGGGCTCAGCCAAACCCTGCTCATCCCCAGACAGATTCCCCGTTCCCATCCCTCAGAGCTCACAATAGACAGGAGGAGGGGAGAGACATAAGAGCTGGTTGTGGAACACTCAGAAACCCCCTGATCCAACCTCTGCACACACTCTGGCAATCAGGGGACAGGGCATAGATTATGAACAAAACCTGCCCCCATATCCCAAGGCAAGGCCCCCAAGCCTCACCTACTAAAAGTGACATCTAAAAGAAGCATCATAAAACAAAACTAGCCACCTGCCACTTTCTCTGCAAAAAGTGAACCGCTCTTCAGGAGGCTTTGTAAACACATAGCTAAACAAGTTATAATGAGATTAGAGATTTATTTTATTCACATCTTAAAAACACCCACTGAGGCTGGGTACAGTGGCTCACACCTGTAATCCCAGCATTTTGGGAGGCCGAGGTGGGCAGATCACCTGAGGTCGGGAGTTCAAAACCAGCCTGACCAACATGGAGAAACCCCATCTCTACAAAAAATACAAAATTAGCCAGGTGTGGTGGTGCATGCCTGTAATCCCAGCTACTCGGGAGGCTGAGGCAGGAGAATCGCTTGAACCCAGGAGGTGGAGGTTGCCATGAGCCAAGATCGTGCCATTGCACTCCAGCCTGGGGAACAAGAGTGAAACTCTGTCTCAAAAAACAAAACACCCATTGAAACACCAGATTTGATTTCCGAATTTGGCTCACTTTTCCCTACAATCCCTCGAAGTCCTTCAAATGTAGCTTCATTCTATCCCAGCAGCCCCTGCTTCCAGTTCATCGCTCGTTCACACACACCCTGGGTCTGCCCGACAAGGTCATGTGTGGATCTCCATACTCATCCTCTTCTCACTGATGCACGGCAGCAACCACAGCTGCTCCCTCCACTTGCTTTCACCTCTGTTTGTTGCAGTTCCGCTTTAAGGCACAACATTTAAATGCCACTATGATTTTGCCTTGACAAAGTCTTTGTTAAGACATAATAATTTTAAAATTGCAGTTTCTCTTTCTGACACCTTTGAATTCTTACAGCTATTTGTGCATCACCTACGGCACGTATGGCATCTGCTCTCTGCTGCAGATCCCTGGCTTCATAGCATCTGCCCACTCCTTGAGCTCAGGCTCTTAATCTTAATCATCTCTGCGTTTGCCAGAGCCCCTAATGTAGTAACCTGTACCTGTTGAAACAACTTGACTCACAGCATAGAATTGAAAGGGGCCTGTCTGATACTTTCTGGGCTCTGATATTTTATCTGTGAAATTAGAGATTTGACCAAGATAGTCATTCTTTGAGTCTACAAAATAAATTGAGTTTTGCAGTTATTGTGAGTAAATCAATCATAGAACTTATTCTTTCTGGCTCAAGTCTGAAAGCACATGAGAATTAGTTTCTAAGACTCCATGCACCATGTAAGGGAAGAACTGCACACTTAAACTTTAAGTAGAAAGCTGACTTCTCTTAAAATCAGTATAGTTCACTGCAAGCCAGCTTTGTCTGCCCAAATAACCACAGAGTATAGGTAATTATAAAAAAAAAAAAAGGTCTTTCATCATTACCTTTTTTTAAAAAAGTACTTGTTTTTAAAGTAGTTGTTGGTATGCTGTGAATTTCATGTCTAGACTATAATAAACCACCTTAAAACTGATATTCAAATTCCAAGCAATATTTTGCCTTGTTTTTTCTATTATACTCTAATTTTTTTGTTTGTTTGTTTGTATGTTTGTTTGAGACAGGGTCTCCCTCTGTCGCCCAGGCTGGAGTGTGCAGTGGCACTATCTCAGCTCACTGCAACCTCCGCCTCCTGGGTTCAGATGATTCTCCTGCCTCAGCCTCCAGAGTAGCTGGGATTACAAGTGTCTGCCACCATGCCCGGCTAATTTTTGTGTTTTTAGTAGAGACGAGGTTTCACCATGTTGGCCAGGCTGGTCTTGAACTCCTGAGCTTAAGTAATCTGCCTGGCTCAGCCTCCCAAAGTGCTGGGATTATAAGTGTAAGCCACCACGCCCAGCCAATTTTTAATATAATTTATTATTGCAGATTTTCTGCGACTGAAATTAAATACTCACTGAACTCCACAAAATATACAGAGAGGAACATTCAAGGTCGGCCTGACCATTTAACTCATCAAGTATTTACTGAGCACCACTATAAGCCAGGGACTATTCTAGGTGCTGGAGACACCGGCAGTGACCAAGAGTCAACAGTCCCTGTCATTGGCGAGGTCCTATTCTAGTAACGTGTGTCCCCAGTAGCCCTATCTTTAATGCACAAATTTTATGGGCCTAAGAAAATGGTGCTCAGGCTAACAGAATGTTTCCATAACATTCAAGATTAATAACCGTAGCTAACACTTATTAAGTGTGAACTGTATGTCCAGCAATGTTCTCAGCACTTTACACATTTTATTTCCGGTAACACTCACAAAGAGATGATGAGATGGGTAGTATTCTTTTCTTCATTTTACAAAGGAGGAAAATGAGACTCAAAGAGGTTAAGGAATCTATCTGTGTTCACCCAGTTATGAAATGGCAGAGCTCAGGAAGCCTGGCTCTAGAGCCTATCCTTTTAAACACTTTGCTATTCTGCCTCTCAAAATGTTTTTAATCTACATTTAAATATTTGACCTACTTTGGTCTTATTAAGCTTGCAGAAGAGCTCTCATCTTTGACATCCAGTGCCTTTGATAGCATGTCAGTATGTTACATACGGGGAAATATTTGCTTATTATTCAACACACTACTCCTGAGAAGTAGGAACTTGGTAACTTTGCAATTATAGAAACTGAGATTTCTCTCAATCAATTCAATTGTACTGGAGGCACCGTGCTAGGGATGAGGAGGCAGCAGTCTACAAGACGGTCACGTAGATCTTTCAGTGGAGCAGGCATATAGCCACTGAATAATAATCACACAGCTGATGAGTATGATGAAAGTGGACTCACAGGGTGCTAAGAAAGCATGTTGCAAAGGGTTTTAACCAAGCCTCTGGGTAGGAAAGGCCTCCCTGACAAAAAGAGAGAGAGAGAGAGACTTGAACAGGAGTTAGCCAGGCAAAGAGTGCTCTGGGCATCTGCAACCACCTTTTCAGAAGCCCAGGACAATTGATGACTTTTGCCAAAGTGGTTTTTGGAGAGGGAAGGAGGCAGGGTTAGATTCCAATGGATTAAATAGGGGGAGAAGTGGAATCAGTAGGTGTACAGACTTTAAAGAGAGAGGAGTAGGAACCAAAGAAGTTCATGGCAGATTACCTCAGCTTTCTCTCCGGAATATGAAGCTGATTAATCAACTTAGAAAGGTAGAGAGAGTTTCAAAGCAAATTCTTCAGATGAATGAAGAATGAAAATTTTGAGGGAAATTTGAGAAGATAGCAAAGGTTTAGAAGATAAGGAACAGAGAAGAACAAAGATAAAAGAATTAATGAGCAGTGTTAGATCAGCTGAAGTCACAGACCATAAATGGCATCAACCCACTTTCTCAGATGTGTGGCCCTAACTTTGTAAGATGTGACAGGTTCCCAAACCAATCACTATTGTTCCCACATTTTAGGACACTTGTGCTAGCTAACTAGCGACCCGATAGGATCACCATAGGTCTAGTTTGTTTGGAAGAATGTGGTTTTATGGGGTCCTGCCCACATTCCTGGGTAAGTGATTGAAGCAAGCTTATACCTTGATCTTGAACCCTTGAAAATTCCCAGAAAAAGAGAGCACTGAACACTACTGGACATCCCAGAGTCAGAGAAAACTTGCCTTGCAGGCTCTGAAACCCAATTGTTAGAGGAGGATTTAGAGAGTAGCTTCAGGTTTCTAGAAATGAAATGAGCACAAGAGGCGGGTGGGTGGGTGGTTTTTAACAGCTGGAGCACAGTTAACCTAGTGGCAGAGCTCAAGGCCTCGTTAAGCCTGAGCTGACAGCAAAATGTCAAGATGGGGCTTAAAAGAGAGGCTAGCTTGGCCGGGCGTGGTGGCCACGCCTGTAATCCCAGCACTTTGGGAGGCCGAGGCGGGCGGATCACGAGGTCAGGAGATCGAGACCAGCCTGGCTAACACGGTGAAACCTCGTCTCTACTAAAAGTATTTTAAAAAAAGAATTAGCCGGGCGTGGTGGCGCGCGCCTGTAGTCCCGGCTACTCGGGAGGCTGAGGCAGGAGAATGGCGTGAACCCGGGAGGCGGAGCTTGCAGTGAGCCGAGATCGCGCCACTGCACTCCAGCCTGGGCAACAGAGCGAAACTCAATCTCAAAAAAAAAAAAAAAAAAAAACGAGACTAGCTTCTCTCCTAGCGACTAGATTCTTGGCAGAATGTCTTCTTCCTGTAAGGTTCAGAACTTAGCAGGAAAAAAGCTACTAATGTGGGATTTGGTCGTTTTCTGCAGTTTAAAGTGTCTCAATCTAGTTTCAGTTTTAGAATTTCAATGTACCCTGAGTAGCTGTGGGAGAAGGGGTTGGTATTTTGTTCAAGGAACAGACACCCATTCAAGCTAGCTTTAGAAACAAGTAGAGCTGGAGGTAGATTGATTATTATAAGGATATCTCCAAGAAACTTAAGAATAGCTAGGGCTCCCTGAAAAGCCAAAAACTGGCCGGCCATGGTGGCTCACGCCTATAACACCAGCACTTTGAGAGGCCCAAGGCAAGTGGATCACTTGAGGTCAGGAGTTTGAGACCAGCCTGGCCAACATGGGGAAACCCCATCTCTACTAAAAATACAAAAATTAGCTAGGCGTGGTGGCGGGCACCTGTAATCCCAGCTACTCAAGAGGCTGAGGCAGGAGAATCACTTGAACCCAGGAGGTGGAGGCTGCAGTGAGCCGAGATCTCACCACTGCACTCAAGCCTGGGGAACAGATGGAGACTCCGTCGAAAAAAAAGAAACACACACACACCAAGGCTGCTGCTCCCAACATCACTCTGTTACCACAAGGCTCTGGTCTCTTCCTCTGTCCCGGAAGCCTTCCCTATTTTGCTGCTTCTATGTGCAGACTGGCTTCTCTGCATTCTCAACATTCCACAGGACAAAACCTGACACTCCAGCCCCTGCCCTACACCTTCCACTGACGTCTTCCACTGTGGCTCAATTCTTAAGTGAGAATCTGATTGGTCACTGACCAGACAGTGAATGAGTTGAGTGTCTATCAGTGGTCCAATCAGCCATAGCCAGAAGGTGCGTAGGACTGACAACTGACATTTCCAGGGTTCGTCGATGAAACAGAATATATGTATGAGGGACTGTGGACATAGGCAAGTAACAAGCGTATCCAATACAGCCAAGAAACCTGAATTCAACTGTCCCAAATGAGAGGGGAATCTAGTCCTTTATAAGTGCCTCAGCACTCTCAACTTCCTGTGGGAAGTTCTTTTTTTTTTTTTTTTTGAGACGGAGTTTTGCTCTCGTTGCCCAGGCTGGAGTGCAATGGCGCAATCTCGGCTCACCGCAACCTCCACCTCCCGGGTTCAAGCAATTCTCCTGCCTCAGCCTCCCGAGTAGCTGGGATTACAGGCATGCACCACCACGCCCGGCTAATTTTTGTATTTTTAGTAGAGACAGGGTTTCTCCATGTTGGTCAGGCTGGTCTCGAACTACTGACCTCAGGTGATCCGCCCACCTCGGCCTCCCAAAGTGCTGGGATTACAAGGGAAGTTCATTTTATCATCATTCACACTGGCAGCCCTTTCCAGGCTGTATATGTAAGCCTCTAAGGGAGTGAAGGAACAATTTTCTAAAGAAAAGATTACTTTTTTGTAGCCAATTTGATTCAATGACACAGCCAAGGAAGACTATGACACTTGGGTTTGATCCAAATTTCTTCTCAAAAAGTAATTGTATCCTGGTTCTCAGTGCTCTTTCTCCTGCTGCTTGTAGATGGTCCCTCCCTTCCCCTAGGAAATTATTTCACTGCTTGGGCAGTTGAAGCAGAACTTTTGAACAGTTATTTTTATTTTCTTAACATTAATTAAGTTCTTTTTTTCAGCTGAATTTTCTTTATTTAGTTATAATTTACATGCAATAAAATCCACACATCTTTTTTTTTTTTTTTTTTTTTTTTTTTTTTTTTTTTTGAGACAGAGTCTCGCTCTGTCAGCCAGGCTGGTGTGCAGTGGCACGATCTTCGGCTCACTGCAAGCTCTGCCTCCCGGGTTCACGCCATTCTCCTGCCTCAGCCTCCCGAGTAGCTGGGACTACAGGCGCCTGCCACCACACCTGGCTAATTTTTTTGTATTTTTAGTAGAGACGGGGTTTCACCATGTTAGCCAGGATGGTCTCGATCTCCTGACCTCGTGATCTGCCAGCCTCGGCCTCCCAAAGTTCTGGGATTACAGGCATGAGCCACAGCGCCCGGCCAAAATCCGCACATCTTAAAGGTAAGGCTTGATTACATTTTACATATGGGTACATATAAATGTGTGTATGTGTATAAACATATGTATGTACATATATATCTGTTTATATACAAATTATATATGTGTAGGTACACCTGTGTGTGTATACATGTAGATATATAGATAACCATATCTATGTAACAACCACCCAGATCAAGATATGAAACATTTCTAAAGAGTGGTCCCTGGCTACACTTTCTGCTAAAAAATACCTATCCTTTCCCTAAGCTGAATTATTATTTTGACTTTTTCTTAACTATAGATTAGTTTTGCTTGTTTTTGAACTTCATATAAAGGGAGTCGTACAGTATGTACATTTCTGTGTCTAACTTCTATTGCTCAACATTCATGGGATGTATCCATGTTGTGGGTATTAGTAGTTCTTCCTTTTTATCGCTGAGTACTATTTCATTGTATGAATATACACAGTTTCTTCATGCATTCTTCTGTTGATGGACACTTAGATTGTTTCCATTTAGGCTATTATGAATAAGGCTACTGTGAACACCCCGAACAAGTCTTTTTATAGACATAATCATTCATTTCTCTTGGGTAAATTCCCCACAGTGGCAATGCTGGGTCATCCAGTGTGTCTGTGTCTCATTTCATTGAACGTTGGCAGTTCTTTCAAATATACATTGAGATTTCTCTAATTCTCTCTTCCCATCTTTCTCCTCTGCCACCACTCTAAACCACTCTTCTGCTTCTGTTACCAGACCTGTTTCCTGACTTGCGTTTTCCTCTCCACAGGACAAGAAGAGGTATTTACGCCTCCTGGAGATTCACAAAATAATGCGGACGCTACCGACTGCCAGATCTTTACACTCACCCCTCCACCTGCCCCGAGGAGTCCGGTCACAAGGGCCCAGCCCATCACAAAGACACCCAGGTGTCCCTTCCATTTTTTTCCACGAAGGCCCAGAATCCATTTTAGGTTTCCAAACAGACCTTTCGTCCCTTCAAGGTGTAACCACCGTTTTCCATTCCAGCCATTTTATTGGCCACACCGTTACCTTACTTATAGGTATTTCCCCAGAAGAAGACTCCAGAGAGGAAGCTCATCTGAGGAAAGCTGAGAGGGAAGAGAAACCCAAACATACTGAAGCAAAAAAAAGCCTATCCTTCAGAAAAAAGCAACAAAAAGATTTCTGTTTTATCTTTCGAAACTAAAACTATTGGATTTGAAGATTAAGTATCCTAAACATCACTGACTAGAAACTGTTCTCTTTGTCAGCAGTGAAGATATTGGATCATAGGTTATTGATGGTTGCAAAATTGGACAATAACCACGTTATTTTTATCCTCAACCTCTTATGGTCACAGGATATTTATGCAAATAAAATCTTTAAATGGGTGGCTCTAGTAATTCCTATCCATACTAAGATGCTGAGAGAATCCATCTCCTCCTCTAAATTAAACAGGATTTAAATAAATTGAGATCATTATAAACCACACGAAGAAACTGATGACACCGTTTTTATACTCATTGGAAAACATACAGAGCAAGGTGCATTGACAAAGTAAACTTTAAAAGAAATTATAAAGCTTAAAGCAATTAAAAAGTTATGAGGAGTCTGACTGTAGCTAATACTTTAAAGATATAAACTGACTTGTCTAACCCAAATAATAATAATTATTATTATTTTCTTGGAGACAGAATTTCACTCTTGTTACCCAGGCTGGAGTTTAGTGGTGCTGTCTCGGCTCACTGCAACCTCTGCCTCCCGGGTTCAAGCAATTCTCTTGCCTCAGCCTCCCAAGTAGCTGGGATTATAGGTGCTCGCTACCAAGCCTGGCCAATTTTTTGTATTTTTAGTAGAGATGGGGTTTCACCATGTTGGCCAGGCTGGTCTCGAACTCCTGACCTCAGGTGATCCACCCACCTCGGCCTCCCAGAGTGCTGGGATTACAGGCATGAGTCACTGCGCCCAGCCCCAAATAATTACTTTTAAACTATAGTATCTAAATTTACTTTAATGTTGACTTCAACTGATGCAAATTAATTTGATAATTTTCTCACTGTTTCCCGTTATCATTACATAGATGCTGGCTAAAATAATATACTTCCTCTCAAACTTTTAACGTAATTCCAGGTTCAAAATGCCTGATTAAACTGCTACAAGAATATTCTGGTACCTCTAGAACTCCACAGAGATAAGTTCACTCAACTCTTGGAACCTTGTATTCTCAGGGTGCAATATGAGAAACAAATCCCACAGATTGCATTGATTGGTTATTTGTTTTGGCCACTCTGTAAAACACATCTTCCTGTTTATGCCACTTATCTTGCCTGTAACATAAGAACTTTAGTTCTGCATATGTGGTCAGTGGTTTGCACTTTTTCCTCCCAAGATCTACATGCAAAAGTTGCTGTTGCTGCTGCTGCTACAAAAACAGAAAAAAAAAAATCAGGATGAAGACATGAAAGGACTTTGGGAATGGTTGCCCTAAAAAAGGAAAGAGAGATAAAATCATCATGCTATGTTTCTTTGCTTTATTAAAATGATCAAAAAAGAAAAAAACTATTTAATTCACATTCTAGAAAATATTCATTTTAAGAATAGATTTTTGCTTCAAATTTACAGGCTTCAATAAAAACCTACTTGAAAGTCTCTTCAGAAAAACAAAACAAAACTATATTTTGAAATAAACCCTACCTGCTCTCTTTTTTTTGGTTGATGGGGACATACCAGAAAAGGGCCAGCTTCAGGCAAACTTGAAGACAGATAAAGGTTTGTATTTGAAACCCACCTCCCCTTCTGACTCTCCTCCTTTATTCCGGCATGCTCACCACTCACCTAGGTACTCAGTGTCCTCATAGTGCCAGCAACTGCCAAAAACTAACCTACCTTTGACTGGGCTTTCTCTTCCCAAATGTTAGAACTTTTGCAATTCAAAATTTAATCGTTCTGAAATCTAGTCCTTGAAGGACTTGCTAAGTAATATGCCAGCCTCAGGTAAACTAAGACAAACTAATGATGGATGAACAGCTTCGATGCATTAATCACTGCATTAATTATAGAAGGCAGGCTACTCCTACAGTGTTTCAGAGTAAGGGCCTTTCAACATAGCTCTAGGTAAAATTGCATTATTCCTCACCCTGGAACATGTATAGAATATGAGAAGCAGCCCACACCTGCTATTAAAAGTATAGGCCTAGGAGTGCAAAAGGCTTATTTGGGGGAGGGAAGAATATGCTTTTGTGACTTAGAAAAATTTGCATCATTCCTTTGGATTCATAAATTCACTTTTTAAATACAGAGATTCCTAGCAGGTTTATTGAATTAGAAGGATAATGTGGAACCACTAATACCTCCATGTGAATTAGTTTCTCAAATTAGTTCCTTTCGACTAGCTGTTTTTGAAGCAATGGGAGTCTGTGGGATGGGTATAATAACTCTTCAATGCATTTTTTTTCTTTTGAGGCAGGAATTACAACAATAGTATTGTAAGTCTAAAGTTCTAATTATGCCCAAAACACATAACCTGAATCTAATCATCAAAAAAAAACTCAAATTAAGGAACATTTGCAAAACTGGCATCTTCAAAAATGTAGATGTCATGAAAGACAAAGATTAAAGGAGATTGAAGTGGATGACAATTCAGTGCAATATGTGATCTCCGATTAGATCCTGGAGGTCAGAAGGGGAGGGACAGGACATTTTGGCATAACTGGGACAACTGACAAATTTTAAATTTGGACCATGTATTGGGTAATAGTATTCTGTCAATGTTAAACTTCCTGAATTTCATAATTCTGTAAGAGAACATTCCTGTTCTTAAGGAAATAGATTTTGAAGCATTTAAGGGTAAATAAGTATGATCTCTGCAACTAAATCTCAAAAGATTCAGGAAAAATATGCATAGATATGCAGATATGTGCATATATATGATAGATAGATACATAGATAGATATATAGATAGGCAGACAGATGGGAAGTAATAAACCACATGTGGCAAATGTTTTTCCAGTTGATGTATTTGACTAAAGGGTATATGGGAGTTGTTTGTACTATTCTTGCAGCTCTTCTAGAGTTCGATATTATTTCAAGAACAATATTTAAAAATTATTTGAGGAGGTCTACTAGCTTGCTAGGGCTCCCATAACAAAGTGTCAGACTGGGTGGCTTAAACAACAGAAATGTATTTCTGGAGGCTAGAAGTCTAAGATCAAAGTGCCATCAGGGTTGGTTTTGATGTAAGGCAGGTGAGCCCCAAAGTGGGGCTTAGCCTGTGAGGGTTCTTGGCTTTGCCTAGGAAAGAATTCAAGGGCAAGCCAGAGGTAGAAGGAAACAGCTTTATTGAAGAGGCAGTGTTACAGCTTTGTGACTGCTCCTGCAGAGCAAGGCTACCCTGTAGGCAGAGAGTAGTACCCCAGGGCAGTTTTGCAGTCATATTTATACTCACTTGTAAGTCCATGCAGATTAAGGGGTGACTTATTCGGGAAGTTTGTAGGGAAGGGGTAGTAAATTTTGGGTCATTGGGTCAGTGCCATGGAAAGGGGCAGTAACTCCTGGGTGTTGCCATGACAATGGTAAATTGACACAGCACACTGGTGGGTGTGTCTGATTGAAGGGTATTGAAGGGTGCTTCCTCCTCACTTTCCACCCCTGTTTTAGCTAGTCCTCAATCTGGTCTGATGTCTAAGCCCCGCCTCTGGAGTCCATTCCTGCTTCCTACTTTGTTTCCTGTGAGGCCTCTCTCCCTGTCTTGCAGATGGCCACCCTCTTCCTCCTCTTCACATGGTCATTTCTCTGTGTACATGTGCTACTGGTGTCTCTCTTGTGTGACTAGATTTCTTCTTCTTATAAAGACACAAGTCAGATTGGATTAGGGCCCTTCCTAACAGCCTCATTTTAAATTAATCACCTCTTTGGTGAGGCCGAGGTGGGTGGATCATGAGGTCAGGAGATCGAGACCATCCTGGCTAACAAGGTGAAATCCCATCTCTATCAAAAATACAAAAAATTAGCCAGGCATGGTGGTGGGCACCTGTAGTCCCAGCTACTCAGGAGGCTGAGGCAGGAGAATGGCGTGATCCTGGGAGGCGGAGCTTGCAGTGAGCCGAGATTGCGCCACTGCACTCCAACCTGGGCGACAGAGCAAGACTCCATCAAAAAAAAAAAAAAAAAGTAATCACCTCTTTAAAGGCTCCATCTCCAAACAGTCACATGGTGAAGTATTGAGGAGGCTAAGCCTTCAACATGTGAATTTGGGGGAACACACTTCAGTCCATAACAAGAAGTATCCAATTTTCATAGCAGTAACTACAAACTCCCAGAGCAGCTACATAATCTAGAGAAACCTGGCTCTGATTCTAAAGAAGACAGGGTTACAATGCTCAAGCACCTTTTTTTTTTTGAGATGGAGTTTCGCCCTTGTCACCCAGGCTGGATTGCAATGGTGCAATCTCGGCTCACTGCAACCTCCGCCTCCCAGGTTCAAGCAATTCTTCTGCCTCGGCCTCCCAAGTAGCTGGGACTACAGGTGTGCACCACCATGCCTGGCTAATTTTTGTATTTTTGGTAGAGACAGGGTTTCACCATGTTGGCCAGGCTGGTCTGGAACTCCTGACCTCAAGCAATCCACCTGCCTCAGCCTCCCAAAGTGCTGGGATTACAGGTATGAGCCACCGCACCTGGCTCAAGCACTTTTTTACATAAGAAAAAATAGGCCAGGCCTGATGGCTTACACCTGTAATCCTGGCATTTTGGGAGGCCGAGGTGGGCAGACCATTTGAACCCAGGATTTGGAGACCAGCCTGGGCAGCATGGTGAAACTCCATCTCTACAAAAAAAATCCAAAAATAAAAAATTAGCTGGGAGTAGTGGCATGTGGCATGTGCCTGTAGTCTCAGCTACTCAGGAGACTAAGGTGGGAGGATTGCTTGAGCCCAGGAGGTCGAGGTTGCAGTGACCCATGATCACACCCCATTGCACTCCCACCTGGATGATGGAAGGAGACCCTGTCTCAAAATAACAACAACAACAACAATAATAATAATAAAAGAGAAAATAGGCCAGACCTGGTGGCTTGCACTCATAATCCCAACACTTTGGGAGGCTGAGGCAGGCGGATTGCTCAAGTCCAGGAGTTTGAGACCAGCCTGGACAACATGGCAAAACCCAGTTTCTACAAAAAAAAAAAAAAAAAAAAAAAAATTAGCTGGGTGTGGTGGCGCATGCCTGTAGTCCCAGCTGCTTAGGAGGCTGCAGTGAGCTATGATCACACCACTGTACTCCAGCCTGGGCAACAGAGAGATACCCGGTCTCAAAAATAATAAGAATAATAAATACAGATAAAATTAAGAGAACTACCATTTTTTCAAGCACAGAGCATATTTTACTTAGTTTTACAATCAAACGTAAGTGGAGATCAGATTCCTATAGGAAGCTCCAGGTTTGTTCTAAACAGCAGAGAGACAAACCAACCAAGCGTGGGAGGTATGAAAGAGTAGACACAACTGAACAATGTGCATGGGGCAATCAGTTCTATAAACCTCAGCAACACATAGGGTCATCATCAAGTAAAACCACTGAAGTGGCCGGGCACAATGGCCCATGCCTGTAATCCCAGCACTTTGGGAGGCCGAGGCAGGCGGATCACCTGAGGTCTGGAGTTTGAGAGCAGCCTGGCCAACATGGTGAAGCCCCATCTCTACTAAAAATACAAAAAATTAGCCAGGTGTGGTGGTGGGCACCTGTAATCTCAGCTACTTGGGAGGCAGGAGAATCACTTGAACCCAGGAGGCAGAAGTTGCAGTGAGCCGAGATGGCGCCATTGCACTCCAGCCTGGGCAACAAGAGTGAAACTGTGTCTCAAAAAGAAAAAAAAAAAAAACAAACAAAAAACACTGAAGTGTGACAAAATAGCTCTAAACTGAAAACAACACAAACGTCCACCTGCAGTAGAATGGGTAAATCCATTGCTTTCGTTTCCTACGCCGAAATACTACGCATCAATGAAAACCAACAGATTACTACTATTAATACATAGATGATTCTCACAGATTCCATACTGAGTGAAAGAAGTCAGTCACAAAAGGATACATAGAGTAAGATTCCATTTACATGAAATTCAGGAACAGGTAAAACTAATCCATGGTGATAGAGGCCAGAATAATGATGACCTTGGTTTGAGAAAGGGGCAAGAGAGACTGTGGTAGGAGCTGGAAGTAGTCTGTATCTTGCTTGGTCTGGGTGGTGGTCACAGGGGTGTATACATTTATAAAAATTATCGTGTTATATATGTAAGATTTATGTATTTTACTAGATATAAGTTACATATTAATTGGAAAAATTTTAAATGCTACCATGTGGTGGCACACACCTGTAGTCCCAGCTACTCGGGAGGCTAAGACAGGAGAATCGCTTGTACCCGGGAGGCGGAGGTTGTAGTGAGCCGAGATCGCACCACTGCACTCCAGCCTGGGCAACGGAGCGAGACTCTGTCTCAAAAAACAAAAAATGCTGCAGTGTGCAGGAAATCAGTAAATGCACCCTAATTACAGTTGTAGCTTTCGTTTATCAAACAAGCATTTGAATATTCTGTGGACTGGCAGTTACCAAGGCCATATTAAGTAGGATTTCCCTGAATATTTTTTAGTATATATCAATAAATATTTGTCCCTCCCAGCTAGGGTATATTTAAACCAGAAATCTTTCAACAGTCTTAAATGTAACCCTAGCAGAGGTTACATTTGGCTAGCCAGACATCATACAGTTGGCTAGCCAGAGAACCACAAAAACAGATAGAGACACATTCCAAAGAGAAAACCTCTCTCTCAGATTCATCATTGGAAAAATGTAGATTGGAGAGTAGGAGTTCAATGATTTGTGTGGAAGGGATCATCACAAACAAATAATCACCTCTGCAAGCTTTTGACACAGATCTCCAGATCTTTAGGGTGGCCTGCAGGACCTGGCCTACCCACTCCCCATCCCCACCCTCCTCCTCTCTGAACTCATCTCACACCACTCTCTTCCTTTCCCACTCCAGACACACTGTCCTCCTCGCTGTTTCCCAAACTAACCAAGCACACTCCCTCCTCAGGGTCTGTGCCCTTGCAGGTCTGTCTGCTCTTCCCCCAGATATCCACATGGCTCCTTCCCTTTCTTCAGGACATTCATAAAATTCTATCTCAGTTCCCTGGCCACCCTATCAAAATGTGCAGGCAGAGACTCCTCTCCCTGTTCCCAGCTTTATTTTTACACCCAGCATGTTTCACATTTAAGCATCCATAGATATTCTTTGTTATCTTGGTTTTTTTAGAGATTTTTGTCCATTTTGATCTTTTTTTTGTTGTGTGTTTTTTTTTTTTTTTTTTTTTTTTTTTTTTTTTTTTTTTGAGACAGGGTCTCGCTCTGTTTCCCAGACTGGAGTGCAGTGGCATGATCACAGCTCACGGCAGGCTCAGCCTCCCAAGCTCCAAAGATCCTCTCACTTCAGCTGGGACAGGGACTACAGGCAGGCACCATGATGCCAGATCAATTTTTGTATTTTTTTGTGGAGATGGGTTTTTGTCATGTTGCCCAGGCTGTTCTTGAACTCCTGAGCTCAAGCAATCCACCCGCCTCAGCCTCCCAAAGTGCTGGAATTACAGGCGTGGGTCACCACACCCGGCCTTTGTTCACTTCTTATCCCCAGGACTTAAAACATGGTCTGCACTCAATAAATATTTGTTAAATAAATGAATTTTTAAACATCCTGCTGTTTAACCCTATTTGCTTCTACATATCAGTTCATATATATCAAGGGAAGCCTCAAGATTTTAAAATCTTCACCCAGAAAAAAAAGAACTATTGAGGAGAGAAAGATGAGGCACACACGTCTCTCCTGAATAAAATAGTTACTGGTCACCGATGTATGCTTTCAATCTCCTTTCAGGATTTTTTAAATGAATTTCTCTTTTAAAATGAATTATCTGTTTCACTGTAGATGCAATTTTCTCTCTTTCTGTAGTCTGTTGCAAGGTAGGTAGGAACGGCAATAAGAGATAGAGAAGGCTCCGATTCAATTGCTGACTTAATTTTGTAATTCTCTCAAACTTCTATTAGCAGAATCTATCACTCTCTCTTTTTTAAACTGAGTCCAATCCTATTTCTAAAACCCCTCCTCCAGGGCCAGGTCAAGATACATAGGTTTCCTTGGAAGGCTAATTATTTGAGATGGCTCCTCAAACTGTTATTCTTCAAAGATCTGTTCAATAAGCACAGAGAAGTTGATTTTCTGCCAGCAAAATTTATTTACTTCCTGGCTTATGTTCTAAATTAAAAGATTATTACATGTTCTGCACATAATAAATTTTTTAACTTCTTTAGAAACATCTTTTACAATTTACTCCACCTGGATAATTAGATGCTCACCCTCACTCAGGATAGAGATAGATTTCATAGAGTCATAGCAATAAAAATTTAAAGTTCTATTTCCGTATTGGCAATACATTTCTCCTTTTCTACAGTCCCTTTGCATTTTTCTTTGGTGATTCTGTTTTTCAAATCAACACGTTGAGAAGTGTTTCAAGGGTTTAAATTTTAGACACAAAATACATGGCTTATTTTCCCGAAACAACATTATGCCCTGCACTTTTTCAGATTCAGAATTTGAGTGCACTGACGGCTAAATACACATATTAACCAACTGCTATAAAGGTTGGAAATGTGTCTGGGGTTGCACCATGCAAACTCCCTATGCTGTACTCCAAACATAATCAAGAAAGAAAGCCAGTGGCAGTGCAGACTTATCTTCAAGTTTCCAAGCATTATGAAGATTGACTTACATTTTGCCACTTACACAGATATCACAATTGAAAACCATGTTTCCAATTAATTCCAAAGATGTTCAGAACCCTTATTAGGCTGGCATCCTTGGAAGTGAAATTTTTCCTTCCACTCTGCCTTTACTCACCTGCCAACATTTCATTTTGTGAGGCAAATTTACTTTCATAATTCTCCAACTTGTTTTTCTTGTTCGGGATTCTCAGTGAAGTCCACAGCTCTTCCCCACCACCCCCATGCTCTCTCCAGCCTAGACCCCCCTCTAGCCACTAGTTCTGCCTTGCTGACCTCTGAGTTTACCGGCCACCTGCTGACATTAGGGAGGCCCTGACATAATCGCAGAGACTGAGCAGGTCAAGTGCATTGGATCTCTTCTGCTTCCTAAACACCTAGGAACCTGCACTACTAGTGTTTAACTAACAATGTTCACCCACCAGGGGGCGCCCCTCCACCAGCAGTGCCGTCTGATGGCCTGTCTTACAGTTCTCCCTGGCCACGCCTGTAGTTCAAATAGTTTGAGCGCTCCTTAACACTGCTCTTTAAAATGGAAAAAGAAGACCATTTATTGATTGCATGGACAAAAAGAAACAGATAATACCCCTCAGGTAAAATTCGTCACAGATTTTAGTATTTTTGCCCTTGGGAAAGCTATGGCTTGCAGTAAGAGGGGCTTTACTGCCACCTCCCGGATCACGGCTTGGCAGCACCAGGCAGTCCTCAACAGAGCCAAGGGAATAAGGTGTCATCCTAGTGAAATAGATGTGAGGTCAACGGCGCAATCCCAGAGCTCAGATCTTTCATAACTTTCCTTAAATAATTCCTGTCCATCCAAGCAGAACTGGCTTCTCCATCCCTCTGCCCCAGGAGGGAGACGTGTTAATCTCTCATTGACTTATTTCCTCCCAAAACCCAGAAGAAGAAAGGGGACCTATCGTACTTAAAACAAGTGTAATTTTAAAATATATTCTGGTCTGGCGCGGTGGCTCAAGCCTGTAATCCCAGCACTTTGAGAGACCGAGGTGTGCGGATCACCTGAGGTCAGGAGTTTGCGACCAACTCGGCCAACATGGAGAAACCCCATCTCTACTAAAAATACAAAAATTAGCCAGGCGTGGTGGTGTATGCCTGTAATCCCAACTACTCGGGAGGCTGAGGCAGGAGAATTTCTTGAACCTGGGAGGCGGAGGTTGCAGTGAGCCAAGATCGCTCCACTTCACTCCAGCCTGGGCAACAGCGGGAGACTCCGTCTCAAAAAAAAAAAAAAAAAAAAAAAAAAAAAAAAAAAAAAGCATTCTTCTGGCTGGGTTGCATTTCTAAAAAATCATTTTTTATCCACAATATGTTTTGAGCCAAACCTTATTATCTGAATCTGGTTTCTCCCTTGTTGTCAGATATAGGAAAACCAACTACAGAGGGAAGCCTCCAATACTTAAACTAAAATCTGCCTTACCTTTTTTAAAGACCTTAATATTTTTTATTCACAGTAGGAATTCAAATGACATATATATATATAAAATATATCAGAATATGTGTAACCTCAGTAGTAATCAAGAAAATGTAAACCAAAGCAAGATAAGTTTCACCCATCTATCTGGCCAAAATGGAAACTATTAATATCTAAAGTGAGAAAATTTTCTCATATACTGTTGGTAAGAATATAAATTAGTACAGTCTTTTTGAGGGACAATTTGGTAAAATCAATCCAAATCTAAAATAAAGCATCGCTTCTGCAGCTTCAAAAATGTCCATCTCTGGTTAGCACTGTGATCGTTTTTCCAATGTCCATTCTGTGCCTGCCCTGCTTTGTGGAAGCCATGTGGTTCCATGGGTGGGCTGCAATTGGCCTAAGCCAATCAGTATAATCCGGTTTCCCTTTGATCCCATTATTAATTCAAGGAAGGGAATTTAACAGAGGCCCAAGGTTCAAGCCCATCAGTGCTTGTCATTCACCTAGCTACTGTGATTGATTCAGGGATGAGCAGTATCCAAATTAGGCTCAATGACAGTGAAGTGTTGTTTAATGGCTGGGGAAACTCCTTCTCTTCTCCTCTAGAAGTAAATGAGGAAGCATGTAGCTCCAGGAGTCTAAGCTCTCAATGTTATATTATCTAAACAGATTTTAAAAATTAATTCCAGCTCTAAATAATCATAATCATATATTTATTTCAACACTCATGGCTCTATCATTTATTGAGTGACACTGAGTCAATTCCTTAAGTTTTCTAAGCCTATTATCTTGCCTATAAAACATGAATAACATTCCTACTTTCATAGGGTTATTACTGTGCTAGATGGTGTAGAGCAAAAATAGATAAATAAGGTTCCCCATCTTTATAGACACTGAAAATTTAGTGAGGCAGTGACACTGGGTATTGTTCTTGCCTGTGTGCCTTCAGAATCTAACCCTGACTCTTCTGGTGGGTTGAGGAGCAACTTAACTCCTTTCAATAAATGGCTTTTCTAGTTAAAGGGGAAAAAAAAATCGGGGGAGATAGGTATACATGTAAACAAAAGAGTGAGAAGCCAAGGAAGACAACTAAAAACAGGTTGAGGAAGCCAGGTATGGTGGCTCTTGCCTGTAATTCTAGCACTTTGGGAGGCCAAGGAAGGAGGATCGTTTGGGCACAGGAGTTAAAGACCAGCCTGGGCAACATAGTGAGACCCCGTCTCTATAAAAAATAATAATAATAAAATAAAATAATAAAACAGGTTAAGGAGGGAAGTGACCAATTAAAACATTATTTTGTGGTGGGGGGTGGGGGTGGTCAGGGGATACTTTTAAATCCTAGCAGCAAGATTAATGAAGATCACTTTCCAGGTCTAGAGCAGGTGGGATAGCTGGATGGAGGTAAACTGATATGAAAGCCTGTTCTCCAGACTGATAGGAGAACCTACCCTAGCTTAGGGATAGGAAAACATGCTGAATTGAGATATGTTGTTTTCATTTCCCTGAACCTTTCTTATATGTTCATATTAATCGACAATACATTTTCCAAAATGTTACCAGAAACTTCACTTCTACAGGAGATGGCCCTGAGTGCCAAAGTAGAGAATATAGAAATTAAGAATGTGCAATGGGCAAAACTAAATTTTCACTGAAAACAAAGAAAAGTGCTGTCTCGTGGATGGGTTTTGGTTTTAAAGAAAATTTCTCAGAATATATTCAACATCAGATATCCACAAATATCTATAAACACAAAGCTCTAAATCACAAGTTACCCACGAGTGATAACATAAGGTACTTACTTCTCAGAGGGCATGTTAAGAAAAAAATATGCTGTACATTAATTACATTTTCTAGTTATTTCATGTCTGAAGCTGTCAAGAGAAAAAATAAGACCCTTGAGAAAACAATGTGAGAACATAATTTTTTATTCATATAGATAGAGGAGTGTTAAGCACCCTCTTCTAGTGCAAAAACACTTAATGCAAAAAACAACAGAGAAAAATCCATTCAGTCCAATTCACTAAGACTAGCCTAAAGCCTTAGGAGCAGTGCTCTGTTGCTTCTCTAATCCCCTGACCATGGTTCAGTTATATAGAGGAGGACTTAGAAAACAAATCGATCACATTTTTCAGTCTAGTCTGATACATAGTGTATTACAGGTCCAGCCTTATATTGTAGCACAACTAAGATAAAGGAACCAATAATGAGAGTCACATAAGAAAACACATTTTCTATGTTCCATTTCAATGGGAAGTCAGATATTCTAAGCAAGCAAGGGATTCTCAGTCAGGAAAACCAGGTTCTGTCACAACTATTACCAGTTAGTCTTTATAAGAAATGTTATTTTATGACCATGCTGCTTATATCACCAGCTATACAAGAAAATTAGCTTGCCATCCCTACATCCAAAGTTTTCCAGAAGAATTAACAGATTTAAAACTTATTTGTTAAATACCATACAGTAGTGTATATATTATTTATAGCCTCTTAATTAAATAAATCTAAATTTAAACCATCTATGGAGCCCAGTAAGATAATATTTATTAATTTTAAAACATACATACATGCAGCAAGCCCACTGCTCCCCACCAGTACATACACATATTCCCTATTAGTGTGTGACTAAATCATATCCTTGCAAGAGAAACTAAATAACCTTAAACTTAAAAAAAGGATCATTTTGGTTCAATATCTATTATTGTTGATTATGTAATCTTGTTGATTACATCAACAAGAATCACTGAAACCAATTTGCAGAATCTTTTTCTAGTAGTTCTGCCACAGTTCTAATCAGATATGATCCTCAAGTCATAACTTGGACTTATGGTAAATATTTTTTAGTTCCTTAATTCTAAAGTTCACAAAGTGTTTTAATAGGCAAAAGATATCAAAAGCTAGTATAAAAACTGCAAGGCAATTGATCCTAGAACCTCAACCATTGAGCTGATATTCTCACACTGATCTTTACATAAAAATAGTATTGAAATAAGCCGAAGCGCCATTTGGCTTTAAGTATTACCTGTTTGCCATGCTGCAGAATCTATTGGCAGTGTTTTTCAAAGTAAAAATAAAGTAGTAACTTTTTAATATGCAGCCTATTAATGCTGATACCCTAGTTTTTTCAGCATGTTATCCATACTAATGTTGTCAAACAGCTGGTCACAGATTAAAAGTAGAGCTTTTAAATCAAGACCAATTTTAATTTAACCACCACCTATAGACTTGTACATTGAAACCCCTTATTTGCCTCCTCTTGAATGTCCTACTCTTTTGAGGCTTAAATATCCAAGGTCAGAATTTCAGTATTAAGCTCCTCAGAGTAATAAAGAAAAGTTCTAGTTAAATTCTTCAGCTAAGTTCTAGTCAATGGCTTTGGAAAAAAAGCAACACACTATTAATTAGTTAAGGCAAAAAAAAAAAAAAAACTCACAAATTCTGGTTCCCTAAACAACCATTCTCTAAAATGATAAATGCAGAGCATGTGTAGAAACCCAGAAATCAAGAACCTGTAGCCAACTTAGTTTATTCCTCCCACCTAAAAAGTTTTGGATCCATGCATTGGAAAAGATGTGTGGAATGCAGGTAAATGATTTTGCACCTTGGTGAAAAGCTTTTGAGACGGCCTGAGTGTTTGAGGCCACAAGGAGACAGGAACTTCTCTGGATTCTAGTATCACCCTTAAACTACCAGGGGACAAAAGTGGAGTCCATAATAATGAACGTTCTCTCCCCAAACCCTCTTCAGCTGGGTAGTTCAATAGCAATTGGTCCACAGAAGAGTAATCAGTCCTGATCAATTCTGTATGGAGCATTAGCACCAGAATCTTACAATACATGGAACTAACCAATGCCAGAGTTGTAGTAAGTCATTCGAAAGAGGTTTCTCTGTCACGCTTGCATTAGTGTGGTTCTTAGAAGATCTGCAGGGAGGCCAGAGTCTCATAATACACTGATAGAATATCAAAAATAATTACAGAAGTCAAAGATACACATCTACCCATGGACAGGAGTTACATATTCACTTAATATCTAGAAACGTGTAAGATTGTTAAGTGTGTTTTCATAGTTAAATTCAGGTAAAGCAAACAGTTTCTCTTACTGATCCTAGTTTCTTCAATTTTCTTCAACTGATCCTAATTTTTATCACCTACCCCCAAGAAACCCACTCCTAAATAAATGTACACATTTATACAGAAAACACACAAAGTTCAATGCATGAGTAACATGGCCTTTTATAGTATTTCTCTCTGTCCCCCTTTTTTACACACTTTTAATCATGGTAACTTAAAATATACAATCTCCTAACAGTAAATACACATTCATGTAACAAGAACCATATCACTGTTATTCCACTGGATATGTCTTGAAATAGCATCGGTGGACGTGAAAGGTAATGGGATAACAGTTGGGGAGGGCCATTTGTTCAATCTTCCTTTGAAACATTTGGAAGTCTTTGTCTTTCCTTCTTCTAGAAGGCCTTCCTCAGAAAATGCAGGCAGTTCAGAAGGAAATGATCAAAACCATGAATCTCTCCTCTTGGGATATCAGCACTCTTGCTGCAAGAAGATGTCATCTCAAGTGCAAGAGCATCATCTAAAAGCACAGGAGGATATACCACCAACTATTTTACAAAAAATCTTTCTAAAAATTAATTTCTATCTCACTTGCTTTCTCACATCGTATATATTGATAACATTGGTGGGTACTATGTAGTTTAAGAAAACCTTAGATTTCAATTAGATGTATCAAAAGCAAATTTTTAAGACAATCTTTAGAATAATTACCAATCAAAACTATCTTGCGTATGGCTGGGTGCAGTGGCTCACGCCTGTAATCCCAACACTTTGGGAGGCCGAGGCGGGCAGATCACCTGAGGTTGGGAGTTCAAGACCAGCCTGACCAACATGGAGAAACCCCATCTCTACTAAAAATACAAAAAAATTAGCCCGGCATGGTGGCCCATGCTTGTAATCCCAGCTACTCAGGAGGCTGAGGCAGGAGAATCACTTGAACCCGGGAGGTGGAGGTTGCAGTGAGCAGAGATCACGCCATTGCACTCCAGCCTGGGCAACAAGAGCGAAACTCCGTCTCAAAAAAAAGAAAAACTATCATGTGTAACACACATCTCCTTTTATGCAAATAATGACTAATTTTGACAAAATGCATCCAAGTTTTGCAGACCCTGTAGTTTACACGGTTTGTATGAATTAGTTGTTCATTGCTCAACATGAATTAACTCAAATGAATGCATTGCAAAGACTCTCCCACGGCCTTGAAAGGACCTGTGCAAATGAAAGATCAAAACTTAAGCTTTGTTCACTTCACAGTACATTCACCTTTGATGTCACAGATGCTCAAAATGCTTTGTAAAGGTTAACAGATTAATTCCAATAATACAGTTAGGGGCTGGGCATGGTGACTCATGACTGTAATCCCAGCACTTTGTGAGGCCAAGGTGGGCAGATCACCTGAGGTCAGGAGTTCAAGACCAGCCTAGCCAACATAGTGAAACCCCATCTCTACTAAATATACAAAAATTAGCTGGGCGTGGTGGCACACACCTGTGATCCCAGCTACTCAGGAGGCTGAGGCATGAGGATCACTTGGAGGTTGCAGTAAGCTGAGATTGTGCCACTGCACTCCAGCCTGGGAGACAGAGCAAGACACCGTCTCAAAAAAATAAATAAATACAGTTGTGAGAATGTGGGAATTTATCATCATAATATTTTACATAATGAGATATTAAACATTGAATGACTTGCTTGAGCAAATAAATTATCATTCAAAATGGTCTGATTGGCCAGACATGGTGGCTCACACCTCTAATTCCAGCACTTAGGGAGGCCAAGACGGGCAGATCATTTGAGCTCAGGAGTTTGAGGCCACCCTGGGCAACATGGTGAAACCCCATCTCTACCAAAAATACAAAAAATTAGCCGGGCTTTGTGGCACACACGTGTGGCCCCAGCTACTCAGGAGGCTGGGGTGGGAGGATCGCTTCAGCCTAGGAGGCAGAGATTGCAGTGAGCCGAGATCACGCCACTGCACTCCAGCCTGGACAATACAGTAAGATCCCATCTCAAAAAAAATGTCTGATTTTTGTTTTGGCTTTTTTTTTTTTTTCTTTTTTTTTGAGACGGAGTCTCGCTCTGTCGCCCAGGCTGGAGTGCAGTGGCGCGATCTCGGCTCACTGCAAGCTCCGCCTCCCGGGTTCACGCCATTCTCCTGCCTCAGCCTCCCGAGTAGCTGGGACTACAGGCGCCCGCTACCACACCCGGCTAATTTTTTGTATTTTTAGTAGAGACGGGGTTTCACCGTGTTAGCCAGGATGGTCTCGATCTCCTGACCTCGTGATCCGCCCGCCTCAGCCTCCCAAAGTGCTGGGATTACAGGCGTGAGCCACCGCGCCCAGCCTTGGCTTTTTTAATACTAAAAAAGTTATATTTAAAAGGAAGTCAATAATTTGGTATAGCACTGATCTCTCTTTATTGGGAAAAATATTGCCAAGTATAATCATGCACTGTATAACAATGTTTAGGTCAACAATGAGCTGCATATACAATGGTAGTCCCATAGATTATCATGAAGCTGAAAATTCTTATTGCCTAGTGACATTGTAGCTAGTAACATCATAGTGCAATGCATTACCTTTTCTATGTTTTGATATATGAATATTTACTATTGTGTTACAATTGCTTACAGTATTCAGTACAGTAACATGCTGTGCAGGCTTGTAGCCTAGGAGGAATAGGCTATACCATATAGCCTAGGAGTATAGTAGGTTATATCATCTAGGTTTGTGTAAGTAAACTGTGATGTTAGCATAACAGTGAAATCACCTAAGGATGCATCTTTCAGAACATTAACCGAGGCATCATTATAATCAATCAATCTTGCTTTACAGGCCCACAGGGCAAATGACTGATAAGGGAGATAGGTATATATCTTTCTTGAGCACTTGTCACCCTAAATTCACATTACTATATCCAATAAAATGCAGGAGATTAGTTTAAGAGCAAGAGATGTACGCTCTGCGAAAAGGGATTTCATCTCAGAGATAAATACTACTTCTGGTTTTCTAAGTGGCACAACTCTTTCTCTATCAGAAGTTCTCATGGAATCAATCACTGGAGACGGTTTCAGCTGAAAAATTGGTATTCAGCAAGCCACAAAATAGTACCTGTGAAAGGCTGCACAGCTTTAAGTATGGGAAATCACACCTACCCAGTTCAGAACCAAAATGGTTCTCAGTGCTGGTGTTCCATTTGAGGCAAATCAGCCCCTGAATCATCTGACAGGGGAGGTCCTGATACCTATAAATTAATAATAGAGCATCATAGGTTCTCAGTAATTGCAAAAGTTCCACTTCCCCAAAATTTCAATTCTATTTGTTCAAATATTAGATGTTTATAATTAACTATTCATAGCTCAAGTTGCCTACATGGAAAAGAATGAAGTAAGGGGACATTGTTCTTTTCCTTTTCTTTAGTCCCAAACATGACTGCTGAGTGGATGTTATTCTTTGATCTTAGTTTATGCATATGTTAAAAGATACTTCTGATCTGCCAAGGCAGTGTAAGCCCACTACAGCCCATCTCTTCTACTTATTACAAAAATACAAAAACAGAAACCTGTTGGAACCATCATATAAAGACTTTGAAGCAGCCCTTATAACTCTGCTACATGAAGTAAAGGAAAACATACTTGAAATGAATGAAGGGATAGGAATTCTTAGCAGAGAAACAGATGCTATAAAAGGGAACCAAATGTATATTTTGGGACTAAAAAGCACAGTATCTGAAATTTTAAAATCTCACTGGATGGACTTAATAGCAGAATGAAGATGATAAAGTAAAAAGTCAGAGAACTTGAGGATAGATGAATAGAAGTGGCCCAATCTGAAGAACAGAAAGAAAAATGATTAAGAAAAAGTGAACAGAGTCTCGGGAACCTATGAGAAAATACTAAATGGTCTACCATACATATCATTAGACTCTCAGAAGGAGAGGTGAGAGATTATGGCAGAAAAAAAAATTTCAAAAAACATGACCAACAACTCCCCAAATCTGGTAAAATATATAAGTTTAAAGATTCAAGAAGGCTGGCAAACCCCAAACAGGACAGACTCAAAGAAAACTATGTCTAGATACATCATATTTAAGCTAATGAAAAGAAAAGATAAAAATTAAATCTTGAAAGCAGCTAGAGGAAAATGAAACATTACATATAGGGAAACAATTCAAATGCCTGAGAATTTCCCACCAGAAATTACAGAGATCAGAAGACAGAAGAATCCCATCTTTATAGTGCTGGGAGGAAAAACAAAAACAAAAATATGTCAACCCAAATTCCATATCCAATAAAATATACTTCAAGAATTAAAGTAAAATAAAGTCATTCTCAAATGAAGAAAAACTAAGAACATTTGTCACCGTCAGACCTGCTCTGCAAGAAATGCTAACAAGAAGATTTTCAGGCTGAAGGAAAATAATACCAGAGGAAAATCTAGGGAAGAAGAGAGACCGACAGAAATGGTAAAGAGCTAGGTAAATATAAAAGACAACTTTTTCTCATAAATTGTTTAAACTATTTATGACTGTTTAAAACAAAACATATAACGTATTGGGGTTCTGGAGATATGTAAATGTAGTACATATGAAGTTCTAACTTAAAGTGCAAACTGGGAAGAAGGGAATATGTTAGCAATGTTCCTACTTTTTTTGTTGTTAATTATTTATCAAGAGAAACTATTTCTTAGACCACATATTCATGTTTCATAGCTCAGGAACACAGGTAAGTGACAAACTTCTAGGTAATTCAACCCAAAGAAATCCTTTGCATTCCAAAATCACTTTGTATTCTGAAAGATACCAGCCTTCCCCATCTCCTCCAAATCTTTCACGGAATCATAATTTCTGTAGAAATCTGCATATGTCTTCTTTCTTGGTTCAGCCACAGCAATCTTACAGACAGCTGCAACCCCCAGGGATACAATAAAGGCTCCAACAATATGAAATTGCAGACATTTGGCCAGAAGACCACACATCTGAGGTTTTGCCAAAGCGGTGGAAGCCATGGTAGTTACTGTCCTTTATAGGTATGTCAACCTCAAAACCAACGTCTTTCCTGGATGATGGAGAAATGGATGGGCAATTCGTACTTTTTATTTCAAGGGGTACAATGTAGACTACGAAAAATTAGTGATGTATATTGTAATTCCTCGAGCAATCACTAAAAAAAATATAAAAAGATATTGCCGAAAAAATACTGAAACTATTCAAAAACAAAAGAAAACTGGAAAGGAAAAACAGAGGAGCAAACAGAAAACAAATAATAAAAAGATGGGACTAGATTCAAAAATATCAATTATCACATTAAATGTTAATGGTCTAAACATTCTGTGATCAGCAGGATTGTAAAGCTATGCCCTTAAGATTCCTGTCCCTAGCTAGTTAATCAAACTAATTTCAGTACCGATATGAAGGGACTTTGTGCATGGAATAAATGTTACTAATTAGCTGTTAATTGTTACTAATTAGCTGTTAAATGTTACTAATTAGGATAGATTATCTTCGTGGGCCGAGTGTAATCATGTGAGCTCTTAGCATCAGAGTAAGTCAGAGATGTGGCAGAAGGAGTGGTCAGAGAGATTCAAGTGTAAGAGAGATTTGACCACTGTTGCTGGTTTTGAAGGCAGAGGAAGTGGGCCATGAGCCAAGGAATGTGAGTGGCATCTAGAAGGTGAGAACAACCCCCAGCTGTTAGCCAGCAAGGAAATAGGGACTTCTGCCCTACAACCATATGGAACTAAATTAGCCCAACAACCCAAGTGAACCTGGAAATGGTTTCTCCCCAATGCCTCCAGAAAATAATGCAGCCCTGCAGACACCTTGATTTCCACCTGTGAGACTCATTCAGAGAAGCAGCTGTGCCCTAGCTCCTGACCCAGAAACTGTGAGAAAATAAATAGATATTAATTTAGTGTGTTAAGTAGTCCCCCCGATCCATGAGGGATATGTTCCAAGGCCCCCAGCGGATGCCTGAAACCTCAGATAGTACCAAGCCCTAAATATACAGTATTGTGTTTTTTTTAATCTGAAAGCCTAGACAGCTACTAAGCAATAAAAGGGTAGGTAGCATACATGGATACACGGGACAATGGGACAATTCATGTCCTGAGCAGAACAGAGCCAGACAGCTCAAGATTTCATCAGGCTATTCAAAATGGTGTGCAATTTAAAACTTAAGAACTGTTTATTTCTGGAACTTTCCACTAACATTTTCAGACCACAGTTGACCATAGGTAACTGAAAGTGCAGAAAGCAAAACTATAGATAAGGGGGGACTACCACATCTCTAAGGTAGCAGAAATAATAAACGAATACACATTCCAATTAAAAGGCAAAGACTGACAGAATGTATACAAAGGAAAAATCCTATTTATATGCTGTCTGTGAAAGAAACACTTTAAATATAAATATAAAAAACAGATAGGGTGAAAGTAAATGAAATCAACAAGATTTACTATGCAAACATACGTATAAGAAGTTTGGAATGGCTATTTTAATATCAGATAAAATAGACTTCAAAGCACAGACCACTACAGAGATAAAGAGAGGCATTTCATAATGAGAAAAGGTACAATGTATCAGAAAGACAAGACAATTATGTGCAAATACCTAATAATAGAGATTTAAAATACATAAAGCAGCCAGGCATGGTGGCTCACTCCTGTAATCCCAGCTACTCAAGAGGCTCAGGAGGAGGTCAGGAGTTTGGGTCAGGAGTTTGAGCAACACAGCAAGGCCAGCCACAACATCAGAGCAAGACCCCATCTCTCAAAACAAAAAAGAAAAAATTAGCTGGGTGTGGTGAGCTGTGCCTGTAGTCTTAGTTACTCAGGAGGTTGATGGGGGAAGATCGCTTGATCCTAGGAATTCAAGGTTGCAGTGAGCTATGATCATGCCGCTGCACTCCAGCCTGGGCAACAGAGTGAGACCCCATTTCTAAAAAAATAATAATAAAATACATGAAGCAAAAATAAATAGATACAGGCCAGGTATGGTGGCTCATGCCTGTAATCCCAGCACTTTGGGAGGCCGATGTGGGTGGATCACTTGAGTTCAGGAGGTCAAGACCAGCGTGGGCAACAAAGCGAGACTCTGTCTTGAAATAAATTAATTAATTAAATTAAATTAAAACAAACAGATATAAGAGAGAAATAGGCAATTCTACAACATAATAAAAGATTTTAACAGCACTCTTTCAAGAACTGATAGACCTAAACAAAAAAAATTAAGAGCATAGATGACCTGAAGAATACTGTACTATTAACCACCTTGATCTAATTTCACATTTATAGAACAATTAATCCAACAACAAAGAATATACATTTTTTCAAGGGAATGAAGTCAATCACCAAGATAGACCGTAGACCATAAAACATGTCTCATTGAATCTAAAAAAATCAAGATCACACTGAGTGTATTCTCTGACTACAATGGAATTAAATTACAAATTAATCAGTAATAAGATATCTAGGGAAACCTCAAATACCTGGCTATTAAACAACATTTCTAAATAATTCATAGGTGAGAGAAGAAATTACAAGGGAAATTAGAAAACGTTTGGACTAACCTTTCTTTTTTTTTTTTTTTTAAGATGGAGTCTTGATCTGTCACCCAGGCTGGAGTGCAGTGGCACCATCTTGGCTCACTGCAAGCTCTGCCTCCCAGGTTCACATCAATCTCCTGCCTCAGCCTCCCGAGTAGCTGGGACTACAGGCGCCTGCCACCACGCCCAGCTAATTTTTTTGTATTTTTAGTAGAGATGGGGTTTCACCATGTTAGCTAGCCAGTAAGGTCTCGATCTCCTGACCTTGTGATCTGCCCACCTCAGCCTCCCAAAGTGCTGGGATTACAGGCGTGAGCCACTGCGCCCAGCCTGGACTAGCCTTAATGTTAAAACATGACAAAGATATCTTTTTTAAAAAAAGGAAATTATAGTAGCAGTAATAGGAAGTTAGATATATACAAAATAATTAATCAAATAAGTAAATATATTAAATTATACATAGAATAACATACAGCTAATTTTCTCACTCTCAAAGAAGAGGATAGCAAACTACACCAAACTCTGTGATGTTGGATTAGAATTAAAGGTATCTTTGTAGATTTCAGTAAGCATAGAAATGAAAATACAACATATCAAAAGCTGTGGGATGAAGGTAAAGCAGTGCTTAGAGGAAAATGTGTAGCTTTACATGCTTACATTACAAAACAAAACAAAACAAAAAACAAAAAACTAAGTGACCAAGTGATGGGTTTCCTTAAGAACCTAGAAAAATTGAGAGAATAAACTCAAAGTAAGTAAAAGGGGAAAACTAAGAGGAGACATCAATAAAATAGGGAACTGACAGATAACAGAGGAAATTAACAATGCCAAAGGCTTGATTTTGTTGAAAAACACAACAAAATTGACAAACTCCTAACTATACTGATCAAGAAAAAGAAAGTGAACATAATAAAGTAAAAATAAATAAGGAATAATCATCACAGTCCTTACAGATATTAAAAGGACAATAAGAGGCCGGGTGCAGTGGCTCACGCCTGTAATCCCAGCACTTCGGGAGGCTGAGGTGGGTGTATCACTGGAGGTTAGAAGTTTGAGACCAGCCTGGCCAACATGGTGAAACCCCGTCTCTACTAAAAATACAAAAATTAGCCGAGTGTAGTGGCTCATGCCTGTAATCCCAGTAACTCGGGAGGCTGAGGCAGGAGAATCGCTTAATCCCAGGAGGTAGAGGTTGCAGCGAGTTGAGATTGTGCCACTGTACTCCAGTCTGGGTGACAGAGCAAGACTCCGTCTCAAAAGCAAAAACAAAACAAAAGGACAAGAAGAGAATGCTATGAACAACGTCATGCCAACAAATTTTAAAAATTGTATGACACGAACAAAAGGATTAAAAAATACAACCTACCAAAAGAGACACAAGAAGAAACAGAAAATCTGAATAGCACTGTATATTTTAAAGAAATTGAGAGGCCGGGCGCAGTGGTTCACACTCCCAGCACTTTGGGAGGCCGAGACGGGCGGATCACGAGATCAGGAGATCAAGACCATCCTGGCTAACACGGTGAAACCCCATCTCTACTAAAAATACAAAAAAATTAGCCGGGCATAGTGGCGGGCGCCTGTAGTCCCAGCTACTTGGGAGGCTGAGGCAGGAGGATGGCATGAACCTGGGAGGCAGAGCTTGCAGTGAGCCGAGATCGAGCCATTGCACTCCAGCCTGGGCGACAGATCAAGATTCTGTCTCAAAAAAAAAAAAAAAAGAAACTGAAATCAGGCTGGGCGCGGTGGCTCACACCTGTAATCCCAGCACTTTGGGAGGCCAAGGCAGGCGGATCACCTGAGGTCGGGAGTTCAAGACCAGCCTGACCAACATGGAGAAACACCTTCTCTACTAAAAATACAAAATTAGCCGGGCGTGGTGGTGCACGCCTGTAATCCCAGCTACTCAGGAGGCTGAGGCAGGAGAATCACTTGAACCCAGGAGGCGGAGGTTGCCGTGAGCCGAGATCGCACCATTGCACTCCAGCCTGGGCAACAAGAGCAAAACTCAGTCTCAAAAAAAAAAAAAAAAAATTATCCAAAACTTTCCCCAGAATAAAGCTCTTGAGACAGATGGCTTCACCAGTGAATTCCATTAATATTCAAGGAACAAATAACACCAACTTATTAAACTTTTTCAGGAAATAAAGAGAGACCACTGCTCAACTTGTTTTATGAAGCTAACAAAACCTTAATGTTAAAACATGACAAATATATCTTTTTTAAAAAAGGGAAATCATAGTAGCAGTAATAGGAGTTTAGATATATATAAAATAATTAATCAAATAAGTACAAATATTAAATTATACATGGAATAACATACAGCTAAATTTCTTACTGTTAAAGAAGAGAATAGTAAACTAGGCCAAACCTGGGTGTTGGATTCACAATTAGAGGTATCTTTGTAGATTTCAGTAACCATAGGTAGAAATAGAAATAAACTCACAGTAAATGTGTATGTATATACATATGTCTATGTACCTAGCTCTGTCCACTAAGAGGGCCTTGGAACAATGACTCCCCCCAAATCAGTGGACACACCTAGAGCCCAGATCTTAATTTCTAAATATGATTTTCTACTAAAGGAAATTAGGGATCCTTAGAGAGATGGCTGATTTCTGGCTGGTACAAATCCATCTGCATTATCTGTTGTGCCAGATAGCAAGGAATTCCTCAAAGGAATTCCTCAAAGGAATTCCTCAAAGAATGATGAGGACTTGTCAAAAGGAGACAGAAGCTACCTTGAAGGGGATCCCACTAGAAAAACTGGACTAATTTGAACATCAAAATAAATAATGACTCAACAATGTGAAAACAAACAACCATTAAAAATGGGCAAAAGATTTGAGCAGATATTTCATCAAAGAAGATATACAGCTCTCTCATGTGCAAATAAGCACATGAAAAGATTCTCAACATCTTTGTCGTTAGGGAAATACAAATTAAAACCACAATGAGATGCCACTTCACACCTATTAGAAAGGCTAAAATTAAATTGACAATACCAAGTATTGGTGAGGATAAGGCACAACTGAAATTATTATGCATTGCTGGTTGAAATACAAAATAGTGTAGTCATTTTGGAAAAATTTGATAGTTTCTTTTTTTTTTTTTTTTTTTTTTTGAGACGGAGTCTCGCTCTGTCGCCCAGGCTGGAGTGCAGTGGCGGGATCTCGGCTCACTGCAAGCTCCGCCTCCCGGGTTCACGCCATTCTCCTGCCTCAGCCTCCCAAGTAGCTGGGACTACAGGCGCCTGCCACTACGCCCGGCTAATTTTTTGTATTTTTAGTAGAGACGGGGTTTCACCGTTTTAGCCGGGATGGTCTCGATCTCCTGACCTCGTGATCCGCCCGCCTCGGCCTCCCAAAGTGCTGGGATTACAGGCGTGAGCCACCGCGCCCGGCCGATAGTTTCTTATAAACATATACTTACCAAGTGACCCAGCAAATCCATTTTCAGGTATTTACCAACTAAATGTGAAACTGTATATTCACACACAAAAAACACATTTACAAATGTTTATATAACACTTCACGTTTAATTGTCAAAAACTGCAAACAACTCAACTGTCCCTCAGCTGGAAAATGGATAAACAGATAAATAGACTCCATCTCTAAAAAAAAAAAAAATTGTGTTAGCTGGGCATGGTAGCCTGCACCTGTAGTCCCAGCTCCTTGGGAGACTGAGGTAGAAAGATGGCTTAAGCCCAGGAGTTCAAGGCTGCAGTGAGCTATGAGCATGCCACTGCACTCCAGCCTGGGCAACAGAGCAAGACCATGTGTCCAAAAAAAAAAAAAAAGAGGCCAGGTACAGTGGCTCATAGCCAGGTGTGTTGGTGCACTCCCGTGGTCCCAGCTACTCAGGAAGCTGAGGTGGGAAGATTGCCTAAGCCCAGGGGATCAAGGCTGTAGTGAGCCATGATGTTGCCACTGCACTCCAGCCTGGATGACACAGCAAAACCCTGTCTCAAAAAAAAGAAGTAAAGAAGTATATAAGAAATGTATTGATACTCTATGGTTCCTAAATGTGGAATCTGTGACAGTGATTATCTCTTCACATGACAGGAATTTGTTCAGTTTTAATTAAATGTTGCTATAGAAATTGTTGGCAAGAGATAAGGCAAAGCAATCACGGCAATAAACCCTTTCATCAGCATCTCTAGATAATTTGTTATCCTCACAGTAACACTACTCCTTTGTAGAGCTCTACAGAACTATTGAAGAGTTAACAGTGAGGCTGGGGGCAATGCCTCATGCCTATAATCCCAGCACTTCAGGAGGCTGAGGCAGGCAGATCACTTGAGGTCAGGAGTTCAAGACCAGCCTGGCCAACATGGTGAAACCCTGCCTCTAATAAAAATACAAAAATTAGCTGGGTGTGGTGGCATGCACCTGTAATCCCAGCTGATTGGGAGGCTGAGGCACAAGAATCACTTGAACCTGGGAGGCAAAGGTTGCAGTGAGCTGAGATTGTGCCACTGCACTCCAGCCTGGGCGACAGAGTGAGACTCTGTCTCAAAAAATAAAAATAAAAAAAGAGTTAACAGTGGAAAAAGCATCACCGTGGATAAAGAACAACATACAGGAAATCTCTATGAAATGGAAATGTGTTAATAATGAGGATGGAGAATTAATTCTAAAACAAAAGTTGCCTAGCTTCAAGCAAAGGTGAAAAATCTGTCTGAAGCAGTAAAAGGAAAGTACAATGTCCATAGCCAAAGTTTGTAGCTAGTTATGGTTGGCTAAGGAGATTTAAGTTTGCCAGTTTTTTCAGTGTAAAAATGAGTGATATGGCTGTTGATATAAAGGTAATAGAAACACATATATTCTGAAAAGTTAAGAGCAATGATAGAAAAAAATGACTATATGGAATAGCAAATCTTTAACATGGATAAAATGGATTGTCTTGGTGAAAATATGTCAAATAGATAATCTATTCTGGAAGAATAAAAACAATTCCAGAGTTTCTCCCTTTGAAAGGTAGGTTGTTTATTACTTTGGAGTTAATGTAGTGAAATACTACGAAATATAAAAAAAACCCCAGTAGCTAACAAAAACTGTAGCTAGGCTGCATACCCAGACACACACATTTTTAACCTATAAAAAATGGATTACTGGCCAGGAGCCATAGCTCACATCTGTAATTCCAACACTTTGGGAAGCTAAAGCAGAAGGATCGCTTGAGGCCAGGAGTTTTGAGACCAGCCCAGGCAACATAGCAAGGCCTCATCTCTACAAAAAATTTAAAAATTAATTAGATATGGTGGTGCATGCCTGTAATCTCAGCTACTTGGGAGGCTGAGGTAGTTGGATTGCTTAAGCTCAAGGGTTTGAAGCTGCAGTGAGCTGGGATCATGTTACTGCACTCCAGCCTGGGCACCAGAGTGAGACCATGTCTCTAAAAAAAGAAAGTATTATGGGAAGTTAGGAAATGTTTATGTAAATATATATGTAATAAAGGTACTAAGTGCAATGAATCAAACAACATTTGCAAGCAAAATGTTATAGATCCCACCAATAAACCTGCACAATTCTTAAGAGCAAACTCTCCCTAAAATACTTTACTAGTAAGTAAGAGAGAGACCCGAGTTCTGTCCATCCTATAAAGAGTATTTCTGTACCTGATGTAATGTAATACTGGGGGTGTGCAGGTCAATAGCAGCCAGAGAAGGAATTCGAGATTCTGAAAGAATTTTGCTCTCTTTCTTTGTTAGCCTGGAATTTCGAGCTAGATAGAAATGACCATAAACACAGTGAAAATATTAGACATTTTGTTAGTTTTTAGTTTTTCACATTCTCTACGTGTTCCTCAGTATGTACTTATTATAACAGGTATTTACATACTTAAATATGTAAAGTTAGTATGAATTTTTATTTTTAAATTCTGTCTAACATACATTTTAAATAATCTAAACAGACTACACAAAGTAAAAGCATTATCAACACACCTATGCCTCCCAGTGCTCTTAGTTCAGGGAGATGATTATAGTTTAGTTCAGGCAAACGGACATCTGTCCTGGAGTATTCTCTTCTTTTCTTACTTGCCCAAAAGAGGTTTTTTTCACTAGAGACCTAATATCATCAACATAGTCAACAAAAAAGAATTAGTTTCAAGGTTAGCTAGGCTTTCCTTCTTCTGTAACTCCTATGTTCATATCCTAAAATTTGTGAAATTGAAGGTCTATAATAAAAAATTTGAAGGACATTAATAATACAAAAAAAATTCATCCAATTATTTCAAATGTCTTCCTCATTAAATTCATTAAAATTGCTAACAAGTAGATAACTTGAGTGCTATGAGTTTCTCCTTCTTCCTTTGCCAATTATCAGTGTGTAAGTCCCAGCAAGTAGTAAAAGGTTAAAAGATGGGCATTGATGCGCTGGTTCTTCAGGCCAGCAAGGTCGGGCCTTACACTTCCTAGGCTTTTCAGCAAATAGTTGCTGTTGTCTTCATAAATTTTGAACAGTTTATCTTCACATGTATATCATATCTCCCCCTAGCTTATTTTTCACTTTCCCAATATAATTTTGTTGTTCATTTTTCTATATATGTCCTTGTCTTGCTCCTCAGAGTTAGAATATAATACTATCTTCCCAGGAATACAATTTATTAAGACACAGAAAGAATTATAACTTCAATTATTTTCCTGATCTTTCTTAGTACTATTATTTCACAGTTGATAAAGTCAGAAAAAATAGTGAGGAATAGCAGCAGCACTTCAATTCTGCATCCTTATGAATTTGACACTTTTCCAATATTTTTCATTCGAGAATCACAGAAAGCCTGTATTCATATGTATGTATAATGAGCTACATACACACAAACATATGTATAATGACATTAAGTTATGGAGGTTCCTTGATGCCTCAAACTTAATATTCTGTGAATTATGCCATTCTGGCTACCAGAAAGTCTTCAAGAGTCCTGCAGTGAGCTTTTGAGTTTCTTTCTTTTGGATGTTTCTGCTTACTCTTTTCATAGAACAAGCGCTAAGGCTATTGGTTCAAGTTGGTTATAAAATAAAATAGTTAAAGAAAACTATATGCAAGTACAAAAAATAAAATTTAAAAATGAGTTTAAACTACCAGATTAACATATTCAAAGAGTGAAAATAAAACATATATAATATATAATATAATATATTTATTCACACATCAGAATGGGGGCATAAAGCATGGGAGAGAGGTATTGATCTTTAACATACAAGTTGAAGAAAGTCTAGGCTTAGCTCTGCTTGCATTAATTTTCGTTAAGGAAAGACTCCACTGGGTCTTCACCCTCCTAATCTTCACCTCCTCTCTTGATTACCTCTTCCAAAGAAGAATAAATTACCTCTTCCAAAGAAGAATAAATCAGATCTAAAATTATCAGCCAGCATTGATTATGCAATACCTGAAAGCAGGTTGATATCAGTTCTGGCAAAATGGTATTGAACCAGCTATTTTGAAAAGCCTTCCTGATTAAAATAATCTTCCAAAGCAAATCAGGATTTTAAAACACAAATATCCACAAAGAAACCAAAAAAGAAAGTACTATTGGCACAGAAATTATAAACTAAGAATAATTAAAAGAAAAACAAATACAATGTCCAAATCATGAGAGAGATGAAAAGGCTGTATTTTTCAGCTCTGAAGATAGTGAGAGAAATAGAGAGGGAAATTTGTCTCACACACACACAAACACACACACACAAGGAATATTCCTTTGGGAATACATCCATACCTCCCTTTGTTGTGAAAAGCATTCATTCATTCAGTATGGAGTCTTTCCTTAATGAAAATTAATGCAAGCAGAGATAAGCCTAGACTTTCTTCAACTTGTAGGTTAAAGGACAATACCTCTCTCCCATGTTTTATACCCCCATTCTAAGGTGTGAATAAATGTATTATTATAAATATTTATTTTGTGTTTTATTTTCACTCTTTGAATATATTAATCTGGTAGTTTGAACTCATTTTTAAATTTTAGGCCAGCCCTGGTGGCTCACGCCTGTAATCCCAGCATTTTGGGAGGCCAAGGTGGGCAGATCACCTGAGGTCAGGAGTTCGAAACCAGCCTGGCCGACATGGAGAAACCCCGCCTCTACTAAAAATACAAAAATTAGCTGGGTGTGGTGGCAGGTGCCTGTAATCCCAGCTACTCGGGAGGTTGAGGCAGGAGAATCGCTCAAATCTGGGAGGCGGAGGTTGCAGTGAGCCGAGATCATGCCACTGCACTCCAGCCTGGGCGACAGAGCGAGATTCTGACTCGAAAAAAAAAAAAAATTATTTTTTCTACTTGCATAGGAAGGAAAAGTACAGTGAAGAAAACAAAAGCACAAATCTCTGCCTTGGAATCTTACGTTCTAGCTGGGGGAGACAGACAATATATAAATAAGAGTATATAGACGATGTCAGGTAAATGCAATGGAAAAAAAAATAAGCAAGGAGAAGGCATCGAACATAAAGGGAGGCATAATGAGTTACAAGACTTCACAGTAAGGTTTCATGTGAGCTAAGAAGAGAAAAAGCAAATCCATTGGGTTATCTGGGGGAAGAATGTTCCAAAGCAAAAGAAATAGCAAGTGCAAAAGCCCAAAGGTGGGAGTATGTCTGACTATGTTCCAGGAATAACAAGGAAATCAGTGTGGTAGAACAGATTGATGGAGAAAGAGTAGGTGGAGATGGGATAGAGGGTTGGTTGGAGTCAATCCTGCAGGCACTTATAGACCCTATAAGGACTTTGGCCTTTCCTCAGTGATAAGAAGCTAATGGAGGAAGTTTAGCAGAAGAATGATGAGGGTTTCACCTAACTTCAAAAGAGAAACATTCTGGAGGCCATGCTGAGAATAATAATGGTCCTTCCTGTGCTCTGTCTAAATACAATATGATACTATGCTTTAATTTGCTGATCCTCTAGATCATGAAGTCCTTGAAAAGAAAGATTGACTTATTTATTTCCAGTGTCTCACACATAACGATTGATAAATATTTATTATATAAATAAATAGAATCGTTTCTTTCTTCTTTTTTTTTTTTTTTTGAGACAGGGTCTTGGTCTGTCACCCAGGCTGAGGTGCTGGGGCACAATTACAGCCACAGCTTACCACTGTAGCCTCAACTTTCCAGGCTCAAGCAACCCACCCATCTTAGCCTCCCAAGTAGCTAGGACTACAGTCATGTGCCACCATACCCAGCTAACTTTTTAAAAAATTTTTTGTAGAGACAGGATCTTGCTATGTTGCTCAAGCTTGTCTCAAACTCCTGGGCTCAAACTATCCTCCCACCTCGGCCTCCCAAAGTGCTGGGATTATAGATGTGTGCTACTGTCCCTGGCCAATAGAATACAGCCACCAAAAATCTGGTGTGGGTGAGATAAGACAATTTATCTTTTCATCTACTCTAAAAAAGAACTGACCAGCAATCATCAAGTTGAGAAAATTTACTATGTTACTAAAGAAAAAATAAAACAAGCCAGGCACAGATGGCTCACACCTGTAATCCCAGCACTTTGGGAGGCCAAGGCAGGTGGATCACGAGGTCAGGAGTTCAAGACCAGCCTGGCCAAGATGGTGAAACCCTGTCTCTACTAAAAATAAAAAATTAGCTGGGTGCGGTGGCAGGCACCTGTAATCCCAGCTACTCAGGAGGCTGAGGCAGGAGAATCACTTGAACCCAGGAGGTGGAGGTTACAGTGAGCCAAGATCTCACCACTGCACTGTAGCCTGGGCAACAGAGCAAGACTCCATGAAAAAAAAAAGAAAAGAAAAAGAAAGAGAGGAAGGAAGGAAGGAAGGAAAGAAGGAAGGAAGGAAGGAAGGAAGGAAGGAAGGAAGGAAGGAAGGAAGGAAGGAAGAAAGGAAGGAAGGAGTTTTTAGACTCATAAAACTTAAACTTTCAGAATTTCACGTTTATGACTATGATGGGTTGGGATAATATATGCACAATTAAGGTTTCACTTTATGTGTATCCAAACAAAATTCTCAATACTTCACTATCATATTTAATTTTAATAAAAGTCTAGAGCTGACTGGTGTTTGCTCTTCTACTACTGAGAACTGCTTACTTACTAATGTGGTCACATTAATGTTATAAATGCCTGATGGGGAATGTCTGTTCGGTTTAACAAATGGAATAGAACACTTCTTAGTTTTCTCATCCACTCTGTAACGACAAAAAAAAATGTTTTTAAGTTAGAACCAGCAATAATTATTTTTTCAAGCACAAAACTAAATGACACAGCACCAACTAACAAGCAGTTTAACCAGAGTGTAATGTCTATTCTCAAATATACAATGCACATAAATCTGGTGAAACATTCTATTCTTTAACACTACCCTCATGCCTCCCAGCAGCCCCCAACTCCTACCAAATACATTACCCTCCTTTCAGCAAAATTCCCAAATGGAGCTTCCTTATACTACTATAGGCTCACAGTCACACCATGCAGCAGCAGCCACTCAAAAATTATCTCTTTTAGTATGACAACCTGCTTTCACATTATTAGACTATATAGCTGTAGATTCTCTTCACCTTAAGCAATAAAACCCTACTTTCTCAGGACTTTGGTGAATTGTTTTGATCAAATGCTAATAATCTTCATCACACAGCCAAAAAGTCTTTTGAAACAGCTACCTGACAAGAATGAATAGCATCCAGAATTCTGAGAATAAAAACAATGTGGATGAATTGACAAACCCTTGCAATTTGCAAATATGTCCTTAAACACTTTTTTGATCTTATTTTACTAATTCATACCTGTAACCCTGAATTGGTATAGTCTCAGTCCCCATTCCAGAATTAATGCTGGGAGCAACTGCAGAAAGATTGTGTGTAAGTGGGGGAATTGCCACGCTTGGATTCCTTGTGTGGTCCACGCTGACATTGCTGCAGTCTTTGAGGCTTGTTGAAGGCACTATTTTGTTGTGGCTTGTCCTACTGTCATGGAGACAGCTGGCATTTGAAGCTCTATTGCCTTTTTCAGCTTTTTCTCCATCAATTTTTGAGCCTTTTATTTTAAATAGTTTATAATCCTTAATTTTGGGATCAGCATTGGTATCCTGATCATTAACAAAAATATTAATAAGGTTAATGATCTGAAGAGAATGAAAATTTACCTCTTCTTATAAAGTACTTGTCAACTAGAGCAGAATATCATAAGTATCACCTTTTTGAAACTGTTTTCTTTATTCTTCCTAGGGGATTAAAATTAAAGCCAGATTCTTATTCAGATAGTTATTGGGAAAATACAAAAAGAATGGAAATGCAATTCACACAGCTCACTCAGACACACACACACACACATACACACACATCAGTGGAAAAACTCATGGAAGAGGAATCAAGAATTCCACTTTTGTTCTTACATATTCAGAGTCATGGAACACAAAACTGATAACTCTTTCTTCTTTTGGTGTACTTGATATAAGTGGATTGGTGGTGGATTTGAATTACCTTATCAAGAACAGATCCTGGGTAGTTCACCAGGAAAAGCAAACCTAAGTTAAGTATCCAAATCTCACTTTTCAAATTTTTACTTCATATAAATTTCTACAGACAATATTTTTCACTCATATCCTTTAAGAAAGATAAGTGGGGTGAGGGTTGTTTGTTCCATGTGTCTGTGTGTATATGTGTTCATGAAAACACATATCTAGATGTTCTTGGATGAATGTGATTTAAGCACTGTTGCACAGTCTGGCACATAACAGGTACTCAAAACATGATATGTTAAGTTTTCTAAACAGGTAATATCTACTGAGAAGATACATTTTTACAACTAAACTAAAAGTTAACAATTTGCTCACTGCTCAGAAAACTTTTTTCAAAATCATATTTTTTCTCAAAAAATTTAAAAAAATAAGTATATTAAATCTAAAATGTGAAACATGAACATTTACCTGTACCACAAGTGTTTTTCTTTCTTCAACTAAGGAATCATCTTTTTCTTTTTCCTTCTTTCTGTTTTGGGATTTTTTAGATAAAGAAACATTTCTGGCATCTTTCTGTACTTTTAACTGTAGTTCTTGGGAAAACCTACATAAAAATATAATAAAATAAAATTGTAAGACATGGATAAACCTACAAAAAAATTGACTTTCAAGATATTTATTTTTTAAAAATTGAATGTTAAACTAGTCTATGTTATTAAAAATGAGAAAAATCCTGGCCTAGATCAGCAGTTTGGAAAGGGTGGTGTGTAGATCTTTGGGGATCCCTAAGAACATTCAGAAGGTTCACAAAGTCAATGCTATTATTTTAACATAAAGATGTTTGTCTTTCTCACCAGGTTAACATGAAAGCAGTGGTGGATAAAACTGCTGACACCTTACCAAGAAGAAAAGCAGCAAAACCAAAATGTACTAGCAGTCATTACTTTCTTGATAACCACACATTCTCAGTTGCTTTTTTTTTTTAAAAAAAAAAAAGGCAGTCTTGCTTAAGAATGTCTCTGATGAATCAGCAAAAAGGTATTGACTTCATTAAAGCCAAACTCTTAAACGCATCCTTTTTTTATGGTCTGTGTGACAAAATGAGAATATACGTAAAGCACCTCTGCTACAAACCGAAACACTATGGTTGTCTTAAGAAAAATGCTTGCATAATTATTTGTGATACAAACTAAACTAGATATTTTTACTTGAAAGAAAGACTGACAGAAAAACTATGGTTATTAAGACTTTGGGTCTATGGGAAACATTTTCTTTTAACAAATAAACAAAGTGATCTTGTCACTTCAAGGAAAACAGAAATAATTGTGTTAATGATAAAATTCAAAATTTTATGCAAAAATTACAATTCTGTTAAACTTGTATCCACCACTGTGAGCTTAGCAGCTTCCCAAAACTCACAAAACTTTTATGAGATAGAATGTAATTTTTGATGCTGTACAAGAAATATATCAATATTTTTAAGATCTGCTTAACTCAGCAAACTAATATTTTCCAAATGACTAAAGCATGATATTACAAAAGCATGCATGGGTAAAAGATCCATTAAAAAGGCAAGACAGACAAATGGATTTTAATTTAACAAAGGAAGAAAGACTCAATGATATGGTTTCACATTCCACAATGCAACCAGCCTTTAAGAAACTACCACTGGGCCAGGAACGGTGGCTCATGCCTGTAATCCCAGCACTTTAGGAGGCCCAGGTGGGCAGATCACCTGAGGTCAGGAGTTCAAGACCAGCCTGACCAACACAGAGAAACCCCATCTCTACTAAAAATATAAAATTAGCCAGTTGTGGTGGCACATGCCTGTAATCCCAGCTACTCGGGAGGCTGAGGCAAGAGAATCGCTTGAACCCAGGAGGTAGAGGTTGCAGTGAGCCAAGATTGCACCACTGCACTCCAGCCTGGGCAACAAGAGCAAAAAAAAAAAAAAAAAAAAAAGAAACTACCACTGTCAAGTTTTGCTATGGTATCAGAGTTTTGGTATAGAATCAAAGAATACCCACAATTATCTACTTACGTGAGGCCAGAGTTTCTTCATATACTTCCACAAAAACAACATATCACAACTAATTGAGTACAAAAGCAAATAGGAAAACCTAGCTACCTTTTATTAAGCTACGTGTTACTGCCACTCATCTCACTATTCTTTGTTTCGTCAGCTGCACTGTTGCCAGCAGCTTGAGCAGCACAGAAGACCATGCCAGCAACTCTGGCACCCACAGGTTTGGCATATCAAGGTCTCCAACACATCAGCAGTGTCAGCAGTATCAAAGGACTTGGTGTGGTATGAGTTTGGCAGCAATAGGAGATGGCACTTTTGTAACTACATCAGCATCTAAGATGATGGCATCACACAGTTGGTAGCAACATAGAAATCAATGATCTGACTGGTAGACGTCACCACAGGGAGACAGAAAGAAGACATAAAATGACCGCTTCATGAAAACCAAGAGCACTAATTTAGTAAATGTAGGAGACCACCCCTAGGAACTGCATTATTGCTAAGGGAATATGGGGGTAGAGTGGTAGATATCTGAGATCCTGCAAAGTAGGTGGGAACAGAAATAAGAGAAGTGCTATTTGTGACTATTGTGGAAGACTTTAACCCTAGGTTGGTATGGCCTGAAAAACATGGGTAAGTACTATACCTCTCAGCAAATCCATCCATTTGAAAGAAATCATGGTGTAGGAGCTCAGCACAGAAGGGTCTTTTGTCGGGGTCAATATGTAAGCATTTCTGAAAAATTAAGAACACTTAGAGTTCATATCAAGAAAAACTACCTACATTTAAATTTATAAATATAGAAAAAAAATCCTCTTTATAGTCAACGATTTTTTTTTTTAAGACAGGGTCTCACTCTGTTGCCCAGGCTAGAGTGCAGTGGTGTGATCACTACTTAACCGCAGCCTTGACCTCTCTAGGCTCAGGTGATCCTTCCATCTCAGTCTCCTGAGTAGCTGGGACCACAGGTGCACACCACCACACCCAGCTAATTTTTGTATTTTTTGTAGAGACAGCGTTTCGCCATGTTGCCCAGGCTGGTCTCGAACTCTGAGCTCAAGCTATCCACCCTCCTCAGCTTCCCAAAATGCTGGGATTACCAGCGCAAGCCACCACACTTGCCCGCCAATGAATTTTACACATCAATAATCAAGGATAAAGAATAAAGCACAAATCTAGACAATGACCGTCAGTGGTTGCTAGTATCACAAAAAGACCACCAAACATTCAGTGTCTCTATATGGAAATACACAAACCTCCTATGAAGTAGTTTTGCCAAAAAATCAACCTGATTCTGATCGAGCTCTAGCTCTACTGTGAGTTTATAAGAAATACAGGACACAGAAGAACATGTATACTGCATTATGTAGAAAATTCTAAGGACAAACAACTTAGTTTCTTCAACAAATAAATTGCAAGATTTAAACAAAAAAGAAAGAGATGAAGAGAAGCTTATAAATAAAGTTTTAAAAATATATCGACCAATTGCAATCTATAGTCTTCATTTAGATCCTAATTCAAACTATGAAATGAAATAAATTTTGTGAAAATTAATGAAACTTTAAACATCAATTAGATATTTTATGATAGTAAGAAATTATTTGGAATTTTTAAAACTTAAGGCTATTACAGAATGGAAAGGAAAGGATTTATCCTGTGCTTATCACTATGCTAGATGCTTTACAAAGATTATTTTATTTTATTTTATTTTATTGCAAAGTCTTGTTCTGATTCATTAAAACCCCTAACATGCCAGTAAAAATAGAAGGGACTCAATAAGTAGCTTTAAATGAACAAGAAAATTTCTCTGCATAACTGTGCTACTTATAAGTAAAATAATACATCTGGGATTTGCTTCAAAATACTCCAAAAAAAGTTAAAGAGTGTAGATAAATTAAACAAGATTATCAAAAGGTTGATAATTGTGGAAACTAGATGATAAGTACATGAAGGTTTGTTAAACAACTATTCTTTCTATTTTCTTTTCCGTTTGAAATTTTCCATAATAAAATGTTTTAAAAGTTTTATATGATTCCTTAAGGTATGATTAAGGTACACAAGTTGGACAATAGTTTTACCTTTATTCCCTTTATATCTCCTTACAGATAGATCACAAAGCTTGTACCAATTAAAAATATTTGCATCTGTTAGAAGATTATGTAAAAAACTGGAAATGTATTATTCTAAGAACTTGTTTAATTAGTTATAAGCTTATTAAACGTCATGAGTTAAAGAATTAAAAAACAAAAAAATTGGGTAAATCTTATAGCCTAGTGTTTTAGAGGTACCTATCTTATCAATATTTAAACAATCTTAACTGATGAGAACTTTTTGAGCTAAAAATTCCCCAAAAAGGTCAAATTTTAGAGTTGATTCTCACTTGATAGAATGAAAACCTAACATCTTCCTTAATCAAATACAACAAAAAAGTATTGGCCATTTGTAAACTGGCTGCAGCCAATACAGTGGCTAAGCAAAAACCCCTTTGACAATATCATACAGATCATGATCCTATGCCCTACATTTTGTTTTTTTTTTGTTGTTGTTGTTTGTTTGTTTTTTTTGACATGGAGTCTCGCTCTGTTGCCCAGGCTGGAGTGCAGTGGCGTAATCTCAGCTCACTGAAACCTCCACCTCCCAGGTTCAAGCAATTCTCTGCCTCACCTTCCCGAGTAGCGGGGGTTACAGGCACGTGCCACCACGCCCAGCTAATTTTTGTATTTTTAGTAGAGATGGGGTTTCACCATCTTGGCCAGGATGGTCTTGAACTCCTGACCTCATGATCCACGTGCCTCGGCCGCCCAAACTGCTGGGATTACAGGCATGAGCCACCATGCCCGGCCATCCTATGCCCTACATTTTAATATTTTCCTACTTCTCTATCCTTTATTTATTTATTTATTTAAAGAGAGAGTTTCACTCTGTCACCCAGGATGGAGTGCAGTGGTGCGATCTCAGCTCACTGTAACCTCTGTCTCCTGGGTTCAAGTGATTCTCCTGTCTCAGCATCCCGAGTAGCTGGGATTACAGACATGCACCACCATGCCCAGCTAATTTTTTTGTATTTCTAATAGAGATGGGGTTTTGCCATGTTGGCCAGGCTGGTCTCCAACTCCTGACTTCAAGTGATCCACCGGCCTTAGCCTCCCAAAGTGCTGGGATTACAGGTGTGAGCCACCATGCCCAGACCCTTTTTATTTTCTTATCCTACTTTTATTTTCTTTTCCATTTAAACAAGGCGTGTATTTTAAATGTTAAACGTAAAAATCATACAGTGTTTTTATGTTTTTAATGTGTTTTTCAGTGAGGATGTTTTCACATTTACAAAATGCTAGATAACAATAAATGGTTTCTTTTTTTTTTTTTTTTTTTTTTTGAGACGGAGTCTCGCTCTGTCGCCCAGGCCGGACTGCGGACTGCAGTGGCACAATCTCGGCTCACTGCAAGCTCCGCTTCCCGGGTTCACGCCATTCTCCTGCCTCAGCCTCCCCAGTAGCTGGGACTACAGGCGCCCGCCACCGCGCCCGGCTAATTTTTTGTATTTTTTAGTAGAGACGGGGTTTCACCTTGTTAGCCAGGATGGTCTCGATCTCCTGACCTCATGATCCACCCGCCTCGGCCTCCCAAAGTGCTGGGATTACAGGCGTGAGCCACCGCGCCCGGCCAATAAATGGTTTCTTAATGAGTGTTAAAACAGGTAAAATTTTCAGTCCTTTTTCTCTGAAGTTACCCCCATCAAATTATTTAAATTGTTTCTAAATGTACAAAAATTAAAATTATTAGAGGAAATTGTTGACCTAAAAGATCAACTAGAGGCCAGGGCTGGTGGCTCACACCTATAATCCCAGCACTTTGGGAGGCCGAGGCGGGCGGATCACGAGGTCAGGAGATTGAGACCATCCTGGCTAACACAGTGAAACCCCGTTTCTACTAAAAATACAAAAAATTAGCCAGGCATGGTGGCGAGCGCCTGTAGTCCCAGCTACTAGAGAGGTTGAGGCGGAAGAATGGTGAAGCTTGCAGTGAGCCGAGATCATGCCACAGCACTCCAGCCTGTGTGACAGAGCAAGACTCCATCAAAAAAAAAAAAAAAAGATCAACTAGACAAGTAAAAAAAAAAAAAAAAGGTCTTGATAGTGCATAAATTCCCTGTCATAAAGTGTAAACAATAAGTATGATTACCTTTGCTAAATCTATCACCACTTCAGAGAGCTTAGGATAGCGTCTTTCAAGAGGTTCTCTTTCCTTGATTTCAGGCAACCTTACTCCAGCAAACACAGGATTTTTATTAAAAAGCTCCTGATGCCTTGGAATTAGATTACCTGGAAGTGAAAACAGCACATATCTCTGTTATTATACAACATGATAGAAATGGTGAAGAGACAGGTGGTGTGAAGTAGAGGAAATAGTGGAACACAGCTTATGGAGTTTGGGGCTCTCTCAACATGCAAAATTGACCAAAGACAATGCCGTTACTGTGGTGGTATATGGCAGTCTTAAGGAGCATAGGAAAAGGACAGGTAAAAAATATTTTATAACTTTCCAGATATAAGTACCAGCACTTCGTTTCTAACTAGAAAGCATAAAGTGCTGAATAAAACAACAAATATATTAATAGTCATATGGACAGGATCTAATCTAGATAAATCAGTTCTCCCCTTTAAGAATTTAATATTTGGTCAACTGATTTTGTGCTTATCTTAAAGTCAGATTTGAGCACTTTAATCTTTTTTCTCAACTTTAATATCTAGTTGAATGTAGAATATATCTGAAAATTCCACTGTAAGAAACTATTGTACTGCTTATTTAATTTCTAATCTGAAAACTTCAAATCAAATAGTTAAATTACCCCCAAGTATTTTCCCATTATTTCCATTTCTAAGCTCCATCTTCAAACATGAAGTTGATATTTCAACAAACGTAAGATTTTGATAGTCCAGCTTTGAAATTCTGTCAAAAGCACTAATAGCAGAAGTCCAAATCTGTGCCAAGATTAAATCAACCTTGGAAATCTCTGTGTCTCTCCTCTTGAATGTGAAAGTAAGGACAGTAGTCACATTACACCAAATGCTTACTGACTCAAGAATAATAAATGATCATTGCATCCTCTCTACATGTAATTAACGGTATGTAAAAGTACAGAGAAATGCACAACCTCTGCTCTTTTCCTCTCTCTTGAGGGGAAAGGGGATGTGAGCGTGATTAAGAACATGCACCAGGGCGGGCCACAGTGGCTCACGCCTGCAATCCCAGCATTTTGGGAGGCCGAGGCAGGAGAATCGCTTGAACCTGGGAGTCGGAGTTTGCAGTGAGCCAAGATTGCCACTGCACCCCAGCCTGGTGACAGAACGAGACTCCGTCTCAAAAAATAAAAAAGAACATGCATCAGATAGACCAATGCCAGACTGAAGGAAAAAATAAATTAAAACACACACGTGGCTGGGCGCGGTGGCTCACGCCTGTAATCCTAGCACTTTGGGAGGCCAAGGTGGGCAGATCACCTGAAGTCAGGAGTTCGAGTCCAGACTGACCAACATGGAGAAACGCCATCTCTACTAAAAATACGAAATTAGCTGGGCATGGTGGCACATGCCTGTAATCCCAGCTACTCGGGAGGCTGAGGCAGGAGAATCGCTTGAACCCAGGAGGCAGAGGTTGCAGTGAGCCGAGATTGCGCCATTGCACTCTAGCCTGGGCAAGGAGAGCGAAACTCCATCTCAAAACACACACACACACACACACACACAGAGTTTTCCTATATGCTCCCTACCTTCACTTAAAACATATATAATCTTTAATGCAACAGCTTAAAAAATCACAAACACACAGGCACAAACAAATATGCAGAAAAATCTCTAAAATTTAAAATGCAGATGTGTAACCTTACCTAAACACATCATAATATGATATAGCTGATCAATATCAGAATCTCCAGGAAATAGGGGTTCCCCCATGAACATTTCAGTTACCAGACAACCAATGGCCCACACATCAACAGCCCTGAAAGAAAAGCAATGTGGTGTAAAATCTGGCATCCTAATATGCTCCAAAACCCAAAGCTTTTTGAGCACTGAGGTGATGCTCAAAGGAAATGCCAACCAGAGCATTTCAGATTTCAGATTCTCAGATTTGGCATGCTCCAATGGTATAATGCAAATATCCCAAAATCCAAAAAAAAAAAAAAACCCATCTGAAATCTGCAACACTTCTGGTCCCAAGCATTTAGGATAAGGAATACTCAACCTATAGTAAGCCTTAAATTACCCATGAAATGATTTTTCCCTATTAAAATTCTAACTCCCAATTTTACATAAGTGAGCTTTCCAGAAACTTCAATCATGTGACATAAAAGGGAAATGCCTTCTGAAAAGCCAAAACAGTTATTATGTATACTTTATTCTGGAAATAAAACTCTCAGGCTCCATTTAGAGCCTATTCATTCTTTGTTTACGCATAACTCTAGCAAGCTTGACCAATCTATGCTATGCCATCATACACTGAAAACAGCATACCAGAAAGAGGAGGTGGCTGCTAAGGATAAATACAGTAACAATGAAGAGAACTGAGGGATGATAGGGATAATTTTTTTTTTTTTCTTGAGACAGAATCTCACTCTGTCGCCCAGGCTGGAGTGCAGTCGCGTAATCTCAGCTCACTGCAACCTCTGCCTCCCAGGTTCAAGTGATTCTCCTGCCCCAGCCTCCCAAGTAGCTGGGATTACAGGTGCATGCCACCATGCCTGGCTAATTTTTGTATTTTTAGTAGAGATGGGGTTTCACCATGTTGGTCAGGCTGGTCTTGAACTCCTGACCTCATGATCCTCCCGCCTGGGCCTCCCAAAGTGCTGGGATTACAGGCATGAGCCGCTGCACCCAGCCTAGGGATAAAAATTTTGAAACTATCTTAAAAATCAGTTACAAGAACTCAAAGAATATGCAAGCATCATTTGGCATAGGAACAACTACCTTAAAATGCTTAAGGTTATTGCTGAATTATAAAATGGCACAAAAATTATAACATGGTAGCAAAATAAGAACTCAGTAATCAAGAAAATAATAAATAATGTTTAGTGTGCTCTGACAACAGAACTTGTAGAAAATATTTTAGAAAGATTTCAATCAAAAGCAGTAAAAGTTACAACCCTTTCTTCTTTGAAGAATTCCCTTGTGAAGAAAATTTATGTTTTAAAAACATTTTACTTAATTATATTTCTGCCTCCACCCTTGCTTACTCCATCTTCCCCATTCCAACAATGTCACATTTAACCAATCAATGTTCACCTCTCTTTACAAGTGATAAATATATCTATTTCCAACCCACTGTATAAAATAGACCACTTAATTTCCCCACCTCTAAAATAAGTATACTTGTTTCACAGGAATGTTTAAAGGGGAAGCACCAAAAATGATTACAATTTACTTTATATAGTCCCTGAAACTCAAGCCTTCCTTTCAGTATTAGAGGGATCATTTACTATATCATAAACATATTCCACTATAGCAAGAAGCAAGAGTAAAAATCTACTCCTCCCCATTACTGATGTCTTACTTGCCATACTTGACATCACCAACCAATAGTTCTGGAGCTCTGTACCATCGGGTTGCCACATAATCAGTATAAACCTCCCCAGGAGCTGCCAATGTTCGCGCAAATCCAAAATCGCATAGCTTGACAACGCCAGACTGGGAGACTAATATATTCTCTGGCTTTATATCTCTGTGTATGATCTAGACAAGAAGCAGAGTGTGACGGATGTTAAATAAAATTAATTATTTTGGGGCACCTGCTATGTGCAGGGCATTGTATGTTGTCCCTATAAAGAATACAAACAAAAGCATAGAAAGTTGCTCCTAGCCCTCAACAACCTAGGACCTAGTTGGGCAAGAAAGAACATCTATACTTGAAATTTTATTTAAACAATCAAAAACATTGGATAAAATATATTTTTTCAAATTACTAAATCAACTGTTCAGTTAATGTACTGCTCTCAAGACTAAGAGAGTAAAGCTATCATTGAAGCTGAGGCAGTCAGGGGAAATTTTTATGAAAGGGGTGGGCTCTAACATAGGTCTTTAATACTAAGTATGACCTAGATAAATAAAGAGAAAGAAGGGCAGCCCAAGTGAATGTAACAAGGAGAGCAAGAATGGAAATGGGGATAGATAAGAGATTGTGGGGAAAAAAAAATTTTTTTTTGAGACGGAGTCTCGCTCTGTCACCCAGGATGGAGTGCAGTGGCGCGATCTCGGCTCACTGCAAGCTCCACCTCCCGGGTTCACGCCATTCTCCTGCCTCAGCCTCCCGAGTAGGTGGGACTACTGGCGCCTGCCACCACGCCCGGCTAATTTTTTGTATTTTTAGTACAGACGGCGTTTCACCGTGTTAGCCAGGATGGTCTCGATCTCCTGACCTCCTCGTGATCTGCCCGCCTCGGCCTCCCGAAGTGCTGAGATTACAGGCGTGAGCCACCGCGCCCGGGCCAAAAACCTTTTTTTTTTTTTTTTTTTTAGGCATCGTCTTGCTCTTGTCGCCCAGGCTGGAGTGCAATGGCGCGATTTCGGCTCACTTCAACCTCCGCCTCCTGGGTTCAAGCGATTCTACTGTCTCAGCCTCCCGAGTAGCTGAGATTACAGGCGCCTGCCACCATGCCCAACTAATTTTTGTACTTTTAGTAGAGACGGGGTTTCACCATGTTGGCCAGGATGGTCTCAAACTCCTGACCTCAGGTGATCCACCTGCCTCGGCCTCCCAAAGTGCTGGGATTACAGGCGTGAGCCACCACGCCTGGCCAGAAAACTGTTTTTTCTAGAGTATAGGTTGTGTGAAGTGGAGGCGGAATATCTCAGCTGACATACTAGGAAGTGTGGCAAGACCCTGGGAACCCATGGAAGTGATAGACAATGTGGTGTTTAAAATTGATGTTGGCCATAAATGAGCTAAATCAGAGAGAAAGACGAGAGGCAGGAAGAAGAGCAGTGGGACCAGTATGAGGTGATAAAGGCCTAACCTAGGTTGGTGCTCAGAGGAATGGGAAGGAGGAAATGCAGTTTAGAAATACAATAAATCAAAAATCAATAGGCCGCACGCAGTGGCTCAAGCCTGTAATCCCAGCACTTTGGGAGGCCGAGGCAGGCAGATCACTTGAGGTCAGGAGTTCAAGACCAGCCTGGCCAACTTGGTGAAACCTTGTCTTTACTAAAATACAAAAAAGTAGCTGGGCGTGCTGGCACGCGCTTGTAATCCCAGCTACTTGAGTGGTTGAGGCAGGAGAATTGCTTGTACCCAGGAGGTGGAGGTTGCAGTGAGCCAAGATCGCACCACTGTATTCCAGCCTGGGCAACAGAGCGAGACTCCATCTCAAGAAAAAAAAAAAAAAAGAAAAGAAAGAAATAGAATTTAGAAGAGTCGTAGATATTTTGTAGATATTTTGTTTGAACCTGAGAATTTAAAAGAATGGTGGTTTCATTTTCAAAATTAGAAAAGCCTAGAGAAAGTTAGTTTTAATGGAATAATTAGTTTAGTTTTAATCATTGGACTTTTGGGTGGAATGCTGAGCACCCAAGTATAGACATTCATCAGGCAATTAGAAATGTAAAGAGTAAACAAAAACATTAGTGATTAAAATTTCTAAAGGAGAGACTTTGTAAGAATAAAACAGGATGCTGATATTCAGATAATATTTAAAAATCTGGCCAGGTGCGGTGGCTCACGCCTGTAATCCCAGCACTTTGGGAGGTTGAGGTGGGTGGATCATGAGGTCAGGAGTTTGAGACCAGCCTGGCCAACATGGTGAAACCCCGTCCCTAGTCAAAATACAAAAATTAGCCAGGCACTATGGCAGGCACCTGTAATCCCAGCTACTTGGGAGGCTCAGGCAGGAGAATCTCTTGAACCTAGGAGGGGGAAGGTTGCAGTGAGCCGAGATTGCGCCATTGCACTCCAGCCTGGGCGACAGAGACTCCATCTCAAAAAATATATATATAAAAAATATTATATAGATATATATCATATATGATATATTATATATATAATATATATATATTTAAAAATCTACAGCTAGGCAAAAGACATTATTAGGCCTAATTCTCTAATATAAGCAAATTGTATTTTGAAAACTAAAAAAGATAGATTTGTTTTAACTCTTTCGGAAGACCAGCATCCTAAACGGCAATCTGCCATTGCTGAGCACGTTGTATAGGCTACCAACTTTATTACCCTAGATATCAGTGATGAGGACACAGGTCCAGTCTCAGACCACCTGTGCTGTAGTAGAAAGAGCTAAACTGGGGCCGGGTGCGGTGGCTCACACCTGTAATCCCAGCACTTTGGGAGACCGAGGCGGGTGGATCACGAGGTCAGGAGATCGAGACATCCTGGCTAATATAGTGAAACCCCGTCTCTACCAAAAATACAAAAAATTAGCCAGGCGTGGTGGCAGGCGCCTGTAGTCCCAGCTACTCGGGAGGCTGAGGCAGGGAGAATGGCGTGAACCTGGGAGGCGGAGCTTGCAGTGAGCCGAAATCGAGCCACTGCACTCCATCCTGGGCGACAGAGCGAGCCTCCATCTCAAAAAAAAAAAGAAAAAGAAAAAAAGAAAGAGCTAAACTGGGAGTCGGGAGACCTGGGTCTAGTCCCTGGTTTTCAGTACAGCCATAGACAACTCAATCTTTCTAAGTCTATCCTCTCGGCCCACAAATGAGAGGGCTAAAGTGCATGATCACCATGTTTCTTCCCAACTCTAATACCTTATAACTTAAGTAACACAATAGATTCTAAGTATAACCAAGATGATATGAGTTGAATTTTTCCTAAAATCCATCATTGCAGACTGGGGTGGCCAGAGAAAGTACTATGAAAAGGGTAGGCTCTGACATGGGTCTTTAATACTAGATATAACCTAAATAAATTATGATACCTAGTAATTTCAGTAAAAAAAGTCGTTTAGGGTTCTACAAACCTCATAATGTTCTGTACTATTTGGGTCAAACTTCAATGGGCAGCAATCTTAAATTTGTTTTTAAATATGTTATTCAGTCTGGCTCATAAAGGATTAAAATCATATTTATATTTTAAAAAATTCAAGTGCTCACATATATAGATACATTTAAAAATGAATAATATATTTGAGAATAAATGTTCTCATTTTCTTAAAGTCAAGCATCTCATCCTTATGTGTACATATATGTGTTTATATATATGTATGTATGTATGTATATATCTGTGTGTTTTATTCCAGCCACTACCGTTATTATCTGTCTACATTAAAAAGAGAAATGTTAACTGCCCAGAAAACAAAACCTTAAAATATACCTTTAATAATAATGGTAATAATAGCTGACACTTGAATACTTATGTGTCAGGCACTATTCTAAATGTTTTTCATGTTTTAACTTATTTTATTCTCATAATAACCCTAAGGATAGGTGCTATTATTATCTCCATTTAACTAGGGGCTGGGAGTAAGGATTGGAGAAAAGGTACTAGGGTTTGAGAAGAAAGAGGGTAAGAAATCACAATCTAGAAGAGTTTAAGAGTAAATGGAGGCTGGGCACAGTGGCACACGCCTGTAATCCCAGCACTTTGGGAGGCCGAGGTGGGCCGATCACTTGAGGCCAAAAGTTCAAGACCAGCCTGGCCAACATGGCGAAACCCCATCTCTACTAAAAATACAAAAATTAGCCAGGCATGGTGGTGCACACCGGTAATCCCAGCTACTTGAGAGGCTGAGGCAGGAGAACCGCTTGAACCCAGGAGGCAGAGGTTGCAGTGAGCCAAGATCGTGCCACTGCACTCTAGCATGGGTGACAGAGTGAGATTCTGTCTCAAAAAAAAAAAAAAAAAAAAAAGAGTAAATGGACTGGAAAAAAAGTAGTATGCCAGGCAACACTAATAACACTAATGCTCCCTTGAGACAAGTGTTCATAAGTTAGAGTGAGATCAGTTCTCCACCCATAAAAATTCACATTTTCTATAGTTTAAAGAGATATGTAAATGTTCTGAAGCTTAGCAGGGAACCACCTTTTTTTTTTTTTTTTTTGAGATGGAGTTTCGTTCTTGTTGCCCAGGCTGGAGTGCAATGGCACAATCTCAGCTTACCGCAACCTCTGCCTCCCAGGTTCAAGCAATTCTCCTGCCTCAGCCTTCCGAGTAGCTGGGATTACAGGCATGTGCCACCACGCCCAGCTAATTTTGTATTTTTAGTAGAGACGGGGTTTCACCATGTTGGCCAGGCTGGTCTCAAACTCCCGACCTCAGGTGATCCACCCGCCTCGGCCTCCCAAATTGCTGGAATTACAGGCGTGAGCCACTGTGCCTGGAGAAACACTAGATTTTAAAATCTTTTTTTTTGTTTTTGAGACAGAGTCTCGCCATGTTGCCCAGGCTGGAGGGCAGTGGCACGATCTCAGCTCACTGCAACCTCCGCCTCCTGGGTCCAAGCAATTCTCTTGCCTCAGCCTCCCAAGCAGCTGGGATTACAGGTGCCTGCCACCATGCCCGGCTAATTTTTTTATATTTTTAGTAGAGATGGGGTTTCACCACGTTGGCCAGGCTGGCTTCGAACTCCTGACCTCAAGTGATCAGACCACGTCGGCCCCACAAAGTGCTAGGATTACATGCATGAGCCACCACACCAGGCCTAAAATCTCTTTCCTTAAACACAGAATGGCACTCATGCCAGCAGTACTTGACTCTAAACTGCCTGGATGTATCTGTACATCTAAAGGTAGAATGTGTTATATTAAACATGGGTTGATTCATCATGAAAGTATAAAAATAAAGGGACACAGAAGCAATGTAGGCAGGACACATTCAAATGCGCTTCTAATGTGAGAGAGACAATGGTTCTTTTTGCTTACTGGTTCCACTGGCAAGCCTATCCTTAGTACAGAGATGAATGTAGGGCATTCAGCCACCTAACTCCAAATATTACAGGCCCATTGGGAAGATATCATCATTTTTATGAAGAAGGATGAATCAGTATCTTTTAAACTGATACATTAAGTATTTGATTCACTAACACCTCATGCTGATCTGATTTCCTGCAAATCCAACATTATTGTTATTCTACTTTATATATTTCACCCCGTAACAATTATCTCTCTTTGCAATTTACTAAACTGGCATTCAGTCTCCTGAGTTTGGTCAATATGAGTCTGCCCTAAGAGACAGATAGTCTCAAAATTAGGTTTCTCAAAATAGATTTTCTGGGCCGGGAGCGGTGGCTCACGCCTGTAATCCCAGTACTTTGGGAGGCCAAGGCAGGCGGATCACGAGGTCAGAAGATCGAGATCATCCTGGCTAACAAGGTGAAACCCCGTCTCTACTAAAAATATAAAAAAATTCTCCGGGCGTGGTGGCGGGCGCCTGTAGTCCCAGCTACTCCGGAGGCTGAGGCCGGAGAATGGCGTGAGCCTGGGAGGCGGAGCTTGCCGTGAGCCGAGATCGCGCCACTGCACTCCAGCCTGGGCGATAGAGGGAGACTCCGTTTCAAAAAAAAATAGATTTTCTGAGCCTGGATCATTAAAAAGTTGCCAGGAGGCCACTATGGAAGGCCTCCTAAAAAAGGGCAGTGTTTTTCCCAGTGGAAACTAGGTATCTGCCTCTACTGAGCAATTTTTTTATGTATGTAAACTTCACACTATAACTCAGTAACATAACAAAACTACACAATAAAAGACAGTTAAAAAATTAGAGACAGTGAATAATAATAATAACCGAAAAGAAATATATCAATTTAGGTGGCAGGTATGTAAAATGATTTTTTCTTTCTTTTATAATTATCTTTAGTTTTAAATTTTTCTACCATTAATATTTATTACTCTTATAATCACACAAAGAATGTCATTTAAAATATTTTGTAAAACTGGCAAAATCTATGTGTTGAGCTATTCATTTATACTTTATAGGTATCATTCTTCTTGTAAGTGCTTTTATATGATACTCAAAGTATATAAAATTATTGTGATAGACTACAGGGTAAGGGTAGAAATTTTCAAACATTCACACTTTGTAATTAGGCAAGAGAACACAAACTAACAAATACACAGACCCTTGGGTCTATACATTTCTCAAAATTCATCACTTAAAATTTGTGCATTTCGCTTAGTAAATATTACCTTAAAAAAGAACAGAAAATAGAGCCAGGCACGGTGGCTCATGGCTGTAATCCCAGCACTTTGGGAGGCCAAGGCAGGCAGATCACCTGAGGTCAGGAGTTTTGAGACCAGCCTGGCCAACATGGTGAAACCCCATCTCTACTAAGAATACAAAAATTAGCCAGGCGTAGTGGTGCATGCCTGTAATCCCAGCTACTCAGGAGGCTGAGGCAAGAGAATCACTTGAACCTGGGGGGCAGAGGTTGCAGTGAGCTGAGATCTTGCCACTGCACTCCAGCCTGGGCGAAAGAGCGAGACTCTGTCTCGGAAAAAAACAAAACAAACAAACAAAAAACTCAGAAAACAAATATTTAACTCCAATTAATAGATGCACAGATGAAGTATTTAGTGTTAAAGTATACTGATGTCTGCAACTTATTTTCAAATGCATAAATCAATAAGACAGATTAAAGGATTAATGAATAAATATGTGATAAAGCAAATTATTTAAACCCAATACTTACATTGTGACTGTGACAAAATCCAATTCCATTAATAATCTGAAACAAATACTTTTGAACTACTTGGTAGTCTAGTCCATTTGGAAAGAGCTCCAAGTCATCAAGAATTGTGTGGTCAACAAATTCAAAGACTAGGTACCATCGTTTTTTTTTCTTACACACTTCCAAGAGATTCACCAAGTTTTCATGCCTAAGTTGCTGTTATTAAAAAATGCAAAATAGCTGTTATTTAAAAATGCAAAATAGTTTATATAAACTAAGATCAAATTATTAGCAATTAATTATTTAAAATAGATCTCAGCGTAAGAAAAATATATAAATAAAATGCATACATAGTGTAAATTGTAAAAGCATATTCTGGTTTTTAAACTACAATTGAGAGACTATATTGCTCCTTTCTCCTCTCAGAGAACAAAATAAAGCTAATAAGAAAAATAAGTGTAACTCCATCTTTGCTAAAACTAAGAGGGATCTATGACCCCCTACTCACAACAAATGAGATGGGACTACTAAATCTAATCACGGTCAAACAGGAGTATAGGAAGGCACCAAAAGATCATCTGTGGCTACAAAGCTGGAAGCGTAAGAGTTCTCTGAAGCCAGTGACATACCCTGAAAAGACAAAAAAGTCCTCCTTTAATATAATGGAAAACTATGTATACATATATATAGTATATATATATATGTATATTCATATATATATATACACTATATATATATGAAATAAGGCTCATAGACAGCAGTGAAAACATCCCTAGAACTGAATGGCACCAAGAAACAGCATTGGGGAAGGGCTGGATAAGGAATCACACAGAAACACATTTGCTGGAAACAATCTCTCAGTGAGGCAGTGTAGAAGGCAAAACAATTCATTATGAACAAGCCTGCAACTGCAAGTTTTAGAGAAATTAAACCTAATAGAATTAAATCCCACACTGAGGCATATGTGATAAGGAACACCATTGTGAATTATGGTAAATTCCTGCTAGCCTGGAACAAAGTCATGGCCTCTCCCCAGAACCTCCTACAAATAGTCCTCCAAAGACTCAGACTTTATTATAAGAAACAATCAAAAAGGAACCAATCAAGGATCTATTCAAAGATGTAAGAAATGGGGAAGAAAGGAGAAAGAAACATAAATGGTAGATTAACACTCACCAGAAAAAAATGTTGCCACCTTTAAAGGGAAAGAAACCAATGGAATGCAGAATACAGCTCTCAAAATCCTCAAGAAAATCCAAGTATGATCCAGGAACTTTATACCCAACCAAACTGTCATTCAAGTAAAAGCATGAATGAGCATTCAAGTAAAAACAACATGAGCATTGAATCCATTTAAGGCAGGACTAAATCTTATACAAATGTGGGCATCATGGTTATGAAACAGAAAGTGAACATTTTAAATGCAACAATGCACAAATGATATAGAAGATGTAAACAAGATAAAAGTGTATATATACACCAGGTGCAGTGGCTCACACCTGTAATCCCAGTGACTTGGGAGGACAAAGCAAGAGAATCACTTGAGGCCAGGAATTTGAGACCAGCCTGGGCATGGTGAGACCCCATCTCTACAAAAAATTTTAAAAATTAGCCTGGTGTGGTTGGGCACACCTCTAGTCCCAGCTACTTGGGAGGTTAATGTGGGAGAATCACTTAAGCCCACGAGTTGGAGGCTGCAATGAGTGTGGTGAGCCATGATCATGCCACTGCACTTCAGCTCGAGCAACAGAGCAAGACCTTATCTTGAAACAAAATGAAAAAACAAAACACTAAAGTAAATAAGATATTTTCTAAAATCAGATGGTAGGTGAGTGGGAGAGAAAATGAAATAGAAATAGAATAATTAATTTACAAAGAAGTAACTGTGTTATTTAACACTATAGTTATCAAGGTAAGCAATATGGCTAGGCATGGTAGCTTATGCCTGTAATCCCAGCGCTTTGGGAGGCTGAAGTGGAGGGATAGCTTGAGGCCAGGAATTGTAGGCTGCAATAAGCTATGATCATGCCACTGCATTCCAGCCTGGGTGGGGCAGAGTGAGACTCTCTTAAAAAATTAAAAAATGAAAAAAGATTACCAAGGAAACATATCCAATATAAATATAAAAATAATATAAGGAATTCAGGGGCCGGGCACAGTGGCTCACACCTGTAATCCCAGCACTTTGGGAGGCTGAGGCAGGTGGATCACCTGAGGTCAGGAGTTCAAGACCAACCTGGCCAACATGGCAAAACCCCATCTCTACCAAAAATACAAAAAAATTACCCAGGCGTGGTGGCATGCCTGGCCACCACCATGAAGTAATGAAGTAATATCAATGAAGTAATCCCAGTTTCTAAGGAGGCTGAGGCAGGAGAATCGCTTGAACCCAGGAGGCGGAAGTTGCAGTGAGCTAAGATTGCACCACTGCACTCCAGCCTGGGTGACAGAGCAAGACTCCATCTCCAAAAAAAAAAAAAAAAAGGAATTCAAATATCATATAGAAAAATGTTTTTTAAAGAGTTATACATCATAGAATATTATGCAGCCATAAAAAAGAATGAGATCATGTCCTTTGCAGGGACATGGATGGAGCTAGAAGCCATTATCCTCAGCAAACTAATAGGAACAGAAAACCAAATACCACATGTTGTCACTTATAAGTGGGAGCTAAATGATGAGTGCACATAGAGGGGAACAACACACACTGGGGCCTACCGGAGGGCAAAGGGTGGGAGAAGGGAGAGGACCAGGAAAAATGACTGACAAATAATTGTTTAAACCCAAGACTTACATCGTGACTGCGACAAAATCCAATTCCATTATTAATAATCTGAAACAAGTACTTTTGAACTAGTTGGTAGTCTAGTCCATTTGGAAAGAGCTCCAAGTCATCAAACCCCATGACACATGTTTACCTATGTAACAAACCTGTACATCCTGCACATGTACCCCTGAACTTAAAAGTTAAAAAAAAACACAAACTTCTACCCTGCCTTCCCTTAAAACAGACATTTTACAATGTAAAAGAAGCGTTGCCAAGAAAAAAATAAAAGTTATAAAAGAGTATGATATTATACATAATAATAACTAATACTTACACAATGCTTACTATGTTCCAGGTACTATTCTAAGCACAAAAGCCTTATGAAATAGGTACAATTATTATCCTGCTTTATAGCTGAAGCAACTAACTCACACAGAGGTCAAGGAACTTGTCCAAGGTCACACAGCAATAACTGGTAGAGGCATGATTAAAACACCTTCTCAAAAAAACCAAAAAAACTAAACAAACCAACAAAAATGCCCCAAAACCCACAAATTTCATATCCTAATGGAACTATAAATTCTGACAAGTTCTATTTTATCAAATTAAGAAATCTAAATAATACTAGAATGTCACTTGTTCCATTGGGCTGTTTTGGCACATTTCTAATAGAAGAAAACATTACACTAAAACTTTTTACTCTTTAAAAATTCACACTATAGCACCAGATAATTTATCTTTCTCTACTCTATGTCAAGTCCTTCTTGCAAAGATTTCCACAGTAGCTCCAAACCTGCAATCATAATTAAAACAGACTATCGGCCGGGCATGGTGGCTCATGCCTGTAATCCCAGCACTTTGGGATGCCAAGGCGGACGGATCACGAGGTCAGGAGTTCAAGATCAGCCTGGCCAAAATGGTGAATCCCTGTCTCTACTGAAAATACAAAAATTAGCCAGGCGTGGTGGCAGGTGCCTGTAGTCCCAGCTACTCAGGAGGCTGAGGCATGAGAATCGCTTGAACCCAGGAGGCGGAGGTTGCAGTGAGCCGAGATCGTGCCACTGCACTCCAACCTGGGCAACAGAGCGAGACTCTGTCTCAAAAAAAAAAAAAAAAAAAGCACAGACTATCAGCTCCACAGGTTCTCTGTCTTTGTGCTTATATTTTTAATGGCAGATGGTTACCTTCTTTGGTAATGGCAGACTGAGTAACTCAGACCAGGCCTCCAATTGAAAATTCTTTTTTTTTTTTTTTTTTTTTTTTTTTTTGAGACGGAGTTTCGCTCTTGTTGCCCAGGCTGGAGTGCAATGGCGCGATCTCGGCTCATCGCAACCTCCTCCGCCTGCCAGGTTCAAGCAATTCTCCTGCCTCAGCCTCCCGAATAGCTGGGATTACAGACATGCGCCACCATGCCCAGCTAATTTTGTATTTTTAGTAGAGACGGGGTTTCTCCGTGTTGGTCAGGCTGGTCTGGAACTCCCAACCTTAGGTGATCCGCCCGCCTTGGCCTCCCAAAGTGCTGGGATTACAAGCGTGAGTTGCCGCGCCCAGCCATTGAAAATTCTTTAAAAGTTGGATTAATTTTCAAAAAATCTTCTTAAACATATAAAAGGCTAAAACGACAGTGAGGATTACTGGGCTAAAATCAAGAACATGAGAATCCAGAGAGTTAACCTCGGGACTCAAAGCTAATTTTGACATCAAGTAACAAGTGTGGAAATGAGCTTTGATTTTTGTGGCTCCCCAGGGCTAAAAGGGAAAAGCCAAAGTCCAAAAGCCTTCTAAAGGTGGGATATCTGAGAAACCACCTCCAATTAAAGCTAGGACCCAAAAAACTACATCCTCCAGAGTGAAAATGAACAGAAATAAACGAGGCATCACTAGACTTAATTTAACATCACGTTCAAGGAACTAAAAGCCTTGAACATGGATTCACATACTGGACTGGGAGCATCTCCATGTACCTGTCAGAAGCAAATGAATATCACCTCTGGACAAAGAAAACCCTACCTTAGCCTCAAAATATTTCTACAAATAAAATTTCAAAAACAACATTCAATTCTAAAGGATAATGAGAAACACAAGATAAAAAGAGACTATAAGCAAGAACTTTGAACTTACTAAGGAGGTCCTGAGCTGGTAGTGTGCTTGTATCAGACAGAAACCAGAACTGGGAAAATTTTAATGTAAATATTTTTCATTATGAAGGGTAGTTAATTACTAAAGGGGGTAAAAGAAGACTGTAAGGGATATGTTTAAACTAGCAAATACAGGAAGCCCCACTTTTAGGGCTGAAGGAAAATACATAGGGACAAGAAGGAACTAAAAATGTAGAAGAGCCCCCAATAACCACCAGACACATAGTCCTCATTGGAAATGGCCCAGCAGCCACAAAAATCTAAAGATTGCCAATAGTGAAAAAATTCACCAGAGCACACAGGCCAGAGATGGTTTGTAGAGTGGCCAGCAGTTGGTAGAGAAACTCACCAGAATGTGCAGGTAGGCCAGAACTGGTACTTGAAAGATGCTGAAGTGAGCTAACAGACCTCCCACATGGTGATGGGCTCACAGCTGTATAAAAAAAAAAAAAAAAAAAAAAAAAGCACACCAGAAGCTGGAAGAAAAGTCTCTTCCTCTTGCTAAGGACCGACAATGTCTTTCCATGCCCTCTATCTGTTGACAAAACCTAAAATCAAATCAGCGGGCAATAAAAAAGAAATGTTTACAGAGTCCAGTTCTAATATCACAAAGTAGGTAAAAAAAAGGAGTGATTTGGAGTTGAGAGACAATAAATTGATTACTGGCACAGTGCCCATGAACATGGAAGAATGAAATAAAAATTGTCTGTGGAGAAAAATATTTTTACCTTAGCCTCAAATTATTTTTAAAAAGTAATCTTTCAGGACAGGCGTGGTGGCTCCCGCCTATGATTCTAGCATTTGGGTAGGTTGAGGCAGAAAAATTGCTTGAGCTCAGTAGTTTGAGACTAGTCTGGGCAACATTCTGAGACCCTGTCTCCACAAAAAATTAAAAAAATTAGCTGGGCATGGTGGCACATGCCTGTAGTCCAAGCTTCAAAGCTACTTAGGAAGCTGAGGCAGGAGGACTGCTTGAATCTGGAAGATTGAGGCTGAAGTGAGCCATAATTGCACCACTGCACTCCAGCCTGGGTGACAGAGCAAGACCCTGTCTAAAAAATAATAATAATGATAATAATAGTATTTCAAAGATAAGGTTCAGCACAAAATTGAAGATAAGCAGGCACACAATGAAATAAGACACCATAAGTAAGAAATACCAGAACATATCGGCGATTGAAACAGATACAGAATGACTTCAGATATTGTAATTATCAGATATGGACTACTACTCTTTAAAAAAGAAAGCCAACCTCAAAAAATGGAGGGAACTTAAAACCATGAAAAGTAACATAACAGATGTGGACCCAAATAAAAATTCTAGGATAGAAAAGTATAATTACTTTTGTTCACAGTAACAGTAGACTTGGTAATTTGTAACAATTCTCCAACTGAATACAAGTAGAAAAGCTGGACAAAATATATAACATAACTACTTGGAGGAACGAAAAAGATAATATAGTAAAAAATACCTGGGCTAGGAAGACAGAAACCCAGAAAAGTGAGCCAGGCAATTAGGGCCAAATTTTTTTTAACCCAAGAAACATATGCCACTTTAGAGGGAAGACTAAGAGGATCAGTAGCACTTTTCACCATTTTGCAGGCCTAAGGTAGCAGTGATTGACGTTCAGGGGCCGTGAAGGTGAAAAGAAGGAGTACAGTGCTGGTGAAATCCTTTCATTTGGGTTAGCCCTAAAAGTCCTCAAGCTATCAGTAGTAGCTGATATGAATCTTAGTATATGAAGCTGAATTCTTAAATGGGACAGTAGCAGTATGTGAAGCAACAATTATAGCTGAGCATTTTTTTTTTTTTTTGAGATGGAGTCTTACTCTGTTGCCAAGGCTGGAGTGCAGTGGCATGATCTTGGTTTACTTCAACCTCTGCCTGCGAGGTTCAAGAGATTCTCCTGCCTCAGCCTCCTGAGTAGCTGGGACTATAGGCGCGCACCAACATGCCCAGCTAATTTTTGTATTTTTAGTAAGGACAGGGTTTCACCACGTTGGCCAGGCTGGTCTCGAACCCCTGACCTCAAGTGATCCGCCCACCTTGGCCTCCCAAAGTGCTGAGATTAACAGACATGAGCCACCATGCCCAGCATTTTTTTAAAATGACAAATGACATTATTTGATAGAAGCAAGAGCCATAAAATTAACAGACAAAAAAAAAAAAAAACCCACACCTAGGCATATTATTGTAAACTCCTGAAAACCAAAGAGAAAACCTTAAAAGTATCTAGAAGAAAATGGTTATTAAGGAACACAGTAAGACTGATGTCTGATTTTTTCAATACAAGCAACGGAGCCCAGAACAGTAGGATTCTATCTTGAACATACTGAATGTAATTAACTGACAACCCTGAATGCTATATCCTGAGAAAACGGCCTTTTTTTCTTTTTTTTTGAAGCGATGAGATCTCACTACAGTGCCCAGGCTGGAGTGCAGTGGCTATTCACAGGCATGATCATAGCACACCACAGTCTCAAACTCCTGGGCTCAAGTGATCCTCCCACCTCAGCCTCCTGAATAGCAAAGACTATAGGCCCACGCTATCGCACCGAGCTTGAAATAGTATTTTAAACACAAAGTAGAATACATACTTTTTTTTACACTAACAAAAATGAATAGAATTTCTTATCATCAGATTTGCTTTAAGGAAAATAAAGGAAGTGCTTTAAGCATAAGGAAATTGACCCCAGATGGAAACTCAGAAATGTAGGGAAAATTAAAGAGTAATAGAAAGGGTAATATTAGGTATATCCTAATAACTGCTGACTGTGAACAATTTTAAAAGGGATTTAACTATACACAGAATTTAACAATGTTACATAGCAGCAATAACACATATATCTGATGGGTGGAGGGGAGAAAGGAGGGGGTAACTGAAGTTAAAATTTCTAAGATTTTTGCATGTAAAAGTACCTGTTTGAGTATCAATAAGTCAAGTTTGTATATTAAAATATCTAGAACAATCTCTAAAACACCAGCAAAAGAATGTTTAACAAAATAATTTTTAAAAAGAAAAAACCTAGATATATGGAAGGCAACTAGGAAGAGAAGTATAAATCCAAATATGTAAGTTTTATATTAAATATAAATAGACCAAACACTCCAAGTAAAATACAAAGATTGTCAGACTGAATAAACAAAAGAAATAACTGTATCTGCTTATAAGAGATATACTTTACATCTAACGACACAGAAGGTTAATAGGAGAAAGGATTAAAAAGTATATATCATATAAATAATGATCAAAAGTGCAAACATACTAATGACGAAGTGTATGTTAAGACAAGAAGACTGGCCAGGCCTGGTGGCTCATGCCTGTAATCCCAACACTTTGGGAAGCCAAAGTGGCTGGATCACGAGGTCAGGAGTTTGAGACCAGCCTGGCCGACATGGTGAAACCCCGTCTCTACTAAAATACAAAAATTAGCCAGGTGTGGTGGCGGGCACCTGTAATCCCAGCTACTTGGGAGGCTGAGGCAGGAGAATTGCTTGAACCCAGCGGGTAGAAGTTGCAGCGAGACGAGATTGCACCACTGTACTCCAGCCTGGGTGACAGAGCAAGACTCCATCAAAAAAAAAAAAAAAAAAAAAAAAAAAAACAGACAAGAAGACCAAGAAACAAAAGGATTATACAATGTTCATGAACTGGATGCAATATTGTAAACACATCAATTCTCCACAAATTGATTGTATAAATTCAATAAATTCCTAGAGTGTTTATGAACATTGGTAAATTGATTCTAAAATTTATATGGAAATGCAAACAGACAAAAATAGGGAAGATGGTCTTATAGAAGAAGGACAAAACAGAAGGATTTATTCTACCAGATATAAAAACTTACAAACTAGGCCAGCTGCAGTGGCTCACACCTGTAATCCCAGCACTTTGGAAGGCTGAGGAGGGCGGATTGCTTGAGCCAAGCAGCTCAAGACTAGCCTGGGCAACATGGAAAAACCCTATCTTTACCCAAAAAAATACAAATATTAGCTAAGCATGGTGGCACACGCCTGTAGGCCCAGCTACTCAGAAGGCTGAAGTGGGAGAATCACTTGAGCCTGGGAGGCAGAGATTGCAATGAGTCAAGATCATGCCACTGCACTGCAGCCCGGGTGATACAGCAAAACCCTGTCTCAAAAAAAAACCTACTAACTAGAATAAACATGATTGTGGGCTACTGGCGCAAGCTTAAACAAATAGACCAATGGGACAGAATAAAATCTTACCTATATAGGAGAACGTGTGGCAAAAGGAATATTCAGAACAGTGGGGAAAAAGATGGTATTTTCAATAAATGTTTCTGGGACAACTGGATAGCCATAAGGGAAAAGTCATAAGATTTGACTGTGTCAAACACCATTATTAAGATCAAGAACAAGTATTAGATAATTAGACTTTAACAAATCCCTAGTGTAACCACTAAAAGACAGAAACACAATGTAAAATTTCCAAGTTATTAGAAAAAAAGGAATGATAAATGTAATCAATCCAAGTAACAAAAGACAAAGAAATAGAGAACTGGTAATACAAATAGCACATATTAAGGTGGTAGATATATATATTCAAAATACATCAGATATTATATTACAAGTAAATGGAATAAATGCTCCAATTAAAAGGGAAATATTATCAAACAGGAAAAAAGCAAAATATAACTATACGGTTTTCACAAGAGATACATCTAAACAAGAATTCAGAAAAATTAGGGGGCCAGGCGCGGTGGCTTACACCTGTAATCTCAGCACTTTGGAAGGCTGAGGCAGGCGGATAACCTGAGGTCAGGAGTTTGAGACCAGCCTGGCCAACATGGTGAAACCCCATCCCTACTAAAAATACAAAAATTAGCCAGGCGTGGTGGCGGGCGCCTATAGTACCAGCTACTCAGGAGGCTGAGGCAGAATTGCTTGAACCCAGGAGGCAGAGGTTGCAGTGAGCCAAGATTACGCCACTGCACTCCAGCCTAGATGACAAGTGTGAAACTCCATCTCAAAAAAAAAAAAAAAAGAATTCAGAAAAATTAGAAGTAAAAATATGGAAAAGATTTACTATGGAAACGCTAACCAAAATTAAGCTAATGCATGTACTCTTATTAATTTCAAATAAATTAGATCTTAAAACAAAATACTGGCCAGGTGTGGTGGCTCACACCTATAATCTGAACACTTTGAAAGGCCGAGGTAGGAGGATTACTTTAGCTCAGGAGTTAGAGACCAGCCTGAGCAACACAGTGAGACCTTATCTCTACTGAAAATAAAAAAATTAGCCAGGCATAGCGGCACACACCTGCAATCCCAGCTACTTGGGAGACTGAGGTGTAGGATTGCTTGAGCCCAGGAGTTCAAGGCTGCAGTGAGCCATGATCATGCCACTGCACTCCAGCCTGGAGGACAGAGCAAGACCCTGTCTCAAAAAAACAAAATGAAACGACCGGGTGTGGTGGCTCACACCTGTAATCCCAGCACTTTGGGAGGCTGAGGTGGGCGGATCATGAGGTCAGGAGATCGAGACCATCCCAATCAACATGGTGCAACTCCGTCTCTACTAAAATACAAAAAAAAAAAAAAATTATCCAGGCATGGTGATGCACACCTGTAGTCCCAGCTGCTTGGGAGGCTGAGGCAGGGGCATCACTTGAACCCGGGAGGAGGAGGTTGTAGTGAACTGAGATAGCACCATTGCACTCCAGCCTGGTAACAGAGTGAGACTCCGTCTCAAAAAAAACCAACGAAACAAAATATTACTATAATAAAAAGGGTTATTGCATAATAACAAAAGATTTAACTCAACAGCAAGATATAATAATTCTAAATATAACACACTAATAATACTGTTTCTGTTTATAAAAATAAACATTAACTGAACTACAATGAAAAGTAGAAAAATCAATAATCACAAAGGAAGACTTTAACATATTTCTTCTCAGTGTTGGATAAAACAAGCATGTAAGGAAAATAAATAAGAATTTGGAAGATTTGAACAACACAATTAACATGAACATATATGAAATACGTTTCAAGAACAAGAGGGTTTTTTTTAGTTGACTATATTCTGAACAAAAAGCAAATATCAAGAAATTTCAAAGAAATAAATTCTTATATGGTGTATACTCAGAACATAGGGCAGTTGTCTCACAAATAAATAACCAGGAAAGAATAACCTAGAAAATGTCCATGATTGGAAATACAGAAATATACTTTTAAATAACTCAGGGATTAAGAAAAATATAAGAGAAATGAGAAAATATTGTTAACAATCAAAATTTCCAGGATACATACCAAGCTGTTCCTACAGGAAAATGTATATCCTTAAATGCATATTTGAGGGGAAAAAAGTCTGGAAATTAGAGAAGCATCTATCTCAACAAATTAGGGAAAAGGGCTGCAAAATAAACCCATACAAATAAGTAGAAAAAATGAAATAATAAAGAACAAAAATTAATGCTATTCCTCCTAACAAGTCATCAAATCTGGGGTGGTCTTTGGGACTCCTAACACAGACTATAGATAGATGATTGATAAATACACAGAAAGATATAGAGAGAAGGAACAAACACTTTTAAAATCAGGTTTACATTCACCAGATAAATGAATTTGCATATCTAATCATTGTATTTCTTCTTATTGCCAAAAAAGAAACTTATACTCATATTTTTTGATTCAATATATGCATTTACTCACCTTTAGTAACTTGATTTCTCGCATTGCAATCTTTTTAACCATTTTGTCATCGTCACTTTCTAAGAACTTCTTTATGGCCACAATTCTTCCAGTATCTTTATTCCTACACTTCATCACCATTCCATAACTCCCTTCTCCAACCAAACCCAGGTTTTCATATTTTTCCATTTTAATTTAAAGTCCGTAGAAACTTTTTGCTGTGAAAACCAAAACATAGATTTAACAAAGTTGAGTACGTTAATTTCCTCCGCCTTCCCAGCAAATTAATTCTTCCCTGCTTGTTTTCCATATTAGTCACTGTGTTCATGGCTGTCCTGTATTAATTCACAATTTCCTAGTGTTTCTACATGTAAGCTATGTTTCAAAATGGTCACACACATTAAGCTATGTTTTCAAAATGGTCACACACATTTCATAATAGACAACGCAAATGGAATTGAAGCCATTAACTTTAAATTACTAAATGTCATGTTAATGAAATTCCATATATTTTTAATTCCAATAAAGCAATACTTGAGCTATCACACATAACAATTACAACTCACTTTAAAAAGCACAATTCCAGACCGGGCGCAGTGGCTCACGCCTGTAATCCCAACACTTTGGGAGGCCAAGGTGGGCGGATCACAAGGTCGGGAGATTGAGACCATCCTGGCTAACACGGTGAAACCCCGTCTCTACTAAAAATACAGAAAAATTAGCCGGACTTGGTGGCAGGCGCCTGTAGTCCCAGCTACTCGGGAGGCTGAGGCAGGAGAATGGCGTGAACCCGGGAGGCGGAGCTTGCAGTGAGCCAAGATCACACCACTGCACTCCAGCCTGGGCAACAGAGTGAGACTCCATCTCAAAAAAAAAAAAAAAAGCACAATTCCAGCCTGGGCAACATACTGAGACTCTGTCTCTACAAAAGACATTTTTAAATTAGCTGGGTGTGGTGGTGTATGCCTGTGGTCCCAGCTACTTGGGAGGCTGAGGCAGGAGAATTGCTTGAGCCCAGGAGGTTGAGGCTGCAGTGAGCTGTGATGGCACTGCACACCAGCCTGAGCAACGGAGCAAGAATCTGTCTCAAAAACAAAACAAAACAAATAAACAAAATGCACAGGCCAGGTGCAGTGGCTCACACCTGTAATCCCAGCACTTTAGAAGGCGGAGGCGGGCAGATCACCTGAGGTCAGGAGTTTGAGACCAGCCTGGCCAACATGGTGAAACCCTGTCTCTACTAAAATACAAAAATTAGCCAGGCATGGTGGTGCACCCCTATAGTCCCAGCTACTCGGGAGGCTAAGGCAGGAGAATCCCTTGAACCCAGGAGGCGGAGGTTGCAGTGAGCCAAGATAGCACTATTGCACTCCAGCCTGGGTGACAGAGTGAGACTCTGTCTCAAAAAAAAAAAAGCACAATTCCTTTTCACTCAAAGATGTATAACTGAATTTGGTGGGGGATTTTGTTTGTTTGTTTGTTTGTTTGTTTGGGACGGAGTCTTGCTCTGTTGCCCAGGCTGGAGTGCAGTGGTGAGATTTAGGCTCACGGCAACCTCCACCTCCTGGGTTCAAGCAATTCTCCTGCCTCCGCCTCTGAGTAGCTGGGATTATAGGCGTGAGCCACCACACCCGGGTAAGTTTTGTATTTTCATAGAGATGGGGTTTTGCCATGTTGCCCAGGCTGATCTCAAACTCCTGACCTCAAGTGATCCACCCACCTTGGCCTCCCAAAGTGCTGGGATTGCAGGCGTGAGCCAGAGCGCCCGGCCTGAATTTAGTTTTAATAAAGATCAACTTTTTTGTTACACTGGATTTAGATCAATGTTGGAAATACTTATGCACCTTCCACTTAATTGGAAAAAATATTTGATCACATAACAAATTAACACAGAGCATCTTTCATAAAATATTTTTCTTTACTTTTTTTTTCTTTTTTTTTTTTTTTTTTTTGAAACGGAGTCTCGTGCACTGGCGCGATCTCGGCTCACTGCAACCTCTGCCTCCCAGGTTCAAGCGATTCCCTGTTTCTGCCTCCCCAGTAGCTAGGGTTACAGGCACCGCTACCACGCCCAGCTAATTTTTGTACTTTTAGTAGAGACGGGGTTTCGCCATGTTACTGTTACTATATTGAACTTAGAAAATAAGAGTAATGACATCGGTATATAAGCAGATTTTTAAAATTAAATTAAATTTTATTAAATTTAATGTAATTATTAAATTAAATTAAATATTAGTAGTACCAAGTACAGTAAAAGTATTTCAAAAACCCTGTTAATGATTACTCACTATAAGTATAATTTGAATTTGTGTTTGAAATTTTTTTTTTTTTTTTGAGACGGAGTCTTGCTCTGTCGCCCAGGCTGGAGTGCAGTGGCGCGATCTTGGCTCACTGCAAACTCCGCCTCCCGGGTCCACGCCATTCTCCTGCCTCAACCTCTCGAGTAGCTGGGACTACAGGCGCCTGCCACCACGCCCAGCTAACTTTTTGTATTTTTAGTAGAGACGGGGTTTCACCGTGTTAGCCAGGATTGTATCGATCTCCTGACCTCGTGATCTGCCCGCCTCGGCCTCCGAAAGTTCTGGGATTACAGGCGTGAGCCACCGCGCCCGGCCTTGAAATTTTTTACTCATATTATATGACATTTTCTGAATAAAGGCAATCCTAAGAGAATCTTTCTTGTTTTACCAATGATTGACGAAGGTCCAGCAATCATTGGACAAAATGCTTTCGTACAGAAAAAAATTATTTCAGTCCAAATACAGATAGATTTTAACTATCTATTATTTCAGTAATAATAGATAAAAAATTATTTCAGTCCAAATACAGATAGATTTTAACAAGAAATAATTCTTGCCTGTTGTATTAATTGTATACTTACGGCAATCTAAAATTTACTCAGATCGTGAACTGTTTTTCCTATTTCTCTATTGGAACAGTGATGCAAAGACAAAACAAATATTCTCTTTGTTCTAGCAAACTATGCTAATCCAATGTATACAATACGTTTTCCACACTTGACATATAATAGTTTGAGATTTTATAATATATATATTTTTAATGTAGCTATATGTGGAGAACCAGAAGATTGATCTTGAGGGGTGGGAAATGAAAACAATACCAATGAACATCGACTTAAATTATTATTTTACTACCAGTTTTCATAGTAGATTCTACTACAAACTTTTTACAGAGCAGTGTCCCAGACACTAACTTTCCATGCATTTGACATTTTACCTTCTATTCCACTTCCATTAACTATTTTTTAATAAACTGTTTGTATTTGAAAAAAAAAATCTCCATATAATTCTATCCCTTCTTAATTTTTTTCTCTTCCATTAAGAGAGTATGTTTTATTAAGCACTAGGCTTTAGGTTTATCATACCAATGACAAAAATAGCTTGAATCTATAACCTGGATTATTTTAAAACATTTTGTAATTGATGTCCTCAATATTTGAAAGCACAAAGTGAACCAAAAAAAATGACTTTAAGCATGTCTGAGGTGTTCTGAAGCATATCCCAAGCTAACATTAATGCAAGTTGACTGCTTCAAGTTTATTCTCCCAACCAATTGCATATCTGGACACACCACATTGAACACACCTGCTTTTTCAAGTGACACTGTCCACAAATACTTTAAAAGTATCACAGCCTACAAAGCCTCCTGTTTCCTGAAACAGTTACTCATAAACTATAACTTCTCATGCCTTCTACTCTTGAACGGAAAGGTAATACAAACGAAAAAGAAACCTGGCCAATGGGCAAGGTGTTATTTCTGGATGGTTCTAAAAGCAACAATTTTGATAAAAATATTTGGAGAATGCTAATTTTTTATTTTGTTTAAGACAGATTAAAGGGCCGGGAGCGGTGGCTCACGCCTGTAATCCCAACACTTTGGGAGGCCGAGGCGGGCGGATCACCTGAGGTTGCGAGTTCGAGACCAGCCTAACCAACATGGAGAAACCCTGTCTCTACTAAAAATACAAACTTAGCCGGGCGTGGTGGTGATGCCTGTAATCCCAGCTACTTGGGAGGCTGAGGCAGGATAATCGCTTGAACCCAGGAGGCAGAGGTTGCGGTGAGCCGAGACCATGCCATTGCACTCCAGCCTGGGCAACAAGAGTGAAACTCCGTCTCAAAAAAAAAAAAAAAAAAAAAAAAAAAAAAAAAAAAAAAAGATTGAAATCTTTTATAGATCAAAGAACGAGATAATAGAAGCTTTAAAACGTACTATACTTACCGTTTCTTCAATCCGTTCGCATAGAAAGACCCAAAGGTTTTCAACTTGGAAACAAATTTGAGGTGAAATGCATATGGTTCGCAGGTCCAAAAGATGCTGCCTAGCAAACTAGCAATTCCAGCGCTGTTGTGATTTCTTCTGCGGACGCAGTCACGAGTCCAGGGCGAAGCAGGCAGGGAGGCAGGTGGGCCTCGGTCCGCCGCAAGCTCACACTTAGGAGGACCACGGGCCGCATGCTGTCGTCGTCAAGGCAACGACCTCACTCTGTCCCCAACCATAGGCACAAAGTCTTGGGAGACAGATACGGCCCAGGTCAGAATGCGTTCACGGCAGGCACCAACACCTGTGAAGGCCAAGGGCTAGAGAGCAATTAGCTGGGTGAGAGGCACCACCTCCCAGCTCGTAAGGCGCCCAGTACCTGGAGCCTGGGAACCTGCACCGCTCCAACTACCCCTGGGCGAAGGCGTTGGCCGCGGAGCTGCAAGGGGGGGCGGTTTCTCACCCGCCCCGAGAGCGCCAGGCCTCCCTTCTTCTGATTGGCCGAGCCGAGTCGTCACGAGCCATGATTGGCTCAGGGCCAACCACCCCGCCCCTTCACCTAGGGCTCGGCCCAGGTTCTGCTCCCTGACACGCAGAGGCCCTGCGTCCCCACACGCCTTGGTTCTCGTCAGGAGGCGCCTTTCTGCCTTCCCCAGCGGGAGGAGGCGATTGTGATGCCCACGCGAAGGGTAAAGGTGGCGGTTATGTAGGACTGCGAAGACTATGCAAAATGCGATACGGTTTCCCTCATAGCATCGCCGCTGGGGCAGGGGCGGGCGCCGGGCGCCCTGAGTCGCGTAGGCGCGGCCTGACCGGGATTCCATGCTTCCTTTCTGTTCTGGGCGGTGGGGCCAGTGTGAGCCAGGTAGGAGATAACGGTGACAGTTTAGGAGGTGATGATTAGTAGGCGAGGCAAGGTGGAAGAAGGTAGGTGATGACAGACCTGACGTTAGGAGGGACCTTGGGAAGGCCAGTCTGGCCATTGAAAGTGAGGGAAAACACTGAGATGGAGGAAGGGGAAGAGAGGGCATGAGTGGAATGGGAAAGCGCTGGGATGGCTGGGGATCTGGAGGACACGCACAACACCCGCGTATGGCAGCCAAATGGGGTGGAGTTAGGGCTTGCGATAAAACTTGCCTTAAATGCAAAAATGCAGCTCAATCCACGACTGAGCAAGACTGGTAGGTCAGAATCATGCACAGGCTTAAATCACACAGGAACAGAGCTTACCCCATTTTCAAAGAATCTGAGGCAGCGAGGAGGCCATAAGGCCAGTAAAATAACACTTTCAATCATGATAACTAAATGTTCATGATCATTTTGGTCTCGAAACTACTTTGATTTAGGGAATAGAGTGTCCTGGATAGACAAATGTCTACCATATACCCTAGTCAATATTAAGGTATTAATCATTAATGTTAAGGTATTGATTCCTTCTTGTACATTAAGAAATAGACATTCTTTTTATAGTCTTTTGTGAGTTTGGTTAGTTTGCATTAATCTCCCAGTGGTTAATTACCTTGGTCAGACTGCTTAAAATCTAGTTCCTGAACCTGTAATATTGAGAACCAGACCTGAGGCCTAGTTATGGAAAGAATAGAATTATTTGGTCAATTCAAGATGTGACTCTTAGTGTAGCAATTAGCTCTGTCCTTAGCTGTGTCCAAGTTGCGAGAAGCCCTGTCCCATTTGGTACCTCTATAGGCTATAAGAGAATCTGATGAACTTCTTTTATATGGGGGTAGATTCAGTTTTGTTGGGCCTGAAGCTTAAGAACAAGAGCGCAAAACTATTTTACTTTTGCAACTTTATAATCATATTCAACCGTATAACATTTTAAGGCCCCTTCATGCAAGAGGCCTAGAAGCTTCAATAATCTATTTATATCTCACAGGGAACCAAAGGATAAAGACTGAAAATACTGGATTTGGCGAACAAGTGATGCTTTAGGAAACAATTTCAGCCAGATGCGGTGGCTCATGCCTGTAATCCTAGCACTTTGGGAGGCCAAGGCGGGCAGATCACCTGAGGTCAGGAGTTTGATACCAGCCAGGCCAACATGGTGAAACCCTGTCTCTACTAACAATACAAAAATTAGCTGGGCATGGTTGTGAACGCCTGTACTCCCAGCTACTTGGGAGACTGAAAAAAAGAAAACAAACAAACCAAAAAAAAACAATTTCAGTAAGAACTGAGTTTGAAAGCCAGTTGTAGAGGACAGAGGTTATTAAAGACTTACACATTCTGGCCATCTACAGGATTGTTAATAGAGAAGGTATTATGTAGAAACAGGATTGTGTTACTATTTTTTCTTTCTTTTCTTCTGAGGCGGAGTCTCACTCTGTTGCCCAGGCTGGAGTGCAGCAGCACGATCTTGGCTCACTGCAACCTCTGCTTCCTGGGTTCAAGCGATTCTCCTGTCTCAGCCTCCCAGGTAGCTGGGATTACAGGACCCCACCACCACGCCTGGCTAATTTTTTTCTTTTTTTAGTAGAGGCAGGTTTTCGCCATGTTGGTCAGACTGGTCTCGAACTCCTGACCTCAGTTGATCCGCCCGCCTCAGCCTCCCAAAGTGCTGGGATTACAGGCGTGACCCACCGCACCCGGCCTATTTTTTCTTTTTAAAGAGGGAAATATTTATAGGGAAAAAGAGTGGGGAGAGACCTTAAAGGGGCAAGAAAATGAATAATTAATGAAAAACCAAGGAGAGGTACTGAAGAGTAGGTAATAATATATGAGAAGGGGTTAGGCTTGAAGAGGTTTAGAGAAAATGGAAAAAACTGAGAAAAGTGTAGGGCATACACTGTGGGCCCAGGCCATCTCAGTAAAAGAACTTTATTTTTGCATAAAAAGGTAATGGTGAGATAGAGGCTTAAGGATTTGAGAGCAGAAATACGTTAGAATAGTTAAGAAGTCATTTTGATATAAAAGGAACACAAAATAGTAAAAATGTGCTCACTTGAGCCTGGGTACCATGAATTTACAGTGAACCAACTGACACTGTTGCCCAGAATTGGGCAACCCCAAAGGAAAGAATGGAGAAAATAGATGATATATAAGCTGCCTCTTTTAGAGAACTGGTAATGCAAAAAGATTAAACAAAGGAGTTAAGGAATTTCAGAACAAGGATCACTGAGAAAAAAAAAAGGAATCAAAGATGCTGAAGAAAATACCATTAAAATTGCTTGCCATGGGCTCCTGCTAAATAGGAAGATAAATTTTGACAGCAGTTAGCTAATAAACTGAAAACGGAGGCACTGAGGGTCTGGAAGTCATCATAGGCATGAATAATAAGTTTAAAGGAGCAATATAGGAGGAAAAAGTTATCAGAGAAAGCAGTTTGTGTATTCCAGATGTTGGAAATGGCACAGGATGATCAGTTCTAAAGGGTGGAGTATTTGGCTGTTCCTTGGGTAGCTGAAGTTGAGTGGAAAATGTCATTGAGTTCAAAGAAACTTGAGGTCACAGTATGAAAAATTCATTAACATGAACTACCAAGTAGGACTATAGTGGAAGAGGCTGAGAAAGACATTAATCAGTGAAGAAAGTGAAAATGTTCTAAAAATCTAAAGAAAACAGTATGGGAGTGCATGAGGTAGATGTCAAGAGAGGACAGCTTGAGAGATGGCAATGGCAATGAAATAAATGTGAAATAGATTAAGGACCATATGACCCAGCAATTCCACTTCCAGGTATTATAAGAGAAATAAAAACATGTTCACATAAAAACTTACACACAAATGCTCACAACAGCATTATTAATAACCAAAAAAACAGAAAAAACCCAAATGTCCATCAGCGGAGGAATAAAATTTGGTGTATTCAATTTAATGGAATATTACTCAACCATAAAAGGAAGTGCTGATACATGATGGATGAATCTTGAAAACACTATGCCAAGGGAAAGAAGCCAGACACAAAAAGGCACGTGTTATATAAAGTGTCCAGCCTAGGCAAATCCATAGAAACAGAAAGTACATTAGTGGTTACCAGGGGCTGTGGTTAGATGGGAATGGAAAGTGACTACTGGTAGGTATGAGGTTCCTTTTTGGGGTGATGAAAATGTTCTGGAATTAGGAAGTGGTGATGGTTATATAACCTTGTGAATATACTAAAAACCACTGAACTGTATGCTGAAAAAGGTGAATTTTATGTAATTTGTATCTCAACTTAAAAATAATAGACTAGAGGGGGATTAGAAATTAAAGCCTGCCCAGAAATATTTTTCAATGATTTTATATATTTTAGTTTAGAGTAGACCCATTCTTCCTCACATTAGCAATCATCTCTTAAATTACTCTCCACAACAATCATTTTCTACATATCTTGACATCCAAAAAACAATGTGCTTGGGCCCTTTTCTTGCCCGTCCACCACTAGTCCCCCCGGGCCCCATGAGATCCTGACTGATGAGGTTTTGGCATCACCTCAATTGAGTCACCAAGTGAAAGGGCCGTAAAATCTTTAGACTACAAAAGGTTCTTCATTATCAGTATATTATAGAACATGCAACTATGAATACATTTCCCCATTCTATTAAGAAAATGGACTGACTTATTTTGAAGTTCTAAGTTTTTTTGATGGGAGGACATTTGCTAAACCTAGTTTAATGACTTGATTACTACATTAAAAGATTATGAAGACAACTAGATTTGAAAACCTAAAGTATAATGTGCCACTTATTTTGCCAAGTTCAACATATATCACACCTTGCTGTATCAGCCACCAGCATCTATACCATAGTGGTTGTGAACATAGGAATCCATTCCTCAAATATTAAAAATACTATATATTCTTTCCTACTTAGATAACCATGGTAATAAATAAAATAGTATACCTTCTGTTTGTTTGCACTAGTAACATGCCTCTTATTACCCTCACTTACTTTTCATTTCCTTCTAGTTTCACCCCATTCCTCTGTTCATCCTTATAGCAAAACTACAGAAAAAGTTGGTGTTCATTAGTTCAATTTCCAATATCCAGTCCTCTCTTGGACTTCATCCTTATTACTTCATTGAAATAGTTCTTACCAAAGTCACTATGACCTACATCCTGCCAAAGACATCTGTAGTGGAGCTTACTAGCTACTCACAATAAGCTGATTTCTTTTTTGCCTGTATGCATGGCTTATTTTTTGCAACCTCCGTGGAAGTTGGGAATGGCTATGTGATTGAATTCAAGCCAATGGAATATGAGATGTGTACGTTCCCATTCCTGGCACATAAAAATCTAGCACTCATGATCCTCCAAAATCTTTTTCCCTTTTAGTCGGCTATATTAGAGATGATTCCGTGATCTTGAAGCCACCTATTGAAGTTGGTAGAGCCTTCATTCACCTGTGTCCCTAAATAGCTACGAGGGGGGAGGGCCAGACCACTGGTCTTTTCACTGCCACTCTAATACTTTTTACAGGAAGCAGGGAAAAAAAAAAAAACTATTGTATCTGAGCCATTAGACATTTTGGTATCTATTTATTGTAGCAGTTAGCCCACTCTAATTCACTTGCTATTTTATTTGAACTTTCAGCAGCATTTGACACAACTATCTATCCTTTCCTTCTGATAAACTCTTGAAACTTGGCTTTCCGTGACACCAATACTTATCATATTTTGTCTCATTGTTTTCTTTGTATGCTCCTCTCCTGTACTATAACCCTAAGTTTTGGAAGTATCTGAGGTCTCATTCATCAGCCTCATCTCTTCTATACATACTCTTCTTAAGTGATCTCATCTAATCCAAAGGCTGCAAAGATCTGTTTGCACCACTCACAGCACAGACTTCTCAGAACTCCAGAATCACACATTTAATTGCCTGACATTTCTTCTTGGATATCCAATTGGCATGTGAAACTTAACATGGCTAAAACAGAACTGTTGATTTCCCCTCCACAATCCACTTCTCCTCTTTCCCTATGTGAGTACCATAGCCTTCCATCCAAGCTGCCCCCAAATCCTATGAGTCATCCTTCAATCTTCCCTCCCTCACATTCAAAATCCAATCCCTAAGCAACTTTATAGGTTCTACCTTGAAAACATATCCTGTTAACTGACCACTAACCACCGTCTCCACTGCTACAACCCTTATCCAAGCTACCATCACCTGTCACCTGACAGCTCCTAATTCAGATCGCATCAACGTTCAGATCCCTACCATCCCGAGTAAAATTCAGAATACAAGGCCACCCTCAATTTAGCTCTTCCTACCTCTTAATGTCTGCCTACCTCTTAATATCATCTGCATTATCATTAGAGCCATATTGGCCTTCTTATTGCCCTTTAAGATACCAAGCTCCTTCCAAAAACAGGGCCTCCAAATTTTCACTTGGAACACTTTACCCCTAGATTTACTCAAGTCTGCCTTCTCTTCAAATCTTAGGTATACCTCTTTTCATTACCATCCTGGGTAGAACAGCCCCATCTCCAGTCACTATTCTCCTGTACTAGTTCTACTCCAATTAGCCATGTGGTCTTGAACAAATAGCTAACCCTTTGTGCCTGAGTTAACCCTTCTGTAAATCATACTACTCTCATAGGATTACCATTAGGATTAAATAGGTTGTATTCTGCCCAGGACACATCAGAACTGATATTAACATGCTTGCTGCCTCTCTCTCTCAAAATGCAAATTTCCTAAAGGTAGGTTGTGTCTGCTGTACTTCCAGCCAGCATCTAGGCAAGTTTCTGGCACATATTCAGTGCCAATATTCATTGATGGCTATACAAGTTCTTCTCACATCTTTCACATATATGTGTTACTTTATTATTTGTGCCTGCCTTGAAATACCACTCTAAGTTATTCCAAGTCACCTTCCAATGAAATGTCTCACATCTGCTTTCTATTCCAAAAAGCTTGTCACTGTGTCAGGCAGTTTTTTGTTTGTTTGTTTTTAACCTCTCCAAGCTTCAGTGCACCTCTTAAAAAACAAAAAGAGGGTTATCAGAATAAAAGGTATAATGTATATAAAATGACAGTTCATCAAAAAATATTCCCTTTTTTCAGTTCATAGACACAGTATTAAACATCTATTAACTTCTGTTCCAAGTCCCCACTCTGCCTTATTACTTAATGCTTTGCTTCCTCAATATAATTCCTGATTAAGGGATCCTTAATTTTAGGCCTGCTAGTGCTAGAGACTGAGTTTACAATTTTCTAAAATAAAGCAAGGATAAAAATGCATTCCATTCAAAGTTTACATTCCTGGTGTTTAAAACCCCTTTTCTAAAATTAAATAACTCATTCTGAGGTTGATTTTATAGCCCTTTAAGACAGGGTCACGCTCTGTTTCCCAGACTGGAGTGCAAGTGGTGTGAACATGGCTCAGTGCAGCCTTGACCTCCTGGGCTCAAGCAACCCTCCCACATCAGCCCCTGAGTAGCTGAGACTACAGGCATGTGCTAACATGCTTGGTTAATTTATTTTTTGTGGAGACTAGGTCTTGCCATGTTGCCAGGCTGGTCTTGAATTCTTGGGCTCAAGTGATCTTCCTGCTTCAGCCTCCCAACGTGCTAAGATTACAGGTGTGAGCCTCCATGCCCAGCCTGTGTCACCGTTTAAAGCAGATCAACACTTTGATAATCCATCACTCAAATTGTCTCATACTATAGTATCCTAAGCCTCCGTATCTTTGGCTGTAAACAAGTAGACTTAGCTTGTTTAGATCAGATGCTATTTCTCTCCCTCAGATGTAATAGACCTGGACTACAACAGCTTACCAGTTCTGCTTCCATTCTTGTGATTATAGCACCTATTTTCAGTACAGCATATTTTATCACTCTGCTGCTTTCTACTTTAATGTCTTCCTATGGCAATTAGAAAAAAATCTAAATAAACTCCTTACCCTGGCTTACAATCTTGAGAGAATCCTGTCTTCTACCTCACCTCTTACCACTTTGCCACTCCTTGACTCACTCCATCCAGCCTCTCCCAGTTACCCTCCAAGCTTTTCCAGTTTTACAGACTGCATTAGCTAGTCCTTTTGGTGGCGTGCCCCTGCATTAAATGTCAACTCTAGAATATGTGACTGGGTAACACCTGCCTCAAGTTGCCACTGAGAGGCTTTGTATTATCTTAATGTTCTACATCACATTTACAACTACTTCCCCATTACCAAGTAACTACTCTCTGGGAGACCAATGGCCTATTCATTCATGTATCTTTAACATCAAGAATAGGTCCTAGTGCACAGAGGTGCTTAATAAACATCATTCAGGCCGGGCGCGGTGGCTCACGCCTGTAATCCCAGCACTCTGGGAGGCCGAGGTGGGTGGATCACCTGAGGTCGGGAGTTTGAGACCAGCCTGACCAACATGGAGAAACCCTGTCTCCACTAAAAATACAAAATTAGCTGGGAGTGGTGGTGCATGCCTGTAATCCGAGCTACTTGGGAGCCTGAGGCATGTGAATCACTTGAACCCGGGAGGCGGAGGTTGCGGTGAGCCAAGATCGCGCCATTGCACTCCAGCCTGGGCGACAAAGAGTGAAACTCCGTCTCAAAAAAATAAATAAAATAAATAAATAAATAAAAATAAACATTGTTCAGTGGTTGGTCTTCACTAAAACAATGAACTATATATAACAGAAATATCTGAAGAAAAAAATACGTATGCCAAGTCATTTATAGGAACCATGTATGGGCTGCATTATGGGAGTTCATTATTTTGGATCATCTGTATTTTCCATAATGTGCACAGCATGTATTTGTTTTTAATTGTGGTAAAATACACATATTTCATGTATTATTTTCAAAATAAAAAGAGCATAAGTCAAGGGAGCCAAACACAATGTACGAAGTTACAAACACTCCTAGCTAGACTGATCTTTTCAAGTCTTACATCAAAATCCCATAAAGCATTTCTCTAGCACTCCTGTCCCTCCTTTAAAGCTTTTTCCCCTCTTGTGTTCCTATCCTTCATATAACATTTTACTTCTCCAATTATACAAGTGAGGAACTTCAGATTCTTCAATACTACCCCTTTTCTCACCAAGACCTGGGCATATCACCTTCAAATCTTCCAAATGCATCAACTTTAGATTTCTAGCACTGCCACTCTAGTCTAAGCTATCATAGCTCTTGAAACCCTTTACCTGGTTTACTCCATCATTATTGAACTCCTTCAATTTGTTTACTCTGTAGCAAGAGACATTTCAAAATAGAAATCCTGTCACTAATTACCTTCCCCCTACACCTACCTACCTGCCAAAAATCACTAACTTCCCCATTGCACTTAGTTGGAATAAAGACCAACCTCTGTTAGGCCAACTAGACTCTGTACTGTCTGACCCCTAGCTATCCTTCCAAATAGGCACCCACTCAATTTCCTCATAGAGCTTCTTCAGGAGCCCTTTTAAGTACTTAAGAGTGGGAATCTTGTTTAATCATTTCCTTTTTTGAGATGGAGTTTCACTCTTGTTGCCCAGACTGGAGTACAATGGCGCAATCTCGGCTCACTGTAACCTCCGCCTCCGGGTTCATGCGATTCTTCTGCCTCAGCCTCCTGAGTAGCTGGGATTACAGGAATGCGCCACCATGCCTGGTTAATTTTTTGTATTTTTAGTAGAGACAGGGTTTCACCGTGTTGGTCAGGATGGTCTCAAACTCCTGACCTCAGGTGATCTGCCCACCTTGGCCTCCCAGAGTGCTGGGATTACAGGAGTGAGCCACCGTGCCTGGCTTTAATCATTTCTTAGTAGTACCTAGAACAGTGCTTGGTATTTTGAAGTTCAATGGTTAATGAATGAACTGAATAAGCCAGTGGAAGTTAGAATAACATGAACAAGTCTTGTGGAAGGGAAAATGGACAATAAGGGAGGAGGAAGACAGAAAGTATTGAATGGAAAAGATGAGACTTCAAACATTTCTAGGCTGATTAAATCAGAAAAAGAGGTGTTCATCATTACAGAGCCAGGTATACACAGGTTAAGTTGCATAGGAAAAAAAATACATTGTTTTGGACTTACCAATTTTGAATTATCAAAAGGGAACTAGCCAAAAGGATATTTAAAAAGACATGTTTGGAATGCAGGGTAGGTAGACAGTAGAAATGCAACTAAGTCAATAACAGCTAACACTGGCCAGGGGTGGTGGCTCACACCTATAATCCCAGCACTTTGGGAGGCCGAGGTGGGTGGATTACCTGAGGTCAGGAGTTCAAGACCAGCCTGGCCAACATGGTGAAACCCTGTCTCTACTAAAAATACAAAAATTAGCAGGGCATGGTGGCGGGCGCCTGTAATCTCAGCCACGCGGGAGGCTGAGGCAGAATTGCTGGAACCCGGGAGGCAGAGGTTGCAGTGAGCCGAGATTGTGCTATTGCACTCCAGCCTGGGGCAACAACAGCGAGACTCCATCTAAAAACAAAGCAAAACAAAACAAAAACACACAAAAAAACAGCTAACACCAGACATTTTAGGTGCTTTCCATGTTAACTCTGAGTCCTCATAATCACCCATCCCATTTCACAAATAAGGAAACAGGCACAGGAAAATGCTTAGATGGTGGAGCTGCCATGCAAGCCCAGGCTGTCTCCAAAGTTCTGCTCTTGACCATCATATAGCATATGGAATTTACTGAGTGGATAATATATTGAAGCCAGTGTAGTGCCTGGCCTAAATAGAACGATCCAGATAAATTTTGTGGGGAAAATAGACAAGGGACAGAAGGAACTAGTAGGGTATGGTGACAATAGAAAAACAGGAGCAGTGAGGCCGCGTGCGGTGGCTCACGCCTGTAATCCCAGCACTTTGGAAGGCCGAGGCAGGTGGATCACGTGAGGTCGGGAGTTCGAGATCAGCCTGGCCAACATGGGAAAACCCCGTCTCTACTAAAAATACAAAATTAGCTGGGCGTGGTGGCACGCGCCTGTAATCCCAGCCACTCGGGAAACTGAGGCAGGAGAATTGCTTGAACCTGGGAGACGGAGGTTGTGGTGAGCCAAGATCGAGCCATTGTACTCCAGCCTGGGCAATAAGAGCGAGACTCCATCTCAACAACAACAAAAAAAACCAGGAGCAGTTAAAATAATATTAATGTCACAAAAGTGAAAGCATTTCAAGGAGGCAGCCAGCTTCATCAAAATTTTAGAGGTCAGCCGGGTGCGGTGGCTCATGCCTGTAATCCCAGCACTTTAGGAGGCTGAGGGGGTGGGGGGCAGATCATGACGTCAGGAGATCGAGACCATCCTGGCTAACATGGTGAAACCGTCTCTACTAAAAGTACAAAAAGTTAGCCGGGCGTGGTGGCACACGCCTGTAGTCCCAGCTACTTGGGAGGCTGAGGCAGGAGAATTGCTTGAACCTGGGAGGTGGAGGTTGCAGTGAGTTGAGATCGCGCCACTGCACTCCAGCCTGGGCGACAGAGCAACACTCCATCTCAAAAAAAAAAAAAAAAAAAAAACTTTAGAGGTCAAAGACAAAGATCAGTTAATTTGGCCATTAACAGAAAGCTAGTAATGTTTCTGTTATTACTTAATTCTGAATCTGCACTTACAGTATTTTGCCCAATATTTGATAATGCTAAAAAGACTTTTGAAAAATTTCGTAAATTCTAAACTTCTTATATTTCCGAAGCATATGAAACATAATGTGTACAGGTACTACATAGATTAAAAGATTTTATTCCTTATCAAAAACTGCCAGAAACTTCATTATTTAGGAACTGATAATGTTGCAAATTATTTTCTATGTGAACATATTTAAATCACAAATTTCTTTCGTGACTTGTTTATCCAGTAATTGTAAATAAATAAAGAGCACTGGCATCAAACTGATCAAAACAGTCTTCTAACTAGGAAGTCTTATAAACACAAAATTAAAAAAAATCAAGGGTCTCTATTGATCTGTAGCTAAAATATAAGTTATGATGAGCAACTCAACCTCTTGAGTGGCTAAGGTTTTCAAATACGTTGTTCATATAAATTCCCGGGACCAAGTAATAATTTGCTCTTTTAAATTTGAACCTATTTTCAACAGTGTGAGATATACATTTTATCCCCTTTAAAAAATGTTTTTCCATTGCCAGAGTTGGATAAATTACATTATAATTAGAAGTCAGTTTACAAAAGGTTTAAGTCTTCCTTCCCCCCTAAGATGAAGCAATGGTTATTCTGGTTTCTCCCCAGTACAAGTTTGTGAAGACTGATTTAGAAATCTTAGAGTGTTATTAATAGCAGGTAAAATTCAACTATATCATCCCCTTTTAGGAAGGAAAAGGTTCAAGTTCTGAAATTACACATGCCTTAGGACCTCATTTTTCATTGAAAGCATGACTAAATATGGCTAATGGTTACATCAATATTTTTGGAGAGCTTGATAAATTAGTTCCAATTTCTGAACTTGAGTCATGTCCATTAACTTCAGGTAACCTCAATCTTCTCATCCCTTCCCTTCTCCTTTCTTGTGAGATGCAAGGCAGAAAATACTTTAGAAAATCCAAGGTTGTAATCTGCTTTAGATCATTCTCATCATTCTTACTACTTATTATTCTAACATTCAACCTGTATACCAGCAGTCTAACTGGACGGAATAGATCTCTTACAATGGTCAAGTGTTACTTAAATGTTTTACTTTTTTTATACGTATCAAATTTCACAAATAAATTGTTTTAAAACCCAACTGCTTATTATTCCCACTTAGTTTGTATGAAATGCAACTGGGAGAAAACATTTGGGAACAATAAAAACTATAGATTAAATTAGGGACATAGATAAATGCTGCAGACATCAGTAGTTTATTGTTTGTTTAGTCCAAACACATTCAATATGGAAACTCAAAGAATACTTTCCACCTGAAACAATTAAACTAGATTCTACTAGCATATAATGCTTAACACATTACAGCAATAAAGATGGTAATCCATTGTCTTCTATACCTACTAAAGCCAAGATGGTAAAGCCAATTTGGTTGCAATAGTGTCATAAGGATAGAATATTACCATCAAAAAATAAAACAAAATCAGCAAATAACAGTAATGGTAGATGAATATTTTTACTCTGTTTCACTGAAAAGAGGACAAAATGTTAAAACTCCACAGTACTGCAGGTGAACAATCACCATGTAAACTTCTCCATATGATGTTTTAATGTTTTATTCATGGTATGTAAAGACTGAAGCTGAATGGCTCTTTGCTCTACTTTTCTATTATTACACTTAACATTTGTCATTACTTTTGGTGCCAGAACAGTTTTCATGGATGGCAGGGCAATATCCTGAATTGGAAATTATATATATATATATATATATGGAAACAGAAATACAAGAAAATATGCTTGGGGGAAAAAAAACATTGACAATAAAACAACTGCTTCTTTAAAAGTAGTATTAATAAAGGCTTCAAAACTCCAAAGTAATTTTCTGGTAAGAATTTCAAGTACTATATCAGAAAGTATAAAACTGTTTCAAACAGAAAAAAAAAAAATCCTTAAGCCCCCCAAAAATGGAAACTATGAAAATCTGTGTCCCCAAAATATATGCAATAGTGCAAGACTTTCCCTCAAACATGGAAGACCTCATTCAAAGGGGGAAAAAGGGACAGATTTTACTCATATTGCCCAGTACATGAAAAACAAAATACATGCATCATTTGCTAGTTTACTAAATAGCAAACAGTTGCATAATTCAGAACCAATTTGCTACTATGTCAAGTGCATATCTTGTCTGTTTTACAAAGATAGAATGGAGAAGTCTTCCATGCTAACGAGCAGCTTTAAGTGGTCACACTTATTTACCCCACTCCTGCCTGAAACATCAGAAACTGGTATGTACTGACTGCTCCAAGCATAAAATTGGATAAGCTTTGCCATACTTGTGGTTTACTGGAACTTGCTATAAAGACAGACAATAATCCAGCAGCTACAAACTTTGCTCACAGAATTGTTTAAAGATTCATGTAAAAATAAAAGATGTCGTCCCAGACTTAAATTCAGGAGCCACTCGGGTGCTGACATCAGTTCAAGAATTGTGCAAAATGAATGACAGTTCCCTGCCCCCCAAATAGAAAATGCAAACACTTAAAGAGCTGCTGTTCTTTTCTCCGAAAATTGCAGTATCCTCACTTCAGGCTTACTTGCCATTTATAGAATCTGACTGCTTTTAAAATGTCACTAAAAATGTACGTCAAGTTGACTGACTTTTCCAAGCCCTGAAGTGATATGTTTCAACGTCCACATTCAGGCTAAGAGAAAAGTCAACTAGAGGCTTACTCAAATAACTGACTTCCTCCTTCCCTCTCCCCACAAACACACAGGACTCCCTCCCTCCCACAGAGAACACAAAGTTGTTAACTGAAGAACAAGATAAATAATATGCTAGTCCATTTTACTGATTTTAAAGATACTGCAATTTTTATACATTTCGATGATTTTTCAACATTTTGCAGCTGTTTGGCTTTGCAGCACAGCAATTCATACACTATACTGTACAAAATTACCAGCAAGACTGGAATGATGTATTAATAGAAGGCACCATCATGCTTATTACATTACCAGAGAACAAAAATACAGTAAAGACAATTTTCACTGTACACAGCTTAAAGAAAGGAAAAAAGGGGAGGAGGAGTGTGTTGAGCAGCCAGCCATCCCTGTACTGAAGAGGGGCAGGTAGAAAAATCTTAGATATGGAGCTACTAAATCTGGTCTAATAGTCAAGACCATCGCATTTGAAGTTCTAATTTTTATTATTTAGTTCATAACTAAAATGATTTCCTTCTGGAATATACTTGTAGTCTTGTTAAGGTTTATGTGTACACACGCTGGTCACAGCAAGCAGATAAAATGCCCTCATCATTTCACAAACTATTTTCTACTGGAAAAGAAGATGAGATTTTTTCCCTGTTGCCTCCTGTTGCAGATGTCAATGTTAATGAGTTCAGAGTACCCATTAGTACATTTTGATGAGTGCATAACAAGTTTCTGTTGGTTTGTATTTTTGGGGGGAGCCAAGAAAAAAGGCAAGATTCTCCAATTGCACAAATTGCACTATTTGTGTTCCCAGCATTAACAGGCAGAAACAGTAACACTTAAACAAAATGTGCAGCAGAAGATTTTTTTTTTACTCAAAGGACCTGAATTCAGTGGGCATGTCCTTTTAAGTTCACTTTGTCGTAGATAGTTTAAGATATGGTCATTTCTCAGTCCTTAATTCTCCAAGTCTAGATTTATAAATTAACAATGTGAATCCTGTTGTGAAATTGGGGAAATAATGTCCACCTCAATTTAACTGATAACCAAAGATGCTTTTCACATCAAAGAAATGATCAAAAAGGCTGTGTCACATTCCAAAGCCAAAAAAAAAATTAACAAGAATGCAAACACGATGAATAATGTACCACTGCCAAGACTTTGCCAACAGTGGAGCTTCAGCGACGCTGTCCTGTGAAGCGGCCCTCCATTTGCCCGGTTCCTCTTCCAGAGCCAAGTTTCTGTGCCATGCCACCCCTTGGAGGAGGTCCTCTTCCATCACGATCACGCATCATTCCACCACCCACAATTCCACGTGGACCACCGGGACCTCGATCATTGCGCCTAATATCCCTGCGATCATCACCACCACCTCTGGTTTCTCGCTCTCTTGCAGCTCTTGTTTTTTTCTCTTCCACATTTAAACGTACTTCCCCTCGAAACATAATCGGCTTTATAAAAGAGAAGAAAAATATTTACATGGGCAGGTTAGACAGCAATAGAAATGATTACTCTGAACAGGTCAGTCAGATAAGCATAAGGAATAAAACACTTTTATCAGCCCCCCACCCCCCAGAGATAGGGTCTCAGCTGTCACCCAGGCTGGTGACAGCCAGTGGCACAAGCATGGCTCACTGCAGCCTTGACATCCTGGGCTCAAGTGATACTCCCACCTCAGCCTCCTGAGTAGCTGGGATTATAGGTGTCTACCACCATGGCCGGCTATTTTTCTTTTTTTGTAGAGACAATGTCTCACTGTTGCCCAGGCTGGTCTTGAACTCTCCTGGGCTCAAGCAATCCTTCTGCCTTAACTTCCCAAAGTGCTGGGATTACAAGTGTGAGCCACTATACCCAGCCAAAATTCTTAACATGCAATCTTGCAATCTTTCCCACCTTCTTCAGCAAAGCAAGTAACAAAATTTAAAATGATCTGCAAACTAACAAATCTTTATTCTTTGCATAAATACCATTTAATAACTATTTTTAGCTTTATTATTAAAAGATTTTCTATGGTTTTTAAATACCCCAAATTAATATATACAACAGAAATAATAAAGTCTTGAATTATGCCCTTTAAATCACTTACTTTTGCAATTAAGATTCTCTGAACTGGTTCAGAGTCATCAAAAACCACAAAACCAAAATTTGGAAGCTTTCCCCCAACACCCTTGGTATTGATGCGAAGTTCCACAACGTTTCCAAAACCTGTGAAAATATACATTACATCAAGGGTTAAATATTTTTAACAGAATACCTTGATGGCTCTAATTGTTCAGGATGAATATCGTTATCTCCCCGATCCATTTTAAAATAAAACTCGCAAGCTTCTACACACAGTGATAGCCAAGGTACGTTTACTCAAGCAGGCAATCCCCTAAGATACCAAGTAGCCTGCCCGCCTGCTGTGTTACCTTTCTGCATCTTTGGTAGTCCTTTCATAAGTAAAGTTAACTGCATAATTTTGGAAAGACAATGTATTTTCTCCTAATATATTGACCCATTTGCCAAATGAATCCTTTATCTCTGAATTTATGACTGATTTATCCAGCTGTTTCTTCTAAACACTACTGAGCCAGGCCAAATCAACACTAAGCAGTCACTGAGAAACATGTGAGATAAGTCATCTACTCCCTTCTGCACAATTAAGGTGGGTCTGGTAGCTGGACACAGTATAAAGAGAGAAACATTTAAAAAAAATAGTTATTAAAAAAGCTCCATATGCCTCTTGCTTAATTTAAAATAATTTAAAAACTCCAACAGCAAAATAAATCACTTACTCATGAAGAATTCCTTTAGCTCATTTTCATCAATATCATGTGGCAAGTTACCAACAAAAAGTTGATGACTATCTGGATAGCGAATTATTCTACGGTTGTCAGAGTCATTCTGTTCCATATCTCCTCTGCCTGAGAATAGAAATAGAGCAGATACTAAAGTTTACAATATCATAAAAACTACTTCAAAGGAGTGAATGTAAAAATCACTTAATATTGATATTCCTGTTTTAGTTTAATAAGACTAGGTGAGCTTCTTGAAAAAGAGGCAAAAGTACTTATTACTAGTAGGTTAGAAAACAGCATGACACTAAAATGTAAAGTGAGGACAATGACTAGGTTGCTAAAATAGCTTCTTCTAGATCTACTGGATTATACAAAAATCAAATATTAGTACTACAGGTATTCCTCCTTAACCAAACTGTTGCCATCACCCAGGAACCAAGCAGATTTCAGATAGTGAGGTATAGCTTACTAAATATTTGCTTAGTTTTTTGAAATTCAAAATTCTTTGGCTTTATGACATTACAGCAATCAGTAAATTTTAACAGCAATCATCACATTTATGCAGTCTATACATATTAAGTGTGTATGTATATAGATATACATAAAATCTTATTTGATTCTCCCAATAACACAAGGAACACAGTGAGGAAAATAGGCAATACAAGAATAATTTGTGTAATATTTGACATAAAAGAAGCTCAGAATTTAAGGGTTTCACTCAAGATCCCAAGTTTAATCACTGACAAATTTAGGACTTCTAGTTTGGTAACATATCACTTTAAAAATTCACATTGTAAATGTGATATATACTATCTCCATCTCTCCCATCTCCTCCCCAAAGCAATCTAAACATTCTTACAGAGTTCAAATAAAAGTATTACATGTGTAGCTAACAAGGTAAACAAGTCAAAAATCATGGCAACTTACTTAATACCTAAGAATCAAAATGGGCTTATTGTTTATCTGTAAAGAGATAAGACTGCTAAGAGAGTAGGTTATTGGCAGCTTGGTTTTGAACTCTTAAAACCAGTGACTAGGCCGGGCACAGTGGCTCATGCCTGTAATCCCAGCACTTTGGGAGGACGAGTAGGGCAGATCATGAGGTCAGCAGATCGAGACCATCTTGGCCAACATGGTGAAACCCTGTCTCTACTAAAATACAGAAAATTAGCTGGGCCTGGTGGCGTGTGCCTGTAATCCCAGCTACTTGGGAGGCTGAGGCAAGGGAATCATTTGAACCCGGGAGACAGAGGTTGCAGTGAGCTGAGATCACGCCATTGTACTCCAGCCTGGCGACAGAGCAAGACTCCGTCTCAAAAAAAAAACAAACAAACAAAAAAAAAAAACAAAAAACCGTGACAATAACCAAATAAGACTTAAGTCTTTTACACCTTCAAAATATGTCACCATGGCATGTCAACCAATCCTCCCTAAAAATTGGTTATTTGGCCCCAGACACTATTTAGCAGGTTGCTCACATCACATCTTTAAGCAATTTGAGACTATATGGGTCTGTGTATAGAACGCATCATAGTTTTTTGTTTAAGTTCAGTCTTTTACAGCCTTACAAATGTTAAATGCTAAAGGCTATAAAGGAGCTGACTCACCTGGTCTTGGTCCTCTAGGAGGAAAACCAGGTCGTTCTCTAGGTCGTTGTTCACGCACACGAGGTGGCTGAGATTGAACTTCTGGTTTAGCTTCGACTCTTGGCTAAAATATAAAGAAAAAAAAACATTATAAAAAACACTCCACTGGAGAAAAACCAACCAAAGCACCTAACGACAAGTCACTAGCAGACATAACAGTAGTTTTAAGTTTAGAATGTTTTTAACATAGTGTCCTATGTATGAGAAAAATAAATTTTTATCAAGATATTCTGTACCAATCTAGGACTGTAGGTAGCTTTTGTTTTCCCACTTAATGCTGTGTAACTCACAATAAGTTGCTTTTTACAGTCACATTTTTTCATTAAAGTTATATCAACACTGAAATAGCATAAAAGGTATTGCTACCAAAAAAAAAAATCACAAAAATGCAAGATGAACCACTCCATGTAAATACATAAACAAAATTAAAAGCCATCTTCATCTTAGACAAGAATACATAACACATAATTTCTGAAAATCTAATTTGCTATCCTTCAAATGTAACAGTGCTCAGTAGTATTGCCTAAATCTCTGCCCATAACCTTAAAATCAGTATTTTTATAGTTCAAAGTATAAAAATTAGCTTGCTCTAACACCTGAAATTGCTACCTGTAAGGTTAAAATGCATGTTAAAAAAATGACAGAAACTTATAGGAACTTGTATGTAGCATCTCAAATAGTTAAAGTCCTTTAGCTCCCTACTGTTCTTCCTTATGAGAAAAATATGCATTTGAAGTATTGGTCCCAACGATTTTCCTTAACTAGGGGTCTGGGAGTAATAGGACAGTTTAAGATGCCTCCCAAAAGTTTCTGCCAACTGCTGAATTAAACATATAATTATTTTTAAAACAAAATTACATCGGCGTCTGCTATTACCTTTTCCTCAAGACAACAGCATTTTCAGTATTCCCAACCTCTTCAGACCTTCTACTACCCAAATATTTATGGTCCAAGGAGAGACAAATATATGAGCCTACAAAGGATGCTGAAAACACCCAACAGGATATGGAGAACATGTCCTCAACTCAGAAAGCTAGTAATTTCAGTCCCATCTTTAAAGATGGTCATCTCCATGTAATCCCAGCACTTTGGGAGGCCAAGCTGCGCGGATCACCTGAGGTCAGGAGTTTGAGACCAGCCTGCCCAATATGGCGAAACCCAGTCTCTACTAAAAATACAAAAAATTAGCTGGGTGTGGTGGCAGGCACCTGTAACCCCAGCTACTTGGGAGGCTGAGGCAGGAGAATCGCTTGAACCCGGAAGACGGAGGTTGCAGTGAGCCAAGATCACGCCACTGCACTCCAGCCTGGGCAACAAGAGTGAAACTCCTTCTCACAGAAATAAATAAGTAAATAAATAAAAAAGTGGTCATCTCTGAGGACCTCAGTCCATGCAGCGGCTCAAACTCTTTAATCATTTATATAACAGATATTGTAATTTACAAGGACAAATTCTGACACAAAAATGCTTCCTTCAGCCAGGCACAGTAGCTCATGCCTATCACCCCAGCACTTTGGGAGGCCGAGGCGGGCAGATCACCTGAGGTCGGGAGTTCGAGACCAGCCTGACTAACATGGAGAAACCCTGTCTCTACTAAAAATACAAAATCAGCCGGGTGTGGTGGCACATGCCTGTAATCCCAGCTACTAGGGAGGCTGAGGCAGGAGAATCACTTGAACCTGGGAGGCGGAGGTTGCGTGAGCAGATCATTGTACTCCAGCCTGGGCAACAAGAGAGAAACTCCATCTCAAAAAAAAAAAAAAAAAAAGCTTCTTTCAAAAATGACAATTTAATGTAAATGATTTCAGCCACTGTAACCAAAAGGAATATTAACTCCTATGCTAACAGTTTAACCAAGTTTGCCTGCCTCTTCCTAAATTCTGTTTTCCTCTATGTCAATGTCCTATTTCCCTCAAGATGAAGTTGCTTACCATATTCTAGAATTCTACTAGTTATAAAATGAATATTTTTAACTCTCTCCAGGTTTTGTTGTTATTTATATGTATTTACTCCTATAAAGTCTGTATCTTTTATTTTTTTAGAGAGACACAGTCTTACTCTATTGCCCAGGCTGGAGTGCAGTGGCACAATCATAGCTCACTGTAACCTCAAATTCCTAGGCTCAAGTGATCCTCCTGCCTCAGCCTCCCAAGCAGCTGAGACTACAGGCACGCCAGTGCCCAAGGCCCATATCTTAACTTACTTTTACATCACCCAAAGAACCAAGCACAGTGCTATTAGACACAGATGTTCAGTAACTATTTGTTCATTTAAATTAAATTACATTTTTAGTTCTCTGACCCAAAACATGCAGGATAATGTTCTATGTCTGACAAAGATACGTAAGTGACAGCCCTGAGACCACCGCTATCTGTATTTGGGGTTTAATTCTATATAATAATTTGATGCAAAATGTGATGCTGAAAAAGGCAGTTATTTAGAAACTTCAACTAAGGGGGTCTAAAGGCATACTTCAGTATGAATATAAACAGAATTAGAGAATAAACGTACTCTGTCAAAGTTTAATAAAGTGAGTGTATTACTGGCAATTAATAAAAACACTAAATGCACCTTTATTACAAAATTTAAGAAAAACCTTAGACTCATTCAATCCAAATGTTATCAAAGAACTTGAGGCCCTGGTCTTGACTGATTTAAATTCTTTTCAAAACAGATTATCAAAACACGAGTAACTACAAGTAGCAAAATAAAGTTCTTCCTTATTCTTTAAGGATGAAAATTAAAAACAGATAAAGTTAAATATTAATAATTTCCAACATCTTACAAATAATTCATGCCATTGATTTAGGAATCTGACTTTAAGTAGATATCTGATGATGCCAGTTTAAGAAAAATACAAGAACAAAAAGCTAACACTGTCCCTTTCAGTAACTGATTGACATATGTTAACTAAGTCAGCTGCATACTTATAATTCTTCAGGTCTCCAGTTTCATGATTAAAACTAGTTTTTCTGAACAGATAACATGGCCAATATGCCACACAGTAGAGGGCCTTAAAATTAATTCCATGCAACCAGAAAGTATGATCAAATGACAAACCCACAAATGAAGGTCAAACAGAATATGAAGTAAGTACAGAACCATCAAATCAAGTCAATAAAAGCAGGTATAACCACAAATAATAAGCCCTTCAATTAAACATAAGCTTTGTAGGTGAACTAGTCAATTTCCAGACAAAATATTTTATTCAAGAAATTAACTTACCTACTTCTAAGTTAATGCCTACCAATACCCTGGAATTAACTTCCTTTTATCAATAATCTATGTTCAAAGTACAAGGAAATGAATACTACACAAAAGTAACAAACTAAAATTGAAGGATTATTAAATCAAGTAGAAATATCATGAATCCATTTTAAGTATAGCCTAAAGACATTAGAACGTTCTTTTAAAGTTTAAATTCTAAACATTTAAAATTTTTGTTTTATTAAAGGGGTGGCATAGGAAATACAACTTCATTTCCTACAACTAACTTTGAAAATATATTTAAGGCAAACTACTTGAGATAAATATGAAGGTATTTTTCTGGGCAAGAGACTAGGATTTAATCAGGCATGTCTTAAGAGTCCTCTTTGATGCAAATACAGATAAGATACATGACTCTGCAGCAAGGTGCTGGAGAATTGCATAAGGTTTACATGAGGCTGGGCGCAGTGGCTCATGCCTGTAATCCCCACCGTTTGGGAGGCCAATGCGGGTGGATCACTTGGGTCAGGAGTTTGAGACCAGCCTGGTCTACATGGTGAAACCCCGTCTCTACTAAATATACAAAAATTAGCCAGGCGTGGTGGCGGGCACCTACAATCCCAGCTATTCGGGAGGCTGAGGCAGGAGAATCACTTGAGCTGGGGAGGTGGAGGTTGCAGTGAGCTAAGATAACGCCACTGCCACTACCACTGCACTCCAGCCTGGGCGACAGAGCGAGACTCTGTCTCAAAAAAATAAACGTTTACATGAGCCACATATGGACTCATGTCCCACTGCATGACTTCAAAGCCCAACCCTACTATGTACATAAATGTCTGTGAGTTACTCTAGACCTCAATTTTTTGATCTCTAAAACAGAAACAATAGTACCCACCCTGACAGGGTGGTTGTGAGGATTCACTGAAAATGAACAAAAAGTGCTTCACACAATGCTTGGCGCATATCAAAGGCATAAGCACTAGCTATTTTAACTTTTAACTGTTTAAACTCTCTGAAATGAAATAATCCAAAGGTTCCAAATCCAAATCTGATAGGAAATGAAGATTCCAAAAGAAGGGCCAAAAGTTATTTATTGGGTCTTCATATGGGTAGAAAAGCACAAAACAATACTGCACAAACTAATTTCCTTTGTTAAGATGGAACTCTGGGTGACCATCTTACATAAGGGTAACCACGCATTGCCTGAATACCCAAATGAAAAAAAAAAAAAAGTATCACGGGCGTATTCTACTTTTATGTAGCTGATTATGTGTCCCAACACCAAAAAACTAAAAATTACTACTTTTAAAACCTCAAAATTTCACTGCTTAGAACATATAAAAGATACATTTATATACTAACATTTCAAACATAAATTTTCTAGTGGAATGAAGTTTAATGCAAAATGTAGGGAAAAAATTGGACACCCTTTATATGCTGATAAACTTAATTAGAATTTAGTTCATTCTAAACTAAATCTAACAAACTTCTTAGGTAGGCAGTGTCTTATTTTCACATTTTTGAAAGCTCTGAAATGGGTAAGATGACAAACAGACAAAAAGCAGAATACTAGAATGATCAGTTAAGGTGAACACTACAGTCATAAGTTGGTACAGGCTTCAATTAAGTGGTGTGAACCACTTACACACTGAGAGCTTAGGCAGCGTATGTTAAAAAGTTTCCTGGTTTTTTTTTTTTTTGCTTTAAAAAAAAAAAAAAAAACAAAAACGATTCTTTATTACGCCACACTACTTTGTGCCTCTCCGAATTTCTTACCTAAAATATTTTTGCTAAATAGAATTTGAAGCTTTTGAAAAAGGAACATTCTTTTTGTTATTTTAAGAAGCCTTTTAAATGACAATATTATATACTGGTAAAAACCAACTTAATCTGTATTTCACACACCCAAACCCCAAATACCACCTATGTAGATGATGAATGGAGATTTGACATTTAAAGTGGGTGCACTGACATATAATACAAGTTTTTTGTATATTTAATCCATAATTTCTGATTGACTCATTTTTAAAAGTATTTTAAAAATAAGCAATTGGCAATGTAACAAGGATACAATCCAATGTGTTCACAGATTGGTTACCTGTGAGACTGGTGCTTTAACATGGGGTGGAATTCCAGAGGAAGAAACAGTACCACTAGGAGGCAGGTTTTTACTGGTCACTGAAGCCCAGGAGAAAGCCTGCAGGAAATGCAACAAACCTAGACTACTAATCATGGAAAACCACCAACATTCCTATAGGGAAACTTCCAAATATATATTTTCTTTTCATTTCTAAACTATTGCTCTATATTGGAAGACTCCTAAAAGAAAGGCACACACACACATGCCAGTCTATGTGCCAGCTTTCAAAATCTCATTATGCAAGCTTATTTATAACTTTTGTCTGACTACTAAGTAAAACCATAAGCAAGTTCCTACGTACTCTAAGTAGATGAGCAAGTGGCAAACAAAACCACTAACAAACATGCTAGAAAAACCTGAACCTAATAGAAACAATTTATTTCCCCTTTGGGGGTAAGATAGGGTGTGTGATGGTGTTAACGGGAGAGGGAAGGATAGGAAAGAAGAGAGTATTAGCTGGAAACTCTGACATTCACAAATTGAACAAAGAATCTCCTCCTATCACCACTCAAATATACTTTAACCTTTGACTTTGAAGAAAGATAAAAGAAGTTTCAGGTAGGCTTACATGATACACTAAGGATGTCACTCATCTTTCCAAGATAGTTTAATTGGTGTAGAAAGGAAACTGATCCCATTTAAACCACAAACAACAGGTATCTCTTCTTTTAATTATAGACCAACTTGTTTAAGTTGGGAAACTGCATGATTCCTGGTGCATCTGTGCTCAGAGAATTTAATACAGAATGAAAGAACAACTGACAGCTCTATACATGGATCCAAATAATTTCATATAAGTTACTAAACAATGCATACAGACAAGGATTCATCTTAAGTTATAAGTTTCACTCTTAGAGGGGTATTTTGCGGGGCAGGGAAACAATAACATTTTCTCAGGTAACAAACAAACCCCACAGCTTCTTTCATATACATAAAATAATTTACTAAACAATTTAACATAATAGAAAAAGGTCATACTTCATTAACAGCACCAAATTTGAACATGTGATGTTGTAAGTCTAAAGAGTTCTTTGATCTAACCTTTGGTGGTTCTTGTGGCAGAGAAACAGGTTCTGCCGGAGGAGGAGTAGTAGATTTCTCCTCTAGTTCTTCTAAGTTCTTCTCCTCCACTTGTGGTTTCAGCTCTTCAGTCTTTGTTTCAGATTCTGGCTCAGGTTCAGGTTCATGAGAGGATTCTTCCAAAGGCTCCTCTATGCCATTACTACAATAAAATATTTAGTTCACTTTTTAGTAGGAGTTCAAGTAAGAAAAAATTCAATTTCTCTCTAATCCAATGGGTGTAACTAGTTATATGCCAATAACTTGTTCTAGATCTACAAAGTATTCAAAGCAAAATTCCAAAAAGAGCTATAAGACAGAAGGAATAATACTCTCAAGTAGCAGTTCTTTAATCCCACCATTTCAAAACTGAATTACTAAGAATGTTTACTTTAGTGCTAACTATAAACCTTATCTTTTATAAAAATAAAATGCTTACTCTGTGTTGTCTTCAACACTCTACATTATCAGTAAGGAACCACTGTTTTGGTGCAAGCCATGTTCAATTTTTGTATTAAATAAAACCATTCTTTCCAAATTTCTTGCATATACACAATAGGTACTCAAATACTGACATAATAGGTGGTTTTATCAAGAATTTACTTTCAACAATAATTCTAGGAACAGAAACCACCTTGCTGACATAGTTCAGACCAAATTTAACCTTGCAAATAGTATGCTTACGTCACAGGGTGAGCTTCATAGTAACCACTGTTAGCATTTTCTTGCACAGGTTCAGGAGATGGTTGTCTTTCTTCTTGTTCCTCTTCTACTTCATCTTCTGATTCTGAAAATACATAATACAGCACATCTTTTTTAAAGAGGCTTCACAATTTCTAACGGACATATTTTTAACATGTTTAAGGAAGTGGTATGATAGCAAAAAAGAAAATTTGACAATTTTCTTTCCTTTTTTTTTTTTTTTGAGATGGAGTCTTGTTCTGTTGCCCAGGCTGGAGTGCAGTGGTGTGATCTTGGCTCACTGCAACCTCCGCCTTCTGGGTTCAAACGATTCTCCTGCCTCAGCCTCTTGAGTAGCTGGGGTTATAGGTATGCACCATCATGCCCAGCTAATTTTTTTTTTTTAAGTAGAGATGGGGTTTTCACTGCATTGGCCAGGCTGGTCCCGAACTCCTGGCCTCAAGTGATCCACCCGCCCTGGCCTCCCAAAACACTGGGATTCCGGGCATGAGCCACCGCGCTCGGCTCCAATTTTTTTTTTTTTAATAACAAAGGCATTCAACTACAATATCCCCTGTTCTCTCAAAAACTGGAGAGCAAGGATGAAGTTTAATATTTATTGTACTCTATTAGAAAAAAACAAATCTTTCAGTAAAAGGAAAAAAGTTATATTAAAGCCACAATTTAGCTTCCTTTGTAACATATATTTAATAGAGCAATAATGATAAAGAAACTAACCACTGTACATCAATGGAAGATCAATTAAATAATTACGGCATAGCCACAACATAGACAGCCAACAAAGACATATTATTACATTAAAAAAAAGGAAGCTTTGAGTCAGTGTAATTCCACATTTATAAAAATACATGTTGCCAAGTATAGAATCCAAAAACCTTCTCCAATAGGCACCAAACTTGGTTATCTACAGAGGATGAGACTGAGGGGAACCTTTTTCCTTGACATCCAAATTTTGTATATTTTCAAACAATGGACATCTTTTTGTAACAACGACAACAACAACAAAACCATGAAAAAAGGATGTTTGACACAGTTACAATAAAGCAGCAAATTTCCGTAGATGTCATACTTATAGAAATTAGTCCATAAAGAGTACCAACAGAACCCTTCTATCTTCATATCTTCAAAGTAACCTCACCTTCATCAAGTTCAGGCTCAGAATCACCAAACACTTCATCTTCATAACGAAACATATCATTGTGAACATAAAATTTATTTGGAACAGATCCCTATAGGAAACAACATTTATTCCATAAATATCCAGAAATCTGGTATTATATAAAAGAGCAAATTACATGGCATACACAATTTCTCATTTTAATACTAGAGATCTTGACTCAATATAATTTTCCAATGCTGAACATGCTATGATGTTTATATAAAATAAAAAGGTCACTCAAAAAAACATAATAGCAAAACTCGCAATTACTTTTGCACCAACCTAGTAGAACTCAAGAAACAGCTATTTAATAGAAAAGAAACCAAAAGAACTCTTCTATTTTGTTTTCAAATGTAACCTTTCAAATATACCAATATATTTTTTGTATTAATGTAATCTTAATCATCTATTTACAAACTTGTATCAGTATTTGATTTTTAATTCCAAATAGTCAAAGCACATGTACACACACGCACTCACTCAAACAACAGGTCAAACACAAATTCCCCAAAAATAACAATATGCAAATCTAAACCTATTAGAAGAAACCTCTGGACACTTCAACCAACTAGCAACCATATAAATGAAAACTAAGTGAATTGAGAAACTTACTTCAGGAGCCAGAACAAAGGTTTGCATAAACTTTCTTTCTGGTTGTCCACTGTTAGACAGCAAACCCATGACCTGGACAACTACTCCATCACTCAAGGTTGCATGAGCATCCACATGACGAATTTTAGTATGACATTCACTGAAGTTCAGAGATAATACTTTGTGGTGTATATCCTTTATTAGGGAGGGAGGGAAAAATATAAACTCTGTGATACTGCATTACCTACACAATAATATTACCTACCCTCATTGATTTCCTTACAACTCTGCAATATTAACTAATCTTCCTGAACTGAATCCAACGACCATGCTGTGCATCACTGCCAGAATGATGTTCCTAAAGAAGAAATCACAATAGCTCTCCAATATTGTGCAGTAATCTGGGCTTTATACAGCTTTCTCCCACTTTTCTGTAGTAAGTATTTGGTCATTCTCACAAATTGTGTTGACGGCTCCTTGAACTTACACATAATTTTACTGTGTGTTTGCTGATGCTATTTTTTGTCTACTTATAATTCCTTATTTGGTAAGGCCAAATCTTGTGGTCTCACATCCTCTACACAAAGTCTTCCTTCCCTGTTAGGCCATAGGAAACATACATTTCTGTGCATTCCTATAGCATAGGGTTTAGCTCAGATTTGTATAAACTTAATACACTGTCTCAACTATCTCATGTATAAAATACATCAATGATATAAAACATACCATTTTCTCCTTTGTAGCCATCGTAATATAACACCATGTTTCATACAAAAATGATGTTTAAGAACTCAAGCATGTTTGACAATTATTGTCAAACTGAACAACTATTGACAATTTATGCTGACAATTACTGTCAAACATAAATTTCAGTTACCAATAACAATCATATTGGGGAAAAAAAAAAAAAGCCGGCCGGGCGCGGTGGCTCACGGCTGTAATCCCAGCACTTTGGGAGGCTGAGGCGGGCAGATCACCTGAGGTTGGGAGTTCGAGACCAGCCTCAACATAGAGAAACCCCGTCTCTACTAAAAATACAAAATTAGCCGGGTGTGGTGGTGCATGCCTGTAATCTCAGCTACTTGGGAGGCTGAGGCAGGAGAACTGCTTGAACCTGGGAGGCGGAGGTTGTGGTGAGCTGAGATCGCACCACTGCACTCCAGCCTGGGCAACAAGAGCAAAACTCCGTCTCAAAAAAAAAAGAGAAAGAAAGAAAGAAAAAAAAAGCCATGGACACAAGAAGGCTATTTTTTAAAATCTCCATCTTAACACAAAATTTCTAAACTACATATGAAATTGATACTTACATTTTGGCCATAAACAGCTTCCTGGGGCTTTCCACTAGCATCTACTCCACCATGAACATAGGAAGAATTCCTGCCATAAAACCTGCAAAACCATAATTAATGATTAACACTGAATTGTCAAGAGAAGCCTAAGAAGCAGAATTCTGGTGTCATAGACTAGGTTCCGGATCCCGCTCTGTCACTAATTAGTTGCGTGATCTTGGACAGGTAAGTTACTTAAGGTCTTCAAGTTCAGCTTCCTTGGTTATAAAACAGGAACAGGAACTACTCCATATGGTTGTTGTAAGGATTAAATGACTAATGCACATAGAATGCTTAGTTTATCTGGCACAGTAAGTAGACAATCATTAGATATTCACATCTATTTTTTGTTAAGTGGAAAAATCGGATATTTTTGATGATTTAGTACATTCTAAATACAGATGCTATAGTAATTGACCCTGTTTTTTTCTTCAGATACAAAGACTCAGCTACCTAGATTTGTTTGGGAATCAGAGTTTAATACTGTATCCAGATCTCCAAATGATTACTAACTCTAAAGGCTTAAACTGTTTAGATTTAAAATAACTGAAATAATTCAGAGACCAAGTCTAAAATCCAAAATTACGCCAGCATCTAATTTCTTTTTAATATTTTTGTACTGTTCTTAAGTATGTGTAAATTAGTCTTTTATTGGCATTATCCAAAGCAATTAGAATTAACATCTTTCTAAATTAAGCTCAAAGATGTGAAGCTAATTTTTTCACAATGAAAACACAACTCCTATAGTAATAAAACATGTAAGAGCTTCCTTTATGCTAAGCAATGTTTTTAGTGTATTATGTGTACTGATTCACTTAACTTTCTTAACAATCTCATGAAGTGCTATTATCTAAATAAACAAGCTGAGGTTCAGAAGAGGTTAAATTAACTCCCCTAAGGTAATATACCTATCAAGTGGGGCACCCAAGATAAGAACCTAGTCAGTCTAACTTGAGAGTCCATGCTTTTAACCACTACTCTTATCATTAAACTATTTTCTCTCATGTACTACTGGCAATGTTTTCTACAGAACAGTTTGGCTGTGTGTGTATACACATGAAAAGCCTCAGAATGATCATCTCTTTGATGCATTAATTCTTCCAGGAAAGTATCTTAAGAAAATAACTAACTAGCAACGTGCACAAATAATGCATGTTTCAGGATATTCATTAGTGTTGCTTACCACAAGTGGAAAATTATAACAACCTGAATTTTCATTAAGAAAGAAATTGGTCAAATAAGCTAGGTCTAAAACAGAAGTCAGTTACTGTTTAAACATGATGGTGTAGGGCCTTATTGTTTTAAAATTTGTTCTTGGTCACTAAAGAAAACAAAAAACCCTGTATCATGAAAAGACCAAATTTCAGATATCAAAAGGCCCTATTAATTATTTATCTTCCCCCAAACTCCCTCACATACATTGTCATAAAAAAATCTTTATTTTTACAATTAGAGAATGACATGCAGTTATTCATTTTGCATTTATTTGAGGGGAAGATACATGTTAGTTACACTTTATATATATACTACATTCTAATAGAATGGTTGGGGACACTACTCAAAACTGGGCCTGAATACTGGCTATGGTTAGCTTGTTTACTTACTGAGTGATCCTAGATGAATTACTAACCTCAACTGTCTAATAGGTAGAGAGCTAATAAAAGTAACTTCACTTTAAGACTGTCATAAGGAATACATAATATACATACGTAAAGTAATTACAAATAGAGCCAAGCAAACAGTAAATATAAAAATGCCTCAAGTAAGACAGATTACACGTATGTTCAACAGAGCAAGACAAATTGCTACTAAAATGCTAATTAAGATGACCTACAGATAAAGGAATTTAAGTCTTTTAAACAGCCTTTCTCACAGTAAGTGGCAATATATTTATCCTTAACCCATCTGGCCAGTGTGTTCTGCAATACTTACAAAGTCTAATTCTTGTAAGAGTTTCACCTATCTTCTACTTGCTAAGATACACCAAGAAGAACAAAAATTAAATACTACACATAATATAAATCAATTTCACTTCAATCTCTGGAAAAAACAAGCCTACAGATGTCCACTTCTTGTTAAAACAGTAAATAAGGTTATTGCTGCTGTTTTACAAAGGAATACTATTTTACAGATTAGAAGAAATACAAATTTTCACAGTATAATCATTTAACTGATTCATCCCCCAACACTGTTTGGGAGAACTTTAAAAAAAAGATTTAAGCTGTTGATTTCAAATTGCATATTGGAACCCATTAGTTGGTCAAACCCAAGATATGGTCTTTTGAGACGAAGCCTCACTCTGTCACCCAGGCTGGAGTGCAGTGGCACGATGCTCGCTCACTGCAGCCTCCACCTCCCAGATTCAAGCAATTCTCCTGACTCAGCCTCCTAAGTAGATACAACTACAGGCGCCTGCCACACACCCGGCTAATTTTTGTATTTTTAGCAGAGACGAGGCTTCACCATGTTGGCCAGGCTGGTCTCAAACTCCTGACCCTCAAGTGATCCACCTGCCTCAGCCTCCCAAAGCGTTGGGATTACATGAGTGAGAGAGCCACTGTGTCCAGCCTCATGTAAACCTTATATAGTTCTCCAGCACCTGCCCCCAAAGTTTGTTTTTTTTTTTTTTTAATGAAATAAAGGTCGGGCTTGGTGGCTCATGCCTGTAATCCCAGTACTTTGGGAATGCAAGCTGCAAGCTGGGAGATCGCTTGAGGCCAAAAGTTTGAGGCCACAGTGGGCTATGATCATATCACTGCACTCCACCCTGAGTGACAGAGGAGACCATGACTCTAAAAATAAAATACTAGAGTACATATAAGAATAAGCGTGTGCATATATAGATATGAATGTGTTATGTACCAGAATATGACATAAAATGTTTTTATTACTGTGAGTTGCAGTTAAAAACACTTTTTGCCATCAAATGAATAAAATATTGAATACAGTTTAGACATGTTTACAAAGATACTGTCAGATAATGAGGAGACAGGAAATGCAAAATATATATAGTCATACCCAAGAAAAAAAGTAGATAAAAATACCAAATTATTTGTTTAAAATTTACCTGTGTAAATATTCCGGAGCTTTATTCAGCAAAGTATAATATTGCCTCACAAACTCCCGCCCTACAAGCAGCGGACTGGGCTTCTCCATAACCATTTCTTTGCTGCACAATGTCAAATGCTGAGGGAGCAAACACAAGAATAACTATTAAAAAGTCATCTTTGTCATCAACCACCATGAAATAAATTTTCTTTTTAGCCAAATTTAGCAGTGGGGAGTTGTATACCAATTTTAGTGACACTAATGTTAATAAGTTCTGATAACCCACTACCATCAGACTAACCTGAAATAATTTTTTTTTTTTTTTTTTGAGACGGAGTTTCACTCTCCTTGCCCAGGCTGGAGTGCAATGGCGCAATCTCAGCTCACTGCAACCTCCGCCTCCCGGGTTCAAGCGATTCTCCTGCCTCAGCCTCCCGAGTAGCTGGGATTACAGGCATACGCCACCACACCTGGCTAATTATGTATTTTTAGTAGAGACGGGGTTTCTCCATGTTGGTCAGGCTGGCCTCGAACTCCTGACCTCAGATGATCCGCCCGCCTCGGCCTCCCAAAGTGCTGGGATTACAGGCGTGAGCCACCGTGCCCGGCCTAACCTGAAATAAATTTTCTTAGTCATACAAATGGGAACAAAATTAATGCCACTATTAAAAAGCAACTTACAACAAATAGCAAAACAATACATTCCTAACTACTACTATCCATAAGGTAACCTCCAACATTTGTGTCTCCCTTTCTCTCTCTTTCTTGATTTCCCTACCCTTCGGTAAAGGGAAATAGCATCTTTGTTCAATTTCTTATCCCCAGGAGGTCCAATGCTGCCTCAGACTACGTACAAGTCCTTCTATTCACAGTGCCTTTTTCCTTTGGGGACCAAAATCTACTACATTCCTGGATTCCAGTGGTTTTATCCTAGGAAGCAAGACAGAGGGCCCAAGTTAAGACTCAGAGATAACACTCATGGCAAAGCACCATGACTTGTGTTTTTGTATTCTCTTTCCTTCTGGGAATTAATTTCACCATTTTCAAAATGGTAACAATGATTAATCACCAGCTATAACTTCAGTACTTAGAGAGAATCATTTTTTACCTTTGATATTATGTCTCTCTTTCTTTCCACTAATTAAGCATCTAACTACATGAGATACTGTTTATAATAAATGAAATACTCTAGTGAACAAGATAAGTCTCTAGCCCTCAAGGAGTTTATAGTCTGTCAAGAAATATAAACAAGCAAACTGGAAACTTAACAGAATGGGTTAGGTGCTATGATAATGTGCCTCAAAGTTAAAACCAACAAGAACAACTAACATGAAATAAATACAATTTCCTATTTTTGTCTTCTGAGACAGGGTCTCGCTCTGTCACCTAGGCTGGAGTTTAGTGGTGCAATCATGGCTCACTGCAGCCTCAACTGCCAGGCTCAGGCTCAGGCTCAAGCGATCCTCCCCGCTAAATCTCCTGAGTGGCTGGGACTATAAGCATGCACCTGGCTAATTTTTTTAAATTTTTTAATTTTTATTTTTAGCAGAGACGAGGTCTGGCTACAATGCCCTGACTGGTCTCGAACTCCTGGCCTCAAGTGATCCTCTCACTTCAGGTGTGAGCCACAAACAAAACTTATCATTTACTGTAGGAATATAATCCCCAGGGCCAGGTACGGTGGCTCACACCTGTAATCCCAGCACTTTGGGAGGCAAGGCGGGTGGATCACAAGGGCAGGAGTTCAAGACCAGCCTGGCCAAGATGGTGAAACCCCATCTCTACTAAAAATAAAAAAATTAGCCAGGTGTGGTGGTGGGTGCCTGTAATCCCAGCCACTCCGGAGGCTGAGGCAGAGAATTGCTTGAACCCGGGAGGCGGAGGTTGCAGTGAACCAAGATCGCGCCAGTGCACTCCAGCCTGGGCGACAGAGCGAGACTCGTCTCAAAAAAATAAAAAATAAAAATATGAAATATAACCTATTTTATTTTTGAGATGGAGTCTTGCTCTGTTGCCCAGGCTGGAGTCCAGTGGTACGATCTTGGCTCACTGCAACCTCTGCCTCCCGGCAGAGCAATTCTCTTGCCTCAGCCTCCCGAGTAGCTGGGACTACAGGCACGTGTCACCACACCTGGCTAATTTTTGTATTATTAGTAGAGACGGGGTTTCACCATGTTAGCCAGACTGGTCTTGAACTCCTGACCTCGTGATCCACCTGCCTCAGCCTCCCAAAGTGCTGGGATTACAGGCGTGAGCCACCGTGCCCAGCCACCTGTTTTATTTTAAAAAGACCTATTAAACTTAAAAGTACTAAAAAAAAAAAATCATAATTCCTAAGCATGTATCTACTGGGTAAATCAGGATGCAGTTGAAATTCCTGCTTAGCCAGGTGCGGTGGCTGACGCCTGTAATCCCAGCACTTCAGGAGGCCAAGGTGGGCAGATCGCCTGAGGTCAGGAGTTCGAGACCAGCCTGGCCAAAATGGTAAAACCCCTTCTCTAGTAAAATACAAAAATTTGCCAGGCGTGGTGGCTGGCGCCTGTAGTCCCAGCTACTTGGGAAGCTGAGGCAGGAGAATCGCTTGATCCCAGGAGGCAGAGTTTGTAGTGGGCCAAGATCATGCCTCTGCACTGCAGCCTGGGCAACAACAGAGTGAGGCTCCATCTCAATAAATAAATAAAGTCCTGCTTAAACTTCAGGTTGAGCTGGGAGGATCATTTGAGATCAGGAGTTCGAGACCAGCCTGACCAAGATGGTGAAACCCCATCTCTACTAAAAATACAAATAATTAGCAGAGCTGATGGCACACACCTGTAATCTCAGCTACTCAGGAGACTGAGGCACAAAAAATCACTTTAACCTGGGGGACAAAGGTTGCAGTGAGCCGCGATCACACCACTGCACTCCAGCCTGGGCAACTGAGTAAGACTCTGTCTCAAAACAAACAGACAAAAAAACACTGCAGGCTGGCACAGTGGATCATGCCTGTAATCCCAGCACTTTGGGAGGTGGAGGTGGCAGGAAAGCTTGAGGCCAGGAGTTCAAGACCAGCCTGGCCAACAGAGAGACCCCATCTCTATACAAAAAATTAAAAATAAAAAGTCAATTTCCATGTGTGTTTACTTTAAATAACTAAAACAATTTCAGAGACAGCCCTGCATAGGTCATTAAAATTGTGATGCTGTTTTTAATAAAAATCAAATACCAACTATAGTAGAGCTTACAGATAGAGTGTAGCTTTACATAATTCTAGTGACTCACAATTCAACTTCTACATTATGTTTTTAGGTTCCTTGTTTCTTCCTTTCCAACAAACTATCCCTCCTCTAACTGTCCTTCTTAAACTCTCAAACTTGATTTACAAAAATCCCCAAATCTGTTTAAAATTTTTTATAATGCCTCACTTGCTTTCAAAAATAGTTAATTCACAAAGAGCAGATCCAAATACTGCCATTTCAGGTGTCATTGATTTTCCAGAAAACTTAAAACTCCCAATAAGGGTAACAACCCTAGTGCAAAAAGGACTCACATATGCTACATTTAAAGTAACAAAGCACTGGGCTGTGGCTCACGCCTGTAATCCCAGCACTTTGGGACGTCGAAGTGGGCAGACTGCTTGAGCTTAGGAGCTGAAGACCAGCCTGGGCAACAAGGCAAAACCCCATCTAAAATTAGCCAGACATGGTGGTGCACACCTGTAGTCACAAACACACAAACACACACACACACACAAACACACAAACAAACACACACACACACACACACACACACACAGCTAAGCAACTAACATTTTTATTTTGAATAATGAGGGTGGGTAAAGAACAGTAGACTTACCTGGTAAAATTTAACAAGATAACTAAAACATGGAAATTATATGTATTTTAACACCATAAAAACTGATGGTAAAATAATACTAACACATGGGAAAATACTACATTACTCTCTGAACAAAATAACTATACACAAAATAGTTTTCTTTAAATTGATAGTGACAGAAATACTATTAGGAATTTCCGGGTTTGGGAATTGTTTTCTTCTCTCTGGATTTCCAGATTTTCTACAGGAACACTGTTGTCATTTATCCCAAATTTCCCATCATATTCATAGAGTACATACTGATCTATCATTTTTGTCACTTACATATTTGTTTCTCAAACCAAAATAAAATGGTACATAATACATATATAATATCACAGGTCAAAATGCTCTAAAGATTTGTTGTAACAAGGTTCAAAAAAAGCTTCAAATTGCCCACTATCTACATGGTCACTGAAGTATAATGGCCAACATACCATCAATTTAGAACAGAGAGACAGGGAAGGGCAGTAGAAGTAATATTTGATTAATCAATACTCAATAAATTAATACTTAGAACTATTGGAAGGCAGTAACTTGAAAAGTTAACTTCAAATGGTAAATAAGTAAGGCAATGCTAATCTGGTAAAATCTAAACAGGCATATAACAGGTTATATAGAAAGCTGAGCTTTTAAGGTGCAGAGGAGGCTCCCAAAGGAATGGTAAAACAAAATCAAGATTTACTGAGAGAACAGTGTTTCAACTAATTACATCAGTTACTTCTTTAACCATAACTCCGATTTGAAGTGACTCAGAATTTAGAGAGCCAAAATATAATTGATAGAAATCAACCAGAAAATGACTACTAGAGATCAACCATCAAACAACGTGGTTTGGGTATTGCAGGAAATAAGACTATGAAAATTGAGTAAGTAATATAAAGTTCGTATTTATAATTCATGCAGTGTACGTAAGAAGGTTGAGAAAAAGGAAAAAAGCCAAATTACACTTTCAGAATAAAAGTGATTACAAGAAGAAAGAATTGTGCCATTTTTATTATTCATAGCAAATCATCTTACAGGTAATCCATTTCTAGATCTGGGACCTTCCATTTCTTAAAAAAAGTTAACAAAACGAAACAAAATTCTGAATATGGGAGTAAAAGGTTTCAACTATCTTATCCATGGCCATGAAAAACTCATGACCTTACTGGATCTCGATTTCCTAGTTTACAAATTGAGAAGAAATCCCCGGTCAAGCCTACAAGACTATACAGTTCTACAAAGATAGCCAAGAAGGCCTGGTGCAGTGGCTCACACCTGTAATCCCAATATTTTGGGAGGCCAAAGTGGGTGAATCGCTTGAGCTCAGGTGTTTGAGACCAGCCCAGGCAACATGGCAAAACCCCGTCTCTACTAAAAAATACAAAAAATTAGCGGGGCGTGGTAGTGTGCAAGCGTAGCTCCAGCTACTCGGGAAGCTGAGGTGGGAGGAATGCCTGAGCCCGGGAAGTCAAGGCTGCAGCGAGCCAAGATGGCACCACCGCACTCAAACCTGGGTAACAGGAGTGAGACACTGTTTAAAAAAAAAAAAAAAAAGATAGCCAAGATTAAAGGATACTTATACACAAAAAGAAATCTTTAGAAAGTTCTTAGATTAGCACCTTCAAAGATAACTACCATCTTCAATAAGGTGGTTGTTAGCCTCACCTAACAACCTTTTTAGAAAAAGTTAAATACAATATATCACACTCCACTTCTTCCAATGACACCTGAAAATGTGAAGAATCTCACACAGGAATGCACAGTGTAAAATTTTATCTGATACATTAGCTCTATACACAGTCAAAGCTCTCTCATGAACAAATCCGTCTTTTACTTGTCAAATGAAAACATTATCCAAGGCCAGGCGCAGTGGCTCATGCCTACTTCCCAGCACTTTGGGAGGCAATGGCAGGAGGATCACAAGGTCAGGAGATCGAGACCATCCTGGCTAACACAGTGAAAGCCCGTCTCTACTAAAAATACAAAAAATTAGCCAGGCCTGGTGGTACGCGCCTATAGTCCCAGCTACTCAGGAGGCTAAGGCAGCAGAATTGCTTGAACTCAGAGGCAAAGGTTGCAGTAAGCTGAGATCACACCCTTGCACTTCAGCCTGGGCAACAAGAGCGAAACTCTGTCTCAAAAAACAAAAAACCGAAAACATTATCCAGTATAGTTTAGAGGCTTTTTACTCTCCAACTCTGCCTATCGCACCTAAAATCCCAGTGAATCTTCATCAGAATATTTTATTCATTCCTGTTTCTTAAAATGTTTCCTCTGCATTTGCCTAATTCCTGAAGCACATGCACTTCAGCTCTCACGGAAAATTGCTCTATATTTGTCACCATATTTTCTGAATCTATTAATTATACACATTGAGAGAGAGTGGAGTATTGGTAGATAATACACACTGAGAGGGAGTGGAGCATTGGTAGACATACATGCAGATTAGAAAAGAAAGTCACATTGAGCTTCATTATCCTACAATGAACTTATATTTCCTCAGTTTCAAAATAACGTAAAAACCAAAGTTATCACTCTCCTTTCCTCAAACTTTGACTAAAACGTCACCTTTTAGGTAAGAAACATTTAGGTTTTTTGTTTACCATTTAAAGTTCAGTGAATCACTACTATAATGGGGCTGCCTCCAAAACAATCAATCTTAGGCTACATTAATTTAGATGTAATATCTAAAATGAGTTGATTGCTAATTGAATATAGTGAATGGAAATTATAAGAAGGTAGATTTGGGTGAAACATAACACAAGAATAACGCGAGTTGTCCAAATATCAAATAGAGCTACTTAACAAGTAGCCAGTCACTACAGGTATTCCAGAGACTAACTGAATGGTTTGGCACAAACATAGTAGAGTCCATACATCCAAAAAAGTAAGATTAGGCCATTCCAACACTAAGATCCTAAAAGTCTGTTAACAAGAAGCAGGACTTTTGACTTCTCCTCCAATACTCATCTCACACCTTCCTATCTGCAATGATTGAAACCCTATGCATTTATCTGGGCCCAGCAGAAATCCTGTCCCCTTGAAAATCTTTCTACTCCTACTGAATTCCTCAACAGAATATAACTCTTCTCTATTAACTCTTAAAGCACTTTTGGCCTTTATCATAGCAGTTTATTGATCATGCTCTGCCCTAAATTACTAACTGTACACCTGTCTTCATCTTCTATTCCCCTCTCAAATATTATAACTCAGCTCTCCTTTGAATGCAATTCTCTGGAAACATCACAATTCTTCTCAATAATCGAATGACTTCTCAATCCTCCACCCATCTGCATTATCAATGTTGACTACCTCCTCCTAACTCTTCTAGAGTTCTATAAGGCAAATTTTCCTTCTCATCCAAACGCAGAATTTCTCAAGGTTCTGTCTTCTAACCTGGCAATTTCAGCTTCTGGTCTCATGTCTACCTAAACGTGTATCTAGTCTATACCATAAGTTCAAATTTTACATTTGTCACCACATACTGAACACCTAGACATGACCCACATATGTCCCAATACACGCATGCACCAAAGAAAGCTATTTCCTTATTTCTGTTAAAAGTGTCATAATCTTCTCAACTTGAAAGCTCAGTCGTGACTTTCTCCCCTTTAGCTTTGCCACTTAAACTGTGAAATCCTTACAATTCAGAAGGTGGAATTTGTGCCCTCCTTTTCACTCCCACTGTTCAGACCTTTTATTCTTCAAAAGTCTTTCAAGCCCCTGTATCACGTGTAGTATATACTGTACTGAGTAAAATCCAAACACCTGCATTCAGTTTGGCATCTAAGGCCCTACACAGAAATCCAGTCTGACATTCAATGTCATAACCAACCTTTCAAATTTATCTCCTACTATACTTTCTCATCCCTGTATCAAATTCTATACAAATATTTTAATCACCTAATATTATTCTCTGCAATTTCACTCTCTGCGCCTTTGTCTTACTTCATTCATTCCCATCCACAAGCTGAGTCAATGGGTTATACAAAATAAATTCATTTCAACATTTATTTTATGGCTACTATGTATGTACCAGAAACTACAAAAGGAAAAAGAGGCCGGGTGCAGTGGCTCACGCCTGTAATTCTAGCACTTCGGGAGGCCGAGATGGGTGGATCACCTGAGGTCAGGAGTTCGAGACCAGCCTGACCAACATGGCAAAACCCATCTCTACTAAAAACACAAAAAAGTTAGCCGTGTGCAGTGGCGGGCGCCTGTAATCCCAGCTACTCAGGAGGCTGAAGCAGGAGAATCGCTTGAACCCGGGGGCGGAGGTTGCAGTGAGCTGAGTTGTAAGTACTTGGTATTAGTTATTATAAAAAGAATAAGACCTCTAGTAATAGGAGGCAGTTCTCTTTACCAGATACTGTTACCAAAGGTTATGTGGGTGCTAAGACACAGCTTATCTCCACTATAGGATACTTACCCCTTTCCCCTCTGGAGTCCCTCACTCATAGCTGGGCTCAAACTAGTCAGGTTTATTTATTTTAATTGAACCATGGACTATATCCATTTCCAACAGCTAAATGCATATTAATACTGGAACTTTCTGAAATTCCAGATGGTTTTTGTTTGAAGTAACTTAAACAATCTAAGGAACACTATACCTTTTTAAAGAAATGACCTTCAATCTTTTGTGGTACACCATTGAATGAAAGCTTCACAAAGAAGATCTAAGAATCATAGTGGTACAAATAAATAATAAAAGTAAGTTATGGATTAAATCTCTTATTCAGGCTCCAAAAGGTGTTTTTGTTTTCTGTCCTTCTCAGAAGTTGAGGGAGGCTAGTTTTAAAATTCAGAAGCTATTAAAAGTGACCAAGCAGTAAGAAATGGAAATGCTTGCTGTCCACAAAAATAAAGCATGTATTTATACTATGTTTTAAAGTTTAACAAGTAACCTACTATTTTCTTTTGTCTTTAAAATAGATAGGGCATTATCTTCATTTACAGAAAAGGATGTTTAGAGAGCCTAAGGAAAGGTGTTTGGGGTTCCTCAGTTACAGTAAAAAGAAAGAGGATTTGAAATCAGGTCTCCTGACTCCTGACTCAACTGATGTTTTCATTACACTTTGGTTAGGAACAACCGCTTTGGAAGAGCAGCCAGCTCTTCCAACAATACAAAAAATTAATTTTAAACAAGCAATTGTTAGCTTATGTGAAACTGTTGAGAAGAGTGAAAAGCAAAGGAATACAGCAGGACAGCAACAGAAAATCCAAGAATAATTTTCAATATACCTATGGTTTCAAGATAGGGTAAAATACTTGGAAATTAGCAGATAAAAGTAAGCAGAAACACGACAGTCAAGAAACTAATTCTATTGCTTCTGAAGGTAGGCCAGGACCTTCCTGAAGGTGGGTGGACCAATTTATTCTATCGGATATAAAACAAGTGTCTACCAGTGGAGAGTAACTAGGTCATGTTTGTCCATTAAATTCTACTGAATTTAAGTTCAGACGCAACACTTTAGTTTGTGCCTTTCAAAATCAACATTGAAAAGGAGTCATTCACTGTCTCCATATTCACTCAAAATATGTGGAAAGTCTTTTTAAAGCAATCTAGGGGGAAAATGTTCAATCCTAATTATGCGTAATAAACAGCGATAATTTTGCAGGATAAGGAGGGAAGTTTTCAGAATCTAAAGACACAGTGCCAACACTTTCTTCAAACCAGGAGTTGCCTGCTGACAAATCAACTGCTCAGCTGCTAACTGAACAGTTAAGTTAGTTACTCTACGAAATGGTCAAATAATGTGTTTTCTTCTTTACCTTCTAATTTTTATCCCCATCCATCCCACAAGCATTCTGGTTCACTCTTGATGTTTTTTCACTATTACTAATATTTCGACCCTGAATATCAATCTGAACTATGACAGCTCTTAGTAAGAAATTCATTCTAGGTCCTTATTATTCCTACAATTCCTTGACTGCTTTTCAGAATTAGTTTGTAAAGATTAAATCATAACATAAAGGCCCATAAGAGTAATCTTAAACATTTAAGAAAAATGTTACTGCCAAAGAAAGGATAATTCAATCCTGAGGTTCAAACTCATCGTACCGTTTATCTCCTAAGACCAGGAATCTTGGATTATCAAAAAGACCACTGGATGCTAACAGGGCCAAAAGTTTACTTAGAAACTTGGTTCACATGCCTAAGGCTATATTAACTGCCAAATATGGAGCTAGAGAAAAATTGCCATCATCTCCCACTCTAGTACACCGGGGCTCTCTTAACGACAGTTAATGTTTCCTAGATCCAGGTACCTGCAACACTAACGTTTGAAAGACCAGAACAAGGTACAGAGCCTTGAACCTAAAACCACAGTATCTTAATCCAAGTTAATATCCCACAACAATCATACAGGGAGAACAGGACTTTACTATTCCAGCTAAAAGTGCAAGTGCCTTTTTTTTGTTGTTGTTATGAAGGAAAAGGCACTCTCCTCCCACCCCCCAAATCCGTTAGAACATTAAGTATGTCTTGGGGAAAAAAGCTGATCTATGCAGGAAATTATAGACGAAAATCTATATTCGCCCCAAAGCGGCAAAGGGCCATCTTAAGAAATCTGCTTTTAGAGACGCAGGAAAAATTCTATCAGATTCCACTAACAAAATCAACACAATCTAGGGAAGCTTCTGTTCCTTTCTGTCCCCCCATCCCAACAAAAGCGGGAACCCATCCCCCAAAAGCCATTCCCGAGTCAATAAGGGATCGTCTGCATAAGAGGGGGACGAAGAAGGCGCACGTTACAGTTCCAGTATCCGAACACGTTCGGATTAAACCCGCGGTGGCAGGGAGAGGGGGGTTGGTCAAACACGACGGAACACTAGGTACTGGGTAAGCGAAGCGGCGGCTGCCTTCAAACCCGGATTCTGTTTCCGTGCACAGAAATGGTGCCCGGAGGCCGCCACTTTCGCATCTGCGTCGCTTCTGCCTCCGTCGACACAACCTCTTTTCCCCTCCCCCCACGGGCGGGGTGGCGACGGCCTCTCCGCTCCGAAGGAACAAGGTACAAGAGCCGAAAACGATTCGGAAACAGGAACGGTGGGCTACCCACCCTAAAACATCCCCTCCAGAAAGCCTGCTCCCACACTTCCTGTATTAAGCTTCCATCAGCGCGCCTTCGGGAGCTGCTGCGTGCCTCCCCCCCCACTTCGCCACCTCATCCCCAATAAACCTCAACCCCACCTGTGCACTCGGAGCCCTCTGCCCGCAAGACGCTCGCGGGTCACCTCCCTTCCCAGGCGGCCTCCCACCCCTCACCTAGAGGAAAGACTGGTCTTCTCTCACGCACACACGGCACCGTAGGGAGCCGGCAAGAACAATGTCTCTGCCGCTACACCTCCGGCTCCCGGGCTCACACACCGGACGATTGCCTCGCGCCGCGGAGCGCGAATGGAATGTCCCTTTCCGACCACCACACCGACCTCCCCTCCCGGCGCCCGTACACACCTCCAGCCAACGGCGGCGGCGGGTACGTCGCGCGGAGGTCAGAAGAGTCGCTGAGGACCGGGTGCGGCGGGTTCTTATTGCTCGCCGCCCCCTTCCTCCGACAACTCGGAAGCCTCGGAAGCCGGAGAGCCGCGAGTTCGTCTGCCTCACAACCACCTCTTCCCGGGCGCCAGGCGCTGCGACGTGCGACAAGGACCACGGACGTCCCGCCCCCTTTGCCACCGCCCCCTCTTATTGTTTTACCCCTGCCGAAAGGGCCAGGGAACCCCCGAGCACAGCGTCAGCCAATCACGCATCTCCTCCAGAGCCGGACCCAACCTTCCCGTGTCCCTCTGCGGAGCACGCGCAGTACGCTGCCGCGCTCGCACACGCTCGCGCCCGGAAAGCCGGGGAACCGGAACCGGCCTAAAGCCAAGATAAGAGTCCGCTGATTTGACGTCACAAGCAGGCTGCCTTTCTCCGGTCCCGAGGCTCCAGCCTTGCCGCCCTTCTTCCTGATCGCGCAAGCGAGAGCTGGTTCGCAGCAACGCAGTGTCTTTTGTAGACTGATATTCTGGTCCTTTTTATTAATGGGAAGGAGGGAATTTAGTAATCTCTCTGAATAGGTGTCTGCAGGTTGCTGCTGTAGACGAGCTTAAAATGCAGCCGGTGATTTCAGCTGTTTGCACACTAAACTCACCTACATTGTTTACTTAACCCATCCTAGGTTTTAAGCCCCATTAAGAGGCCCTGCAGTAAAGGAAGAACATGACGTGGGCTTTACAGAGGGGGAAAAGACTATTTCTTTGTGTCCTTGTTACGAATTTAGGCATGGCTAAATATCAGTAGATACTAAAGCATTTTACATACTAAAGCTAAAAGAAGGCCTGAAATACAAGGATTACAGTCCTGTTCTAGCTCTAAGCCCAGACTTGCCCCCAGGGTGAGACACTGGTGACCTTGTTTCATGGACAAAGCCAAGCCAAATCTTGTAGTCAAGGAAGCCACTTTGCATCTTAGGTCTGGCAGTGTTTTCAGAGAATACCGAGATAGCACAGGAATTTTGGAATGAAGGACTGAGGAAGTGTTCAAAGAAACGGAAAGGAAAAAATACATTAATGAATGCTTACGAACTAAACATGGTGGACGCAAGCATGTACATCTCATCAGTTTTCTTCGCAATCCTGTAAGGGCAATTTTAAGGTATTTGGCATGTTAAGACAATACGTCAAATACCTTAAATATTGGCAGAGGCAATGCCAACATTAGGGCCTCCAAAGTCTACAATATCTTTACCTTTAGACTGCTTAAAGATACTGTTATATGCAAAATATTTGGGCAGACCATCACTTTAATGAAATCAACCTGATGTTTTTCCTTAAAGCATCAAAATACATTACATGCCGGCTGTCCTTTAATATACTGGGCTTATATACCAGGCATTCTTGTAATTATACAGCCTTCTGAGCCTCACAGTAACCCTATGAGCTAGTTGCTATATGTATGTACATATATATATATATATATATATATTTTTTTTTTTTTTTTTTTTTTAAGATGGAGTCTCTCTGTGTCGCCCAGGCTGGAGTGCAATGGCACGGTCTTGGCTCACTGCAACCTCCGCCTCCCGGGTTCAAGCGGTTCTCCTGCCTCAGGCTCCCTAGTAGCTGGGACTACAGGCGCATGCCACCACACCCAACTAATTTTTATATTTTTAGTAGAGACGAGGTTTCACTATGTTGGCCAGGCTGGTCTCGAACACACCTGACCTCGTGATCCGCCCGCCTTGGCCTCCTAAAGTGTTGGGATTACAGGCGTGAGCCACCGCACCCGGCCAGTAGTTGCTATTTTTATGCCCATTTTATAGATGAGAAAACAGGCTTGGAGAGGTCAAGTAACTTACCCAGGACTACACTGCTACTATTCACTGGAGCTGGGATTCAAACACAGGCAATCTGCCTCCACAGTCCATACCCTCAGGCAAACTATAGAATACTCCCATTGTACTAATTGCCGCAATTCACTTATCTGCCCTACTGCTGACTAACCTTCAAGTGTTTCCGGTTTGGAGCTCTTCCGTGCAATGCTATTATAAATATTCTTCACCATGTATCCTGCAGAGGTGCAGAACTTTCTCTAGAGCAGTGGTTCTCAGACCTTAATGTGCACCGAAATCACCTGTAGGGCTTGTTAAAACAGATAGTTGGGCCCCACTCCCTAAGTTTCTGATTCAACAGAGGCCCGAGAATTTGCACTTCTAACAAGTTCTCAGCTGATGGTGCTACTGCTGCTCTAGGAGCCACACTTTAAAAACCACTGATATAGGCCGGGCGCGGCAGCTCACGACTGTAATCCCAGCACTTTGGAAGGCCGAGGGGGGCGGATCACCTGAGGTCAGGAGTTTGAGACCAGCCTGACCAACATGGAGAAACCTCGTCTCTACTAAAAATACAAAATTAGCCGGGCGTGGTGGCGCATGCCTGTAATCCCAGCTACTCGGGAGGCTGAGGCAGGAGAATCGCTTGAACCTGGGAGGCGGAGGTTGCGGTGAGCTGAGATCGCGCTATTGCACTCCAGCCTGGGTGACAACAGTGAAAACTCCGTCTCAAAAAAAACAAACACCACTGATCTAGGGCAGAGGTGGGCAAACGGTTTGATAAGGGAAGGATTAGATAGTAAATATTTTTGGTTTTGAGCGCCACGTATGGTTTCTGTTGCATATTCCTCTCTCTCTCGCATCCTTTAAAAATTTAAGAAACATTTTTAGTTTAGCTCTAGAGCTACACAGAAACAGCCCTCAGGTAACCCTGCTCTTGAGTAGACACCAATAAGTGGAGTTAATGGGAAAAAAGATTCAGCGATCTTCAATGTTAAGTAAATATCTCTAACCTATTCTAACTGGCGATTTTTACCTCATAAACATATCTCTACACAAATAGCCCCTGCCCAGGTTCAGGCCCCTTCATCTTCCCAGGAAGACTGCAGTGGCCTCCTAACTAATCTCCCTGCCTCTCAAACATAGCCTCCATGAAGCAATGTCCACCTCCTATAGACTAGGCAGGGAGACCAGTGTGAACGGTATTCATTCGGTGGCTCAGGCCAAAAACCTCTTTTTCTCACACCAATTTATTGACAGCCAATTGCCAATAATTTTTTTTTTTTTTTTTTTTTTTTGAGATGGAGTCTCGCTCTGTCATCCAGGCTGGAGTGCAATGGCATGATCTGGGCTGACTGCAACCTCCACCTCCCAGGTTCAAGCCATTCTCCTGCCTTGGCCTCCCAAGTGGCTAGGACTACAGGCATGTGCCACCACGCCCATCTAATTTTTCTATTTTTAGTAGAGACGAGGTTTCACCATGTTGGCCAGGTTGATCTCGAACTCCTGACCTCAAGTGATCCACCCACTTCGCCGAATTGTCAATACATTTCTGTTCCCTCTACCTTCAACATTTATTCTGGATTAAATACTTTGCATCACTGTTACTGCTGCTATAGTAGTCCAGGCCACCATTGCCTATTGCAATAGCTTTCTACTTGGCCTCAATGCTTCCACTCTTATTCCACTACAGTCTGTTCCCCTCACAGCAGCCAGATCTTTCATAGTTATAATTGAGATGGTCCCAAAACCTTTAAAAGGCAACACAAAATCTCAGGTCCTTACCATGGCCTACAAGGCCTACCTGATCTAGTCCTTACCTATTACTTCCATTTCTTTTCTTACCACTGGTTTTCTCACACCACCCCAGCCAGCTCTTCCTTTGACATTCTCATCACATTACCACCCCAAGGCCTTTAATGTGAACCTTTATCAAAACACTGTGAAAAATAAAAGTAAATGAATCAGACCCAATCACCATTAGCAGGTAAATTTTTAAAAGTAAAATTACTAGAATTATATTACCTGATTCCTGATTTTTATTATAAACTTCAGCATAAAATACTTAGATAAGTATTTGAATAAGATAAGACATTTGAATTTATAAAGCTTTTCCTCTACACCCTTTCATTTGACCATTCTCAACTTTACTGAATACTAAAAGATCAACCAAGTCCATTATCACCACTTTTGCTGATGAAGTAGGTGTATACGAGATGACTACATGCGGCTGGGCGCAGTGGTTCACGCCTGTAACCCCAACACTTTGGGAGGCCCAGGTGGGTGGATCACGAGGTCAGGAGTTCGAGACCAGCCTGGCCAACATAGTGAAACCCCGTCTCTACTAAAAATACAAAAATTAGCCAGGCATGGTGGTGCGCACCTGTAGTCCCAGCTACTGGGGAGGCTGAGGCAGGAGAATCACTTGAACCCAGGAGGCGGAGGTTGTGGTAACCCGAGATCGCACCACTTCACTCCAGCCTGGGCAACAGAGCGAGACTCTGTCTCAAAAAATAAAAAATAAAAAAAAAAAGAGATGACTACATGCATGTTTAGGGGTCACACACCCCACATAAATAAGGTTTATGAAGACCAAGCATTGGAAGGGAGTAAAATCCAAGTCCTTAAGGGAAACGCATTTTTCTTGGAAAGTGTCTTTACTCACCATGTTTTTAAACTTTTAAGGCTTGCAAAACAAATGTCTTGGCCCCACTACTAATTCAGTTAGGAAGGATGATGCTGTGGATTGAATGTATGTGCCCCTCCAAAATTCATGTTGAAACTTAATCTCCAATGCAAAAGTATTAAAAGGTGGGTGGGACCTTCAGGCGGCAACTAGGTCATGAGGGCCTCACCTTCATGAATGGAATTCGTGTGCTCATAAAAGGGGATTGAGGGAGTTCATTAGTCTCTTTTGTGCTTTTGCCCCTTTCACCATGTGAGAACACAGCAAGAAGGCACCATCTTTGAAGCAGAGCAAGCCCTCACTAGGGTTGGCCCTTTGATCTTGAACTACTCAGCCTTTAGAACTATAAGCAATAAGTTTCTGTTGTTTATAAGTTACCCAGTTGAAGGGTGGTTTTGTTGTTGTTGTTGTTGTTGTTGTTTGAGACAGGTTCTTGCTTTGTCTGTCACCTGGCTGGAGTGCAATGGTGCGATCATAGCTCATTGCAGCCTCGACTTCTCAGCCTCCTGAGTAGCTGGGACCACAGGTGTGCACTACCGTGCCTAGCTTGTGTGTGTGTGTGTGTGTGTGTGTGTGTGTGTGTGTGTGTGTGTACACAGGGTCTCATTATGTTGCCCAATCTGGTCTTGATTGCCTGGCCTCAGGCCATCCTCTTGCCTCAGGCTCCCAAAGTGTTGAGATTACGGGCATGAGCCACACCTGACCTAAAGGTATTTTGTTATAGCAGCCCAAATAGACTAAAACAAATGATAATGCTGTCAACAGCATAGTATTTAAAGAGTCTGGCTGGGCACAATGGGGTATGCTTGTTGTCCCCACTACTTGGGAAGCTGAAGCAGGAGGATCACTTGAACCCAGGAGTTTGAGTTCAGCCTGGGCAATATAGCAAGACCCCATTTCCAAAAAAAATAAAAAAGAATCTGGGCTCCAGAACCACACTGCCTGGATTTGAATCCCAGCTTTATCTCATCACTTACTAGGTATATCACTATAGGCAGGATGTTTCACTTTTATGTGCCTCAGTGTTTCTCATCTGTAAAATGGGGACAATAATAATATCTACCTTATTAGGGTACAGTAAGGTTTAGACAATACATGTAAAACATTTTAACAGTGTCTGGCACATGGTAAGTGCTCAATAAACATCGGCACTTAATGTTTGGTTCTTGAAAAAGTATATGCACCAATTGCTTTCAACTGATTCCTTTTTCGCAGACTGCCCACTGCTTTGTTCTGAAGTAACAACTTACATTTGTATAGCATTTTACAGTTTTCAAAACACTTTCAAACACATTATCTCATTTCAATTTCACAGCAATTCACAAAGCAGGCAAGCTGCACAAGGCTAAAAATGGCCAATTTAGAAAGAGAGCCCAGAGTCCCTCTGACTCATGCCACTACACCATGTCCTACTGCTAAATGATGAACTTTTATAGACTTTGAACAAGACTTACTGATTGAAAACATGTTACTTGAGAATCCCAGGGCTCTCTCTTGGTGCAACTGGATCCTTTACAAAGCTTTTTAATGCACAGAGAAACCTACTCCCATGAGTAGGATGAATCCATTCATTTTAGAGCAAGAGAGGAGAAAGCCTATTATGACCTAAAGAAAGAATCAAATGTTAATTTCTCCCTGCAATCTTTCCAGCCATTATCTGTTTGTGAGGCTGGGACAGGTTAGGGTATAAAGGAGTGTTTTCCTCTCCAATCATTGTGAGTGTGTAAAATATGTCTCACATCCAGAAAAGTGCATGAAATGGCCTGCCAATCTGTGTGATGAAGTACAAAATGTCACAATATGAATGACTGCTATAGGTGGTAGATTTTAGGTATGTAACTTGTTTTGATCATATCTATGAAAGTCTATAAGTAGGTGAGATTCTACATGCTACCTGAGTTTGAGAGAACAAAGGTTGCAAGTTCTAAGAAAGTCACTTCTTCAGAATTTAGAGGCAATAGTCTCATAAAAAAATCAACATACAAAGAATCAGATTATCAATTATGAAAATAACCCACCCTGAATTTGTGAATTCTAACGGATTCCATTTAACACTCTTGAAGCCATGATGCCAGCTAAAAGCACCTCAGGCTGAGTAAATGAGGTGCTTTTCAGAGATAAAATAATCCTGGAAAGCAGAACAACTAAAGATAACATAAATGAATGAGGAGGCATTTGCCCTGAATCCAGAAAATGACTTTGAAAAGAGGAAATATTTCACCAGTGTTTATCTCACACTGTCCAAGATAGACTATATTTGTCAGGCAGGAATATCCTAGCCCTCAGTGGGCTGCAGGGTGTGTTTAATTCTTCAAGCCTTACAGTCTGGATATGAGACGCCACAAGGTTATCCAATTCTCTCCTCACCAAGCACTGTGACACAGAGAAGGGGGCCTGATCAGCAGATATTCTATGTCTTTGGATGGCATATCCCTTTGTGAAATGGAATTCCTGTGGTTTGTTCATCAGTCTCTTATAGATTAAGTTAATATAAAAGAGTGTGTCAGAGACAGATTTCCTTCTGAGGGGGGATAGGAAGTTGTACTGAAAGAAGTCAGGGCTGAGAGCAAATCCTCCACTTAAATATAGAAGCATGAAACACATGGGATCAAATCGCATTTTCTTCACTAACTACTTCTGTGACACTAGTCAGGTTAGTTCATTCCTCTGACCTTGACTTTCCTCAGTGGATAAACAGCCTACTTAGGATTGTTCTGAAGATTCTTTATGGCATTTAGCATACTTTCTGGCAAAGTGTGTATATGTGCATGATTCCTGTTATAAAACCGAGGCAAACCTTCAACATCAGGGGACCCCAACACAGTGCCACGCAACTTCATAGACAGCTAGCCAGGTTTCCCATCCATCCTTCCATTTCCCACTCTCCTCTTGGGACAAATACTTGGTTGTTTGGCAGTGTAAAGAAACTGTGGCCTAGCCAGGCGCAGTGGCTCACGCCTGTAATCCCAGCACTTTGGGAGGCTGAGGCGGGCGGATCGCGAGGTCAAGAAATCAAGACCATCCTGGCCAACATGGTGAAACCCCATCTGTACTAAAAATACAAAAATTAGCTGGGTGTGGTGGTGGCATGTGCCTGTAGTCCCAGCTACTCGGGAGGCCGAGGCAGGAGAATAGCTTGAACCCAGGAGGCAGAGGTTGCAGTGAGCTGAGATCATGCCGCTGCATTCCACCCTGGCGACAGAGCAAGACCCCGTCTCAAAAAATAAATAAAAAATTAAAAAAAAAAAAAGAAAAACCGTGGCCTAAGTCTTTCTCTTAAATATAGTCAAATTCAGCCAGGCGTGGTGGCTCATGCCTGTAACCCAGCACTTTGGGAGGCCAAGGTGGGTGGATCACCTGAGGTCAGGAGTTCAAGACCAGCCTGGCCAACATGGTGAAACCCCGTCTCTATTAAAAATATAAAAATTTGCCGGGCGTGGTGGCATGCACCTGTAGTCCCAGCTACTCGGGAGGCTGAGGCAGGAGAATCGCTTGAACCCGGGAGGCAGAGGTTGCAGTGAGCCGAGATCGTGCCACTGCACTCCAGCCTGGGCGAAAGAGCGAGACTCCGTCTCAAAAATAAATAAATAAATAAATATAGTCAAATTCAGAAGGAGGAGGAAAAGGATATATAGTAGTCCCCCCTTATCTGCAGAGGGTACATTCCAGGACCCTCAGTGGATGCCTGAAACACCAGACAATACCAAACCCTATATATACTATGTTTTTTCCTACACATACATACCTACGATAAAGTTTATACATTAGGCACAGTAAGAGATTAACAATTACTAATGATAAAATAGAAAAATTATAACAGGCCAGGCGTGGTGGCTCACCCCTGTAATCCTAGCACTTTGGGAGGCTGAGGCAGGTGGATCACCTGAGGTCAGGAGTTCGAGACCAGCCTGGCCAACATGGCGAACCCTGTCTCTACTAAAAATACAAAACTTAGCCGGGCGTGGTGGTGTGTGCCTGTAGTCCCAGCTACTCGGGAGGCTGAGGCAGGAGAATGGCTTGAACCCAGGAGGCGGAGGTTGCAGTGAGCCAAGATCGCACCACTGCACCCCAGTCTGGGCAACAGAGCAAGACTCCATCTCAAAAAAAAAAAAAAAGAAAAATTATAACAATATGCCAGCATCACTACTCTTATACTTTGGGGCCATTATTAAGTAAAGTAAGGGTTACCTGAACACAAACACAGTGAAACTGGGATAGTTGATCTGATAACTGAGAAGGCTATGACATGACCAACCAGAGGGTAGAGCAGACAGCATGGATACACTGGACAAGAATGATTAACATCTTGGGTGGGATGACAGAGGAAGGTGCAATATTTCATCACACTACTCAGAATGGTGTGCACTTTCAAACTTATAAACTGTTGGCCAGGTGCGGTGGCTCATGCCTGTAATCCCAGCACTTTGGGAGGCCGAGGCAGGCGGATCACGAGGTCAAGAGCTCGAGACTATCCTAGCCAACATGGTGAAACCCCGTCTCTACTAAAAATACAAAAATTAGCTGGGTGTGGTGGCACACGCCTGTAGTCCCAGCTGCTCGGGAGGGCTGAGGCAGGAAAATCCCTTGAACCAGGGAGGCAGAGGTTGCAGTGAGCCAAGATTGTGCCACTGCACTCCGGCCTTGTGACAGAGCGAGACTCCGTCTCAAAAAAAAAAAAAAAAAAAATTATGAACTTTATTTCTGGAGTTTTCCATGTAATATTTTTGGATAGCAGTTGAACATGGGTAACTCGAAGGGGGAGGAATAGTGTAGTACTTTTGAAAGCAAATGTGTTTTATTAATTTCGTTCAGCTCCCAGGTTATAAAACTATTCAGGGTAGTAAAAAATCAACTGTATGGAAAATACAGGGCTTTCATCAGCAGACAGAAAACTTGGTAGTTGTGAAACTTCTCATTGGGAAAAGATCTCCATAAAGAAATCATGCAGCTGGGCTGGGCACGGTTGCTCATGCCTGTAATCCCAGCACTTTGGGAGGCCAAGGCGGGCAGATCACGAGGTCAGGAGATCGAGACCATCCTGGCCAACACGGTGAAACCCCGTGTCTACTAAAAATACAAAAATTAGCTGGGCATGGTGGGTGACGTGTGCCTGTAATCCTAGCTACTTGGAAGGCTGAAGCAGGAGAATTGCTTGAACCTGGGAGGCAGAGGTTGCAGTGAGCTGAGATGGCGCCATTGCACTCCAGCCTGGTGACAGAGCGAGACTCCGTCTCAAAAAAAAAAAAAAGAAAGAAAGAAATCATGCAGCTGATAGACACAGCGCATTGTGACTTTCTTCTACCTTGGCCAGTCTGGAGCAGAACACAGCCAGTCCCTCATGCAGGGTCCGCATCAGCTCTCATTTTCCACCCACACATTTCTAGGTGTAACCACTTCCTTGTAGAGTCTAGACTAGCAAAACTGGGGGATCTGGCTCCATGGCAGCAAAATACTTCTCTCTGCTTTACCTCAGCAGGAAGCATACATGAGATTATAACTAGGGCAGGAATGGTCCTCAGAATAAAGATGTAGGCCGAGCACGGTAGCTCACACCTGTAATCCCAGCATTTTGTGAGGCCAAGGCGGGCAGATCACCTGAGGTCAGGAATTTGAGACCAGCCTGGCCAACGTGGTGCGAAACCCTGTCTCTACTAAAAATATAAAAATTAGCTGGGCGTGGTGGCGTGTACCTGTAATCCCAGCTACTCGGGAGGCTGAGGCAGGAGAATCACTTGAACCTGGGAGGTGGAGGTTGCAGTGAGCCGAGATTGTGCCATTGCACTCCAGCCTGGACAACGAGCGAAATTCCATCTCAATTAAAAAAAAAAAAGAATAAAGATGTAACCTGCACTTCTGGTTAGTTCATAAGCCTGGCTTTTTAAACATCTATATCCTCCTGCTGGACTGCCACTCTGACCTATATGCCTCTGTTGACTCACTACCTAGGTGAGTCCTGGCTGTGGAAGTAAATTACCTGGCTGCTAGTGTCTGGCTCAGAACTGACAGGAGCTCCCAGTTATCTCCCTTTTTCTAGCTGGGTATCTAGTGATCCCTGCTGGGCCTGACCCCTAACTCCATAGCCATGCCGTAAAATACCCATGTTTATGGTGGTGACATGAAAAGGGAAAGAGAACCAAAAGTTATTGACCAAAGGCCTTTTGTGCACAAGAAAGCAGTCCTAGATAAAATGTGTTTGTAAGGGCAATGTTGGAAGCAGAGGATTTTTTTTTTCTCTAAGCAACAAAGAGCTATGGAGAATCCAAGAGACTTTCAATGAGTAATTCAAGGAATAATAAGAAGGTTATTATTCCTTGGGTGCCAGAGGGAAGCTTTGCTATAAGCAGAACTGGAAAAAGATATTAAAAATCATAAATAGGCCGGGTGCGGTGGCTCATGCCTGTAATCCCAGCACTTTGGGAGGCCAAGGTGGGCGGATCATGAGGTCAAGCGTTTGAGACCAGCCTGGCCAATATGGTGAAACCCATCTCTACTAAAAATACAAAAAAATTAGCCAGGCATGGTGGCATGTGCCTGTAGTCCCAGCTACTCAGGAGGCTAAGGCAGAAGAATCACTTGAACCCAGGAGGCAGAGGTTGCAGTGAACCAAGATCACACCACTGCACTCTGGCCTGGGCGACAGAGTTAGACTTTGTCAAAAAATAAATAAATAAATAAAAATAATAAAAATAAAAATCATAAATAAAAAAATAAAAAATATAACAAGTTTCTGGATTTTTTAAAGTAAATGTATTTATTTAAATGTTGCTCTAAACTAGAAGTTTTTTGTTTTTGTTTTTGACAGAGTCTGGCTATGTTGCCCAGGCTGGAGTGCAGTGACTATTCAATCACAGGCATAATCATGGCAAAGCAAACTGCAGCCTCAAACTCCTCGGTTCAGGTGATCCTCCCACCTTAGCCTCCCTAGGAACATGCCACCATGCCCAGCTAAACCAGAGTTTTTAATCTGAAGCCTAAGCATATTTTGGAAGGGTGGATATAGGGAATGTTTGTGAAACCATGAACATTCTGTATACATGTATGTCTCTTTTTTTTTTTGCTGAAAAGATCCATATTTCATTGTCTTCTAAAATGGGTCTATGTCCTAAAAGGTTAAAAACCAATTATCTAAACCATGCTCTTTTTCGATATATTTCCTGGTAATAAGTTATCAAAATAAAGGCTTTATAGTATAAAGAATACTATTTTTTATTAAAAAGTCATGTTACACTAAAATTCTGTTAATCAATGACCTCAGTTTGTCATAACTGTGAGATGCTGAACTATTTACTGATTTTGATCTTGTTCTGTAGTTATATAGGATACCAATATTGGCAGAGATGGGTGAAGGTTGCACAGAACCTCCCTGTACATTTCTTTGCAACTTCCTATTAATCTATACATATTTTATTTTGAAAATAAACACTTTTTTAAAAGTTTATTAAAAAAAAAAACACAAAACAAAAAAAAACAGGCCATGCATGGTGGCTCACGCCTGTAATCCCAGCACTTTGGGAGGCCGAGGCACGTGGATCACCTGAGGTCAGGAGTTTGACACCAGCCTGGCCAACATGGTGAAACCCTGTCTCTACTAAAAACACAAAAATTAACTGGGCATGGTGAGGTATGTCTGTAATCCCAGCTACTCAGGAGGCTGAGGCAGAAGAATCACTTGAACCTGGGAGGTGGAGGTTGCAGTGAGCCGAGATCGCGTCACTGCACTCCAACCTGGGGGACAGAATGAGACTCCGTCTCAAAAAAAAAAAAAAAAAACCAAAAACACAGATCCTGAAATTTGATGGTATTTGGTTCTTAATCCCAGCTCTGTATTTAAAACCTATATGATGCTAGGCAAGTTACTAAGTTCCCTCAGCTTCTTTCCTCATTGATAAAAAGGCACAATTGCAGTTAGAACTGTTGCATACATGGTTTTCAGCACAGGGCCTGACACACAAAGCACCACATAAATATAAACTATCGTGATTATTTTTAGACAGTATGGTCATAACGCAGACATCACTCTTCACTGGGTGACAGGTACATAGCTTCCAGACATGGTTCCTAAGTGGAAATAAACTGTCTCCTTTGGAGTAGTTTTGGAAACCAAATCTATAAAGTGACAGTAACTATCATAAACAAGGAACTGCCCTTTGAAAATTAGAAGAAAAATGTCCAGTGTAACAGAATAATATGGAGTTAAGGAAGGAGAGAAGGAAGAAAGGAAGGGAAGTGTGTGCACATACACCACACATGTGCACACACACATACACACAGAGCAAAAGCAGGGAATGAGACAATTTTTTAAAATGGGTATTCCAGTCCATATTTGCTCAGCACTAACAGTGTGCTTAAAGACTGAAAATTAGATAGAATCTTTATTTAAATTGTTTGTTCAATGGACAAATTAATGATAGTGTTCATTTCCCAAAGCTGCACATGTTTTCCATTAAGGATTATTTAACTAAACCTAAAATCTGGAAAAGGCCAGTAAAAGAAAAACAAAAAGATGGTCATGTAGTTAATCATATTAATCATTTGCTTTCAAGGAGTGTATATGCTAATGGAAGAGACACAGGCAAAAAAGAATTTTAATATCACAGTAACACAATAAGGTTTCAGACAGATTTGTACAGGGTACAGTGAGAACAGAGGAAATGGGGAAATAATGTCAAACTACAGGTTCCAAATTCCTGGAGGAGATGACACCTAAGCTGAGTCTTGAAGGTGGTGGGTGGTGTAAGAATGAGCCAGCGAAGGAAGTGCAGTGGTTGACATAGCTGTCCTGGCAGAAGGAACAGCAAGAGCAAAGGGTGGGTGGCGGGGGGTGGGGGTGGGGGGGCGGGTGGCACAGCACTAACATGTGCTGGCAACCACAAGCAATTCAGTATTACCACAAGATCAAGTCTAAAGTAGAGCATGGCTTACAATAGTGTGGTATCTCACAAAGGGGGGAAATGGCATTTAAAGAAATTTTTTCTTCAAGTTTTCCCACTGTATATAATAAACCCTAGAAAAAAATAAAATACATTCTAGCAAAAATATTTGTTCAAATAAGCACTTTCATCTTAGAATACCTATTTCTATGGTGAGCAAAGACATTAAGTTTTTGAAATCTGGGCTTAACTTCCATAAATAGTCTGCATTTCCTCCCTACTTTTCTCTGTAAACTGAGATTTAAAGCATTTAAAAGCAGTACTTTTGGCTGAGCATGGTGGCTCATGCCTGCAATCGCAGCACTTGAGGAGACTGAGGCAGGAGGATTGCTTGAGACTAGGAGTTCCATGCCAGCCTAGCCAACATAGCAAGACCCCCATCTCTAAATACATGCATACATACATACCTACATACATAAAAGCAGTATTTTTTTTTTTAACTGGCAGGAGTCTTGATATGGTTTGGCTCTGTGTCCCCACCCAAATCTTATCTTATAGTTCCCATAATTCCTATGGGTTGTGGAAGGGACCCAGCTGGGAGATAACTGAATCATGGGGGTAGGTCTTTTCCATGCTATTCTCATGATAGTGAATAAGTCTCATAAGATCTGATGGTTTTAAAAACAGGAGTTTCCCTGCACAGGCTTTCTGTCTTTGCCCTCTGCCATCCATGTAAGACATGACTAGCTCCTCCTTGCCTTCCACCATGATTGTGAGACCTCCTCAGCCATGTGGAACTGTAAGTCCGCTGAACCTCTTTTTCATCCCAGTCCCAGGTATGTCTTTACCAGCTGTGTGAAAACAAACTAATAGAGGTCTGATGACCTTTCCTATAAGATGTGAGATCTAAAAGAATCACAGCAGAAGCTGAGACAACACTTGTCATAGAAACCTGTAAAACTGACGAATGATTTGTAACTCTTTGCTTAGGAATACATTTTTCAAATCATTTTTGGAGAACTCAAATGTGAGGGCTAAACATCATTGCTAATTTTATGGGCACACATGTAGGCTAAACACTCCTAAAAGCAATAACTTAACCATGCCCTGAGAGTGACCCGTATGACAGATGCTCCTGAATGTGTGCTCTGAGCTAGGGAATCCAGGAGTGGCCAACTTGGAGATACACTCCTTGTCTATGATAAATAACTGAGCCCCTGGCCTGTCCTGTGGAACATGGGCCATACAAGGGTTTGAGGCCCTGAGTTTTGTGTTAAATGAAGGTGGCCAAGTGAAAGCTATTAGGAGGGTGTTAAGTTAAAAATGCTATATAAAATGCATAATGTTTGCAGGTGGCTGCAGTTTTCCTGCCCAGCCTGCTGCCACTGGGCTATGCAGTTACACTGTGCTGCCCATGGTCACTGAACTGTAGGAAGGTGCATACTGCCACTGGACTCTCTCCCCTGTATGTAACCCCCTAATAAAACTCTACGTCTCATTTTGCTGGCTTATGGTCTCTTCTTTGGCTTCTTGAACCTGGTGCCTTCCTTCTTTTTTTTTTTAATAGAGAACAGAGAGTTTATTTTTAAATATTTTTCTTTCTTAGTAGAGATGGGGTTTTACCATGTTAACCTGGCTGGTCTCAAACTCGTGGTCTCAAGTGTTCCACCTGCCTCAGCCTCCCAAAGTGCTGGGATTACAGGCGTAAGCCACCACACCCGGCCCCCATTAAGATTGATAGAGGTTCGGCACAACATCAGGGAAGTAGTATCCAGTGAAGGGAGCATATTTATGGCTATTTTGTTTGTTGTGTGTATTTTAAATGTCACAGAGCCTCTGTTTTCAATGCTTTGAATGCTCTGTTTTCAATGTTCCAGTTGGCCTCGATCAAAGATATCAATCTCATAACCCAGTCACTCTGTGAGCAACTGAGACTTATTTTGGGGAAGAGGACACAGCACAAAACCTGCATCCCCTGCCCCTTTCCTTACCCTCTCCAAGGCACCTGAATGTTCAAATACATTAGGTAAGGCCTGATTCACAAAAATCCTCCTTGTCCTTTACTCTGAAGGGCAAAAACCTTGGATGATCCATAAAAAGAAATTCCACAGGGAACAGATTTCTGTAAAAACTACTTTGCCATGTTTAGCAAGAATTCCACTAGCTCGTTTGAGAATGGTAAGTGTGCAGAGAGAAGAAATTGCTAAGGAAACGATGAGTAAATTATATGGTACTTGATAGTGTACTTCAAAAGCATGACAATCAATCCATGACTGCTGATATAAATAATTCAGAAGACATATTCTTACATTTCCTTGTAGGTGTAAAAACACTACTTCATCCCTAGCTATATGTTTACTCATTAGTCTTTCCTCCTATTAAACACTCCTAGGCAAGGAAAGGGGTTGTCCTATGGTATTGGATATAAGATGTGAAAGAGAAAAAAAAAATAATGGGAGAAAAATTATAAGCAGTTTCCAAAGGCTGGGCGTGGAGGCTCACTCCTGTAATCCCAGCACTTTGGGAGGCGGGCGGATCACTTGAGACCAGGAGTTCGAGACCACCCTTGCCAACATGGCAAAACCCCGTCTCTACTAAAAATATAAAAATTAGCCAGGCGTGGTGGCGCATGCCTGTAATCCCACCTACTGGGGAGGCTGAGGCAGGAGAATCGCTTGAACCCGGGAGGTGGAGGTTGCAGTGAGCCAAGATCCGCCACTGCACTCCAGCCTGGCAGACAGAGCAAGACTCCATCTCAAAAAAAAAAAAAAAGTAGTTCCCAAATCATGCCAATGGAAAAATAATTCCAAGAAGACCCAGATAAGTAATTCAATCTCTTGTATTTGTCAAATGTTTATAATATATTGTGATTCTTAGTAAATCATTTTGAATTTAATACTGCTATTCTCTTTTTAAGAACTTCAAGTTTAATGACTTGTACAACTAGCTCTGCAAGAGAAAGATGCTACTACCATTTGTTTTCAATGATGCCAGTCCTCTGAATTTAAATTCCCAAACAAATCCTTCAGGATCAAATTATTTTTACACTGACCAAGGGAGGTGGCTTATTCAATAAATCATCTGAAGAATTTTAGTTTCAATAAACCTTTTCAAATAATTTGTTCTGAAGGAAATGGGGCAAATTTAATACCATCAAAGACTGTCTTGGCTACAGGCAATAATATGCATAAATCCTACAAACACAATGTTGAGTAAAAGACGCCAGACACAAAAGAAGATATATTTTACAAGTATATGGGTATAAAGTTCAAAAGGAGCAAAACTGATTATTTTCAAAGTCAGCAGTGGGGCACAAGAGAAGCTTCTGGGGTGGCAATAAGGTTTGGTATCCTGATCTGTGTGCTGGTTACATGGGAGAGTTCAGTTTGCCAATTTTTATTAATCTGTAAACTTATGGTTTATGCTTTTTTCTGTAAATATGTTATATTTCAGGAAAAGTAAAAAATTAAATTCACAAAGGTCATCATGGGTCCTGCTTCAATAAAGCGCCTGGGTTAAAAATCAACATTAGAGGACAGGCGCGGTGGCTCACACCTGTAATCCCAGCACTTTGGGAGGCCAAGGTGGGCGGATCACCTGAGGTCAGGAGTTCGAAACCAGCCTGGCCAACATGGCAAAACCCTGTCTCTACTAAAAATACAAAAGCCGGGTGTGGTGGTGGGCACCTGTAGTCACAGCTACTTGGGAGACTGAGACAGGAGAATAGCTTTTGAATCCGGAAGGCAGAGGTTGCAGTGAGCCAAGACCGTGCTATTGCACTCTAGCCTGGGCAACAAGAGCAAAACTCCATCTCCAAAAAAAAAAAAAGAAAAGAAAAAATTCAACATTAGAGTCCAGAATAGGAAAACCTACAGTAGATTAGTTGTTGCTTAAGGGCTGGGGATGAGTGGGTGGAGGAATAGCAGGACTGAGGGTTGAAAGGTATGGAGTTTCTTTCTGAAGTGACAAAAGTGTTCTTTTCTCACTCTGTCGCCCCCACTGGAGTACAGTGGCGCCATCTCAGCTCACTGCAACCTCTGCCTCCCGGGGTCAAATTATCCTCCCACCTCAGCCTCTCGAGTACCTGGGACCACAGGTATGCACCACCATGCATGGCAAATTTTTTGTAGAGACAGGGTTTCACCATGTTGGCCAGAGTAGTCTCAATCTCCTGGGCTCAAGCAATCCACCTGCCTCGGCCTTCTGGAGAGCTGGGATTACAGGTGTGAGCCACCGTACCAGGGAGACAAAAATGTTCTAAAATTGAATGTGGTGATAGTAACACAACATGGAGAATATAGTATAAAAACCATTGAACTGTACACTTAAACAAAAAAACAGGAAAACTATTACCTTATAATCTTAATTGCTCAGTGTCGTTCACTGGTCCCTCCTTTTTTATTCCCCTGACTCCCAGACTGGGTATCAGTAGAATGAGTACAAATGTACATTTTGTTTCATTTATTCTTTTTTTTTTTTGAGACAGACTCTTGATCTGTCACCCAAGCTGGAGTGCAGTGGCACAATCTCTGCTCACTTCAACCTGTGCCTCCCAGGTTCAAGCGATTCTCCTGCCTCAGCCTCCAAAGTAGCTGGGATTACAGGTGTGCACCACCCTGCCCAGGTAATTTTTGTATTTTTAGTAGAGACCGCATTTTGCCATGTTGGCCAGGCTGGTCTCAAACTCCTGACCTCAGGTGATCTGCCCACCTCAGCCTCCCAAAGTGCTGGGATTACCGGTTGTGAGCCACTGCCTTCATTTATTCATTTTTTAGAGATGGGGTCTCACTATGCTGGCCAGACTGGTTTCAAACTCCTGGCCTCAAGCAATCCTCCCACCTCGGCCTCCCAAAGTACTGGGATTACAGGCGTGAGCCACTGTGCCCATCCCAAAGGTACATTTTCATTTGAAGAAAAAGCTAATGAAAATCACATTACCTGAGTTTCATTCTGCTACCCCCACCCCCGACCTCCACCTATTTATTACTCACTGCTTACCTTCTCTGTATGAGCAGCGCTCAACAGGAGTCTGGGATTGGGGGATGAATACGGTGATTCCCAAACTTGGTTGCACGTTGAAATCACCTGGGGAACTTTGAAAGCTACTGATGCCCGAGTCCTACCTCTACAGATTCTATTTAATTGGCTGGGGTGCAATATAGGTATACAAATTTTTTTAAAGCTCTCCGGGAACCAAAGTCCAGACACATTATATATTGATATAATACACTGATACATTACCTAAACACACACACACATACACACGCATACTCCTCAGGTGATTCTAATATGCAGCCCAAATTGAAAGAATTTTTAGTGATTTTCCCAAAGAACTGAAAATCTAAATTCTCTGCCATTTATTAGTTCTGTGATGTGTAAAACTATTTAATCTCTCGGAACTTCAAGTATGACTTTGAGACATACCTAGGGCATATTAGGTTTTTAAAAAATGTTAGCTGCCTTTCCTTTTGTCTTTCCCTTCAAAAATTGGAGAATTTTATTTTTCAAAAAAGCAATTGTGTTGTCACTATTATGTTCCTTTCTGTTCTTCAGAACCCTGTGCCTAGTGCTTGCTCTCTAACGTAAGTTAAGGAACCTCTTGTGCTCTGGCTTCCTGGAACCTTGGATTTGTAGATTGAGAATCTGATCTCTGCCTTGGCTGACCTCTCAGGATTTGGTAACCAGACCACCTGTCAGTTCTTTTTTTTTTTAAGACAGAGTTTCGCTCTGTTGCCCAGGCTGGAGTGCAGTGGTGTGATCTTGTCTCACTGCAACTTCCGCCTCCCAGGTTCAAGCAATTCTCCTGCCTAAGCCTCCTGAGTAGCTGGGACTACAGGCGCGGGCCACCACACCCAGCTAATTTTTGTGTTTTTAGTAGAGACGCGGTTTCACCATATTGGACAGGCTGGTCTTGAACTCCTGACCTTGTGATCCACCCACCTCGGCCTCCCAAAGTGCTGAGATTACAGGTGTGAGCCACTGCACCCGGCGTCAGTTCTTTTCTGATTCTGGTTTTCCCTTTTCATGCTGTCTTTACCGCTGCTGAAAAGCCAAGCATGCCATGTAACAGGCTTTGCATTGTATCTTTATGAAGTAGGAATTCGTATTTAGATCAACAAGGAGAATGAAATTGGGCAGTCTAGATAATGGGCTATGAAGAAAAAAAGGAAAAGTCATGAGAACACAAGGTGTCAAGCAACATGGAGGGTCTTGAAGGGGTTTCTAGAGAGCAGGGGTTGCAAACTGGTGGCCTGCAGGCCGCACCCAGCTCCAATGTTCTGTTTAGCCCTCACAGTGTTCAAAACGTTTCTGAACTGATTGCTGGCTTTTAAAATCGAGAAATTTCAGCCAGGCGCGGTGGCTCACTCCTGTAATCCCAGAACTTTGGGAGGCCAAGGCGGGTGGATCACGAGGTCAGGAATTTGAGACCGCCTGGCAAATATGGTGAAACCCTGTCTCTACTAAAAATACAAAAATTAGACGGGTGTGGTGGTACACGCCTGTAGTCCCAGCCACTCAGGAGGCTGAGGCAGGAGAATCACTTGAACCTGGGAGGTGGAGGTTGCAGTGAGCCGAGAGCATGCCACTTCACTCCAGCCTGGCTGACACAGTGCGACTCCCTCTCAAAATAAATAAATAAAATAAAACTGAGAAATTTCAACAAAAATCCAGATGTCTAGCTTCTCTCGAAAAAGACGACAGTCTGGCAACAATGGACTCACTGTTCCACATGGAACCAATGAGGACATCAGTAGCTGCTACTTCCTTGGGATGGGGTATCCTCTCTCCAGTTTTTTGCAGCTACAACCACCACCTGCTTCACTGTATTGACTGGCCAGCCTCTCCAGGTATCTGAGTTTTTTTTGTTTTTTTTTTTAAGAGTTGGAGTCTGCCAGGCGCGGTAGCTCATGCCTGTAATCCCAGCACTTTGGGAGGCCAAAGCGGGTGGATCACGAGGTTAGGAGTTCAAGACCAGCCTGGCCAAGTTGGTGAAACCCCATCTCTACTAAAAATACAACAATTAGCTGGGCGCGGTGGCGGGCACCTGTAATCCCAGCTACTCAGGAGGCTGAGGCAGGAGAATTGCTTGAACCCGGGAGGCAGAGTTTGCAGTGAGCCAAGATCGCACCACTGCACTCTAGCCTGGTGACAAAGCAAGACTCCGTCTAAAAAAAAAAAAAAAGAGCTGGACTGCAACCTCAAACTCCTGGGCTCACGCAATCCTCAGGCCTTAGCCTCCCAAGTAACGAGGCCCACAAGCCTGCCACCACCATGTCTGGCTAATTTTTTTTTTTTAATTTTTGTACAGATGGGGTCTTACTATATTGTCTAGGGTGGTCTTGAACTCCTAGTCTCAAGCAATCTTCCTGCCTCAGTCTCCCAAAATGTTGGGATTACAGGTGTGAGGCACTATGCCCAGCCATATCTGAGGTTTCAATCCCTGCTAAAGAGACAGGGCTTCCCTAAACTAGATGTTCAGTAACTATTTAGTAAATGAATGAATTAAAGTGGAAAAGACGGAGAAAAACGTGGAAGAAGAGGATGAGGAGAATCCCTCTATTAATAACACTCACAATAGTAGGTGTGGAAGGCCTCAAATAGCACATTGATAAGTTTGGACTGTGGCCTGAAGTACAAGGTACCTGAAGGTACTTTCCCATGCAACAACATGATCAGGACGAGTGTTTAAAAATATTTTAGGGTCGGACATGGTGGCTCACGCCTGGAATCCCAGCACTTTGGGAGGCCGAGGCGGGTGGATCACGAGGTGAGAAGATTGAGACCATCCTGGCTAACATGGTGAAACCCCCGTCTCTACTAAAAATACAAAAAAAATTAGCCGGGCGTGGTGGCGGGCGCCTGTAGTCCCAGCTGTGCGGAAAGCTGAGGCAGGAGAATGGCGCGAACCCGGTAGGCGGAGCTTGCACTGAGCCGAGATCGCGCCACTGCACTCCAGCCTGGACGACAGGGCGAGACTCCGTCTCAAAAAAGGAGTCCTGAGACTCCTACTCGGGAGGGTGAGGTGGGAGAATCGCTTGAATCCGCGAGGCGGCGGTTGCAGTGAGCCAAGATGGCGCCATTGCACTCCAGCCTGGGCAACAAGAGCGAGACTCTGTCTCGAAAAACAAACAAACAAACAAACAAACAAACAAAAAACCACTATGTCTTTATACCTTACCAAGTTCCAGGAAGGATTTCAGATGGCACTAGCAGACAGGATGGGCTAAAGACTGCGACATCACATCCAGAAGTAACAGCCGAAGGGGTTTTCAGTAGATTTGGACAGGAAGCGATAAGGACATGAAGGAAACTGGAGCAGCAAGACAAGAAAGGCAGGACTGTGAGAAGAGGTAATCGTCAAGACCCGATGAATATCCGGGAGAATGGCCCTGTGGCTCAAGAGCCAGTATCCAGAAGACTCAACCACTGTAGATAGGAACTCAGCACTGATGGGCTTGGGAAAAAACACAACAGGATTTGGTTGTCAGGGAAGAGACATGGTAAAACTAATCAACATTTCAGGGCCTAAACAAAAAAGGCATCAGACCTGGAGGGAGAGTGAAGTTACTGGGCAGTAATAACAGCAGCACCCAGGACCCAAGGAGGGAAGGCTGTGTGGCTGCAGCCACTCAGGTGCCCCAGGGTCCATTCAGGCCTGCCTGATTTGCGGCAATCAGACTCAATTCTAAGATCCACATAAGCTGTAATCCTTCTCAGTTGCTGCCATGATTGTCTCCTGCACTGGGCAGGTCTGTGCCTGGAGGTGACAGGTACAGGTGTCTAGGGTCTGAGGGTCAAGACAGAAGCTGGGCTAAGAAGTCTAAGGTAAGCAAAGTCAACCTGGACCTCCCCAGAAATTAGCCAAAAATGTGGGTATGGGACTTAGGAAAAAAGTTAGGCTTGAAATAGAGATTTGGGAGCAATCTCCCAAGAGCTGAAGCCAAGAAGAGAGTGCCAAGAGAAACACAGATGACTGTCAAAGCCTATAGAGGAGCCACATTTAAGGGAGGGAGGGAAAGGAGGCAGCTACTCTGGCAGTCAAAGACGCATACACAAAAGCCCAAAACACCTGAGGCCAGGCATGGTGGCTCACGCCTGTAATCCCAGCATTTTGGGAGGCCGAGGCGGGTGAATCACATGAGGTCAGGAGTTCAAGACCAACCTGGCCAACATGGTAAAACCCGTCTCTACTAAAAATACAAAAGTTAGCCAGGCGTGGTGGTGGGCCCCTGTAATCCCAGCTATTCAGGAGGCTGAGGCAGGAGAATCGCTTGAACCTGGGAGGCAGAGGTTGCAGTGAGCCAAGACCACACCACTTCACTCCAGACTGGGCCACAAGAGTGAAACTCTGTCTCAAAAAAAAAAAAAAAAAAAAAAAAAAAGAGTTAACAGAAAAGCACCTGAGATGAACAGAATCCTACAGCTTCACAGAAGCGAAGAAAATAAATTTAAAGAAGGGGGTGGTTAACAGCCACTTACTGAAGAAAGGACACATAAGACAAAGACCAAAATAGACCAAAAGCAGGTAACCTTCAAAAGATTTTTCAGAGAAAGGGGTGGAAACCAGACTGCAAGGGGTTAAGAGAGTAGGTGTTGAGGAAGTTAGAGAGGAGCCAGACAAACCCTAGTATTTATGGTAGTGAGGTTTGAGCTGTGTTTGTTTGGGCTGTGCAGTTGCTAGGTTATGACAAGTGCACACTGAACTCCGGCTCTGCTGCCCGTTTTTATGTCTGGCATTCTCAGAAATCACCTGGATCACCTAGTCTTACCTAGTCCTAAGGAATAACTGAACTTGTTATATTTCTTCCTTTTCAAAGTGGAAGCCAGCGGCTCCCTAATGCACCCATGGTTGCCAACAGTCCTTCACCATGTGGAATGGGGTCAAAAAAGCATCATGGTGTCCATGGTTTTGAGAGTGTGGAAGGGTCACTGCGCATCAGGCTGCCTATGAAGAAAGGAGTTATGTTCTTCCCTTCTCTTTGTACATTTCTTTTTACTTCCCAGTGCCCAGTGGCCTTGGTAAAAAACATTAGATGTGTAAATGATGTGAGCATGGCAGACAACTGCCAGCTTTCTAGCAGTTGTTCCCAATCATCATTGTCGTCATGGAAAGAGGACTAAATCAGGAGTGTGGACACCAATGGGCAGCCTGCTAATTTTATAACTGTAATCCTTTTACATAACACAGGTCCATGTTCACATGCATGCAAGAGTAACATGAAGTTAAACTCAGCACTTTCCGCACAGTAGATGCCCTACAATACTCGAGTAAGTAGTTAAAGATGGTCATTCCTCATAAAGACAAGCTGAAGAAAATCTTCCCTTTTCTTCAACATATTCAGACTTTATTTTCATCCCCTTTAAAAAGACAAGTTGGACAGGCACTGTGGCTCATGCCTATAATCCCAGCACTTTGGGAGGCCAAGGCAGGCGGATCACAAGGTCAGGAGATGAGACCATCCTGGCCAACATGGTGAAACCCCAACTCTACTAAAAATACAAAAATTAGCTGGGCTGGGTAGCGCGTGCCTGTAGTCCCAGCTACTCAGGAGGCTGAGGCAGGAGAATGGCGTGAACCCAGGAGGCGGAGCTTGCAGTGAGCCGAGATCATGCCACTACACTCCAGCCTGGCTGACAGAGCGAGACTCTGTCTCAAAAAAAAAAAAAAAAAAAAAAAAAAAAGATCATGAAATTGAGGTGTTTTGTTGAAATACTTATGGATGATATGATGTCTGGGATTTATTTCAAAATAATAATATGGGGGAGTGATAAAAGTATAGATAAAATAAGATTAGCCTTGTGTCGATAATTATTTAAGTTTGGTGATGGGTATGTGGAGATTTAATACACTATTCGACTTTTTTCCATAATATAGATTTTAAAAATTAATGTATTTATGTAAATTAGATAGTATCTTGTAAACAAGTGAAAGGCAAGCAATAAACTGGGCAAAATATGCAATATGCGTATTTCAATATGCAGCTAACAGAAAAAAATGTCATAAGTGGGTAATTCATAAAAGAAGAAATACAGGCCAGGTGCAGTGTCTCACGCCTGTAATCCCAGCACTTTGGGAGGCTGAGGTGGGCTGATCACTTGAGGTCAGGAGTTTGAGACAAGCCTGGCCAACATGGCAAAACCCAATCTCTACTAAAAATAGAAAAATTAGCTAGGCGCGGTGGCACACACCTATGATCCCAGCTACTCAGGAGGCTGAGGCAGGAGAATCCCTTGAACCCGGGAGGCAGAGGCTTCAGTGAGCCAAGATCGTGCCACTGCACTCCAGCCTGGGCAACAGAGTGAAACTTCATCTCAAACAAACAAACAAAAAACACAAAAAAATATGAAATACAAACAACCACTTATACATTTTTATATATAAGTATAAATACACTCAACTTCACTAATTGTAGAAGACAGAATAATGGCCCTCCCAAAGGTGTCCATGTTCTAATCCACAGACCTGTGAATATATTTCCTTACAGAACAAAAAGGGACTTTGCAGCTATGATTAAATTAAGAATCTTCAGATGGGGAGTTTATCCTGAAATATCTAGGGGAGCCCACTGTAATACAGAGAGTCCTCATAACAAGGAGACAAGAGTGTTAATGTTAGAGAGAAGGCTATGTGAGGAAGGAAGCAGCCAGTGAAGGAGATATAATGACATCATGTTGGTGGCTCTGAAGACGAAGGAAGGAGCCATGAGCCAAGAAATGCAGGTGGCTTCTAGAATCTGGGAAGGGCAAGGAAACCAATTCTTTCCTAGAGCCTTCAGAAGGAAGCAGCCCTGCTGACACCTAGAGGTTAGCCCATTGACTATGCCCGGAAAACACTCAACATACCATCTGATCCCACTTTAAATTCTTGCCTACTGACTTCCAGTGGGCTGGAAGGGGTCCCTATCTCCGCCAACACTACAATAATGCAATATTTCCCACCAATTTACCCTCCTACTCTCCTAGACAGCTATTTTACAGCTTCTGAGCTTTCCTCAAATCTCCCAACTTCTCTTTTGGGTCATGCTGTTTGCTGGAGGGAGGGACTTCACCACATACTTACGAAGGGGTCATGAGCAACCAGAACTTCCTTTTTTGTTCATCTGATACAGGGTTTCACTTTGTCACCCAAGCTGGAGTGCAGTGACATGATCACGGCTCACTGAAGCCTCAAACTCAAGCAATTCTCCTACCTCAGCCACCCAAGGCGCTAGGACCACAGCTGCATGCCACCACACCTGGCTAATTTTTAAATTTTTATAGAGATGGGGGTCTCACTATGTTGCCCAGGTTGGTGTCAAACTCCTGGGCTCAAGACATCCTCCCAAAGTGCTGGGAATACAGGCTTGAGCCACCACATCCTGCAACTGGCCCAGAACGTTGAAACTCTCCTACCTCTACTTATGTATGCCAGCATCTGTACCCACCTACTCCTCTGTCCCACTTGTTACTTTCAATACACTGTGCTCCTGTCTAAAACCAATCCCTCCCCTCTCACCTCAAGAACATTGCTTCTGTAGTTCTCCATCATTGTGAAATTTTTCCTCTCCACTGGCTCATTTGTACCAGCATACAGACGTGATTTTAAAGCACCCAGTGTAAAAACAACAGAATTCCTCCTACAATATCCCTCTCTAGCAATCAGTCAGTTTCTCTGCTCCTTCTTAGAGCAAAGCTCCTAAAAAGAGATTTTTATACTTGCTGTCTCCAATTCCTCTTCTATCCTTTTTGAACCCACTTCAATGGGCTGTTAATCCATCCTCAGCACAGTTCTACCCAGTGGGAGTCATTATTTCCATTGTACAGAAGAAGAGCAGAGTTTCAGAGAGTTTGGGCAACTTATTCAAAATCACACTCAGCCTGACCCTAAAGCCTATGCCCTTTCTACTCACTGCTTCAGCCTGGCCCTCAAACTTTAGTTTCTTACTCACATGTAAACTGTACTGCCTAGCCAGACTCCTGTAACACTGGCCTTGTTACATGTCTTGTAAAGTGTTTATTAGATTTGATTCCAATTCATTTATGAACCATAACGTATTGATTTTGAAACTAATATATTTCAGATCTTATCTGGTTGTGTCATGGCTCACACTGACATAATATTTTCTCTTATAGTTGTTGTTTTTCAGAAGGATTTCATTAATATTTCTTTAGGCATGAGGCTATATTATTATAATCCATATTATACTATTTATTCATAAATTTATTATTTTCATTTTAACACATGCTCATAAAGAATGTAGGAAATGGGAAACAAAAAATATACTTACCATAATTACATCACCAAATACAAATACTGTTAGCACTTCTGTTTCCTTCTAGATTTTCATTTTTTTTAGTTCTAATCATCGCAAATGTAGAAAAGTAATCTTGCAATTATTGTTAAAATATGCAAAGAAATCAACATAAAATAAAAGCACCAGTACTCAAGGATATATGATATGAATTTTTTTTTTGAGGCAGAGTCTCGCTCTGTTGCCAGGCTAGAGTACAGTGGTGTGATCTCAGCTCACTGCAACCTCTGACTCCCTGGTTCAAGCTTTTCTCCTGCCTCAGACTCCCAAGTAGCTGGGATTACAGGCACGTGCCACCACACCCAGCTACTTTTTGTATTTTTAGTAGAGACGGGGTTTGACCACGTTGGCTAGGATGGTCTTGATCTCCTGACCTCTTGATCTGCCAGACTTGGCCTCCCAAAGTGCTGGGATTACAGGCGTGAGCCACCACGCCCAGCCCTGAATGCTTAATTTAGCATAGGAAAAAACCGAAATGAAAACATTAATAAAAACAGCGACATAATTTCTTTCTTTCTTTTTTTTTTTGAGACGAAGTCTTGCTCTGTCGCCCAGGCTGGAGTGCAGTGGTGCGATCTTGGCTCACTGCAACCTCGTCTTACCAGGATCAAGTGATTCTCCTGCCTCAGCCTCCTGAGTAGCTGGGACTATAGGCGCGTGCCACCACACCCAGCTAATTTTTGTATTTTTAGTAGAGGCAGGGTTTCACCATGTTGGTCAGGCTGGTCTCAAACTCCTGACCTCGTGATCCGCCTGCCTTGGGCTTCCAAAGTGCTGGGATTACAGGCATGAGCCACTGCGCCCAGCTGAGACCATTTCATTTTATGGTTAAAAAAAAAAAGAAAAAGAAAAGGATGCTGAAAATACACTATTAGTATTTATTAAGATGACCCTTAAAAGGGAGAAAAGGATTAAACAAAATCAGACTAATAATTTTATTTTTTTGAGGTGGAGTTTCACTCTTGTTGACCAGGCTGGAATGCAATGGTGCGATCTCAGCTCACTGCAAACTCCACCTACTGGGTTCAAGCGATTCTCCTGCCTCAGCCTCCGGAGTAGCTGGGATTACAGGCATGCACCACCACACCTGCTATATATTTTTTTGTATTTTTAATAGAGACAGGGTTTTACCATGTTGGTCAGGCTGGTTTCAAACTCCTGACCTCAGGTGATCCGCCCACTTCAGCCTCCCAAAGTGCTGGGATTACAGGCGTGAGCCACCACGCCCAGCCAGACTAATAATTTTAAACCATTTGGTTTAAATAAAATATTTTTCTTATCCCCCCCAATTTGCAAAAAGGAATCTTGTTGACTTGGGACAACACTGTCATCTGGACTCCACAAATAATATTCTAGTTACTGCATTTATATTTGTTTTATATTTCATTTATTTCTTTTTGAGACACAGTCTCACTCTTGCTGCCCAGGCTGGAGTGCAGTGGCACTATCTAAGCTCAATGCAACCTCCGCCTCCTGAGTAGCTGGGATTACAGGCGTGTGCCACCACACCTGGCTAATTTTGTTTGTTTGTTTTCACATGGAGTTTCGCTCTTGTTGCCCAGACTGGAGGGCAATGGCACGGATCTTGGCTCGCAGCAACCTCCGCCTCCCAGGTTCAAGAGATTCTCCTGCCTCAGCCTCCTGAGTAGCTGGGATTACAGGCATGCACCACCATGCCCGGCTAATTTTGTATTTTTAGTAGGGATGGGGTTTCACCATGTTGGTCAGGCTGGTTTCAAACTCCTGACCTCAGGTGATCCGCCCACCTCAGCCTCCCAAAGTGCTGGGATTGCAGGCGTGACCTGCTGTGCCCAGCCTGTTTTATATTTTAGCTACTTGTTTGAAGGCTTTTGGACTCAAACACAAATACTGATACAATTTTGGAGAATAATTTTATCCACTTATATTCTACCCACTGGAATACTCTATAGATGAGAAAGATAGACCTTGAAGAGGTCCAGAATATGCCACTATGGCATAAAAACTATTTCAAGCAGAAGGTATTTGAGCTTCTGGGATCTTACCTATCTAAAAGCAGAGTCTCCCAGTATAATTCAATTGTTATCAGTTCCCTCCCTGGGAGCAACCAGGGAAGACTGGCTCTTATCACAGAAGATGAGATGTCTCCATACCACACCTAAACAGATATTGTCACAGAACTACCATATCTCCCATGTATTCTTCTAAAGGCCCTTTTAAATCATTTATTTTCCTATAAGTGCCGTTCCCCCCTACCTTAAGATGGTATATAAACCCCCCAATTTTTTTTTTTTTTTTTTTTTTGAGACAGGGTCTGGCTCTGTTGCCCAGGCTGGAATGCAGTGACACAATCTTGGCTTACTGTAATTTCCATCTCCCAAGTAGCCGGGCTTACGGGCACATGCCATCACACCCGGCTAATTCTTATATTTTTTGTAGAGATGGGGTTTTGCCATGTTGCCTAGGCTGGTCTTGAACTCCTGAGCTCAAGCAACCCACCGCCTGGGTCTCCCAAAGTGCTGGGATTACAGGCGTGAGCCACCACGCCTGGACCCCCGAATTCTAACCACCTCTTTGAGTTACATTGTTCTGTGAACTCCTGTAAATGCATTAACTAAGATGTACAATTGAATTTTGTCTTTTCTCTTGCTAGTCTATCTTTTGTCATAATTTGCAGGCCCCCAGGAATGGAAACTAAGAGGTTAAAGGAACAGTTTTTCTATACAGGTGCAACTATAGAAGCAAGCATTATGCATGGTTACATTAGCATCACTATTTGTGATGAATCTATAGCAAGGCAATTACTGCCATGGATGTCCCTACCTATGCCATCAACCCTGGAATTTGGAAATAAGAAAGGCATCAGACACAGCAGAGATTTGGCAAGGGACATGAAAGAGACTTCCAAATGCTTCCATGAAGTAAACTGCACTATAACCAGACTGCAATGTAAATATATCAACAGAAGGAGTCAGTGAGACCCTAAAAGGATAAGAAGGAGCCCAGGGAACAGCTTTGGAGTGATTTCTGGATGCATTATCTGGGGCAAGGGCCACTTGGCCACTCCATTGGAATACTATGATCTCCATATCAGGGAGGAGTCGAGGCTCCTAAACTCCCTCAGCTGAAGGACACTCCTTAAAATCACCCACATTCTTTTGTTGCGATGCTAAGTAGGCACTCAGTAAATGCTTACTGAATGCATGAAGAAGGCTCCTCCAGGCAGCCTTCTGATTGTAATCTGGCTTCCCTGTAACTTCCTATGGGGAGAATGTGCAGACAGGAGGAGTCTCTTCCTTCAGACAGTTAACATTTCTTCTTACACATTAACAAATGATCAAACACGAGTGTGGTGCAAGGTTCAGATAGCAAAAGCAGATTTCACAGGGCTTAAACAGTGTCTGCACCAGTGATGAGAACCAGACAGCACTCCAGGACCAGACACTGCGGAGGCAGCAGCCAGCACCCCACAACACTCCACCTCTCAAAAGTCCCCCAATCCACACCACTTACCCTTAGTCACGTATGCAACTTCTACTGGTTTCCCCCAACCCCTAGACCTTTAATTGAATAAATATTTACTAAATGTCTACAAAGGGCCAGTCCTAAAATGTATACGACTGTGAAATAGACAAACAGGGTTTTTAGCCAGTCCTAAAATGTATACGACTGTGAAATAGACAAACAGGGTTTTTAGCCTCTTGAGGATTGAGGTCCCCTCAGCTGGGGATACAAGATAGCAAGAGGTGAGTTTAAGACAATGGATAAAAGCAATGCTAGAGGCATATGGGAGCACCAGATTCTGACAGAGTGGGAGAGAAGTCTTCCAGACTGAAAACTGAAGAATAAGCAGGCACCAGGATGTGGATGGAAAATGATCCTGAGCTTACCTTTCATTCATAATTTCCTTCCTTCTTTGGCTATCTATTTGATTCATAAGATGTTTCCAAGGTCATTTCATTTTCTTATTATTAGAGTTTAATTAAATGATAATTTAACCTAAATATAATTTCATTTTACCACGATGTTTCTAGGGTATCTCAGAGTAAATGCTTCTTTTGATTGATAAATAAATTTTAGATCTTAAGCAAAATGCATAGTCCTCTGTAATGTCTATGAAAGGTTTTTTTTTTTTTCTTTTTTTTTTTGAGACAGAGTCTCGCTCTGTCGCCAGGCTGGAGTGCCGTGGTGTGGTCTTGGCTCACTGCAACCTCCGCCTCCTGGGTTCAAGGGATTCTCCCGCCTCAGCCTCCCAAGTAGCTGGGATTACAGGCACGCGCCACCATGCCCGGCTAATTTTTGTATTTTTAGTAGAGATGGGGTTTCACCATGTTGGCCAAGCTGGTCTTGAACTCCTGACCTCATGATCTGCCCACCTCAGCCTCCCAAAGTGCTGGGATTACAGGCGTGAGCCCCCGCCGGACCTGTTTGTTTGGTTTTTGTTTTGAGACAAAGTCTTGCTCTGTCACCCAGGCTAGAGTGCAGTGGTGCTATCATGGCTCACTGCAGCTTGGAACTCCTGGGCTCAAGTGATCCTCGGGCCTCAGCCTCCTGAGTAGCTGGGACCACAGGCTTGAGCCACCATGCCCAGGTAATTTTTAAAATTTTTTATAGAGACAGGGTCTCACTATGATGCCCAGGATGGTCTCGAACTCCTAGGCTCAAGTAATCCTCCCGCCTCGGCCTCCCAAAGTACTAGAATAGTAGGTGTGAGCCACTGTGATGGCCCAATATATTTTTTTAATTTAATTTAATTTTTTTGAGACAGAGCCTTGCTCTGTCACCCAGGCTGGAGTGCAGTGGCGCAATCTCGGCTAACGGCAACCTCCACCTCCTGGGTTCAAGCGATTCTTCTGCCTCAGCCTCCCAAATAGCTGGGATTACAGTTGTGTGTCATCATGCCCGGTTAATTTTTGTATTTTTAGTAGAGACGGGGTTTTGCCGTGTTGGCCAGGCTGGTCTCAAACTCCTGACCTCAGGTGACCCACCCGCCTTGGCCTCCCAAAGTGCTAGGATTACAGGCGTGAACCACCACACCCAGTCTTAATTTTTTATCTCTAGGCCTGCCCTGAGATTTAAGCCTGTTCAACCCACAACCCAGGACAGCTTTGAATGTGGCCACAAATTCATATGCTTTCTTAAAACATTGAGATTTTTTTTTTAGTTCATCGGCTATCATTAGTTTTAGTGTATTTTATGTGTGACCCAGGGAAGCCAAAATATTGGACACCCCTGATCTAAACCCATTGCCACACTTGGGGAAAAACATGCCCAGAGGGGATAATCTTTCCCCTCCCCAGTGGAGGGCTCAGGTCCATTAAACTGCCTGACCTCCCAGCATTCGGGTTCCTCAGAGATGCAGATAGCCCATTTCACAAAACAGAATGCCCACAAAAGCCTGGGCTGCGCCTACAGGCTACCTGGGAGGTACAGGCCCACACAGAGAAACAAGAGGTGGCAACCTACAGTAAATCATGTTTTACCATTTCAACAGAAGTCTGGAATTATAGACCAGAGCCATATTAAGTCAAATTCCTACTTTCCAGTGGATTTTCCTGTGTATTGTCTCTAGTCGCTTCCCTGTGGTGATCAGATGTAAAGCTTATTTTGAAAAATAAAAGGCCTGCACAGGTCAGGGAGTGGGTTGGGAGAGCCAGAGAAGAGCACATTCCACCCTACAGGAGGCCTGGAGGAGGGAGGCCTTCCAGGAAAGATGGATGGCAGGGAAGGCAGGCTGGGAAGGAGAGTGAGGGACAAAGGCATCAGGGCTGAGTAGTGGAAAGGCCGTCCCTCCAGAAGTTCTGCCACAGCCACATTCAGGATCTCCTAAGTGAGCTAGGCGGGGGCCTTAAAAAGAACGGGTAGGAGGTTAACACACTTACTGTGGAAGTGGGCTATGAAGAAAGAACAGGTGTAACAGCCTCTCAACATCTATAGACCAGCAAATGCCATAAAATTTTACTGCCCTTAAAACTCATGGATAATATTTATTTAGTGAGCATAGGAACAGTGACTGGAATAATGAATACTTGCTATGTGTCAGGCACTATTTCTAGTTCTTCCCATACACAATATATATACATATACATATATATGTATACACACACATAACATTATATATGTCTCCACTCATTTAATCCTCTCAACAATCCTATTGTTACCAGAAAGGAGTGACACTATGAGGTTGGTTCTATTATTATTTCCATTTTACAGATGATGATATAGGCTCACAGAGGTTAAGTAACCAGATGTAACTCATAGGTGAGTGCTTTGGAAACTCTACTAAGATCCTACTTACACTTGAACTTCAGCTATTCTTATAAACCTGGATATTGAGGCAGCATTGTGTTTTTGTTTTTGCTTTTCCTTTGGTAGATATAGGGCCTCACTATGTTGACCAGGCTGTCTTTAAGTCCTGGCCTCAAGTGATCCTCCCGCCTTGGCCTCCCAAAGTGCTGGGATTACTGGGCCATGCTGCTCTATTGTACTCTTGTATACTGTTATGGATTCTGGAGCTAGATTGGGCTTGAATCCTGAGCTCTGCCACTTAGCAGCTGTGGTGTGACCTTAGCCGAATGAGCATAATGAAATCAGCCTGACCAACATGGAGAAACCCCATGTCTACTAAAAATACAAAATTAGCGGGGCGTGGTGGCGCATGCCTGTAATACCAGCTACTCAGGAGGCTGAGGTAGTAGAATCGCTTGAACCTAGGAGGCAGAGGTTGCGGTGAGCCGAGATCGTGCCATTGCACTCCAGGCTGGGCAACAAGAGCGAAACTCTATCTCAAAAAAAAAAAAAAAAAGAATGAGCATAATGATACTGCCTACTCTACAGGGTGGTTATGAAGATTATATTAGCTAATATATGCAAAGTTATTAGAACAATGTCTACAATATGGTCAAAGTTGACCACCACTAAAGGTCTATGTTAAATGACAAGTAGCAAATCGGAGTGGAAAGGACTATTATGCATAGCAAGGGGAACTGCTAACAACCTTAACAGCAAAAGGGAAAAGAGTGGCCAGGCTTGGTGGCTCATGCCTATAATCCCAGCACTTTGAGAGGCTGAGGCGGGCGGATCACCTGAGGTCAGGAGTTCGAGAGCAGCCTGACCAACATGGAGAAACCCTGTCTCTACTAAAAATACAAAATTAGCTGGGCGTGGTGGCGCATGCCTGTAATCCCAGCTACTCGGGAGGCTGGGGCAGGGAGGTGGAAGTTGCAGTGAGCCAAGATCGCACCACTGCACTCCAGCCTGGGCAACAAGGGCGAAACTCCGTCTTGAAAAAAAAAAAAAAAAAACAGAAAACACGGAAAATAGTATAATAAAAGACAGGTATGTACGGGACATGTGACCCTCCAGCCCTCAAATAAAAACTAGACATTCACAACCAGGTTGGGATAAAGAAATTGACCTGAGATAATGTCTACAACACTTAAGACAATTATCGGCAGCGCCGTGGCTCACGCTTGTAATCCCAGCACTTTGGGAGGCCGAGGTGGGCGGATCACGAGGTCAGGAGATCAAGGCCACGGTGAAACCCCGTCTCTACTAAAAATACAAAAAATTAGCCGGGCATGGTGGCGGGAGCCTGTAGTCCCAGCTACTCGGAGAGGCTGAGGCAGGAGAATGGCGTGAACCTGGGAGGCGGAGGTTGCAGTGAGCCGAGACTGCGCCACTGCACTCCAGCCTGGGTGACAGAGCGAGACTCAAAAAAAAAAAAAAAAAGACAATTATCAGTTTTTAAGTTTTTGCTATAAAGGATCATTAATGGTTAGCTTTATTATAATCCGGTGGTTTAACAAATCAATGTAGAAAAATGTTGATTGGGCCTTAGTCCTGTCAAAGATAAATTTTATGAAATTAAAATGAACTTGCATTTTTCAAACTTTGTGGCATTTACTTAGAGCAGAACTGGATTTACTGAAAGCAGAATATATTATTCAATATTACACATTAATTTTCAGAATAAAAATGTAAACATTAATTTAATTAACTCATTGGGTTTTTTAAACTACTGTTACTACAAATGACCTGCTTTTCAGCCAATATATACATAAAATGAGATTTATTTCATAGTAAATTCCATGTATATGTAATTAACAGACCCTCTATAACCAACTATGTGCATCGACAAAGTGTTACTTACTGTGCTGTGTGCTGAAATGGTTGCCCTCTGCTAGAGGGATAGGTATTGCCTTAGGGAAGTACCCTTTTCAATTTCAAACCAGAAAACTAGGAACTGTCAGGGAAGGTGTTAAGAAGGCTGTCAGGACCTTTTCCTTGCCCTGTCTCTTGGCCTAGTCTTGAGGAATCTAGGTGAATACCCTTCTTCCCCACTAGACTTGGCTCTTACAAAGAACTTGGCAAACATGTTTTGTTCTACTCTAGCCCCTACCATCAAGCCTGGCTAATGATTCCTTGGATGCTGGGAGTAAAGAGGGCCCAGTATGCATGAATAGCCCAAGACCTAGGAAGACAGGGATCCCCGTGAGCTGCAGAGGGTAAACAAATTCTATAAGCCACATGATCTTGATTGACGTCACTCTCACTCATAGAATTTATTTCTCCTAGCAGCTAGAACCCAGCTCAGCTGTAGACTAGATAATAATTCACAGCAACTGGTCCACAGCCTTAAAGGGGGAAGCAGTGCCTCCTAGAGGCAATTATGCTGGTGGAAGCAGTAATTTGTGAGACCTGAGGAGATGGTCCATACATCTTGGGGAATACAATAATGATAATATGGTCCGGTTGAACCTCTCCACTGGGATCTTCTCCATTAAGTTACAAAGTTTGGGCTGGGCATGGTGGCTCATGCCTGTAGTCCCAGCACTTTGGGAGGCCAAGGCAGGAGGATCGCTTGCACTGAGGAGTTTGAGATCAGCCTGGGCAGCAGAGTGAGACTCTCTACAAAAATAAAAAACAAAAATAGCTGGGTCCAGGCACAGTGGCTCATGCCTGTAATCCCAGTACTTTGGGAAGCCAAGGCAGGAGGACTGCTTGAGCCCAGGAATTCAAGAACAGCCTGGGCAACATGGTGAAACCCTGTCTATAAAAAATACAAAAAAATAGCCAGGCATGGTGGCGCACACTTGTAGTTTCAGGTACTTGGGAGGCCGAGGTGGGAGAATAACCTGAGTCCAGGAGTTGGGAGCTAAAGTGAGTCATAACCAGTCACTGCACTCCAGCCTGGGCAACAGAGAGAACTTGTCTGAAACAATAACAACAACAACAAAACAACCAGCCAGGCAGGGCATGGTGGCTCACACCTGTAATCCCAGCACTTTGGGAGGCTGAGGCAGGGGGATCACAAGGTCAGGAGTTAGAGGCCAGCCCGGCCAAGATGGTGAAACCCTATCTCTACTAAAAATACAAAAATTAGCCAGGTGCGGTGGTTGGCCCCTGTAATCTCAGCTACTCAGGAGGCTGAGGAAGGAGAATCGCTTGAACCCTGGAGGCAGAGGTTGCAGTGAGCTGAGATTGCACCACCACACTCCAGCCTGGGCAACAGGGTGAGACTCCGTCTCAAAAAAAAAAAAAAAAAAAAAAACCTACTACGAAAAAAACCGACCAGCCAGGTGTAGTAGCACATGCCTATAGTCTCAACTACTCTGTAGGCTGAGGTACAACGATTGCTGGAGCCCAGGAGGTAGAGGCTGTAGTGAGCCATGATCATGCCACTGCACTCCAGCCTGGGCAACAGAGCAAGACTCTATCTCAGAAAGAAAGAAAAAGGAAGGAAGGAAGGATTGATTTGTGGTTTCATTTTTATTTAAAGAATGCAGTTGTGTGTGTGTGGTGGGGCGGGTTTCAGAGATGGGGTTAGGGGGTCGTGTCTCATTATGTTGCCCAGGCTGGACTCTAACTCCTGGGCTCAAGGGATCCTTCCACCTCAGCCTCTGGAGTAGCTAGGACTACAGGCACACATCACTGCACCCAGCTCAAATAATGCAGTTTTTTACAGTATCATCTATTCCAAGGGTTGCTAACCTGTTCCCTTCAACTCCATCAACTCACTCTGGGTCCTCACTTGGGTAAGAATAGACCAGCTCTGATGGCCCTTGGCTTGAATTTATTGAAAGGGTATAGACTAAGGTCAGCTAATTCCATTTAATGGGAAAAAAGAGCTTATTGAACATATGACCACATACTAGGTAATGTAATGTGCTAGGTACCAAGCTATTACTGAATGTTAATGATACCTTCTATAAATGACAAGGTGTGGGATGTGTTTGGACTGCTTTATTTTTTCTAGGGACAGAGTCTCACTATGTTACCAAAGCTGGTCTTGAATTCCTGGGCTCAAGCAATCCTCCTGCCTTGACCTCCCAAAGTGCTGGGATTACAGATGTGAGTACCACACCCAGCCTGCTTCTCGAGTTGGTGGATGACGACATGAGAAACCAAGAGGACTGTCTCTCCTTGTCTCCATGTACTCTGACAAGATTGCAGCTTTGTCACAGGCCAGAAACAACTGGGAAACACTTCCTCTATAAGTGGGCCTCTGTAATCTATTGGTTACTTTTCCACATCTCATAAATTATGTACTTCCCCAAGTGAGCTAACTTAGCTGGGAAGTAAGCAAAATTGACCCTTTAACAATAGGGGTTTGAACTTTCTCCCACAAGAATACAAGCTCCACAAAAGCAAACATTTTTGTCTGTTTTAATCATTGCTAAATCCCCAGTGGCATAGTAGCTGCTCACTAGCCGCTTATTTATTTGTCGAATAAATAAATGATGAAGCCAGGATTCAAATTTAAGTCTGTCTGGCTTTATTTATTTATTTTTCAGGAACGGGGTCTCACTTTGTTGCCCAGGCTAGAGTGCAGTAGTGTAATAATAGCTCACTACATCCTCAAACTGCTAGGCTCAAGCAATCCTCCTGTCTCAGCCTCCCACGTAGCTGGAACTACAGGTGCACACCACTAGGCCTGGATAATTTTTTTTTTTAAGAGATGGGGGTCTCACTATGTTGCCCAGGCTGGTCTTGAAATCCTAGCTTCAGGCAATCCTTCTGCCTTGGCCTCCCAAAGTGCTGGGATTATAAGCAGGAGACACCGTGCCTGGCCCTGTCTGGCTTTATTTTATTTTATCCTTTCTCACCATTCCTATTCAACCTGTCTGGCTTTAAAGAGTAATTTTCAGCTGGGTGCAGTGGCTCACGCCTGTAATCCTAACACTTTGGGAGGCCAAGACGGACAGATCACCTGAGGTCAGGAGTTCAAGACCAGCCTGGCCAACATGGTGAAACCCCATCTCTACTAAAATACAAAAATTAGCTGGGCATGATGGCGGGTGCCTGTAATCCCAGCTACTTGGGAGGCTGAGGTGGGAGAATCTCTTGAACCCAGGAGACAGTGGTTGCAGTGAGCCAAGATTGTGCCACTGCACTCCAGCCTGGGCGGTTGAGTGAGACCCCATCTCAAAGAAAAAAAAAAAAAAAGACTAATTTTCTTCCTACTGTCTGTCTCTCTTATAATTATTCTCATCACCTACCATATAGTGTGAGGAAAATAAAAAAAGAATAAAGGAAAGGGGCAGGGCATGGTGGCTCACGCCTATAATCCCAGCACTTTGGGAGGCCAAGGTGGGCGGATCACCTGAGGTCAGGAGTTTGAGACCAGCCTGGCCAACGTGGTGAAATCCTGCCTCTACTAAAAATACAAAAATTAGCTGGGCATGGTGGTGCGTGCCTGTAATCCCACCTACTCAGGAGGCTGAGGCAGGAGAACTGCTTGAATCCAGGAGGCGGAAGCTGCAGTGAGCCAAGATCATGCCATTTCACTCCAGCCTGTGCAACAACAGCAAAACTCCATCTCAAAAAATAAATAATATAATATAATATAAAGGAAAGGAAGAATGAAAGGGAAGGAGAAAGAGATGGTACCAAAGAGGATGGGATGAAATTCAGGCTCGGGCATCAGCTGCAACATGGAGCCCCTTGGGTCTCTCCTCCCTAGCAAACTAGTAGTTTTGTTGGGGTTCCAGATGACATTTCTCTTCCACAACTGCTTCTACTTAATTTGTTCCCTAAGTCTGTTGTTATTTGTGATTATAAAAAAGAAAAGCTGGAAATTATGGAACAATTGAAAGAAGAAATAATCACACAAAACCCTTCCATCAAAATACAACTACTGTTAGCAGATTTTGAATGTCCTCAACACAAAGAAATGATAACTGTTTGAGGTGATAGATACGCTAATTACCCTAATTTGATCATTATACATTGTATACATGTATTGAAATGTCATATTGTATCCCATAAATATGTACGATTATGTGCCAATTTAAACAATTTTATATATATACATATACATATATATCTACTCTTAGTTTATATCTTACTACATTTCCTTCTAAGCTTTTTCCTGTGTAAATATTTTAAACTTAGCTGGGATCATTCAGTAATTTCATATCTTGATTTATTCCTTTTTTACCATCATTTTTAATTTCTGTCATATACTAACATTATTTTGAGGTACATGATCTCATCATACTCAATGTAAAATTCTCAGTTAAATAAAGTGAGATTTTACTGCCAACTGGTATTAAATTTTCATGTTTTTCACATTGATTCTGTGAGAAGAGAATGTTAAAATTCCAGTTCTTACAACTGACAAGAGGAAAGATTTTTACAGTTCCCTCTGTCAAATATTTTTTAAACTGCAAAGAATCAATACAACATATGATTGTGTTTCTTTATAAAGCTGAGCAAATGCCATTATTCTCTGAGTATTTTCCCCTCCTAGGTCCCTCTAGATTACGATCACTGGGAGAATAAATGAATAGCCATTAACCCCAAAAGTGAACAATTATCTTGAACTATAAGGGAGGTGAAAATATCCAAATAGAAAGAAATTTGAATCAGGCTTTTTACTTAATATACACATAATGTTGTCTTCATCTAGTATATAAGACCATTCCATAAAGAGTTCTGTAGATTAATACAGTATGGAAGTAGTCTTAGTTATATAGCTGAAGGGAGTGACAAAAGATTTAAGAGAATATAGAATTTCTAAAACCAGCAAAAGGAACTATAGTATAGTGACTAGACTAGAGTTGCAGACCTGTTATGCTATTTACTAGCTATGTGACCAAAAGTGATCAAAAAACAAAACAAAACAAATAAACAAAACCCTATTCCCATAGGTTAGAGGTGGGTATTTTTAAGTATCAATCATAATTCAATTTAATCCTTACACCAATGCTATTAGGTTGGCAAGTTGCTTACCTAGTTTTTATCCTCCCTTCTATTGAGAGAATATGTCCATATCAAAACAAAACAAGAAAATAATTCATTTCCCAGGCACTCTGGCAGCTAAGAATGGACACAGTTCTTAACAAAATAGGTGGAAGTTGAAAGATGGAGATTCCTGGAAAGCTTTTCATACAGGAGGCAGACTGGCAACCACCAATGATTCAGGCAAGAATATGAAAGGATGCTAAAATTGGAGAGTGAAAGTTTGATGAGAAACAGGATATTTATACAGTATTAAAGCATGTTCCCAAATGATACTTACTAATTACAAGGGGAAAAAATAGTAACTGTACAATGGAGAAGACCGGTAGACAGTACTTTAAACTATTAATCAAAAGTGATATCACTGGCAGGGAGTGGTGGATCCTGCCTGTAATCTTGGCACTTTGGGAGGCCAAGGTGGAGGATTGCTTTAGGCCAGGAGTTCAAGACCAGCCTGGGCAACACAGCGAGACTCTCAACAGAAATCAAAATAAAATAAAATACATTAGTCAGGCATGTTGACAAGTGCCTGTAGTCCTAGCGACTCAGGAGGCTGAAGCAGGAGGATCCCTTGAGCCCAGGAATTTGAAGTCACAGTGAGCTATGAATGGGGCACTATACTGCAGCCCAGGCGACACAGTAAGACCCCATCTCAAAAAACAAAAACAAACCAAAAAAGTGGTAACACTAATAATGGGAAAAATAGATGTCATATACTTTCTGAGAGGATATACTATGAGAAGGACAGCACTTCTGTGATATTCTAATTGTGAGGCAAGCTCAGACAAACCTAAATTGAGGGGCATTCTACAAAATAACTGACCAATACTGTACTCTCCAAAACATCAAGATTATGAAAGACACAGAAAGATGGAGTAACTATTACAGATTAAAGACAGCTAAAGAGACATGACATCTAAACACAACATATAATCCTGAATTGGATCCTAGACCAAAAGAAAAAAACTTTTTCCCCAAAAAGGAAATTAGTGGGACTACTGCCAAAATTTGAATAAGGCCTGTAGATTAATTAGATAATGGCAATGTATCAGTGTTCATTTCCTGGTTTTGATTATTAAAATCATTGAGAAAATACTTTTGTCTTTAGTAATTAGACACTGAAGTATTTAGGTGGTCAAGTGACATCATGCCTACAAATTCCTCTCACATATTCAGGGGGAAAATATATACATTTAAAGAAAAGAAATGATGCTGGGCACAGTGGCCCACGCCTGTAACCCCAGCACTTTGGAAGGCCGGGGCGGGCAGATCACGTGAGGTCAGGAGTTCGAGACCAGCCTGGCCAACATGGCGAAACCCCATCTCTACTAAAAATACAAAAAATTAACTGGGCGTGGTGGCGAGTGCCTGTAATTCCAGCTACTCAGGAGGCAGAGGCAGGAGAATCACTTGAACCCGGGAGGCGAAGGTTGCAGTGAGCCAAGATCGCACCACCGCACTCCAGCCTGGGCAACAAAAGTGAAACTCCATGTCAGAAAAAAAAGAAAAGAAATGATAAAGCAAATGGGGTAAAAAGGTTCACCTTTTGCAATCTCTCTGCAATTCTGAAATTAGTTCAATATAAAAAGTTAAAAGGGTAGAAGAATGGGAAAGGCACACTCATTTGTAGATACTTTTTCCCCTTCACCTTTGCCCCTTTTCTTGCCCAGAATAAGAAATGTGATGCTGGAGATAGAACAGTCAGCCTGTAACCTCAGGCCAAGGATGCCTGCACAGAAAAATTCCAGCTTGCATCCAAGCTGGCATCCTACAGCCTCTGTTGTTAGTCCTGCACTGCCTACCTCCTAATTTATTCAAGACACTCTTTAGTTTGGTGTTCTATTGCAGCACGTGGTAATCCAATTGATACAGCAAAATTAAATAATTTGCCCAAGGTTACAGCAGTCCAAAAGTGGCAACATCTGTCTAGGTTTGCAAAGAAAACATGCTTTTCTGGTCTGTATCATGCTGAAGTCTAGGCTTCTCTCTCTGTGAAACAGGAATAAGAATTTCTAGCAGTCCAGAACGAAAAACACACAGAAGACTGCCTATGGCAGGGCCTGGCACAGAGGACAGAGGCTCAAATGTTTGCCGAATCAATAATTCAAGAAACCAAGCACATCTGTTTTCAGTATTCTGGTATACTGAGCTATTTTAAGTACTGAAGGAAAAAAAAACTGTATTTATGTGGGTGCAATACTCTAGCTGCTGCAGATATTAGTCAGCAATTTCATTCAGTTTCTTGGATCTCTCTCACACTCGATCCTCACTGTATCCTTCACAGAAATCCTTCTACCCTCTCTTTGTCCATCAGCTCCTGCAACTCATGTCCCCATCAAAGGGGCAGAGTATGGATCCCATGTGAAAAGCTCTCTGAACACAGTGGCTTACTCAGCTGGGGCAGGCAAGTGTTAGACCACAAGAAGGACCATCCTTCCCAGGTTGTCAGAAAAAAATCAAAACTGCTGCACCAGGAAGGCCTAGCCTCTGGCCAGAGCTAAGCAGCTATCCAGAGGCTGAGGCTCAAAAAGCTTCATGCAACAGAGTTAAAGGTGCAGGAAAGAAGACACTGAAAGCTAATCAACCCATCAGCCATGCCCCGGGGCTTTTCTGAAGTTGATAGCAATCACTAATATATGTTAAAATGAAATGTGTTAAATACTTCCTTTCACTGATTGGTTTTAAATGGGACAAATTACGAACTTTTTAAAAAACAAAGATCCTGGTATTTATTACACCATAAATACCAAAATACCAGTATAGTCATTTTTCTCTGACCCAGATACTAGAACGAGACCTAGATAGCAGCACCCTCACATGAAGGAGACCGGCTGCTGCAATAACCTATACAGACCTTAGATTCTGAGCTTTTTAGGAGTCAATACTCACATACTTGGGAAAGAGAGAGCACATCTAGGACTAGGGTCTAGGTCACTTTGGGTCACAGACTTTGTGCCCCTGTCCTGAAAAGGTCATGTGTGTAGGTATTGGAGGTGGGGAGAGGGCAGTGGGAAGGGCAAGTTGGAGCTTTTCTAGTTCTTTTTTTTCCCCTGGAGACACAGTATTGCTCTGTCACTCAGGCTGGAGTGCAGTGGTGCAATCTCAGCTCACTGCAACCTCCGCCTCACAGGTTCAAGAGATTCTTGTGTCTCGGCCTCCCAAGTAGCTAGGATTACAGGCACGTGCCATGATGCCCAGCCAGCTAATTTTTTGTATTTTTAGTAGAGATGAGGTTTCACCATGTTGGCCAGGCTAGTCTCAAACTCTTGAGCTCAGGTGATCTGCCCACCTCAGCCTCCCAAAGTGCTGGAATTACAGGCGTGAGCCACCACACCCGGCCCTCTTCTAGTTCTTGTTTTTTTTTGTTTTTCTTTGTTTTGTTTTTGTTGTTGTTTTTGGAGACAGAGTTTCCCTCTTGTCACCCAGGCTGGAGTGCAGTGGCGCGATCTCGGCTCACCGCAACCTCCGCCTCCCAGGTTCAAGCGATTCTCCTGCCTCAGCCTCCCGAATAGCTGGGATTACAGGCATGCACCACCATGCCCAGCTAATTTTGTATTTTTAGTAGACACGGGGTTTCTCCATGTTGGTCAGGCTGGTCTCGAACTCCCAATCTCAGGTGATCCACCCGCCTTGGCCTCCCAAAGTGCTGGGATTACAGGCGTGAGCCACTGTGCCCGGCCTCTTCTAGTTCTTTATACCACCCACAACTAGTATGGTGTTTGTGCGATCCTGTAAGGAAGCATCAGGGGACAGAGGCCAAACAGAAGACTTCTCTTCTTTGCCTCTTTGTACTTACAATCTTCTCATCTTCCATCCCTCTGCCCATGGACTCCTAAGCTACTGGCAGAAAATTATGTCCACACCCAACTACCTCTCCTTTTCCCAAACCACCTGCCTATGCCAGTTCTGGACCCTCCACATAACATCTGCAGGTTACTGAGCCCATCCTGATTATCTCCCTAGTGTATTTGTCAATCACAGGCCATTGGCATCTTAAAGTCAACTTCATTAAAAAACTGGAATTATGGCCGGGCATGGTGACTCATGCCTGTAATCTCAGCACTTTGGGAGGTTGAGGCGGGTGGGTCTCCAGGAGTTTGAGAGCAGCCTGGGCAAGACGGTGAAACCCCATCTCTACAATAAAATAAAATAAAAATTAGCTGGGTGTGGTAGTGCACACCTGTAGTCCCAGCTACGCAGGAGGCTGAGATGGGAGGATCGCTTGAGCCTGGGAGAAGGGGGTTGCAGAGAGGGGACCTTGGAAGTGTGGGCTGACTTTGGAAAGTTTTGGTCCAGGTCAGCTACCATCTGCTGGCCTGGAGGCCCAGTCTGATCTCAAGAGACAACTCTGTCACTCCCTCCTGCCACAAATACTTGCTTGGGGCATAGCCTCAGGCAAATGACAGAGATCAGCTGCCAACTACTCTAAAATCATAGCTTGCTGGGAAGTTGGCAATGACTCCATTAAAATCATCTTAAGCTTACATGGAATCTTGGCATCACCCAATGCGAACTTCAAAGGCTTTGGTCTAGCTATTGAATGGGACAGTAAAGACTGCAACCCTACCCTGGCTATTCAGGACATACTTGTTCAGCTGGCTTGAGGTGTTGGGGGAGAGACAATGGTGTTGGGAGGTAACAGTCAAATTCTCCACAAGAAACAGTGCTAGGGCCTGGATCTGATAAACTTGTCCCTCGATAAACAGTTTTATAAAAAGTCCTTTGGCCAGGCGTGGTGGCTCATGCCTGTAATCCCAGCACTTTGGGAGGCTGAGGCGGGTGGGTCACGAGGTAAGGAGATCAAGACCATCCTGGCCAACATGGTGAAACCCCGTCTCTACTAAAAATACAAAAATTAGCTGGGTGTGCTGGCACGCACCTATAATCCCAGCTACTTGGGAGGCTGAGGCAGAATAGCTTGAACCTGGGAGGCAGAGATTGTAGTGAGCCAAGGTAGCATCACTGCACTCCAGCCTGGAGACAGAATGAGACTCCGTCGCAAAAAAAAAATTACAAATAAAATAAATAAATAAATAAAAATAAAAAGTCCTTTGGAAATGAAAATGGGATTTCCTAATTTAGGTGTTTCTTCTTTCTTTCTTTCTTTTTTTTTTTTAGGTGTTTCATAAGTAATTCTGCTTATTGTATTTTCTTAAAAATGGAAACACACCTGGGTTATACTTTCTTTAAAAAAAGGGTATAGATTTGCTTGCTGATTTAAGTACAATGCAATGTCAAATTACGTTTATTAAATAATGTAACATGATCTTTTGAATCTTTGCAGAGAGGCAGAACTTATGCTAGCATACACTAGTGATAAGGCTGGAAAAATAATTTCAAAAAAAACTGGCAAGCAGTTTAAGTACGTTAGGGGATACAGTGAGCATGTATTGTTTTTCTTATCCTGATAAACATTCTCCTGGCATACTATTCCAGATTTCCTAGGAGAAATGTGAATGTCCCTGTTCCCCAGCTCCTATGCCATATGCTTTGAGATGAGATGAAGACTTCTACTCCTTGCTTTAGAGGTGGGAATGTGACTCAAGGCCAATCAGAACATCTCAAACCTTAAACTACAGGAATTAGCTCACCACATAGGCATGCGACCCTATCAGGTAAAATGAGTCACAAGGAGACTTTTGCTGGGACTCTTAGGAGAGAGGTTGGGAGTCTTTGATGAACTTGGGCCTAGGATACTAGGACTATAGGTCCTGGCAGCCATCTTGCCCCGCATGGAGCTAGAGAAAAAAAAACAAAAACAGTTAAGGAGAGCAGAGTCCAGAAATAGTGAAAACCCAGATAACAGGGAAATTGGCTTGATACCCCAGATTAAGCCTCATCTGAAGTAACAGACTTCTCAGTAACATGAGCTAGTAGGGCTGGAGTTGAAGACTTACAGGGTAATATCTTTAAACGTTCAGTTGTTAAGAAATTGATAATACCGTGGCTCACGCCTGTAATCCCAGCACTTTGGGAGGCCGAGGCGGGCGGATCACGAGGTCAGGAGATCGAGACCATCCCGGCTAAAACGGTGAAACCCCGTCTCTACTAAAAATACAAAAAATTAGCCGGGCTTAGTGGCGGGCGCCTGTAGTCCCAGCTACTTGGGAGGCTGAGGCAGGAGAATGGTGTGAACCCGGGAGGCGGAGCTTGCAGTGAGCCGAGATCCCGCCACTGCACTCCAGCCTGGGCGACAGAGCAAGACTCCGTCTCAAAAAAAAAAAAAAAAAAAAGAAATTGATAATACCGAAGATGATCAGGGTCTCCACTCTAATCATTATTGAGTACTTACTATGTTTCAAGTACTAAGTAATATGAACGTTACAGATATTATCTAATAAAATCCCAAAAACAACCACAGGAGGCAACAATTACCATTCCTTTAAAAAAAAGTAAAGCAGGAACTCTGGGCTCTATAGCATGTGAGACACCTCAACTATTCCAAGTCCTTACCTTGGTCTCATTTCTTTTTTGAGACGGAGTTTCGCTCTTGTTGCGCAGGCTGGAGGGCAATGGCAAGATCCTGGCTCACTGCAACCTCCGCCTCCCAGTTTAAGCGATTCTCCTGCCTCAGCCTCCCGAGTAGCTAGGATTACAGGCATGCACCACCACGCTCGGCTAATTCTGTATTTTTAGTAGAGACGGGATTTCTCCATGTTGGTCAGGCTGGTCTCAAGCTCCCGACCTCAGGTGATCCACCCGCCTCGGCCTCCCAAAGTGCTGGGATTACAAGGGTGAGTTACCGTGCCCGGCCTGGTCTCATTTCTTATCTCCTGAGAGAGGTAGCTGTCCAACATTTTAGCCTCTGAATCTTTTTGTTCAAGCGAAACAGGAAGTATAAACAAATGAAACCAATCAAATGGAGCAGGATGGGGGGGCCCAGAACCCTTTTTTTTTTTTGAGAAAGGGTCTCACTCCGTCACCTGGGCTGGAGTGCAGTGGCACAATCTTGACTCACTGCAACTTCAAGCAATTCTCATGCCTCAGCCTCCTGCGCATAGCTGGAATGATAGGCCACCACGCCCAGCTACCAAAACCTTCTTTCTTGGACTCTCCTCTCCCAAGGATTTCCTAAGGCTTTTAAAAATATTTTGAGGGCGCCGGGCGCGGTGGCTCATGCCTGTAATCCCAGCACTCTGGGAGGCCGAGGCGGGCGGATCACGAGATGAGGAGATCGAGACCACGGAGAAACTCCGTCTCTACCAAAAATACAAAAAATTAGCCGGGCGCGGTGGCGGGCGCCTGTAGTCCCAGCTACTCCAGAGGCTGAGGCAGGAGAATGGCATGAACCCAGGAGGCAGAGCTTGCAGTGAGCTGAGATCGCGTCACTGCACTCCAGCCTGGGCAACAGAGCGAGACTCCGTCTCAAAAAAAAAAAAAAAAATATTTTGAGGGCTAGGCGCGGTGGCTCACGCACTTTGAGAGGCTGAGGCAGGCGGATCATAAGGTCAGGAGATCGAGGCCATCCTAACTAACACGGTGAAAACCTGTCTCTACTAAAAATACAAAAAATTAGCCAGGCATGGTGGCATGTGCCTCTATTCCCAGCTACTTGGAAGGCTGAGGCAGGAGAATCGCTTGAACCCGGGAGGCCGAGGTTGCAGTGAGCCGAGATCGCGCCACTACACTCCAGCCTGGGTGACAGAGCGAGGCTCCATCTCAAAATAAATAAATAAATAAATAAATAAATAAATAAATAAATAAATAAAAATATTTTGAAGCCTGGGGCAGTTGGCTCACACCTGCAATCCCAGTATTTTGGGAGGCTGAGGCAGGAGAATAGCTTGAGGCCGGGAGTTTGACATCAGTCTGGGTAACATAGCAAGACTTCATCTCTACAAAAAAAAAAAAAAAAAAAAAATTAGCCAGGCATGATGGTGTGCACCTGTAGTCCTAGCTACTCAGGAGGCTGAGGCAGGAAGAGCTCTTGAACCCAGGAGTTCCAGGATGTATGTGCCACCACGCCGAGCTAATTTTGTATTTTTAGTAGACAACGGGGTTTCTCCATGTTGGTCAGGCTGGTCTGGAACTCCCAACTTCAGGTGATCCGTCCACCTCAGCCTCCCAAAGTGCTGGGATTACAGGCGTGAGCCACCTCGCCCAGCCTCAACTAGTCTTTTTTTTTTTTTTTTGGGACAGGGTCTCACTCCATCCTCCCAGCTGGAATGCAGTGGCACAATCATGGCTCAATGCAGCCTTGATCTCCCAGGCTCCAGCGATCCTCCCACACCCTCCCAAGTAAGTGGGACTACTGGCTGGGAATACAGGCGCATGCCACCATGCTCAGCTAATATTTTATTTTTTGTAGAGACAGGGTTTTGCCACATTGCCCAGGCTGGTGTTGAACTCCTGAGCTTAAATGATCCTCCCACCTTGGCCTCCCAAAGTGCTGGGATTATAGCCATGAGCTACGTCTTTAAAAACCTATATACGATACTGAAGGGGCTTATAACCTACCAAAATAATAAATAAATAAAAACCTATATATGATAGATTTCAAATACAAATGATCATTTATATTTATCCTCCCAAGCAGGCATAGACAACATTCCACCTTACTACCACCCCAACTAAAAAACAATCTTATGCAATTATATTTCGTTGTTTTTGCGAGTTTTCCACTAGAAAGTTAAGTGGGCCACTGAAAAAAGCAATTTGAAAAAATGAATTTCAAACCAATGAATTTTGTTCGTTGATCTATTGTCAGGTTTGGTTTAGAAAAAGATCACTCTTAATTTTGATTATATGTATTTTAATGATTCATAGGACTCTTATCCTGAATGCTTAGATTTATGAAAGCCAGAAGTATTAACAGTGCAAGTCAGGCCGTCACAATTTGTTCAAGTTTTCTCTTCCTTTATTAACTCAGGTAGTTCCTGAGCATCTACCATATTAAAGGAATTATACTAGATGATTAAAGGATGCAAACAGGAATACAACACAGTCCCTGACTTTTCTCCCTCTACAAAATCAGTAGAAGTGGATTAATATGTAACTCTTCCTCTGAAATAAGGAGTCTATTTCATGGTTGTTCTGTAGTGACAATGCCTCGGGGATCCCACCTTCATCACCTTTGCACCCAACTGTCCATCACTCCTGTGCAGGGGATGCTGCTGGGGAAGAAAACAGGTCAAATGCAGGGAAAATTCATAGTAAGCTGTTACTACTACACTCACGAAAGTATAGTAACCTACTTTACTCACTGAAGTACAGTAACCTACTGTACCCACCAAAGTTTAAAACAAAACAGGACATTTGACAAGGCTGGTGCCTTTAAACAACTTTGCTAAAATGTCAAGGCACTCTTTTTAATTATTAAATAAGAGGAGTAATAGACATTTGTGGCCCACTCCGTCTATGAGCCTCATTCCTGATGATGGGGTAGAGTGAGTTTCAGGGACAAGGTGAAGTGAGGTTCAGGGAGGGGTGAGGCTTAGGGGCTTAAGTGAAGTTCTTTGCATGCATTTCTTAGTAACAAAAATGCTGAGTAATTTACTGGTTACTTTTTTTAGGCTGCAACAAAATGCTCCCATGGAAAATGTCTACGGTAAAATGTCAAGTGTATAGCTTTAAAGCAGAGGACAATGCTTAGCGCACAGTATTTTTGGCAGTATGACCCCACCATTCTCCAAGTTGCCCAGGCTTAAAATGTTGGCACTAGGAAACACATAGCTTATGATGTCTTCCCTACAATTTCACTTTACAGATTAAAAAAAGGGAACCTCCTCTTAGTATAATATTCATATATTCTTTCAATAATTTATTCATTTATCCATCAATATCACCTTTTATGAGACAGTGGTAAGCAACAGAGATATAAAATGAATAACATAGTCCTGCCCTTAACAGTTTGGTTTAGCAAGCATTTATTCAATGTACACCATATACAGTATCAATAACTGCAAAGTGCTAACATATAGATGTGTACCTACATTTTAGGGAAAGCTTTCAAGAATGATGTCAGAGTTGAGCCTTAAGGAATTAGCAGGAGTTTGCTTGATGAAGAGAAAGGAAGGGAAGGGCATATCCAGGTCTGAGAAAAATGCCCAGAGTATGTGGGGGAGGCAGGAGCTGAAAAAGTAGGCAGGAGCTAAATCATAACAGGCCTGTATGACAAACTAAGGAGTTTGCACTTTATTCTGGACAGAATGGGGAACAACTGGAGGATTTTAAGAGGAATGACATGAACAGATGTTTTGTTGTTGTTAGTCTCACCCAAGGATGGACTGGAGATTGGACTGGAAGGAAGCCAGGGCTGAATGCAGACAAACTAATTAGGAGGCTGTTGCTGTCATCTCAATGAGAAATGATGAGAAGAACATAATCTATGTCACAGGCACAGAGGATGGAGAGCAGAACACCTATTTGAGAAATATTCTATAAATAGAAATGATAGGACATGACTATTGATTGGACATGTGTGGGTGGAAAGCCAGAGTCTAAGATTCTTCCCAGCTTCCTCTGTCTAGCTTAGGCAATTATTTGGACAGTGGTACTACTGAGCACGGCACGCACACAGTAGAAGCAGCATATTGACTTTTTTTCTTTAAGGGAGGCAGGGAAAGATGACGAGTTCAATTTTAAATGCTGAATCTGAGACCTGTGGGGAATCCAAGGGGAGAGGTGCATGAGTCAGTTAGCTAACTAGACCTGTGCTTTTTAGCCTCAAGAAATTTACAAGACTATTCCAGAAGCATGTGTACTGACAACCTCACTGCCAAAGGAACAGGCATACCAATTAGAGAAAATGACAATTTTTCATGTTAAAAAAAAAAAAACTGAAAACACAGGGGTTGAGAGTTAATAACGAAACATTATGTTACTCGCCAAACTGACACAGCAGAACAATGTATTTCTCTAGTAAGCTAAATGTAGGGTTTGATGGGTTTCCTCCTGACGACACTTGAAAATAGAGGTGTACCTGGTGTTTAGATCTAGGAATTCCTTTCAGCAGGTTTGAAGAGCAAGAGCTGAGAAATGCGCCCTCCAGTGGCAGTGGAATGAGGGGTGTCTAGTAACCCTTTTTACCACCAAACAAAGCCCTGTAAAGAAATGCAATTTACCGGGATCAGAAAGCCACAATGCTGGTACCAGTAAACCGTCAAACCAAGCGAACCCTCTCAGGCGCCAGGAAGCCTTACCTGTCACGTTGGCCAAAGGAAAATTTCACTTTCGACTCAACAAAATAAGACCTCAGATTTGATAGCTTGCAGTAAGTCCCGCTTGGCGACGATTAAACACCCTGCAAGTCGAAACGCGTAGTCTAATCAAATCCTCTCCAGCCTGCAGGGCCGGGCTTCCACCACGTGGGTGGCTGCGGCCAGCAGGATCAATCCGCGAAGGGTGGGGGTAGGAGGCGTGCCCCTGCGGTGGGAGGCGGGGTCTGCGCAGTGGGTGGGGCTTCGGCGGAACCTAGCTAAGAGGTTCCTCTCGCCTCCGCTCCCCTTTTGCCTTCAACCTTCGAGCCGCCACGTAATGCCACGTCCCCGCGCATGCGCATCTTGGCCGCTGCTGGCGGCTGTTTCCGGGCTTAGAGGGCTGGAGTGGCCGCCGAGTTGGAGGCGGTGGTGGCAGCAGTAGGAGTGTGTAGAGTGCGGGATTGGGGCCCAGGCCCTGCGGAGGGCGGGGGAAGTTGTCTTCTTTTTTTTCCGGAGGGGCCGGTAAACCTGGTGGCTGAACGGCAAGATGAATTTCCTCCGCGGGGTAATGGGGGGTCAGAGTGCCGGACCCCAGCACACAGAAGCCGAGACGGTGAGAGGAGCAGCGGGTCTGGGACTTGGGAAGGGGTCCGGGCAGGGACGGGGACGGAGCACTCGGAGACCCGAAGGTCACCTCCAGCGTCCCACCATGGAGGGGGCATCCACATGCCGCCTCCCCCTTTGCCCTCCTTCCGCTCCTGAAATCCCAGAGTTATTCAATCACGCCCCCAGCTCAGTCCCCATTGCTGCCGTTCGGCCGGACTGACGGCGGCCGCGCCCCGCAGCTCTGTAGGCCCTGAAGCTCGGGCTAGGAGAGTGGTCCGCAGGTGGTACCGCACGGGAAGGGACGGATGCGCGGCCGAGCTGGCCCGAACTGCCTCCCACGCCCCTCGGGGCCGTGGGCCCCTCCCTCTTTCTCTTTCGCTCGTCTGCACTGGCCGAGAGGAGCCTGAAGTCCTGCTCCCTCCCTCGCAGTCTGAAACTGGGGCGTTGGGGAAAACTGCGAGAAGGTTTAAAACCCAGCTGTTGGTGAGAGCATTTGGCTAAGAATAAAACGATATTCTTTGAAGGACAAATCCACCTGCTCCTGTCCCATCAACTGGAAGAGCGGTCGTTCTGCCTGGTGTTATTTGTTCAGATCCGGCTTTTCGGGCTCACCCAAATATATATCATTTGGCAAATGCTACCTTGAACGTAGTAGGGATCTTAAGCGCTCAAACTGCTTTGGGGACACGTCCACCGCTTTCTGCCTGAACTCCTAATGACATGATTTGCGGCGTTATTTAAAAAAAAAAAAAAATGGTTAGCCGCTGAAAACATTATTTAATAGTTGCTTAGATTCTAGGTTTAGAATACACTTATTTTGAAGTTTGGTTAGTGTTTAATGGAATCGAGGGTGTATGCCTTTTTGAAATAAACTTTTTATTTGAGAAGAATTTTAGATCTACATAAAAGAGACTAAGTATAACACTTTAATGGCTAACTTTGTTAATGGGATCCTGAGGGATAATATAGTAGCTTTCATTTGTCAGGCTCTTACCTTGTGCTAGGTTCTGTGCTGAGCTCTTTATATTCCACATTATGCTTTAATCGTTAACTACCCTGCAAGATAGGTGAGAGTATTCTCACCTTAAAAGTCAAAAAATGAGACTGAGAGGGGTGAAGTAGGCCGGACGCGGTGGCTCACGCCTCTAATCCCAGCACTTTGGGAGGCTGAGGCCGGCGGATCACCTGAGGTCGGGAGTTCGAGACCAGCCTGACCAACATGGAGAAACCCCGTCTCTACTAAAAATACAGAATTAGCCGGCCGTGGTGGCACATGCCTGTAATCCCAGCCACTCGGAAGGCTGAGGCAGGAGAATCGCTTGAACTCGGGAGGCGGAGGTTACGGTGAGCAGAGATCGTGCCATTGCACTCTAGCCTGGGCAACAAGAGCGAAACTCTGTCTCAAAAAAAAAAAAAAAAAAAAGGGGTGAAGTAACTTGACCAATGTCACACTGCTAATAATAGAGCCAGGATTCAACCAAGAGGTACCTTACTTCAAAGCCTTCACTTTATTGCTCATGCCTGTATTTCAATACTTTTTGGGAACTTTATATAGTATTACTAAAATTAACTGCAGCTAGTCGCAGTGACACAGGCCTATAATCCCAGCTAAGGGGATGCTAAGCCAGGAGGATCGCTTGAGCCCAGGAGTTTGAGACTAGCCTGGGCAGCATGAAGAGACTCCATCTCAAAAAAAAAAAAAATAACTGCGCAGGTCTGGTTAGAATTGTTTAAAGCATAAGATGAAAGCCGGTAAATCTGTTTCTTTCATTTGAAAATCACTTTTCTGTCTCTCACTGTAACACACGCACACATTTGGCTTCACTCATCCATTCCCACTTGGCAACAAGGCAGCCTGAGCTACCCTACTAGAAGATCATGTTCTGTCTAGATTACCAGAGTCATACCATAATCACAGCCCACCACTTTTTTGTCTGATATTTGTGTTTGTGGCACCAGGTTATGAAATATGGTTTATTACAGCTTGCTTTGTGGAGTTAGACTTTGATTTGAATCCTGGCTTTCCACCCCTGATTGGATTGGATATGTAAGAGATAGCTAATACCCTCTAAGTAAAATGAGGAAAATGCCTGCTTTTTAGGATGTAATGAAGATTAAGTGAAATAAGTAGAAAGAGCCTGGCACTTAGTAGATGTATAATGAGAGGTAATTTTTACTATGTGTGGGTTGAACGAAGAATACCCTTTCCTGTTTTTGTTATTATTGGCCTTGTCACAGTGACTTCTGTAGAAAAGATGGAATAGAATTCACAGTGTATAGGATTTTAAAGCTAGAAAGTCCCAGATAGAGCCTCTTCATTTTATAGTCACAGAGCACTAAAGTAGCTTGCACAAGGTTGAAGAGTTGGAGCTAGAACATTTTGATCTTGCCACTGTGGATGGAACAACATAGTTTTTATATCACAATTTCAAAGTGAAACTTGAGTATCACTTGCGTATGTTGTATATATAAACTGAAAGGGTCCTTTCTTGTTCTTGCCTAACTTTGAGTATGTACATTTAAAATTGGAAAAGTAATTTGTCTTCTATTTTTTCTTTTTAATCACCTCCACAATAAAGCAATTTGCCTTCTGAAAATTATTATTCTGAGGTACAGTATGAATAAAATTTGTTTCACTATTTCGTTCCACCAGGAAGTACAACAGGTAAAAGGGGTCATGGATTACTAATTTAGAAGTATTTATAGAGCATCAGTGGAGTGTATATACAATTTTAGATGTTTTAATTGATGATTTAGTCTGGCCAGGATATTTGAGTTACCAGAGCTTGGAACCCCTAGCTTCTATATTATCATTTATTATTTTGTAGTTTTTTCCATTTCTGCAAAATTAAATTTTTTTCATGGTGGCTTTCCATCTTTCTTGCTTTTTCTAACATCTTTTTTCCAATGGAAGGGCTCTTTTCTTTGTCTGAATTAGACCTGTTATTTAAATTCATCATCAGCGCCTCCCCTAATCTGTACTTTCCCCCAGCACGTTTCAGATGCTTTTTCCTTTCTGAGCTACCTTTACATTTTAACTACAGTGTGCATATATCTTATTCCTTCTAGACTCTTAAAGTGTCTTTAGGGCAGGGTTCATAATGTATTTTAATCTTTGTTTTTCCACAGTAGTAGATGCCCAGTAAATACTTGTGAAATGAATTAATTATAGTTTTATTTGAAAGAAATCACAGATCTGTAATTATAGCAACTTACGTTACTAGGTACTAAAACACTTTTTAAAGACTAGAAACTGAAGTTCTCAAATGAAGTTCATTGTGTCAAGCTTTTTACTTAAGGGATTTTTTCATATTTACTAAATGCTTTGACTGCTTTCTTGTTTTTTTTTTTCTTATTGAATTTAAGTATCTTTTAAATGTGTGAGAGTTATGTGATTGATTGTATAGTATCTAGCTTTTCATACTCTTAGTTAAGAGTAACTTTGGACTGATATTAAGATGTTCTTCAGGCCGGGGGCTCACGCCTATAATCCCAGCACTTTGGGAGGCCAAGGCAGATGGAGCACTTGAGGTCAGGAGTTTGAGACCAGCCTGGCCAAACTCCTTTCTGGAGTCAAGCACATTTTTATGGTGAAACCCTGTCTCTACTAAAAATACAAAAATTAGCTGGGCATGGTGGCACATGCCTATAATCTCAGCTACTCAGGAGGCTGAGGCAGGAGAATCGAGGCGGTGGTTGGCAGTGAGCAACCACTGAGTGGTTAAGATTGTGCCACTGCATTCCAGCCTGGGCGAGAGAGCGAGACTGTCTCAAAAAGAAAGATGTTCTTGAGAACCTGTCAAGTAGTAAATATTTTATCATAGGATAGTCAATTCTATAAAGTACTGGATATTTTAAATTCAGAATTTCATCCACATTAAACTTTTTCTGTTTTAGAGTCATGTACTTTTGTTTTTGTTTTTGTTTTGTTTTGTTTTGAGACAGAGTCTCGCTCTGTGGCCCAGGCTGGAGTGCAGTGGCGCAATCTTGGCTCACTGCAAGCTCCCCCTCCCGGGTTCACGCCATTCTTCTGCCTCAGCCTCCCAAGTAGCTGGGACTACAGGTGTCTGCCACCACACCGGCTAATTTTTGTATTTTTAGTGGAGATGGGGTTTCACCGTGTTAACCAGGATGGTCTCGATCTCCTGACTTCGTGATCCGCCTGCCTTGGCCTCCCAAAGTGCTGGAATTACAGGTGTGAGCCACGGCACCTGGCCCCAGAGTCGGGTACTTTTACATTTCATTTCTCTTTTTTACTTGACACTGATTTCTGGTGATTGAAGCCTCTTTAGCCTTGACACAGTTTGCTGGGTGCATATTATTATAGTACAAATCCTACTCATGCTTTTGTTTTTTAGTTTTCTCTTTTTCCCTAACCACTAGACCACCAGGGACTTCATGCTTTTGAATGTAAGCTTATGTGTGCTTAGTGTTATATCTGCCTTCTATCTAGCACCTTTTTTTTGGGTAGGGGGGTGGGGTACGAAGTCTCGCTCTGTCGCCCAGGCTGGAGTGCAGTGACGTAATCTCGGCTCACTGCAGCCTCCGCCTCCTGGGTTCAAGCAGTTCTCCTGGCTCAGTCTCCCGAGCAGCTGGGACTACAGGTGCACGCCACCACGCCAGGCTAATTTTTTTGTATTTTAGTAGAGACAGGGTTGCACTGTGATGCCCAGGCTGGTCTTGAACTCCTGAGCTCAGGCAGTCTGCCCGCCTCGGCCTCTCAAAGTGCTAGGATTATAGGCGTGAGCCACTGCGCCCAGCCCCCAACTTGTACCTTTTTTAAAGCTAGTTTCTTGAAAATTCCAAGCAAGTGTTAACTACATTTGATGATGAATCATAGAGGCATTTTCTGTTCTCAAGTTGGACCCCGAGACATGAAAGTTGCTAATGTCCAGAAAAAGCATACAGAATTAGAACATTGTTATGGGGTCTCTTTCCAGATCAAACTTTCATCAGCTGTCTCAGAAAGCAGAAGGGCTAACAATATAAACACAGCCATATTTTCTTTTAATAAAAATTGTTATTAAAGAGTGTGGACTTAAATTTAGACATAGTTTTCGTTTAGTCAAGCACATTTTATACCATGTTACTATAAATGTGTAGTCTGAAATTCCTATTTGGGTTGATGTATTCTACATTAATAACCAGGTCAATGTCATAACTGGAATGTGTTTTCTCTCTTGGCCTGTTTTGCAATAACAATGTCGGAGAGAACTGTAATAATGATTTGTGTTTTGGTCATTTCTATATCGAAGCACTCTTTTTAAGTAGGGCCTATTGAATACTACATGGCTTTTTGGAAGGTTAATTTTGTAGATTATATAGGGTTCATTTAAAAGTTAGAATCATTTAAATTATACATGCCGTAGCATTACCAAGGTATGCTTCAAAAAATTTGAATAGATGTCCATGAAAAAAATTTTGTCAGCAAAGAAGTGTGTGCAACGACCACTAACAAAGAAAAAACCTCTAGTATTTATGCAAGGTTTTGTAAGCAGGCACTGTGTTATAGTTTCAGATATTTTTAAAATGTAGATAAAAAGTAAGCTGTTTGCCAAATTTATCTGACCAGACCTTTTTTTTTCCTCTAGGGAACTTTGTTATCTATTATTTTGAGAAGCATACTTAGGGAAAAATTGTCCAAGAGGATATATAATTCTGATGCCTTTTTCTTTATTTTCCTTTATTTCATTAAAAACATTACTCTTGAATCTGATTAGGAAAGAATATTAGAATTCCTTATATACATTTGTTGATACCAAATACTGTTCCTCTTTCTTTTTATGTATTTACCTTTTATTATTAATATTACTGCTTTGTACTCTGCTTTTTGTCTGTTGTAGGTATAGTAAAGTTATGCTTATTATTTTTATACCTCAAGCAGAAGTGCCATAAACATTTTTTGTGTCAAAAGTTATTCACCATTAATTTGAAAACTTTTTTTTTTTTTTAAAGAGACAGGCTCACAATATGTTGCCCAGGCTGGTCTTGAACTCCTGGCCTCAAACAATCCTCCTGTCAGCTTCCCAAAGTGCTGGGATTACAGAAAAACTTTTGTGGTGTTAGATTTTGAGATGCTAGCATTTGTGATAGGTTATTTGGTAGACATGTTTCATTATGACCCCTTGCTTAAAACGATGTCCTTTTGAAAAGCATAGTTCATTTATGGGAAAGAGCATGGAGAATAAATGAAGCAGTATATTACTTGGCTGACTTAAGGTAACTATAATGGAAATGGATTCATTGGATTTGTCTACAAAGAGACTTGTGTTTGATTTTTTAATGTTCCCACATCTCTTTTTATAGATTATAATAATTTAGGTCATATGAAGATAAGATTTGCTTTTGCTGTTTTAATAAAGTCTTCTCAGTAACAGAGTTAAATTTAAAACAAATTTCTGGGCCAGGCCTGGTGGCTCACGCCTGTAATCCCAGCACTTTGGTAGGCTGAGGCGGGTGGATCACCTGAGGTCAGGAGTTTGAGACCAGCCTGGCCAACATGACGAAACCCTGTCTCTGCTAAAAATACAAAAATTAGCTGGACATGGTGGCAGGTGCCTGTAATCCCAGCTACTAGGGAGGCTGAGGCAGGAGAATCACTTGAACCCACGAGGTGGAGGTTACAATGAGCCAAGATCGCACCACTGCACTCTAGCCTGGGCAATGGAGTGAGACTCCGTCTCAAAAAAAAAAAAAAATGACTTTTGTAATCTAAAACAATAATATTTTTATTTCATCTAAAACATAAGTGAATTGACTATTAGCATGAATTATTTGTCTTACAGTTAGGGAAATTCTGTTTTAGGAAGGTACAACTATGTTTTAAATTTCAAGGTAAGATTATATCATAAAATTAAATCAATATTAGGTGCTTGACAAATATTTGTTGGATAAATGATTGATTGATTAGAGTTAGCATTTTAATTGCCATTCCTGTTCTTTATTTTTTCCTGTCAGTTAAGTAGTTACTGAATACTTAAAAAAAAGAATTGTGAAAAAATACTGCAAGCTGTATTACACTAGTGTCCTTTAATTTTTTTGCTTTTATATTTTTATAAACGATTAAACGTAAATTAGTATTGTTTCATAAGCAAATGTGTTTATGAAAATAAACATTTCTCTAAACAATATTTTTTCCCCATAACTTTAAAGTTTTAGAAGGTTACATGTGCAAGTTGTTACATGGGTAAATTGCCTGTTGCTAAGGTTTGATGTATAACCATCACCCAGGTAGTGAGGATGGTACCTGATGGGTAGTTTCTTAACTCTCGCCCCCTCTCCCACCTTCCCCCCGTTGTTGTCCCCAGTGTTGACTGCTCCCATCTTTAGGTCCGTGCTTACTCATTGTTTAGCTCCCACTTGTAAGTGAGGAAATGCAGTATTTGGTTTTCTGTTCCTATATTAATTCGCTTAGGATAATGGCTACCAGCTGCATCTATGTTGCTGCAAAGGGCATGATTTTATTCTTTTTCATGTCGACATAGTATTCCATGGCATATATGTACTGCATTTTCTTTATCCAGTCCACTATTGATGGACACCTAGGTTGACTCCACATCTTTGCAGTTGTGAATAGTGCTCCAGTGAATATGCAAGTGCATATGGCTTTTTGATAGAATGATTTATTTTTCTTTATTTTCCCTTATTTCATTAAAAACATTATAATTGAAATGACTATTAGCATGGATTATTTTAGTCTTACAATAAATAGTCATAGTTACTGGACGCAGTGGCTCAAGCCTGTAATCCCAGCACTTTGGGAGGCTGAGGCGGGCAGATCACGAGGTGAGGAGATCAAGACCATCCTGGCCAACATGGTGAAACCCCGTCTCTACTAAAAATACAAAAATTAGCTGGGCATGGTGGCACCTGTGCCTGTAATCCCAGCTACTTGGGAAGCTGAGGCAGGAGAATCACTTGAACCAGGGAGTTGGAGGTTGCAGTGAGCCAAGATCGCGCCACTGCACTCCAGCCTGGCGACAGAGCGAGATTCCATCTAAAAAAAAAAAAAAAAAAAAAAGTCATAGTTGGGGGAGTTCTGTTTTAGGAATGTTTTAAGCTTCATGAAGGTAAGGTTATATCATAAAATCACGTCTGTAGGGCCGGGTGCGGTGGCTCATGCCTATAATCTTAGCACTTTGGGAGGCCGAGGCGGGCAGATTACAAGGTCAGGAGTTCGAGACCAGCCTGGCCAATATGGTGAAACCCCGTCTCTACTACAAATACAAAAATTAGCCGGGCGTGGTGGCGGGCACCTGTAGTCCCAGCTACTTGGGAGGCTGAGGCAGGAGAATAGCTTGAACCCAGGAGGCAGAGGTTGCAGTGAGCCGAGATCACGCCACTGCAGTCCAGCCTGGGCAACACAGTGAGACTCTGTCTCAAAAAAAAAATTAAAAAAAATAAATTAAGTCTGTATTAGCTGCATGACAAATATTTGTTGAAAAAATACAGTAGTGAGACTGCTGGGTCGAATGGTAGTTCTGTTTTAAGTTCTTTGAGAGATATCCCAACTGCTCTCTACAGTGACTGAACTAAAATTACATTCCCACCAACAGTATATAGCATTCCCTTTTCTCTATAACCTCTCTAACATCTGTTTTTTGTTTGTTTGTTTTGTCTTTTTAATAATAGTCATTCTGACTGGTGGGAGATGGTATTTCACTGTGGTTTTGACTTGCATTTGTCAGATGATTTAGTGGTGTGGAACATTTTTCCATATATTTCTTGCCTATGTATATGTATTGTTTGGAGAAGTGTCTGTTCATGTCCTTTGCCCATTTTTTAAGAGTTTTTGGTTTTTGCCTGTTGAATTAAGTTCCTTACAGATTCTGAATATTAGACCTTTGTCAGATGCATGGTTTGCAGATGTTTTCTCCCAGGTTATAAGTTGTTTGTTTACTCTGTTGATAGTTTCTTTTGCTGTGCAGAAGCTCTTTAGTATAATTAGGTCCCACTTGTCAATTTTTGTTTTTGTCACAATTGCTTTTGGGCACTTAGTCATAAATTCTTTGCCAAGGCCAATGTCCAGGATGATATCTCCTAGATTTTCTTCGAGGATTTTTTTTTTTTTTTTTTTTTTTTTTGAGTAGGAGTCTGGCCCTGTCACCCAGGCTGGAGTGAGTGCAATGGTGCGATTGGCTCACTGCAACCTCTGCCTCCCGGATTCAAGCGATTCTCCTGCTTCAGCCTCCCAAGTAGCTGGGACTACAGATGCACACCACCACACCCAGATAATTTTTGTATTTTTAGTAGAGACAGGGTTTCACCATGTTGGCCAGGATGGTCTCGATCTCCTGACCTCGTGATCCTCCCACCTTGACCTCCCAAAGTGCTGGGATTACAGGCGTAAGCCACCATGCCCAGCCTCTTCTCGGCTTTTTATAGTTTTAGGTCTTATATTTATGTCTTTAATCCATCTTGAGTTAATTTTTGTATATGGTAAAAGGTAAGGGCCCAGTTTCATTCTTCTGCATAAGGCTATCCAGTTATCCCAGCACCATTTATTGGATAGGTAGTCCTTTCTCCATTGCTTGTTACTGTCAATTTTGTCAAAGATCAGATGGTTGTAGGTGTGTGGCTTTAGTTTTGGGTTCTCTATCCTGTTCCATTGCTCCATGTCTGTAATAGGCTGTTTTGGTTAGTGTAGCTTTGTAGTATAGTTTGAAGTGGGGTAGTGTGATTTTTCCAGCTTTGTTCTTTTTGCTTAGGATTGCTTTGGCTGTTCAGGCTCTTTTGGTTCCATATGAATTTTAGAATAGTTTGTTCTAATTCTGTGAAAAATGACATTGGTAGTTTGATAGGAATAGCGTTGAATCTGTAGATTGCTTTGGGCAGTATGGCTTTTTTTTTTTTTTTTTTTTTTTTTTTTGAATTAGAGCCTTGCTCTGTTGCCCAGGCTGGGGTGCAGTGGCACAATCTCAGCTCACTGCAACCTCTGTCTCCCGGGTTCAAGTGATTCTCCTGCCTCAGCCTCCCAAGTAGCTGGGATTACAGGCACCCACCACCACACCCAGCCAATTTTTGTATTTTTAGTAGAAACAGGGTTTCACCATATTGGCCAGGCTGGTTTCAAACTCCTTGCCTCAAGTGATCCACCCGCCTCAGCCTCCCAAAGTGCTGGGATTACAGACATGAGCCACCATACCTGGCCCCATTTTAACAATATTGATTCTTTGATCCATGAGCATGGGATGTTTTTCCAGTGGTTTGTATCACCTATTATTTCTTTCAGCAATGTTTTATAGTTCTCTTTGTAGAGACCTCCTTGGTTAGATGTATTCCAAGGTTTTGGGGTGTGTGTGTGTGTCTGTCTGTCTGTCTAGGGTAAATGGGATTGCATTCTTGATTTGGCTCTCAGCTTGAACGTTATTGATGTATAGAAATGCTACTGATTTTTGTACATTGATTTTGTATCCTGAAACATTATTGAAGTCGTTTATCAGCTCTAGGTGCCTTTTAGTGGAACCTGTTGGGTTTTCCAGGTTTAGAATCATATTATTAGCAAAGAGATAGTTTGTCATTTTTTCCTATTCGGATGTCAATTCTTTCTCTTGCCTGATTGCTCTGATTAGGACTTCCTCCTTTAAATTTTAAGTGTACTTTCACCATCCTAGTTCTATGCTGTCTTCTTTTTAATCTTTTGATAGTTTTTCTTTTTTTGGAAACAGGGTCTCACTCTGTTGAACAGGCTGGAGTGCAGTGGTGTGATCACGTCTCACTTCAGCCTCAACCTCCTATACTCAAGCAACCTTCCCACCTCAGCCTCCTAAGTAGCTGGGACTACAGGTACAAGGCACCACGCTTGGCTGATTTTTAATTTTCTTGTAGAGACAGGGTCTTGCTATGTTGCCCAGGCTGGTCTTGAATTCCTGGACTCAAGTGATCCTCTCAAAGTGCTGGGATTGCAGCCATGAGCCCCTGCACCCAGCCAGTAGTTTTTCATTTTCACATTCCTCATCTCAGTTTTTTCTTTCCTAGTCACTCCTGTTCCCATTGTGTCTTTTTTGGTCATCTTTGTGTAGCAATGAATATAAATAAATAGCCCTATTGGCTAGCAAAAAATGTTTTTTTTAATTGACCAGTTGTTAGACTATAATTCTGATTATGCCCAATTTACCAGTTGTTAAATGGATTGTTTGTCATTTTCATGTTTCCCTTGGTAAGTGAAATTGTGAACATCATGTAGCAATTATCATTTTTTGATTTTACAAAATGGCAGACAAAATGAGTAAAGTTTAAGTTCTCTTTACTCCTGTCACCAATTTCAGTTCTCTTTCCAGAGATAACCACTATTACTAGTTTGGCATAAATCCTTCCAGACCTTTATACGTAATCATGCCTCTGTGTAATATACAAATATATATTTGTATTAGCATATTTATTCTTATTTACATAAATGGTATACTGTTTATTGTGTTCTACAGCTTACCTTTTTTTTTTTTTTTTTTTTTTTTTTTTGAGGCAAAGCCTCATTCTGTCACCCAGGCTGGCGCAATTTCAGCTCACTGGGTTCTCAGCTCACCTCCGCCTCCTGGGTTCAAGCAATTCTCTGCCTCCACCTCCCGAGTAGCTGGGATTACAGGCCTGGCTAATTTTTGTATTTTCAGTAGAAATGGGGTTTCACCATGTTGCCCAGGCTGGTCTCGAACTCCTGACCTCATGTGATCCACCCACCTTGGCCTACCAAAGTTCTGGGACTACAGGCGTGGGCCACCGCGCCTGGCCAGCTTACCTTTTTCATTGATGTGTTTGGAGATCTTTCCATGTTAAAACATACAGAGGTACTTTAAAATACCAGATTTTCAGTTACTTTTGTTAATTACACTAAAGTCTCTTCTAATAAACTGTAAAAGCTTCTTGATAATAGAATCCATGTCTTATTCATTATTATGTTTCTCAGAGCACCTAATACCTAGTTAGCATAATATAGATTAGTCAAACTGTCTCTTTTTTCTACTGTCATTCCTTTCTGGTCCTTCTAAATAAAACAGTGGGCTAAATTGTACTCATATATGTTTCTTTTTCACTTTTGTTAATATATAGTATTCTGTTGTTTAACACAAGGGTCACAAATTCAAAGTCCAGTTGGGGAGGTTCAATGTAGCTGGTCAGGTCATAGAGAAGGCAGAGGTTTGGGATGTTACTCGAGCCTGCATATCCTGATTTGAGGATGTGGCTAGTGCTCAAATCCAGCCAGTTATTGCCTCATGAAATGTTGGCCCAGAGAACCAATTTAATGTAGTGGGAAAGCACTCAAACTACTTGGCTGAATGCTATCTCACTACTTACTTTATAAATGTGGACGAGTTACTTAACCACTGTGCCTCTGTTTCCTCATCTCTAAAATATAAATAGTAATATTGCCTATCTTACTGTTTTTGTGAAGATTAAATGAATTTCAAAATGTAAAACACATTAGGACAGAGTTAGCACATAGTAATTGGCATAGATACCACATTTTACCAATTCTGAGATGCACATTAGCATGTAAACCTCTTTGAAATCAGGATACATCTTGTAATTATAACTGGGGGTATTTCTTTTTTCTTCGTGATTTCATTAAAAAGATGGGGGGTCTTAAAATTGATGGCTTCTTAAATTGTACAAAATAAGAGTGTTAGCTACCATTAGCTGTCAGGCTGATGTTTTTCAAGAAAAGATACAAATTTGAGCTGAGCTCTGTGTTGCATGCGTGTAGTCCCAGCTACTTGTTAGACTGAGGTGGGAAAATTGCTTGAGCTCAGGAGTTCAAGGATATAGTGAGCTATGAATAGTGCCACTGCACTCCAGCCTGTACAGCAGAGCAAGAAGATCCTGGCTCTAAAAAAAGAACAGTGAAGAAAACATAGAAATCTGGATTTTTAAATGCTGGCTTAAAATTTATTTTAAATGCTGTATGAGTCAAATAGATTTTTCAAATAATATAGTAAATATAATACATTATTATTATTATTATTATTGTTATTTTGAGTCAGAATCTTGCTCTGTCACCGAGGCTGGAGTGTAGTGGCGTGATCTCGGCTCACTGCAACCTCCACCTCCCAGGTTCAAGCGATTCTCCTGCCTCAGCCTCCTGAGTAGCTGGGATCACGGGCATGTGCCATCACACCCAGCCAATTTTTCACTTTTGTATTTTTAGTAGAGACAGAGTTTCACCATGTTGGCCAGGCTGGTCTCGAACTCCTGACCTTGTGATCTGCCTGCCTTGGCCTCCCAGAGTGCTGGGATTATAGGTATGAGTCATTGGGCCTGGCTAATACACTATTATTTTTTAAAATTCTATAATATTAAGTTGGGGGCCAGGCACAGTAGGTCATGCCTGTAATCCCAGCACTTTGGGAGGCCAAAGCCAGTGGATCATCCAAGGTCAGGAGTTCAAGACCAGCCTGGCCAACATGGTCAAACCCCATCTCTACTAATAATATAAAAATTAGCTGGGCATGGTGGCACATGCATGTAAGCCTAGCTGCTTGGGAGGCTGAGGCAGGAGGATTGCTGGAACCTGGGAGGCGGAGGTTGCAGTGAGCCGAGATCACTCCATTGCACTCCAGCCTGGATGACAGAGTGAGACTTCGTCTCAAAAAAAAAAAATTAAGTCTTTTTTTGTTTGTTTGTTTTGAGACAGGATCTCACTCTGTCTTGCAGGTTGGAGTGCAGTGGCGTAAACATGGGTTACAGTGGCTTCAACCTCCTGGCTTTAAGCAATCCTCCCACGTCAGCCTCCTGAGTAGCTGTGACCACAGGTGTACAACACAATGCTTGGCTAATTTTTAAAAATTTTTAATGGAGATAGGGGTTTCGCCATGTTGCCCAGGCTGTTCTTGAACTCCTGGGCTCAAGCAATCTTCCTGGCTTAGGTCCCCAAAGTGTTGGGATTACAGGTGAGAGTCACTGTGCCGGGCCAAGTATATATATATATTTTTTTATCCTTTAAGTTCTGTCAGACCTGACTGGCCAAGTGTTTTTTTGTTTGTTTGTTTTGTTTGGTTTATTTTTTTGGAGTCTCACCCTGTTGCCCAGGCTGGAGTGCAATGGTGCAAACTGGGCTCACTGCAACCTCCACTTCCCGGGTTCAAGCGATTCTCCTGCCTCAGCCTCCCGAGTAGCTGGGATTACAGGTGCCCGCCACCATGCCCAGCTAATTTTTTGTAACTTTAGTAGAGACAGGGTTTCACCAGGTTCGCCAGGCTGGTCTCAAACTCCTGACCTCGTGATCCGCCCGCCTCGTCCTCCCAAAGTGCTGAGATTACAGGCGTGAGCCACTGAGCCCAGCCAAGTTTTTTTAAAGTGTTGTAAATTTTGAGCGTTAAGTAACCTTAGAGTTATTCTACTTTATCTTTCCATTTTGCAGATAATGAATTTTACTTTAAAAGATTATATTTAAGGGACAGTCCATCCTCATTATTTGTCAATTTCTTACTTGCAAATTCACCTACTCACTAAAATATATTTGTATCGCACAAATCAGTACTTTGAGCACTTTATGGTTATTTGTAGATGGTACAGCAGTGAAAAATTTGATTCTCCCAACATACACATCTCCAATTGAGGTCAAAGAAGGTGATGCTTTGCCTTCTTGTTTCAGTTCTCATGCTGTAAGTGTGTCCTTTCATGGTCTGTTTAGTGTTATGCTTTTTGCATTTTTGTATTTTATCTTTTTCTTTTTTTTTTTTTTTTTTTTGAGACAGAGTCTGACTCTGTTGCCCAGGGTGGAGTGCAGTGGCGTGATCTCGGCTCACTGCAAGCTCTGCCTCCGCCTCCCGAGTTTAAGTGATTCTCCTGCCTCACCCTCCTGAGTAGCTGGGTTTACAGTCATGCTCCACCACACTCAGCTAGTTTTTGTATTTTTAGTAGAGACAGGGTTTCACCATGTTGGCCAGGCTGGTCTCGAACTCCTGACCTCAAGTGATCCACCTCAGCTTCCCAAAGTGCTGGGATTACAGGCGTGAGCCACCACACCCAGCCTCATCTTTGTATTGTTTTGTTTGGGATTTCCCTATTAAAAATAGACCCCGTGTAGTGTTGTCTGGTGTTCCTAAGCACAAGAAGGCTGTGATGTTCCTTACAGAGGTGATATGTATATTATGTAAGCATCACTGAGGCATGTGTTATAGTGCTGTTGGCCATGAGATCAATATTAATGGTCAAGGATGTATATTAAATAAGATGTCTTTGGCCACATGCAGTAGCTCACACATGTAATCCTAGCACTTTGGAAGACAGAGGCAGGAGGACCACTTGAGCTCATTAGTTCAAGATCAGCCTGGGCAACATAGTGACACCTCATCTCTAAAAAAATTTTAAAAAGGTGTCTTTAAACAGAAATACACATAAAAGGTTTTATATTGATCAGTTGATGAAAATGTGATCAGAGGCTTGCGGGAAACTAACCCTGTATTTTCTCTAGGACCAGTGGGTTTTGTTTTTAGAGATGGAGTCTCACTCTGTTACCCAGTCTGGAGTTCAGTGGCACGACTGTGGCTCACTGCAGTCTCAAACTACTGGGCTCAAGTGATCCTCCTGCCTCAGCCTCCTGAGTAGCTAGGACTACAGGCACTCGCCAACATGCCTGGTTAATTTTTAAATTTCTTATAAAGACAGGATCTAGCTGTGTTGCCCAGGCTGATCACAAATTCCTGGCTTCAAGCAGTCCTCCTTTTCGGCCTCCCAGAACTCTGAGATTACAGACATGAGCTACTGCGCCTGGCCTAGGAGCAGTGGTTTAGTATTCACTAATTCAGTTTTCATGGTAACTTTATAAAACATAGCTACTGTAAATAGCAACAAACAGTTATATTCATAAACCAGGTGAATAGTCAATCAGGTGGTATTTTAGAGTAGGTAATAAAAGCAAGATCTAATATGGAAATTTCTTTAATTTTTTTCTCTTTATTTATTGAAGCAATAATGGAAATATGCTTGCTGTAAATAATCCAAATCAGTATGTAGTCTAAAATTGCCTCTTTCTTCCTTCACAGTCTTACTTCGCATCACTCGAAGTAATCTCTAGTAAAGTTTGGTGTACATCCTTCTACAGTGTTGTCTTTTGTATTTACCAATATATATATTTACACAAATGAGTTTCTTTATAAAAATCTGTAACTGTGATAGTTCTTGGTAGCTCAGTGTCGGGGCTAAATTCTGAGAAATGCATTATTAGGCAGTTTTGTTGTGCAAACATCCTAGAGTGTACTTAAAGCAAACCTAGATAGTATAGCCTACTATTCACCTAGGCTGTATGGTGTAGCCTATTGCTCTTGGGCCATAAACCTGTACAGCGTGTTACTGTAATGAATACTGTAGGCAATTATAACAATGGTAAATATTTGTGTATCTATGCATCTACAGTAAAATGTGGCATAAAAGATAGTAAATAGTATGCCTATATAGGTCGCTTAATCATGAATAGAGCTTGCAGGACCAGAAGTTGCTCTGGATGAGTCAAGTGAGTGAGTGGTGAATGAATGTGAAGACCAAGGACATTATGTAAAGTATACTTTATAAACACTATACACTTAAGGCTACACTAAATTCATTTTTTAAAATTTTCTTCAGTAATTGACCTTAGTTTACTATAACTTTTTAACTTCATAAAGTTTTAAACTTTTTTTAAAGCTTTCTGTAATAATGCTTAGTTTAAAACACAAACACATTGTACGATATTTTTCTTCTATATCCTTCTTCTATAAGCTTTTTCCTATTTTAAAATTTTTACTTTTTAAACTTTTTTTTTTTTTTTTTTTTTTTGAGACAGTCTCGCTCTGTCAGCCAGGCTGAAGTGCAATGGCGCAATATCGGCTCACTGCAACCTCCGCCTCCCAAGCTCAAGTAATTCTCCCGCCTCAGCCTCTCGAGTAGCTGGGATTACAGGCACCTGCCATCATGCCTGGCTAATTTTTCCATTTTTGTAGAGATGGGGTTTCACCATGTTGGCCAGGCTGGTGTTGAACTCCTGACCTCAGGTGATTCGGCCTCCCAAAGTGCTGGGATTATAGGCGTGAGCTACCATGCCCGGCCACTTTTTTGTTAAAAACTAAGACACAAACACCTGTTAGCCTAGGCCTACACAGGGCAGGGTCATCAATATCACTGTCTTCTACCCTCATCTCTTGTTCCACTGGAAGGTCTTCAGGGGCAGTAACATGCAATAGAGCTGTCAACTCCTATAATAATAATGCCTTCTTCTGGAATACTTCTTGAAGGACCTGCCTGAGGCTGTTTTACAGTTAACTTTTATTTTTTGTGAGTAGAAGTACACTCTAACATAACCATTAAAAGTATAATATAGTAAATACATAAACAAGTAACAGTCATTTGTTACTGTTATCAAGTATTATGTACTGTACACAATTGTCTGTGCCATACTTTCATAAGCCTGGCAGTGCAGTGGGTTTGTTTACACCAGCATCACCACAAACACATGAGTAATGTGTTGTGCTAAGGCTAGGACATCGGTAGGTGATAGGAATTTTGCATTTCCATTATCATCATATGGGACGTCTGTGCAGTGGTCCATTGTTGACTTGAATGTCGTTACGTAGGCCATGCGTATTTTAAAATTTTTAACAGTGGGTTTTGGAGATTTGTTTCAAACAAATAGGCTGAGGCATTTGTTTCTTGTTAACACTTTTCTATTCTGTAATCTTACCTATCTTCACTGTATTTACATATGTGTTATTCAGATGGTGAAATTTTGGAAAAGTTACTTGTTTCAAGTACAGAATGGTTGAAATGTGTGCCTTGGTAGTATGCTGAGATAAGAAATACTTTGTTAAAAGGCCTAGGGGCAAACATTTCTGACTTTCTCATGAAAATAGAGTGGATCAATTTCTTCTGTGTTGTAACTCCCTCTTTTGATCACTAATTGATAAGGTGCTAGATTACATTAAAATCTGATATCTAAATGTTTTACATCCTTCCCAACTTTCCTATCATGTAGATGAGAGTGTTGAGAACTAAGATAAGAGTTTGTGACTTCAGATGACCAGTGAGTTTATGAATTTTGCTTAAAACTACTAATCGTCTTCTTTGGTCGGTTTCCAAGAGAATGAGGTTCCAGCAACAAAGCCTGCTTCAGGATCCCATCTGGGAAAGTGAATAAGCATATCTTTTTTTTTTTTTTTTTGAGACAGAGTCTCGCTCAGTTGCCCAGGCTGGAGTGCAGTGGCACGATCTCGGCTCACTGCAGGCTCCACCTCCCGGGTTCAAGCCATTCTCCTGCCTCAGCCTCCCGAGTGGCTGGGACTACAGGCACCCACCACCATGCCTGGCTAATTTTCTTGTATTTTTAGTAGAGACAGGGTTTCACCGTGTTAGCCAGGATGGTCACGATCTCCTGACCTCGTGATCCACCCGTGTCGGCCTCCCAAAGTGCTGGGATTACAAGCGTGAGCCACCATGCCTGGCCGAATAAGTGTTATCTTTTAACTGTACAATTAAATTGTTTTTCCTTCTGATGGTAACATACTCATTGAGTCGGTTTTCCTACTCTTCTTTTTGCTTCATTCTTGTTACCCTTACTCACACTTCCATCTGTATCCAAAATTGTGTTTCTCTAAGGCCCCTCTGCCTGGCTGTGCTGTCCAAAGTAGCACCTTCACTCAGTCACGGTCTCACTTCCCTCACTTTCTGTGTTTGTCTTACTTGTTTTTAATATATTCTGTCTCTTTGCCATTATAGTTTCATTAGAATAGGTACCTTCTGTACTGGTTCTCTGCTATTTTCCCAGCGTAGACCAGTGCCTTGCAAAATGTTAAGTACTTGAACGGTGTTTCCCAGACTGTCTGTAGTGAAGGACCAGTTGATTTTTTAGTTTGTTTTTCAAATTTCATCATAGGCCAGTAAATACATTTTGTTATAAAATACAATAAAAATCAATTACTAGAAAAAATGACATCACATACAAGCCCTTTTTTTTGAGACAGAGTCTCGCTCTGTCACCTAGGCTGGAGTGCAGTGGCGCGATCTTGGCTCACTGCAAGCTCCGCCTCCTGGATTCACGCCATTCTCCTGCCTCAGCCTCCCAAGTAGCTGGGACTACAGGCGCCCGCCACCACGGCCGGCTAATTTTTTGTATTTTTAGTAGAGATGGGGTTTCACCGTGTTAGCCAGGATAGTCTGGATCTCCTGACCTCATGATCCGCCCGCCATGGCCTCCCAAAGTGCTGGGATTACAGGCATGAGCCACTGTGCCTCGCCCCTGTTTTTCTTTTTTTTATTAGATCCAACAGCCATAAAAGTATCCATTGTCTATAGAGGTTTCTAAATGCTTAGTCTCTATTTCTGAAGTTAGTTTATTATAAACCACTGCTTCAGGTTGCACTGTTCTTGGCCCCCCCATAAGTGTGGCAGCACTCTAGTATTTGTTGAACAAATGAATGGATTACCAGCCTCAGGGTTACCACAATAAATTCTTCAGACTGTATTATTCCTTTGACCTTTAACTTTCCTAAACCCCAGAGTATATACTGAGATACGGAAGGATGATGGCTCATTCATGATATCAGACTTCAGCTGGCTTATTCACTGCTGTTTTTTGATTCTATAATAATTATTATTTTGAGACGGAGTCTCACTCTGTCGCCCAGGCCAGAGTGCAGTGGTGTGATCTTGGCTCACTGCAACCTCCGCCTCTCAGGTTCAAGCAGTTCTCGTGCCTCAGACTCCCGAGTAGCTGAGATTACAGGCACCCACCATCACACCCAGCTCTTTTTTGTATTTTTAGTAGAGACAAGGTTTCACCATTTTGGGCAGGCTGGTCTTGAACTCCTGACCTCAGGTGATCTGCCTGCCTTGGCCTCCCAAAGTGCTGGGATTAGAGGCGTAAGCCACCGCGCCCAGCCCCTATCCTTTTTGTTTTTTATTATAAAAGTAATATCTGAATACATGATTGTTTAAATAAATGCTGTGTAAGTGTATAAAATGAAAAGTAAAAGGCCCCCATGAATGGACATTAAGATACTTCCGATGTGTTTTGTTTTCTATTGCTGCAGTATTTGTTACTGTACTTGTGATGGTACATGTGCATATATTGCTCTAAAACAAATTTCTAGAAGTTGAATTCCAAACAGTGACTGTTCCAGATGTCTTATTTTTTAGGACCCCAAGCCTCTTAAATTTAGGTCTTTCCGTTATTCCCTTACCTTCTCCCTTATCCCTTCAAATCTTTGCCCACTGCCATCACATTAATGCCTTCTTTGACCTTATTTTATCTGTTATAGTAATGAGCTGCCCTGTTCTTTCTATCTTTAATCTCCCCACTCCACCTTGTCCTTATTATCTCAGCTAGTTTAATTCTTAAAAGTGAGTATATTAATCCTTGGAATCTTTCTTTTTTATATATATATATAGTACTGATATTTTTCAGTTAGTAGCTTCTGATTATAACTTTCCCAAATTGAGGCTTTCATTTCCTTAGAACAAGGAACTGCCCTGGCTGGGCAGTTTAGTCAAAGGCTTGTCAGGGTGTTTAGTAGACAGTTGTGCAAGTGGAGCTATTCACAGGGACTGTATTACTATGTTCCTTTGTTACTAAAAAAAAATTCTTGCAGTCCCTGTAGTTCGCAACAGATACTCTGACTCATATTTCTCTACATAGGAGAAAGAGTATGGACTTTGGAGTGATACATCTATAGCTCGGTTAGGATCTAGACTCTGCTCCCAAACTGGTAGTGTATTTTGGGGTGCACTGCTATGTTTCTGAGCCTTCATTTCTTCCTTATAAAGAGTTTATTAGTTTGTAGCCAGGCGCAGTGGCTCACACCTGTAATTCCAGCACTTTGGGAGGCTGAGGTTGGTGGATCACCTGAGGTCAGGAGTTCAAGACCAGCCTGGCCAACAGGGTGAAACCCCGTTTCTACTAAAATTACAAAAATTAGCCGGACGTAGTGGCACATGTTTGTAATCCCAACTACTCAGGAGGCTGAGGTGAGAGAATCGCTTGAATCCAGGAGGCAGAGGTTGCAGTGAGCTGAAATTGTACCACTGCACTCCAGCCTAGGCGACAGAGTGAGACTCCGTGTCAAATAAAAAATAAAAAAAAAACGAAAAAAACAGTTTATTAGTTTGGGCATTGTTTCAGCCGCTGTAACACAGGCCAGGAAACAGAAGTCTAACCAAGATAAAAATTTATGTCTTTGTCTGATAAAAGTCCAAGCTAGTAGATAATCCCTACGGTATGTAGTTCTGTTCCTTAGGTGGTCCAGGGGACCAGGTCCTGCTTTTTATCTTATTCTGCCATCTTCCTGTCCCCTCCCTCTTGCTGTAGTTTGAATTGTTAAAGGCACCTAATAACCACCAGCCTAAGTTCTAGGCCAAGGGAAGGAGAAAGAGCAATGAAGAACAAGTAGCTTCCTTTAGGGACGTGAACTTAAAGATACTCACAACTCATTGGCCAGAATGTATTATAGTTTCTGTCCATGCCTAGCTGCAAGGAAAGCCTGAAAATAGGATATAGGTGGACAGTCATGTGCCCAGCTAAAGCACAGAGACGTCTAGTAACTGAAAGGAAGAAGGATAGAATGGACAATGTGGCACAATTATACTGCACTGAGTTGGTTTTTCAAGTAGGAAATAAATGGAATAATAGTTTTGAGATCTACAATTTCTGAGTAGAAACTAAGCGTACTTTTGTACAGAATTTTTGTTTGGTAAATATCAACAGAAAAATATAGACTTGTGTATAGACTAAAACATGACTAGGTCTTTGTAGGGTTTGGAACATAAGTAATATGTTTTCCTTTCATTTGGCTTCAGTTGTCTGTAAATAGCAAACATAATGCTTTCTTATAGAGAGATCACTTTTTCAGAAACTTCAACTATCTGGAATATTGTTAGGAGGTAATAAGGCCTCAAGGTAGCAAAAGTATAAGTTGCATAGTCCGTGTTCTCAATCTTGATTTCAAGCTTGAGTAATTTTGGGGTATAGACATATTACTATTCAACTTAATTATTTAGTACCTCGCTCAGTAGCAAATTTAAATCTGCAATATTTGAATGGTCCATTAAAGGTATATATGATGGAAATGATAGCCAAAAGCCTGATAGGATAGAAGAATAATACAAGGAAGAAAAATACAAAGAAGTCATAAGCTTGGTAATAATAAAATTTGCTAACATTTATTGAAGATTCATAGGTGCCAGGTATTATATAAAGCTTTTATATGTATTATTTCATTTAATATCTAAGACATCCTCTATATCATATAGGGGAGGATTTAGGTTTATATGCTAAGAAAGCTCATAATTACATTCTTCTTTGTTTATGAAGATAGAGAAGCATGTAACTAATTTTAGATCACCATCAGAAATCATTAAAATGAAAAGGCCATTTTGGTGCTTGACAGAGGTATCTGAAAGAGCTCAGTCTAATGGTGCTAGGTAAATAAGTTGTTCTTTTTAAAATTATTATTATATTTTGAGGCAGGGTCTTGCTCTGTCATCCAGGCTGAAGTACAGTGACGCATCCACAGCCACACTCACTGTAGCCTCGGACTGCTCAAGCAGTCCTCCTACCTCAGCCTCTGGAGTAGCTAGGACTACAAACATACCACCACGCCCACTTAATTTTTTTATTTTCTGTAGAGATGGGATCTCACTATGTTGCCCAGGCTGGGCTTGAGTTCCTAGCCTCAAGCATTCCTCCCACTTCAGTATCCCAAAGTGTTAGGATTACAAGTGTGAGCTGCCATTCTCAGCCATAAGTTGTTCTTATATTCACCTTTGACTTTTTTTTTTTTTTTTTTTTTTTTTGAGATGGAGTCTCGCTCTGTGGCCCAGGCTGGAGTGCAGTGGCGCAATCTTGGCTCACTGCAAGCTCCGCCTCCTGGGTTCATGCCATTCTCCTGCCTCAGCGTCCTGAGTAGCTGGGACTACAGATGTCCACCACCATACCCAGCTAATTTTTTGTATTTTTTTTTTTAGTAGAGATGGGGTTTCACTGTGTTAACCAAGATGGTCTCGATCTCCTGACCTCCTGATCCGCCCACCTCGGCCTCCCAGAGTGCTGAGCCACCTCACCTGGCCTTTTTTTTTTTTTTTTTTTTTTTTGAGACAGAGTTTCACTCTTGTTGCCCAGGCTAGAGTGCAATGGTGCGATCTCGGCTCACCGCAACCTCCGCCTCCTGGGTTCAAGCAGTTCTCCTGCCTCAGCCTCCTGAGCAGCTGGAATTACAGGCATGTATCACCACGCCCAGCTAATTTTGTATTTTCAGTAGAGACGGGGTTTCTCTGTGTTGAGGCTGGTCTCGAACTCCTGACCTCAGGTGATCCGCCCCCTTCAGCCTCCCAAAGTGCTGGGATTACAGGCGTGAGCCATCGTGCCCAGCTGGTATTTCTTTTTTTTTTTTTTTTTTACAGGCTGGAGTGCAGTGGTGTCACTTTGGCTCACTGCAACCTCCACCTCCCAGGCTCAAGCAATTCTTGTGCCTCGGCCTTCTGAACAGCTGAGACTACAGGCGTGCATGACCATGCCTGGCTAATTTGTTGTAGTTTAGTAGGGACGGGGTTTTGCCACATTGCCTACACTGGTCTTGAACTCCTGAGCTCAGGCAATCCACCCCTCTCAGCCTCCCAAAGTGCTGGGATTACAGGCATGAGCCACCGCGCCTGGCCATCCTCCAGTATTTCTAAAGCTAAGTTTCTCTACCAACATTGAACAGCTTTTATATTTCTGCGTTTAGCAAGTAATGATTGAAGAGCATCCAGACATGGAAATTTATATTTTGAGACAAGTAGCTCTATACACCAACCAAAGGTAAGGTTGAGGCTAGATTCAAGCCCTGCATGGTACTGGGACTAAGTACCTCAAGGTAGATAAGAATCCCAGATCTAGAACCAGTACTTGAGGTCTAAGACTAAGAAGAAGCAGAAAACGCCTGGAAAAAAAATTTACCATTCATAGTATCAACTATAAGCTACCTTAAAAAAATGAGCAAAAGATGTACAAGTCCTAAGTAAAGGCAATTGCAGTCTTGCTTTGGAAAACTATTTTGACTCAATAAATTCTTTAAGCTGAGAGTAATGAGGTTCATGTTTTTAAGAGATAACTAAGTAGTTTTTCTAAGTAGTAAAAAAAATATATATATACATATATGTGTATATATATGTATATATTAGGAAAAGTGTCAACCAGTTATATAATAAAGAGAAAATTATATCATTTCCATGAATGATTTTTAAATGTGAACAGTTAGAATGAATAAAGAAAGAATGTAAAGCTAGGCTTGGTTATCCTGCTATATCTGCTATATGAAGAAATGCAAATCAGCAATTGTAAAGACTCCTAGAAATCATGCAATGCACAAACCGAGTTAATTTCGTATAACCTTGTGTTTCCCACTTGTTCTGTGATCGTAGGGAATCTATTAATATCTTCTGGGACACTAGAAGTCTGCAAAACATAATTTGGGAAATGCTATATGTATTTGAACACCATTAATTCAGATACGTAGGGTGCAAACATTTGCATTGCCAAAATCTTAATGTACAGAATCTTTAAAGAATATAATAAACTTATACTTTCTTTTTGTTTTTTTTAATGGAGAAACAAGGTCTCACTCTGTTGCTCAGGCTGGAGTGCAGTGGCGTGATCATAGCTTGCTGCAACCTCTTAACTTCTGAGTTCAAGTGATCCACCTGCCTTAGCCTGCTGAGTAGCTATGACTACAGGCTCACACCATCATACCTAGCTAATTTTATTTTTTGTAGAGACATGGTCTCACTATGTTGCCCAGGCTGGTCTCAAACTCCTGGCCTAAAGTACATTCTTTAGTAAGTTAAAATACTTGCTTTTTTAATGATAGTCTTGAAAAAAAAAAAGTTAAAATACTAATTGGCCGAGCTAGAAAGGACCCAAGTGTTTTTTAAACTATGTTCTTTTTTTTTTTTTTCTCCCGAGACGGAGTCTTGCACTGTCGCCCAGGCTGGAGTGCAGTGGTGCGATCTCGGCTCACTGCAAGCTCCGCCTCTAGGTTCATGCCATTCTCCTGCCTCAGCCTCCTGAGTAGCTGGGACTACAGGCACCCGTCACCAGGCCCAGCTAATTTTTATTGCATTTTTAGTAGAGACAGGGTTTCATCATGTTAGCCAGCATGGTCTCGATCTCCTGACCTCGTGATCCACCCACCTCAGCCTCCCAAAGTGCTAGGATTATAGGCGTGAGCCACCACGCCCGGCCTAAACTATGTTCTTCATCAGATGTTTTCCAAATATTTTCACCCAGTCTGTGGTTTACCTTTTCAGTCTCTTCATAGTGTCTTTCGAACAGCAGAAGTGGGGTTGGGTGCAGTGGCTCACACCTGTAATCCCAGCACTTTGGGAGGCCAACGTGGGAGAATCACTTGAGCCCAGGAGTTTGAGAGCAGACTGAGCAATATAGTTAGACCCTGTCTCTAAAAATTACAAGAAAATTAGCCAGATGTAGTTGTGGTTGTGTGCCTGTGGGCCCAGCTACTCGAGAGGCTGAGGTGGGAGGATTGCTTGAGGACAGGAGGTTGTGGCTACAGGGAGCCATGATTGCACCACTGCACTTCAACCTAGGAGATAGAGCAAGACCCCATCTAAAAAAAAAGTGATGAAATCTAATTTATTACATTTTTCTTTTTTTAATTTTTATTTATTTATTTTTGAGACAGGGTCTCGCTCTGTCAACAGGCTGGAGTGTAGTGGTGCGATCTTAGCTCGCTGCAACCTCTGCCTCCCGGGTTCAAGCGATTCTCCTGCCTCAGCTTCCCGAGTAGCTGGGGACTATAGGTGCGCACCACCTCACCCAGCTAATTTTTGTATTTTTAGTAGAGACAGGGTTTCACCATGTTGGCCAGGATGGTCTCGATCTCTTGACTTTGTGATCCACCCACCTCGACCTCCCAAAGTGCTGAGATTACAGGTGTGAGCCACCGTGCCCATTCTACATTTTTCTTTTATGAATGTGGCATCTGAGAAGTCTTCGCCTAAACAGAGGTCACGAGGATTTTCTCGTATGCTTTCTTCTAGAAGTTTTACAGTTTTAGGTTTCCAAATTCTTTTTTAATGTAATTTTATATGCACAGTCTGATACTTTTGCTTTACTGAATCCGTAGTTTAAATTTAGTTTTATAACTTGCTTTTTTTCATCTCATTATTATACCATGGTATTTTCATATCAGTAGTTAATTCTTTTGAATACCTACATGGCGTTCCATCAAAGAATGTATTACAATTGTTTAGCTTTCTTCTCATATTGGATAGTTAAGTTGTTATCTGTTTTTTCCTATTATTAATAATGTTCCAAGATTTGTTTTAAAATTCAGTTGAAAGTTTGGTTTCTATAAATTATTTTATTTTATTTTATTTTATTTTTATTTATTTATTTATTTGAAACGGAACCTCACTCTGTCACTCAGGCTGGAGTGCAGTGGTGCAATCTCGGCTCACTGCAACCTCCGCCTGCCAGGTTCAAGCAATTCTTCTGCCTCAGCCTCCCAAGTAGCTGGGACTACAGACACGTGCCACCATGCCCGGCTAATTTTAGTATTTTTAGTAGAGACAGGGTTTCACCATATTGGCCAAGCTCATCTAGAGCTCCTGACTTCAGGTGATCCACCCGCCTCGGCCTCCCAAAGTGCTGGGATTACAGGCATGAGCCACTGAGCCCGGCCAAGATTCGTTTTAAAATTCAGTTTAAATTTTGGTTTTGGCCGGGCGCAGTGGCTCATGCCTGTAATCCCAGCACTTTGGGAGGCCGAGGCGGGTGGATCACCTGAAGTCAGGAGCTCTAGATGAGCTTGGCCAATATGGTGAAACCCTGTCTCTACTAAAAATACTAAAATTAGCCAGGCATGGTGGCAGGTGCCTGTAATCCCATCTTTTCAGGGGGGCCGAGGCAGTAGAATCACTTGAACCCAGGAGGCGGAGGTTGCAGTGAGCCGAGATCGCATTGTCGCACTCCAGCCTGGGGGACAAGAGCGAGACTTCGTCTCAAAAAAAAAAATTTTTTTTTTGGTTTCTATAAATTATTTTATAATGAAGCGTTTCATCCTTGTATATTTTGAGGCACACTTAAAAGTTTTGATATAAAGTTTTGACTTCTTCTTGTTCAGATATATGATGAAAATGTTAGGAAAAAGATGATGTAAACAATTACTATTTTAAAAATTTTAAATAACTTTCTGTCTTCTATCATAACCATATTGGATTATGCTCCCCTCCTGGTTCAAACAGTCATAATAGGCCTAATTAGAAAGCTCTGATTTTACCAATTATTTCTTTTAATTCCTCAATTTATATGATTTATTTTGACTTCTCTTTCAGCCCCTCCCACTTTTTAAGTCTCTGCAAAACTATTTGATCTCTGTAATGAGATTATAATACTACCTAAATGCATAGTTAGATTTCTGAAAGACCATTTCTGTTACATCCCATGTGCTGATTTTTTTTTTAATTACATGGCATAAATTTAGGGGACAAAAATTTCACGGTTTTTTTTATTCTTTTAATGCCATTTTATTTTTTCATGACAGATTCAAAAGCTTTGTGACAGAGTAGCTTCATCTACTTTATTGGATGATCGAAGAAATGCTGTTCGTGCTCTCAAATCATTATCTAAGGTTTGTAACTTTGTAAATGTTTTAAGTTTCTTAAGTTGGATATTAGTTACTTTAGTAACATTTTTATTTTTTATGTGCAGAAATACCGCTTGGAAGTGGGTATACAAGCTATGGAACATCTTATTCATGTTTTACAAACAGATCGGTAAGTCTCTGTTTAATGATTTTTTTCCCTAATTTTTCTTGAACTTTTGTTTTAGAGTCAGCATCACTATTCCAAAAGATTGCTTTTTTTTTGGTATTTTTTGGTAGAGATGGGGTTTGCCATGTTGCCCACGCTGGTCTCGAACTCCTGGGCTCAGGCGATCTGCCCACCTCGGCCTCCCAAAGTGCTGGGATTGCAGGTGTGAGCCACTGCGCCTGGCCCTAAAAGTTGTTGACATACTAAAGCTGTTAAGTTTTTACTTCAGATGTCATTTCGATAAAGATTTATTGGACAGAGTGCGAGCCACTGTGTTAAGCATAAAACAGACATATAAAAATGGGATAAAGCAACTCTTTAATGCCTTGAGATTTTGAGTTTGAATTGGGCAAGTGGTATTCATTTACACTGGGCAAGTAGATATTCATTTACATATAATATACATATTTTGGTATTCAGACTTGCTTTTTTAAGAGAAATAAACTGCAGTAATAAGAGTTAAGTGTTAAATATGAGCCTGTCGTAAGAGAAAGATTGCCAGATATGGTGGCTCAAGCTTGTAATTCCAGCACCTTGGAAGGCTGAGGTGGGAGGATTGCTTGAGCCCAGGAGTTCGATACTAGCCTGGGCAACATAAAAAATAAAAATTAGGCCAGGCATGGTGTCTCATGCCTGTAATCCCAGCACTTTGGGAAGCCGAGGCAGGTGGATTACTTGAGGTCAGGAGTTCGAGACCAGCCTGGTCAAATGGTGAAACCCGGTCTCTACTAAAAATAACAAAAATTAGCCAGGCCTGGTGGTGCATGCCTGTAATCCCAGCTACTTGGGAGTCTGAGGTGGGAGAAATCACTTGAACCCAGGAGATGGAGATTACAGTTAACCAAGATCGTCCAACTGCACTTCAGCCTGGGCAACAGAGCAAGACTCTGTCTCAAAAAAACAAAAAAGATAAATAATAAAATAAAAATTAGCTGGGTGTGTTGTCACATACCTGTGGTCCCAGCTTCTCGGGAGGCTGAGGTGGGAGGATCACTCGAGCCCAGGAAGTCAAGGCTGCAGTGAGCCGTGATCATACCACTGTATTCCAACCTGGGCAGCAGAGTGAGACCTTGTCTTGACAAAATAAATATAAATTTAAAGAAAAAGAAGCATCATTTAGCCCATTTTTAGCTCTTTCAATTTTTTTTTTTTTTTTTTTTTGAGATTAAGTCTCGCTCTGTCGCCCAGGCTGGAGTGCAGTGGCATGATCTCAGCTCACTGCAAGCTCCGCCTCCCGAGTTTATGCCATTCTCCTGCCTCAGCCTCCCAAGTAGCTGGTACCTGTTACAGGTGCCCACCACCACACCTGGCTAATTTTTTGTATTTTTAGTAGAGACGGGGTTTTACCATGTTAGCCAGGATGGTCTCGATCTCCTGATCTCGTGATCCACCTGCCTTGGCCTCCCAAAGTGCTGGGATTACAGGCGTGAGCCACCGCGCCCAGCCTTTTTTTTTTTTTCAGATAGAGTTTCGCTCTCATTGCCCAGGCTGGAGTACAATGTTGCAGTCTAGGCTCACTGCAGCCTCTGCCTCCTGGGTTCAAGTGATTTCTCCTGCCTCAGCCTCCCGAGTACCTGGGATTACAGGCATGCGCCACCATGCCTGGCTAATTTTGTATGTTTAATAGAGATGGGGTTTCTCCATGTTGATCAGGCTGGTCTCGAACTCCTGAACTCAGGTGATCCGCCCACCTCAGCCTCCCAAAGTGCTGGGATTACAGGTGTGAGCCACCACACCTGGCCCTCAATTTCTTTTTAAGAGATTTTATCTCCATCTTTGGTTTTCATTAACTGTGCATGGATAGCTTCCAGATCTTAGCTACAGTTGAATGTGTCTTACAAGCTTTAGCTGTGCATTGTACATTTCTACTCTACCAAGATCTCTCATAAGCCTCTCAAATTCAAAATGTTCAAAGTTAATTTATCTCTGGTCCTCCAATCCTTCTAGGCTTTCCATGCCCCCTTCGACCACTTTTACCCTAAGTTCATCTCAGTCATGAGCATCTTTCCATTCAAGCGAGAAACTGGAGGATTCTTAGGGAACTCATTCCTCTCCTGAACCCATCATGCCTACACAGGCCAAAAAACAGCTAGAGTCCATTATTTTCTTTCCGTTTCCTTTTTTGGCCTTAGTTCTGGCTCAGTGTCAATCACTTAAATAATTTCCACAGCCTCTGTGTTTGTTATCTTTGGCCGTGTAACAAATTACTTCAAAACTTAGTGGTTCAAAATAAAATATTTATCACCTCATAGTTTCTGTGGATCAGGAATTGAGGATCAACTTAGCTAAGTGGGCTCAGGGTCTCTCATGAGGTTGCCATGAAGCCATCAGCCAGGTCTGCAGTCATCTGAAGGCTTGACTGGGGCTGGAGGATCTGATTCCAAGATGTCTTACATTGCTATTGGCAAGAGGCCTCAGTTCCTCAACATGTTTCTCTCTTGGTAAGGCTGTTTGATATGGCAACTGCTCTCCCAGAGCAAACTATCCTAGAGAGAGAAAAATAGAAAGCCACAGTGCCTTTTATAACTCAATCTCCAGAGTCATGTACTGGCAATCCCATCATATTCTAGTTGTTAGAAGCAGGTTAATAAGTACAGCCTATACTTAAGGAGAGGAGAATTAGGCTTCACTTTTTTGAAAAGAGATGAATCGAAAAGTTTTGGACATAGTTTAAAACAATCGTCATCTCCAAAGTATTATTTTCCTCCAGTCTCTTTGTATTTCCATTCAGTCTATATGTTGCAAGAATTATCCTTCTGAAATGCGTATCTTCAGTCATTCTCTCATTTAATGCATTTCACCAGTTCAGTGAAGTGTGAAGTTCATGTTTCTCAAACAAAGCTAAAGATACAAGCTTTTTAAAGATCTGTGTACTGCCTGTCTAATCTCGTAGACTCGTTTTCAGTTATATTTCAGTTATGCCCAGCTGCTTGTCCATAACAGTTAGGACCTTTTTTCTTCTCCCCAGACAGTGTAACTCAAATTGACTACCTTTTCAAAGCCACTAAGTCTAATGCATTTGAATAAGCGAATTGGATGCATCAGGACTGTCTGTGTTATTAACATCACAGTAGGTAACTGTGGTAGACAGAATTATGGCCTCCCAAAGATATCTATATCCTAATCAACAAAACCTGTGAATTTTACCTTAGATAGTGAGAGAGACTTTCCAGATATGCTTAAGTTAAGGACTTTGACCCTGGTGGACCCAGTGTTATCACAGGGTCCTTAGAAGTAGAACAGGAAAAGGCTGGGCACGGTGGCTCATGCCTGTAATCCCAGCACTTTGGGAAGCCGAGGTGAGCGAATCCCAAGGTCAGGAGATCGAGACCATCCTGGCTAACACGGTGAAACCCCATCTCTACTAAAAATACAAAAAATTAGCCGGGAGTGGTGGCGGGCGCCTGTAGTCCCAGCTACTCAGGAGGCTGAGGCAGGAGAATGGCAAGAACCCAGGAGGGGGAGCTTGCAGTGAGTCAAGATCGCGCCACTGCACTCCAGCCTGGGTGACAGAACAAGACTCCGTCTCAAAAAAAAAAAAAAAAGAAGTAGAACAGGAACGCAGAAGAGGAAGTCAGAGTGTAGTGATAGAAAAAAAGGACTCAACCTGCTCTTGGTGGCTTTGAAAATGGAGAGAAGGAGCCGTGAGCCAGAGAATGTGGGTGGCCTTTAGAAGAGCAGGAAAAAAGAAGCAGATTAGTGTGATGATTATACATACTTATAATCTTCTTTATTCTATGAGTGTTAAATCACACGCATATTTTATTACTGAGTCTTATAAAGTTAATGATGAAATGATTAACATCTCAATATGGAAAATAGAATGCATCTCTTATGTAAAGTGGTCTTTATTGTCTTTCATAATAATTTTTTTTTTTTTTTTGAGACGGAGTTTTGCTCTTGTTGCCCAGGCTAGAGTGCAGTGGCACAATCTCGGCTCACTGCAACCTCTGCCTCCCAGGTTCAAGCGATTCTCCTGCCTCAGCCTCCTGAGCAGCTGGGGTTACAGGCATGCACCACCACGCCCGGCTAATTTTGTATTTTTAATAGAGACGGGGTTTCTCCGTCTCTACTTTTGGTCAGGCTGGTCTCGAACTCCCAACTTCAGGTGATCCACCTGCCTCAGCCTCCCAAAGTGCTGGGATTACAGGCGTGAGCAACCGCACCGGGCACCATAAGATTTTTTTTTAAGAAAATAATATATAAAGAAGAAAAACACTCTAGTAGTTGAACTAGAGATAACAGTTACTTTTCTTTATATTTTTAAGTCTACTTCGTTCCTCTAGATATGAACAGTTAGATTTTTATATATGTATACATATATATACATATGTAAACATACACAGACACACATAAAATTAACTGAGTCATGCTAGTTTTGCTGGTTTTAAAGTTGTACTTATTTTGTAAATTTATAATGTTTTAAAATATGCATAGATACAAACGTATACATATATATTTTACTAAATGGAATAACTGTGCATAAATTTTTATATTTTTCCACTTGCTATTATATCAAGAATTTTTAAAATTATCATGTCACTAAATATTCTTCGGAAATACATTTTTTAGCTTCTCAGGATTCAAAGTAAAAAAACAAAATACATTTTTTAAATTGCCGCCTTATATGTATGAATTTGCCATACTGTGTTTTTTTATTATTGAGCATTTAGGTTGCTTCTAAATTTTCACAATTAGAAATAAAACTACACATTTTTTACAGTTTGCACTCTGATATTTTCTTAGAGTATGCCTTTAGAAATGGAATTTTCTAAAATTGCTAAATAACTAAAAATGGTCATAACAGTTTATACTCTCATCAGCAGTGTATAAGTGTAATAATTTCTTTTTTCCAGTTCAGATTCTGAAATAATAGGTTATGCTTTGGACACACTATATAATATAATATCTAATGAAGAAGAAGAAGAAGTAGGTAAGTTTCCAGTTATTTTTACTGTGTTTTCTGTACTTAAAACCAACTGGGTTGTGCTAATTTTGCTGGTTTTAAAGTTGGACTTGTTTTATAAATGTATAAGTTTTTTTACTTTTTTCATTAAAAAATTTAATAAACACATAGGCTTAGATCTAGAAAAGTGTCTTTAGGATGATTGCTTTGTGTGTAAGTCAGAACATTATAGTGAGATGGAATAAGATCCTTCTTTTTAACTAATATTTTTGCCCGCTTGTGTTTGGTTTTAGTTAGGCAGTATGCATATTAGCCAGTTCTGGATTAAATAATTATTTATGGCTATTGATTGAAAATTTATATTATTATCTAGTGAGCAATATAAAATTAGAGAGTTTTTCCTAATAAATACTTAAACTTTTTACATAGGACTTATGTTAATTTATAAAGTGCAACAATTTTTTAAATTTAGATTTTTTTTCTTTACATTTTGTCTGTTTGGTGAACATTGCTATAAATCGGTTTGAAATCCACACATTTCTTTGGCACATTCATTTTCTTTTTTGTTTTAAAATATTTGCACACTTAACATAAAGTTATCTGTCTTATTTATTGTCACTGTGTGAAGCTTGATTGGAAGTCTGTATACATTTTGTCCTGTATACATTTTGTTCTATATGTTGCAAAACATTCGCAGTAACATTTCACAATTCTGTTGAAGAGTGTATTTGTCATATCAAATTGGCTGTTACAGTAGGACGTAGTAGATTTTTCATTATTCTGTAAAGTCAGAACAGTGGATATATTCATACATTTTATAAATCTAATTTAGACTGAAGTTATATGATCTCTCAAAATTCTGAGTAGACAAATAATAAAGAAGTATAGATACATACTGACCTTGCTCATATTTTATTAAAATTAAAAGTAGAGCAGGAATATATGTCAATATTAACTTCACAGAATACTAGTATTGAGAACATCTGAAACTGGATCATGTTGCATAGTCACAATTTCTTAGACATAAATATCCTTTTTAAAAAACTTTTATTTTGGCTGGGTGTTATGGCTCATGTCTGCAATCCCAGCACTTTGGGAGGCTGGGGTGGAAGGATTGCTTGAACCTAGGAGTTCAAGAGCAGCCTGGGCAACATAAGTGAGACCCCATCTCATTTAAAAAAAATTTTTTAAACAAATTTCTCCATGATATCTATCCTATAGCTTAACTTTATTAATTTCTTAAGGGTGAAAAATATTTAGTAAATGTAATTTGGTACCCATGGAAAAAGAGGTTGTCAGTCACGTGACAATACATAGATACAATACACACAAGAATATACTTTGAAGAAAAAGATACTTATTTTCCCTAGTTATTTCTACAATGAGAAAATTAGATGCAACGCAGTTGTTCAAATACATTTTTAAAAATGACATTCTTTTCTTTCCTTTTATCCCCCTTAGTTGTTTCAGATTAAAAATTTAGCTCTTTTTCCAGTTAATTTGCTGGGATAATTTTTTCTGTTCTTAAAAAAAATGTGTAGCAACAATATTTTTTAGTTAGGAGGTTTTTTTTTAATAAATTTATAATCATGTTTAGAGCCCACCTGTTGCATTTTTCTTTGTGTTTTTAGGCTCTTTAATTTAGCATCCAAAAATGATCCTTTGGATAAACAGTAATAGAATCACTTTTATTAAGGACCTTTTTTTTTTTTTTTTTTCTGAAAATTTAGTCATCCTGAAAGAGTCAGTTAAAAAGTAGACATTGGGCTGGGCGCGGTGGCTCGCGCCTGTAATCCCAGCACTTTGGGAGGCCGAGGCGGGTGGATCACTTGAGGTCAGGAGTTCGAGACCAGCCTGGCCAACATGGTGAAACCTTGTCTTTACTAAAAATACAAAAATTAGCTGGGCGTGGTCGCACACACCTGTAATCCCAACTACTCAGGAAGCTGAGGCAGGAGAACTGCTTGAACCCAGGAGGTACAGGTTGGAGTGAGCCGAGATTGTGCCATTGCACTTCAGCCTGGGCACCAGAGTGAGACTCTGTCTCAAAAAAAAAAAGAAAAGAAAGAAAGTAGACATTGGCTGGGCACGGTGGCTCACGCCTGTAATCCCAGTACTTCGGGACACCGAGACAGGCAGGTCACCTGAGGTCAGGAGTTCAAGACCAGCCTGGCCAACCTGGAGAAACCCCGTCTCTACTAAAAACACAAAAATTAGCCAGCCATGGTGTTGCACACCTGTAATCTCAGCTACTTGAGAGACTGAGGCAGGAGAATCACTTGAACCTGGGAGGCAGAGGTTGCAGTGAGCCAAGATTGTGCCACTGCACTCTCCAGCCTGGGCAACAGAACAAGACTCTGTCTTAAAAAAAAAAAAAAAAATAGACCAGACATGGTGGCTCACGCCTGTAATTCCAGCACTTTGGGAGGCCAAGGTGGGTGGATCACCTGAGGTCAGGAGTTCGAGACCAGTCTCACCAACATGGTGAAACCCCATCTCTACTAAAAATACCAAAATTAGCCGGGCGTGGTGGTGCACACCTGTAATCCCAGCTACTCAGGAGGCTGAGGCAGTAGAATTGCTTGAACCCGGGAGGCGGAGGTTGCAGTGAGCGGAGATCGCACCATTGTACTCCAGCCTGGGCGACAGAGGGAGACTCTGTCTCAAAAATAAAATAAAATAAAAATAAAAATAAAAATAGACATTGAGACATGTCCTTCAGTTCTGTTATTGATACTTTGCTTTTATTGCTTCATGAAATGTAATTCTTAGCTGACACAATGAACTACATTTTAGAGTTCTTTAGGACTGTTTTACAACCCTCTAATGATAAATCTGTCTCGTAGTCCTAAAAATATAGCGTATGCTAAATCTCTTTTAGTATATCTGAGGTATTTGACCAAAGTACATATGGATCTCTTCTTCCAAAGGATTATGTAGCTTATTAAACATTTTTAAGCTCCTATTTTACGTGTATACTACTACATTAAAAAACTATTGTCTTTATCATCCACTTTTTATTTATTTATTTTTATCTACCTTTTCAGATGATGTTGAAGGTAAAAGATTGCATTTACATCTGCATGATGCTTTTAGGCATAGTTTCTGATAATATAAAAGGACACTGTCAAGTACTGTTTCTTCTGGCTGGTAAAAAAAAAATCTGAAATTTGTTTTACTATATAAGAATTCTTTAATTGAAGAGGAATATTTTAATAAACTTACATTACTATTATTTCTGCAGCTACTAAATCTGTTTACTGTCCAGAACACATAAAATATTCTAGTGCACCTTTAAATAAAATTAAAGGTTTTTCTGGCCAGGCGTGGTGGCTCACACTTGTAATCCCAGCACTTTGGGAGGCCAAGGCGGGCAGATCACTTGAGGTCGGGAGTTCAAGACCAGCCTAGCCAGCGTGGTGAAACCCTGTCTCTACTAAAAATATAAAAATTAGCCAGGTGTGGTGGCTGGTGCCTGTAATCCCAGTTACTTGGGAGGCTGAGGCAGGAGAATTGCTTGAACCCAGGAGACAGAGGTTGCAGTGAGCTAAGATTGTGCCACTGCACGATCCAGCCTGGGCGACAGAGTGAGACTTGTCTCAAAAAAAAAAATTAATAAATAAAAATTAAAGCTTTTTCTCTGGTAGGACAATTTATTCAAAATTACTTGTGTGTATTTCCTGGAAAAAAGTTTTTAGACAGTTCATTTAAAAATACTTGCCAAGTGCAGTGGTGCATGCCTGTAGTGCCAACTACTTGGGAGACTAAAGTGGGAAAACTGCTTGAGCCCAGGAGTTCGAGGCTGCAGTGAGCAATGATTGCACCTGTGAATACCCACTGCACTCAAGGCTAGACAACATAGTGAAACCCTGCCTCTAAAAAACAAACAAACAAAAATCTATAAAAGTAATATTTCAGTATGTATACATATATTTTTTACCTATATTCAGTAAGAACTGGAAGGTATTCTAGTTCAGAGAATGTATATTGATATTGTCCCTTTAAAATAATGCATACTCAGTAATGATGTTTTAGTTACTGACATTTCTTACCTTAACTCGTAGAACTCACTAGTTTTTTTATTTTCTTCTCTCTAATCTCTTTTAAGTTTCATTTACTTTTAACATTGATACTTGTTTTCTTCATAACTAAAGTAACCAAGTTTTTTTGGTTTGTTTTGTTTTACCAATTTCCTTGAGGTGCTTAACTTTTTTAAATGAAGAAGGAAATATTCGTATCTAAAGCAGTGTTTAAAAGGTACATCACAAAGTTGCCTATATATAATAAAAATACTAACAAATAAACTAACTTATTAAAGTATGAAGCATTACCTTTTGTGACATTTGAATCTCTTGTTTGACATCAGATGATACCAGAGCATTGTGCCTTGACTCTTGTCAAGCTATTTCCTTGCTGGGTAGTAAAGATCAGTAGTTGTTTCTATTATTGTGATACTGTAGAGAGCTTTAAAATTTATCTTTCATGTTTATCTTATGTAATCCTCATAGCAGCCAGTGAGGTAGGTGGTATTTTTCTACTTTCTAAAGATGAGAAAATGGAAGCCCAGAGATGATGTAACTTATATGGTATCACTGAGTAAGTAGAAGAACAATTTTACTTTTTTTTTTTTTTTTTTTTTTTTTGAGACAGAGTCTCACTCTGTTGCCAGGCTAGGGTGCAGTGGCACAGTCTCGGCTCACTGCAACCTCTGCCTCCTGTATTCAAGCGATTCTCATGCCTCAGCCTCCCAAGTAGCTGGGATTAGTGTCACCACACCCAGCTAATTTTTGTATTTTTAGTAGAGACAGGGTTTCACTATATTGGCCAGGATGGTCTCGATCTCCAGACTTCATGATCCGCCCTTCTTGGCCTCCCAAAGTGTTGGGATTACAGGCATGAGCCACCACGCCCAGCCAGAACAATATTTTTAAATACATTTTTTCCTTCCTTTTTTTTTTAAAGTATTTCTTAGATTTTTAATTCAATAAATTGTGGCCAATTTTTCTTTATTTTTCTGACTGGGTTCTTTATTAAATCATGTAATTCACAAAACTAGTTTATAGAATATTCAGATAAATGTTAAAAAGTATACATGTACCTGGCCAGGTACGGTGGCTCACGCCTGTAATGCCAGCACTTTGGGAGGCTGAGGCAGGCAGATCACAAGGTCAGGAGATCAAGACCATCCTGGCTAACATGGTGAAACCCCATCTCTACTAAAAATACAAAAAATTAGCCAGGCGTGGTGGCGGGCCCCTGTAGTCCCAGCTACTTGGGAGGCTGAGGCAGGAGAATGGTGTGAACCTGGGAGGCGGAGCTTGCAGTGAGCAGAGATCGTGCCACTGCACTCCAGACTGGGCGACAGTGCGAGACTCCGTCTCAAAACAAAAACAACAAAAAAAGTATACATGTACCTGTTTAATTAACTACCAGTATAAACGAAGATTATTTGATATTTCTTCACTCTGAGGACTGATTTTATTAGGATATCTCCTTTTATAAAGCAATTTCTTTTCTTCATAATATAGATTGTGAACTTAGTATAGAATAGAATTCCAAAGAGAAGATCCAGAAATGTTTTTAAATATTGTTTACACCTCTGGAAAAAGTACTACTAGAAATACATTTGAAGAGTAAATATATCTATGCATGCGTACTTAAATGCCAGCCATATAAACAGGCCTGAAAACTATCCAGAGCTATACAGACAGATGATGGTTCAACTTCACGATTTTTTGATTTACGATGGTGTGAAAGCAATATACATTCAGTAGAATCTATACTTCGAATACCCATACAACCATTCTGTTTTTTCACCTTCAGTACAGTATTCAGTAAATTACATGAGATAATACTTTATTATAAAATATGATTTCTGTTATATTTTGCCTAGCTGTAGGATAATGTAAGTGTTCTGGGCACATTTAAAGTAGGTTAAACATATTAAATACATTTTCAACCTATGATATTTTCAGTTTTTGATGGGCTTATCAGGACATAACCCCATTGTAAATTGAGGAGCATCTGTGTAAGTACTTAGAACGGGCATTTTTTTATTTTACATTCCTATATTAAATTTATTTTTACTATGGTAACAAAGGGCCATTTCATTTTTATCTTATTTTTTTCATTTACCTTACAATAAATGGTCATTTACAGGTTATAAATGCACAATATAATATATAAACTATAGGCTATAAAAAACTTAGCTATAAAGGTTGTAATCTAATGATTAATGATGAGAGAAGATGGTTTACTTGTTTCATGCCTTTGCTTACACGTATAATTGGTATAATTTCTCATGGTTCTAGTTTTTGTTCACAACTTTTAGATATTAGTGTAGTAGTTTATAGTAGTTTGTAGCTTAATTTACTGCTACACTTAAAGCTTTGTGTATTACCTTAATTGCTTAGCTAATTTGGGGATACTTCATTAAAGTTCAGAAGTGCTGTCTTATGACTGTAACTTAAAAGAAATGGCGTATATCTCACACTTTTTCAAATTGACAGTGTTAAACCAGAAGGAACCATTGATCCTTGTAATAGGACCATATTTTACTAGTTCAGTTCAAAATGTAAATTTTAATTCTATACTGATAAGCTACAGCATATTATACAATATAGCTACAGAATAAATTAAAGATATTAACTCTACTTCTTCCTAAGTTATTTGCTTGTGCCCAGTGCAAACACTGAATTAAACTTTTTCTGGTATTAGACCTGACTTCCTTAAAGCATAGCACAGAAGTTCTAGAGAGTGTTCTGTATTAAAACGGGTTCATAGTTAAATAAACATAAATACTATATTCCCCTCTGAAGCTTCATAAAATTTACACTGGTGTAGTAAGTGCTGAGAAGCCTGCAGTGAAAAATCTTGTTCAACTTTGTTTAATCCAAATATATTTGTCCACAGGGGCTTAGTTCTGCCATGTACCTATTAACATGCCACACTATCCTTTGTTTTGAAATATACTAACCAAGGCTTGGTTAGTTGTTTATGTTTACATATGTAAAAATATTTCAACATTTTAAAATACATTTTAGGGGAAGAATCCATCAAGTCTATATGTGGTTTTTTTTCTTCCTTTTTAGATTAGTTTATAATTTTTAATGTTTTCCCAAATGTCAATAACTATAATTTTTAGCTTTTCTCATGAGGTCACAAACTTTTGGCCCAAGGGCATTGTCTATCTTGTAAGCAAGGCTGTTTGACCCACATAGTATTTTAAGTAAGGTGAATAAGTTGCCACTATTATAAATTGGGAGCTTGTGTCAACGTTTGTATTTTAGACTTCTTTTTGAAAAAACCTGAAGATTGGCAATACCTGGATCTGCATTCCTACATGGCAACAGGCAGCTGGAGTTGAGTAACTGCTGTTTTCCTTAGACAGAGCATATACTCCCCATCCTCTAATGTTAGCCTGCTTCACTCACTCACATTACTGTCTTTTGTTTGTAGTCAAGTTTTCATTCTCTGCTATCTTCACACCACTGAGATAAAAAATAATTATGCTATAAATTACTTTCAAACGCATGATTTTTAAAGTTATATATCTCATTCAACAAATATGAATATATGCAAATGGAAACTAGCCCTACAAAGCACCCATGACTAAGTTAATATTGCTGTGATTTTAATTTCTTGAGGGAGACAATTCTGAGAGAATATTACTTGTCTTTTGAACATAGATTTCTCATGTATTTGGAGAATAATTTATTTGACATGCATTCCCAATGGGCCCTTTTTGTATAATTTCTTTATCTGCTTTTTTATCTATACAGTTTCACTAGAATTTGGCTAACATCTCCATGATTTGTTAGGGTTCTGGGGTGGCTTAAAAAACAAGGTAGGCTCATTAGCCCACCAGCTCTTGTGAGATTTTATTGGGTATGTAACATTTACCATACTGTGGGAATCAGGACTTCTGTTCATAGCTGATTCTAAAGATGAAAGCTTTCAAAAGATTCTACCAGCTCCCAAGTTCCCATTATCTTTTCCAATTTTTTCACAGTCTCCTTTTCCATCATCCTGTCAGTTTGTAAATAAAATGGGAAGGGTGTGCAGTTCTTGCTATGTGCCTGGTACCAGTTCTTTTTTTTTTTTTTCCAACTCCATTCATAAGTTCACCTTTGAGCTTTGAAAATCACAATTTACCAAGCAAGGTTTTACCTTCAAGCGTGTGTAAGTAATTAGGACACAATTTTATCAGCTCACAAAGGAACAACAGGAAATCCTTTAAGGAGATCTGTAGCAGAGAATGTCCCTTGAATCCACTCTAGTTATGTTTGAGTATTAGGCTTCCTTATGATTATTATCAGGCCTTTGTAGCATCAATCCTCTGCCACCTTCACTTAATACCCTCAGTATATCTGTGATTATGTAGTAACATGATAGCTTTCAAGTGTACTTTTGGTGTTTGTTTTTTGTTTGTTTTTTATCCTTTATCCTCTCCTCTACCTGTTTTCCTGAAGTGGAAGTAGTGACTGCTTCCCGATATAATTCTTCTGAAGCCACCACTAACCTAAGATATAAAACTTTAATTAAAATACAGTGAATTTACTTTTATTTAGAGTCAGTTACTTTTTTTGATAGATTGCATATAACTTTTATGAGAAAGAGAGAAATATAAGGTAAAATATCAAGACTTACAGACAACTTTCTGGAAGTATAGGATATACTTTTTCTTATGTCTTTTGCATCTTGGTGATAATACTTATTAATGATAACCTTATAAGAATCCAAAATTCTGAATCATCAAAGGAAGATTGTTAGGTTCTGTTTCATTTGAAAACTTAGTAAATATATAGCTTATGTTGTAAATCTTAGGACCATGGTTCTCAAGTGAGGGCAATTTACCCTCCTTTACCCCACTCCTAGTACATTCCGCAACGTCTGGAGACATTTTTGGTTGTCACAGTAAGAGGAAGTAAGAGAGTGCTACTGCGTCTAGTGGGTAAGGCCAGGGACAGTGCTAAACATCTTAAACTGCACGAGGAGGTCATACAACAAAGACGTACCTGGCCAGAAATGTCAGGAGTGCCAAGGTTGAGAAATCCTGTCTTGGGGATGATGATTTTGATGATGGTGATGATGACAGTGCTTCTGTTTATTGAGCACATTATTTACAAAGCCCTATGCTAGATGTTCTACTTATTTTAAATCCTCACAGAAAACCCCATGTGAAGACATTATCTCCATTTTACAAATAAGGAAACTGAGACTTGACAGAGTTAGGCTACTTGCCCAAAGTAACATGGCTATTAAGTGGTTGAATATGAGTTTAACTGGTCTTACTCAAAAATCTTTGTGAGCTTCTTCCATTATACTGTACTGCTACTCAGGAAAGTATTTAACTACTCAACCCTAGTCATTTTGTAAATGAATGGAAATTACCTCTACCTGTGTTAGTAATGTACCTCATTTCTTGAAGTTCAGAGGGGATTCTACCTATCATTAGTATTTGATAGTCACTCCTTTCTCATTGAGTACTTTCTTCATTTGTTTGTCAGTCTGCGAAGTCTCCTGGCTTTCTTCCTTTTTCATTGGTTACTCTTTGTCTCCTTCGCAGTTTTCCTCCCCATCTCCCCAACCTCTTAATATTAGAATGCCACAGGGCACAGATTTCTTTCCTTCCCCCTTCCCTCCCTTGTTGATTTCATCTAGGCTTGTAACTTCAAATATAATTTATATGCTTGCCACTCAAATGTGCATGTCCAACCCAGACCTCTCCCCTGAAGTTCATCATTGTATATTCAGATATTCACTCAATATCTTTACTTAGATACCCCCTAACACATACAGCTTTATTGACATCTAATTAATGTAAAATAATGAACATATGTAAATAAACAATTTGATGACTTTTGATACATGTATAAACATGCTTGGCTTTTTCTTTTAAAAGTTTGTAACTCTTGGCCGGGCATGGTGGCTCACGCCTGTAATCCCAGCACTTTGGGAGGCCAAGGCAGGCGGATCACAAGGTCAGGAGATGGAGACCATCCTGGCTAACACAGTGAAACCCCATCTATACTAAACGTAGAAAAAATTAGCCGGGCGTGGTAGCAGGCATCTGAAGTCCCAGCTACTCGGGAGGCTGAGGCGAGCGGATCACGAGGTCAGGAGATCATCCATTTTGAGTTAATGGGTGTATTTTTGGTCTGTTCTCTTCTATTGATCTATGCATGGTACATCATCTTGATTACTGTAGCTGTATAATAAATCTTGAAATTATGTAGTGTTAAGTCTTCTAACTTTGTTGCTCAGAATTGTTTTGACTGTTTTAGGTTTTTTGCATTTGCAAACCAATTTTAGAATCAGCTTGTGAATTTCTACAAAAAGGGTCAACTGAGAATTTGGGATTCTGTTGACTGTAGATCAATTTGTGAAAACCTGACATAAAAATATTGTACCTTCTAATACAAGAACACAGTATATCTCTGTTTTTGCAGGTCTTCTTTAATTTCTTTTTTTTTCTTCTCCTTTTTTGGGACAGGGTCTTACTTTGTCACCCAGGCTAGAGTTCAGTGGTACAATCATGGCTCACTGCAGCCTCTAACTCCTGGGCTCAAGGGATCCTCCCACCTCAGCCTCCCGAGTAGCTGGGACTACAGGCATGCGCCACCAAGCCAGCCTAAATTTTTATTTTTTGTAGAGACAAGTTCTCACTATGTTGCCCAGGCTGGTCTTGAATTCCTGAGCTTAAACAATTCTGCCTCAGCCTCCCAAAATGCTAGGATTACAGGTGGGAGCCACTGTACCTGGCCTGTTCAATTTCTCTCAGCAGTGTTTTGGAGTTTTCAGAGTGTAAGTAGCACACACCTATTGTCAAATGTTTTTGTTGATGCTATTGAAAGTGGTACTGTTTTTTGAATTTTAATTTCCGATTGTCATTACTAGTATCTATTAATAGAAATACAATTAATTTTGTGTATGACCTTTTATCCTGCAACTTTCTAAGCTTACTTATTAGTTCTATTAGCTCTTTTGTAGATTCCATAGGATTTTCCTCATAGACAAACATGTCATCTGTAAATAAAGACAGTTTTACTTCTTTTCTAATCTGTATTCCTTTTCTTTTTCCTGCCTTATGGCACTGACTAGGATCTTCAGGTCAATGTTGACTAGAATTGATGAGATTGGACATTCTTGCCTCCTTCTGATCTTAAAGAGGAAAACATTCAGTCTTTCACCATTAAGTATGATGTTAGCTGTAAGGTTTTTGTAGTTGCACTTTGTCATCCAGTCTTGTGACTTTAAATATCATTTATATGTTTACCACTCTAATGTGTTTATCCACACAGACTTCTCCACTGATATCTATGTTAGTATTTATCCAGCTTCTTACTTGGTATATGCACTTGGATTTTTATAAGGTATCTCAAACTTAATATGTCCAAAACTAAACTTCTGATTCTCTGTATACTTCCAGCTTGCTTCTCCCACAGTGTTTCCAATCTCAGTAAATGGCAACCCTATCCTTCTAGTTCTTTAGGCCAAAAGCTTGGAATCACTCTTCCTTTTCTTTCCCCACACTCCTCTGTGCAACATGTCAACAAATCATAATCCTTTGTAATAAAAATTATGACATCTAAGGTCTAAGCCACCTTCATGTGACTCTTTTCTTGATTATGCCTCCTGACCTGTCTCCCTATTTTCCTTACTCACTGACAGTGTGTTCTCAGCATAGCAACCAGAGTAATCCTTTTAAAATGAAAGTATAAAGCAGTGAATTCTTTTACTGATATAAGAGATGATTAAGAGAAATATTTCTTGGAGTTTCTGAAGGATAAACCCAGCATATTTAGGTAATTAATCAACTGGAAAACATTTCATTTCTACTTTTGGTCTCTTCTTTTTCCTCTATAAACAATTAGATGGGATTATGACTGTCAATCTTGGATTGCTTTGCTTTTCCTGTCATCTGCTGGGTTTTTTCCCTCACATTTAGAAAAGAATTTTCTGAGGGATAATGGGTTTGATCTTGACTTTCAGCTCCATTGGCTGATAGTCACTTAGTGGAGTACTATATGGAAAAGTATTCTGACGCTCAGCCAATGCTGTGATTAATTAGCTGTGTCTGGTGTGAGTGAGAGAATGGGAAGTAGTATGTTTGCATCACTAATTTGAGTTTATAATATAGGCAGATCTTAAGTAGTTTGCTTTGGCAGTTGTTGCTTTCATTTTTAGTGATCTTTTTTTTTTTTTTTTACATAGTACATTGAGACAACAAATACTTTAATTAAAAGACATTTAAACATTAAAGACAAATGTAAAATCCTTTAAACAATAAGTGAGAAATTAGATGTCAAATTCTGATTTTATTGCCAAAGAATTTTGTAGGATATGTATATGAAAAAGATACTGAGAAATCTGGAGTAGATTGGTTTAATTTCATAATTAAATTATTTAACCCAGTAACACTAACAGTCAGCAAGGACTATATGTTCAATATTGTTTTGGGGACAAGGGTTTTAAGATACAACTTATATACAATAAAATTTACTCTGAATTGTAGTCTGAGTTTGGGCAGAAGTATACAGAAGTGTCACCACTACCACATTCTAGATAGACTATTTCTATCCCAAATTGTTTCCTTATGCCCTAATAGAAGAGTAACCTAAAAATGCCCTTGAGAAAATATGAGTATTTAAGTATCCTTTTTTTAGATATCATATTTAAACATTTAGCCAATAAAATGTATTTAAATGAATTTGAACATTATTTTAAGGATATAGCTTTACATAATAATTGTGATATTGCTACCAGCCACACTGTTCCAGTGTTGAATTGTTTACCAGGAAAATTATCATTCACGCTTAACTCTTCAATGAAAGGATATTTTAAAATAACCTACTATTAAATTGAAATTCTTTATTTTTGAATATTACAGAAGAAAATTCCACAAGACAGAGTGAAGATTTGGGAAGCCAATTTACAGAAATTTTCATTAAGCAGCAGGAAAATGTCACTCTTCTGTTATCTTTATTGGAGGTAAATAGGGAACCTTGATGTTTTTGTCATCTTAATAAGCTGCTTTTGTTGCCTTTTGGATGTTATTGAGGAAGTAACATGTATATACCTTTAAAGGTAGTAAAGTTTATTGTATTATAGCAAGAGATCCACATGGATGTTTCAAGAACTATGTAATCACTTAAAGTATGCTAAACTTCCATGTTTTACTTGTAGTTTCTGGTAAAAGTTATTAGTGGAAAAAATGTTTTTCTCGAAAATGTGAATTACAGATGTTAAATATTTTGAATTCTTACATTGCAGGAGTTTGATTTCCATGTCCGCTGGCCTGGTGTGAAGCTTCTTACTTCTCTTTTAAAACAACTAGGGCCTCAGGTGCAACAAATTATTTTAGTCAGTCCTATGGGTAAGTGACTTATCTTTTTTATATTATTTTGATTCAAGCATGAGTATCATTTCCTAGAGAAAGGGACTGAAATGGTGTGTTAGTAAATTGTTAATAATTTGAGTCACTATTTGTATTTTTGGTCTGCCAGCATTTTTCACATGGTTGTATGTTCTAGGTGTTTCAAGATTGATGGACTTACTAGCGGATTCCAGGGAAGTTATACGTAATGATGTAAGTTAAATTTCAAAAAGAAATACAAAAATATGTGGCTTTTTTTTCTCTTGCAAATGAAATCCTTGTTGTTGAGTTTTAGGAAATTAGATTTAGAAAGCTGGAGTAATGACCTTTTTTTAAAAAAATTAAAAATTAGTAAACAGAGATGGGGGTCTCTCTATGTTGCCCAGGTTGGTCTTGAATTTCTGGGCTCAAGCAATCCTCCTGTCTTGGCCTCCCAAGATGCTGGGATTACAGACATGAGCCACTGAGCGTGGCTGGAGTAATGACCTTTTAAAGTTGTACAAGGCCACATTGTTTCATTCTTTCCTGGCTATCCAGTATTTTGGGTTAGACAAACCATTTTGCCATTCAAATTTATTTCTTCCATTAGTTTAGGATTTCTTATACTATCTGCTGAAAGGTTGTATTTGACACCAAACTCTACCTCTGCAATTTTCTTTTCCTCATAAAGAGTAGCGGAGATACCTCCAGACATTGAACTGTGTAAACCCAACAAAGCATTATATTTGGAATCCTTGCCCTTATTTGATTGAGTGTGTATTTCTAAGGATTTGCCTTGTTAATCATGGAGCATGATTTGCTCTGGACTTATTTTCCATTCCGATTTATTTTATATTTGCATATAAGTTTGAATATTTTGTATTTGATGCTGTATATTTTGTTGCATAAGCATTTTTCTCTATTGTTACCTACAACTTGATAAAAATTCTGTAATATTTAAAATAGCAATTAGAAAAATTAAATTCTGGAGCTAGGAGATCATATCAAGCTAATTAAATCTCCATATTTATAGTGAAATGCCCAAGACCCACAGAAACCAAGTAAAGTTAAGTGTTCTTTGTTAGCCATGTCTTACTCATCTTTTTATTTATGGTATTGGCCGTGTGACTTTTTCATCCTAAGTTTTAGTAAATATCATTTGGATTGCTCTTAGCCTTATAACTGGTTAATGGCAAAGCAGAGACAAAACTGAAGCATTCTTAACTCCTAGTCTATGGATACAGTTTTTAAAATTTGTTGTACTTAAAATTTTGTAATATGTATATCAATTCAGTATTATAGGTAGTGAACTTAATACAGTATGTAACTTACAAGAAGGACATTTTTTTTTGAGATGGAGTCTAGCTCTGTCACCCAGGCTGGAGTGCAGTGGCATGATCTCGGCTCACTGCAACCTCTGCCTCCCGGATTCAAGCAATTTTTCTGCCTCAGCCTCTCGAGTAGCTGGGATTACAGGCATGTGACATCACCCCCAGCTAATTTTTTTGTATTTTTAGTAGAGACAGGGTTTCACCATATTGGCCAGGCTGGTCTCGAACTCCTGACCTTGTGATCCACCCACCTCGACCTCCCAAAGTGCTGGGATTACAGGCGTGAGCCACCGCGCCCGGCCGAGAAGTACATTTTTTATTCTTTAATATTTAAGTGTCATTTTTAAGAAATGTCTTATTTAACTAGGTATCTATCTATTAGAAATTTGGGGTATCTTTCCTTGACTAAAATATGACTATGTATCTTTAAAGCTTCTGTTCTATTCTTTCCATGTCCTGCAATTTAAATAAGAGGATATCATGCAAATCATAAATTATGTCTCCCCACATCTTTTAATTTCATTACCACTTATTTTCATTTTCAGATATAAAAGTGCTCTTAAAAAAAATAACTGCATTAGGCCAGGCGTGGTGGCTTATATCTGTAATCCCAGCACTTTGGAAGGTCAAGATGGGTGGATCACCTGAGGTCAGGAGTTTGAGACCAGCCTGGTCAACATGATGAAACCCTGTCTCTACTAAAAATACAAAAAATTAACTGGGTGTAGTGGCGGGCGCCTGTAATACCAGCTACTTGGGAGGCTGAGGCAGGAGAATCGCTTGAACCTGGGAGGCGGAGGTTGCAGTGAGCTGAGACTGTGCCATTGCACTCCAGCGTGGGCAACAAGAAAGTAACTCTGTCTCAAAAAAAAATAATAATAATAACTGCATTAATTCTGGAATCTCCTGTTTTCCTTTAACTCTTTACCTTTTTATTCTGCTCCTAACCTTTTTTCAACTTTTATTTGAGACAGACAAATAAGTGTCTATTTATATTGGTTTTTATTAATTTTATGATCACAGATTAAGTTCTGTTTTTGTTGTAATGTCTGGATTATTGGTTTTTACATGTTTTATAACCTTTTTTTTATTTTAATAAACCTATTCAAGAGGGTAAAGAGAAAAGAAACTAAAATATACTAAGACCTTGAAAGCTAGTGGGTTCTATAGAACTTATTTTGTCTCCTTTAGTCTTTATAAAAACCCTGTGACAAAGATATTACATGAGTATACTATAAGTTCATGTAATTTGCTTAAAGTTGGCACAACTAGTCAGTAGGGCAACCAATTTTTTATTTTTTTATTTCATTAGTTTTTGGGGAACAGTTTTTGGGGAACAGTGTTTGGGCAACCAGTTTTTAAACCCACTTTATATAACTCAGAGCCTAAATATTTTCTCCACTGTATTTCTTCTTCTCTTTGTTAGTAGTTAAACTGAAGTTGGCAGCATTAAGTGGGAGAATTTGACATCCAAAAATAACTGTTTTCACCTTTTTCTCTCATATTAATGTTGAAAGTTGACAAGAAAATGAGTGGAATAAGCCCAATAAAGTCATAGGCATTTTTTGTCTTATATGAATACTTACCTACTCAGTACTGGTAGCCAACAGCTAGTTTGCCTCTATGGGACTTTTTACTACCTATTTGCTATTCCTCTTCCTCTACAATAATATCTGTGCTTTTTTTTCGTAAAATATTTGTTGTCTCTTTTACCATCATGCTATTATTTAATACTTAGGGACTCATAAATTGCATAATACCAAAATAAGCAAAAATGGGTAACAGTGAGTTTTTATTGAATGATAAAGATATTATAAAATATATAAACTGTATCCAGCTTACCAGGAGCTGAGAAAAACTGGAAGTCAGAGGCAATGGCTGCTGTGAATTGTCTTGTGTTGGACATGCCATTCACGAAGCATCAATTTTCATCTTCCTTTTTTATTTTGACTTAGAATCAAGTTTTGGGGATTTGAAGGCCAGATGTTTACAAGAATTTCTGAACTTTCTCTACTAGACTGTGGTGGTGTTCATTGATTTATATTATTGAATTGCAAGTTTTTCATTATTACTGTTGTGAAGCAGGTACAGTGGCATTCCTGAGACAGATACTTTCATGCTCAACTCTTTAGCTGCAACGAAAGCTATGTAGTGGTTAATGAATATAAAGGAATTCTAGTATGTTTATATCATAAAGTTGAAAGATAACTGAACTAGGAATTGTTAGAAGAGGATTCTAGTCTAGTGTCTGTCTCTTTGAGGTTTATAACCTTAGGGAGACAAATTGCTTAACTATTCTGTTCTTGTTTTCCTTATGTATAAAGTAAAGGAGTTGGGCTTGCAAAATCTCTGCCAGTTCTAAAATTCTGTGATTTTTGAAGTAATTTAAAAATGTCTCATAAATTTTGTACTCCACTAAACATTCTCTTTCTTCTCTATAGGGCGTCTTACTACTGCAGGCACTAACAAGAAGCAATGGTGCAATCCAGAAAATTGTTGCTTTTGAAAATGCTTTCGAGAGACTACTGGACATTATTTCAGAGGAGGGGAACAGTGATGGAGGTATAGTATGAAGAAATTATTTGAAGACATTCCTTTTGTACTCACTGACTTGTTAGGGTATAGGGAATACAGTTGGAGGGAGAAATGGGGACTCTTATTTATACTCTTTGTTTTTCTTTCACTATGGCATGTTGACTATCGATTTCTCTTTATCCTGTTTCATATTTGTTAGGCTTTTACAATCTAGGTTGGTGTCTTTCCTTGTTTAGAAAATCTCACCTATATCTCTTCAAATACTGTATTGCTAGGTTTCTTTTATTTTTCTGAAGCTATAGATTATTATGCATGTCCTTTTGCAGATTTGGTGATAGGGAGTTGAGTTGAAGGCAGAATTATATACTGAGTGAATAGGGAGGACACAATTGAGAATTAATGGGAAAGGTTAGAAATAGTCTTTTGGAGAATAGGAGAGCTAGTTAATTATTGTAATTAGGAAGATTTTCAAAGTGATACGAACCCCAGCTGGGCTTGATGGCTCATACCTGTAATGCCAGCACTTTGGGAGGCTGAAGTGGGTGGATCACTTTAGGCCAGGAGTTCGAGACCAGTCGGGCCAACATGGCAAAACCTCATCTTTACTAAAAATACAAAAATTAGCTGGGCGTGGTGGTAAACACCTGTAATCCCAGCTACTTGGGAGGCTGAGAAACGAGAATCACTTGAACCCGGGAGGTGGAGATTGCAATGAGCTGAGATCGCACCGCTGTACTCCAGCCTGGGTAACAGAATGAGACTCTGCCTCAAAAAAATAAAAAGGGGGATAAGGGCCCCATTAAGGGTATTCACCATGATTTTACAATAGCACCAACTACTTGAGTGTGTAATTTATTTTCTCCCCTAGCAGCACTCAGCTGCCTAGGTGCAAATATAGAAAAAAAACTCAGTTTTTCACAGGGTTGGGCCTTTTCTGGGAAGGTGCTATGAAAAGACAGTAAGACAAGAGAACATAGTATATTCCTATTCCACTTCTGTAGAGTGGAAGAAACGAAAATCTCTATAATCTAAGCTAGATAGGGAAGGAAATAAAAACAAGGGAGTTTCTAAAAAAGGCATTTGGTTGGTGGGCCAAGAGACTCAAGGAAGCCATGGAACAAATGTGTTGAAAATACTTGAGCCACAAAAATAGGTTTTAGTAAGAGAGGATTATCGCCAAAGATGAGGCAAAAAAACTGAGTGGTCTAGGTATTAGACGGGTTGCTGTTGAAATTAAAATTAAGTAGACAGCAGAGCTTAGAGAAAGAAGACTTTGAGCAAGATGCCAATGATGTTTTCCGTGGACAAAGGATAGTGACTATGAATTTGTTATATATCTGCAATGAGAAGTCGTAAGAGATGGTACAGCCATATAGCCAAGCCTCAAGGGAACAGGAGATTTTATGAGAGTAGAGGAACTATGGTCTCTCGAAAGTACACTGGGCTGGGAGGGTCACAGCTTCAACATGCTGACTCTAAGGTACATGGGATTGAGAACATGAATTACTTTCACTTGAGAACATTACAAGATAAAGCAGATTCTTTAAAGAAACGGAGCATTTCAAGATATAATTGGGTTATAGGGTGTTTTATTAACCAATATCTGAGAGTTGGCAATGGCATCATGAAAGGGTTTGAAAAGATTAAATGGAAGAGGGGAAATGCAAACTATTGTAAAATGAAAAACTGGGAAAGCAGAGATGACCAGAGAGGTGTACATTTTTGGAGGCAATTGAAGAAAATAGGGTTTTAAGGAAAGATAGAATTTGCTAAGTTTTCCTAGTTGCTAAAACAAGTTTCAGTGGCTCTTTGTAAGTGATAGTGGCCATTAAGGCTCTAGGGTTCACTAAGGTGCATGCTGGAAAGAAGGCCTGCCAGTTGTAGTGAGGGCTTTTGACATGCTTTTTCCTTCAAAGCCTTCAGATGGTCCTAATGGCAGACCATATTTAATAGATATTTATGGTCCTACCTAAGAGGCAGATAGAGTGGTTCCTCCTCATAAGATGAGGATCCATATGGTTCCTCAGTAGGAGGTGAGGAAGCCTCTAATCTGGAGAGATTAGGTCTGGTTAAATCAGGAATTCTTGAAAAGCATTTAAAATGTGCACCTTAAGCATTTTAAAGTTAAATGTAATAAAATAAAGGTGTATATTTATGTACTAATCTTTGGAATAGGGCCAGAACTACTACCTTGAATATGGGTATGCTGATTAAAGTTTTTCATCATCTTCCTTGCATACATCACGCCTATAATATATCATGTAGGATTTGCATTTTGTTTTCTTTAAAATAGATTGCAGGATATATCTGGGTTTTTAAAATTACTTTTCTATCTTTTAGAATTGTATTATCCATATTTAACAGCTATATTTTTAGTGACGTCCTTTCATTGAGTTTTGCCAAAGACTTAAATTTAATTTTCAGCAAAATAACTGTTTTCACACATATTTTGGTAGTTTTATATAGTATTTAATTAATAACCAGTGCAAATAGCATGGTAGATTTGTGAATGAAACAATTGATTCTTAGATGCAATACCAAAAGTGTGATCCATAGAAAAAAATTGATAAATGAGACTTCATTAAAGTTGAGAACTTGTGCCCTGCAAAAGATTCTGTTGAGAGAATGAAAAGATACTTCACAGATGAGAAGAAAATATTTGCAAAACACATGTTTGAAAAGGGACTTGTATCTAAAATATATTTAGAACTCTTAAAACTGAAAAATAAGAAAACAATAAGCCAATTTAAAGATAGACAAATGATCTGAACAGACATCTCACCAAAAAGATATACAGATGGCAAATGACCATATGAAAAGATGCTCAACATTATATATCACTAGGGAACTGCAAATTAAAACAATGAGATATCACTACATACCTTTTAGAATGAGGAAAACTAAAGAAAACATTGACACCACCAAATGATGGCGAAGATGTGGAACAACAAAAACACATTTGTTGCTGATGGGAATGCAAAATGGTACAACTACTTTAGAAAACAGTTTGGTGGTTTCTCACAAAGCTAAACATAGTCTTATGACTCAACAATCACGCTCTTTGGTATTTACCCAAATTAGTTTAAGACATATTCACACAAACATCTGCACATGAATATTAAAACACCTTTGTTCATAATTGCCAAGACTTGGAAGCAACCAAAATGTCCTTTAGTAGTTGAATGGATAGATAAACTGTACTACATCTATACAATGGGATGTTATTTAGCAATGAAAAGAAAAGAGTTATCAAACCATGAAAGGACATAAAGGAACCATAAAGGCATATTGCTGAGTGAAATAAACCAGTCTGAAAAAGCTACATAATATATTATTCCAACTATAGTTGACCTTTGAATAACTTAGGATTTAGGGACACCAATGCCCCAGTTGAAAATCTACTTTTTAACTTTTGGCTCCCCCAAAACTTAACCGCTAATAGACTATGTTTACCAGAAGCCTTACCAATAACATAAGCAGTGGATTAATACATTTTGTACGTTGTATGTATTATATACTCGATTTTTACAGTAAAATAAGGTAGAAAAAAGAAAACATTAAAATCAGAGGGAAGAGAAAATATATTTACTGTTCATTAAGTAAAGTGGATTATCATAAAGGTCTTCATCCTTGTCATCTTCATGTTGAGTAGGCTGAGGAGCAAAAGGAAGGATTGGTCTTGCTGTTTCAGGGATGGCAGAGAGGAAGAAAACATATATATAAGTGGACCCACGCAGTTCAAACCCAACTGTTGTTCAAGGGTCGGCTGTATATGACATTCTGGAAAAGGCAAGACTATGTGGACCATAAATATTTAGATCAGTGGTTGCCAGGGATTTGGGGATAGAGGAAAGAAGAGATGAATAGGTGAAGCTCAGGGTATTTTTTAGGGCCATGAAACTATTCTGTATGATACTGTAATGGTGGAGACAAGAGATTATACTTCTGTTAAAACTCATAGAACTTTATAGCACAGAGTGAACCTTAATGTAAACTGTGGACTTTAATTAATAATAGTGTATTAGTATTCATTTATGAATTGTATTGCAAGAAATGTACCACATTAATGCAATATATTAATGATGGGGGAACTGGAAAGTACAGGCATACATTATTTCATTGTATTTCCCAGGGAATATGTTTTTTACCAGCTGAAGGCTTGTGTCAACCCTGCATTGAATAAGTCTGTTGACTCCATTTATCCAACAGCACGCCCTCACTTCATGTCTCTGTCACAATTAATATTTCAAAAGTTTCATTATTATATCTGTTATGGTGATGTGATCAGTGATTTTTGATGTTACTATTGTAATTGTTTTGGGGTACCACAAACAGTGCCCATATAAGAGGGCAAACTTAAGCAAAAATGTTTTATGCATTCTGACAGCTCCACAGACTGGCCCATCCTCTCTCTCTCCCACTCTGTCTTCCCCTCTTCCCCTCCCTCCCTCGGGCCTCCCTATTCCCTGAGACATAACAATATTGAAATCAGGCAAATTAATAACCCTACAGTGGCCTCTAAGTGTTCAAGTGAAAGAAGAGTTGTATATCTCTCACTTTTAATCAAAAGCTAGAAATGATTAAGCTTTCTCTGCTGAAGATACAGAGGAAGGCATGTTAAAAGCTGAGGCCAAAAGCTAGGCCCAATAGCCAAGTTGTGAATGCAAAGGAAACGTTCTTAAGAAAATTAAAAGTTCTACAGCAGTGAACACATGAATAATTAGAAAGCAAAACAGCCTTATTGCTGATATAGAGAAAGTTTTAGTTGTCCAGATTGAAAATGAAACCAGCCACAACACTTCATTAAGCCAAGCGTAATCCAGAGTGACGCCCTGACTCTTCAATTCTGTGAAGACTGAGAGAGGTGAACAAGCTGCACAAGGAAAGTTGGAAGAATGGATATTGTGCATGAAAGTAGCAGATGTTGCTGCGTGAGATCTAAGGAAAGAAGCTGTCTCCCTAACAAAAGTACAAGGTGAAACAGCAAGTGCTGATGTAGAAACTGCAGCAAGTGTATCCAGAAGATTTAGTTAAGATAATTGATGAATTATGCTAAATGTTCAGCATAGACAAAACAGCCTTCTATTGGAAGAAGATGCCATCTAGAACTTTTGTATCTAGAAAGAAGTCACCCCCTGGCTTCAGAGCTTCAAAGGACAAGCTGACTCTCTTGTTAAGAGCTAATGCACTGTTGACTTTAAGTTGAAGCCAGTGCTCACTTACCATTCTGAAAATCCTAGGACCCTTAAGAAATATACTAAATCTACTCTGTCTGCCCTCTATAAATGGACAACAAAGCCTGGAAGACAGCACATCTATGTAATAGCATGATTTACTGAGCACACATTTACTGAACACACATCTCTTACACTTCTGTGTAAGAGCATGGTTTTCTAGGCCCAGTGCATTAGAAAAAACGATTTTCAAAATATTACTTCTCATTGACAATGCACCTGATCACGCAAGAGCTCTGATGGAGATGTAAAAAGAGAATAATACTGTTTTCTTTTTTTTTGAGATGGAGTCTCGCACTGTCACTTGGGCTGGTGTGTAGTGGTGTGATCTCGGCTCACTGCCACCTCTGCCTCCTAGGTTCAAGCAATTCTCCTGCCTCAGCCTCCTGAGTAGCTAACATTACAGGCACCCACTACTGTGCCCGGCTAATTTTTTGTATTTTTTTTTTTAGTAGAGATGGGGCTTCACTATGTTGGCCAGGCTGATCTTGAACTCCTGACCTCATGATTCGCCCACGTGGCCTCCCAAAGTGCTGGGATTACAGACGTGAGCCACTGTGCCCAGCCAATAATATTGTTTTCATACTGTTAACACAACATGCATTTTGCAGCCCATGGATCAAGGATAAATTTTGACTTTTTTTTTTTTTTTTTTTTTTTTTGAGATGGAGTCTCACTCTGTCCCCCAGGCTGGAATGCAGTGGTACAATCTCGGCTCATTGCAGCCTCTGCCTCCCAGGTTCAAGCAATTCTCGTACCTCAGCCTCGTGAGTAGCTGGGATTACAGGTATGCACCACCATGCCCAGCTAATTTTTGTAATTTATTAGAGACAGGGTTTCACCATGTTGGCCAGGCTGGCCTTGAACTCCTGACCTCAAGTGATCCATCCACCTCAGCCTCCCAAAGTGCTGGGATTACAGGTGTGAGTCACTGCACCCAGCAATTTTGACTTTCAAGTCTTAATATTTAAGAAATACATTTCATAAGGCTATAGCTACATAGATAGTGATTTCTGTAACGCATCTGGGCAAAGTAAATTGAAAACTTTCTGGAAACGATTTGCCATTCTAGATACCATTAAGAACATTTGTAATTCATGGGAAGTCAAAATACCAAGATTTACAGGAGTTTGGAAGAAGTTGATTCCGGCAACCCTCATGGATGACTTGGAGGGGTTCAAGACTTTAGTGGAGGAACCAACTGAAGATGTGGTATAAATAACAGGAGAATTAGAAGTGGAGCCTGAAAATGTGATTGAATTTTTGCAATCTCATGATCAAACTTCAACAGATGAGGGGTTATTACTTATGGATGAGCAAAGAAGGTGGTGAAGATGCTGTGAACATTGGTGAAATGACAACAAAGGATTTAGAATATTACATCAACTTAGTTGATAAAGCAGTGTCAGGGTTTGAGAGAATTGACTCCAGTTTTGAAAGAATTTCTACTGGAAGTAAAATGACTCACTGAAGACTCAGGTGGTCATTAGCATTTTTTTAGCAATGAAATATTTTTAAATTAAGTTATGTACATTCTTTGGACATGATGCTATTGCACACTTAATAAATTACATTATAGTGTAAATGTAACTTTTGTATACACTAAGAAACCAAAAAATTTGTGGGACTGACTTGATTGTGATACTTGCTTTATTGCAGAAGTCTAGAACCAATAAGTAGATGTCTGTGTAGAGAAACTCTATTTGTACTTACTTTTTCTATAAGCCTAAAACTGCTCTAAAAAATGATGTCTTTTTAAAAAAAAAATAATTTATTTTTGTCAACATACAGCTCAACTATTAGGAATAAAAGTGTTGATGTACCAGATGAGCTTACTTGTCGTTACGTACAGCATCCAGCATCAGTCAATATGTTTATCAGAAGAAACGGAGGCTATTGGTTAATCTATTAGTACTTGGTAAAGTAGAGATCAATTGGAGAGTTTTCACTGTGATAATAGTGAAAGCTGTAGTGTGGATGAAACTGCCCTGGAGAGTATATGCTGTAAACAAAGAAGAAAAAGGATAAAACCATGGAGGACAGAAACAATGAAAGATTGAGCACCTGCAGAGCTGTAAGGAAAATCAAGAGAGCATAATGTTTTAGAAATCAAGGGAAGTTTCAAGGAAGAGACAAACCGACAATGTTAAGAGCTTCTTAGAGATCAAATAAGATATGGTTGATTCATTCAACAAATGTTTAATAGTTAAGTACTGTGTATATACATGATATCATGTCTCTGTCTCTGCTAAAGATACAGAGGTAAGTAGACTGTTCACAAGCGTTTGTGAATTATAATCTAGTGGAGAAGACAAACACTACCTAATAATAAAAGGAGAAGGCTACTGTAAGAGCATGTAGCTGGTGACGCTAACCTAGTCCTGTAGTCTTGGTAATCATTCCTGAAGAAATGATGTTTAAGCTGGGATTTGAAGATAAACAATGAGTTACTAAGGCGATTGGTTACTTGACATAGAAGTCAAGAGATCTTTGGGGTACCTGAGAAAGAGCATGCAGGTTATGGCCTGTGGCCATCAGGTGTCAGAGCAGACTGTCTATCTGCCTGGCCATATTGAAGAGATGCTGAGCATGGAGATTTATCTTTTTAAAAATGTTTGGGAGTTTTGCGTCAGGTTTTACGAGCCTTAACGCTTGTGTTTTACATTATTTCCCCAGGTATAGTAGTTGAAGATTGTTTGATTTTGCTCCAAAACTTATTAAAAAACAACAACTCCAATCAAAATTTTTTTAAAGAAGGCTCATATATTCAACGTATGAAACCTTGGTTTGAAGTTGGAGATGAAAATTCTGGCTGGTCTGCACAGAAAGTGACCAATCTACATCTAATGCTACAGGTATACTATCCTTAGACATAAATGTGGTAAGAATTTTGACAGTGATCTTTTCAAAGAGAAGAAAATCGCTTGTATTTGATAAATCCAGAATATTTGATGGATTTCAGGTTGGCTTAAAAAAACTGTAATATGGAAATTTGCAGTTATCCTCTAGCTAGAGATCTTGCCTACCCATTACTTAGCTTTGACAGTTATTAACATCTGGCAATTTTGTTTCATCGTTTATTCCTCTCTGCTGTATGATTTTAAAGCAAATTCAGACATACAGTTTCCTGATGGGTTTTACATTAAGGAATAATAGGTTACATTGTTGATTTGAATTTTTAAAAACCTGCTTTCTTCACTTAGGGCTCTAATAGGATAAATTTTAATATTCAAACTATTAAGTTCAAATAAATTCATTCAGTAAGCATTTACTGAGAGCCAGGCACTGGATGCTAGGAAATAAATGATCATGTCCTGCCCCCAAAGATGATTAGTCTGAGTTTTAAGTCCAAAACATGTTAAATTGACAGACCACCTGTGATTTATTGATCCTTTATGGTGAAAGCTTAGTGGTAATAATAAAAGTGAGGACAGTAGGATCCCAAATTATTTCCTCATCAGAGAAAATTTTGAAGTTCTTTGAAGTAGTCTACTTACTCCTTTATTGAATCCTCCTTCTCCAAACTGTTAAGTTTATACTAGTCTCCTTACTTATGAACTCATAATTCTTGTGGGCCTTTGAATGTCTCTGAATTATACCTGTGTTTCTCGGAAGTTGTGGACCTAACTAGATGGTTAGGTCCGCTAGTAATTAGAGGCTGAATGTTGTCCCATGCCATGGGAGTTGCCTGCATAGGACTGATAATTAGGGTAATCTGTGTCCCAGTTTGCCAGTACATTACTCGTTTTGTAATTACTAATAGCATCCTCTTTCACTTCAAAAGTGTCCTGGTTTGGATTATAAATTATGCAGTTACCCTAGTTAGAATATGCCTAAAAACTGTTACAAAAGTATTTACCAGGAGAACTTAGTTACAGAGTCTATTTGTACTCCCAACTCATCATTTCTGTTTTCAAATGTTGGTATTATACATTTAAGAAGTTAATAGTTTTTTAATGTTTTAGAAACAGTGTCACCAAGTGGTAACCTTGATACCTTTGTTCAAAACTGCTTTATTTTGTTTTGTTTTGTTTAAGAGACAGGTTCTTACTTAGTTGCCTAGGCTGAGTGCAGTGGTGTCTTCACAGCTTATTGCAGCCTCAACCTCCCTGGCTCAAGAAATCCCCCCACCTCAGCATCCTGAATAGCTGGGACTACAGGCGCAAGCCACCAGACCTGACTGGATTTTTTATTTTTAGTAGACATGAGGTCTCACTGTATTGCCAGGCTGGTCAGGAATTCCTGAGCTCAAGCAATTCTCCTGCCTCAGCTTCCCAAAGTGCTGCTGTTATAGGTGTGAGCCACATGCCCGGCCTACACTGCTTTCTTAAATAAGGAAATTCCTCTAGAAAAGTAATTTCCAAAATGTGATTAGAGAGGGTGAGAGAATCTGATGATATAAAAAAGCATGTATTTCGTATCAAACAGTGAAAATTTAAATTGTTTGAGGAAGCTACACATGTTTTATGGTTTAGGGTACTATGTAAAGAATTATTCTGAAGGAAGTGTCACTGTTAAAAAGTAAAGTAGGTCAGGTGTGGTGACTCACACCTATGATCCCAGCACTTGGGGAGCCCAAGGCAGGTGGGGATCACTTGAGCTTAGGAGTTTGAGACCAACCTAGGCAACATGGTCTTTATCAGCCCGGTGTGGTGGTGTCCACCTATTGTCCCAACTACTCAGGAGGCTGAAGGGGAGGATCACTTAAGCCCAGGAGGTTGAGGCTGCATTGAACCATAATCACGCCACGCACTCCAGCCTGGGAACAGAGTGAGACTCTATCTCAGGAAAAAAAAAAAAAATTACCAAAAAATTATTAGAGTACAGCATGTAAACAGAAAAATACAGTATTCTCGTTATATAACAAGTTGATTCTTTAAGAATTCTTTACTTTTAAAAAGTGAATAAACTGACTTTCTGTAGCTTAGTAAAGCTTTTATCTCTTACACTTGTCGTGAAGACCGTAAACTCCAAAGCAGAGGAACTGAGTTTAATTCATTTTAATATATTCTCCACCTGCAATACTGAATAGTAGATTCACTCATGACTTTACAGGCCAGGAGTTATCTTCTGCTATTCTGTTAGAACCTGTTGGAATACTTTATGTATAACTTTATTTAGAGTTGCTTGGATTTTAAGTTCTCTATTATACACTAAATAAAAATGCATCATTGTTTTCCTGTTGGGACATACACATTCTGTGTTGGAACTATTCATCATCACAGTTATCATGATTGCATTCTGAGCTACTAAAAACAGAATTGATCTGCTTGCTGAGTTTTAATTCAAATTTTGCAGACTATATTTAGGGAAAACATCTTTTGAAAAGTTTTTTAGTTATAAAATATTTTATTTTTTTAAAAAATTATAGTTTTATGGCTAGTCTACTTTTTATCCCTGCAGGAGTCTCTTCTATGGCATTTTATTGGGAAGATACTGCCAATAGCTCCCAGAAAGTTCATAACCTTATAAGATAATCATTTTCATTCTAGGGTAGTTTTAATTATTAGAAACTTTATATATTAAGTCATAAACTGTCCTGATATGACTTCTGTAAATTTACTTTTGCTTTCTGGAATGACACATGTTCATTCCTTGTGAATATTTCATATATTTACATGTTGCTATTAGATCTCTTTTTATCCTCATAAATATTCCCTTTTTCTTTATTTACATCATCAGTAAAGACACTCAACTGCTATTAGAGGATAGTAGAAAATTACTGTTGATTTTGTCCATTGTAATAATGGTATGATTATATTTCAAAAAATATCAAGTGGAGATGCATACAGAATTATTTGTGGTACAATTGACATATTGCGTAGTATTTGTTTTAAATACTCAAAAAAAGAAGGAAAAGAAGTAGTAAGGATAGGAGGGAAATAAATTAAGGGAGGAAAAAACACCAGAAATCTCACTAGAAAAGTCCAAGGACAGGAACCAATGTAATCCTGACCTTCTCTTTAGTGACATCAATTTATTAATGAACCCTCTTTGAGATGTCTGTTAAGCCAGACATGGAAACATCTAAATCTGTTTTGTCATTACTCACTGAGTTAACTACTGGTTGAAGTTTTTCTCTAATTCTAGTGATTTCTGGTTACCTTTTTATTCACCAACAATAAAAAGTACCACTTTTCAAACTTTTTTTTGTTTTAGTATTTAACTCCTCCCTCACAAAAAATCCCCTTTCTTAGTGGAGTCAATCCATAGATCACAATATGTGTCGGCTGTAGTAATACAAGTGTTTTAGTTTACTCTCTTAAATCATTGATTACTTCTGTGTATCTCCTATAAAATAATGGTTAATGTTTGTATAGCACTTTGTTGTTAACAAGGTATTATCATAAATACCCCCATTTGATCTTGATTTAGAAGATTTTGCACATATATATACACATAACTCTAGTTTTAAAATGTGACACACATGTAAAATGAATTTGGAGACATAACTGTGTTAAATAGTTATTTGAGATGACTTTTTTCATGTTTCTGAAATTTTATGTTTACAGTCCAAGTAATCATAGAATCATAGGGATTTAATTGGCATTAGCAATCAATGCAGCCCACCCCATGCCTAATACATGAATCTTTTACCATCTCTCCAGTTTTGGTTTTAGCCTCTCTTTAAATATTTCCAGTTTAGGGGAGATTTATCACACATCAGGTCATTCTGTTTTCAGACCTGCTCTCTTACTAGGTAGTTCATTATTAACTTTGAAAAGAAATCTGCCACTCTGTAACTTATTCATTCATTTACTTATTAAATATGTACTGTTACAAGTACTATGCTTCTTTGGGAAACAAAAATGACCAAGGCAGTTTCTCTCTGGGAGTTCACAGTCACCTGAAGAAGACAACCTTAAGTTTAAGAGGCATAATGTAATATTACTATCACAGAACTTATTGCCATGGGAGCACGAAAGAAAGAGCACCTAAATGTAGCTAAGCAGCTAAGGGAGTACTTCATGCAGACTTTCTTGTTCACATAGATCAGATTTGCCTCAAGCCTTTTCAAATCTTTAAAAGACAAATTTTGTTTTCTCTTTCTTTCACAGCTTGTTCGTGTATTGGTATCTCCCACCAACCCTCCTGGTGCTACCAGTAGCTGCCAGAAGGCTATGTTCCAGTGTGGGTTATTGCAGCAGCTTTGTACTATCCTAATGGCTACTGGGGTTCCTGCTGATATCCTGACTGAGGTAAAGCAAATGAAGTCAAAGCCAACTCTGTGGAAGTTGAAATCCTGAATCCTAGGAAGAATTAGATATTTGTTGAAGGAAAAACTACAATAGTTAACCATTTTTTAGGTTAAAATTTTTAATGATCTTACTAAAATATAATTCACATAATGATAAAAGTATTGATTCCAAAAGATATACTCATCCCTCAAGTTTTATAGTACATAAATAATAATGTTAAAGCTTTGCAGATCCATCTACAAAGATTTCTCATTAATTTTGTTATATTCAACAGGAGTGCACAGTATGATTTCGTTTTTATTTTGAGAACAAAGTGACTTAGTCTTACTCAACCGGCAGATTCATTGAATAGTAAATTCTTTTCCCCTAATGTGTGGCATTCTCTGTTGCTTACCTATAAGAAAAAGAAGTTAGTTTGAAGAAAAAAAGTTTGTTTATATTTTTAAAATTTTTCTCAAATTAACACGTGCAATATCGAAAGTACAAATAATAAAAATTTTATAACAAAAATAACTGCCTTCAGCCTCAATTGTCCTTACTGTAAGTCCCACTTTACTTCCTCATGTCACCTCATAATTATTTTATGGAATTTATATTTAAATCAGTAGTTGGGGTTTATATTTTTACAGCTGTATTGATACCATTCCTGCTAAGCCAAATAGAGTCCTATATCCTTTTTTAAATATATATTTTTCTCATCCATGAGTTGTAATTGTGTTCTTCATTTTACTGTTACTCTATATATGCATAGGTATATATGCTTAATAATCATATACTTAACACTTTGTTTCCCACCACAGGCCACCTGCAGACCCTCCATTCTCCTACTCCAATCTGTGCTCTAATTCTTCCCCATGTCTCTTGTCCTGGGAATTTTTTTTGCCATCTTCCTAGGATTTCCTTTACTTGTCTCCTGACTTGGCTTCCTTGATTATCTGGATCCTATATCTTTATTTATTTATTTATTTATTTTTTTTTTTTTTTGTACAGAGTCTCAGTCTGTTGCCCAGGCTGTAGTACAGTGGCATGATCTCAGCTCACTGCAACCCCCGCCTTCCGGGTTCGAGCAATTCTCCTACCTCAGCCTCCTGAGTAGCTGGGATTACAGGCACCCGCCACCATGCCCGGCTAATTTTTGTAATTTTAGTAGAGACAGGGTCTCACCATGTTGGCCAAGCTGGTCTCGAACTCCTGACCTCAAATGATCCACCCATCTTGGCCTCCCGAAATGTTGGAATTACAGACAGGAGCCAATGCTCCTGGCCTGGATCACATATCTTTTTCCTCTATCCCTTGGTTCATTAACTTTATTTTTCTTAATTTTCTTTTCTTTTCTTTTCTTTTCTTTTTTTTTTTTGAGATGGAGTTTCGCTCTTGTTGCCCAGGCTGGAGTGCAATGGCATGATCTCGGCTCACTGCAACCTCCGCTTCCTGGGTTTGAGCAATTCTTCTGCCTCAGCCTCCAGAGTAGCTGGGATTACAGGCGACTGCCACCATGCCCAGCTAATTTTTTGTATTTTTAGTAGAGACGGGGTTCCACCACATTGGCCAGGCTCTTGACCTCAAGTGATCCGCCCACCTCAGCCTCGTGAAGTGCTAGGATTACAGGCGTGAGCCACTGCACCCGGCCGTTATTTGTCTTAATTTTCTAAAAAAAAGAATAAGTAACGAGAAATTTTTTTATTTTTTGCTCTTTCATGTCTGAAAATGTCATTTCTCTACTTTCAGAATTAATTTAATGTTTGGCTAGATATGGAATTCAGGGTTGGAAATCACTAATACTCAACTTTCCAAACATCATTCCAGTGTTGCTATTAGGAAGTTTGAAGTTTGAAGCCATTATAATCCTCCTTTTTTTTTTATTGTAATCTTTTTCTCTCTAGAAACTTTTGAGATCTGTTATTTTTGATTTTCTGAAATTTACTGATGATGTGCTGAACTGTGGACCTTTTCCCCACTCCCTTGCTCCCCAGTTATTATCATCATTCACTGAGCACTTTCAGCTGGAAATATACATCCTTCAGTTCTGAGGATGTTTTTGGCATTGCCTGATAATTTTCTCTTTTCTGTTTTGTGTTGCTGTTGTTGTTGTTTTGAGGCAGTCTTGCTCTATTTCCCAGGCTGGAGTGCAGTGGCACTATTTCGGCTTACTTCAACCTCCACCTTCTGGGTTCAAGCAATTCTCCTGCCTTAGCCTCACAAGTAATGGGGATTATAGGCACACCACCTTACCCAGCTAATTTTGTATTTGTAGTAGAGACAGGGTTTCACCATGTTGGTCAGGCTGGTCTCAAACTCCTGACCCCAAGTGTTCCACCCACCTGGGCCTCCCAAAGTGCTGGGATTACAAGCATGAGTCACCACGCCTGGCCTCTTTTCTGTTCTCTTTCTGCAATTCCATTAGTAGACTTTCTGGGTAATTTGTCTTTTTAAAAATTAATTTTTAATTAACAAAAATGGTATATATTTATCTTGTATAACATGTTTTGAAATAGTCTTTTTATTTTTTAACTTTATCCTTAAATTGAATTTTTTAACTCTTTAAATTTGTTCTTTGATTATTATTTTAAAACCTTTTTCTGTTTTTATAAAATATTTTATCTCATAGAGAATAGTATAGTTTTTGAGATTTAAAATGCCTGTCAAGTGTTATTTTATTGGAGACCCATGCTTAATGCTTTAAAATTTTCCCTTGAGGAAGTGTTACAAGATTATAATGTTATCATTGATGTTTTTGTGCCTGAATTTTGGCACTTAAAAAGTGGGATATAAGATTTTTTTTCATGTATACATATGTAACTAACCTGCACAATGTGCACATGTACCCTAAAACTTAAAGTATAATAAAAAAAAAAACAAAAAAAAAAGATTTTTTTTCTATTGAAAACATATTTTCCTTCTTGACTTAATTTCTCTAAATGTTCTTTTTCTTTCTTCCCCTTAACAGACCATAAATACTGTATCAGAAGTTATTCGAGGCTGCCAAGTAAACCAAGACTACTTTGCATCTGTAAATGCACCTTCAAACCCACCAAGGTAGAAAAAGGGAAATACTGAGATTACTCTGAGGAAGTAAAAACTTTGGGTTGTTAATGTATCTCATATACACATCTTACTCTTTTTAAAGAAGTTTAGTTGTATGTTTTGGAACTAGAAATTATCTGACAAGATAAATGATATTGATATTTTAAAAGAGTTGGTAGTCTTTGGAATTTAGATACTTAGATTCAGATATCATGTCGTCCACATCCTAGCTGTATGCCTTAAGCAAGCAGTCACTTCACTTCTGTCAGTTACAGTTTTCTGTGAAATAGAGATGGAAATACTTAACTTGCTGGTGTTCTGGTTATGATTCTTCAATCAACAAAAATGACTAGTTATTGACTTGTATACTTGGGTTGCAATGTTTCATTTTGTTCTTTTCTTTTTAAATGCAACAGACCGGCAATTGTAGTACTTCTCATGTCCATGGTTAATGAAAGGCAGCCATTTGTTTTGCGCTGTGCTGTTCTCTATTGTTTCCAGTGTTTCTTGTATAAAAACCAAAAAGGACAAGGAGAAATCGTGTCAACACTTTTACCTTCTACCATTGATGGTAAATAATTTAGTTCTAATTTTTATTTGAAAAAGTAAATCATTGTCTTCCAAGCTTTTAATTGATTCTTTCTTTTTATGCTTTAGCCTAAAATACTTTGCATGCTTAGGAGAGAAAAAAAAAAAACAAAAACACCTGAATTCTAAGGCCTGCAGGTAAATTTAGACAACAGGCTTTGGAGTCAGACCAGAGTTTGCATTGCAGAATTTTCACTTTTGCTGTATAACTTCTGCCGTATAACTTTTTAACTTGAGCCTCACTGAGTTATGGGGGATAATAATACTCATCTCTATGTGGGGTTAATACCCCATTAGGAACATTGTGAGGATTAATGCAGTTACATGCATTACATTACATAAAGTACTCACGCCAAAACTTAGCATGTATAGATGCCAGTAAACAGAATCTACTGTTAATTATAATTGTCATTCTAAAGATGAATTTTGCCAGGTGCGGTGGCTCACGCCCGTAATCCCAACATTTTGGGAGGCCAAGGCGGGCAGATAACCTAAGACCAGGAGTTCGAGACCAGCCTAGCCAACATGGTGAAACCCCGTCTCTACTAAAAATACAAAAATTAGCTGGGCGTGGTGGCAGGTGCCTTTAATCCCAGCTACTCAGGAGGCTGAGGCAGGAGAATCGCTCAAATCCTGGAGGCAGAGGTTGCAGTGAGCTGAGATTGTGCCACTGCACTCCAGCCTGGGCAACAGAGAGAGACTGTGCCTCAAAAATAAAAATTAAGAAAAAGAAGATGAATTTTACCATTAAATCACATTTAACTTTCAGTCTGTTGTTCTAGTATAGGTTAGAGTCATTACCCTTTTTATGGGGTCTTTAAATATTTCATCTTACCTAAGATAAATTTTTTAAATGTTTACCTTTGTTAACTTTTAAACTTCAAGAGCAGTTTCATAAAGGTAATTGGAAACATCAATAAAACTCATTTTAATTACATACATTGAGGTTTTTTGTTAGAATTTAAGTCTGTTTAATTATATTTACCAAAAAAAAATTTGGTAAAAAATTACCATAAAAAATTATTGATCATTAATGAAAATAAGACCCTGATGTAGTAGAATGATCAAAATGTGGCATTTCCTTAAGTTTGTTTTAGAAATGTTGTTTTTAATTAAGGTAATTTTTTGGAATGTTACCATCATCAGTTTAATGCCGAAAATACTGTAATACAAGTTGAGCATCCCAAATCTGAAATCTGAAATGCTTCTTTTTTTTTTTTTTTTAACATTCCTTCAAACATTTAGCCTTTGTGTTTCAAATAATCTAATTGTACTCATTAAGTAATTTTGAAATGTATACTTAAGCCAGGCGTGGTGGCTTACACCTGCAATTCCAGCATTTTGGGAGGCCAAGGCAGGTATATTGCTTGAGTATAGGAGTTCAAGAACAGCTTGGGCAACATAGTGAAACCCCATCTCTACTAAAAATACAAAAATTTAGGCTGGGCTTGGTGGCTCACTCCTGTAATCCCAGCACTTTGGGAGGCCAAGGCGGGTGGATCACCTGAAGGTAGGAGTTCAAGACCAGCCTGGCGAACATGGTGAAAACCCATCTCTATTAAAAATACAAAAATTATCCGGGCATGGTGATGCATGCCTGTAATCCCAGCTATGGGGGAGACTGAGGCAGGAGAATCGCTTGAACTTGGGAGGCGGAGGTTGCAGTGAACTGAGATCACGCCATTGCACTCCAGCCTGGGCAACAAGAGTGAGACTCTATCTCAAAAAAAATACTAGCCAGGCATGGTGGCACACACCGGTAGTCCTAGCTACATGGGAGGCTGAGGTGCGAGAATCACCTGAGCCTGGGAGGTCGAGGCTGCAGTGAACTGAAATTGCACCACTGCACTCCAGTCTGGGCAAACAGTGAGACCCTGTCTCCAAAAAAAAACAAAAAATAAAATATACACTTATTTTTTATTATAGTCACCCTGTTGTGCAATCAAATGGTATATCTTATTCATTCTTTCTAACAATATTTTTGTACTCATTATCCCCATCTTCCCTCTAACTTCCCACTACCCTGCCCTGCCTCTGATAACCACCTTTCTAATCTCTGTGTCCATGAATTCCCACAAATTTTTAGATCCCACAAATAAAGGCAAATAAATTTTACCTTCTACCATTGATGATAAATAATTTAGTTCTGATTTTTATTTGTTCTCACAAGTAAGTGAGAACAAATGTTAGTCTTTACATACCTGGCTTATTTCACTTAATATAATGATCTCCAGGTTCATCTGTGTTGTTGTAAATGACTAGATCTCATTGTTTTGTATGGCTGAATAGTACTCCATTGTGTGTATATACCACATTTTCTTTCTGAAATACTTCTGGTCCCAAGCATTTTGGATAAGGGATACTCAACCTATGTTTCTTTTCTCTCTCTCCTTTTTTTTTTTTTTTTTTTTTTTGAAGATAAGGTATCACTCTTGTCCAGGTTGGAGTGCAGTGGCGCAGTCCATAGCTCACTGCAGCCTCAAACTCCTGGGCTCAAGTGATCCTCAGGCCTTAGCCTCCCGAGTAGCTGGGACTGCAGGCATGCACCACCAACTCCTGGCCTCAAGGGATCCTCCCACCTCAGCCTTCCAAAGTGCGAGAATTACAGGCGTGAGCCACCATGCCCAGCCTCCACCTGTATTTCTTTGTTCTATTACTTTTCTTCCAAGATAACTTTCTCTCATTGTTCATTTTGCTTTGAAAAGCAGACTTTTATCATTTTGAAAGTATATTTAATACTACTCATTAATACATGTTTAATGATTATATTTAATGGTATTTCACACTATTTTATGTGTACAGAAAACAATTTATTTAAAATTTGGTTTACGTCAAAATCTAATATATTTTTATTGTCTGCCTGCCATCTTTGTAGCAACAGGTAATTCAGTTTCAGCTGGCCAGTTATTATGTGGAGGTTTGTTTTCTACTGATTCACTTTCAAACTGGTGTGCTGCTGTGGCCCTTGCCCATGCGTTGCAAGAAAATGCCACCCAGAAAGAACAGTTGCTCAGGGTTCAACTTGCTACAAGTATTGGCAACCCTCCAGTTTCTTTACTTCAACAGTGCACCAATATTCTTTCACAGGTAAAGTTTTGCATAAGGGAAAAAGTTCTATACATTTTGATGTCAGTGATACAGGATTTAAGGATGTCTTTAGAAGATGCAGATGAAAAAGGACAGAGAAGACTTATTCTGTTTATTAGTTCATCATAATCAGAAACAGTTTTGTGGAGAAAAAGCAATAAATACTCTTAGAGGAATAGTTTTGCTAAATAGTTATAAGGTCTGCATCATGATGAAAATACATGTTCTGGGCAGAAAGGTATTTTGAGGGTTTTGTCTTGTTTTTAAATTATCCACAGTGTTCTTGCATGTCATTTTTCTCTTTCTTCTCAGTAACTGAATTCAGGTTAGTTTATGGGAGGGAGTAAAGTAGTTCATAGCTGTGTATTTCCCTCTTTCTCTTCCCAAAGCAATTGATCATCTAGAAACAATGGAACAGTGGTCCCTTGTATATATAGTTATACAGTATATCCCCTTGAAGTTTGTGAGTTCTTCAATCCTTAAGTCCCCGGTGCATATAATTTACCTAGTAAGATGGAGGAAAACATAACAAAAAATTTTTGCATGTCTTAGACTCCTAATGAGAACAACAAAGCTTTATTGAAGTGTAGTTGCTAGGCATTTAGGAATGTCACTTTTTGTTATGTGATTTCCCCACATGTACCAGCCTTGCTATTGAACAGTTCAAGTTCATGCTTTAGCAAAACTCTAAAGTCATTGACGTTTAGAGTCACTCAGGGAAAGTAAAAATGTGACTAAATCTAAAATTGTTCTGTACACTGCTCTAGCAGTAGTTATCCTACCCACTCCCCATAATAATGTGGTTGTGTCCTTCTTTAGTTTTAATCCTGCCACACTCGTTGAATTTTTCCTTATTTTGAGCTTTTAAAGAAACATTAGCTCCATCCATAGAAATTATAAATGAAAGCTTAAAAAGTAACTATAGTGAAAAGGAAGTTGAAGTTTAAAATTGGTTTACTTTAATTGAAAGCTTATTTTGTCTTTATCACTTATCTCTTAGAGATTAAAAAAACTATCCCAAATTTTTATGTCTTTACTTATTACTTGGCATTCTCATGTTGCTATCTGTTAACAACAGTTTTATTTTAAAGCCAAACAGTAATTATCTCTCTCATCACCATCACCACAGACTTCACTTTAACATTGAAATTACAATGAATGCCTGATGAGAAGTGCTAAAGATGGTGGTGTCTTCCCCACTCTTAAGTAATCACAGTGCTATAAAATTATCCTTTATCTTCTAAAATATATAGCCTCTAAATGTATCCTCTAACTTTTTATTGTATAAAAGAAGTATCATTAGAACCATCCTGTCCCAAATTATTGGCTTGAGTTTGTAGAGAGACTATGAAAAAGTATTTGAGGGATTTTTCCAGATTTAGACTTTTCTAAAGTAGTAATATGTATGAATAATTTGTAATGTATAATTTGCAGGGTGATAAGATCGACAGACGGGTATGTATCACTTGATTAAGCTTAGGCATTTTCCTCTTATAGCAAAGCTTTTTCTCTGTCTTGGGTTTTGCTGATTGGTTTTTTTTTAACTGCTTGTTTGAAGTTACATTCTACTCACACTTTTGCGTGTCAGCCAATTTATTTCTATTGTAAATGGCTCTCCAGTTTTTCTCCATGGGATATTGTATTGGTGTTACTAAACACTGTGGGAATGAGAATCTGAATCTATACTTGTGCTTCTTCTGGGGATGCTTGCACTTTCTGGATTTCCTTGGTTTCGGTTTTTTGTGTTTTTTCTCCAAGCTTGCCTATTTATTTCCTCTGAAGCCATTTCAAAGGAAGTAGAATTCAGGATTAAGAATTTTGTCTTTAATTAATCAGCATATGAAAGAATCTGATGATGATTTTTATACTAGATTATTTAAAATGTGCAATAGTAAGTATAATTTTATAATTTGAAATATTTTAAATGAAATATTATGGATTATTCTGAATATAATCCATATGCTACAGCTACCACTGAGGATTCGTTTTTGTTGTGTGTGGGGAAAGTGCTATTTTTGTTTTGTTTTGTTTTGTTTTGTTTTGTTTTGTGTGAGTATTTGGCAGAAAAGGAGTGTACCTTAATATCTATGTTTGGGCATGGGTTTCAGTTGAATAATGTGGGTAGTAATAAATGAGGTCCTGTTATGAATTGTATCTTTGTGTATGAGCATGATTTAACATGTGTCATTAACTTACACACACACATACATATTTTGCAGCTTTAGCCTGCAGAATTTTATATTAGGGAAAGTATTTTATAAGTATACATGTCAGTCATTTGAAAGGGAATTTTTTTTGAGGTATTAATTTATATACAATAAAATGCACAGACCTTCTGTGTTTCATGTGATGATTTTTGGTGTTTGAGTGTATCTCTGTAACCACCACCCAAAACTAGATGTAGAACGTTTTCATAATCCCAGAAAGTTCCATCATGCTCTTTTTTTTTTTTGAGACGGAGTCTCACTCCGTTGCCCAGACTGGAGTGCAATGGCACGATCTTGGCTCACCGCAACCTCTGCCTTCTGGGTTCAAGCGATTCTCCTGCCTCAGCCTCCTGAGTAGCTGGGATTACAGGTGCGCACCACCACACCCAGCGAATTTTTGTATTTTTAGTAGAGACAGGGTTTCATCATGTTGGCCAGGCTGGTCTCGAACTCCTGATGATCGCAGGTGATCCACCCACCTGGCCTCCCAAAGTGCTGGGATTACAGGTGTGAGACACCGCGCCCAGCCCGCAGCTTCAAATATTTTGTTTGTAGTTCTCTTTTATCGTGTAAAATCTGTGGTTTATAATTACCCCCGAGAATGCTCTCAAATTACAGTTTTAGCCTCCATTTGTTTTCTCAAATCTCCTCAATGGTTCACACACTCTAGGGGCTCTGAAAAGAGGTGTGTACTTTTCCTTTTATTTATATCCTCTGCCCATTTTATATTAACATACTTAACCCTTGTTTTTAATATGAGTTACAGATTTTTTTTTTTTTTTCTGGTATGTCATTTGTCTTTTGACCTTGGTGTTTTGTTATGGATTTTTTTTTTTCTCAGACTTATCTTTTATGGCTTCTGCATTTTAAGTCATACTTAGAAAAGGCCTTTCCATGTTCAGATTTTAAGGAATTTACTAGGCCAGGCATGGTAGCTCACACCTATATGTTAACACTTTGGAAGCTGAGGTGGGGGCATCGCTTGAGCTTTGGAGTTCAAGGCTGCAGTGAGCTATGATTGCTGCACTCCAGCCTGATAGACAGAGCGAGACCTGGTCTCCAATCCCCCCAAAAAAGACTTTATAAGGAATTATACTTCAATGTTTATCTTATACTTTCTGGTTTCTTTTTTTTTCATTTAATTCTTTGTTCTGTTTTTCTCAGCGAACTGTATGAGATACAGATCCACTGATCTTTTTCTAGATAGCTCTCCAGTTGTCCCAAAATCTTTTAAGTCTATTTGTAACTCACTGATAGTTGTATGCTACTTTTTCATATATTAAATTCTCATTTGTATATGGGCCCATTTTTCTGGATTTTTGTATTCTGTCTCTTGATTCCTGCTTGTTCGTGATCCATTATTCTCTCTTTTTTCTTTTTTTTTACAGTGTCCCTAGTTAATCTCACTTTTTTCATATGATCTTCAGAATCATGTTGTTTTGTTCCAGAAGCAAAAAAAAAAAAAAAAGCCTTTTAGTAATTTTTATTTGAATCACATTAATTTTATTCATTTATTTATTTTTAATTTATTTTACAATTATTATTTTTTTTGAAATGGAGTCTCACTCTGTCACCCAGACTGGAGCGCAGTGTTGTGATCTCGGCTCACTGCAACCTCTACCTCCCAGATTCAAGTGATTCGCCTGCCTCAGCCTCCTGAGTAGCTGGGACTACAGGCGCGCGCCACCTCGCCTGGCTAATTTTTGTATTTTTAGTAGAGACAGTGTTTCACCATGTTCGTCAGGCTGGTCTCGAACTCTGGACCTCAGGTGATCCAACGCACCTCAGCCTCCCAAAGTGCTGGGATTACAGGCACATTAATTTTATAAATTAACTTAGAATTAACACCTTTGTGATGTTGAGTCTCCTATCTAAGAACATGGTGGCTTTCTATTGGTTTATGTCCACTTTTGTGCTCTTTAGGAGTGTTTTAAAATTTTCCTTGTTTAGATTTTATACCATTTTGATTAGGTTCACTCCTGAGTACTTTATCTTTTTTTGTCTCTGTAATAAATGGAGTGTTTCATTCTGTCTTTTAACTGGTTATATTTGACTTTGCTCTTCTTATCCTTCAATTAGACCCCAAAAGCCATGCTTTTAGAAGATTCTGATTTAAATCTTACTCTGTTTTTTTTTACTCATACATCAGCCAGTGATTTGATAGGATGTTCTTATATATACATTGTGGGTATATTTGGTACCTGCAAATGGTTATGCTAAGTAATAATGAACTTATATATAACCAGGTAGATGAACAAAACATTTGCATTTGTAACTCGAGTAGTTGTAAGTTTTCTGTGGCACATAGTCAGTTGGCAGTGACTGGTTTTTAACTTTCCAATTTACATGGATGACTTGAAGATATATTGTGGGCATGGTAATGACGTAGAGGCAAGGAAACAGTAAAAATAATGCATCATGTAAAAACTAAATTTGTATCAGTGCTTACCTGGCAAATCATTTGAAGAGGTCCTGTTTGAACTTAATTCAATATTAAATATACCTAAAAATAGATTATAGAAGAGTCAAGATATTGGCATCAAGGTTTGTGAAATTAGAATAGTCTGGGTGGTAGAAATTTTTCGGAACACAGTGATGATTACTTTAAATTCATTCCTTGTCTAGATCTTTGAATTATATTTCGGACATTTTATGAGACTTTCCCCAAAGTGATGCATTACTATTCTGATTTTCATTATTTTATTTCAAACAAGTTTTGTTTTGTTTTTTTAAAAAAAGATACAGGTTATAGGAATATAAATATGGGCACTGTCAATATTGTGAACTAAGAGAATATTCTACCTAGGAGATGTAAATGTGTTGTATTAAAATTTTGAAAACTAATTTTGCTGGATATGCTAATTTTCATTATTAACTATACTTGGCAGCTGTTAATGGTTTGGGGGCACTTGGCTAATTTAAATCTTCCTCTTGATTATGTTTGTGATTTCTCATCTGGTGTGTGATGACTGAATTTGTAGTATGGTTTATTTATTGTTAGAGAATATATTCTCTCATGGAATTTGACTAAATGATTCAGGGGATTATTTTTTGCATTTTTCTTGATTTTTTTGTTTTTTGGTTTTTTTTGAAGGAAGTAGAATTTTCCTTTTATCAGGAACTTGTTTTTAAACTTGTGACTGAAATATCATAAATTTGCTTGGCAAATTTATTGTAAAGGGTCTTGGGATTAATAGATTATTTTAAAGCCTCCACACTGATTTTTTTCCTTAGCAGACAAGGTTTTTAAACTAATCATATTTTAAATAACCCAGTATATGCCTCTGAACATGAATCAGTTCTAATTTCTGCACTCTGTTCATTTTAGGAAGTGCAGCCTGTGGTGCATACAATAATTTATTCTCTTGTTTAGTTTTTTAAAACTGGATTTCTGGCTCATCTCTTGTAAGATGTTAAAGTTCTTTTCATGCAAATGGAAGGGATCTTAGGGCAACTTTAAGTTTGAAAAATATAAAATGAATGGAAAGATTTCTACCAATTTATCTGTTGCAGGGAAGCAAAATACAAACAAGAGTTGGATTATTAATGTTGCTTTGTACCTGGCTAAGCAATTGTCCCATTGCAGTAACGCATTTTCTTCACAATTCAGCCAATGTTCCATTTGTATCCTTTATGTTTTAGTAACGTACATGTAAGTATTTATATCTTTTTTAGTTTTTCTCCTCAATTAGAAGTAGTTCTATGCCCAAAATATTTGAATTCTCCACTATCTTATCTGTGTTGCAACTTTTTAAACTGTTAAAGTTGTTATGATGCTTGTTTAAGTTGTGTGTGTGTGGTTTGTTTTATGCCGGGTTGGAATATATATATGAAATTTCTTTTTTTTTTTTTTGAAATGAAGTCTTGCTCTGTCGCCCAGGCTGGAGTGTAGTGGCGCGATCTCGGCTCACTGCAACTTCCGCCTCCCAGGTTCAAGCAATTCTCCTGCCTCACTCAGCCTCCTGAGTAGCTAGGATTACAGGTGTGCGCAACCACAACCCGGCTAATTTTGTATTTTTAGTAGAGACATGTTGGCCAGGCTGGTCTCAAACTCCTGACCTCAGGTGATCCACCCACCTTGGCCTCCCAAAGTGCTGAGATTACAGGCATGAGCCACCACACCTAGCCTATATATGGAATTTCTTATGGGAACTCTTATGTGAAGTATTAATGTATGTCAAATTCAAATTGCAAAATGTACTAGATATTTTCAATCCTTAGCCTCCTTAACAAAGATTTCAGCTTACAGGACAAATTGCAGAAAATCTTGGAGAAGAAGAGCAGTTGGTCCAAGGCTTATGTGCCCTTTTGTTGGGCATTTCGATTTATTTCAATGATAACTCACTTGAGAGCTACATGAAGTAAGTAAGGGGAAGATGGTTTTCTAATGGCATCAAGAGATAATGATGCTTTTTTTTTTTTTTTGCCAAAGCATTATGTAGACCAAGCTTTTATGTTTTGTTTTGATTTTATTTTTTTTAAAGCATCTCAATATGCTTATCTCCGTAGAGAGAAGCTAAAACAACTGATTGAGAAGAGGATTGGCAAAGAGAATTTCATAGAGAAACTAGGATTTATTAGCAAACATGAGTTGTATTCCAGAGCATCTCAGAAACCCCAGCCAAACTTTCCCAGTCCAGAATACATGATATTTGATCATGAGTTTACGAAGCTGGTAAAAGAACTTGAAGGTAAGACTGAAGATTTATATTGATATTTGATGGAAAGTAATTATATTTATATTGTACATGTATATTCTGGATGCATACAGGTTATATGGTAACTCTAAAGGTATATTTTCTTCCTAGCTCTTGATCTGTAGCCCATTGAAGGACATTTGGCTTTCAGTAGGATTGAAAAGATTATTTCTTACCTATCATGGAGTTAGGTTATATGTTTTTACTAAGTCTTAGTAGTAAAATAGTATTTAAAACATTTAAAACAAATTTTAAATAAGCTTCCTTTTATAGGTGTTATAACTAAGGCTATTTATAAGTCCAGTGAAGAAGATAAAAAAGAAGAAGAGGTGAAAAAAACATTAGAACAGCATGACAATATTGTGACTCACTACAAAAATATGATTCGAGAGCAGGTAAGTACTAATGAACTGTATATACCCTCTGATTACCAATAGGCACTTTCTGCTTTAAGGGAGCCTTTTTTTCTGACATTTCAAATGAAAGAGGATATAGAAAGCAAAACCCATCATTTTTCAAAGCATCTGAGTATTCAACAAACAGAGTGCTTAATATGTGCTAAGCACCATGCAGCTGATTTATTAGATAATGATGAGTGGATAAAGATGAAACTACAATTGCGGAATCATCAGTTGACATTTTCTTTCCAGGATACCAGTGAACTTTCATTACTTGCATTGTGTTGAGTACCCTAAACCTTCATTATATTCCTTCAAAATGTTTTCTTGACTTTTACTCTCATTTAATTTCTTATGATATTTACCTTGATTGGAATTCTAGAAAGTGCTGAAAAATGAGGTTATTAATGTTGTTAAAATTCCAGTGTCATAAAAAAATACAATAGTGGCAGACCCTGTGGGACAGATTCATCCCCTTCCCTCTACTGCTCTCCACACCTGTCTACTAATTGTGCACAGTTTATGGCAGGTGTGGCAAGTAAAAGCATAGATAGAACCCTTTAAATTGACAACTGTTTATATCTTATTTTCTTCCTCACAATCTACATTACTGAGATTAGTTTGTTTTTTGTTTAGACAGAGTCTTGCTCTTGTTTCCCAGGCTGGAGTGCAGTGGCGCAGTCTCGGCTCACTGCAACCTCCGCCTCCCAGGTTCAAGCAATTCTCTTGCCTCAGCCTCGCAAGTAGCTGGGATTATAGGCGTGTGCCACCACGCTGCCTAATTTTTATATTTTTAGTAGAGATGAGGTTTCACCATGTTGGCTGGTGTTGATCTCCTGACCTCGGGTGATCCCTTCCCTTCCCTGCCTCAGCCTTCCGAAATGCTGGGATTATAGGCATAAGCCAGCGCGCCCAGCCTACTGAGATTAAAATTTTAAGAAAGAATGAAAATATTGTGGTATATTTAGCATTCATTCTAAGCTTTTCAGTTTAAAAGTAAATCAATCAATAAATTATAATCTTAGAATGGTAAAATTTGAATCATCAAACTACCTATGGTTATTAGGATTTTTCATCTATATCTGGGTACAAAGATGGAGCCATTTCCAGTTGCTAAAATGTAATAATATCTTTGGAACAGTGAAAAAAACAAATAGTTGTAATGTGATATAGAGTCTATACTTGGGGCTGCAAATACAGTTGATTTGGCAAAAGAAAAGAGTGATTGACACAATTACTCTAATGACTTCCTTAGAAATGTTCATTTTAAATATTCTTACCATTTAAAATGCTATTTGGCATTAGTCCACAAGCATCTAGAACTATAAAATGTTTATATCCTTTGAATGACATTTGATAATTCATCCTAAGGGAATTCTCCAAAATTCAGGAAAACAATTATATGGACTAAAATATATAATGTAATGAAATTTGTCACTTTGAAAAATGGAAAGCAATATTAAGTAGATGCAATACAATTTATATTCAGTGTTTTTGATGCTGAGGTTGCTTTCCATTTTTCTTTTTCTTTTCTTTTTTTTTTTTTTTTTTTTTTTTTGAGACAGTTTCGCTCTTGTTGCCCAGGCTGGAGTGCAGTGGCTGAGCACGGTGCCTCATGCCTGTAATCCCAGCACTTTGGGAGGCCAAGGTGGGCAGATTACCTGAGGTCGGGAGTTCGAGACCAATCTGACCAACATGGAGAAACCCTGTCTCTACTAAAAATACAAAAAATTAGCTGGGGATGGTGGCACATGCCTATAATCCCAGCTACTCAGGAGGATGAGGTAGGAGAATCGCTTGAACAACCTGGGAGGCGGAGGTTACAGTGAGCCGAGATCGCACCATTGCACTCCAGCCTGGGCAACAAGAGCGAAACTCTGTCTCAAAAAAAAAAAAACCCAAGAAAAAAAGAAAGAAAGAAAAGAAAAAAAATGGAAAGCAACCTTAGCATCAAAAACATTGAATATAAATTGTATTGCATCTACTTAATTAGATAGGATTAAAAATTATGGTTTGAAAACTATGTAGCAATATGGGGAAATTATGATAGAATGTTAAGTAAATTAAAGGCTACATAATTATATATATATACCTATTGTGACAAATTTTAAACCATGGATTGGGAAAAAATTAGAAGAAAATAAAGAAATACATAAAATTCTGGCCGGGCACGGTGGCTCACGCCTGTAATCCCAGCACTTTGGGAGGCTGAGACCGGTGGATCACCTGAGGTCAGGAGTTTGAGACCAGCCTGGCCAACATGGTGAAACCCCATCTCTACTAAAAATACAAAAACATTAGCTGGGCATGGCAGCGGGCGCCTGTAATCCCAGCTACTCAGGAGGCTGACGCAGGAGAATTGCTTGAACCTTGGAGGCAGAGGTTGCAGTGAGCTGGATTGCACCACTGCACTCCAGCCTGGGCGATAAGAGCGAAACTCCGTCTCAAAAAAAAAAAAAAGAAAAAAAATACATCAAATTCCAACTATAGTTTTATTATGATGGTAAAAGTTGGAAGCTCTTTTTTCAATTTCCTATATTTATTTTCTCATTGGCTTTTAATATTAAAAATAATATAGAAGCATATGTATACATACATATACTAAATTTCTTAAATAGTTTGATGTAAATTTTTAAATGGTTTTATGACCATAAAATGGAGTTTTTTCATTTTATTTCCCACTATAATTGCAGGCTATGCCATGATGTTTATTAATGGAGCCTTCTTTGAAATCTTGTAGTTCTGCTGCATGTTAATTGGCCTTGATGGATATATTAACACACCAAGTTGCTTAATTACTGAACGATTTTGGAAGTGTTAAGCACTTTAGCATACTGTCCCAAAATGACCTCTAATTTTTAAAATGTGTTCACCTTCTTAATGCTAACGAGTATGACTTTAAAACACATGAATTATGTTTTGTTTCACAGGATCTCCAACTTGAGGAATTAAGGCAGCAGGTTTCTACATTAAAATGTCAAAATGAACAGCTCCAGACGGCAGTCACACAGCAAGTATCACAGATCCAGCAGCACAAAGACCAGTATAATCTTCTTAAAATACAGCTAGGTAAGCATAGCTAAGCCATCACTATGATAGCACTCAGGTCATTCTTTCCTCAAGAGCTAGACAAAGTAAAAGATTCTTTCTGTGGACTAGTATTTTTCTAACCTTAATCATGGTGACAAAAATGTAAATCGGAGTTTAAAGCAAAATAGCATGATAGTTAAGAGCAGTTAAGACTGGACCTTTAGAGATTGAAGTCCAAGCTTCTTGCTACCTGTTTATCTGGCCCATTGATTCTCAACCCTGGCTGCATATTAGAATCTCCTGAGATGCTTTTTTAAAAAAAAATACCAATGCTGATACCACAATAGTGTTTCTGATTTAATAAATCTGGGATTAGGTCCAGGGATCAGTAACTAGTATAAGCCCACCAGGTGATTCTAATGTATAGCTGATTAAGAATGACCGCTGTAATCTTTCAGTTTCCTCTTCTGCAAAATGAAGATAGTAATAACATTTGAGAACTAAATGATATAATAAATGAAAAATTTAAGTTGTGCCTGGAAAATGGCAAGAGCTCCACTGCTTTTAAATAGTATTATCCTACGGTGCTTGTGAAGATTTTTTAAAAGGATTTTATTTTCTCATATTCAGTTGACAGAATTGGAATTAAAATTACTGTAATTCTTAATCATAGATCACCAGACCATGCAGTTTAGTCAAGGCTGTGCTGTTTTTTCTCCCAGAAATCTGGAAAATACTATCAGTTCACTATTTTTATCAGTATACCATTCTGCAAAGATGAAATGTGATTGCAAAAGTGCTGCCAAAGTAATTGAATGAAGAAAATTACATATTTGAATCTTCTACTTCAAAAATGAAAAACTGAAGTTTCCCGTTGGCTTTTAAAATGTTATGTCTGTCTAACAGGAAAAGACAATCAGCATCAAGGTTCTTACAGTGAGGGGGCTCAGATGAATGGCATTCAGCCAGAAGAAATTGGTAGATTGCGAGAAGAGATAGAAGAATTAAAACGTAATCAGGAACTTTTACAAAGCCAGCTGACTGAAAAGGACTCTATGATTGAAAATATGGTAAAGTAAATGTTTAAGAAGTTAAAATAAGAGTTCAAGAGTGGTTCTCATTATCCTGCCTTTTTTTTTTTTCCTTGGATCTCTTAAGCCAGAATATCATATGTTAAGATTTTACAGGATGGGCCAGGCACAGTGGCTTACGCCTGTAATCCTAGCACTTTGGGAGGCTGAGGTGGGCGGATCACCTGAGGTCAGGAGTTCAAGACTAGCCTGGCCAATATGGCGAAACCCTGTCTCTACTAAAAATACAAAAATTAGCCGGGCATGGTGGCAGGCACCTGTAGTCCCAGCTACGCAGGAGGCTGAGGCAGGAGAATCTCTTAAACCCAGGAGGTAGAGGTTGCAGTGAGCCGAGATCACCCCACTTCACCTCATTGCCTGTGCGACAGAGGGAGACTTTCCATCTAAAAAAAAAAAAAAAAAGATTTTACAGGATGAGCTTTAGAGTCAAACTGTTTAAACTTCAATGCTTCCTGGCTCATTGAATTTAAGCAATTTAGTTAACCTCTTTAAACTTGTTTCCTGATCTATAAAATGGTAGTGGTAATGTCTAGTTCATTGTTGTGAGATTTAATTTACTCTTCTAATAGATGGAAATTATTTAATAAATGTTTGCTTTTATGCTCTTTCTCCATATGAACGCAGGTAAATGCTTAGATTTAATAAATTGCTCGGTAAAATAAAAATTTTATTTTTTTTTCTTTAGAGACAGAGTCTCGCTCTGTTAGCCCAGTCTGGAGCGCAGTGGCACAATCTCGGCTCACTGCAACCTCCACCTCCCAGGTTCTAGCAGTTCTCCTGCCTCAGCCTCCCGAGTAGCTGGGATTATAGGTGCACGCTGCCACGTCCGGCTAATTTTTTGTATTTTAGTAGAGATAGGGTTTCACCGTGTTGCCCAAGCTGATCTTGCATTCCTGAGCTCAAGCAATCCACTGGCCTTGGCCTCCCAAGGATTACAGGCATGAGCCACCGCACCCAGCCTACAAATGGATTTTTAGCCATGAAAAAGTTGTAGACAATATGTGCTGTGTTGGAATTTTATCTTGGGCATAAAAATTAAAAGGTTGGTGTGAATTTTTTGGTAAGCACATATGATATAGTTTATATGTGTACAGTTCTGTTTTTTTTTCTCATCTCTTTAGACTGAATATATTTTATAGTTTATTTTTGTGCTATTTGCAGAAATCTTCCCAAACATCTGGCACAAATGAACAGTCTTCAGCAATAGTTTCAGCTAGAGATTCTGAACAAGTTGCAGAATTAAAACAGGTAATTTTCCACTTTGATCCAATTCTACTTTGTCATGTTTTAATTATAATAGAATAACAGCCCTATAGTTTCACAAATCTAGAACTATATTAGCAGATGTAAGTAAAATTTAAGTTAAGACAGCCATTTGAAAATCCAGAAGCTGTTTCTATTTATATGGTAATAGTACTTTGCTTTTTATTGTGTTTTTATTTTTCAGAGGTATTCCTTTTAAAAAATCTCAGCATCTCACCCATGTTATTTATAGATTATCAGTGAACTAACAAGGAAAAATTTAAATTTATAACTTGCAAATATGAAAATGTAAAATCTTATGCCTAATTTTAATATACTATGATAATTGCTTGACTAAATGTATGGGGTTTTTAAACTGTTTTGTCTAGAAAATATAGAATTTTAGAATTGGAAAAGAGAAGAAAGGTAAACTTACCTATATCTCAATTAAATGACTCCAGCTAAAAAGCAAAATAAACTTTTTCTGTGGTAATTTATAACATCTAGAAAAGCAAGTTAAACTTTTTTCTACTTGCTTATAGTATTTATAAATTCCTGTTAAACTAGATCATACAGATTTACCTTTATCCAATGAAAAAATTTAAATGTATTGTTCAAGAAAAGAATCAAAAGAGAGAAATGAACTCTGTATACTTACAATTAAATAATGTAGCAATTGGAAGAAAACTCTAGAGTATATTATCCCTAAACAGGTTCTGGGGTTGTTTTTCTTTCCTCCTCTCTTTTCTTCTCTCTCTTTTCTTCTTTCCCTCCTTTCTTTCTTATTATAAAAGAAATGCATACTTTTTTTTTTTTAATCCAAGCAATACTAAAAAATGACCATCCTCACTAACCTAGGACTAACTGTCTTCCTTCTCTCTCCACTAAGCAACTGGCCCTAGTCCACTGACATGGCTGCTTTGAAAGAGAAATGACTGAACATAGAGAAATTTTGTCTTATTTTGATAATGTCCATGTACCTCAGAGTAGATTCTAAATATCTGACCTCTTTTTAAAAAAAGAATCACTTATCATTTGAGGATTTTCAGGTCTCCAATATTTGTTCACAATGTTTTATTTGTGTGGGAAGATTAATATGCTCTTTTGGTTTTATTAAGTGTACCTATACTAGAACTGTATTAAAATTAAAGGGAATTAAGTTACTAATATATAGCCTTAGTTTGTAAATTCTAAGTAAAAATAAGCCATTTAATTATCTTTCCCAGTGAAACTTTAATTAGATATTTTTATAAAAAGAGAATTGCCTTTTAGTTTTTTTACTTTCTCCAGTTTATTTACTTTTATAAACTTTAGATTGTTAAAATATATGTATTTTTTAAGTGACAGTTTTGTTTTTTATAATATATAGTAAAGTACTATATATAGAAAACTGTAACTCATTTTAATAACTAAACAAAATAAATTAGAAAAGCCACAAATGTACATGATAGAAATTTTAAAGAGAACCAAAAGAAAAGAGCCTTTTACTTGCCATTGTCCCACCACTTACTCAGTGTCTCCAGACATTACCAAATGTCCTCGGGGATGGGGGGATATGGGGAGAAATCACTCCTGCTGAGAGCCATTGTTATAATTGCCTTTCTTTTCCTGTACTTTTTTTGGGGGAGGAGAAGGTGAGAAGTTTGGAAATTCAACATTAATAAAAACTTTCAATTAATACCCTGGTTTTCATTATAGTACTACTGCTTTCATCTGTGTTTGGTGGTCCCTAGTCTAAAGATGTCCTGTTTTGCCCAGCCACATAATAAACCTCAAGTCTTCATCCAGGAAAGGAGGAACGGTTGCCTGATGCCTAAGATTGAGACAGGGATCTGATGATCTATTTCTTAAATAGTCTTTTAACCAGGCCTGCAGTTTTTAACCTCATTTTTATCTGTACTTCCAGTGGTATCTAATGATACCAGTTCCTAACCTTTCTGGTAGTTAATGCATTCATTGTAAGTCAGGTACTATCTTAACTTTCTCAGTGGTCATCCTAGCTTTCAGCTTTCTCAGGTGTGCTGATTTAGTTATCACTGTTACTTGCTTTCTCAAAATTCCCCAATTATATTGCTCTCTTCTCTTACTGTTCTTGTTTTTGTAGGTTTCTTCCTCTCTCCCTCCCATCCTTCCTTTCTTTCTTCCTTCTCCCCTCCCTTCCTGTCTTTTATGATTTTTTTTTTTTGCATGGGATTTCAGGAGGGAGCAGAGGTAAATGAATGTGTTGAATTTTCCATCTTGAACCCAAAATTCAAGAATAGTTCTTTAGAGTTAGATTTTAAAAGTAGGAGGTTGTAAATCATTTTTTTAAATGTCTCCCTGTAAATATTTCCTTGATGAATTTAATACCATTTAATGTTATGACTCAACTATTTTTGTCTCTTAGGAACTGGCAACTTTAAAGTCTCAGTTAAACTCACAATCTGTGGAGATCACCAAACTACAGACAGAAAAGCAGGAACTGTTACAGAAAACAGAAGCGTTTGTAAGTATTTTCTCTTTTTTCTCTGGAAGGTAATAAAGACAAGGTTGATGTATTATTTCTTAGCCACAATTAAAAAGAAACAAATTCATCAGATAGCACCTTCTCTTTAGATTACTTACTAGCCGGTATTCTAGTAACATAGGCTTCATGTTCATGGTGACAGTCGTTTTATAGTCAGTCTCACCAGATTAGTTTATTCAGTTACTTAATAGTTTATTTTGCTGGTATTACATTCTATTTCTGTCCCTTCAGTCCAAGCTGGCAGTTTTTCTGCTGTCATAAAATATTCAGAAACCGTTGTTGTTTTCTCCAGAACATTCCTTCTCATACTTTTGCAATATAGGTAGACTGAGAATTTTCCAAATCTTCTAATTCTGATTCTTTTTTGCTTAGCAATTTCTTCTTCAATTTATCTCTCTTCTCTCACATTTAACTTTAAGCAACAAGGAGAAACCAGGCTGCACTCCAACACTTTGCTTAGAAACCTCAGTAAAATATCCAAATTCATTATTTACAAGTTCTGCTGTCCACAAAACACTGCAACACTATTTGGCCAAGTTATTTGCCACTTTATAACAAGGATTGCCTTTCCTCCGATTCCCAGTAACATGTTCCTAGTTTTCATCTGAGACCTCACCAAAAGCACCTTTAACATTCATATTTCTGCCAGCATTCTTCTTCTCACTATGACCATGAAGCTTCTTTCCAACTCCGCTCTTTTCTTTCTGAGCTCTCACCAGAATCACTTAATGTCCATATCTCTAGCAACAGTCTCATCAAGGTAATGCAGGCTTTGTCTACCATGCACCTCTCTTACAGCCTCTACTCATTACACAGTTCCAAAGCTACTTCCACATTTTTAGATATTTGTTGTGTCACTACCCGACTTCCTAGTATTTTAGAAAAAAGACAAGGAAAGACTGAAAAACTGTTATTCAGGAGTGTCTCCTCTAGCACTTGAGAAAAGATTTGCATTTCACTAATAATGATATTTGGCTCAATTTATCTACCTATCTAGGGTGGTAGTATGGACTTATAGGAAATTTATGAAGGAAAGGCTTTGAAAAATATTCTGTGTTTATTAAATGCTGGGTTACAGTTACATTAGAGCTGCCTTGCTGATTACTTTTCTGGGCTTACCTACCTTGAGGCACCTTAGCCCAGCCTTCCTCGTACTCTTATGAGATTTGATGCTCTTCCATGTGGGAACAGCTCATCTGACAGTGGAGAGCACTTTGTTGCACATAAATACATAAGGAATTATATTTTCTGTTAGTGAAAGTAAAATATCAAAATGGCAAAAAAATTAAATAACCCTTTGGGAGTTCATATTGATTGTAATGTTTAAGAGACATCTTTTTTTCCAATTTCTAATTTCAGGCAAAATCAGTTGAGGTACAAGGAGAGACCGAGACTATAATAGCCACCAAAACTACTGATGTAGAAGGAAGACTGTCAGCATTATTACAAGAGACCAAAGAGTTAAAGGTTTGTTTTTGGTGCAACTTTTATTTACTGCATATGATATGAAATGAACTCTAGGAAATTTTATATATCTTTCAAATTCTTAGATTTATGAAGAAAGCTAATGATGTGTAATTTTATCTCACAACATTTTCACTCCTATATTGATGATTTAAGATGGCACAAATGAAAATTTTTTTTGTTTTGGGTTTTTTTGTTTTGTTTTGTTTTTTTGAGATGGAGTTTCGCTCTGTCACCAGACTGGAGTACAGTGGCGCGATCTCGGCTCACCACAACCTCTGCCTCCCAGGTTCAAGCAATTCTCCCGCCTCAACCTACTGAGTAGCTGGGACTACAGGCGTGCACCACCACACCCAGCTAATTTTTGTATTTTTAGTACAGACAGGGTTTCACCACGTTGGCCAGGATGGTCTCCATCTCTTGACCTCGTGATCCACCTGCCTTGGCCTCCCAAAGTGCTGGAATGCTGGAATTACAGGTGTGAGCTGCCGCACCCAGCCACAAATGAAGCTTTTAAAATACTATTTCAAATAATGATAATATGTAAGATAAGCATACATATGCATGTACTATAAAAGTAAAATTTATTGAAAATATTTTTGTTTTCTTTCTTTCTTTTTCTTTTTTTTTTTGAGAGAGAGTCTCAATTTTGTGTTCCAGGCTGGATGGAGTGCAGTGGCATGATCTCAGCTCACTGCAGCCTCCACCTCCCAGATTCAAGCGATTCTCCTGCCTCAGCCTCCTGAGTAGCTGGGATTTCAGGCACCTGCCAACATGCTCAGCTAATTTTTGTACTTTTAGTAGAGACGAGGATTCGCCATGTTGGCCAGGCTGGTCTCAAACTCCTGACCTCAGGTGATCTGCCCGCATTGGCCCCCCCCAAAGTGCTGGGATTACAGGCGTGAGCCACCACACCCGGCCTGTGTTTTCTTTTTAAGATCAACATCTAATCACAATAACAAAACAAGGAGTACAAATTTAGCTAATACACAAGCCACATGTAGGCTTTCCATAAGCCGTGGAACATAGGCACATTAAATCCTGTCAGCATATTATTGTGTGACAGAGACATCAGAATAAATAGCATGAAGAAAGGAATGAGGTCACATTAAGGAAAATAAGGAAAATAATGTATAATTGTGCTTTTTGGATTGTGGCCAAATTATTTTATTTTTAAACCATAGATTTTTATTTGAAGCTATTTTCATTTAATTGTATGCTTGAAGTTGGGATAAAAAATTTTTTTTTAACTTGAGCTTTGAGTTCTAAAATTCTGGTACTAATCAGACTTCTTCTGTAAAATGCTTTGTGTTTCTGTTTACTCCTTTGATTATCTGAAATGGTACTGTTTTTTTTAAGTCTCTTAAAGGTTTTTTCAGGGATAGCTAACTAAAACTATTTTTTGGATGTTAAACTATTTTTTGGCAATAACCATTTTTGATGAACAGTCTAATAAATTCATGTTAGTGTGTGTGTTAAACCTCCTGTACCCTTAACCTCCACCCCTAAATTCCTTAGGTTGAACAAGTACAGTGATTTGTCATAGAAAGAAACTATTTGTTAAAAACTCTAGGAAAGTGAGTGCTAATTTTAGATTCCTGCCTTTCACCTTTCTTTTCCTAGAATGAAATTAAAGCTCTGTCTGAGGAAAGAACTGCCATTAAAGAGCAGCTGGATTCATCTAATAGTACCATTGCCATTTTACAAACTGAGAAAGACAAACTAGAGTTGGAAATTACAGATTCTAAAAAAGAACAAGATGATCTCTTGGTGCTCTTGGCCGATCAAGATCAGAAAATACTGTCATTGAAGAATAAACTCAAGGATCTTGGTCATCCAGTAAGATTAAAATGTCTCCAAAAATGATTTGTATTATGTTTTAGTATAATGCATTTAAAAGATTTTTAATGTAACATGGAAAAGTTGTGCCTGTATTATAGGAATGGATATGTGGGTTCATGAATATGGTACCATCTATACTGTTTTCACTGTTTTCATTGAATTTACTTAATACACAGATTAGGTTCAGTTTTCAGTACTTACAGACTATTTTCTTTTGGACCGTAAGCCTAGAAAGTGAATTGATTTGATTGGTAACAAGACTGTAGTCACCCAAGCATGTCATTATCTTTTGCCATGTTTGTTTCAGATTTGTGTGTAAAGAGGTGTAGCCATTTATCAGCAAAGTTAACTGATATATCTCATTCATATTAGAAATGACAGAGAGCCTTGGCATCAAATCAAAGAAATCAGATGGCTTATATTCTACTGTAGTTACTAGAATACAAAATTTGTCTGGGCACAGTGCTCACACCTGTAATCCTAGCACTTTGGGGGGCTGAGGTGGGCAGATTACCTGAGGTCAGGGGTTCGAGACCAGCCTGGCCAACATGGTGAAACCCCATCTCTACTAAAAATACAAAAATTAGCAGGGCGCTTGGTGGCAGGCACCTGTAATCCCAGCTACTCGGGAGGCTGAGACAGGATAATCGCTTGAACCTGGCAGGCAGAGGTTGCAGTGAGCCGAGATCGCACCATTGCACTCCAGCCTGGGTAACGAGCAAAACTCCATCTCAGAAAAAAAAAAAATTATCAGTAGTATATATTGTTAAATGTTGAATGTGACATGAACAGATTTTCACAATATTAAATACGTCTTTTTCCTCTAGGTTGAAGAAGAGGATGAACTTGAATCTGGAGACCAAGAGGATGAGGATGATGAAAGTGAAGATCCTGGCAAGGATCTAGATCATATCTAGTTTTCAAATCTCTAGGAACAATAGAGATTATATCATAACTCTGAAGATGGACTCTAAACTTTGGTTTACCTCCATGGAAAATAAAGATTTAGAAACCAGGTGGAAAACATTCACTATTAAGACTATTGATATATTTTTGTAATGTTGCCACCCATGTTGAAAACCTTAAAACTGAATTTATGTAGAACACACATCTTTTATTTAAATCCATCTGAACTGTCCCAAAATGTAATTTGCAAAGAGCTTCAAACACCAAAAATATACCATTTTAAGGCATGTGGTGACAATGCTATTTGCCTTAGTTCATTCGTTGTTTACTTTGCAAAATTTGTGACTTTTAAGTACTAACACATTTGATTGAATGTGTATTGAATTGGAATTATTATTTCTAAATTCAGCATTTGAGTCCTTAGTTGATGATTTTCTTTTAAAGAAATTAGTTTATTTAAAAGCAAGATAGCCTGGGTTGGGAGTTAGTGCATATCATCAGCCCTCCATCTAATGTGATTGCTAAGATGTGCAGGATAGGACAGCTTAGAATGAGTGCCTTGACACCTACATATGGCTGCATTCCATACCTCAGTGAAGAAGCCGAAGGATGCTGACACACAGTGATGTGGAGGGCATTCCGGAGAAACTTTTGCAACAGTGTATTAATGTGATTGGTTTTCTTTTTGTTTTAAGCTAAACATCTAAAACAAATTTCAAGTTAACAGTTCATACAACTCAGATTTAGTAGTATTGTTTATCATAAAACATATTATGTTCCTAGTTTTAAAAAGACCCAAAGTATGATTAATATAATTTATTGGCATTTTTGCTGAATAGGTTTAAGTCAGATAATAGATTTTAAAAAAGCAAATGAGGCAATGTGTCAAAATTTAATGTTTCATAATAAAAATAGATACGTTGACTTAATCCTTGGTCATGGTTCCCTTTGTTTACATCTTAAAAGTATTTTATTCTTAATAAAAGATGAGGCAAGTGAAAATGATGAGGCGACTTTTCTTATTAGGGGTACACAACTATAACTGAATGTTAAAAACAATCTTCTTTAAAACCAATGATTATGATTCCCTAAGATTGGAGGGGGTTAGAAGTACAGAAGTAGAAGAGGTTGGAAAAGGGTTTGGACGTTTTTAAATTCAGCACTGGAGTTCTTGGCAATGATTTCCTGTTGAAGAAGTGGGTTTACTTAAAGACAAGATAGCCTGGGCTAGAAAATAACGTATTTATCTGCCTTCTGGGGTCAGGAATAGGACACAACTTTTGAAAGAGAAGGAAGGTCACTGTCTTGATGAAGGAGACAGCTGTGTGTTACAGAGCACTCGTGAATGCTGCACTGTGCCCATGTTCCACCACTACTGCCATCCTAAGGTGGCACTTGCCATCAGAGAAAGAACTATATTACTGTCACCAGACCAGCTCAGATAGGTGAGGTCTTCCTAAAGTTGACAACCACATAATGAACCATGAGTTAATGACTACCTTTCAGGCTAACGTACGGTTAAAGAAAAATGGATCAGGAGTGAGAATTTGTAAATACAGAACACCAAAGATCTTCATTAAGAAACATCAGCAGAATCAGTGCTGCTGTGCTGAACTCAGTCACTCAGGATGGCTTGTAGTAGAGAAGACAGGAGGCCTCATAGCTGCACAGTTCAGCCCAGAGCCAAAGGGACATCTTCCCAACCCCAGCTGTAATTTTTTGCTGGTGAGCATCCTAAACTGGTCTCTGTCTCCAGTCCGGTTGTTACCTCTCCGACCCCACACTCCCACCATTCTCCATCTTCACCACAGTGAGCTATGGCAGGTGCCTACAGTTTGGAGTCCTTAGTACAGTAGATAAGATTCTTACCCCTAAGGTGTTGGTATTGGGAATTGGAGCCCTTGGAAGACAATACAGTCTTGGGGACAGTGGTCTCAATAATGGGATTAGTGCCCTTATGAAAGAGGCCCTGAAGAGACACCTTGCCCTTCCGCCATGTGCGAGTAGAGTGAGAAGATGTGTCTATGAGGAAGTGGGCCTTGACCAGACAGCACAACTGCCAATGCCTTGATCTTGGACTTCCCAACCTCCAGAATTGGGCTAAGTAAATTTCTGTTGTTTATAAACCACCTGATCTATGGTATTTTGTTACAGCATTCCAAACAGACATGACAGATGACATAAATTCTGCTTTCTCCTTTCTCACTTTGCTTTTGCACATGCCCTTTCCTCTGGGTCAGCCCAGGGCTACAGTAGTGGAGCAATAATCATAAAGCATGAAACCATATTTGTCCTTATGATTTGAAACTTATTCAAGTGTAGTTTATACCTCTAGCACCTCCAAAAGAAAAGAGTACCCAAAGTTACTAAAAGAGGTAAAGTGACAGCTCACATTTTAATGGGTTGAGTTACTGGTCTGAAATTATGCTGATAGAAAAAGCAAACCCTTATGTTTCATAGTTTTGTTACAACCAGTTAAGGGTCTCATGATGCTCATCAGAACTAGTAATCTTCACTGGTATAGCAAAACGTATTAAATCATTCAACTATAGGCATTGGGAATATAACGGTGAAAAAGACAAAGTCCCTTTCCTCATATAACTTACATTCTAGAGTGTAAACAAGCAAGAATAAATCTAATAAAAATTCTACACCTTTACCTTGTTTCCCCCCACCTTTTTTTTGTTTTGTTTTTTTGAGACAGAGTCTTGCTCTGTCACCCAGACTGGAGTGCAGTGGGGCATTCTCGGCTCACTGCAACCTCCACTTCCTGGGTTCAAGCAATTCTCCTGCCTCAGCCTCCCCGAGTAGCTGGGACTATGGGTGCCTGCCACCCCATCCAGCTAAGTTTTGTATTTTTAGTAAAGACAGGGTTTCTCCATGTTGGCCAGTCTGGTCTCAAACTCCTGACCTCAGGTGATCCGCCTGCCTCAGCCTCCCAGTGCTGGGATTATAGGCGTGAGCCACCACACCCAGCCCTCCCCCCACTTTTTAACCTATTGTTTATATCTTACTGTACTGTCTATGTCTTGGAAAGTTGTAGTTACTATTTTTGATAGGTTCATCATTTAGTCTTCCTATGTAGAATAAGAGTGGTTTATACACCACAATTACAGTGTTATAATATTCTGTGTTTTTCTGTGTACTAACCTTCAGGTGGTTACTTACTGCTCATGAACATCCTTTTCTTTCTGACTGAAGTACTCCCTTTAGCATTTCTTGTAGGACATATCTGGTGTTGATGAAATCCCTCAGCTTTTGTCTTGGAAATTATTTTCCTTTCATGTCTGAGGGATATTTTCACTGGATTTACTGTTCTAGAGCAAAAGGCTTTTTTTCCTTCAGCACTTCACAAGGTGGTATGTCATGTCACTCTTGGTCACAGGCCACAATCAAGGTATCAGCCAGGTTGTGTACTCATCTGCAGATCCAACTGGGAGAGAATCTGCTCCACAAACTCACTGAGGTTGTTAGCAAAATTCATTTTCTTATAACTGTAAAACTGAGGGCTTCAGTTTTTTTGCTGGCTGTTGATTGAAGTGTGCCTTCAGCTACTAATGGCCCTAGAACCCCTAGTTCTTTGCCTAATGGGCTTCTTCAACATGCTCACTTGCTTCATGAAGGCAGCAAGACTGAGTCTCATATAATGTAACATGATCACGGGGGTGACATCCATCACCTTGCCATATGATGTAACACAATCATGGGAGAGATTGCCCATCACTTTTGCCATGTTTTATTGGTTAGAAGCCAGTCAGGTCCTACCCACCGTCAGGATAGGGCATCACACAAAGGCATGACTACCAGAATATAGAGATCATTAAGTTGCCACATACTTTTATTTTCTTGAACCTAATTGTTAGTCTCAAGATGTTTTCAAAATAACATAGGGGTAAGGGGAACTGGGGAGGTACAGTTGGAAGGGGATAATACGTTTAACAGCAAAGGTTTGTGTGAAACCCCACCCACCTTATTTAGTTTCAGACTGAGATCTTTGCAAATGGACAACTAAATAGGTCAAAGTACCTATCACATTAGTCAATAAGAAATGTAACAATGGCCAGGTGTGGTTGCTCAGACCTGTAATCCCAGCACTTTGGGAGGCCAAGGCGGGCGGATCACTTGAGGTCAGGAGTTTGAGACCAGCCTGGCCAACATAGTGAAACCCTATCTCTACTAAAAATACAAAAATCAGCCAGGTATAGTGGCGTGCACCTGTAGTCCCAGCCACTGGGGAGGCTGAGATACAAGAATTGCTTGAACCCGGGAGATGGAGGTTGCAGTGAGCCAAGATCACGCCACTGCATCCTGCCTGAGCAACAGAGCAAGACTCTGTCTTTAAAAACAAAAGGCAAAAAACAAAAAAAAAAAAAAAGAGAAATGTAACAGTATAAAGAGAGAGATGTAATAGTGTAAAGCTGTCAACCACGATCTAGATATTAGTCTCTTACAAATTTGTATGTTCAGGTCAGTTCTCTGACCTTCATTTCCACTTGTTGTCTCTAGTATCTCAGACATCTCACATGTATCAAATGTTAAAAATCAAATTCATGTTCCTCTCCTCCCCATATCTGGTCCTCTCTTATGCATATCTCAGTAATTTGGCACCATCTTTTATCCAATTGCACAAACAGGACAGCTCAGACTCATCTTTAATAACTACCTCAGTTTTGGTCTGAATGCCTAAAAAGTTCTCATATTTGTCCATCTTCTTCCATCTGCCTGGTATTCTCTCCTGGCTCTTAAGCACTTGCTCTAACTGAAAGGGCCACTTGGCAAGAAACTGGGGCAGCCTCCCACCGACAGTCAGCAAGGAACTGAGGCCCTCAGTCCAGCCGCTCAGAAAGAAATCAACCTGCTCAACAACCACTAACTGAGCTTGGAAGTGGTTCCTGCCCCAGCAGAACATGAGCTGACTGTAGACCTGGCTGACACCTTGATTGTAGTTTTATGAGAGACCCTGAAGCAGAGGGCCTAGCAAAGCCATGCCAGATTTCTGACCCACAGACATTGGGAGATGGTAAGTGTGTATTGTTTTAAGCCACTTAGTTTGGGGATAATTTATTCTGCAGCAATGAATAACAAATATATAGGAGGTGGTAGTACATAGTACCTAGTTATCTTCTTTTTTAAATTGTTTTTATTTTTTATTTTTAGAGACGGGGGTCTCATATGTTGCCCACGCTGGTCTCAAACTCCTGGGCTCAAGCAATCCACCTGCCTCAGCCTCCCAAAGTGTTGGAAGGCAGTGAGCCATTGCACCCTGCCCCCTTTCTTTTTAATGTCTCTTTCACAATTTTGATAGTTTTTACCACTACAAATTTCTACCTTATGTGTTGGGATGAAATCTGCTTTCCTGTTGTTGATTGTAGTTTGCTTCGTTATGATCCTGCAGTCTTAAGCAGCAAGTAGGTACCCCCGTGCCTGCTCTCTAGGCAATCTTCCCTGCTTTTTCAAGTGTTCCTTGGTGGTTCCTTGAATAAACTCTGTCTGTGTACACTGTACCCAGATTGAGCAGAAAAGACAATCACCTCCATGTTTTGAATACTTTCCTTGTCTGAAAGCCACTTACTCCATGTGAAGCAAGGCTGGTAAGGTGCTCAGTAAATGTTGGCTGTTAAAATCATGTTCTCAGGCCGGGTGCAGTGGCTCATGCCTGTAATCCCAGCATTTTGGGAGGCCGAGGCGAGTGGATCACCTGAGGTCAGGAGTTTGAGACCAGCCTGGCCAACATGGAAACCCCGCCTCTACTAAAAATCTAAAAATTAGCTGGGTGTGGTGGCGTGCACCTGTAATCCCAGCTACTCAGGAGGCTGAGGCAGGAGAATCACTTGAACTCAGGAAGTGGAGGTTGCAGTGAGCCACGATGGCGCCATTGCACTCCAGCCTGGGTGACAAGAGCAAAACTCTATCTCAAAAAAAAAAAAATAAATAAAAAATCATGTTCTCAATGTAGTCCAACATTTTAGTAGCTTTTTAGGAGACACTGTAGCATTGCAGACTTGTTGCCTGCTTATTTTCCACAAGTGCTGTTGTTAAGCAGTTTTGTATTTGAGCAGCTGTTCTTTTTGACTCCCAAGGACGCTCCAGTTTAAATTTCAACTTGTAAAGTTCCCTACATTGCTGCAGCCTTTCAGGCTCTTTTTTATATTCTGATTTTTATCATAAACACTTCATATTCTCCATCTCTAAAGAAAAAAACTGGTGGAGGAATTGTTTTACCCTGCGGACCTCACCATGTTATTGCCACAATTCAATATGCTCATGCAGTGGAAAACTCATAAAATTTCAGGTTTATTTTTTTATTTAAGATCAGTTATAACACATTATATAATTGAGATTGCTTATGGTTTAGAAGTGCTATTAGATATCTAATAAAGATACAGAATAAACATATAATAAAGATAATAGGATTCTGAACCTCATTTAATATATCTAAATAACTTTAAAATTTTCTAATCTTATATAATTGGTATTTTTCTTGTTAATAAATACAAAGCATCTAGTGTTGAAAAAGTACACAAAGTACTTTTGCAAAGTACATTGCAAAAGTAAGACATTAATTTGTCTTAAATCATAATCTCTCAAAACTTTCATACTAAGGCAAGTAAATGAATACATTATGACAAAAATTATGTAGATATTGAATTCAAAGCAGTATCTTCCTTGTTCAAGTTGCGGTATGAGCATATCTTTATTCTGTTTGGTCATTTTTGAAGGGTGTTAACAATATGCTGCCATTTCAGTGACAAATTTCTCATATCAAAGCACTCTTTCTCCCAATTTAATAATCTTGAGTCATAGTAACAATCAGTATTCAAAGGAAAAAAGTTTTGAGTTAAAAGATTTTAATATTTAAGGTAACTTGGGTTATAAGTAACAGAGAACCTAATTCAGAATAAGTGAGACTAGAATATTTGGAAATGAGCATAGAAAACTCCCGTGAGATATCTTGCTGTCATAGAGAGTTGAGAAATGAGCCAATAATTGGAGTAGGATGTGGGGTCAACAGGGAGACATATTTTAAAATAGGAAATACTAAAGGAAATACACTGATGGAAATGTTTGGCTAGAAAAGAGGAGGTGTTTACAGTGCTAGAGTCGTCCTTGGGGATAAGGTCTAAAGCACAGTGGCAAGGGAAACCTTGGATTGGTTTATAAACAATATATCTGTAGTAACAGGAGAGAAGGTGGAGAATATGGATTAAAAAGGAAATTGATGGGTCTGTGGTGGTGGGAATGTGTCAAAATTTTATCTCATTGCTTCCATTTTCTAATTTAAACAGGAAGCAAGATACCCATTGAAAGTAAGAACTGGGGAAGAAATTTGATGAAAGTGGAGATATTATAAAGATAGATGTCTTAGAGTGGAGTGTGGGAAACTGAATGGGCCAGGAAAATGTAGTTCCAAGCATCAACTTCAGACACAAAAATGTCCAGAGGAGTGAGACTTTATTGTCTGTGTCTCTTTTTGAGGGCCTGGAAATCTTTTCTTGAAGCTTCCAGCCGACTGCCTATCAGTAAGGGTTAACATCTCTGAACATGTTTAGGTCTACCTGGGAAGGTGACCTTGGGTCTGCCTTCTCACAGCACTGTTCCCTTGGCAACTACCAAGTTAAGCTAGTTGAGGAATGCTTTGTGCTAGGAACTGACTACCTGCCTTGTTTGCTGTGAAATCCCCTATCTGTGGATCTCCACGTGAACTGGGAGAGCTATGAGTTGGCACCCAGACAGACAACTGATGAGAGACCTACCAAGTGAAGCCGGGCACTTCAATCTTCCTCAGGAGCTATACACACCCTAGAAAGGTGATGGAGGCCAAGAAAATGTATACATAGTAGTCTCTGAGCCTCCAGACGACATGAAGATACTATGCACTCCGTATTCCTGTATTGTATCACTCTATAAAGTTAACAAATGAAGTATTAGAATGAAGTCTGTTATATCATATGAGTTTTACTGGCAACCAAAACCTGTGACTGGTGCTGATAGGGACAGAATTGTATTTGAAGCAGGATTGGCATTCAGATCCTCAATTTGCATCTTCCTGTTTTATGGTCATAATTGGCTCACAGACCCATTTACTGGCAAACCTATTACTGTCAAAGGGAATGAAACCACCATGATTGCCTTGACTAATTGCAGTTAGTCACTCACGTTCCTGGTGTGTAGTAGGTGAGTGGGCAGCACCTCTTAAAGCACACTTCTCGGGGTGGGTGATAGATACATAAACAAAACAAGGGTTATGTTAGGAAGAAGGAAACCTAAACCCTTGCTCCTACACTTTTAAATTTCTGAGCGAATTACAAAACCTCTAAGAATCTTAGTTTCTTCCTGGAGCTAATTATACCTACCTAATAGGGTTATTGTGAAGATTAAAATTATTGAATTTCTTTTTTCTTTTTTGAGACAGAAGCTCTGTTGCCCAGGCTGGAGTGCAGTGGCACGATCTCGGCTCACTGCAAGCTCCGCCTCCCAGGTTCACGCCATTCTCCTGCTTCAGCCTCCCGAGTAGCTGGGACTACAGGCGCCGGCCACCACGCCTGGCTAATTTTTTGTATTTTTAGTAGAGATGGGGTTTCACCATGTTAACCAGGATGGTTTCGATCTCCTGACCTCGTGATCTGCCCGCCTCAGCCTCCCAAAGTGCTGGGATTACAGGCGTGAGCCACCACGTCTGGCCTAAGAGTGGGTTTCACCATGTTGGCCAGGTTGGTCTCGAACTCCTGACCTCAAGTGATCCACCTGCCTCAGCCTCCCGAAGGGCTGGGATTACAGGCATGAGCCACCACGCCCAGCCTTAAACTTTTAATACACACATAAAAGTCTGCTTAGGCTGAGTTATGCTGTAGAAACAAACAAGTCTTAAATTTCAGTGGCTTACCCAAAGGTACTTCTTGTACACATTCATATCTTTGGCATGCCAGCTGTGGCTCTGCTCCAAATCTTCATTTCAAGACCAACACTGAAGAAGCAGCTTCTGGCTGGGTATAGTGCCTCGTGCCTGTAATCCCAGCACTTTGGGAAGGTGAGGCAGGTGTATCGCTTGAGCCCAGGAATTGGAGACCAGCCTGGCCAACATGGCAAAACCCCCATCTCTACAAAAAAAAAATACAAAAATTAGCCAGGAGTGGTGGCACATGCCGATAGTCCCAGCTACTCAGGAGGCTAAGGTGGGAGGATCGCTTGGGACCAGGAGGCAGAGATTGCAATGAGCAGAGATCGTGCCGTTACATTCCAGCCTGGGCAACAGAGTGAAACCCTGTCTCAAAAAAAAGCAGCAACTTCTCTCTGGGAAAGGCAGGTCTTGTGACAGAGGCAAACGAGAGATGGCAGAATCTCACAGTGGCATTTATAACTTCTGCTTTGAAGTGGCAACATTTCCATTCACATGTCATTGGCCAAAGCAAGTCATGTCCAAACTAATATCAATGCAAAGCATAATCCCATAAGGACACATCTGATATAGAGGGGCAGTGAAAATGTCAACAATAATATAATCTATGAGAGGATACAGAAGCATAACCAGTAAATGTTAGTGTCCTTCCCTTTCCTCTTTTCCCTTACTGGTTCCCCCTGAGAAACACAAGTGTACAGCATGGAGAGGCTGTGTGATGTCATAATTAAGAGTGTAGATTCTGAGAACAGACTGCCTGAGTTCAAATCCTTACTCTGCCATTTTCCAGCTGTGTGGCTTTGGGCAAGTTATTTAACCTCTCTGTGCCTCAACTTCTTCATGTAAACTGGCAGTAATAATAATACGAATGCCACAGAGCTGTGGATGAAATGAGCCCATGTAAGTAAAGTGCATAGTACATGGTAAGCCCTATATGAAAGTGTTAACTTTGTTATTGCTCCTGTCATTATTGAAGGAAACCTGGTGGGAAGTCAAAAGACCTAATATAAAATCTCAGCATTATAATTCTTTTTTTTTTTTTTTAAGATGGAGTCTTGCTCTGTCGCCCAGGCTGAAGTGCAATGGCGTGATCTAGGCTCACTGCAACCTCCTGCTGGGTTCCAGCGATTCTCCTGCCTCAGCCTCCAGAGTAGCTGGGATTACAGGTGCGCGCCACCATGCCCAGCTAATTTTTTTTGTATTTTTAGTAGAGATGGGATTTCACCATGTTGGTCAGGCTGGTCTCGAGCTCCTGACCTTGTGATCCGCCCACCTTGGCCTCCCAAAGTGCTGGGATTACAGGCGTGAGCCAGCGTGCCCGGCTGCATTATAATTCTAATAGTGACTTTGAGCAAGTTACATAATTTCTGCAAACCGCTTATTCCTTCGTCTGTAAAATTAGAATAACACTCATTTCTGGAGAGGCCACTTAGGACAATGGTTAAAAGTATGGACTGTGGAGCTGGAATACCTTGGATCAAATTCCAACTCCACCACTTTCAAACTGTGTGACTTTGGGCAAATTACTTCAATTTTATTATCCATAACACAGGGACAATCATCATACCTTACCTTCACAGGAATAGTATGAGAATTAAGTGGATTAACAGTTGACATGCAACATTGTTAGAATAGTGCCTGGTGCTTAACAAAGGTTCATTAACTGTTTGGCACATAGAGGAAGTGCTTCATAAGTGTTAACTATTCTCACAGGCTATGAGGGGATTGGCTGTATGAACAGGCATGAAAATGCTTTATGAAAAGCAGTGGTCAAACACGGAGACTCAGGAATCTGCAGTATAGAAGTCTATGGCTATGTCGTTAGGCTTAACCAGGCTTAGCATGTCCAGCCAGTGGCAAGCACTTTCTTCTGGAAGCCTGTCTGGTGCAGAGGGACCTCCTTAACTGTTTCCTTTCATGGGGATGGGCCCTGGCTGCTGTGCTTGTACCTTATAACTTGTAGAAGCAAAAGCTGATACTTCACCCTGTTTCCAACATGATTGAGCACTTTACAAATCAAATTCAGGACAAACAAAGCTTTGCACCCTGAGATAAACCAAAACCACCCCGACTAGTTCTGATCTCTAAAATAAGAAAACCTTGACTTATTTCTTGTAAAACTAAACTCCCTAACCAAAATAATTTTACCTCTGATTTTTGCTAAGGAATGTCTGAAGACACATCATAACCTTTGTGACAATGCTAATCATGTGGGAATGGTGCTGTTTCCCCACCACAAGCTGGCCAATGTAACTATTATAATCTTGGTAACTTTGAGGGGTTTTTTTTCCTTTAAATGTTTGTTTGGGGCCGGTCATGGTGACTCATGCCTGTAATCCCAGCACTTTGGGAGGCCAAGGCAGGTTGATCACTTGAGGTCAGGAGTTCAAGACCAGCCTGGCCAACATGGCAAAACCCTGTCTCTACTAACAGTACAAAAATTAGCCGGGTGTGGTGGGGCATGCCTGTAGTCTCAGCTACTTAGGAGGCTGAAGCAAGAGGATTGCTTGAGCCCAGGATTTTGAGGTTACAGTGAGCCATGGTCATGTCACTGCACTCCAGCCTGGAAAACAGTGTGAGACGTTGTCAAAAAAATATATATCTATATATAGATATATATAATATATATATCTATATATAGATATATATAATATATATATCTATATATATAATATATAACATATATTATATATATAATATATAACATATCTATATATAATATATATATCAATATATAATATATATCTATATATATTATATATATTTATATATACACACATATATATAATATATACATATACAATATATGTTTTTGTTTTCTAATTTGAAAAGTCTGTTTTTCCAAAGTCTAACTCCCTCTTTCTTTGTAAGTAAACTCTGTCTTTTGTTTTCTAAAATGTTTCTATCTTGGCTATAGTTGACTAGACGAGGGAAATTCATATCTGTATTCTTTTTCAGTCCGGTCTGGCTTCTTTAACCAGGAAGATGTGGGCTGAGAGCTGTGGAGTAGATGTCTTCACCAGATGAGTACACAGAGAAGTAGAGAATGTGTATCTGCAGAGTAGGATGAAGCAGAGACAAGGTGGGATGGGAGAGAGACAGGGGCTGCAGGACAACCCTACCATCAATACACCCAACAGTCGCCATCCTACCCCACTTATTTATTCACTTAGTAACACTAATTACTCTCTAAAAATACTTGACTATTTATTTGTGTATCTACACCCACAGGAATGGATGTAAGTGCTATGAGGGCAGGAAGATTGTTTTTCCTACCACTGAATTCCCAGGACCTCAATCAATGCTTGGTATATAGTGGGCACTCCATAAACATTGGCCGAATAAATGAATTCTATTTACTTGTTCACAATTGTAGGGGAGGAAAAAATTATGTTCCTTCTATCCATCTTAAATTCATTGGCTGAGGCCCCAGTAAATTAGACTGAATAAAGATAGACTAATAAAAGTATGCAAATTGATTTAATACAAAATTTACATGTTGTGGGAGCCTTCATAAGGAAATGGAGACCCAAATAAATGGTGAAACTCGAGCTCGATGAAGAGTGGAAAATCGTGGGTAAATGTGATAGGACAAAAAGGGGTATGAGCTAAGAGTGGTAAACTGGGGCAAGGCACATTCATTCGGGTTCCTCTCAGCAGTCTTCCGTCTTTGGAGATAAGGATGCTCCTTTTCTGCAGATATAGGGAGGACACCTCTCACATGAGGGTCTTGTAAGCTGTTTCAAAGGAAGCTCAGAGAGTCCTTCCAGCACCTGCCATTTATCAAATCCCTCAGCTTAAAATATTCAGTATGCCAGTGTGCCATATTTTGGGGTAATATATTCTGAACCCTCCATAATCAAATTAAAATTTTGAGAGCTTCTGTCCTATTGTTTCAAAGATCTTGTTACCTGCTTTGAGTTATTGAGAATTTAACAGAATTGGGGATATGAAGTCTGAGACTTTAAAAATGATGAGACTTTACTACATGGAATGAGTTTTAGTGGAGCAACCCTTCAAGACAGCCAATAATGTGTGAAACCTCACCAACCATCATGCAGAATGATCTAGGATGATTTCTCCCAACCACTCCCATGGATTATAATGAGGAGCCCTCAACAAAAGGAGAGGGGGCTGTCATGGTTTGTTCCTGTCTTTGTTATGAAATCCAAAGGCACATGATTGCTTGGTTTTATGTGTGACTTTTATGGAACATTATTTATCCAGAAGAAGTTCCCTTCAAATTGCCTTTACCTTCCAAAATAGTCAAAGGAATGCCCTTTATAAGCAGGCAATTAACATGGGCATTTTGTGCAATTTATAGTAATAGACTAAAATGTTTCTCATATTATCCACCAAGTTCCTGTTCTTGATAAATCTGTTTTGATCACAATAAATATTTTTTCTTTTTCTTTTTTTTTTTTTTTTGTTGTTGTTTTGGAAATGGAGTTTCACTCTTGTTGCCCAGGTTGGAGTGCAATGGCACGATCTCAGTTCACCGCAACCTCTACCTCCCAGGTTCAAACGATTCTCCTGCCTCAGCCTCCCGAGTAGCTGGGATTACAGGCATGCGCCACCATGCCCAGCTAGTTTTGTAGAGACGGGGTTTCTCCATGTTGGCCAGGCTGGTCTTGAACCCTTGACCTCAGGTGATCCGCCCGCCTCGGCCTCCCAAAGTGCTGGGATTATAGGCCTGAGCCACCATGCCCAGCCAAATATTTTTTTCTAGTTAGGTATTTAATCTTTGTTAATATGGAGATAAGCAATTTCCCATCTTAATTAAGGAGTAATGTGGATCTGTATGGCTCATTTTTGTTTGCTCTCCTCTAAATGAGAAATTTTTCTATGGGCTAAAATACCATTTAGTGAATTTAAGCACTCATCAAAATTTTAAAATAAATGTATTTATTGTGCCCATTTGTTTCCAGAGTTTCCTTGTTTTTGAGTTCTTTTTTCCCATGCGTGTGTGCATGTGTGTTAAAGATACAAATAAACCATTTGTGAAGATACCATTGTTTTTAAAGAACTCATTTTCAAATGATGCAGCAGTATCTTCAACAATGTTTTATAAGCCCTTCCGATCTATATTTAGCTTTGTAGAAAATGTGTTCATAATGAGGAAGGCTCAAGGTGCAGAATATGGGGGGGGGGCAGTGGTAGCTGGGTCCTGTCTTCACTACAAAACCAAGGATCCTTGGTTTAAGTGTTCCACTGTATTTACATTTATTTGGGCAGATAAATATTTGCCATGGCCAGGCATGGTGGCTCACACCTGTAATCCAAACATTTCAGGAGGCCGAAGTGGGAGGATCACTTGAGCCTAGGAGTTTGAGTCTAGCCTGGGTAACATAGTAAGATCCTGTCTCTTACAAAAAAAAAAAAAAATTAGCTAGCTAGGTGTGGTGACTCACCTGTAGTCCTAGCTACTTGGGAGGCTGAGGTAGGAGGATCACTTGAGCTCAAGAGTTTGAGGCTGAAGTGAGCTATGATTGAGCCATTGTACTCCAGCCTGGACAACACAGACCCAGGCCCTATCTCTTAAAAAAAAAAAAGTATATATATATATTTTAAAAATAGAAACATTTTCCTTAGTTCCTCTTTTATGTAAATTACTTTGAGTTGTGCTCTCCATACTTTTTCTTTATTCTGTTGGGACTCAGAGAACACTACTCCAAAATGAAGGCCTCAGAAGTAGCTTCAGAAGCAAAAAGTTTTATCTGACCTTCTGCCCTCCTGTCTCTCAGTCCCATTATCCCCCAAAGCTAGTGCTAGAAACTAGAATCCCTCTTTCCCAAGGCAAGTCATAGAAACCAGAACACCTTTTCACTCTTAACTTTCCCTTTGCCTGTCTGTGTAAAACCTAGCCATAAAGAAATTATCTGGCCAGGTGCGGTGGCTGGTGCCTATAATCCCAGCACTTTGGGAGGCTGAGGTGGGTGGATCACCTGAGGTCAGGAGTTCGAGACCAGCCTGGCCAATATGGCGAAACCCCGTCTCTACTAAAAATACAAAACATTAGCCAGGCATGGTGGGTGCCTGTAATCCCAGCTACTTGGGAGGCTGAGGCAAGAGAATCGCTTGAACCGGGGAGGCGGAGTTTGCAGTGAGCCAAGATTGTGCCATTGCACTCCAGCCTGGGCAACAAGAACGAAACTCCACCTCAAAAAAAAAAAAAAGAAAGAAAAGAAATTATCTGACCTACTTCGTTTGAATGTAGGTCACAAGACCCCCATTCCAGAGAGGGTTCTGCCCCGTACCCAGAAGGAAGGAAAAGTAGGAATGCTGCTCAGAGAAGCCAAGAAGAATCTAGACAGACAGCCCTTGCTGAGTTTCCGCTCAGTCTGGTAGCATGCTCTTTTGTCCAATCATATTTCTACACATTGTTCCATACTTTGTTGAATGTAAGCATAAAAATGGACACTGTCCCCTGTATCTTTGGGTCTTCGTTCTGAAGGCTACTGTGCACATGTTAATAATAAATTTATATGCCTTTTCTATTAATCTGGCTCTTGTCCATGATTTTTTCAGAGAACCTCCAGAGAGTAAAGGGGAAATTTTCCCTTGGCCCTGACAGGTCTCCTAACTTTCAGTAGTTTTGTATAATGCCTACACTTCTGTGATGGTTTTGTATTTTTTTCTTGTTTTGGTTAAGAAAGGCAGTTACTTTTATTCAAATTGATTTGAAAGCAATATAAGAAGTGATTTGTGGAACCTTGGATGAAAATGGACCCATTGTCAGTCACTGTTTTTGAATGTTTTAGTACAGCCTGTTACATAATAATTGAGTCATCATTCCACCAATCTGATTCTTTATTATTCTTTGTGTTTTAAAAACGGGGCTTTGGTCTTCATTTTCTATCTTTCCTACTTTATATAATTGAAATTGCTCAGACTGATTAAATTAATATTATCAAGTGAGAGAACTGTATGTCTACATGAGTAAAAAGTCTTAGTCATCGTCAAAAGAATGTTAGAATAGACAATGACCTTGGAAAATTGTTGTATTATAGATATCTGCACATTGAACTCTATTCCTCTTATTAAGGAAGTACAGATGGAGAAGTTTATCTATTCGGTGTTTATTACTGCATTAAAGTCTCACCAAGTACCTATTGACTACATCTAAATTATAGTAATTTTTTAAAAAGGCATGAAATATAAATGTCTCCACTTGGGCACAAGCACATCCAATTGCCTTTAATGGAGATAAAATAACCATTAGGATCTTTTCCAAGCCCTTGAGCATTAGATGAAAATTTTTATAATTAGAGTGTGTAGCAATGGCTTTTAGTTTTGAAGTCTTTGCAGCCATATATTTGACTTTATTTATTTATTGGTTGTGAGACAAGGTCTCACTCTGATAAGAACAGATACTACACTTGATCTTAGCCAAAAGGCCAAGAAGCGATAGAGTCTCACTCTGTCACTGGGAGTGCAGTGGCACAATCACAGCTCACTGCAGCCTCAACCTCTGGGCTCAGGTGATCCTCCCACCTCAGCCTCCCAAGTAGCTGGGACTACATGCACACTGCACCAAGCGCAGTCAATTTTTCTATTTTTTGTAGAAATGGGTTTTTTTTCATGTTGCTCAGTCTGGTCTCGAACTCATGAGTTCAAGCAATTCTTCTGCCTTGGCCTCCCAAAGTGCTAGGATTACAAGCATGAGCCACTGCACCAGACATATTTATATTTGTTATATATTAAAAAACTTTTTTTGTAGAGATGGGAGTCTCACTCACTATATTGCCCAGGCTGGTCCTGAACTCCTGGGCTCAACAACCCTCCTGCTTCAGCCTCCCAAAGTCATTTGACTTTAAACAGCCAATCACTTTCTTGAGTGGTAGATTAGATCATTTCAGTGTGTTTCTGGTAACACTATGAAGTTTTTGCTTGGTTTTTAGCAGAATTCATTTATTCTAGGTCTTTTTGATGACTTGCCTTGGCCAGGATTGGCTAGCAGATTTTACCTGTATGACAACTTGGTGCACTGGTGCAATTTGGTTGAGATTATGAGACCACATTTTGCTCAGTGGGGCAAGATGTCCTGCTCCCTTAGTGATGTCTGCCATGGGAAAGAGAATGGATATTGGTGATGGGTTGTACATCTGCCATCAAGTAAGCACAGTGAAGCCTTTAGGCAACCTTTGAAAGCCATTGAGTTACCTTTAATGCTCTCTCATTTTTCAGATGAATTTAAGTGAATAATGATGCCAAAGCATCTCATGGAAAAAAAAACATGAATAAAAAGCATTGCTCTAAATGTAACGTTATCAAAATCACTGGTTAAAGCAACATATAGCACTCTTGTTTTTGATACCAGTCTTGTGAATAAGGTATTCAGGAAGCACAGCTGTCTTTTGTTCCTGAAGCCGTATCAGGATTCAGCAGGAAAGAGCACCAAGATCACTTGGCAATGTTTATCCTGATCAAGCACGGGCACTGATGGCAGGTATGCCAACTATTTTGACATAAATTCTAGATATATGGTAGACCTGTACTATGTCATATCTATGTCTATGTTTATATCTATATCTATACAATGTCTATAACTATCTATCCGTTTGGAAAGAGCAAGAATTGGTTCTTTTCGGGGTTCTCTCCTATATCCCATACAATCAAACAATAAATATGTGTTGAATAAATCACTTGTGCAAATTCTAAAATTCACATATGACCCTGTATTTTATCATATCTCCCATAGAATAGGTGAGAACCAGAGAAAAATATTGTTAAGCCCAGGAGCCCAAGCTATATGATCAACTGGAAAGACTCAGTAGGTAATTTGTTCCTAGAAAGCAGCCTATGGCAACAAATGATTGAAATTTCCACCTTGATAAAATGACGAATTACTACATGTCAGAGATTTCTAGTTTGCTTGTAAATAATGAAAGCTGTGATGATAAATCCCAGATTTTCACCCTGAGGTACCCTATCAGCAAAACAGTAAATGCCATTCATTCTTCTGGAGGCCTTGCCAAAAAAAGTCATTGCCTAACTAAAAAATATGCTGGAGTCTCACATTTTGTCTTAAAATTTCATGTGAATTTTGGATTTTATGCCACAATACATATTTATTATAATATTAACATTAAATTACCAGTTAAATTTCTTAAATTTTTCTAAAAAATTTTGAAAAAGCTGATAGTCCCAGAAGATGTATCATGTTTAGCTTGTGTCTTGGCATATCATCAAGTCCAAGGAGCACATGACAGATGAGAAAGGTGAGTGTAATCCATGGAACTTGGTCAATGCAGTAGGTTGAATTGTGTCCCCCCAAAAGATATGCACAAGCTCAGCTGGGTGTGGTGGCTCACACCTGTAATCCCAGCACTGTGGGAGGCCAAGGCAGGCAGATCACTGGAGGTCAGGAGTTTGAGACTAGGCTGGCCAACATGGTGAAATCCCATCTCTACTAAAAGTACAAAAATTAGCCAGGCGTGATGGCAGGTGCCCATAATCCCAGCTACTCAGGAGGCTGAGGCAGGAGAATCGCTTGAACCTGGGAGGCAGAGTTTGCAGTGAGACAAGATTGCACCACTGCACTATAGCCTGGGTGACAGAGCAAGACTCTGCCTCAAAAAAAAAAAAAAAGATATGCATAAGCTCTAGCTACCCCACTCCTTTTTCTGTGAATGTGACCTTATTTGGATATACGGGTCTTTGCAGATATAATTAAGTTGAGGATCTCAAAATGAGATAATGCTGGATTTAATCCAATGAGAGAGATCTGAGACCCAAAGAAACAGGGGAGACAGTCATATGAAGAAGGAGGCTGCTATGGTTTGGATGTGGTTTGTCCCCACTAAAACTCCTGTTGAAATTTGATCCCCAGTGTGGCAGTATTGGGAGATGGGAAGTGTTTGGGTCATGGGAGCAGGTGTCTCATGAATAGGTTAATGCCCTCCCAGTGGAGAGCATTCTCATTCTTGTGGGACTGGATTAATTACTGAAGAGCAGGTTGTTATAACAGTGAGTTCAGCCTCCTAGACTCTCTCTCTTGCTTCCTCTCTCACCATGTGATCTTTTGGCACACACCCGCTTCCCCTTCCTCTTTCTTCCATGAGTTGAAGTGGTGTGGGACCCTGACCAGTTGCAGCTACCCAATCTTGAATTTCCAGCCTACAGAACTGTGAGCTAAATAAGCCTCTTTTCTTTATAAATTACCCAGTCTAAAGTGTTCTGTTATAGCAACAAAAATAATGGACTAAGAAAATGGTAGGAGACGCCCTGGCTTGGTGGCTCATGCCTGTAATCCCAGCACTTTGGGAGGCCAAGGCAGGCGGATCACCTGAGGTCAGGAGTTCAAGACCAGCCTGACCAACATGGTGAAGCCCCATCTCTACTAAAAATACAAAAATTAGCCGGCCTTGGTGGCACGCACCTATAATCCCAGCTCCTTGGGAGGCTGAGGCAGGAGAATTTCTTGAACCCAGGAGGCAGAGGTTGCAATGAGCTGAGATTCTGCCACTGCACTCCAGCCTGGGTGACAGAGCAAGACTGTGTCTGGAAAAAAAAAAAAAAAGTGAAAATGGCAGGGGTTGAAGTTATGATCCCACAAGCCAAGGAGCTTCAAGAGCCACCAGAAGCAGAAAGGATTCTCCTTGCAGCTTCTGGTGGCTGGAAGGATTCTCCCCTAGAGCCTTCGGAGGGAGCATGGCCCTGCTGACACCTTGATTTCTGAATTGTGGCCTCTGAAAGTACAAAACAATCATCTTTCGTTTTAAGCCACCAAGTTTGTGGTTACTTCAGCCCTGGAAAATCAATATACTTAGGAATTGCAAAAATTACAATTCCAAAGATAATACTTCCAATACTTGAATCCTGCTCTGGCCATATAGTTCAAAGTCATTTTTAACCATTGCTCTCAGACAAAGTGGCAAAGCTACAACTAATCCTAAATCCAATGTCTGATCAGCTTTGCTAACTACCCTCACAGTAGCTTGGCAATTAAACCTTTATCTTGAGACCATTAGCAGTTTTACTAGATTCAGGTGACATAAAAATGTACAAATTTGGATAAATACCAAGGAAAATAACTTTGTCTAAAAAAATTCAATTATTTGTGCCTCAAAGTATTAATTCTTTGGTCTGAACTTCAGTTCTCTAACTAGCCTCACTGAACATTGGTCTGTAATGTTCACCTCTTGTCTATTGCCATTTTGTAAAAGTATCTAGAAGGTTTAAAAAAAAATAGTTGTGAAGAAAGATTGCCAGAAGATATATTTTAATATTTTGTAAAGTATTTTTAAATAACTTACAGGCACGAACTCATCTGGTATTGGCAACTGTGACTTGGAAAATAAATTCAGCATATTTTTACACCATACTACTAGACAATTTGGTCACATCCATCTATATAATTAGAAGAGCAGGAAAATGGGGCACTCTCACAGTGTATATTAAAAATTGTGAAAAACGTTTCACAAAATGCTAGGAAATTAAAAGCCATTTTATACATGACTGACAAGAGAAAATTGATTAGAAAACAAAACCAAAATAAACAATGTTTCTTTTTTTTCTTTTACTTTGAGAGGATCTCACTATGTTGCACAGACTGGAGTACGGTGGCATGATCTCGGCTCACTGCAACCTCCACCTCCCAGGCTCAAGCCATCATCCTCCCACCTCAGCCTCTCAAGTAGCTGGGACTAGAGGCACCTGCCACACGCCCAGCTAATTTTTGTATTTTTCGTAGAGACAAGAGTTTGCTATATTGCCTAGGCTGTTCTTGAACTCCAAGCTCAAGCGATCTACCCTCCCTGGCTTCCCAAAGTGCTGGGATTGCAGGCATGAGCCACCACACCCAGCCACCAGCAGTGTTTACGATGCCAAAAGTGACATTAATTTCTGGCCGTATAAATATTAAAAACATTATTATGTCACTTAGTAGATTCAGAGCTTGGTTTCCCATGACTTTCAGTTAGGTAATCTTTTAAATTTGGTCCATCATTGTTTGAGAGAATAGATCAAGCTTTCTTTGAATGTGAGAATATCTTTGCCTAAAATTACTCCCACTTCTGAATCTCACAATACATTAAAAAACAAAATATCAGTGAATTTAATTTAAGGAACTAACTGACATGTGTTAGCAATTCATGAATCAGGCAGCATCCTGTTTATAAACTAGAGGGAGCTCCCTTGGGCATGGCAGAACAGTTGGTTTTTATAAGATAGCTTGAGCAAGAACAAGGAAACAGCATAGGGCAAAAAGTGACATTAGGTTACTACTTCAGGTTACTTTCCTTGATGGGTTAAAGCAGAGGGGGCTTCCTTATCATGTCTGCTCAGGTTAACTGGGTCCTTTACAAGTGGTTGCTGTGAATCTCTTTGGTTTTTGGGAAAACTACCTATTTGGAAATTGTTCTGTTTTTTAAAGTTTCAGTTTGATTGTGTGGTGCTTGACGTGAGTGACTCCATTTTGGTTTGGTCTGTTGGGGCCAAGTGCAGGAGCTCAGTCAAAAACAGTGGGTGACTCCATTTTGGTTTGGTTGTTGGGGCTGAGTGCAGGAGCTCAGTCAAAAACAGTGGGCTCCCTTAAATTTTATTTACCACTGAATTCAATCCTTTCTGTTTTACTCTCTTTCAAGTATCTTCTTCTAAATTTCCTAAAAGGGTGGAGGAGTTTATAAAGTTGCTATCCCCTAAGTACAGAGAAGGAAACTGTATTAAAAATGGCTCCAACAATGGGGCACTTCTCAAATCACAAGGCATCTCCTATTTCAGAATTTTTGTTTCACAACTAAAAAGAATTGTTTTACCCCGGTTACTCATGTACTCTTGCTACATTGTTCTTCAAGCAAAAGCTCTGAATTAGAGGTTGCTGCCCTTGAGTGTCTTCTTTAGCCCAATGACTTATATTTACTGGGTAAATAAAATAGAATTTTAGGAATCTGTTCTTACGATATACCAAACAAATTCTAAAGTGCTACTTTTCCTAATAGCAAACAGCAGCTACAGTTTCAGGTTAAACAAAATTGCATTGTTTAAGCCAAGCACCATTACAAGATTTGTGGAGCAAGGAACAGATTCAAGTTGTTATTTAAATTATAAAGATAGATGCAAATAGAAATGTGTTTCTGATTGTAGGAAAAGACATTCTATTAGAATTTCATAAAGGAAGTTGACACCATTAACCCATTTGTTTTTTACCAGGATGTCAATGTTGAAAAGCAGGTTATTTAATTCTGCTATTTAAAAGTGGCTACGGACCAGGCGCAGTGGCTCACGCCTGTAATCCCAGCACTTTGGGAGGCTGAGGCAGGCGGATCACCTGAGGTCGGGAGTTCGAGACCAGCCTGACCAACATGGAGAAACCCCATCTCTCTACTAAAAATACAAAATTAGCTGGGCGTGGTGGCGCATGCCTGTAATCCCAGCTACTCGGGGGGCTGAGGCAGGAGAATCGCTTGAGCCCAGGAGGCGGAGGTTGCGGTGAGCCGAGATTGCGCCACTGCACTCCAGCCTGGGCAACAAGAGTGAAACTCCATCTCGAAAAAGAATTAATTAAAATAATGATAGGCTGTGGAAAAGGAAGGATTTACAAGAACTGTAAATCCTTTTTTCACCTCTATTCCCTAGGACTCTAGTTTTCCCGTGAATTCATTTTTGTTTCTCCTTTACAAAACTATAGATATGCAGAGGCCAAGGGAAAACTTCCCCTTTACCCTCTGAAGGTTCACTGAAAATCACTGACAAGAGGCAGATTAATAGGAGAAAAGGCATACAAATTTACACAGAAGTCTTCAGAGTGAAGACCCAAAGATAAAGAGGACATTGTCCATTTTTATGCTTAGGTTCAACAAAGTATGGACAGCTGTGTAGAAATCTGATTGAACAAAAAGGGTAGATCCAATGCCAATAGACTGAGTGGGGAAATGTAGTAAGGCCTGTCTGTTCAGATTCTTCTTGGCCTCTGTGTGCATACATTCCTTCCTGCTGGAGATGGGGCAGAACCCTCTCTGGAATGGGGGTCTTATGACCTACAGTCAAACAAGGTAGGTCAGATCATTTCTTTATGGTCAGGTTTCACACAGAAAGATGGAGGCGCCGGGCTGCGGTGGCTCACGCCTGTAATCCCAGCACTTTGGGAGGCTGAGGCGGGTGGATCACAAGGTCAGGAGTTTGAGACCAGCCTGGCCAATATGGTGAAACCTCGTTTCTACTAAAAATACAAAAATTAGCTGGGCATGGTGGCACACGCCTGTAGTCCCAGCTACTCAGGAGGCTGAGGCAGGAGAATCACTTGAACCCGGGAGGTGGAGGTTGCACTGCACTGAGCTGAGATCACACCACTGCACTCCAGCCTGGTGACAGGGCGAGACTCCTTCTCAAAAAAAAAAAAAAAAAAAAAGATGGAGGGAAAGTTAGATGTTATTTTAAGTTTTATGACTGGCTTTCGGGAAACAGGGTTCTGGTTTCTATGACCTGCCTTGGGAACAATGGGACTGAGAGACAGAACAGGAGAAGGTCAGAGGAAAACTCGCTTCTGAGGCCTTTGTTTGGGGATATTGTCTTCTGAGTCCCAACAAATAGTTATACAAATTTCAAACTACTCAGAGCATCTCATTCTTACGTGAAAGAAAAATAAATCTTTTTTTTTTTTTTTTTTTTTTGAGATGGAGTCTTGCTGTGTTGCCCAAGCTGGAGTGCAGTGGCGCGATCTTGGCTCACTGCAAGCTCCGCCTCCCGGGTCCACGCCATTCTCCTGCCTCAGCCTCCCCAGTAGCTGGGACTACAGGCACCCACTACCACACCCGGCTAATTTTTTGTACTTTTAGTAGAGACGGGGTTTCACCGTGTTAGCCAGGATGGTCTGGATCTCCTGACTTCGTGATCCGCCCGCCTCAGCCTCCCAAAGTGCTGGGATTACAGGCGTGAGCCACCGCGACCGGCCCTGAAAAATAAATCTTAAGACCCCAAAATCACTAAGCCAAAGGGAAAAGTCAAGCTGGGAACTGCGTCAGGCAAACCTGCCTTTTATTTTATTCCTAAATAAGATAGCTACAAAGAATTTAAAAAGCTACATACCTTCTTCACAATTTGCCCATTAGGAAATTTCTTGTGGGCCCCAAGATCTTTACCCTAAAATTGTTCTGTTGAATTTTACTCTGGCAAGGTAAATTGACAGCCTATCTTCACAGATGCAGGACAAAGGACAGAACTCTAAGTCATCCCTGTGCTCACCTGAGACAAATGCATGTCTGATTGCTTCCACTGATGTAAAAATGCAGATTTGCTGAGTTAGACGAAGACGTAAGTAACTTTCCTCTAAGGCCCTCTCACGTGTAAATTGTGTATTCGGTGATGGCCAAAGGCTCAAAAGAATGCAAATGTTTGTCTCTTATCTACCCACATCTTTTAAAATTTCTTTCTCTTTCCCCAATATCTGTCCTTTCCCCTTTAAATATTGAAGCCCTTAAAATCATCTTTGGAGAAGGCACAGACCTGGCCCCTGGGCATGCATTCTTAATCTTGACAAAATAAATTTTCTAAAATTTCTTTTTTTTTTTTTTCCCCAGGTGGGGTCTTACTGTGTCACCCAGGCTGGAGTGCAGTGGTGCAATCTCAGCTTACTGCACCCTCCACCTCCTGGGTTCAAGTGATTCTCCTGCCTCAGCCTCCTGAGTAGCTGGGATTGCAGGCACCCGCCACCACACCTGGATAATTTTGTAGAGACGGGGTTTCACCATGTTGGCCAGGCTAGTCTTAAACCCCTGACCTCAAGTGATCTGCCTGCCTTGGCCTTCCACAGTGCTGAGATTACAGGCATGGGCCACAGCATCCAGCCAAATTTTCTAAGTTGATTGAGGCCTGTCTCAGATACTTTTTGGTTCACAGATTGGCAACCATGAAGGAAGTCAGGTGGAGATGCCCTTGACCTTTGGCAAATCTCCTATCTGGCTGGAGCTATCTTTATTGCTCAAACTAATAGGTCAATTTGCTTAGGCCTGGGAGCTGCCCCCTCCAGAGAATCCCTGATCTCCCAAAATTTGGTTGAAATCTAAGGTTTATTTTGCTGTACAACTCCTTTTCTGGAGTTTTACTCACTTTCAACAAGGAAAGTGAGCTTTTCCTGCTTCCATAATGATGGAGAGCAGGCAACTCCTTTCTGGAGTTTCAACTTGCTTTGAACAGGTAAGGCGAGTTTGAGGTTTTTTTTCTGCTTCTAGGATGGCAGAGAGCAGTCTTCATCCTGAGCCCCATTCCTAGGTAAGTAGCTGAATTGGGGTTTTGTTTTGGAAATTCTCCTTAATGGCTAAAGTTAAGATTAACAACCAGCTGGTCTTAATTTCTTCTTACCATTAGAGCACTCAGTAATCTAATATAAATTATAAATCTAATATATTAGATTTATTTTGGGTTTGACCAACTCTATCTGACTTGATCAAATCCAAAGGAAAGTTCCAAATTATGGGGAATAAGGCCTCTGAATTGGCTACATTCCTGCAGCTGAAAATAAGGAAAGAAAAAAGGGAAAAAGTAAAAGCAGCCAGGCCGGGCATGGTGGCTCAAACCTGTAATCCCAGCACTTTGGGAGGCCAAGGCAGGCAGCCTAGGAATTCGAGACCAGCCTGGGCAACACAGTGAGACCCCATCTCTACAAAAAATACAAAAATTAGTTGGAATGGTGGCATGCGCCTATAATCCCAGCTACTCAGGAGGCTGAGGTGGGAGGATTGCTTGAGCAGGAGGAGGGTGTGGGGGAGGGTGGGGAGGTGAATGCTGCAGTGAGCCAAGATGGAACCACTGCATTCCTGCCTGTCGACAAAACAGCAACAACAACAACAACAACAAGAAAATGACAAGAAAAATAAATAAAGCATGTCAAACAAATATGTCTCTTATTGGGGCGGGGGAAGGAGAAGTATAAATGTGACAAAGTGGCCAGGAATTCTCAAAGTCAAGTTTTAATCCATAATCATTTTAAGCGATTTTGATAAAAGCATTAACATTTTGCCAAGTTCTGTTTTCTCTCTACTTCATGGAAGAGCTAATTCTAAATTTATCTCCCAGGTAAAGATTAGTTTAGGAAATTTCCTTGTATAGTTGAAATTGTTTTTATTTCAAAATTCAAAGCACCCAGTTGGTATTTGGTGAGCATTTCCTGTGTGAGGTACACCAAACCCCTTTGCCCTCCAGGTCCTTCCCGGGACAAGTCAGCAGTGCACAGGTTCCTAAGGTGGCCCTTGGCCCTGACACCAAGGAGTAAATTTGATCGGGTCTGCCTGCCTTTCTTGCTTTTGGTCCCTTGCTTTTTGTTATCTGTTTTCCTTTTTCCATGAAGCTGAAAGCCAAGATAGCTGAAGGCCTTGCCACTGAATGCTGAAACTTAACCTTCACTACTTTGTAGACAGTGTTCGCAGGTCACCATGGTAATGGGAGCAAAAAGATGGTTGTTTCTCAGGAATTTGGGCCAGCTCCTGTCTAGTTCAAACTGGTGGAAACCACCAATGCTTCAACTGGGCCTGCACTAGTGCTCAAGAGGTGGCCTTTTGATGTGAGAAGGCCAAAAACTCCACCCTCAGATCATGCTAACACCACCATTTTCTGTACGTATGTTCTATAAAATGCGATGAGCCCTGACTATACTTGTGCAGAACAAACCTGTTAACGTCTTTTTTTCCCCCAGTGCCAATCACCTTTCCCCATGCCTTAGACCATCCCACTTCCCTAACGCATAAATATCCCTAAACTTTATCTTCGGTCAGGTGGATTTGAGAGCTGTTCTCCTGTCTTAGCGCTGGGGCTTTGTGAATAAATCTTCCCTCTTTTGCAAAACCTGTGTTACAGTGATTGATTTACTGCACGTGGGCAGAATGGACCTGGACCTGGCCAATACTAGCCCTTGGTTCTGTACTCTTACATAAGGGCAAATTCTCATTCTCAGGGTGACCATAATTCCAGTGGTTAAAACTGCTGCTTAGCTTTGACACAAGAGTTTTCATTTTGCTGGGCCGGGAGCGGTGGCTCATGCCTGTAATCCCAGCACTTTGGGAGGCCGAGGCAGGCGGATCACCTGAGGTCAGGAGTCTGAGATCAGTCTGGCCAACATGGTGAAACCCCATCCCTACTAAAAATACAAAAATTAGCTGGGCGTGGTGGTAGGCACCTGTAATCCCAGCTATTTGGGAGGCTGATGCAGGAGAATCGCTTGAATCCAGGAGGCGGAGGTTGCAAGTGAGCTGAGATTGCGCCATTGCACTCCAACCTGGGGGACAAGAGTGAGATGTCGTCTCAAAAAAAAAAAAAGGAGTTTTCATTTTGTAATAAAAACCGTGGCGTCTGGTGGCTGGGCGCAGTGGTTCACGCCTGTAATCCCCGCACTTTGAGAGGCCAAGGCGGGTGGATCACCTGAGGTCAGGAGTTCAAGACAAGCCTGGCCAAGATGGTGAAACCCCATCTCTACTAAAAACACAAAACTTAGCCTGGCGTGGTGGCGTGCACCTGCAGTCCCAGCTACTCGGGAGGCTGAGGCAGAGAATTGCTTGAACCCAGGGGGTGGAGGTTGCAGTGAGCTGAGATCACGCCACTGCACTCCAGCCTAAGCAACAGAGTGAGATTCCATCTCAAAACAAACAAACAAACAAAAACAAAACCATGGCATCTTATGATGTTTTGTGATGATTATAGCTGTGGCTTCTTTGTCTCCAACTATAATTTTTGCCTTGATTAAGTGGGGGGAAAATTTTCTAAGTTAGAGATTTACAATGTGACTGTATATTAGATTTACTTTTTTGGTTATTTTGTTTGTTTGTTTGTTTTATTTTTTTGAGATAGAGTCTTGCTCTGTTGCCCAGGCTAGAAAATGGTGTGACCTCGGCTCACTGCAACCTCTGCCTCCCGGGTTCAAGAGATTCTCCTGCCTCAGCCTCCCAAGTAGCTGGGATTACAGGCACCTGCCACTATGCCTGGCTAATTTTTGTATTTTTTAGTAGAGATGGGGTTTCACCATATTTGCCAGGCTGGTCTCAAACTCTTGACCTCAAGTGATCTGCCCATCTCGGCCTCCCAAAATGCTAGGATAATAGGCTTGAGCCACCATGCCTGGCCTTATTAGACTTACTTCTAAAAATAATTGTTGATGCCTGGGTCCCACCCTCAGACATTTTGATTCACTTGATCTGGGATGGGACCAAGGCATCAATATTTTTTTAAAAAACACTCACCTCCCTAGACCATTCTAGTGTGGAGAAATACTGTTCTAAGGGACTTGAACCCTGGAGTCCATATCCTTTCATCTTTGAGTTTTGAGACCCCTGAGAGTTTCTGCTACTGGTTTCTAGGGTACCTTACTATTTGCGGGGCCAGCAGCAGGCACTTTGGTCTCTGCAATATGGTTCGCTGTAAGAATGGGAAAGTTGACAGGACATCTTGCTCTTTTGAGTACAGTTAAGGATGGTCCAGTGATCTTATACTTACTCCTAAAAGCTCAGGAAACGAACACATTACTGCAGGGCTACTGCAGACTCCTCTGAGGAAAGATGAAGAATGACAGCCCAAAGTCTAAACTTTCATCAACATCCGGTACAGAAAACCGCTGTTAGCAAATAAACTCATTAGCGTCCTATTTGAGCTCTCTTGGGGGGAATAATCTCTCACTAGCCTGAGAAACACTTTGAGAACTCTTGTTTTACATGTGATGTTGGCTGTGCAGCTCACACAGCATGGTTGAGAGCTCTCAGCTCTATTTTCAGCGGCTGTTGGTAGTAGTGACAACTAAACAAAGAAGACTAGAATTTCAACAATGCTGTCTGTCCCAACTCAACAGGCATGACAAAGCAGTTTTCGATATACCGTATCAGTAAAGATGGTAAATACACAGGGAAATGTTTGAAATAGGAATAGCCTACCCACTCCCAGGGTGTAATGAAGACAGGCATCCAGTGGCAAAGCAAATGCTCCCTATTTAGGCTGGAGGGCCTGTCTTTAGCCAGAACACGAAACATAAATGGGAAGGCAAGGACTACACTGATGTAGTAAGCATTTACTTGGGAGACTTGACCTGAAAAAAGGAGCAGTCAAAACAGGAAAAAGTCAAGGACCTCTCAAATAACATCCTATTTGCCTATAGAGAGAGACAGCCCTAATTTGATAGAAAGGGCTACTACCCAAGGTCAAGATGTTGTCTGCAGGTGACTAAGATTTGCATTTGGCCTGGACACAGTACCATGTACTGTTACCATGGGGATCACAGAGACAAGGAATATAGAATGCCTATGTAAACTGTAAAGTGTAATACCAATTTGATGGTGGTGGTTCATTACCTAGAGGACCTTGCTACTCAAAGTGTGGTCTTTAACCAGCATCATCAGCCTCACCTAGGAAGTTGCTAGAAACGCTATTGAATGTGCTTTTTATTTTTTTTAATTGTAGTAAAATGTACATAATAAAATTTACTGTTTTAACCACTTTTAAGTACAGTTCTGTGGCATTAGGTACATTCACATTATCGTACAACCTCATTACTCCATCTCCAGAACTTTTTTTATCATCTGAAACTGAAACTCTGTACCTTGAATGTGCTTTTTTTTTTTTTCTTTCTTTTTTTGAGATGGAGTCTCGCTCTGTCTCCCAGGCTGGAGTGCAGTGGTGCAATCTCGGCTCACTGCAACCTCCACCTCCCAGGTTCAAGTGATTCTCCTGCCCCAGCCTCCCAAGTAGCTGGGATTACAGGCATACGCCACAACACCCCAGATAAATTTTGTATTTTTAGTAGAGATGGGGTTTTTCCATGTTGGCCAGGCTGGTCTCGAACTCTTGATCTCAAGTGATCCACCTGCCTCAGCCTCCCAAAGTGTTGGGATTACAGGCATGAACCACCATGCCCGGCCCCACATGTACTTTTAAACAGGATCTCCAGGTGGTTCATATGCACAGTAAAGCTGGGAAGCACTGTTCTAGGAGACTTCTCACCATGGTAAACCTAATAGCATACTGTGTGGTAGACCCTGTACTAAGTATTCTGCATGTCTTATCTCATCTAATCCTCTCAGCAACCTGATGAAGTAGATACTATCATGAACTCACTGTACAGATAGGGAAACATGTAAGCGTTTGTACTCAAGGTTGTACAATTTGAAGGGATGGAGCTGGGTCTGTGATTCCAGAGTGTGTGCTTTACTCCCTCTGAACTTTTTCTCTTTTTTTTTTTTTTTTTTTGAGACGGAGTCTTGCTCTGTCGCCTAGGCTGGAGTGCAGTGGCGCGATCTTGGCTCACCACAACCTCTGCCTCCCAGGTTCAAGCAATTCTCCTGCCTCAGCCTCCTGAGTAGCTGGGATTACAGGCGTGTGCCACCACGCCCGGCTAATTTTTTTTTGTATTTTTAGCAGAGACGGGGTTTCACCATATTGGCCAGGCTGGTCTCAAACTCCTGACCTTGTGATCCGCCCGCCTTGGCCTCCCAAAGTGCTGGACTTAGAGGCGTGAGCCACTGCGCCCAGCCCTTTTTCTTCTTTTTGAGACAGGGTCTCACTCTGTCACCCAAGCCAGAGTGCAGTGATGCAAACCCGGCTCACTGCAGCCTCAGCTTCTTGGGCTCAAGTGATCTTCCTGCCTCAGACTCCCATGTAGCTGGGACCACAGGCATGTGCCACCATGTCTGGCTAATTTTTGTATTTTTTGTAGAGCGGGAGTCTCACCATCTTGCCCAGGCTCCCTCCAGACCTTTTCTGTGCCCAGAAATATCCCAGCAGGTGTCTTGCATTTGAGAATGTGCATTGAGGAAGAAAGATGCCTGAATATGGAGAGGGAAGAAGTAAAATAAGATCCCCACTGCAAATAAATCTTTTATCTGTAGTTTTACACAGCTCTGGCATCCAGTAAAGAGATCTGGAGAATCTGGGACTGTGCTTTCACAGCATTATTTCATTTTGTCTCCCCAGAAACTTGAGTCTCCTAATTAAGATTTTCTTTCCTTTCTTAGGCATTTCAGCTGCTCCTATTTCTTTCTTTTTGGACTCTTCTAGAAAAACAGAGAAATCAAACAGGAAGCTGCTGCTGGGGAGTTCTGTGTTGGATAGGATAGTGTGGCCAGGCTCACTGTTCTACTACCTCAAACCCCAAGGTTTCAGCATGACTCAGGGGGTGCAAACTCCAAAAGGTCTAACTTGGAATGTGACTTAGGAACTCTGGCCAGTCTCCCTTGCTCAGATCTGAAACTGGGAAATTTTCAAAACCCAAAACCTTGCATAATCAGAAAGAATAAATCCCTATAAGGAAGAGAAACACAATGGAAAATTCCACTGGAGATATCTGAAATTGCCTGACTCTTGTGTCAGCAACTGGGAGGTCAGATGGCCACAAAGAGTACACAGTTGGACAAGATCTATCCTTCTAGGAAGTGGATTCCTGGAGGGTACTTCTGGTCATTAAAAGTTGCTTGAAAACTGTAGAAACTAAGACCCAGTGTTGTGTTTGTGCGTGTATGTGCAGTGGCGCAATCATAGCTCACTGTCACCTATTATTCCTGGGCTCAAGCGATCCTTTTGCCTCAGCCTCTGGAATAGTTAGGACTACAGGTGCACTGCCACCACCACACCCAGTTAACTTTTTAAATTTCCTTGTAGAAACAGAGTCTCTGTGTTCCCAGACTGGTGTTGAACTCCTGGCCTCGGCCTCCTGAAGTGCTGGGATTACCGGCATGAGCCACTGTTCCCAGTCCTGGTCTTCTTAATGATTGTTTCAGAACTACTCATGATCAAAGATCAGTTAGGCAAATGGTTCTCAATCCTGGCTAACGCTAGAATCGATCACCTGTAAAATTTCTTTAAGAATCCGGATGCCCAGGACCCATTCCCAGAGATTTGGATTTAATTGGTCTGGAGTGACACCCAGGCCCAGGTATTTTCCAATGTGTCCAATGTTGAGAAACACTGAATTAGACAAAGTAGGGCAAAACTGTCATTTATTTTTGTATTTGCTATGCCTAACACAGTATCTGTCCCTTAGTTAGGTATTCCGTAAGAGTTCATGGAATATGTATGTGAATAAATGAACTAGTGTCATCACATAAACAACTTTCAGCACTTAGGTTGCACTTTATGGGTTTCAAAATACTTTTGTATGTGCTGCTCTCATTTTAGTCTGTTAAAAAGGTAAACTGAGGCACAAAAAATTATTTTTAAGGTTTATTTGAGCAAACAATGAATCATGAATCACACAGCTCCAAACCAGGAGCAGTTTAGGGGCTCCATTAAGGAAGTATGAAAGAGGGACAGGCTCTTTTATTTTATTTATTTATTTATTTTTTGAGATGGAGTTTCACTCTTTGCCCAGGCTGGAGTGCAGTGGCACGATCTCAGTTCACTGCAACCTCCGCCTCCCGGGTTCAAGTGATTCTTCTGCCTCAACCTCCTGAGTAGCTGGGATTACAGGCAACCGCCACCATGCCTGGCCAATTTTTGTATTTTTAGTAGAGACAGAGTTTCACCATTTTGGTCAGGCTGGTCTCGAACTCCTGACCTCAGGTGATCCATCCACCTCTGCCTCCCATAGTGCAGGGATTACAGGCGTGAGCCACCATGCCCAGCCCTAGGAACAGGCTTTTATACCATGAATACCTAAGTAACACATAGGAAAGATTTGATTTGTTACAGCTATAAAGTTGCCTTATTTGGTCTATACTACTGGAAAGTCCCTACTTAGATAAGTTTGTTGGCTATTTCTGATTGGTGGAGCTTAAGTTCTGTTTTTCTTTAACACAGACATTTACAAGAAATAAGTTTTTCTTATGTTTGCAAATCAAGCGAGGTTAAGATCACCTATGAGGCCTAGCTGGCTTTGTCTGCTCAATGATTCTTCTAGCCTGGTCTCCATTTTAATTTACTTTAACAGATCTCATGTTCTCTGAAAAATATCACTGTATGATGCTCATCTTACAGATGGGGAAGCCGAGGCTTAAAGAGATTAGGTGATTTCCACCTCCACCCCAAATCCAACAAAACTAATAAATGGAACTCTTGTTTATTTAACTCTTTTCCACTCATAAGGTTTAATGACTAAGGATGGTTCTCATCTGGCTCCAGTCATGCCCTGAGAAAGTTTGTTTGCCTTGGCAAGTATGTCATTTATTCTTCCCACCTTGAGGTCTGAAAACTGCTTATTATAGAAAAATTCAAACAAAAAAGGTTATAAAATAGTATAATTAACCTTCATGTAATCATCACCCAGCTTCAACAGCGATCAACTCAGGGCCAGCCTCATTTTGTTCACACCCCTGCCTCTATTTTGAAACAAATCCCAGTAACTATGTCAGTATGTATCTCTAAGAATTTAAAAAAAATTACCTCTGGCCAGGCGCAGTGGCTCACGCCTGTAATCCCAGCACTTTGGGAGGCTGAGGAGGGTGGATCACCTGAGGTCAAGAGTTCGAGATCAGCCTGGCCAACATGGTGAAACTTCCTCTCTGCTAAAAATACAAAAATTAGCCGGGCATGGTGGTGGGCACCTGTACTCCCAGCTACTAATAGGCTGAGGCAGGAGAATCGCTTGAACCCAGGAAGCAGAGGTTGTAGTGAGACGAGATCATGCCACTGCACTCCAGCCTGGGTAACAGAGCAAAAACTCTGTCTCAAAAAATAATAATAATAAAATAACCTCAATATCATCACCATACCCCCCCCCACCCAAAAAAAGAATAAATTCTTAATATCACCAAATACTCAGTGGGCATTCACACATCTCTTGTCTTTTTAAAAAAAAAAAAAAAATTCTGGCCAGGTGCGATGGCTCACACCTGTAATCCTAGCATTTTGTGAGGCCAAGGTAGGTGGATCACCTGAGGTCAGGAGTTAGAGACCAGCCTGGCCAACATGGTGAAACCCTGTCTCTACTAACAATACAAAAAATTTTCCGGGCATGGTGGCGGGTGCTTGTAATCCCAGCTTCTAGGGAGGCTGAGGCAGGAGAATCGCTTGAATCCAGGAGGCAGAGGTTGCAGTGAACTGAGGTCGTGCCACTGCACTCCAGCCTGGGCAACAAGAGCGAAACTCCATCTCAAAAGAACAAAAACAAAAACAATTAGCCCGGTGTAGTGGTGCATGCCTGTAATCCAGGCTACTTGAAAGGCTGACGCAGGAGAATCATTTGAACCCAGGAGGTGGAGGTTGCAGTGAGTCGATATTATGCCACTGCACTGCAGCCTGGGCGACAGACTGAGACACTGTCTCAAAAATAAATAAATAAATAAATAAATAAATAAACAAACAGTTTCTTTGTTTGCTGTACATTTTATCAGAAAAAGAAATTAAAAAAATAAACAGCTTCTTTGATTAGGGATCCAAGTAAGTTCTACACATTGCAATTGGTTGATATGTCTCATAAGTCTGTTTTAATCTATAGGTTTCCCTTCATTTCTCTCTGTTTGCCTCCTTTTAATTTATTTGTTGAAGAAACCATTTGTCTTGCCAAGTCCCCACAGTCTGGATTTCACTGACCACAGCCTCCTGGCATCATTTAACACATTCCTCTGGGCCTTGTAGCTCCTATAATTTAATAGGTAGATCCAGAAGCTTGATTCGATTTGGGTTAATTTTTTTTCTTTTTCTTTCTTTCTTTTTTTTTTTTTTTTTGAGACAGAGTCTCCCTCTGTCCTCCAGGCTAGAGTGCTCACTGCAACCTCTGTCTCCGGGCTCAAGTGGTCCTCTTGCCTCAGCTGGGACTACAGACGTGTGCCACCATGCCCAGCTGACTTTTGTATTTTTGTAGAGAAGGGGTTTCACAATGTTGGCCAGGCTGGTCTCAAGCTCCTGAGCTCAAGCGATCCACCTACTTCTGGCTCCCAAAGTGCTGGAAATACAGGTGTGAGCCACTACTCCCGGCCAATTTTTTTTTCTCAAAACTTCCTAGATGCTTGTAAGGTCTTACATAAAGGGACAAATTTTGGTAACAAAACCAATTGTGAAGGCTAGGCAGCTAATACACATAAAATCATGGCCCAGAATTAAGGAGGGACCTGTGTAATTGTGACCATGAAGTGCCCAGTTTAGGCTGGGAGGACCCCTTTTCTAACTCTGGGTCCAAGTTTAGCCCTGCACATCCCCATCAGACGTCCCGGCCCCTTCAGCTCTGTGTGTTTGCTCCTCTCCTCTCCTGATTTCTACCATTTGGTGCCAGCATAGGCAGGCATTCTATGGGGACTCTTCCTTGGGAGTCAGCGTTTTCCTGTGACCTGGTAACATTGCTATTTCTAGCTAGTTGGTGATAAGGGATCAGCATTTTCTAGCAGCTACTGTTGCCACACAGAGCATTTGCTCAGAGCGACATCTAGTGGCTCTTAAAAAAATAATGTAGTGAGGTGTAGTGGCCCTTTTTTTTTTAGACGGAGTCTTGCTCTGTCTCCCAGGCTGGAGTGCAATGGCGCAATCTCGGCTTACTGCAACCTCCGCCTCCCCGGGGGTTCAAGCGATTCTCCTAAGATTACAGGCGCCTGTCACCGTGCCCAGCTAACTTTTGTATTTTTTAGTAGAAATGGGGTTTTGCCATGTTGGTCAGGCTGATCTCGAACTCCTGACCTCAGGTGATCCACCCGCCTTGGCCTCTCAAAGTGCTGAGATTACAGGCATGAGCCACCATGCCTGGCCATGGCCCTTTTCTAAAGCGACATCTGATTTTAAAATATGTATTTTATCGTAATTTTTAATTACAAAAGTAACTCATCATCATAAGAAAAACCCCAAAAGATATTGAATAGTAATAGCCTTGGCAATCAGATTGGCTTCCGAAATTTCATTCAAGTCTTTCCTGGTGCACCACTGAATGCAAAATGAAAATCCCACCAGATCTCAAGCCCCAAGAGTAACCACAGTGAATCATAGATCATGCTTCCCAGTGGCCGCATAGTATTTCCTGGAACATAGGGATGGGGATAATTGCTCACCTCATCTCTTATTAGTGGACTTTATGGGTAGATTTCGGGGTTTTTGCTTTTACAAACAATGCTTCCAGGAAGTCTTTGTACATATGGCCTTTGCATTCTTGAGAGTGTTTCTGTCAACAGTCATATAGAAAATGGAATTCTGAGTCAAAGAGAATGAGCATTTTTTGCTCTGATTTACACCTCTACCAATAATGTGCCTGTTTCTCCGTGTGCTCACAACCCCAGAATATTATCACTTAAATAAAAACGTTTGTGCATGTTGGCTTTTAATCTTTCTGTTTAAAAGAAAAAATGAATTTTTGGTGTTGTGGTGACTAGGTTGGGTTCTGTGTGATGCAATTTTTTTCTGACCATTATCTTCCTAGAGACAGTTCATACTGAATTTGTAACTGGTGGTGGATTCCAACATAGAAACAAGGATATTTGGACCCTTATTAATATTTGTGAACTCAAATTATATTTATGGATTGCCTACTGTGTGCCCATGCAGACACATGAAACCTGCCCTGTCTTCTGAGGGAACTCGCAGAGCAGTGGAGGCCGCCGGCATGCACGCCAGTCACTGCAATGAGTGGGTGATTCAGGCTCTACCTTGAGCAACATAAGGCAAGCTGGTGCCCGAGAGGAGGCAGTGAGGAGGAAGCAGTCAAGGGAAGGCTGCACAGAGGGGAGGGCGTTGAAGCTGGGTCTTGAAGAATAAAGGCCAGGCCCACAGGAAGGAGGGCAACTCAGGGAGGGGAAACAGAATGTGAGAGGAGTGGTGTGTTTGCAGGCTGCAGGAAGATCCAAGTGTCTAGAAAGAGTTTTGAGACTGCACATATGGCACAGGCTGGGTCACAGAGTTTGTACTTTATCTGCAAGACAAAGAGATTTTCAAACTCTAGATAATTTTATTTTAAAAGAAAACACGGCCGGGCTCAGTGGCTTACGCCTGTAATCCCAGCACTTTTGGAGGCTGAGGTGGGCGGATCGCTTGAGGTCTGGAGTTCGAGACCAGCCACAACATAGCGAAACCCTGTCTCTACTAAAAATACTAAAATTAGCCAGGTGTGATGGCACACGCCTGTAATCTCAGCTACTCAGGAGGCTGAGGCAGGAGAATCGCTTGAACCCGGGAGGCGGAGGTTGCAGTGAGCTGAGATCACACCACTGCACTCCAGCCTGGGAAACAGATTGAGACTCCGTCCTCCGTCTCAAAAAAAAAAAAAAAAAAAAAAAAAAAAAAAAAAGATAGTATTACCTCAATACTGTAATAGAGAAATCAATATCATTTGCCATAAATAGAACCATAAAAATTAATTTACAGAACAGAAAAAAAAAACCAAGTGTGTTTAAAACAGTTCAAAAATTAAAATGAAATCTAGGCCGGGTGCAGTGGCTCACGCCTGTAATCCCTGCACTCTGGGAGGCCGAGGTGGGCGGATCACCTGAGGTGAGGAGTTCGAGACCAGTCTGGCCAACATGGTGAAACTCCATCTCTACTAAAAATACAAAAATTAGCCAGGCGTGGTGGCAGGCGCCTGTAATCCCAGCTACTCGGGAGCTCTGAACCCGGGAGGCGGAGGCTGCAGTAAGCCGAGTTTGCACCATTGCACTCCAGCCTGGGGGACAAGAGCGAGACTTTGTCTTTAAAAAAAGAGTTAAAAAAATTAAAATGAAATCTAATAACTAATCTGTTTACAAAAAAATCATGTCTAAAATTATCTTCATCTGTGAGAAAAATAAACCAGTTTATGATCAATCAATAGTAATAAAGAGATTCAGCTCTGTATCATTTAGTTTAAGACTAAGATGAGGGTTATGTCAATGACAATTCTGTGTCTTTTTGTGTATGTTAATCAGCATCTCCCCCACCCATCCCCCCACGCCCCCAGAAATCTCGACACACTGATGTAGGTAGGTAGAGCTTCCCCCTGCTCCTGAAAAGCAGAGTCGCAGAAGCTCAGGGTGGCCACTGTAGCTCAGATAACCTAGATCCTACAGCCAGGAACTGAAATCCAAATCTTCTGACTCCACATTCTTATACCAGGCCGATGCCTGGTATAAAAGTTAACAGAAAAAAACCTTTCTAATTCATATATCTCTCCACATACAGAACTAGGCTGCCTGTAGGAGCAGTGACCTCTACCCTGGAGCATTTCCACAAAGCCTGGAGGACACGTGTATCTTTCGAGGTTTTTCTCCAGAGAAATGCTTTAGAGGTTGTACTTAATATCTGAAATTCCTTATAATTCTTAACAGTCTCTGAGTCTGTGACTGAGAAATATTTCAAGACACTAACACAGGGATTAAAAACTTTATCCCTTTGTTTTAATAATTAAAATGCAGACTAAAGGAGGTTTTGAGTTCTATAGAAATAAACACTCAAATTTAAAATAATGGTCTTTATGGCTGAACACAGTAGCTCATGCCTGTAATCCCAGCACTTTGGGAGGCTGAGGCGGGTAGATCACCTGACGTTAGGAATTCGAGACCGGCCTGACCAACATGGTGAAACCCCATCCCTACTAAAAGTACAAATAAAGTAGCTGGGTGTGGTGGTGGGTGCCTGTAATCTCAGCTACTCAGGAAGCTGAGGCAGGAGAATCGCTTGAACCCGGGAGGCAGAGGTTGCAGTGAGCTGAGACTGTGCCATTGCACTCCAGCCTGGGCGACAGAGCAAAACTCTATCTCAAATAAATAAGTAAACAAAATAAAATAATGGTCTTTAGAGATTTATGAAACCCTAATTATGTCTGCATGTGAGTTCTATGTCCAGCATTAGTAATAATTGTTTTTTTAAAAAAACAAAACAAGGCCGGGCACGGTGGCTCACAGCTGTAATCCCAGCACTTTGGGAGGCCAAGGCGGGTGGATCACCTGAGGTTGGGAGTTCGAGACCAGCCTGACCAACATGGAGAAACCCCATCTCTATTAAAAATACAAAATTAGCTGGGCATGGTGACACATGCCTGTAAACCCAATTACTCAGGAGGCTGAGGCAGGAGGGAGAATCGCTTGAATCCGGGAGGTGGAGGTTGCAGTGAGCCAAGATCGGGCCATTGCACTCCAGCCTGGGCAAAAAGAGCGAAAACTGTCTCAATAAATAAATAAATAAATAAATAACCAAAACCTAAAACACTTATTTACAACTTGAAGACATGTCAAAAATGCTAAAACAGAGAAATTCTTTTATGACTATTAGCATTTTCTCAGAAAAGATCGTTTCTGGGAAGTATGAGCCCTTCCTGAAATTATCCTTCTATTTTGATTAATACAACTAAACTTTAATTCCTTGGATTGTCAATGTTTTGAGTTATCTACTGCTACATAACAAATACCTCAAAAGTTAGTGGTTTAAAACAACAATAACCACCTATGATATTTCACAATTCTGTGAGTTAACTGGGGTGATTCTTCTGCTCCATGTGTTATCAGCTGGCCTCCCAAAGTGCCAGACATGAGCCACTATGCCTTGCCATTCTCAGTTTTAATTTCTAATACAGTAAATATCAATAGATATAAGCCACATCAGCAAAAGTTCTTTGGGATCGTCAGTACTTTTTGGGAGTATAAAAGGATCCTGAGATGAAAACATTTGAGAAGCCCTTCAATAGAGGCAAAAGAAGAATTGGGGACACGTGAGAAATAGTATGGACTAATAAATAACTGGACTAATGATTTTAAGGTGGTAGCAATGGGGAGTAAAAACGGCTCAATTTTAGATGTGTTTTGAAGGGAAAGTCAACAAGATCGATCAGATGTGGGAAATGAGGAGAGAAGTCAAGTATTATTCCAAGGGTTTTGTTTTAGTTTTTGCTTTGTCTTTCACCTGAGTGAACTGGTAGGATGGCATTGATATTTAATTAGAAAAGACCAGGGAAGAAGAGATGTAGGGGAAATATAGTGAACTTATTTGGAGAATGTTGAGTTTGAGATGTTCATTAAATATTTAAGTGTTAGGGGAGTTGTCTCGGGTGGAGATATAACCTTCAGAGTCTTAACCATATGGATTGCATTTAAAACAATGAGACTGAATGAGATCGGCCGGGTGTGTTGGCTCATGCCTGTCATCCCAGCACTTTGGGAGGCCGAGGTGGGCGGATCACGAGGTCAGCAGATCGAGACCATCGTGGCTAACACGGTGAAACCCCGTCTCTACTAAAAATACAAAAAATTAGCTAGGCGTGGTGACGGTCACCTGTAATCCCAGCTACTCGGGAGGCTGAGGCAGGAGAATGGCTTGAACCCGGGAGGCGGAGCCTGCAATGAGCCGAGATTGCGCCACTGCACTCCAGCCTGGGCGACAGAGCGAGACTCAGTCTCAAAAAAAAAAAAGAGACTGGATGAGATCAACAAAGGAGTGAATGAAGATAGAAGAAAAAAGAGGTTGAAAAACAGCCTGGCAGGGCGCGGTGGCTCACGCCTGTAATTCCAGCACTTTGGGAGGCCAAGGTCGGTGGATCATCTGAGGTCGGGAGTTCAAGACTAGCCTAGTCAACATGGTGAAACCCTCGTCTCTACTAAAAATACAAAAATTAGCCGGGCACAGTGGCACGCATCTGTAATCCCAGCTACTCAGGAGGCTGAGGCAGGAGAATCGCTTGAAGCTGGGAGGCGGAAGTTGCAGTGAGCTGAGACTGAGAAAGCTGTCAGGTAGTTAAAAAAAAAAAAAAGGAGAGAATGGTAATTTGAACTGTCAAATGCTACTGATAGGTCAAGTAAGATAAAGACAAATAGATCATTGGTATCTGAGGGACTGTGTGCCAGAGAGGGGAATAATGTGAGCAAAAAGCCCAAATCAGGAGCAGTGTGTTGTGCTAGAGCATAAGGGGCAGGGATGAGATGGGAGCGCAGGCAGGAGTCAGCTTGTGAAGGGCCTGGCATTCCATATTAAAGACTTAGACTTTATGCTGTGGGTTTGGGGAAGCCACTTAGAGGATTTAGGCTGAAAAGTGACACAGTCCAATTTGCATTTTAGATAGATCATTCTGGATGCTTGGGAAGGGTGGGGAGGATAGAGGATGGGACTGAGCCAAACCGAGCAAGGGGCTCAAGGAAGTGGAGGCTGTAATAGGAGAGGGCCAGAGACAGTGAAGGTGTGCATTTCAGCCATGGATGTGGGGATGGAGAAGAGAGAGTTGATCAGGAATATTTAGGAAGCAGAATTCTCAAAATTTGGAAACCGTTGCGACTGGGGGAGTGAGAGAGGTAGAGGAATTAAGCCTGGGTAACAGACTGCATAGAAAGTGGGGTACCAACCTGAAATACAGAAATTAGGAGCCAAAACAGTTTGGGGGTGAAGAGATTGTCACATTTGAACATGTTATATTTGAGATGTTCATGAGAGATGTAGGTGGAGATGTCTAGAAAGCAGTTGGGTATTCAGGCGTAAAAACCAAGGGAGAAGATCTTTAGAGTGGTACTAATGTAAAGTCTCAACTGGTTTATATGTCCCAGCTTTCTAAAGAAAAACTAATTTTAGTAAATTTCCAGTTTAAAAAATTAATAATTCTTGGAGAACTTTGTATGTTTTAATCTGTTTTCATCAAGAGTTCTTGGGTCTGTTAATATAATTTGAGGGTATTTAGCAGTTTAGTCATCTAAATCTGAAAACGTTTGGTTTCTGAATTGACTTCTCATATTGATGGTTATACCAGTGCAGATAGCAGTAGGATAGTCTTACCAAATAATCACCCTTTATTATTGCAGGGTAAACCAATTAGATGAACGGTACTAAGCCTGGCTGCACATTAGCACCACCTGGGGAGTATTTCAAACATACCAATAAACGTCTCTAATAATCAGAAAAATGCAAAGTAAAACCACAAGGAGTTATCACCTCACTCATGTTACATTGGCTGTTATCAAATAGATGAGTGACAACAAGTATTGGCTGGGATGTGTAGAAAATAGAACCTTTCCTGGGTGTGGTGGTTCATGCCTGTAATCCCAGCACTTTGTTAGGCCAAGGCAGGTGGATCTCTTGAGCTCAAGAGTTTGAGACCAGCCTAAAGTAGAAATTTTGTCATTTGTGACAATATGGATGAACCTAGAGTACATTATGCTAAATGAAATAAACCAGGCACAGAAAGATAAATACCACATAATCTCACTTATATGTGAAATCTTAAAAAGTCTAACTCATAGAAATAGAGAGTAGAATGATGGTTACCACAGGCTAGAGACAGGGGGATAGATGGGAAAAGGGGAGACATTGGGTCAAAGGGTACAACGTTTCAGTTAGACAAGAGAAATAAGTTCTGGTGTGCCATGTACAACATGGTGACTATAACTGTTAATAGTGTTTTGTAGATTTCGAAACAGCTAAAAGAGATTATTTTCAATGTTCTTACCAAAATAAATTATAAACATTTGAAGTGATGGATATGTTAATTAGGGTTAATTAGGCTGATTCGATCATTCCATAATGTCTGCATGTAAGGAAACAGTACATTGTACTCCATAAATGTATATAATCATTATTTGTCGGTCTGGTGTGGTGGTTCACACCTTTAATCCCACACTTTGGGAGACAAAGGAGGGAGGATTGCTTGAGCCCAGGTGTTTGAGACCTGCCTGGCAATGTAGCATGACCTTGTCTCTACAAATTTTTCTTTAAAACTTAGCCAAGCATTGTGGTACACGCTTGTAGTCCTAGCTACTCAAGCGGCTGAGGCAGGAGGATCACCTGAGCCCAGGAATTTGAGGCTGCAGTGAGCTGTGAGCTATGATCACACCACTGCACCCCATCCTGAGTGACAGAGTGAGATCCTGTCTCTAATAATAATAATAATAATAATAATAATAATAGTCAATTAAAAATAAAGCAAAACTCAAACGTACCAACATACCAGTGGCATGACGTCTCACCAAGAGATTTTGGTTTGATTGGTCTGGAGGGGGCCATAGGCATTCTAGGTTTGAAAAGTTCTTCCTGATGATTTTAATTAGCAGTCAAGGGTAAATCACTGGATTAGAGGTATGATTTTGCTATGTTTTTCTAGCACAATTAAAAAATTCATTTTAGATTAAAACTCCCTTGAAGCAAACCCCTATTAATTCACTGTGTTAACTGACTAAGGAAATTTTTTGTGAGCCTTGCATATGTGCACAGGACATGTGGGATACTGAGGCTGAAGAGTATAAGACAGCAAGTAGTGAGGGCCCCTGAAGAAGGAACCGGAACAACAGCTCGCAGAAAACCCATCAGAATAAGCAGAACAGCCTGATGTGAATTGGTGACTATGCTATCTAGACTCAAGAAAGGATCTCAGGGTTCAGCAAGCCCCCCATCAACCTCCACTATCAACAAATCCTGAATTGACAAACCAAAGACTCATTTAGACTGACCAATCACTTTACCTTATGTAGCTTTGTGGCTTCTGTCTTGATAAGCCCCTTGCCCTTGGTGGAGAGAGATGGACTTCCTGGGCTATTCTCCCTTTTGTATCTCTCTATATGAGTAAACCCCCAGGGCTTTACCCCATTGTCTCTGAATTATTCTTTTGATGTCTCAGAACATTTGCTTACTTTTAATCACAATAAATCACAATCTCAAATAAATAAGCACTTTGTTGAATTTGAGCTGTTTGCACAAGATAGGACAGACAGATGCAGACATGCGTTTGCAACCAATACTTTGCCTCTCAGTTACTAAGTCAGGCAAGATAAACCCACGGTCGTAAGTATTCACTCAAATGCCTTACCAAAAATGACCCTGACGCTTCTCTGGATTCTACCCACTGATGAAAATTCAGATTTTCCTGAATAGTGGAATAAGAAAATAAGACGTTTTCTGGGAAGCAAGGTATATATATATATATATATATATATATATATATATATTTTTTTTTTTTTTTTTTTTTTTTTCTGAGACAGGGTCTCACTGTGTTGCCCAGGATGGAGTGCAATGGCACCATCTTGATTCACTGCAACCTCTGCTTCCCAGGTTCAAGCGAGCCTCTCACCTCAGCCTCCTGAGTAGCTAGGACTACAGGCATGTGCCACCATGCCCAGCTAATTTTTGTGTTTTTAGTAGAGATGAAGTTTCACCATGTTGGCCAGGCTGGTCTTGAACTCCTGACCTCAAGTGATCCATGTGCCTCGGCCTCCCAAAGTGCTGGGATTACAGGCGTGAGCCACCGCGCCTGGTGGCAAGGTATATTTTCTATGCTGTGGAACAAATTACAACAAACTTAGTGGATAAAGAAGCTGAGCATGGCTTTACTGGATCCTCTACTTAGGGTCTCACAAGCTTTATTCAAGGTGTTGGCCAGACTGCATTCTCATTTGGAGGCTCAACTAAGGAAGAACCTGCTTCCAAACTAACACAACTTATTTGAGAATGTATTTCCTTGTGAATATATTTTTGAAGACCCCGGCGTTTTGTAGCCATTTGTCGGAGGCTGTTGGCAGATCCTACAGGGCACCCATCATTCCTTATGTGAGTTTCCTTAACATAGCTCCTAGCTTGTCCAGCCAGCAAGGAAAATCTCTCTTTCTTCAGTCTACTAACATGGAATTTTATATAATGTAATATAATCACAAGAGTAACACCCCATCACCTGTGTCATAGTTTCTTGGTTAGAAGCAAGTCACAGGTCCCACCTACACTCATGGGGAGATCACACAAAGGCACAAACACCATGAGGTGGAAAATCACTGGGGTTGGGGGTCACTATAGGGATAGGGTCTGCTTGTCACACAAGAAAGAGCCATAGATTGTATATAGACAATCCAAACAGATAATACAGTCATGGGTATAACTGGAAAGAATCCTAGGTGGAGGCAGAAATCATGGGCTCCAGTCCTGGCTGTGTTAGTAACTTAGATCACATATACACAGCAAGTTCTCTAAACCTCAATTTCCTTAGTTTATAAATAAAATAAGGTTGTGGAGACAGCTTTGGATTGCCAAGACCAGCTTGGCTGGGGAGACCCTAACCCAGCAGCGCTAGAGGAATTAAAGACACACACACAGAAATATAGAGGTGTGAAGTGGGAAATCAGGGGTCTCACAGCCTTCAGAGCTGAGAGCCCTGAACAGAGATTTACCCACGTATTTATTAACAGCAAGCCAGTCATTAGCATTGTTTCTATAGATATTAAATTAACTAAAAGTATCCCTTATGGGAAATGAAGGGATGGGCCAAATTAAAGGAATAGTTTGGGCTAGTTAACTGTAGCAGGAGTGTGTCCTTAAGGCACAGATCGCTCATGCAATTGTTTGTGGCTTAAGAATGCCTTTAAGCAGTTTTCTGCCCTGGGCGGGCCAGATGTTCCTTGCCCTCATTCTGGAAAGCCCACCACCTTCCAGCATGGGCGTTATGGCCATGATGAACACGTCACAGTGCTGCAGAGATTTTGTTTATGGCCAGTTTTGGGGCCAGTTTATGTCCAGATTTTGGGGGGCTTGTTCCCAACATTGGATGTTAATTACATAAATGCATAGTAAAATATCATGGAAGCACTATCATTCACCTTTTGCATAAGTTAGAAATGATCCCACTAAAAGCTTATGAGTTTATGGTAGAATTGGTATGCCCAGTTCTGAAGAGCAACCTGGCAATACGTATCATGCCATTAAAATGTTCATACCTGTGATGGTTAACTTTACGTGTCAACTTGATTGAGCCACAGGATATTTAGATATTTGGTTAAATATTATATGTGGGTGTGTCTGTAAAGATGTTTCTGGATGAGATATGACATTTGAATCTGTAGGCTGAGTAAAGGAGATTGTCCTTGCCAAGGTGAGTGGACCTCATCCAATCTGTTGAAAGCCTGAATATAATAAAAGGCTGAATAAGAAAGAGTTATTTTTCTCTGTCTCACTGCCTTTGAGCAGGGACATTGGTTTTTTCCTGCCTACTCAAACATGAACTGGAACTGACTCCGTTGGATCTTCTGAGTCTCAGGCCTTTGGACTTAGACTGTAACTGACACCATTGGCTCTCCTGGTTCTCTAGCTTGCCAGCTGCAGATCTTAGGACTTTTCAGCCTCCATAATCATGTAAGCCAATTCTTAATAGTAAATACTTATGTAAATTTCATATTGGTTCTGTTTCTCTGAAGCACCTAGACTAATACAACATCCTTTGTCAAAGTAATCCCATTCCTGGGAATTTATACCACTAAAATGTAAAATTCAAAAGATTTGTGTAAAATAAGCTGTATGCACTATGTTATTAACTACAGTGTTTTTTTTTTTTTATTTTACTTTAAGTTCTTGGCTACATGTGCTGAACATGCAGGTTTGTTACACATATGTATACACATAGGTATACATGTGCCATGGTGGTTCGCTGCACCTATCAACCTGTCATCTAGGTTTTTGTTTTTTTTTTTTTTTGAGATGGAATCTCGCTCTGTCACCCAGGCTGGAGTGCAGTGGCGCGATCTCAAGCTCCGCCTCCCGGGTTCACGCCATTCTCCTGCCTCAGCCTCCCGAGTAGCTGGAACTACAGGCACCCGCCCAGCTAATTTTTTGTATTTTTTTAGTAGAGACGGGGTTTCGCCGTGTTAGCCAGGATGGTCTCGATCTCCTGACCTCGTGATCCGCCCGCCTCAGCCTCCTAAAGTGCTGGAATTACAGGCGTGAGCCACCGCGCCCGGCTGTTATCTAGGTTTTAAGCCCCGCATGCATTAGGTATTTGTCCTAACACTCTCCCTAGTGTTATTTCTAATAATGAAAAAGTGGAAATAATACACATGTTTAACAATTGGAGAAGGGCTGCATAGATTATAGCACATTCACTTCAAAGAAAATTATGCAAGCATTAAACTAATTATCATGAAGAATACAGAATCACAAGGGAAGCACATGGGAAAGGGTTTACAATTAGATATTAATTTATTTTTTTAAAAGTAGAACATAAAATTATATAAACACTACAGTAACAAGTAAGAAAAAGTAAATAATGAAGAAAATCCATATGCTTGGGTCATGGAATTACAATACAATTTTTAAAAATAACTTTCCTTTACCAATAGACATTGTTAAAGACAATAAATAAAAAGTATAAAATAGGCTGGGTGCGGTGGCTCATGCCTGTAATCCCAGCACTTTGGGAGGCTGAGGAGGGTGGATCACCTGAGGTTGGGAGTTCAAGACCAGCCTGACCAACATGGAGAAACCCTGTGTCTACTAAAAATACAAAATTAGCCTGGTGTGGTGGTGCATGCCTGTAATCCCAGCTACTCAGGAGGCTGAGGCAGGAGAATCGCCTGGGAGGCGGACTTTGCGGTGAGCCGAGATCGCGCCAATGCACTCCAGCCTGGGCAACAAGAGAGAAACTCCATCTCAAAAAAACGTATAAAATGAAAACAATGAGAGAGTTACATTGTCAGTGGTTCTTAACTGAAGTGGACTTTAGAATTTGAAAACACTATACCTAAGTTCTACTTTGTGAAGATTGTGAGGTGGGGTTGGGGCACTCATATACTTAAAACACATACATACACAACACCCCAACCCACCCCTCCACACTGAAATACACAGGTGATTCTGATGCATATGGATAGGTAAATTTTCAGCATAAAGTTTCACATGGAGAATAAGGGAGATAGTCTAGTGAGAAGCTGAGCATTGCCTATGAGGCACTTTGGGTGATGAAGACCAGGCTGTTCTTAGTGTGCACCTGGACTGCTGCAGCCACTGTCTTTAGCATTTGTAGCTTGTGGGCATTCTGAGGCATCGCCCTCTGGGCAGGATTTCTCCACAAGGCGGAAGGCCTCCAGGAACTCATTGATATCAATGTGGCCATCTTTGTTGAAATCAATGCTCCGAGCAAGGTCACAGATGCAGTCATCTGTAATGTCGATATTCATGTGAGAGCTGAACAGCTTCCAGGTCTGCCTGAACTCGTCCAGTGAGATGAACCCTTATCAGAGGGAGGAAATCACTTCAGTGAGTTAGTCTAGTTTTTAATGTTCATTTTCTCTGACATTCTTACAAGGACACCTGCTCCCTACTGCTCAACAGAGAGACACACAAATCCTAGTATCTAATTTAAACTCCCAAGAGGATCACACAAACCCACTGGCTCACCAATGATTTTCAGCTGGGAGTAATTGTGCTCCCCTCCCTCCAGGGGACATTTGGCAATGTCTGGAGACATTGTTGTTTGTTATGACTAAGATGGAGGTGAGGTGCTACTGGCATCTAATAAATAAAGGCCAGACATGCTGCCAAACATCTTATAATGCACAAGATGGACCCTAAAACAAAGAATTATCAACAGTACCACTGTTGAGAAACCCTGCATTTAATCATCTCAAACATATCCTAATTTATTCTGGCCATTAAAATCCTCTGGACCCCATACATCTATAGTCAATTGATTTTTTTACAAGGGTCCCAAGATCATTTAATGGGGAAAGAATAGTTTTTTTCAACAATGATGGGGGACAAGCAGATATTCACATGCAAAAAGAGTAAAGCTAGATACCTACCTAACACTATATAAAAAAAACTAACTCTATATGGATCAAAGACCTAAATGTAAGAGCTAAAACTCTAAAACTCTTAGAAGCAAACATAAGTGTAAATCTTTGTGATCTTAGGTTATGCAACAGTTTTTTTTTTTTTGAGAGGGAGTCTCGCTCTGTCACCCAGGCTGGAGTGCAGTGGCACAATCTCAGCTCACTACAAGCTCTGCCTCCTGGGTTCACGCCATTCTCCTGCCTCAGCCTCCCGAGTAGCTGGGACTACAGGCACCCGCCACCACTCCCGGCTAATTTTTTGTATTTTTAGTAGAGACGGGGTTTCACCATGTTAGCCAGGATGGTCTCGATCTCCTGACCTCGTGATCCACCTACCTCGGCCTCCCAAAGTGCTGGGATTACAGGCGTGAGCCACCGTGACTAGCCTATGCAACAGTTTTATAGCTAAAAAAAGCTATAACACCAAAAGCATAAACAACAAAAAAAAAAATAAATTGGACTTTTTCAAAATTAAAAACTTTTGGGTATCAGGCTGGTCGCAGTGGCTCACGCCTGTAATCCCAGCACTTTGGGAGGCAGAGGTGGGCAGATCACAAGGTCAGGAGTTTAAGACCAGTCTGGCCAATATGGTGAAACCCCGTCTCTACTAAAAATACAAAAATTAGCTGGGCATGGTGGCAGGTGCCTGTAGTCCCAGCTACTCAGCAGGCTGAGGCAGAAGAATTGCTTGAACCCAGGAGGCGGAGGTTGCAGTGAGCCAAGATCGTACCACTGCACTCCAGCCTAGGTGACAGAGCGAGACTCCATCTCAAAAAAAAAAAAAAAAAAAAAAAAAAAAAACTTTCGGGCATCAAAGGACACTACCAAGAAAGTGAAAAGACAATCCACAAAATCAGAAAAAAAATTTGCAAGGCATATGTCTGATACTATCCTAGTACCCAGAATATATGAATAACTCTTACAACTCAAATAAAAAGACAAATAGCCCAATTTAAAAATGGACAAAGGATTTGAATAGACATTTCTCCAAAAGAGATATACAAATGGCCAATAAGCACATGAAAATGTTCAACATCATTAGTTATTAAGGAAATGAAAGTCAAAACCGCAGAATGGGTATAATAAAAACTAAAAAAAAACCCCACAAAAAACAAAAATGGAAAATAACAAGCATTGGTGAGGATGTAGAGAAACTGGAACCCTCATACATTGTTGGTGGCAATATAAATATGTACAGCTACTGTGAGAAATGATTTGGTAATTCCTCAAAAAGTTAAACATAGAATCACCATATGACCAGGCAATTACACTCCTAGATATAAACCCAAGAAAACTGAAAACACATATTGACACAAAAAGTCACACATGAATGTTCATAGCAGCATTGTTCATAATAGCCAAAAGTAGAAACAATCCAAAGTCAATCAACTAATGACTGGATAAATAAAAGTTCTGTCCACACAGTGGAATATTATTCAGTCATAAAAAAGGAATGAAAAACTGATACTGCTGCAACATGGATGAATCTTGAACACAGGCTAGGTGACATAATCCAGACACCAAAGGCCATATTTTGACTCCATTTATATCAAATGTCCAGAACAGGCAAATCCATAGAGACAGAAAGTAGATTAGTGGTTGCCAGGGACTCGTGGAGGAGGGATAGGGAATGAGGAGTAATTGCTAATAGGTATGAGATTTCTTTCTGGGGTGATTAAAATGTTCTAGGCCAGGTGCAGTGGTTCACGCCTGTAATCCCAGCACTTTGGGAGATCTAGGTGGGTGAATCACGAGGTCAGGAGATCGAGACCATCCTGGCTAACATGGTGAAATCCTGTCTCTACTAAAAATACAAAAAAAAAAAAAAAATAGCCAGGTGTGGTGGCACACGCCTGTAGTCCTAGCTACTCAGGAGGCTGAGGCAGGAGAATCACTTGAACCCGGGAGGTGGAGGTTGCAGTGATCCGAGATTGTGCCACTGCACTCCAGCTTGGGTGACAGAGGGAGACTCCGTCTCAAAAAAAAAAAAAAAAAAAGTTATAAAATTAGATAGTGGTGATGGTTACACAATCTTGTGACTATACTGAGAACCACTAAGTTGCATACTTCATACAGGTGAATTATATGGTTTGTGAATTATGCCTTAAAAGAAACCAATAATAACATTGAAAAAAGCCTTTGGACCATTGCGGGAACAGGATGAGGATGTACAGGACCTCACCATATTTTTTTTTATAACTTCCTGTGAATCTATAATTATTTCAAAATTTAAAGTTAAAAAAAACATTTTGAGAGTGAGGTTGCAAACACCTTTCTATTCTAAGCACTTTTCATTACTTTGTGGCTATCTTCGATGGTAATATAAAGGATATCACATCTTTCTTTCTTTCTTCTTTTTTTTTTTTTCCGCGACAGAGTCTCACTCTGTCGCCGAGGCTGGAGTCCAGTGGCACGACCTCGGCTCACTGCAACCTCCGCCTCCCGGGTACAAGCAATTCTCCTGCCTCAGCCTCCCAAGTACCTGGGATTACGGACATGTGCCACCATGCCCGCCTAATTTTTGTGTTTTTAGTAGAGACTGGGTTTCTTCATGTTGGCCAGACTGGTCTCGAACTCCTGACTTCAGGTGATTCACCTGCCTCAGCCTCCCAAAGTGCTGGGATTAAGGCAGGAGCCACCATGTCCAGAGGATATCACATCTTCTAATAATTATTCTTCCTATAAGAAGCTCTCATTCAGTTTGTCTTCATTCTTCTCTGCCCCACTTCTTTCTCTATGGGCTGCTGATACTACTCAAGTACTTTCCTAGTTTCTGTCATTTATAAGCACTAATCTTCTTACCTTGCTCTCCAAATGCCTGAGTGGAGATGAATGAGGATGAATCAGGAAGGAGATTAAGGGTTTAAGGTAAAATACTTGCAGTGCTTCAAAAGTGATAGAATAATGAGTGCCTTTACCTGAATGATCACTGTCTATGATCCTAAAAATGGTCTCTAGGTTGGATCGGTTTCGATACAATGTTTCCAGCAAACTTGATTGTATGTTCTGCAAGAAAAAATTCATTTTCCTTCTTTGTCATACGTTTAGACTTGTTCCAATATATAATTAACACACAATCAACCCTGACAATCACACATTCTTGAAAAAACCTGAAAATATTTTGCCATCCCTCCATTCCCTCTACCCAGTTCAGCCCATCAAATAATCTAGTGGTTTAAGAAGCACCTCACCCATGATGAAAATCTTCTAAAATTGACTGGTGATGGTTGCACATACAGGTTGTGTATGCCTTGTCTGAAATGCTTGGGACCAGAAATGTTGTGAATTTTGGATTTTTTCGGACATTGTAATATTTACATGTACATAATGAGATATCTTGGGTATAGGACCCAAGTTTAAACATAAAATTAATTTTTGTTTCATATACACCTTATACATCTAGCCTGAATGTAATTTTTGTTTGTTTGTTTTCAGATGGAGTTTCACTCTTGTTGTCCAGGCTGGAGTGCAATGGCCCAATCTCAGCTCACTGCAACCTCCGCCTCCCGGGTTCAAGCGATTCTCCTGTCTCGGCCTCCCAAGTAGCTGGGATTACAGACATGCACCACCATGCCCGGCTAATTTTTGTATTTTTAGTAGAGACGGGGTTTCTCCATTTTGGTCAGGCTAGTCTCGAACTTCCGACCTCAGGTGATCTGCCCGCCTCGGTCTCCCAAAGTGCTGGGATTACAAGCATGAGCCACCGCGCCTGGTTGCCTGAAGGTAATTTTATAAAATATTTTTAATAATTTTGTGCATGAAACAAACTTTGCATACATTGAACCATCAGAAAGCAAAGGTGTCAGATGTGGAATTTTTCACTTGTGGCATCGTGTTGGCACTCAAAAAGTTTTGGACTTTGGAGCCTTTCAGATTTGTTTTTTTAAACAGAGTCTTGCTGTGTTGCCCAGGCTGGAGTGCAGTGGCATGGTCTTGGCTCACTGCAACCTCTGCCTCCTGGGTTCAAGCAATTCTCCCACCTCGCCTCCCAATAGCTGGGTCTACAGGCATATGCCACCACAGCCAGCTAATTTTTGTATTTTTAGAAGAGACGGGGTTTCATCGTGTTGGCCAGGCTGGTCTCGAACTCCTGGCCTCAAGTGATCCACCCTCCTCAGCCTCCCAAAGTGCTAGGATTACAGGAGTGAGCCACCGCACCCAGCTGAATTATACACTTTAAATGGATGAATTGCATGGTATGTAAATTATATTGCAGTAACACTGTTAAAAGAAGTACCTAGCCCAAGGTTGCACATACGTTACATATTTTATAAGCAGTTATTGAATAAATACTTTTTAAGTAGGGTAAGCACCATGGTGTTGAAGAAAGAAAATGGGCCTTGAGGTAAGACAGACCTTGGCTTGAGTCCCAACTTAGTCGTTCTATGACCTCAGGCAAGTTGCTAACCTCTGTGGGCAGTGTCCTCATACGTGTAATGGTGCTGATAATATGTACTTCTTGGAGTGGTTTTGAGGATTAACTGAGGCAATGTATGAAAACCACTTAACACAAAAGCCTGACACATAGAAACTCAAGAAATAGTTATTCCCCTTTCTCACCCATCCAGCTTTTTGGGTTATTACTAGTTGGTTGTTTCTGAATCAAATTCTCTCTAAGGAGTATCATAGTCCACATGTGCTCTCATCCACCATTACCACACCGTTACCTCGCGACTCAGTTGTTCCTTGGCCAAGTTCTTCAGCCAAGACTTGTACTCCAGCATGTTGTCTGCTGAGCTGTTCACCAGCTGTGGCCTCAGCATCCGCCATGGCAGTCCTAGGTGCAACACAGACTCCACCGCTGCTGCCCAGTCACTCAAGGTGATTAAACCTACAGGTGAGAGCTAACCTGTTGCCTTGTCACCTAGAAGTCTAGTTTCCTGCCCAATGGTGTGTATATTTTTATCCTGACATCCTTCTTACTATCTGCAGGTAATAGAAATAATGGGCACTGTCACTATTTTTGTTGATAGTAGCAGAGTTGGCTGGAAGCTAGGCTTGCCAGATAAAATACAAGATGTCCAGTTAAATTTTAATTGAAGACAGACAGTAAAGTATATAAAAGTGCCAAATATTGCATAAAAATTATTTGTTGTCTGTTTGTCTGTAATTCAAACTTATTGAGGCATTTTACATTTTTGTTTACTAAATCTGGCAATACTTCTGCAAGCCACATAAAAGTCTTGTAAATGATATCATAAAATATTATATATCTACAGCATTGGTTATTTAAAAAAAATTAAACCACCTAAATTCCTTAGAATATATCCACTGAAACTCTTGGAAGGCTACAGTATGTGTACGTGAAAAGATATTACTATGAATTCATAAATGTTACTGCTGTTTTTAAATAGGAATATATTTTGTCAATGTCCATTAGAAATTCCATTAGTTGAGCAGACAACATTTTTAGCTTGGATAATAAATCATGAAATACCTAGGTAAACAAAGACTCAGCTTCAACAACTCAAGTCATTCATCTTTTGCCAGTCTTATACTCTTATAACTTCTCCCACTTGTTCTTTGCTTGGTTCTGGCCATGTTATCCTTCCCTGACTCTATTTGTTTTCACCCTCTCTATTTGGCTAAGTTCATATTTTGTTAAAAGCTTACAATTTTAAAATTTAGTTAGAATAAATGAGACATTAAGTTGAATAAAATGGAGGATATAGCCAAAGGGAACTTTGGGTCACTCATTAAAGCAACAAATATTTATTTGCTAACTAGTGTAAGACAGAGATTTTCTGGCTAGCTTCCTTCCTCTGTGAATCTTTAACTTGATCATTCTTACCGACTTTATCTGCATCATGCTTCTTAAATTCACTGAGAAGATCTGAAGAATGAGCAAACAGCTTCTCCCTCAGAGCTCTCAGAGCCGACTCCTCCACTCTGCTAATCCTGGGACAGGAGATGAAAAGCGACATTTTAACACACTGGTATAGAAAAAATACTTAGAGATTTTACTATATTTCCACTCTCTCTTTCTTAACATATCAGTCTCCCAAGAGCTCAGTTTTCGAGGGAGAGCGCCTTTACTCTTCCCTGTTGTACACAAACAGGATGAGTATGGGGAATGCCGCTGTCCTTCCTGGTATGGGACAGTGGTTAGAGAAGAAGTTCTGGAGAAGGATCACCTCTGTGGTAAAGTTATCTAATCATCCTTTGCTTCAGTTTTCCCACCTGTAAAACAGTGATTAAAATGGTACCTGTCTCCACTTCACAGGATTATTGTGAAGATTACAATGAGTAATTTCATGTACAGCACTTAGAAGAAAGCCTGGCACATAGAAAGCACTCACCAAATAGTATCTATTATCACAACTGTTGTGCATTTCTTGTAATTTATTATCATGTGAAACAGAAGGCAAAATTTATGAATAACAAAATAACACTAGTTTAGTTTTTTCATTCTTATTGGGTCAATAGAGTAATGCTGGGCACAGTACTTGGCCCAAAGTAAGTGCTCAATAAATATCTGTAGTTGAATGAACAAGAATATAAAAAGAGGCTTGGCGTGGTGGCTCATGCCTGTAATCCCAGCACTCTGGGAGGCCAAGGTGGGTGGATTCCTTGAGCCCAGGAGTTCGAGACCAGCCTTGGCAACATGGCAAAACCCCCCTCTCTACTCAAAGTACAAAAAAAAAATTAGCCAGGCGTGGTGGCGTGTCCCTGTAGTCCCAGATGCTTGTGGGGCTGAGGTGGGAGGATCACTTGAACCCAGGAGGTAGAGGCTGCAGTGAGCCAAGATCACACCACTGCACTCCAGCCTGGGTGAAAAAGTAAGACCCTGTCTCAAAAAAAAAAAAAAAAAGAATATAAAAAGAGATAAAAGGTAAGCATACGTTACTTGTAATGTCTTATTGAGGAACCAATCATTCTATAAATAATGACCAGATAACCTATCTTTTCCCGTGTTAAAAGTTAAAAAAAATTAAATCATGTTTGATGAAAATCTTACTGCAATTGAAGGCATTTAACATGACAGTCTTTAAGTGGGCTACATAGATCCTTAGAAGAGTGTGAACCTAGCCTGGCATGGTGGCACGTGCCTATGGTCCCAGCTACTTGGGAAGCTAAGGTGGGGAAATCACCTGAGCCTGGGAGGTCGAGGCTGCAGTGAGCCAAGATCATGCCACTGCACTCCAGCCTGGACAACCAGAATGAGACCCTGTCTCAAAAAACACAAAAAACTGTGAACCAGTTAGGCATGGTGGCTCATGCCTATAATCCCAGCACTTTGGGAGGCTGAAGCGGGAGGATCACTTGAGGCCAGGAGCTCAAGACCACCCTGGGCAACACAGCTAGGCTGGGTTTCTTTACAAAAAAAACTTTTAAAAATTAGCCAGGCATGGTGGTGCATGCCTGTAATCTCAGTTACTTGGGAGACTATGGCAGGAGGATTGCTTGAGCCCAGGAGTTCGAGGTTACAGTAAGCTATCTATGATCATGCTACTATACCCTGGCCTTGGTGACAGAGCAAGGCCCTGTCTCTACAAAAGGAAAAGAAAGTGTGAACCACCTAAAACTCACCCCAAATTTCACAGGTATGTGAGCATATGTGAATTTTTTGTAGACAGTTTGTTGTTTTATCAGAGGCTAACAGAAGTATGGGACTCCTAAAAAGTTTAAGAACCACTAGTTAGACAAAGCATTTAAGCTGCTCCTGGTAATCTGTAGTCATGGAGAGTTATGCAGGGATGGAGTAGGGCAATGCCCTTGAAAGCTATCTGGATGTACAAGGCTTTCCTGTCCCTACGTCAAGTAACACTTAGTAAGCACTTACTAAATGCAGAGCTCTACATGGATTATCTCATTAAATCCCTCAACACTCATTGAAGAAAGAACGATAACATGAAGTCCATTATGCCCATTACAGACAGAGATAGTAATTAGGTCGAGGTCACATAGCTACCAAGGAGTGAGGCCAGATACCTATCTGGCTATGCTGGCTCCAAGCTGGCTCTCTATTATTGTGAGAAGTGGATTGAAACAAAAAGTAAATGGACTCTGACTGAGGATTCCTCTAAGAAGAGCATGTTATCAGGCCAGGCATGGTGGCTCGCACCTGTAATCCTAGCACTTTGGGAGGCCAAGGCAGGAGGATCACTTGAGCTCAGGAGTTTGAGACCAGCCTGGGCAGAATAGTGAGACTTCGTCTCTACAAAAAATTTAAAAAATTAGCTGGGCATGATGGCGCACGCCTGTAGTACCAGGTGTGAGGTAGCTGAAGTGGGAGGATCTCTTAAGACTAGCAGGTCGAGGCTGCAGTGATCTGTCATCCTGCCACTGTACTACAGCCTGGGTGACACAGCGAGACCCTGTCTCACAAAAAGAAAAAAAAAAAGAAAAAAGAAAAACAAGGATGTTATCTTCGGTTTATGGACATTGAGACATCATCAATTATGGCTGCTCAGAGACATTTCCCTCCTTTTTTCTAAGTTCTCCATTATGCTTCATACAGTTGAAGTCACTGGATAAGTGATTTCTGGGTAAATCAGGTGATGTTGTACTTATTTAATGCAATCAATGAAGGTTTCAAAGAGTTGAATGCTTTTTGACTATCTTATTGAAACACACTATTCACTGTAGGGAATCCTACATTACTATTACATTACTACATTACTATTACTACTGTAGGGAATCCTAGAGTGACTCTTTTTGCAGTGACAACCCCTAAATCCTATGGGATCATAGTTCTGCACTCCAGGTACCAGGGCTCACCCCTGGAGATTCTAATTTGGTAGGGCTGGATGAGGCTCAAATGGCTGATTTTTTATAAAGCTCCAAGATGATTTTGCTGCACAGTAGGTCTGACATTCACTTGGTAGGTTTATATTTTTACATAATTCTTCTTTTTAAGTGAGGCTGGCCTATATTTAATAACTTGAGAATGATTTAAAATAATGCACTTTTACAGCACTCACACAAGGGTAAATGCTAAATACTAACATGTTCTCTATCCACCTGATTTATGCTAGTTTTGCCGATCTTAATTTCTAACTCTGTTAGGCTGAATACTTAAAGAAGCATGTTCAATAGCACTAAAACTGTATCTGTTAGCATCTTATATACTCTGAGGCCATCTTCGTTGTAGGAGGCAATATTGCATAGACATTAAAAGTGTGGGTTCTGAAATAGAATTGCCTCGGTCAAGGACTACCTTCACTCAAGGACTAGCTGTGTGACCACAGGTCAGATGATTTAACATCGGTTCTTTAATAATCTCTTCTACAAAACTGAAATTAATAACAATATCTGTTGCATAAATTTACTGTGAGGCTACCCATATAAATTCTTTATAACATTTTGTGGTTGTAATCTCTCAACTAAGAACTCAGAATCATCTCAAAAGCTACCATTTATTTATTTATTTATTTATTTATTTTTATTTTACTTTATTTTATTTTATTTTTGAGATGGAGGCTTGCTCTGTCGCCCAGGCTGGAGTGCAGTGGTGCGATCTCGGGTCACTGCAACCTCCAACCTCCTGGGTTCCAGCAATTCTCCTGCCTCAGCTTCCCGTGTAGCTGGGATTACAGGCGTGTACCACCACGCCTGGCTAATTTTTTTGTATTTTTAGTAGAGACAGGGTTTCACCATGTTGGCCAGGCCAGTCTCAAACTCCTGACCTCCAATCATCCACCCGCCTCAGCCTCCCAAAGTGCTGGGATTACAGGCGTGAGCCACCGCGCCCGGCCAAAATCTACCATTCGAGTAGTATTATATGCTTCCTTCCAGAAAGAAACGGGCCTCATTAACAAATCTGTGCACTGAATTTCACCTGCAAAATCTCCAGACAGTGAAAGAACCTCTGGCTGTGGCTTGTAGGGGTAACACAAACCCGTTAAAGATGAGAGAAAATAGAAGAGTAACCTCAGAAAGACTTAGTGGTTTAGTAAGCAGACTTTACCCAAGACGCAGCCATGGAGAATAATTTCTTCTTCTTCTTTTTGTTTTTCTTGTTTTTTTGAGACAGCCTTGCTCTGTCACCCAGGCTGGAGGGCAGTGGCACAATCTTGGCTCACTGCAAACTCTACCTCCCAAGCTCAAGCCATCCTCCCACCTCAGCCTCCCAAGTAGCTGGGACTACAAGAGTACGCCACCACATCAGGCTAATTTTTGAATTTTTTGTAGAGATGGGGTTTTGCCATGTTGCCCAGGCTGGTCTGGAATTCCTGGGCTCAAACTATCCTTCTGCCTTAGTCTGCCAGACTGCTGGGATTACAGGCATGAGCCACTGTGCCCCACTGAGAATAATTTCTGCAGAAAACAAATTTGTTGCTCCCATTAATGATGGGTAGATAGAGCTATTAGGAGTGTGTGGAGGAGAAGGAAGAGACTCCTACTCTAATGTCTATTGTATTAATAGAACTTCATGCTGACATAGCCAAATTCTGAATTCTCACGTAGAATTTGAATAAATATAACGTTTGACACTTCATTCAAAGATTCTATGAACACTATAATTTTTTTTTCTGAAAATCACTCATTGAAAAGTCTTGCCTTTGCCTCATGGTGAGTGTGTGGGTCACCTTGTTAGCTTGATACTGCACAATATGTGGGGTCAGGGCTGGCCCCAGTTTGACATAGGCCCCTCTGTTGCTGCCAACTTCATAGTAGTTGGAGGCAGAAAAGATTGTTAATACCTACATCAAAACAGAAGAGAGACAGGTGTTCACATTCACTGAAGAAACCTTCACCCTCAATCCTATGTGGCCCAACTCAACTGCAGAAGCTGCTGTTTCTCCTAGTGCTCATCTGGGAATCCTTTTCTTTCTTTCTTTCTTTCTTTTTTTCTAAAGGCATCAATGCTAATAGGGCAAGAGTTGTGACTCAAGTCATAGAAATTTGAATTCCGATAGTTTCACAATGTATCTTCTTCACATTTTTATCCCAAGTGAAAATAGCAAGGGTCATAGAAAACACCATATTTGCTTCAACTTAGAGGCAAGCTGGGTCTGATAAACCAGGATGGCCATTACAATGAGCAAGAAGATGAGTTCTGAGAGCTGATGTGGTGCCTTAAAGCAGTTTTCTACGGAATGTTGTGGCTCCTCAGATGGTGTATGAAAAAAGTTTTCACAGTCAATACGTTGGGAAATGCTAGATACTGTATCTCTTCCTGAGGATTTACAGTGGTAGGAAACTAAAGGTACTCAGAAGTCCTGCAATAAAGAAACTTGTACAATATAACCAGTGGTATTAGGTGAGACAAATATTGTAGGATTTGGAGATGTCCAAAGATTAGTCAGGATGTTAATTGTGCTCCTGAGAAGACAAATGAGCCTGAATCCCTGCCTGGGGAGCGACCTGAAGAATAGAGGTGTGGCTGAGAAAACACTGGCCTCATATTTCCATTCATAAAATGGGACCATGTCAGTCAGGGCATTGGTGGACAGTGGCCTTAATCAAACTTTGGGTTTTAAAGAGGACATAAGAGTCAAGGATAAATGACTGTAAAGGACCTAGTTGCTTTGAGCAAGTAGGTAACAAATACAAGGTCTGTAGGTTGTTAGAAACTGAGAGCCTTTGCTCATCCAGGCCTGAGCCCTTCGGACTACTTTGGTGACACACAAGCCTGTACTGCTGCAGAGGGAGCACCCACCTTGCGGTTGTGACAGAATTCATAGCCTTCAGGTTTGCATTCATGTGAACGGATCAGGAATTGCATGTTGTATTTTTGTAGCAACTGTTGTGTCACATCAGGCCCAAAATAACAGCCTCCTCCTCGAATAGTGTTGGCCTTGCAGCCCTCTTGAGCCATGGGATCACTCCACAGGATATCTACAACCTGAGAAGACCAAGAGATGATTTCCTTCCCAAAAACTAGATACATATTCATCCACAGTCATTCAAATGAAAGGAAGAGGAGGAGGAAAATATTTGAATAAAAATAAGTGAATAAATGTCCATGCAAGCAATATTTGACATACATTTATATTTTGGACCTCTAAGGTTCCAGAATTTCTTATTACTCACAAAATGAATGTGTGCGTGCCTACATATTTGTCGACAAGCATATACCCACTTTCTTGAAAATAAATCTGATATGAAAGCTCAATATGTAAAACAGATGAAGTTGTCCTGCTAGAAGCTTTGATCATGGCCAGTAGTTGTCAGTCAGTGCCAATGCTCCAGGCTACTGGACATTTGCCCTAAAGAGAAGGCGCAAGTCCTGGGACTGGCAAGAGAGTCTCTTGCATATTCACAAGACCCCAGACGTGGTCCTGGGAAAATGCAATCGACATTTTATTTCTTAAAGTAGTTTAAGAATTTTTTTTTTTTTTTACAAATTGCAGAAGAGGCCAGGCATGGTGGCTAACACCTGTAATCCCAGTAGTTTGGGAGGCTGAGGTAGGTGGACCATTTGAGGTCAGGAGTTCAAGACCAGCCTGGTCAACATGTGAAATCCCGTCTTTACTAAAAATACAAAAAAATGAGCCAGGCATGGAGGCACACACCTGTAATCCCAACTATTCAGGAGGCTGAGGCAGGAGAATCACTGTAACCCGGAAGAGGGAAGTTGCAGTGAGCAGAGATCGTGCCACTGCACTCCAGCCTGGGTGACAGAGCGAGACTCCACCTCAAACAAACAAACAAACAAACAAATAAATAAATAAATAAATAAATAATTGCAGAAGAGTTGAGCAATTTTTCTAGCACTTCAGTTTCTACTCTATTATTAATACTCAGGAAAACAATAACTGCCAGTCATACAATACTCAGATGAAATAACTGAATAATTTTGGTTATTGTCATTTAATACTTTCTTTTCTTTTGTTTTTTTTTTTTGAGACAGAGTCTCACTCAGTTGCCCAGGCTGGAGTGCAGTGGTGCAATCTCGGCTCACTGCAACCTCTGCCTCCCAGGTTCAAGCGATTCTCCTGCCTCAGTCTCTCGAGTAGCTGAGATTACAGGCGTGTGCCACCATGCCCAGCTAATTTTTGTATTTTTTAGTAGAGACAGGATTTCACCATGTTAACCAGAGTCTGTTCTCGAATTCCTAACCTCAGATGATCCTCCCACCTCAGCCTCCCAAAGTGCTGGGATTACAGGCGTGAGCCACCACACTTAGCCAACATTTAATGCTTTCTAAAAGTACTTTTGTAAAAGAAAAACTTCATTCGATTTGTAAAGATCAAGACATTAACACTGAGTCAGTTTGCAAAAGGAAAGACCTATACTTTATAATTTCAATTCTAAATTGGTGTTGAAGCCCAGATCAATAACTGACAGAACATTAACTAAACTCACCATCTCTTTCTCCGAGGCTTCTAGACTCAGAGTCAGCTGCAACTTCTCTTTCTCACTACCCTCCATCCAATCAATCAGCAAGTTCTGCTAATTTTAGCTCTTAAATAATTCTGAATTTCTTTCTTTCTTTTTTTTTTTTTTTTTGAGACGGAGTCTCGCTCTGTCGCCCAGGATGAAGTGCAGTGGCACGATCTCGGCTCACTGCAAGCTCTGCCTCCTGGGTGCGTGACATTCTCCTGCCTCAGCCTCCCGAATAGCTGGGACTACAGGCACCCACCACCATGCCTGGCTAATTTTTTTTTGTATTTTTAGTAGAGACGGGGTTTCACCGTGTTAGCCAAGGATGGTCTCTATCTCCTGACCTCGTGATCCGCCTGTCTCAGCCTCCCAAAGTGCTGGGATTATAGGCATGAGCCACTGCGCCCGGCTGAATTCATTTCTTTATTGGGTGAACTGTATGAGATTGCCATTCTAATGGGTCAGAAATGGTTGAATACCAGCAAGTTCCTATAATTCTGTTAACACTACTACAGGCCAGGCACAGCAGCTCAGGCTGGGTGCAGTGGCTCACGTCTGTAATCCCAGCACTTTGGGAGGCCAAGGTGGGTGATTGCTTGAGCCTCAGGGGTTCAAGACCAGCCTGGGCAACATGGTGAAATGCTATCTCTTCAAAAAATACAAAAATTAGCCAGGCATGGTGGTGCACACCGGTAGTCCCAGCTACTGGGGAGGCTGAGGTAGGAGGATCATCTGAGCCTGGGAAGTACAGGCTGCAGTGAGTCATGATCATGCCACTGTACTCCAGCCTGGGCAACTGGAGTGACATTGTCTCAAAGAAAAACAAAAACAAAAACAAAACAAGCTCACAATAATCATCTCCCACCTGGATGGCTACAACAGCCTTTTCAGGGCTCTCTCTGCCATAGTCATCATCGGTGAAGTCGGCTGCCTAAGCCATCTATTTTGGCAAGTAATGTTAGCGCCTACTCAATGTCCATTCTCCTCTTCCTTCTTCCGTACTGACAGAACTGCGGGTTTGGGGTGGCAGGGTGCCTCGCTGCATACTACTTACTCTCCAAGTCTCCCCTGCAGCTAGGGGTGGCCATGTGACCCAGTTCTAGAGATCTGGGGACAGCTCTTGCCTGGTAACAGAGGAAAGAAGCTGCTGCCTAGCCCTTTTGGCCTTGAACTATGGCAGCTATATTACTGACACATTAAAAAAAATAGCACACAATAGCATCCAACAAATCATAGCTTATCTTCTTACCCTACTAGTGCTCAATCACTAACCCAAGTATCATCAGGCAATAGAGCCTAACAGCCACACATCCCCATCTTTTATAAAACTCTAAAACATATGAGTCATTAGGCAAATACTAGTGTCCTTCTGGGGTGTTGTTACCCCAGAAAGAGAAAGAGGGGCCTCAAAACATATCCTGAGTTTCCCTGGAAGGGAGAGTTTTGACCTGTTGGCAGCCACATGCTAGGAAGCAGCGCCTGGCCACGCTCACCTGCCTCCACTCCTCCTGAGTGGGCTTCCGCAGCTCTCCGGCTTCAGAGTCTGCTTCTGAGGCTGAGCGGGAGGGCTCCTCTTTCTCTCCGGTCACCAGGAGGCCTGCTTGCTGCCGGCACCGCTCTAGCTCCAGTTCCACGGAGCTCCGCACCTGCCGGGAGAGCTCCCGCCCGTCCAGGGAACCGCTGCAGGGGATGCTGGAGGACCTGCTGGTTTTCTGGGCCTTGTAGGAGCCAAGCCGAAGGGGCGAAGAGGGAAGAGAGCGGCTTTCGGGGAGAAACCATGGGATGGGTCCCTGTGCAGAGCTCTTCTGGTTGGCTCTTCTCTTCTCCTCCATCTGCTTCTCACTCTTCTGTCTCGTTTTGCACCTCATGGTGGAAACTATCTAAACACGTCCAGAAAGAGATACAGATGCTGGAATGAAACTGTAGGCCCAGACAGGTGTGGTGGCCCACTCCTGTAATCCTAGAACTTTGGGAGACTGAGCCCAGCAGAACACTCAAGCCCGGGAGTTCAAGACCAGCTTGAGCAACATGGCAAGACCGTGTCTCTACAAAAAATACAAAAAAATGAGCTGGTCATGGTGGCACATGCCTGTAGTCCCAGCTACTAGGGAGGCTGAGGTGGGAGGATCACTTGAGCCCAGAAGGTCAAGGCTGCAGTAAACTGAGATTGAACCACTGCACTCCAGCCTGAGCAACAGAGGGAGACCCTGAAAAAAGAAAGAAAGAAAGAAAGAAAGAAAGAAAGAAAAGAAACAGAGAAGCCAGGTGCGGTGGCTCACGCCTGTAATCCCAGCACATTGGGAGCCCGAGGCAGGCTGATCACCTGCCTGAATTGGGAGTTCGAGACCAGCCTGACCAACATGGAGAAACCCCATCTCTCCTAAAAATACAAAATTAGCTGGACGTGGTGGTGCATGCCTGTAATCCCAGCTACTTGGGAGGCTGAGGCAGGGGAATTGCTTGAACCCGGGAGGCGGAGGTTGCGGTGAGCCAAGATTGCACCATTGCACTCCAGCCTGGGCAACAAGAGTGAAACTCCATCTCAAAAAAAAAATAAACAATAAAAAAGAGAGAGAGAAAGAAAGAGAGAAAGAAAGAAGAGGAAGAAAAAGAAAGAAAGAGAGAGAAAGGAAGGAAAGAAGGGAAGGAAGGAAGGAAGGAACTGTAGGTCCTTTGAGAGTACCACTTTGACACCCAGGTCAGTCCTAAACACTGGTGCCCACAGACAAGTGCTGGTCGGTTCACTGTTCCTGGCCTGGGACAAGGTAAGTACAGCCCTTGAGAGTAAGTCTGAGAAACATTGACAGCAATATGACATTGTCATGACAGTCAAGCACATGATCAGTGGGCTTGTATCTTTTGTTTGTATTTCCTTTCTCTTTTTTTTTTTTAACTTTTATTTTAGGTTTGGGGGTATATGCGAAGGTTTTTTACATAGGTACACACATGTCACAGGGGGTTGTTTTACATATTATTTCATCATTTTTCTAATAATTCATATTTATTGTATTTTACGAAAGTATTGATCTGCAACAAATTGGAAGTTTATAAAACCTGGTCCTTCACATATAATTTCGAGAAACACTAACCTAGTTCATCGTTTCTGTCTGGGAGACCAGTGACTTTTTTAGACAAGGATAGGAAAGGGCAACTCTGTCTCAGGCCAGTCCTCATTGACTTTCCTGTCATTCCACAGATGCTAAAACAAAGAAAAAGAATCAAAGTATATAGGTGAGAAATAGGAAGAGGAAAAACTTGACTCTTGCTGCAGAGGAGGCAGCACTTAATGGTACTTTAGAGGAAGTGCTCTTGTACCCATTATCTTACCTGTTGGGGAAGGACAGGGGAGGGGAGGGAGCTCCTCTTTTCAGCCTGGACCTAATCAGAAAGACACTCCTTGCCACAGGGAATTGAATAGAGTCCCTCTCACTTGCGGTCATCATGGCACTGGGACTGGGCTGAGGACATAAGTGGCACGAATTCTGATCAGGGGTCAGGCCACAGAGCAGATTGTAGCAGCGAGCAAAAAGAGAGAGCAGCCATTCCTGCTGTGCCTCAGTGCTATGGTGAACCCCGAGGGGGAAGACTTCCATGGTATATCCACAATAAAGGGCTTGTTCACAAAAGGAACTCTGTGTGAGCACATAATCAAAGAACGAGAACTTTCTGCAAATAGATCTAAGGACTGTGATACAAGAAAGCCACGTCCCAGCTTGGACTGGCTTAGGGCAAGAACAAAGAAGGACACCCAGAGAGGGGCAGCAGAGCTGACTGATGTTTGAAGGACAGTCCAGAGTGAAGAGAATAGAACAGAGCTTATTATCTGACATTGGACAAGCGTTAATCACTTTCTAGGCAGTTCCAATCTTGGGCATAGAGAGTGCAAAGCCACAAAATGTAAACCAACTCATAACAACCTTCTTGCTCCTTGTTGGCACACAGTGAGGGCCAGTCCACCAGTCCCACCTCTTCCGATTCTCAGGTATTTTATTATTATATTTTTTTAGATGGAGTCTCGCTCTGTCACCAGGCTGGAGTGCAGTGGTGCGATCTCAGCTCACCAAAACCTCTGCTTTATATTCCCAAGCAATTCATATCGACTCAAACTCGTGTTCTTAATTCAAAAGAAAATCTCTGCAAATAAGCAGACCCTCCTTGTTAGAAGATGGTTTATTTAATGGTACTGGAGAAAGCCCTGATGACTAGCAAATGATTCCTCCCATTCACACACATTCCTCTCCTGGTAAGAAGTCCTATTAATGACTGTTTTCCCCATCTTATGTTTCCAGTGATTTTTAACATCCACTGTAGACTGATGTCCCACACCTTAACCTAGTGGAGGGAGGCTCCAGTACACGAGGGATTGTAACTGGCACTGCTAGGGTCACCTGCAGCCTGCAGATAGGTCTTGCTTGCCTTGCAATGTTCATAAAATTTTTAAAATGGTATTTTGACATTTGAAATTTGGAGGATTTTATATTAAGGTCTAGATTTTGCTTTAAAAGTCTCCTGAAAAATCTTCTAATACTAGCTTATAAGTGAGTAGCTGCTTCCTACTTTAACATGGGCAAAATCTGTCCAGTTCTCATCTAGGTTTGCAACCCGGCATTGTTCTGTCCCATCTTTGCTTCAACAAAAATGTAGCTCATTTACTATTTATAATAATCAGGCAGAAAAAATATTGTGCCTTCTGCTTTCAATACTATCTCTGCAATAAGGAGAAATTAACATTTATCCTTATCTTACATATGGAAAACTTAGTAATTGTAGAGTTTTTTTGTCAGATTCTTCTGGGTATTTTCTTTCTTATAATAAAAATTAGAAGCACTGGTAAGGAACAATCAGAACTGATATTCTTTTTCTATCTTTGTTAGGAGACTTACATGGCCAATTGGATGACTTAATATTTATATTTTATAAGGTATGAATGTTCAAATTAAGTTGCTTTCTTGCTCTGAGGCTTAATTTAGAAGCTCAAATTCAGTATCAATTGAACAAATGCTTAAATATTACTTGAATTTTTAAAATGTTATTATTTACTTTTATTTTTTTTTTGAGATAGGGGTCTCACTCTCACTTAGGCTGGAGTGCAGTGGTGCGATCTCGGCTTGCTCAACCTCTGCCTCCCAGATTCAAGCAATTCTCCTGCCTCAGCCTCCCGAGTAGCTGGGAGTATAGGCGCGCGTCACCACATCCAGCTAATTTTTGTACTTTTAGTAGAGACGGGGGTTTCACCATGTTGGCCAGGATTGTCTCCATCTCTTGACCTCGTGATCCGCCCGCCTCGGCCTCCCAAAATGCTGGGATTACAGGCGTGAGCCACTGTGCCTGGCCCAGGTAATTTTATTTTAAGGATGTTGTTATCTGCTCCAAGCAGCATCCCTAACTTGAGGAGATTAATAGTGTTAATATGTATTGAGCCTTTTCCAAATAGGCGCTGTTCTGGGCATTTTCTATAAATTAGTTGATTAACCACCATACCACTCCTATAAGATAGCATCTTTTATAGTACAGATAAGAAAACTGAGGCACAAAATACTAAGACTCTTCCAGGACTGAATCCAGATAGTCTGACTCTGGAGCCCATACCTCTCTGTACTTCTCTCTCAAGTAGTCCTTGGACTGTATCATTTGCTGCATCACCCTCTCTCCAGAGCTTTGCAAACCAAACATTGGGAAGTTAGTTTTTTGCTAAGCCACAGAAAATAAACTTTTCGTTAGCATTCTTTCCCAGAGTTCCTTCTTCTATGTTTACATAATTAAATATGATTCTTCCCATGAGATAATTTGCTCTACTGTGGCTTGCTGTCTCTGCCTCCAGACATACATGCAGCTGGACAGAATGTTTGAGTTGAAAGTTTGTGAGAAAATCAAGATACAACTGATGGCTAGGTGTGGTCACTTATGCCTACAATCCCAACACTTTGGGAGGCCAAAGTGGGAGAATTACTTGAGCCCAGGAATTCAAGACCAGCCTGGGCAACATAGTGAGACCCCATCCCTATAAATACTTTTTTTTTTTTTTGAGACAGAGTCTCACTCTGTCGCCAGGCTGGAGTGCAGTGGCACAATCTTGGCTCACTGCAGTCTCTGTCTCCTGGGTTCAAGTGATTCTCCTACCTCAGCCTCCTGAGTAGCTGGGACTACAGGCGCACGCTGCCATGCCCGGCTAATTTTTTTGTATTTTTAGTAGAGACGGGGTTTCACCATGTTGGCCAGGATGGTCTTGATCTCCTGACCTCGTGATCCACCCATCTCAGCCTCCCAAAGTGCTGGGATTACAGGCATGAGCCACCGCATCCAGCATAATTTTTTTTTTTTTTTGACATGGAGTCTCGCTGTGTGGCTCAGGCTGGAGTGCAGTGGCACGATCTCAGCTCACCAAAACCTCTGCCTCCCGGGTTCAAGCGATTCTCCTGCCTCAGCCTCCTGAGTAGCTGGGATTACAGATGTGCACCACCACACCTGGCTAATTTTTGTATTTTTAGTAGAGAAAGGGTTTCACCATGTTGGTCAGGCTGGTCTCGAACTCCTTACCTCATGATCCGCTGGCCTCCGACTCTCAGAGTGCTGGGATTACAGGTGTGAGCCATCACACCCGGCCCTCTACAAATAATTTTTTAAAAATTAGCCAAGCATGATTGTGTGTGACTGTAGTCCCAGCTACTCGGGAGGCTGAGGCTGGAGGATTGCCTCAGCCCAGGAGGTCAAGGCTGCAGTGAGCCGTGATCGTGGTACCACACTCCAGTCTGGATGACAGAGTGAGACCTTGTCTCAAAAACAAACAAACAAAAAAAGATATAACAGATGTGTAAGTGAAAACACTGAGTTTGGGTGTACAGGGACACAGCAATTTCTAGTTACCAAACCACAAGGAGTCATATCCTTACTTGCTAAATGGTAGCTAAGTCTAGAAACCACACATTAGGGGTGGCAGAGTAACAAGAAACCTGGGTCTCTGGACAACTTCATAGAACCAAACTGCCATTTCAGCCAACAATTGCCTATTCCAGGGTTCAAACCCAGGTCTGTCTCACTCTAAAGCCGTATTCTTTCATTTCATGTATGTCTCATATACATAGACTTTCATATCCATATCCATTAGAATTGCCCAAAGCTGAAGTAGACTGATTGTTCCCTGTCTTTGGAACTTCCCAGGAAAATGTTGTCATGGATGTTGTAGCAGCATTTCCTGTGTGGGATGAGTCAAGTTTAAGAGTTAAGTGTAAGAAAATAGAAACTTTGCTTCCTAGCTTTCCATTTCCAAAATGAAATGGAAAATAGAAATCTATTGTTATTGGTAAATCATACATTCTGTCTCATACTCTTCCACCTCCAACCCCAACACATTCTGGTTATTTTGTGTTCCTTTAGGGCAGGCACCATCTCTGTTTCATCTTTTTATCTCTGTAACACTTTCTTTGCACATAGTAAGCACTCAAAGCACATTTGTTGAGTTTAACTGAAATTGATCTTCATCTTTTTTTTCTGCCAACTAGCACGCTCTCTGGATGTAGTAGTAGGCACTAAATACATATTTCTTGACTTTAATTGAAGGTAATATGAATTATTTGGGAAACGTAGGCTCTTTAGGTGGCAATAATTGAGAGGTAGTATTTAGAATTATCTAGATCCAATGGCAGATAACACGGCACTGGTTGCTACTCCCCACTGGCATGTACATGGTAGACATGACTAAGTGACTACAGCACACTTGCCCCCTAGCCCAACTGCAGGTTCTCAATCTTTTTTTTTTTTTTAGAAACAGGTTCTCACTGTGTCCCTGCAAGATGGAGTGCAATGGCAATCAGAGCTCACTGCAGCCTCCCAAGTAGATAAGACTACAGGCCCATGCCACCACTCCCAGCTAAGTTTTTAATTTTTTTATAGAGACAAAGTTTTGCTATGTTGCCCAGACTGGTCTCAAACTCCTGGTCTCAAGCAATCTTCCTGTCTTCTAAAGTGCTGAGTTTATAGGTGTGAGACACTGTGCCCAGCCTCCATACTCTTAATGGCCTCCACACTCTTAACAGCCATAATCAGTTGACTGCAGTCAGCATGTAAGATGACATTTATATTGGCAATGAAACTGGGCATTATGGTGAAATTTGTATTATTTCATTAACCACTACCTTGCTCCTCTCTATTTTGTCCAAAAGCTCCAGATCAGTTATGTCTGACACCCCACCATGAAGAATTAGAACTTTCTCATCTATCAGAGTGGCCAGTGGAAGCCAACAGAAAACATCTTGCAGGGTTCTTAGTATTTCCTTCCCGTGTACCTGGAAAAAATGATATAAACAAAATGTTATCAAATAATTCACTCAACTTATCTGAACTGAGAGAAACTTTTGTCTTTAAAGGCAGCGCACCTTGTATTTATTCATCACTTCCTTGGTGAAGCCATATCTAGATTTAGAAGCACAAATAGATATTAGAGTAAACTGGGTGACAATAATCAGGGCATAATCACATTTTTAGAAGAATGCATATTCTGGGTATATGTACTTAAATACATAGAAAAGAGACTGAGGAATAATCACCAAAATGTTTAAAACTATGTCATTATCCCTGGGTAGAGAAATTATGGGATATTTTAATTTTCTTCCTTTTACTTATCTGTATTTCCTGCTTTACTATCATGAATCTCTATTATTTATATGATAGAGTATGTGTATGCAAAAACAAATTCAATGGTTTCATTGGAATAGTAAAATAATGTGTAAATTAAAAAAAAAATCTGGGCTGGGCATGGTGGCTCACGCCTGTAGTCCCAGCACTTTGGGAGGCTGAGATGGGCGGATCGCGAGGTCAGGAGATCGAGACCACCCTGACTAACACGGTGAAACCCCGTCTCTACTACAAATACAAAAAATTAGCCGAGTGTGGTGGCAGGCTCCTGTAGTCCCAGCTACTGAGGATGCTGAGGCAGGAGAATGGTGTGAACCCAGGAGGCAGAGCTTGCAGTGAGCCGAGATCGCACCACTGCACTCCAGCCTGGGTGACCAAGCGAGACTCCGTCACAAAAAAAAAAAAAAAAAAAAAAAAAATCTGGGCTGGACACGGTGGCTCATGCGTGTTATCCCAGCACTTCGGGAGGCTGGGACGGGTGTATCACCTGAGGTCAGAAGTTCGAGACCAGCCTGACCAACATGGTGAAACCCGTCTCTACTAAAAATACAAAAAAAAATTAGCCGGGCGTGGTGGCAGGTGCCTGTAATCCCAGCTACTTGGGAGGCAGAGGCAGGAGAATCGCTTGAAACTGGGAGGTGGAGGTTGCAGTGTGCCAAGATTGTGCCATTGCACAGCCTGGGCAACAAGAGTGAAACTCCATCTCAAAAAAAAGAAAATCTGGCTGTGTGCGGTGGCTCACGTCTGTAAATCCCAGCACTTTGGGAGGCCAAGGGGGTGCAGATCACTTGAGGTCAGGAGTTTGAGACCAGCCTGGCCAACATGGTGAAGCCCTGTCTCTAATAATACAAAAATTAGCTGGGCATGGTGGTGCGTGCCTGTAATCCTGGCTACTCGGGAAGCTGAGGCAGGAGAATCACTTAAACCCAGGAAGCAGAGGTTGCAGTGAGCCAAGATTGCACCTGCACTCTAGCCTAGGCGACCGAGTGAGACTCTCTCCAAAAAAAAAAAAAATTTTTTTTTGAATGTTATATACTGTGTATTCTGCTTTTTAAAAAAATTGGAAAACTAGTTTTAAAGGCATTTAACAAATAAGAAGTTCTGGAGAAATAACATTTTACAATTACAACAAACAAACATCAAATACTCAAGCATGTTTTGACTTGTACCGTAAGTTCACCATATGGTCCTCATGGTTTCCTCTGTTAAGATGGAACTCTTTGGGGTAAACCAGCATGAAGGCAAAAAGAATCATCAGGATCTCTACTGAATCCTTGCCTCGATCCACAAAGTCACCGTTGAACACATATGACCGTTCTGGCGACGGGAGGCCATTCTTTTCAACAAGGAGACCAGTGAAAGAATGAATGGGAGGAAGGAAATAGGAAATCAGGTTAAAACCAATAGGCATTTGACAATCACATCATGTCTAACACCAATTCTGTGCTTTCTAGGTCTCCTCCAAGCCTGAAATGTCAGTAAATGATGGAAGTATCTTCTATTGGTCTTATATTTCCTTTCCAGAGAGGCTAAGGTTAGGAGATGCTCCTTTAGACAAAGCCTGAGTGTTGCCATGTGGTGTGGAGCAAAGGGCACCAAACTTGTGATCCAAAGGCCAGTTTTAAGTCCTGGCCACACTATCTTTAACTAGAAATAATAATACTTGCCATAGATTTCTCAGGATTAAACAAGATAATGCATGGGAAAATGCTTTGGGAAATGTAGTATGTGTAGAAAGTAATATTCCATTAAAAAATATTATACTCATCTCCCTTGCTATATGTTCTACACATTATAACTAAAATATATATGAAAATAGCTTTTGGTTGTTTTGATAATAATCAGTTTTCTTTATGTGAAAGAAAGAAAATCAATTGCTAAATATTTATTTATTTATTTATGTTTTAAGAGACAGGGCCTCACTATGTTGCCCAGGCTGACCTCAAACTCCTGGCCTCAACGATCCTCCCACTTTAGCCTCCCAAATGCTGGGATTACAGGCATGAGCCACTGCACCTGGCCCCTTCTAGTTATTAACCAAACATTTTAAGTTTGTTAAATAGTTTGCAAAAATGTACTAGAATATAATGCAATGCTGACTTTTCTATTATTTATTTGCTGCAACAGAGTAGCAAATATTATTAAAAATAATATCTTAGGCTGGGCACAGTGGCTCACGCCTGTAATACCAACACTTTGGGAGCTGAGGTGAGTGGATCACTTGAGCTCAGGGGTTCAAGACCAGCCTGGCCAACATGGCCAAACCCCGTCTCTATAAAAAATATAAAAAATTAGTCCATCGTAGGCCAGGCGCGGTGGCTCACACCGGTAATCCCAGCACTTTGGGAGGCTGAGGCAGGTGGATCATGAGGTCAGGAGTTCGAGACCAGCCCGGCCAAGATGGTGAAACCCTGTCTCTACTAAAAATACAAAAATTAGCCGGGCGTGGTGGTGCACGCCTGTAGTCCCAGCTACTTGGGAGGCCGAGGCAGGAGAATCACTTGAACCTGGGACGCGGAGGTTGCAGTGAGCCGAGATCGTGCCATTGCATTCCAGCCTCGGCGAGAAGAGCGAAACTCTGTCTTAAAAAAAAAAAAATTAGGCCATTATGAGACAGGTTAGTTTTACCCTACTGATGATCTGTTGTTGCCATGGTAATCCTGCTCAGTACCAACCCGCAGGTTCAGACATTCGGTGTATGTGCTTGGCTAAGGAGCCAATGGGACAAAGCTACCCTCTGTGGGATTTTGACTGAATGCCTCTAAGTCAGAATCCCGCCCAGGCTGAACCACAGGGCAGCGCTGCAGGGCCTCAGTTGGCCTCGGATAGCCAGTCTCCCAATGGCCTGGGATAGCCAGTCTCCTGCCATCCCCGCCGGCCCGCAGTTCGGCTCAGCAAGCGCGCAGGTACCCGAGGCCGGTGCGGAGAGTCCCTCCTCCTGGGAAACCGGGTGCGGCCGGAAAGGCGGCCGCCCCTCACCCGTCATGCAACGGCACGTTCGTGGGGAACCTGACATTAAACTGTTCGTAGATGACCTGCTTCTGGGTCAGGATTTCGCACTGAGCAGAGCAGCTCCCTCGCTGTGATCTACTGAAAGTCAGCCCTCGACACAAGGGTTTGAAAAAGAAAAAGTGAAAAAAATAAAGAAATTAGGGCATGTTGGCATGCACTAGTGGTCCCAGCTACTCGGGAGGCTGAGGTGGGAGGATTGCTTGAACCTGGGAGGCAGAGGTTGCAGTGAGCCTAGATCGCACCACTGCACTCCAGCCTAGGTGGCAGATTGAGACCCCCATCTCAAAAAAATAAAAATAAATAATAATATTTTAAAACTTCAAGTAATATTTAAGCATTTGTTCAATTGATACTGAATTTGAGCTTCTAAATTAAGCTTCAGAGCAAGAAAGCAACTTAATTTGAACATTCATACCTTATAAAATATAAAGATTAAGTCATCCAATTGGCCATGTAAGTCTCCTAACAAAGATAGAAAAAGAATATCAATTCTGATTGTTCCTTACCAGTGCTTCTGATTTTTATTATAAGAAAGAAAATACCCAGAAGAATCTGACAGAAAAAACCCTACAAAGTTTTCCATATGTAAGATAAGGATAAATATTAATTTCTCCTTATTGCAGAGATAGTATTGAAAGCAGAAGGCATAATATTTTTTCTGCCGGATTATTATAAATAGTAAATGAGCTACATTTTTATTGAAGCAAAGATGCGATAGAATAGTGCAAGGTTGCAAACCTAGATGAGAACTGGAGAGATTTTGCCCACGTTAAACTAGAAAGCAGCTACTCACTTATGAGCCAGTGTTAAAAGATTTTTCAGGAGACTTTTAAAGCAAAATCTAGATCATAATATAAAATCCTCCAAATTTCCAATGTTGAAATACCATTTTTAAAAGTTTATGGGCCGGGCGGGTGGCTCACGCCTGTAATCCCAGCACTTTGGGAGGCTGAGACGGGCGGATCACGAGGTCAGGAGATAAAGACCATCCCGCCTAACACGGTGAAACCCCATCTCTACTAAAAATACAAAAAATTAGCCGGGCGTGGTGGCGGGCGCCTGTAGTCCCAGCTACTCGGGAGGCTGAGGCAGGAGAATCGTGTGAACCCGGGAGGCGGAGCTTGCAGTGAGCCGAGATTGCACCACTGCCCTCCAGCCTGGGCGACAGAGCGGGACTGTGTCTCAAAAAAAAAAAAAAAAAAAACTTTATGAACATTGCAAGGCAGGCAAGACCATCTGCAGGCTGCAGGTGACCCTAGCAGGGCCAGTTACAATCCCTCCTGCACTGGAGCCTCCACTAGGTTAAGGTGTGGGATGTCTGTCTACAGTGGATGTTAAAAATCACTGGAAACATAAGATGGGGAAAACAGTCATTAACAGGACTTCTTTCCAGGAGAGGAATGTGTGTGGATGGGAGGAATAATTTGCTAGTCATCGGGGCTTTCTCAAGTACCATTAAATAAACCATCTTCTAACAAGGAGGGTCTGGTTATTTGCAGAGATTTTGTTTTGAATGAAGAACATGAGTTTGAGTCAGTAGGAATTGCTTGGGAAAATAAAGCAGAGGCTGGGCCCTGAGGTCCATGATCCCCTTCGCTGCACCACCACCTCTTTTTTAGGTAAATGTGGAGTGAATATGCAAATTGTGGACCTGAAGGGGTTAAATTTGGCTTATCATCACATCTCCCTGCAGCCCGCCACTCCTCTTGCATCCCCACACAGGTAGAGCATTCTTCTTTGTGTGCAGCATGGAAAGCCGTTTCTGACCAGCTCTTACCACACACTGTGATCTCCTCACTGTAACAGGTTGAGACCCGGTTGATGTTTGGCAGCTGTACCAGATGTTTCTTGGTTTCATACAAAAGGTTCAAGACGTAGCGAGCATGGAGCTGCTACTGGGAGGAAGAGGAGGGAAGGAAGAAAACAACACTGATATTCGTGAGGGAAAATGGTCCTTACCTTTACTGCTTAACAACCCCCATCACCTAAGACCCCAAAAGTAACCCCAGTAAACTGCTCCTGGGACTATGCACGGATTCTTTCTTTATCACTCAACTTCTGCCCTTGTTTCTGCTTCTCATCATTCCCACTTGCCCCCCCTGCAAATATTGAGCTACTTTTCTCTTTCCTTTCTACTCTATTAAATGCTTCCTTGCCTTTAGCATGGGAAGACCATGTGATTGTTTCAGTAAAGTATGACTAAGTGCAGGTGTGTTGATGGTACTTAGTGATCCTGTCATTACTGGAATATATCAGCTCAGCTCCTCCTGCAATGAGTTACATTCATGTGGAAGAGGGGAAGGATTGAATTCTGATATAGAGCCAGAAGCTGACTATCTCGCTACCTCTACCCTACCATCAGAGTTCCAAGCCACTGTCATCTTTCGCTTGGACGATTGCAGTAGTCTCTTGACTGGTCACCCTACTTTGGCCCTTGCCGCCTACACTGTCTTAACACAGCAACCAGAATGATTATTTTAAAAAACAAGTCAGGGCTGGGTATGATGGCTCACGCCTGTAATCCCAGCACTTTGGGAGGCTGAGGTAGGCAGATCATGAGGTCAGGAGATCGAGACCATCCTGGCTAACATGGTGAAACTCCATCTCTACTAAAAATATAAAAAAATTAGCCGGGTGTGGTGGCGGGTGCCTGCAGTGGCAGTTACTCAGGAGGGTGAGGCAGGAGAGTCGCTTGAACCCAGGAAGCGGATGTTGCAGTGAGCCGAGATCGCGCCACTGTACTCCAGCCTGGATGACAGAGCGAGACTCTGTCTCAAAAAAACAAAACAAAAAAACAAGTCAGATTATGTCATTCCTATGTCTGCTGTCTCCCTGTCTCTTTTGGAAGAATAAAAGTCCACCCCCTCACCTCCATTACTCTTCCCCTGGCTCCCTCTTCTCCAGCCACAGTGGCCTCCCGAGGTTCGTGAACAGTCCAGGCAAGTTTCTGCTTCAGGGCTTTTCCATGTGTTCCTCCCTCTACCTGGAACGCTCTTTCTCCGGCGCATTCCTCACCACCTTAGATCTTTGCTCAGAAATCACCTTCCCAGACAACTCTATAAAATTGCTATTTCTTCCATCCATAACTTAGTTTATTCTTTTCCATAGCTCTCATCGCCTTCTAATATACTGCATAATTGTCTTATTTATTGTTATTTATTGTTCATTGTCTGCCTCCCCGATGGAATGCCAGCCCCATAAGGGCAGAGATTTTATCTGTTTTGTTCACTGCTGTATCCTCAGTGCCCAGAGCAATGTGGGGCACACAGCAGTGCTCAGTAGTTATGTGTGGGATGAATGAACAATGAGAGATTATGTGATTAGGAAGAAAAGCTGTCAATCATCAGAACTGGCTGATTGACTGCAAGGTCCTGGCTAAGCACAGCAGGGGTAGAATCTCTCTAGTGGACACATGACATGAACACCCTAAATCTGGGGCCATTCTTTCTGTGCTGGGTTTCGTCTCCCTTCACACATTTCATGGAGTTGGTAGTGACCCAGGTTCCCCAGGTGAGCTTACTTGTTTCAGTCTGAATGCTTCTACCAGGGCAGTTGCATGGTCAGGCAGGAGTGGGAAGGAGAGGCGTGGCCCCGTGTAACTGTCGGGTACCTCTATGGATTCATAGTCACTGCATTTCTTCATCTCGGAGTCCTGGGCGAATCTGTCCTCAGTGAATATGCGGGTCAGGAAGTCCCCTAGTCCAGATAGAAAAGGTGGATCAGCTTATGATCATCTGATCATGCAGTCTGTGGGCACTATAGAATAGTCCTTGGCTGGGCACGGTGGCTCTCTAATCCCAGAAATTTGCGGGGCCAAGGAGGGAGGATTGCTTGAGCCCAGGAGTTTGAGAACAGCCTAGGCAACATAGGGAAACCTTGCCTCTACAAAAAAAATTTAAAAATTTAGCCAGCCATGGTGTCACACACCTGTAGTTCCAGCTACTCAAGAGGCTGAGATGGGAGGATCACATAAGCCTGGGATGCAGAGGTTTCAATGAGCAGAGATGATACTACTGCACTCCAGCCTGAACGATAGAGTGAGACCCTGTCTCAAAAAAAAAAAAAAAAAGTCCTTCCCTGGACTATTGAAGCAGGACATGGTTAATCTGGCTTCAGCTTCAGCTCCAGCACAGAAGAGGAAAAAGGAAGGAGAAAGTGACAACAGTCTAGGATGGGCAGGAGGAAAAAGTCATGCTTTCTACTTTTATTCTAAAAGATCAAGATTTGTCAGACTTAGAGAGTACAGAAATTTAGGGACCTGGATTTGCAAGCAGAAGGAAAGGGGAAAGCCAGTGTGGAAAAATCACAGGTATTTATGTTGCATTTAGTGAGCGCAACAGGTGCATCAGACCTGGCAGTGCCTTCCAGCAGCTTCCAGCTGCCAGCATTGGCATCTCCAGACTGAGGACTTATTTCCTGGATCCGGATGGCAGGCCAGAAATGCTATGGAATTAACAACCTCCTGGCTTGGCTCAGTGGTTCACGCTTGTAATGCCAGCACTTTGGGAGGCCGAGGCAGGTGGATCGCTTGAGGCCAGGAGTTCAAGACCAGCCTGGTTAACATGGTGAAAGCCCATCTCTACTAAACATATAAAAAATCAGCCAGGTGTGTTGGTGCACACCTGTAATCCCAGCTACTTGGGTATCTGAGGTTCAATCACTTGAACCCGGGAGGTAGAGGTTGCAGTGAGCCAAGATCATGCCACTGCACTCCAGCCTGGGTCACAGAACGAGACTCTGTCTCAAAAAAAAAAAAGAAAAGAAAAGAAAAGAAAAAGCCTCCTTCCTATACTTCTCTCCCACCTCCCCAGCCGCTTTCAACCAATGACTCCTGGAGTTGACACAGAAAAACTCCAGTTCCCTTTGCCTGCAGGGGGTATAATTCTGAGGCTTGCGTTTTGCACTGTTTCCTAGGCACACTGAGTTGCTGGACTGGCTGCGATTCCTTTCCTGAATCCCTTCCCCACTCCCTCCCACCCCCAGGGTTTCTTGAACTTAATAAATGAATTCCTTGCGTCCAAACTCTTGTCTCCAGGTGTGTGTTCAGGAGAACCTGGCATAAAACCCCAGTCTGCCATTTACTCCTCAGCCCCTTGCTTATTCCCTGGCTGTCACCAGATTCACGGTTTCACTCCCTGTGCATCCCCCACCTCACCGTGTAATCTATGGCCTTGCGACAGGAGGACATGACATGTGGCAGTTCATACTCACTGTCGTTGTGGCTGCTGGGGATGAAGTGATCCATGAGATAGCTGAAGAAGTCATGGAGCTGCAGAAGAACCCAAGGAGACGTGGCTTTAGAGGTGAGCGAAAAGAGAACCCACAAGTAGTCCAGTTGGCCTCACTTTAGGAGCACCCGAGCCCTGCTGCCCAAGGGAGAGCAGGAGGCGGCTCCGTCCCACATCTCATTGTACCTTGACTTGGTCTTGCTGCCCAGCATATTCTATAGACTGGAAGATGCTCCAGGTGCAACGCCGCCTCATCTCCAGGCGGGCCACGTAGCGCCGGTACCATCTCTGGATCAGGGCTGCTGCCTTGAAGGCTATGACACCGATGGAGAAGCAAGCCTGTGAGCTCGGACTCCCTGGGCCAGGGGTTTGGGGGTAGGGAGAGGAAGCTGCTCAGCCCTCTCCCACTGTATATGTGAGGACAAGATGGAGCAGAAGCACTACCCATTGACGCCCATAGGAAGTATTTCCCTTTCTGCTGGCAATAGTGCTTTTCCCCATTTCCTGCCCCTCCCCTTCATTCCTGCCTGATGGTTATACTCATATCACTGTAGGTTGATTAGAATTCCCATGTATTGATGAAAACATTTCTGTATAGGGATGAAAAGGTTGGACTGCCAGGATTCCGAGAAGGAGATGTAAACTCATGAGATTGCAAGGATGCAGCATCCCTGACAGGTTATAATGCGGGGGTGGGGTGGACATTTTGATATTGTGACAATAGACTGGATGTCAGGACACCTGGGATCTAGACCTAGAACTGCCCTGACAAGCTCTGTGGTTTCAGACAAGTCATCTGGGGCCTCAATGTCCTCATCTGGAAAAGGGGCGGGGCCAGATGAAGACTAGGAAAAGCAAACAATAAACGAATACTCAAATGAATGCATCATACGATGTCAGGGGGTAGCAACTGTGTCCCAGCTCCCATGCTTGCCATCCCCAGTTCCATGATATCCCTACAGGCTTTAAGCACCCCCGTCATAAGATAGACAGCACTGACCATGCAGTCCCCCACATGGCCACTGGGCCTCTCATTTTTGCCAGGACCTGTGCTAGGTGACCAGGTAGGGCAGGTTAGGGTGTGGAGTTTCATTCTTTATATAAGGTTTAGGACCTGTGTGGTCAAGTATTGTTGCCAGAGAAGGGAACAGCTGTCCACATAACTAGATTCTTTTTAAGCTCCAAGGCTTAGATACACTGCTGGTGATGAATGGACTATTTGTGGATAAAGCTGGATTAGAAATCCTGCAGGCTGGATTAGAAATCCTGCAGGCTGACTCAGGTCAACCTCATAAAGAGTAGACAGATTGATTTAATATGTTTCGTTTGCATTAGACAGATAATAGAATTCTTGCTGATTTCCCTAAGAGGAAAGATGATGGTGACATGGGAAAAGAGAAGCTGGGAGGAACTTAAACAAAGATAAATTTGATTTCCTATGAAAAAAATTCATACTACTAGTATTTCTCAAAGGCACTCACTAAATAGTAAGCGATGAGGTTGAACCCCACTGACTGACTTCTGTAAAACCATGTTCAGAATAGTGAATGAGGCTGGGCGTGGTGGCTCACACCTATAATCCTAACACTTTGGGAGGCTGAGGCTGGTGGATCACCTGAGGTGAGGAGTTCAAGACCAGCCTGGCCAATATGGTGAAACCTCATCTCTACTAAAAATACAAAAATTAGCTGGGCATGGTGGCAGGCATCTGTAATCCCAGCTACTTGGGAGCCTGAGGTAGGAGAATCATTTGAACCTGGGAGGCAGAGGTTGCAGTGAGCCGAGATCGTACCACTGCACTTTAGCCTGGGCTAGAGACTCTGACACACACACACACACACACACTCACACACAAAAGAGAATAGTGAATGAAAGGTCCAGGGCTGGTGCTACAGATTCTTTAGAGATTCCTGGTAAACATGCAGGTTGCTACACCTCACCCTGGACCTGTAACATCAGAATCTCTACCGCTGGAATCCAGGAAGGAATCTGAAGGTTTAACAAGCTCCATACATAATTCATACTTGTGCTAAAGTTTAAGGACCACTGAAGAAGATCATGGACATCAATGTTGTCTGCTAACACCTTGCCCTGAGCATTCTATGGCCAGTGCTGCCAATGATGAGACATACGTATTACATCCTCAGTCTTGCTTTGGCTACTCAGGCAGCAGAAGTGGGCAACACCTTTCATTCTCCCTCTTTTTTTCTTCCTCCCGGTTGACTATCTGGTAGGGTGTGGTGGGGAGCTGGCTTGCTTTCAATTGAGATGGGCTCTGGGAAGTGCAGGATCTTTTAATATCCTTTATCCCATCATGTATTTTTAATAGCACAATGCAAAAATGTATAGGCCCCTCTTACTTGGGCCATGTGTAAACTAAATTATTAGGGTACAAGTTACAAATACACCTGGGCTGTAAAAACTCTACATATAACAACACTGTGAGAAAATTGTGAACCAAGGCAATGCACAGTAGGGTATGGGAGAATAGGTAAATTATTTAAGAAAGATAGAACAGAGAATTTTTTTGATGGTTACCCTCTTATTTTTATTATCTTTGTCAAGAATATTTATGTCTCTATATACAACACTGATTTAAAGGAAAAAAATGATGCCTCTAGGAAGAAGTACCTTTCTGTAATGGAAGTATAAGCTTGCCAAAAGGTGCAATAAAAACTTAATGAATTATGACATCCCTTTAAGGAAAATAGAGAGCCTAATATCGACTTCCAATAAGAAATGGCATGCTTAAGCAGATGTAGGACTCCCTCACACTCCAACACATTAAGAAAAGCTGCATAAAATAAGCTAAATTTCTTTTTAACCAATAGTTGAAATCAAAAGCATTGAAGGGAGATCTCCGGGTGCCAGAAATGAAGACGGAACCCATAGCCAAAGGCAGTTAGAGGCACTGAAGTCAGGCAGGCCCCAGGGGAATCTCAACCAGACACATGTCTCAGGAGCTGGGGTTTAACACCTGTATGGGGATGAGAGTGAGTTCCTGGGTTCTGTGCATGGCAGGGAGTGGTAACTGGACTGTCTGTGAAAAGGCAGGAGCTGGGGAAGTTTCTGTACCTTGCGTGATCTAATAAATCTCTGCCTACCGGCCCCTGTGGTAGCAGGAGCTGAGCTGACCTAGAACTCAGTGAGATAGAAAGTCTCAGCCTGTGGCGTGTGTGGGTTGAATTCGTGTTATTCACAAGATAAGGAAACCCTGAGCTGAAGCTAATTCCAAAATTGGTCCAAACAAGTGACAAACTGGGAAAAAATATTTGCAATTTATATCACAGTTGATATCCCTACCATATTAGAAATGATTTCACTCGGTCACCCAGGCTGGAGGGCAGTGGCATGATCATAGCTCACTGTAGGCTTGAACTCCTGTGCTCAAGCAATCCTCCCACCTCAGGCTCCTGAGTGTCTAGGACTACAGAGGTGCTCGCCACCACACCCAGCTAATTAATTTTTTTTTTTTTTTTTTTGCTGGGCATGGTGGCTCACTTCTGTAATCCCAGCACTTTGGGAGGCCGAGGCGGGCAGATCACCTGAGGTCAGGAGTTCGAGACCAGCCTGGTCAACATGGTGAAGCCCCGTCTCTACTAAAAATTCAAAAAATTAGCCGGGCATGGTGGCACCCGCCTGTAATCCCAGCTACTTGGGAGGCTGAGGCAGGAGAATCGCTTGAACCCAGGAGGCGGAGGTTGCAGTGAGCCGAGATTGTGCCATTGCAATCCAGCCTGGGCCACAGAGGGAAACTCGGTCTCAAAAACAAAAAAAAATTTTTTAGGTTGGGCACGGTGGCTCACGCCTGTAATCCCAGCACTTTGGGAAGCCGAGGCAGGCGGATCACCTGAAGTGAGAGTTCAAGACAAGCCTGGTCAACATGGTGAAACCCAGTGTCTACAAAAAACACAAAAATTAGCCAGGCGTGGTCGCGGGCGCCTGAAATCCCAGCTACTCGGGAGGCTGAGGCAGGAGAATCGCTTGAACCCAGGAAGAGGAGTTTGCAGTGAGTAGAGATCGTGCCACTGCACTCCAGCCTGGGCGACAGAGCAAGACTCCGCCTCAAAAAAAAAAAATTTTTTTTTTGTAGAGATAGGATCCTTGATCTGTCGTCCAGGCTGGTTTCAAACTCCTGGGCCCAGGTGAGATTCTCTCATCTCAGCCTTCTAAAGTGCTGGGATTACAGGTGTGACCCACAACTCCTGGCCTATTGTTTTAAAAAAAAAATTGTTAGATTGGCCACTAGAGGGAGCTCATGCTTCCTTCTTCCCACCTCATGACCTTTGGACGTGCTCTACCCTCTGCCTGGAATGTGTTTCATCCCCTCTTTGCCCAACCTTATTTCATTCATTTGTACCTGGGTAGTTTGGGATCAACCCCAATGGACAACACTAACTTCCTGAGCGAATGTTAATTCTGTCAAATATACTTCAACTGGACATTTTGGTGGGCATGTCACAAGGAGGAGAAGCTGACCTCTAAGAGCTGGCCTGAGGAGAAATTTAAGGGTTTTTCTGCTTCTACCCTCAGAACCCCCAACCCTCTCCATGCAATATGGGCTTTGTGGTACCCACAGCTGGTTTGGAAAGTGGGAAACACGTACCTCTCTCTGCATTCTGGAAAGCAAAATGATGTTGGGTGGAGGTGCCGCTTCCCATAGTTTAAGCGCAATGCTCCTGCAGGACGCAGCAGATCCAGAGGACAGTGAGCTGTTTGCTGACAAAATGAAGAGAGAATCTGTAATAGGAGATGCAGGCAGAGTATTAAATCGGGTGGGCCAAATTGTCTATGAATCATGTGAGAGTATCCTCTCCACCTCTCCAGTCTAAGTGCACAAGATGTTCCTCCCCTGAGAGTTCCCTCCATTTGTCATTCCCTAGGTCTCCCGTTTTCAACCTTTCCACTGCCTTTTCCTTTCAGTCTAGAAACATACTGAAATCTCTTATTTTGCATTCTCAAAGCAATTCATCCGCCACCTCCTCCTCCCTTGACCTCCTATATTCCTCTAACTGTCACCCAACCTCTCTTGTCTTCTCATCCAGATTTATCTCAAGGGTAGACTACAGTTTTCTCTTTACTTCCTCTCAAAATCACCTTTTTCATCCTCACTATTGATCAAAGCCTTTCCTGATGCCTCTAATGTCTTCATCTTTTCAGTCCTTACCTTGCCAGAACAGCAAGGCCATCTGTCTCCATAGGCCACACCTTTCTTTCTTTCTTTCTTTCTTTTTTGAGACAGAGTCTTTCTCTGTCACCCAGGCTGGAGTAGTGCAGTGGCACAATCTTGGCTCCCTGCGAGCTCCGCCTCCTGGGTTCACGCCATTCTCACCCCCTCAGCCTCCCGGTTAATTTTGTTTTTGCATTTTTAGTAGAGACGGGGTTTCGCTGTGTTAGCCAGGATGGTCTCTATCTCCTGACCTTGTGATCCGCTTGCCTCGGCCTCCCAAAGTGCTGGGATTACAGGCGTGAGCCACTGCGCCTGGCCAGGCCACACCTTTATTTCAATTCTACACCTTGAGCTTCTGTGATACTAAACTCTTATGTTTACTCCCATCTTCCTGACTACTTACTGTCTCTGCTTCTTGAGCTCATTTTCCTCTGTCTGTCCCTTATATGTTGATTTTTATTTGCATTCTAGTCTCAAATATCTGTTGATCTCACGTGGTATATGCTCCCTGGCTGGTTTAATTAACTCTCACATTTTCAGCTATCACTTCCTACCTCTTAGATCTCTGTCTCCATCCCAGATGATCCCTAAACTTCAGCCCCACATATTCAGCTCCCTGCTAAACACTTTGATTGGGGTGTCTCAGACTCCAAACAGAACCCATCTTCCAGGCCATGTGCAGTGGCTCATGTCTGTAATCCCAGCACTTTGGGAGGCCAAGGTGGGCTGATCACTTGAGACCAGCCTGGCCAACATGGTGAAACCTCATCTCTCCTAAAAATACAAAAGAATTAGCTGGGTGTGGTGGTGCACACTTGTAATCCCAGCTACTTGGGAGGCTGAGGCAGGAGAATGGCTTGAACCTGGGAGGCAGAGGTTGCAGTGAGCCAAGATGTGTAACCACTGCACTCCAGCCTGGGCGACAGAGCAAGACTCTGCCTAAAACAACAACAACAACAACAAATCTTCCCCAAAAGCCTCGTCTGCCGAGACCAGCTCAGTCAGGGAGACCCTAACCCAGCGGTGCTAGAGGAATTAAAGACACACACACAGAAATATAGAGGTGCGAAGTGGGAAATCAGGTGTCTCACAGCCTTCAGAGCTGAGAGCCCTGAACAGAGATTTACCCACGTATTTATTACCAGCAAGCCAGTCATTAGCATTGTTTCTGTATATATTCGATTAACTAAAAGTATCCCTTATGGGAAACGAAGGGATGGGCCGAATTAAAGGAATAAGTTGGGCTAGTTAACTGCAGCAGGAGCATGTCCTTAAGGCACAGATCACTCATGCTATTGTTTGTGGCCTAAGAATGCCTTTAAGCGGTTTTCTGCCCTGGGCGGGCCAGATGTTCCCTGCCCTCATTCTGGAAAGCCCACCACCTTCCAGCATGGGCGTTATGGCCATGATGAACATGTCACAGTGCTGCAGAGATTTTGTTTATGGCCAGTTTTGGGGCCAGTTTACGGCCAGATTTTGGGGGGCTTGTTCCCAACATTCGTCTCTCTTCTCTCCTTTCTTCAAACTCTGTGCTTTAACTACCATGACCTCTGTGTTTCTGCTCTTACCTGGAATGTTCTTTCTATCCCACTTCTCTTAAGCTGGCTAACTTTATTCATTGCTAAAGGCTCACTTTAAGTATCACCTTCCTTAAAGAAGCCAGCTTGACCTGCTCCTCCTCTGAGCTCCTGAATATCCTGTTCACATTTCCATCACTGCAATACCATATTACAGTCTTTAATCTTGTATCTCTCTACTATTAGACTGTGAGTTCCTTCAGAGAAAGACTGTAAGCAAATTCATCATTTTATCCCCAGGATTTAGCACAGTGCCTGACATGTAGTAGGGATTCCATAAATATTAACTGAATAAACTTTATGCCTTATTTATTTTTTGCTGACACATAATAATTATACATATTTATGGGATACAATGTGATATTCTGATACATGTATACATTGTGTGATCAAAGCATAGTAATTGGCATATCCATCACCTTAAACATTTATTATTTCTTTGTTATGAGGACATTCAAAATTCTCTCTTCTAGCTATTTGAAATATACAATGCATTATTGTTAGATATAGTCATGGTACTGTACAATGGAGTGCCAGAACTTATTCCTTCTATCTAACTGTAACATTGTACCTGTTAATCAACTTTCCTCATCTCCTGCTTCCTTCTATTTTCCCCAGTCTCTAGTAATCATTACTCTATGCTCAACTTCCATGATCTCAACTTTTTTAGCTCCCACATATGAGTGAGATCACGCAGTATTTGTCTTTCTGTGCCTGGCTTATTTCACTTAACATAATGTCCTCCAGGTTCACCCATATTGTCACACAGAACAGGATTTCATCCTTTTTATGGCTGAATAGTATTCCACTGTACATATATACTACATTTTCTTCATCCATTCATCCACTGATGGGCATACAGGTTGATTCTATGTCTTGGCTATTGTGAATAATGTTACAATAAACATGAGTATGCAATTGTCTCTTCAAAATACTGATTTTGCTTCCTTTGGATATACACCCAAAGTGTAGTGGGATTGCTGGATCATTATGCCATATTTCTTTTTATACAACAAAGATGACACTTTCTCTAGTTCTTCTTCAGGAGGTAATGTGAGATGTACTGACTTAACATCAAGAGCGAATCCCACTTCTTTTACTCTTTTCTCTACCTCATTTCTACCCCACTCTCCTCCGCTATTTTTGAAGGTTGTGATACTGGGGATTATCAAAGAGTTGTTGTCTTTTTCTCTGAAAATCAAAATTAAAGTCTTACCTTGCTTATGTTGGCTAGTTTATTTTGAATAAACAACCAGAGGAAAAAAGACTGTGATCTCTTTTTGTGTGCAAAATGGTTCCTAGTTCTATGAGATGTCATGATACCAGAATCTGAGTTTGGGGTAAAGTGAGAAGCCATCATGTCCAAACCAACAAAACTGCTCCTAAATATTTGCACAGTTTTAGAACTAGAAGGGACTTCAGCAATGATTCTGCTTGTCAATGACTCACAAGTTGCTTTGATACATTGGTAACTTGCCTGCATAGCCAAGTTGTGTATTTAAGAGTGTTTGATGTGGGTGAGAATTTTTGTTCACCTTCTCACTCAATTTTGGGCACTTAAGCTCTCAGAGACTCAGTTTTCTCATCTATGTATCTTCAAGGATCATAAATGATATATTTAAAGTGCTTTCTATACAATAAAACCTCAATATATGTTGATGGACTGAATCTGATGTCATATTTATTTTAAAATATCAACAACCAAAAATATGTTCTTGGAGGCAGTAAAAGGCATACTATTTCAATGCTGCATGAATCAGCAGGATGGATACTGATTATTGCTGGGTCAAAGATTTTTATTAAATAAATCCTCTTTTGCCCTTAGGCAACTTTTTTTCTCATGAATTTATAAATTCAAAAATGGTGGCAGAATAAGATGACCTACAAAGAATTTATTGGAGATAGAAATATAGCATTGCCTAGAGTAAGGAAGTTGATATCTATCATGGGCCAATAAACTATTTAGAACAACCACAAGAGATGAAAGAAATGAAGTCTCCCATTAGGTAGTTGTAACTAACTCTTGGTGACCTTTTGTCACCAAGGACAAAAAGGATATGTTTTCCTATGTCATGTGGAAGGGGAAAAGGGGTACCTAGCTACCATTATAACAGCAAAGGCACATGTGATCCCTGCCTTGGGGCTCCCTGGTCTCATCTGTTTCTCTGTTATTTATGGATAATGGTAACGTCATTACAGGGTTGTTAGGAGTGTGAAGTGAGGTTATATATGAGGAGTACTTTGCAAATGTTTGTCATCGTCATGAAAAACATAGATAAGGAATTTTCTTAAATGACATCCTCAAAAATCTCTTAAAGTTCTTCTCCTCCTCAGATAAAAAGCACCTTAAATAATTATCAGTAAAGAATCAACAAAATACATCATGATGCTTTAAAAACAATGGAATGTATTCCACCATGACAAAGAACAAGGCAAGTCGATATGTAATCATATGAAAACGGCCCCAAGATATATTGTTACATGAAGAAAAGCAAATTCCAGAAGAGCACGCCTAGTGTGATATCATCTGTATAAAAAAAGTCAGTAAGTATATAAAAATGAAAGACTATACACCAAGCTATTAACAGTAATTACCTCTGGAGAAAGAGGTTGGGTGAGAGATTTCCATTTTTAACTTATATACTTCTATTACAGCTTTTGTAATTAAAAATCAATAAATGATATTTTTCTAAAATTTTTACACATAAGAAAAATTAGAAAGTGGCTCTGACTAAATAGGTATCCCATATGGCTGCTTAAGAGAAGAAGATGGAGTCATCTACGGACAAGCAGAGAACATTCTAGAAATCAATAAGAAAAATGGCTGGGTGCCGTGGCTCATGCCTGTAATCCCAGCACTTTGGGAGGCTGAGGCGGTTGGATCCCCTGAGCTCAGGAGTTCGAGACCAGCCTAGCCAAGATGGTGAAATCCTATCTCTACTAAAAATACAAAAATTAGCTGGGCATGGTGGCACATGCCTATAATACCAGCTACACTATTTGGGAGGCTGAGGCAGGAGAATCGCTTGAACCTGGGAGGTGGAAGTTGTAGTGAGCCAAGATTTCGCCACTACACTCCAGCCTGGGTGACAGAGCGAGACTCCACCTCAAAAAAAAAAAAAGGAAATGAACAGAAAGGGGAAGTAGAATAATTCTCAAGGGAAAAACTAAAAATGTGAAAACTTCATAAGGTCAGCCACAGAAAACGAGCTTGAGGGAGCCCGAGATTGTTGAATCAGCACCTTTGGTAATCACCAGCTGTCTTCTCCCCCTGATGATTTCCCAAGCTGAGCCATCTCTCCAGGTGATGAGTACATCCACCCAACGTGGGTGAGACCCCTTCTCCTTCTAGAATTTGACTTAGCATCATCAATGCCTCACATTATCATGAAAAACAAAAATTAGCTAGGGGTGGTAGTGCAGCATGCCTGTGGTTCCAGCTACTCAGGAGGCTGAAGTGAGAAGACTGCTTGAGCCCAGGAGTTCGAGGCTGTAGTGTGCTATGATTGCACTTATGAACAGCCACTGCACTCCAGTCTGGGCAACATAGTGAGACTCTGTCTCTTAGGTGGAAAAAAAAAGTGTTTATCTGTCCACTAAGTGAGCCCAAGAAATCCAGGGCAGAATGGTCACCCAGCACTTGAAGATCTCATCACACAGATAGCAAAGACCCCATCTGGATGAGTTGATAGATAACAGAGGAGCTGTCTTTGACCTTTGTCTCAAAACAACTCTGTATTTATTTCCTAGGTAAAAACATAAGTGTCGCCCTCCTGTTCTCACCCATTTCTACTTTAGGCTAGACAGAAAGTTCTTACCTTCTTTGCTGGGTTTTTTATTTACCATGAGACACAACAAGGCAGAAATCTCTTTAACATGCAGGCGTGATCCCCATCCTGTCTTCAGAGTTGGCTGAGGGATCCCAGGCTGATCTGATTTCTTTCAGACCTACAGAGCCCATAAAGAAGGTGCAGCCCTAGTCTGCCATGTCTTCTTCCTGAAAAGCAATGGTGACATTCACAGCCCTGGCCAAGTATTCACAGTGACAGGAAGGAAAGTTCAGGCTTCTTGCCTCGAAGGAGTAGGCACCCCCTGACGTCAGTCAGATCAGGCCCCCAAGGAAGATTTGAAGGGGGCGACTGCATAGTCGGGGTATCTCCCATATACCCAAGGAGATGGGTTTCTCTAACAGCACCCACGTCAGTCCTAAATCTTCTTACTCTCCTGGATTAGAAGACTGTGTTTCCCAGGCCACATCTGAGAAGCCTGAGCTCCTTAGCCCTGAAATAGCAGAGTGCTGACAAGACACAGGGGCCTAGGGGCTCTGGAGTCCAAGGGGAGTCCTCAGCAGAAGACACATAGGAGGCATTCTTTGTTGGGGCTGGCTTTTCTGTTTGCAAAGCCTGCTTGAAATATCCTGCCCTTTCTATGGACACTTTCCTTAGGATATAACCTAATCTGTGGTTAATCACTATTCTTGGACAACTTACTTTTTCAGTTAATCTAAGATGCTCGTGTGTGTGTTCTGGTAGGTACTAAATGCACCATGGAAATTCTCAAAGAAAGTGATATTCTGTTTGTCTATATCTAGTAGGTCAAGTTTGTTCATTATTATTATTATTATTATTATTATTTTGAGACAGTCTTGCTCTGTCGCCCAGACTGGAGTGCAGTGGCACAATCTCAGCTCACTGTAACCTCTGCCTCCTGGGTTCAGGCAATTCTCATGCCTCAGCATCCCGAGTAGCTGGGATTACAGGCACCCCCGCTGCCATGGCCAGCTAGTCTTTCTATTTTTAGTAGAGACAGGGTTTCTCCATGTTGGCCAGGCTGGTCTCCAACTCCTGGCCTCAAGTGATCTGCCCACCTCAGCCTCCCAAAGTGCTGGGATTACAGGTGTGAGCCTCCACACCCGGCCTAAATTTGTTAATTATATTAATTCAGATCCTCTTTATCTTTGTTTATTCTTCCTGATCTGACCATCTTTGAAAGAGGTATTTTGAAGATTTCTATGACAAGTACAGATTTAGCAAATTCTCCTTGTATTTGAGTCTTTGCATTACACGTTTTGAAGCTATATAATTAGATATTAAATTTAAACCATGTAAAATTGCCATCGGCAACTGTGTAATTACACATGAAGCCGTATTGTCATTTAACTGTCTTGGTAGAGGGTGACATAAAAATTAAATATCACTCTGCCTTTTAAAATTCTTTTTGCATTTGATTCTCTTTTGTCTGATATTAACATTTTCACATTAGCTTAGTTTTTGTTAGTGGCTGACTGCTAACATTCTTTCTCCAAGTTGACTAAAAGACTGATAAAATCCTGTATTACTGAGAGTATGAGAAAAAGGACCCTCTCCATATACTATTGCTGGGATCGTTAAAATGTTTCATTTTGGGGGAATTAAATTAAATTTTAATTGTAATTTATTAAATTACATACTTAAAATATGTAAATCCTTTAATCTAGAAATTATACTTCTAAGTATCTTACAGAATTATACACCCATGCAAAAATCTATATAAGGATTTTTATTACTGTATAATTTGTGATTAGGAAAAGTTGGAAAATAACCTAAGATATTTTTTTATGTGGTATTACCCATATTTTCTAGTTTCCATATTGATGCTTTGACATTTTGGGGCCTTGTTGACCAGGGAGAGACTACACCTCCTGGGATTAGCTGATCCCTGAGATGCAAACTAACCAATCTAGAGCCCTACCACCAAATCCCTCCTTTTTTGGACTTTCATACTCAAGGCCGTTATCTCTCTACCCTAATCACCCTGACATCATATATCAGACAACTCAGTGCAGTCTACAGTCAGGAGTCAGCTGACACTATTCCAACTAGCTAGTCCTCCACCTGCTTAGCCGCCTTACCCTGCCTCACCCATTCCTTCCCTCGAAAACCACAGTTCTCCTGTCCTCTGCCTGTGACCAACCTCAGTGTTCTCTCCCGTGGCTGTGCAGGTGTGACCTCTCCTCTTGGGAACGAGGAGTAATAAGCTATCTTTTAAATGGCAATTGTCCCCTGATCTGTTGGCCTTATCATACCTGAATAAAAATAGAATCTACATTTTAAAACGTTTATGCATTTTTAAATGTCTTAATGAGTACAGATGGCAGTTATCACTAGGGGTACTCATGGGGAGAGTGCCATCCACAAGTGGGGAAGAGAGGCAGAGGATCACATTATGTACTGTTTGATTTATTTTTATATTAGAAATCTGTTACTTGTGTTCTTATTATTATTATTTTTTTTTTTTTGAGACAGAGTTTCGCTCTTGTTGCCCAGGCTGGAGTGCAATGGCGCAATCTCGGCTTACTGCAACCTCTGCTTCCTGGGTTCAAGCGATTCTCCTGCCTCAGCTTCCTGAGTAGCTGGGATTACAGGCATGTGCCACCATACCTGGCTAATTTTTTATTTTTAGTGGACACAGGGTTTCTCCATGTTGGTCAGGCTGGTCTTGAACTCCTGACCTCAGGTGACCCGCCAGCCTCAGCCTCCCAAAGTGCTGGTATTACAGGCGTGAGCATGGTGATGCCCAGTCACTTGTGTACTTTTTAAAAACAGAATATTTTGAAAACCAGCTCTCTCCATCTGCCATGAAAGCTCTGTAGGCCAAGCCATTTTTATTTAAAAATATATATATATTTTTTGAGAACGGGTCTTACTTGCCCAGGCTGGTATTTGCAGTGGCACAATCACAGCTCACTGCTGCCTTGACCTTCCCGGACTCAGGCAATCCTCTTGCCTCAGCCTCCCAAGTAGCTGGGACCACAGGCATGTGCCACCATACCCACCTAATTTTTGTATTTTTTGTAGAGATGGGGTTTTGCTATGTTGTCTAGGCTGGTCTTGAGCTCATGCAATCCACCTGTCTCGGCCTCCCAAAGTGCTGGGATTACAGGTGTGAGCTGCTGCGCCCAGCCAAAATTTTTTAAATAAAATTTTCAATTTTATTTATTTATTTATTTATTTTAGGCCAGGCGTGGTGGCTCATGCTTGTAATCTCAGCACGTGAAAGGCCGAGGTGGGTGGATCACTTGAGGTCAGGAATTCAAGACCAGCCAGGCCAACACGGCAAAAGCCTGTCTCTACAAAAAATACAAAAAATTAGCAGGGGATGGTGGTGTGTGTCTGTAGTCCCAGCTATTGCAGTGAGCAGAGATCACACCACTGCACTCTGGCCTGGGCAACTGAGTGAGATGCTGTCTCAAAATAAAAAAATAAATTTTAACTTTTTAATTAAAAAATTTTATTGCCTCTTGTTTTTAAAATTTATTTTATTTTGGTAAGAACACAACATGAAATCTACCCTTTTAACAGATTTTCTTCTTTTTTTGAGACAGGATCCCACTCTGTCACCCAGGGTAGAATGCAATGGCATGACCACAGTTCATTGCAGCCTCGACCTCCCAGGCTCAAGTGATCCTCCCACCTCTGCCTCTTAAGTACTTGGGACTACAGGCACACATCACCACTCCCAGCTAATATTTTTATTTTTGTAGAGACAGAGGTCTCACTATGTTGCCCAAGCTGGTCTCAAACTCATAGACCCAGGCAATCTTCCTGATATGAACAGGAGACGGGGAAATACTGGAAAGTTATTTATTTTGTTTGATTTATTTACCTGCCAAAAGCCCCACCCTCAAGCCTGGAAACCCGAGGCCCCAAATGGGAACAGGCATTCCTGTTTTCGTGCCCAAATGTTGCATCTTGGCCCGCCACACCCCACATCCTGTACCCATATAAACCCCGAATCCCTGGGTCCATGAGGAGATGAGCAGAAGAGCCAAAGAACTGAAGAACGGCATGGCAGAGAAGGAGCATCTGAATATCTAGAGGAGTCCAGCTGGGGACAGTTGGAGAGGAGTTCTGCCACAGGACTGCTGAACTCCAAGGGAAGATCATCTTTCCACTCCGTCCCCGTTCCAGCTCCCCATCCATCCTGCTGAGAGCCACCTCCACCACTCAATAAAACCCCCATATTCACCACTCTTCAAGTCTGTGTGTAACCTGATTCTTTCTGGGTGCTGGACAAGGGCCCGGGTACCAAGGGGACACTGAGCTGGTTAACACTTAAGCCATCTGTGGATGGCAGAGTTAAAAGAGCACTGTAGCATGCCTACTGGGGCTTCAGGAGTCAAAGCACCACCCCTAGAAGCTGCCCTGGGGCCAGAGCCCAAAAGCGCTCACTCTGGTTCCTGCACCTGCCTGTCTGTATCCTCCCGCTCCTATAAGGGGTTTGAGCTTGTGGCAGCTGAACAGAGATCAACACCCCTGTTGAGTGTCCTGCAAGGGGAGCCAGGGAACTCTCCTGTTTCACCCCCACCTCCGCCTCCTAAAGTGCTGTGATTATAAGATAAACCACCACGCCTGGCCTCTTAACAGATTTTTAAGTGTACAATAGGCACGACGTACAGATCTCTAGAAGTTATTCACCTTGTATAAATGAAACTTTACACCAGTTGAATGGCAACTTCCTATTTCCCCAGCCCCTTAGCCTTTGACAACCACTCTCTACTTCTTGCTTCTATGAGTTTGACTATTTTAGATACCTCACATAAATGGAATTATTCCAGTAAGCACTGTGATTGGCTTATTTCATTTAAGATAATGTCCTCCAGGTTGTCATATTGCAGTGAAGAAAACCAAAATATGTCACCCCAAAATACACCTCTTTGAAATAAGAATTATTTTGAGCTAGGCGGGGTGCAGTGGCTCATGCCTGTAATCCCAGCACTTTGGGAGGCAGAGGTGGGCGGATCACGAGGTCTGGAGATAGAGACCATCCTGGCTAAGATGGTGGAACCCTGTCTCTACCAAAAATAAAAAAAATTAGCCGGGTGTGGTGGTGGGCGCCTGTAGTCCCAGCTACTCGGGAGGCTGAGGCAGAAGAATGGCGTGAACCCGGGAGGCAGAGCTTGCAGTGAACCGAGATCGCGCCACTGCACTCCAGCCTGGGCAACAGAGCGAGACTCTGTCTCTTAAAAAAAAAAAAATTATTTTGAGCTAAAGGCAATTAAAAAGCAGCAAACAGGCTGGGCATGGCGGCTCACGCCTGTAATCCCAGCACTTTGGGAGGCCGAGGTGGGTGGATCACCTGACATCAGGAGTTCAAAACTAGCCTGGCCAATATGGTAAGGCCCCGTCTCTACTAAATATACAAAAATTAGCCGGGCATGGTGGCGGGAACCTGTAATCCCAGCTACTTGGGAGGCTGAGGCAGGAGAATCGCTTGAACCCAGGAGGTGGAGGTTGCAGTGAGCAGAGATCATGCCATTGCACTCCAGCCTGGGCAACAAGAGCGAGACTCTGTCTCAAAAAAAGAAAAAAAAAAGCAGCAAACAGTATGCAGTGGCTCATGCCTATAATACCAGTGATTTGGGAGGCCAAGGCAGGTGGATTTCTTGAGCTCAGGAGTTTGAGAACATCCTGGCCAACATGGCAAAACCCGGTCTCTACTAAAAATTCAAAAAAAAAAAAAAATTAGCCAGGCCTGGTGGTACACGCCTATAATCCCAGCTACTCAGGAGGCTGAGGCACAAGACTTGCTTAAACCCAGGAGGCAGAGTCTGTGGTGAGTGGAGATCATGCCACTGCCCTCCAGCCTGGGCAACAGAGCGAGACTCTACTGCACTCCAGCCTGGACAACAGAGCAAGACTCTGTAGTCCCAGCTACTTGGGAGGCTGAGGTGGTAGGATTGCTTGAGTGCAGGAGTTTGAGGTTGCAGTGAGCTATGATTACGCCACTGCACTCCAGCCTGAGCAACAGAGTGAGACCTCGGCTTTAAAAAAATAAAAAAGAAGATAGTCTTGCTCCTCTTCTTCCTCTTTCAGGAAGGACAAAGGCTAATCCCCAGAGACAATTCTAGATCCTTATTGGCCTGGACATGGCACCAGAGAAATCTACATACCAAACTGTACAAACTAGGCTTTATCTACTGTTTAAGTCAAATAAAATATAGAGACAAATTTAACATTTTTTGGGGGAAGCAAGAATTGCAATTCCAGGTCGTCCACAGAGACAGGGTGATCTTCGGTACGTTCAAAGAACAAAGAGAAGGTTGGAAGTTTTATAAAAAGGAGAAATGTTACATATTGTTTTGAAAGAATGTTCATCAGCGCTAGTAAAGTTTTGGGAAGGGGGCAAACTCTGATTGGTGAGTGGTTGCAGTGGGTAAAATTAATCTTACAGTCTTAGCAGCTGTTTCAGTAGCTACTAGATAAAACTGGTTTCAGGTTTTAACGACGGTTTCAGCAGTCAAGCTTGCCAAGAATTGCATTCTTGGAGCAATGTTTTGTGCCCTGTGTGCTTTTTCTTCCTGTCCTCTAAATGCCCTTTTATAATTAAAAAAAAATTTTTAGAGACAAGATATCCTGTCGCCCAGGCTGGAGTGCAGTGGTGCAATCATAGCTTAACTTCAGCCTTGACTTCCTGGGCTCTAGCAATTGTCTCAAGTAGCTGGGACTACAAGTATGATCCACCACACTGGCTAATTTTTTTGTTTGTTTTTTGTAGAGACAAGAGTCTCCTTACATTGCCCAAGCTCCTAGTCTCAAGCAATCCTCCTGCCTCAGCCTCCCAAAGCGCTGAGCTACCGCACCTGGTCTTGACTTTTTTAGTTGGTCATGACAAGAATGACCCAATTCATATAATTAACTTTTTTTTTTTTTTTGAGACAGAGTCTCGATCTTGTTGCCCAGGCTGGAGTGCAATGGTGTGACCTCGGCTCACCTTCACCTCCACCTCCCAGGTTCAAGTGATTCTCCTGCCTTAGCCTCCCAAGTAGCTGGGATTACAGGTCCCCGCCACCACGCCCAGCTAATGTTTTTGTATTTTTAGAAGAGATGGGGTTTCACCATGTTAGCCAGGCTGGTATCAAACTCCTGACCTCAGGTGATCTGCCCGCTTCAGCCCCACAAAGTCCTGGGATTACAAGTGTGAGCCACCACACCCAGCCAATTAACTTTCATCTATCTTTTGTTACTATATGTTTTCCTTCCCACAATTTGCTGCCCCGAGAGACTCAAGGTCCTTTTCCTTTGTCTTGTCACTTCTCTAAAAATTTATAGTTCCTTTGCTAAGATGCCATATAAAAACAAGTTCAAAACAAACCTTTGAGTTACTCTTCTCTGGGTACTCCATATTGCGTATTCTGTACATATGTTAATCAACTTCTATTTGTTTTTTCAATTGTTAATCTTTTTTGTTGTTATGTTAATCTGTCTTTTGTCAGTCTAATTTACAAGGCCCCAGCTGAGAACGTAAGATGGGTAGAGGAATTGATTTTTCCTCCCCCACAGCGAGACCATCTTTTTTAATTTTTAGAGTCAAGTTCTCACTCTGTTGCTCAGGCTGGAGTGCCGTGGCATGATCATAGCTCACTGCAGCCTTAAACTCCTGGGCTCAGGTGATCCTCCCACCTCAGCCTCCCATGTAGCTGGGACTACAGGTGCACACCCCCATTCCCAGCAAAGTTTAAACAAATTTTTTTTTTTTTTTGAGACAGAGTCTCACTCTGTCACCCAGGCTGGAGTGCAGTGGCGTGATCTCAGCTCACTGCAACCTCCACCTTCCTGGTTCAAGCAATTCTCCTGCCTCAGCCTTCCAAGTAGCTGGGACTACAGGTGCGTGCCCAGCTAATTTTTGTATTTTTAGTAGAGACAGGGTTTCACCATATTGGCCAGGTTGGTCTCGAACTTCTGACCTTGTGATCCACCTGCCTCGGCCTCCCAAAGTGCTGGGATTATAGGCGTGAGCCACCACGCCCAGCCTTAAACAACATTTTTTTTAGAGACAAGGTCTTGCTATGTTGGCCAGGCTAGTCTCAAACTCCTGGGCTTAAGCACTCCTCAGCCTCCCGAGTAACTGGGATTACAGATGTGAGCAACTGTGCCTGTCTGTCTTCTTTTTAAAGGATGAATAATATTCCACTGTGTGTACATACCACATTTTCTTTATCCATTCATGCCTAGATGGACATTTAGATTGTTGATAAGAGTGTTACTTTCCTCCTGATATTGGAAGGACATCTTCCAAATGGAGATTTTATCTCTTGTTTTCAGGAAGAAAATGGGGAGGGTCAGAGTGAATTTCTTTTCCCTGCTGGTTTTGTAAGTGCCTTTAGCTCAAAATAGTCCTTATACCAAAGTGGCATATTTGGGGTAGTGTGTTCTGAGCTCCTTCAGCATACTTAAAGTTCAGGAGAAAAGACACAAGAGAATGTAGGTGAGCAATTCTGAGATAGCTGACTATTTTCCAAAATTGAACAAAAGACACAAACTTGAAATTTGGGGAGCACAACAAATCCCAAGCAGGCTTAAACAAAATTCAATATCTGGACACATTGTAGTTAAACCACGTGACACTGTTATCACTGTCACACACATCTGTGTGAAGAGACCACCAAATAGGCTTCATGTGAGCAATAAAGCTTTTTAATCACCTGGGTGCACGTGGGCTGAGTCCAAAAAAGGAGTCAGCAAAGGGTGGTAGGATTATCATTAGTTCTTATAGGTTTGGGATAGACGGTGGAGTTCGGAGCAATTTTTTGCAGGCAGGAAGTGGATCTTACAAAGTACATTCTCAAGGGCGGAGAGGATATTACAAAGTACCTTCTCAAGGGTGGGGAGGGTGTATCGTACAAAGTACATTCACAAGGGCGGGGGAATATCACAAAGTACATTATTGCAAGGGTGGGGAGGGTGTCTTGTCACAAAGTCAATTGATCAGTTAGGGTGGGGCAGGAACAAATCACAATGGTGAAATGTCATCAGTTAAGGCAGGAACTGGCTATTTTCTCTTCTTTTGTGGATCTTCAGTTGCTTCAGGCCATCTGGATGTATACGTGCAGGTCACAGGGCATATGATGGCTTAGCTTGGGCTCAGAGGCCTGACAATCACCTGATGGGTTCTTCTTGCTCACTGCACAGACAAAACCAATTCACTGAGATCATACTATTGCAGTAGAGAAAGAGTTCAATTAACAGTCCTAGCAGGAGCATGGATGTTATTACTCAAATCAGTCTCTCCAAGAACTCAGAGGCTAGGGTTTTAATGGATAATTTGGTGAGCTGGGGGCTAAGGAAGGGGGTTGCTGATTGGGGATGAAATTACAGGGGTATGGAAAACAGTCTTTATGCACTGAGTATGCCCTTTGGGTGAGGGCCACAGGACTAGTTGACTCATGGTCACAGGTCCTGGTGGGGTCCAGTGGTTGCCAGAATGCAAAAGTCTGAAAAACATCTCAAAAGACCAATCTTAGGTGCTATAGTAGTGATGTTCTCTACAGGAACAATTGGGGAAGTCACAAATCTTTGACTTCTAGCCACATGACTCCTGAGCAGTAAGGGATTATAGAAACTACGCCTACATTTAGCAGAATTCGGGTTCTTCCCATAATCCTAATCTCATAGCCTTCCATTAGTTTTACAAAGGTGGCTTTACTCCCTAGCAGGGCAGAGGTTAGTCTGAGGGTGGGGTTATTATCATCCTTTCTTTAAAGTTAAACTCTAAACTAAATTCCTCCCACGATTAGCTTGGTCTGTGCCCAGGAACGAGCAAGGACAGCCAGCCTGTGAGGCTAGAAGGAAGATGGAGTCAGCCATGCTAGACTTCTCTCACTGTCATCATCTTTGCAAAGGCGGTTTCAACAAAAAGGACAAATATCTGAAAAGCAACTAGAGTGTTGGATTACTTAAATCATTTTCCTGAGGAACAGCCCTCAATGCCTTCGCTTTGCCTGGTTAAAATTAGGGTATTCCCCAAATTTCCGAAGATCATGGCATATTTTCAAGAAAACAAAAATGGAATAAGACTAATAAGTAGAAATTTAGCCTGGCCAGGCTGGGCGCGGTGGCTCACGCCTGTAATCCCAGCACTTTGGGAGGCCAAGGAGGGCAGATCATGAGGTCAGGAGTTCGAGACCAGCCTGACCAACGTGGTGAAACCCTGTCTCTACTAAAAACACCAAAAATTAGCCGGGCATGGTGGCACACGCCTGTAATCCCAGCTACTCGGGAGGCTGAGGCAGTAGAATCGCTTGAACCCAGGAGGCGGAGGTTGCAGTGAGCCGAGATCGTGCCATCGCACTCCAGCCTGGGTGACAGAGGGAGACTCTGTCTGGAAAAAAAAAAAAAAAAAGAAATTTAGCCTGGCCAACATGGCAAAAGCCCATTTCTACTAAAAATACAGAATAAGCTGGGCATAGTGGCACATGCCGGTAATCTCAGCTACTCAGGAGGCTGAGACACAAGAATCGCTTGAACCCTGGAGGCAGAGTTTGCAGTGGGCCGAGATTGCACCACTGCACTCCAGTTTGGGTGGTGGAACAAGACCCTGTCTCAAAAAAAAAAAGACTAATGAGTAGAAATTTCTAGTTTCAATGGCTGTGTGATGTGTGATACAGCTGGCATGAGTAAACTACTTCTCATATTTGATTTTTAAAAGGGCATTGGATGATGAAAATTAAACGGTATTTATACGACACTGTCCAAGAAGAAACACGAATATTCTGGGCCACTAGAGACGTCTGCAGTATGTCAGGGGAGCGATGTTCTGTACCTGGATAACACTTCCTTCTAGACATTCTACTCACTATGCCAAAGGAAAAGTTAAGCCTGGGAACCGAGACACTCCAAAACTGCCTTCCTTTTGTTCCCAAACATAGCTGTAATTTCACACGGTTGCTTTATCTTATGTAAAATGTAGATTTACTGAGCACGAGATAAATGCATCATTGACTTTCCCTCCATTCCCTTGTTTTCATGTGCTAAATGTAGATTCACTGAGCACCAATAATAAGAGCTCACAAGAATGTAACCATTTGCCTCACTGTCTACCCTCTTTTTATCCCCCGCTCCTGCTTGCTCTTTCCCCTTTAAATACCGAAGTTCCTCAAACCCTCTTTGGGAAAAGCACAGGACAGGTCCTCCTGTGACTGGTGTTTCTTTTTCCCGGGCACATCCTTAGCCTTGGCAAAATAACTCTCTCATGGACTGAGTGCTGCTTCAGGCACATTTTCGTTTACACTTTTAACCTTTTCTGACTTCATCCTCAAGGACATTTCTTTCATGCACATGTGAAAAATCAAACTCTACCAAGCAGCTGTTCATTCCCTTGAATGCTGACACTTAAATAACATCACAACTAAGAGAGTTGCTTTCTCAGGACAGCAGTTCAGAACCATAAGACTTCGGAGGTAAAGAAAGCAGGGAGAGCATAACGCTAAGTTTCTTGGAAATTTTTTTATTCTCCTTGCCAACATTTCTTTTGACATTTTATTACTTAATTATGTGACATTAAGAAATAATTTGGTTGCATATTATTTTCAAAAAGCAGTAAGAAAGTAGCTATTGAGAAAGAAGGAGGGCCATAGGTTTTTCAATAAAACGTTAGAAACATTATAAAAAACGAGACTCCCATTACATGGAAACACATGATCAAAGATCAGACTAACACACATTCAAACAGGCTTGGTTCGAAATAGAGTTCTCCATTTCTTTCAGATGAGCCTTTTTTCTTAGGCTCTTTCAGAAGCACTTCACAATGAACAGAGGTCTTGCCAGCTCATTTCATTAGCGGAGAAGCAAAGGTATGATGGCAGAATCATGAGAAGATGGAAATAAGGCCTGAGGATATGGCTTGATCTCTGAGACCAATTATCTTTGAGTTATTCAGGCCAGGATAGAAGCTTAGAGAGGATCGAGGCAAACCATGAAGGGAAGGGAATGCAGGACAATGCCCATTACTGGCTTTACCACAAACTCCAAATCTCCTGGACCCACTTCGCAAGGTTGTAAAGTTAAATGAGGAAGGAGCCTGCATTGTTTGTAACATAATACAATACTTTCACTTTGTCTTATTTTTTAAGGTGCAGCTCTTCAAGAATTTCATTTTTTAAAAAATCATCTGTAAGGGAAGAAAAAAACGCATTTAATTCAAAGACTGATTTTTTTTTTTTTTTTAATGGAGTCTCACTCTGTTTCCCAGGCTGGAGTGCAGTGGTGTGATCTCAGCTCACTACAAACTCCACCTCCCGAGTTCAAGTGATTCTCCTACCTCAGCTCCTGAGTAGTCGGGATTTTGGGTACCCACCACCACACCTGGCTAACAGTTTTTTTGTAGTTTTAGTAGAGATGGGGTTTCACCATGTTGGCCAGGCTGGTCTTGAACTCCTGACCTCAAGTGATCTGCCTGCCTCTGCCTCTCAAAGTGCTGAAATTACAGTCATGAGCCATCACGCCCCGCCGAAGATTGGTTTTCATACAAACAATTCCAAATAAAATATCTAATGATGACAATCTGACACAAATGACAATGCCAGATGCTTGTCAGAAAATATTATATATGTATACATTTTAAGGATGTTACCACCCTCTGTAAGAAATACCAGCACACACCCACCTCACCCCCTCTCCACAAAACAGTAACAACAAACCTTTCACAGCACGGGCGAACTCGCTCTTCTGCTGACTTACTTTCTACTCGGGTTTCTGATCCTAGTCATGTACTTGTCTGGGCTACCGGCGCTCATTACCGTAGTATAAATTGTGAAGCTGAAAATTATGAGGAAATTTTATGTACACATCATTTTCTCTAATATGCCAGAAAGGGAAGAAAATGACCAAGTGCTTCCCTAACACTTGAGATCTGGGACAAGGCCCTTTATGCCAGAATATTTTAAATCTATGAATCAAGAGGTCAAAGTGCACTTTCCTCCTATTTTGACAACACTGTGGAAGGCCAAGTTGGAACTTAAAATTCTCAGACTTAATTAGCTGGGTGTGGTGGTGCCTGAAATCCCAGCTACTAGGGAGGCTGAGGCAGGAGAATTGCTTAAACTTGGGAGGCAGAGGTTGCACTGAGCTGAGATTGCGCCACTGCACTCCAGCCTGGGCAACAGAGTGAGACTCTGTCTCATAAAAAATAAATAAATAAAATCTCAAGACTCCTCAGAGCTCTACCCCAAGGCAGTGGGGGAGACCAAGCCTTGGCCCTCACCCTGGCTCTGTCCTACCCACAAGGGCCTTACTTGCACACATGTGACATCACCGCCTTCACATTCCCCAGCAAGCACCTGCCCCTGTGCTCTCTCTCAGTGGCCATGCACCACCATCAGGAGAATATCACCCAGGGAAGAGGAAAACACAAACCCTGGAAGTGGAGGTGGGGCTGTTCAGGCTGAGAATTACAGGGTCCTGGGTACTTGGGCAGACTCCAGGTGGGCAAATGCCCTTGGTCCAGCAGATTCCTTACACCATGCTTTGGGGGGGTGGTATCACAACTAGAGGAATTCCAGAGGAGGGCCTCTAAAGCTCCAGGATCAAGGCACCTGCCCCGCCCCTCCACCTTGCCCAGATCTAAGGATGAAAAGTATAGTGTCATTGATTACACATTCCGTATAACAAGAGACCTAAACAACTTGAGCACATGTGCCCACATGTACACACATTTGTCTTGGAATCCAGTTGAGGTGCATGTGCAAAATATCGGAGCTGGGTTGTTCAGAAACAGGCAGAATTAGTAGCACTGGGTCCACAGCTAAATCATACACCCAGTTAAAGACAGCACTGTAAGCAAGTGCAGAGCTCGTCCAAGGGTAATGGAGGTTCCCTGAACAGGACCTTAATTGCTCGTTTACTTTAGTCATAGTTCTGCTCTCCATTACTGTTTTAGTATTTTCTCTACTGATGAGCCACAGCAGAGGATGGAGATGTATTGCAGGTGGGTGTAATTTTGCAGCATGGCACAAAGGGGCAGCATAGAGCTAACTGCCTTTGTTCAGACTACTTTTTTGTTGTTTCTTTTTCTTTTTTTCAGATACAGCTACACTTATTTCTATTAACCTAATACAACTGAACAGCCTCAGTTGAGGTTAATCATTACATGTAAAGGGCCTGAGAGTCAGAAGTCTGTGTTAATTCTGGCTCCATGGTGATTGTCACTTAAAAGCAGTTTCTCTTGAATTTTCAAGTATACAACAGAGAAAAACACTACTTGGTAAACTGTTTATAATTTCTAACAATTTTATTTTGACCAAACCATTTCAGAAACCATTTAAACATTCATAACTGTTAACTCAGTAATCCTACTTCTGGGAATTCAGCCAAGGGAAATAATCTGAAAGTAAGCAGGGGAGAGGCAAACGAATATGTTTATTTCAGAGTTTTAATAGAGGAAAATCTAACAACTGGAGAATGCTTAACTCAATTATAATACAGCCAACTGGCCACTGCCACCATGTAAAATTATGAGGGCTGTTCAAAGCAGAGAAAATGCTTTGTTTTATTAAAATAAATGTAACTATTTTATTATAATACTAATTTTTAAAAGATATATTCATCACTTCTTTTTTTTTTTTTTTTTTTTTTTTTTTAAGACGGAGTCTCCCTCTGTCGCCCAGGCTGGAGTGCAATCTCAGCTCACTGCAACCTCTGTCTCCCGGATTCGAGTGATTTTCCTGCCTCCACCTCCCAAGTAGCTGGGATTACAGGCACGCACCATGACGCCTGGCTAATTTTTGTATTTTTAGTAGAGATGAGGTTTCACCATGTTGGCCAGGCTGGTCTCGAACTCCTGACCTCAAGTGATCCACCCGCCTCGGCTTCCAAAGTACTAGGATTACAGATGTGAGCCACTGCGCCCAGCCAGATATATTCATCACTTCTATAATTACCTAAAAAAACTATAAGAACACAAAAGTAGTTTATTAACCCCCATTTAAAAAATGACTATTAAAAGGGCAACATTGTGCCCCGCTATGAAGGGTACAGTCAATAGTGCATTGGAGCTAGCTCCTACAGTCTGGTGAGGGCCAATTATTAAATATGCAGGAAGTGTATGAGCCAACTATAAGCCTGAAATCAGCCATGTGGGAGTATTCACACCATGGAAGTCAACAAATGCTACAAATTTGGGAATTTTTTCATTTGTCCCTTCCCACACAAAGAGCTGGTTTACTAGCAGACCACTGGGTATGCTTTGTTATCCAAATAGCTCATTTGTTTGAGTAGCAGAATACTGACTAATTAGTTTTCTTTTCTTTTTTTTTTTGAAACAGAGTCTCGCTCTGTTGCCCAGGCTAGACTGCCATGGCATGATCTCAGCTCACTTGCAGCCTCGACTTCCCAGGTTCAAGCAATTCTCCAGCCGCTGCTTCCCAAGTAGCTGTGATAACAGGCGTGCACCGTCATGCCTGGTTGATTTTTGTATTTTTAGTAGAGACGAGGTTTCACCATGTTGGCCAGGCTGGTCTTGAACTCCTGACCTCAAGTGATCCACCCGCCTTGGCCTCCCAAAGGGCTGGGATTACAGGCGTGAGCCACCGCACCTGGCCTGCTTTCACTTAAAAAAAAAAAAAAAAGAAAAAGAAATTAAAAAGAATGTGAGTAAAATCCTAGGCTATACACTAGAGAAACCATTGCTCACAGAATGCTGCTATCAAGGGTACAGGCTAAAAAAGAACATTAACTAAGCGAATTGTCAGTGGAACAAGGAACAGCTTCGGAGATAGTGGAAATTCCTCCGGAGGATAAAAGAAAACCAAAGGTATTCAGAATTTATTTCTAAGGAGCTCCTAACAGGTGAAGGCTGTCCACAGCTACCTGACTGAGTTAGGATGAACACCTCACTGCCAGAATATTTCAAATGTAGGAATCAAGAGGTCAGCCAGTCAAAGTGTTTTTCCTTCTAGTTTGACAACACTATGGAAGGCCAAGTTTGAATTTAAGATTCCCAGAGCTGGCCGGGCGCAGTGGCTCACTCCTGTAATCCCAGCAATTTGGGAGGCCGAGGTGGGCAGATCATGAGGTCAGGAGATCAAGGCCATCCTGGCTAAAACGGTGAAACCCTGTCCCTACTTAAAAAATACAAAAAATTAGCTGGGCGTGGTGGCACGAGCCTGTAGTCCCAGCCACTTGGGAGGCTGAGGCAGGAGAATGGTGTGAACCTGGGAGGCAGAGCTTGCAGTGAGCCGAGATTGCGCCACTGCACTCCAGCCTGGGTGACAGAGCGAGACTCTGGCTCAAGAAAAAAAAAAATTCCCAGAGCCTCCTTCAGGGTCACTCTATTCTTTTTACCTTTGGATTTCTTCATGGACTTCTCACCTGATTTATATTTGTTTATCACCACCACCCCCACCCCACCCATATTAGTCCCATGAGAGCAGAGACTTTGTTTTGCTCGCAGCTGTACCCACAGGAGTGCCCCCACAGGAGTGCCCCCACAGCCTGGTTACAGGAGCCCTCAGATCCTTGCTGAGCCAAACAGTACGTGAGTGAGTTCACTGTTCTGGAGTGATGTGTGAACAGACATGTTTAACAAGCCACTTACTTGTTATAAACTGGAACCACCGACAAAATCTGCATAGGAAAAAGTCATTTTATAGAGAAGATTACATGGTAGAAGAAATACACATAGAATATCTATGGAGGGCCGGGTGCAGTGGCTCAGGCCTGTAATCCCAGCACTTTGGGAAGCCGACGTGGGAGGATTACTCAAGCCCAGGAGTTCAAGACCAGCCTGGGCAACATAGAGAGACCCTGTCTTTACTAAAAAAGAAAAAAAAAGAATGTCTGTAGAAAGAACATAACCACTCTTTAGTGTACCTTGAGGTGATATAGACTTTTTTTTTGAGACAGTCTTGCTGTGTCACCTGGGCTAGAATGCAGTGGCATGATCTTGGTTCATTGCAACCTCCGCCTCCCAGGGTCAACCGATTCTCCTGCCTCGGCATCCCAAGTAGTTGGGATTATAGGCACACACCACCAAGCCTGGCTAATTTATATATTTTTAGTAGAGACGGGGTTTCACCATGTTGGCCAGGCTGGTCTCGAAGTCCTGACCTCAAGTGATCCTCCTGCCTTGACCTCCCAAAGTGCTGGGATTATAGGTGTGAGCCACCACATCCGGCCTGACTTTTTAATTCTTTCTCTTTTTTTCTTTTAAACAATGAACATATATTACAACTATGACTTTTTCTTTTTAATATAAAGAAAAACTTTGGTGAAGATGGACATTTTAACTTATATAAAAGCAAGTTGAGAAAATGTCATATAATTTTTTTTTTTTTTGAGACGGAGTCTCGCTCTGTCAGGCTGGAGTGCAGTGGCGCAATCTCGGCTCACTGCAAGCTCCGCCTTCCGGGTACACGCCATTCTCCTGCCTCAGCCTCTGGAGTAGCTTGGACTACAGGCACCCGCCACTACACCTGGCTAATTTTTTGTATTTTTAGTAGAGACAGGGTTTCACTGTGTTAGCCAGGATTGTCTCAATCTCCTGACCTCGTGATCTGCCTGCCTAGGCCTCCCAAAGTGCTGGGATTACAGGTGTGAGCCACCACTTTTAATACATGATTTCAACCAAATAAAACTTTTACCCTAACGTTTTCATCTACCAGAAGATTTCACGGAGTTTTTCATATTCACTATTAACAAAACACCAAACATCCTAGGTATGCAGGACACTGTGACACAAGTTACCTGGAAAAGTGCCTCCAGGCTGAGGTTTGCTTGTCCTGTAGCATTAAGGGCCTTGATGGCAGATGTTCTGTAAGGACAAAGGTCGAAGGTCACTTGGCATTTCAACAAGCACTGAAGCCCATCAGCTGTCATTTTTGGGAGGCAGAATGCAAGCTCCAGTCTCATTATCTCCCTTTCTCCAAAACAGATTCTGGCCCCAAGCCTGTTTCCTGCTGAGGCCCAGCCCACCACAGTGGAATTCATCCAGCAGCTGGGACGGTTGGCACCATCTGCTCCAGAAAGCTGGGATGATGAAAATGTGTGGCTGCAGAACTGAACAGTGGCCAAACTTGTGGGGTAGTAAAGCCAAGGCAACGTATATAGCTACCTGCACTTTGGAACTGTGCTGACTTATAATTATAGAATGTTTACAACTTGAAGGGACAATAAAAACCCTTGACTGGTTTATTTATTGTTTAAATAAGGGAAATAATTTCCTTCTAAAAATATCTTGCCTAGAAGACCATGAACCTGGCCCTTTGCTTTCATTTTACAGACTGGTAAACAGAGGCCCGAGAGCCACCCAGTGAGTCACTAGCAGAGCTGGTGGTGGGCTCTAGGGCTCCTGACCCTGACAGCCTCCCAACACCCGCCCAGCTGCTGAGAGGCTCTGCCCACTGCTCTCCTCCACACAACACTCCCTTCCCAGCCAAGGCACTGGCGAAGGGGCTCAGGTACATTTTCTGGGAGAGGATAGCACCCATAGGTCTTGCCAGTTCCTGTGACAGAATGGGCATATTCTCCTGACCATAAGAAAACACTGCAAACCAGAAAGCACGTAGCAGCCTACCTCCGGTCATCTTCCTTGGGTGCTGGCTTCCAGTGGTCGTAATTTGTCTCAACTCGGAACCACCTACAACAGAGCACATCATCTTGTCTTATCCAAGGCAATTTACGACATAGCAGAGGAGACATATGAACAAATTTAAAATACCCCTCATTTCACCGATTAAAAAAAATGATTATCTGATACAAAATGACCAGAGCTTTCAATTCTACTTACGCTCCATTCAAAGGATCTAGAGGCCAAATGTCTGCTGGGCCATCTCTGTTCCTCGTGATGACCACCCCCTCCCGGGGGGACGTGCCACCAACAATGTAATAAACATCAGCAATAAGGGGAGTCTTGGCCAACTTGCCAACAGCTGCTTCGAAGTTTTCCGACTCACTCAGGGTCTGAACGAAAGGATGAACTTGCGTGAGCAACCCCACCTGCAGTTGGGTCCACACCAGATGATGCAAAAATGATCCAAAGCACATTCTCCTGATATGTTATGTCATGACTATCACCTTGATCTGCTCTGACCTTATCCTCTTGTTATCAGGGCTCCTAAGATGGAAGAAATTTCAGCTTCAAAGCGGAGCCAGGAGCAGCAGGAAATTCTGACAGGAGGAGAGAACTGTTGACAAGCCCTAGGCCTGGCTCAGCAAACACCGGCTGTGTGCTCTCCAGGCAGATCGCCCTCACAAAGGACTTTTTGTGCTTCTTCATTCATTTATTATTTAAACAGGGTTTTCTTGAATATCTACACTGTGCCAGGCACTGTGCTGGTGGGGGATAGAGCAGTGAATGAGTCGCCTGGTCCTATTCTCCCCAAGCCTCTGAGGAAGACAGAAAAGTCAACAACCAATGGTGACACAGTGTAATGAGAGTTCACATAGGAGAATAAGATGCTATGGACGTCACAGTAGGGGTCCCATCCTCACCAAGGGCAGTGGAGGAGGTACTGCTGGGAAGCATCGCATGAATTGAAGCTAAAGAGACAAACACAAGTGAGTGGTGAAAGTGGTGGTTGCAGGGTGAGGAGTGGCAGTGGGGAGGAGGGTTCTAGTTCGATGGACTAGACTGGCAAAGGCTTGGGGATGAAAGAGCATGCGCTACATTAGCGCCCTGAGCTTAACTGGTGTTCAGACACCCCGAGGGCGCATGATGACTTCCAAAGGCCTGTGGCAAGGATACTTAAGGGGATCACTCCCCAAATCTTCAGATTCCATATGGGCTCCTTCCTAGAGCTGATCTGCTCAAGAATATCCTTCGGTGGAGGGCCTGCTCTTCCTGTCTCCACCTTCACAACCACTCTGCTGCCATGTTTTAAAGGAAGTACACTGTATGCTCACCCATCCTGGATATTGCCAGGGCACATTGTCAAGGGTGGAGGTGGTGATAGGGTCAAACAAAAGAACAATTCAAGGTATTGGTGTCTGCAAAGGCTCCGTCATTCAGCACCATAAACCTTAACAGCAATAACCATAAGGCAAGAAAACTCTACAAAACCCATGGCAGGGCTTTGTAGAGTTTTCCTGCCTTATACTTAGCTATGCAGGGAGGCTGAGGTGGGAGAATTGCTTGAACCCAGGAGATGAAGGTTGCAGTGAGCCGAGATCATGCCACTGCACTCCAGCCTGGGTGACAGAGTGAGACCCTGTCTCAAAAAAAAAAAAAAAAAGAAATGATCTGTCCTAACTTGTTTGACTGTAGGTCATATGATCCCCTTTCCAGAGAGGATCCTGCCCTGTACCTGGAAGAAGGGAATGTATGGTCAGAGAGGCCAAGAAGAATCTAGACACACAGGCCTAGCTGGGTTTCCCCACTCCATCTATTAGCACTGGATCTACCTTTTTGTTCAATCATATTTCTACATGGCATTCCATACTTTGTTAAACCTAAGCATAAAAATGGACAATGTCCCCTGTATCTTTGGGTCTTCATTCTGAAGACTCCTATGTCATGTACATGTTAAATAAATTTGTATGCCTTTTCTCCAATTAATCTGCCTTTTGTGAGTTGACTTTTCAGTGAACCATCAGAGGGCAAAGAAGAAATTTTCCCTTGGCCTTTGCAGAGGTAATAGGAGTGATGAAATATTTGTTTGCTTATGTTGCCTATACCATCCCCCAACTACTATCAAATTCATTTTCTCTAACCTGTGACAGCAAAGCAAAAGAACATCCATAAAAAATACTGAAGGCACTGGTGACTTATTTTACCCAGGCGACAAAGTCAGGGAGTGCAAATGCATCTATCTCAGGAAATGGAGGAAATGGGCAGTGACTGCTAATAGACATGGAGTTTCTTTCTTCTTCCTTTTTTTTTTTTAGTCTAGGTCCCAGAGTTTCTTTTGTTATTTCATTTATTTACTTCTTTCCAGACATGGGGTCTCAATGTTGTCTGTTGGACCTGAACTCCTGGGCAGAAGGGATCCTCCCGCCTCAGCCTCCTGAGTGTCTGGGACTGCAGGCGAGCACCATCACACCCAGCAGATTCGTCCTTACCAGAGAACATAGCAACCTCAGCATATGGATTTTTTTTCTTTCCTTATCAAATCAAGAACTTTCACCTTTTTGATACAGGAGATAGAAAGAAATTAGGCAGATAGTGAGGGTAGAAGAGTCCTTGGCAAGGCTTCCTTTCTAACAAAAAGTAGCCCAAGAAGTTATTCTTTTCTAACAAAGAGCAGCCTGAAAAATCGAGCTGCAAACATAGACAAGCAAGCTGGAAGCTTGCACGGGTGAATGCCAGCAGCTGTGCCAACAGAAAAGGGCTACCTGGGAGCCAGGTATGTTCAAAACGGAGGCTCCATCTTCCCTTCTTTTTTCTTTTTTTTTTTTTGAGACAGAGTCTTGCTGTGTCTCCCAGGCTGGAGTGCAGTGGTGTGATCTCGGCTCACTGCAACCTCTGCCTTCTGAATTCAAGTGATTCTCCTGCCTCAGCCACCCAAGGGGCTGGGATTACAGACACCCGCCACTACACCTGACTAATTTTTGTATTTTTAGTAGAGATGGGGTTTCACCATGTTGGCCAGGCTAGTCTCGAACTCCTGACCTCCTCACTTCTCTGCCTCGGCCTCCCAAAGTGCTGGGATTACAGGTGTGAGCCACCGCGCCCGGCCCATCTTCCCTTTTCTTTGTCACCATGTGTACAGTAAAGAAGCAGGCAACATGGCACCAGCCAGGTAGAGAATCCATCAGCATAATAAAAGATTAGGGTGGGGGCAGACAGCTTTTCATGCCCTATGCAAATGGTACACCTGGTCCAACCAATCTTTGCTGCCCTATGTAAATCAGTTACCACCTCCTCAAGCTCATCCATAAAACCTCCTTCATTTCACCACAGAAGCAGCAACTCATTTTTTTGGGACTCCTCTTTGCTCTTCTCTTTCTTTCGCCTGTTAAACTTCCACTCTTAACCTCACACTGGTGTGTCCGCATTCTAGTTTTCTGTGGCCCTGAGACAACAAATCTAAGGTATCACCCCAGACAAATGAGGCCGTTTCATTTTCACTTAAAGGAAACACCTTACAGCTTCTTTTTGTCATACCCAAGTTGCTGGCATCTCTATTCTTGCACTTTGTGGCAAATTATTAAGTACGATAAGCGTTCCTTGAACACAAGCACTGAGATGCGTAACAGTCTGATAATTGAGACAGTTACTAGGTGACTGATTTCATCCCACTATTCAGAATATTGTGCAATTTAAAACCGATGAATTATTTCTGGAATTTTCCATTTCATATTTCTGGACCACAGTTGACTGTGGGTAACAGAAACCAAGAATAAGGGGAGACTACTGTAGATGTGGCCTGGAACCCAGCACATTTTAATAGGTTCTTGTAGAGCAGATGTTCCTTTTGTTGTGTGCACAGCTGGCTTCTAATGTGTTTGCTTTGCTAGTTTGGATATTTGCAAATGGAGATTTTAAAAGGGGAGTACATCTGTCTCTGTAGAAGAGCATAATATTATCTCCTATCTCAATCAGCTATTGTGGAAAACTCTAGCCTATGACAAAGATTCTCTCCTTAACCAAACTCTAGCCAGGCTCCTCTGAGACCTCTTCTCTATTAGACCTTGACCCTGGCTTATAAAGACTCGAACAAATACTAATAGTTTCTAACAGCTCAAGGCCACGTCTCTCAGATGACTAGTCCCCCTTAAAGTGCCTGTCTGAGAAAACTCCAGGCTGTCAAAAGAATTTGCCATTTGTTCCAGCCAATACCTGAAGGTAGGGCCCCTGTCTCCCTGTCTCTGTAGGAGGGTAGGAGCATAACTTCATTTTTTTTTTTTGAGACGGAGTTTTGCTCTTATTGACCAGGCTGGAGTTCAGTGGCACCATCTCGGCTCAATGCAAGCTCCGCCTCCCAGGTTCACACCATTCTCCTACCTCAGCCTCCGGCTCCGCCTCCCGGGTTCACGCCATTCTCCTGCCTTAGCCTCGCGAGTAGCTGGGATTACAGGCACATGCCACCACACCCAGCTAATTTTTTGTATTTTAAGTAGAGACAGGGTTTCACTGTGTTAGCCAGGATGGTCTCAATCTCCTGACCTCGAGATCCACCCTCCTTGGCCTCCCAAAGTGCTGGGATTACAGGCGTGAGCCACTGCGCCCTGCCTGGAGCATAACTTCTAAGTTCCAGTTCGCAAACTCAAATTGGTTTCACATGAACCGATCCCGCCTTTCCACTTTTCACTTCTCTGACTATCCTAAGCTCCTTGTTCCCTCACCTTTTAAAATACCCATCACCTCTGCACAAACCGAAGTTGAGCTCAGTTCACACTGGACTCTTCCTTACTCCAATAGCATATACTGATTACAATCTGTCCTTACCACTTTAACTAGTGTCTGGCTTTATCTTTGACATTTATCAAAAAGATTTATATGCACTTTGCAGACATTTAGATGCTTATTCTTTTAAGGAGCTCCTTACATTAAAAGCAACATTGTTAAATGACACAGAACAGTTTAGAAGGTGGAGGTGGAGTTAAGGAGGGCTCCACATTAAATATACTCACAGCGCGGATCAGCCAGCTGACGGGAATGTGTCTCCGAAACAGGGCAGCGATAGCATTCTCCCACCACCAGCCTTTATCTGCCAAGTTGAGTATATATGTTATATATGTGTGTGTATATATGTACACACATGAAACAGATATGTTATTTTAGCAAGGAAATATAGAGAGATATTCACTCAAGTTTTGAAAGCAGAATCTTTTGTACCAGGATACAATGATAGTTATGTCAAAGGAAATAATTCTATTAATTATGCCAGGCAAAATAAAATTATGTAGCCATCAAGGGAAGTGTCTTAATAAATATTAGGAAGAACATAGAGAACTTGAGTCTTCCACACCTGTGATTTGTGCTCACATTTTAAAAAAATACAAATTTGCAATCATTTCCCAAAATTACTTTTGGACAACTTTTAAAAGTCTGTTAGGGGATTCATTGCCAAACAAAAGTTTTCATTCAAGGCTAAGTAATGGCAATATAAGAAAAAAATGGACAAATTGAATTTCACAAAAATTTTTAAAATTCTGCGCATTAAAAGACAGTATTAGCCAGGTGTGGTGACTCATGCCTGTAATCCCAGCACTTTGGGAGGCCGAGGTGGGCGGATCCCCTGAGGTCAGGAGTTCGACACTAGCCTCGCCAACATGGTGAAACCCTGTCTCTATTAAAAATATAAAAATTAGCTGAGCATGGTGGCGGGCACCTGTAATCCCAGCTACTTGGGAGGCTGAGGGAGGAGAATTGCTTGAACCTGGGAGGCGGAGGTTGCAGTGAGCCAAGATCAGGCCACTGCACTCCAACCTGGGTGACAGAGAGAGACTCTGTCTCAAAAAAAAAAAAAAAAAAAAGACGGTATCAACAGAGTAAAAGGCAATTCACAGATTGAGAGAAAATATTTGCATTAATAAGAGATTAATATCCAGAGTATTCAGAGAACTCCTAAAACTCAACAACAACAAAACAAACATTCCAATTTAAAAATGGGCAAAGGGCCAGATGTGCTGGCTCAAGCCTGTAATCCCAACACTTTGGGAGGCCCAGGTGGGAGGAGTGCTTGAGCCCAGGAGTTTTAGATCAGCCTGGGGAAAATAGTGAAACCCCATCTCTACAAAAAATTTAAAAACTACCAGGCATAGTGGCACATGCCTGTAGTCCCAGCTTCTGGGGAGGCTGAGGCAAGAGGATTGCTTGAGCGCTGTTGGTCAAGGCTGCAGTGAGCTGTGATTGAGTCACTGCACTCCAGCCTGAGTGACAGAGTGAGACTCTGTCTCAAAACAAAAAAAAAATGGGCAAAGGACCTGAATAGACATTTCTCCAAAGAAGATATACAAATGGCCAGTAAGCACATGAAAAGATATTCCATATCATTAATCATTAGAGAAATGCAAATCAAAACTACAATGAGATGCCACCTCACACCCATTAAGATGGCTACTATTGGCCAGGTATAGTGGCTCATGCCTGTAATCCCAGCACTTTGGGAGACCAAAGTGGGTGGATCACTTGTGCCCAGGAGTTTTAGACCAGCCTGGGCAACATGGCAAAACCCTACCTCTACAAAAGTTAGCCAGGCATGATGGCACATGCCTGTAGTCCCAGCTACTCAGAAGGCTGAGGTAGGAGGATAACTTGAGCCTAGGAGATTGAGGCTGCAGTGAGCCAAGATCCCGCCACTGTACTCCAGCCTGGGCAATAGAGTAAGACTCTGTCTTAAGAAAACAGAAAGAAGAGAAAAAGAAAAAAAACAGGCCTTGTGCAGTGGCTCACTCCTGTAATCCCAGCACTTTGGGAAGAAGCCGAGGCAGGAGGACTGCGTGAGCTCAGGAGTTTGAGACCAGCCTGGGTAATATAGTGAGACCTTGTTTCTACTAAAAAAAAAAATTAAAAAAAAATTTTTAATGCCCCCCCCCCCCCCGCCAAAAAAAATAGCTAGAATTTGAATGTTTCTAGTGTAAAGAAAAGACAAATATTTAAGGTAACATATCACAATTAGATTGTGCACACATGATCGTGCATTTATGAATGTGTGATTTGAGACAGAAAGACTCTGTCTCAAAACAAACAAAAAAAAATGGGCAAAGGACTTGAATAGATATTTCTCCAAAGAAGATATACAAATGGGCAGTAAGCACATGAAAAGATACTCCATATCATTAATCATTAAGAGAAATAAAAATGTGATTTGCATTTCTCTGATGTGATTATATGAATGTAACACATCACATGTGCTCCCAAAATATGCACATGTAATGTGTATCAATAACAAAATTAATTTTTAAAAACCCACTCTAGCAATTTTGAAATACATAATACATGATTGTTAACTGTACTCACCTTGCTGTGTGGATCACCAGACCTTATTCCTCCTGTCTAATTGAAACTTTGTACCCTTTGACCATTTCCCTTTTTCCTCAGTGCATAGCAACCACCATTCTACTCTCTGCTTCTATGAGTTCAAACTTGGAGATTCCACATATAAGTGAAATCATGCAATATCTGTCACAGTAGGTTTTAAGCAGGGGAACAACCTGACCATTCTAGTTGCTGGGTAGGGAAGGAATTATAAGAAAGTAAAAATAGTAGCAAGGAGATCAGGTGGACTAATCAGGCAGTACAGGTGTGATGGGGGCTAGCTCAGCAGTGGAGGTAGAATGGACAGGTACAGTCTAGTTCTGCTGTCAGAGCTGATAAGACTTAGGGAGTGAGGGGTCAGTGATGATTTCTGGTAGCAATTGGTTGGGTAGAGGTGCCATTTTCTGAGACATGGGAAACGAGGAGAGGGACAGATTTGAGTAGAGGCAGAGTTGGGTAGAAAATAGGGAAAAGAAAAAAGCAAGAGATCTGCTTAGGCAAGTGTAAGATGCCTAGTAGACGTCAGAGTGGAGATGCTGAGAAGATGGCTGGATGCTCCAGTCTAGGACTCAGAGGAGGCCAGGCCTGGAGATGCAACAACAACAAAAACACTTCTGTGGCCCTTGCTCTGTGCCAGGGACTGCTGTATTTCATATTCGTTAATTCATTTCATCCTCATAGCAGCTATTATCATCCCTGCTTTTTTTTTTTCTTTTTTTTTGAGATGGAGTCTCGCTCTGTCGCCCATGCTGGAGTGCAGTGGCGCGATCTCGGCTCACTGCAAGCTCCACCTCCCGGGTTCACACCATTCTCCTGCCTCAGCCTCACGCCTAGCTGGGACTACAGGCACCCGCCACCACGCCCGGCTAAATTTGTGTTTTTTTTTTTTAGTAGAGACGGGGTTTCACTGTGTTAGCCAGGATGGTCTCAATCTCCTGACCTCGTGATCCACCCGCCTCGGCCTCCCAAAGTGCTGGGATTACAGGCATGATCCACCGCGCCCGGCCCATCCCTGCTTTCGAGATGAGGAAACTGAAGCACCGACAGGTTAAACTCCTTGATCGTGGTCACCCAGCTACAGCAATAAGATTTAAACCCAGGCAGACTGGCCCTGGAGTCTTCAGGTGTTACCCACCAGGTGTTTTGTTAAGCCTCCCCATGCCCTGTGGCATTCATTAGTCCTCCTCATATCTTTATCCTTTCCTAGGGTGGCTTTGAGGCATTGCTGGCACCCCCCATAATGTCCAGAGACTTAATATCACAGCTCATTGCAGCCTGTAACTCCTGGGCCCAAGCCATCCTCCCATTTCAGCCTCCCACGTAGCTGGGACTACAGGCAGGTGCCACCATGCCTGGCTAAAAGCAGTTTGACAGTATTTCATTAAATGCATATGTTGTAGACTAACTTGGTTATTTTTAACTGCTCATACCTTAGATTCTACTAATCAAGTTTGGTAAACAACTTGAGTTGCAAAATGAAAGCCAGTCATTTTTAATAAATATACATGTAATTATAGGCATTCTATTAAAAACCTTAGTAATTGTCATGCTGTGGTTTGGGTACCACAGGTTGAGAACCAGTACTATACATAGCTGACATATGAGAAAATGTGGAAGAAATACATTAGGATAAAGAACTGCTTACTGTGGACACTGATATATACTCAATCACCATCTTCCTGGTAAAGCCTTATGTAAAAAGATAAGAATAAACAATAACACTGGCCGGGCATGGTGGTTCACGCCTGTAATCCCAGCACTTTGGGAGGCCGAGGTGGGTGGATCACCTGAGGTTCGGAGTTCGAGACCAGCCTGGCCAACATGGTGAAAACCCATCTCTACCAAAAATACAAAAATTAGCCGGGTGTGGTGGCACCTCCTGTAATCCCAGCTACTCAGGAAGCTGAGGCATGAGAATCGGCTGAGCCCGGGAGGCAGAGGTTGCAGTAAGCTGAGATCGCCCACTGCACTCTAGCCTGGGCAACAGGGCGAGACTGTCTCAAAAAAACAAAAACAAACAAACAAAACAAAACAAAAACCCCAAAAAAACAACACCATGAAGTCAATCAGGGTTCATCAGACGAGCAACACTAAACTTCAAGATACTCCTTGTATATATCCTTCTCCTTGATTCAGCTGCACGCTGAGGACAGACACAGAGCTCACTTATTTCTAGATTTCCCACATACTGTGGAACTAAATGGTGTTCCCCTGAGATCTGGGGAATGGCAGTGGGGATGTCAATGAACAGAGCAATTGGGTCAGGACCCAGGAGAGCAATCTGAGAACTTCCTCTCCCACTACTAGCTGTCATTTCATCTCACAGCCTATTTCTTTCTCTGCCTAACGAATGGAGTTAAAAATAACAGCCCTGCCTAACAGGACTGTTGTGAGGGTCTAAGAAGAAGACATGTGAGGATGTACATGGTAAACCAGAAAGTGCTTTACAAATGTGGCTTGTATAACAGCATCATATATCCCCTAGATTATCACAGTAGTTTCCAAATGGTCTTCTGCTTCCATCTTAACCTAAAACAACCCAATCTCTACAGAGCAGCAAAAGTAATAGTTAAAAATATAAATCACATCTGTTCACTCCCTGGCCTACAATCCCCCTACAGCTTCCATTATGCTTAAAAACCAAACTCTTCATTGTGGCCCTGCACCATGGCCTCAGCCTCTTCTTCACTTCTAATGTCACTACCCACTTACTCCCATGCCATAACCACACTGACTTTCTTTGGCTTCTGAAATCCACCAAGCTTATTATTACTACCTACGGCCTTCATCCTTGCGGTAAGACCACCAGAAATGGTCTTCCCCTGGCTTCTGCAGAACTAGCTCCCGGATCACATGGGTCAGGCCTTCTCTGACCCTCTGACCTGTACTAACCACCCCACCTCCTCCTTCACTCTCTATCACAGCTTCCTATTTTGCTTTCTTTGCAGCACTTATTGCTACCTGAAATCTTCATTGCTTCCATGCATACTGTCCACTTTCTCCCCCTAGGATGGAAGTCCCTGCCACATAGTGGGTGTTCTGTATATTCTGTTGGGTGAGTGAAGGAAGTGCTTGGATAGAACTGAACAATAATGTAGCTAAAATTACACAGGGGTTTGTTTTGATTACCTCGTTCATCACCAGAAACTGTAAACTTGTGTGGGCTCTGGCCAGTCCATAATCCTACATAGCCAATAAAAGTAGTTCCTGTGAATGCAATCTGAAATCAAGAGATAACATGGATCATTTCACCATTCCAATCAAATACACTGAAATCACCTGTTCTGCCCCACAATTTTCTGGATTTTTTTTCTTATAAATTCCAACACAATAGAATAAAACTCTGAAATAGTCTTCTAAGACAGAGGTTCTTAACCTTAAGCTGGGGTGGGTGGGGGTGTGGTCCATAGATAGATTTTAGTAGATTTGTGACCTTGGATGGGAAAAAAAAAGATGCATCTTTATTTTCACTAACCTCTAACTGAAATTTAACTCCTTCTATAATGAATGCATGCAACAAATCACACAATCATAGTGGTGCCTATAATTTTGCCACTAGTAGAAATCACAGATATTTTCACATACACAATGTTGGCTGCAGTTATTTTGAAACACTATCCATAATTTACTACTTTGAAATCATGGTAGTTATTAGACCCCCTGCTAAACCTTACTATTTAATGTGTTAAGAAAAAGTATAACATTGAAATGGCTGTTTTCAACACAACTGATTTTTTTTGTAATCCTACGTATTTTATTTTATGTATTTATAAAACAGTATTCACCAAAGGGGTGCACAAAGCAGGTTAAGAAGCCCCATCCTAGAAGTAGCAAGTGGAGTCTTACTTTAAAACTTGTTTTGAAGCCAGGAGCAGTGGCTCACGCCTGTAATCCTAGCACTTTGGGAGGCCAAGGTGGGCAGAACACCTGAGGTCGGGAGTTCAAGACCAGCCTGACCAACGTGGAGAAACCTGGATTCTACTAAAAATACAAAATTAGCCGGGCGTGGTGGCACATGCCTGTAATCCCAGCTACTAGGGAGGCTGAGGCAGGAGAATCACTTGAACCCGGGAGGCGGAGGTTGCGGTGAACCGAGATAGCGCCATCACACTCCAGCCTGGGCAACAAGAGTGAAACTCTGTCTCAAAAATAAAATAAAATAAAATAAAACTTGTTTTGATTTGATTATAAGAGATGAATATCACATATTTTATAAGCTCTGTGAAGTTAGAATATCAAAGTGGGACTGTTCACCAATAATAATCACATTTAAATTTTAAATATTTAAAAATCCTTTAACAAAGCTCTTTCATTTAATCCTCACAACTATCCCATGAATTATAGGCATCACTCCTACTTTAAATTAAGGTCACAAGCTCCAGTGATTGCAAGATACCACTATGTAACCTGCAGGAGAAAAATCAAACTCTGTATGTCACCGAGGCTGGAGTGCAATGGTGCAATCACGACTCACTGCAGCCTCGACCTCCTGGGCTCAAGCAATCCTCCCACCTCAGTTTTCCAAGTAGCTGGGACCACAGGTGCATGCCACCAAACCTGACTGATATATAAATATATACAAAATTTTTTTTTGCTTTTCCTAAAGACAGGGTCTCCCTATGTGGCCCAGGCTCGTCTCAAACTCCTGGGCTCAAGCAATCCTTCTGTCTTGGCTTCTCAAAGTGCTGGGATTACAGGTGTGAGCCACCACAGCTAGCCTTTATCAGTTATTTCTGATACCAAATTTTATTTTTCAAAGAAGTACTTTGGCAAGGCATGGTGGCTCACACCTGTAATCCCAGCACTTTGGGAGGCCAAGGTAGGCGGATCACTTGAGGCCAGGAATTTAAGACCAGCCTGGCCAACACGGTGAAACTCCAACTCTACCAAAAATACAAAAATTAGCTGGGTGTGGTGGCACGCACCTGTGGTCCCAGCTACTCGGGAGGCTAAGGCAGGAGAATCGCTTGAACCCAGGAGGTAGAGGTTGCCGTGAGCCAAGATTGCACCATTGCACTCCAGCCTGTGACAGAACAAGACTCTGTCTCAAAAAAAAAAAAAAAAAGTACTTAAAACAGTATCTGACTCATACTGTTCAATAAAAGTTAACTAATACCATTATGTTTTAAGAAATAGATAGTCCTAGATTGATATTTTCCTTAGAAAAATTAGGTCAGTAATGTTTTTCATTTAATTATTTATTTTTACCTTATCTGCTTGTAAAAATAATTTAAGGTGGCTGAATTACAAGGGAGAATGCAGTGTCCTTAGCTTTATAAATGACCTCAGCCCTCAGACTTACTGAGGACCTCCATGAATGTCTCATCTCCACGCATGGTGGTAAAGCAGAAATAAGTCTTCCTTACTACTCAAATGTAATTATATGGAAAATAAAAAGTAATTATATGGCCACCTCATTTGCGTGACACCGTGATCGTCAGGGTCACTCTTGGAGGGCTGAGAAAATTGAAGTTATGAGATCAAAAGTCACATCGTAGTTTTCAATTACGATACATAATTATAAATAATTTTGAGATATAATTTGTAAGATATTTTATCTTGCAGCTCTGAAAATCTGTCTTTACTTCTGTTTGTACTTCCCAGTTGTTTCTGCCTAGTCAGTTAACATAAACAAACCCTTAGCAGGGAATTTTAAGTTACAGCCTGGTGCCTGGTGCGGTGGCTCAAACCTGTAATCCCAGCACTTTGGGAGGCCGAGGCGGGTGGATTATCTGAGCTCAGGAGTTCAAGACCAGCCAACATAGTGAAACCCCATCTCTGCTAAAAATACAAAAATTAGCCGGGTGTGGTGGCACCCTCCTATAGTCCCAGCTACTTGGGAGGCTGAGGCAGGAGAATTGCTTGAACATGGGAGGCAGAGGTTGCAGTGAGCCGAGATCGCGCCACTGCACTCCAGCCTGGGTGATAGAGCGAGACTCTGTCTCAAAAATAAAAACAATAGTAGTAGTAATAATAATAATAATAATAATAATAATAATAATAATAATAATAATTTACAGCCTAATTAAGGCTGTAAACAAAAACTATCAGTAGGCCTAACGCCTGGGTTCTGGCCCTACCTCTGCCATGTCTCTAGAGGCCTTGTGATTCGGGGCAAGTCAGTCTCTGTGAAGCTGGGCCCCCTCATCTAGAAAGTAAAGATTAAAATGTTGACTTATGCCTGCTTCACAGGGCTGCTGGGGGGATCGAATGAGGTCCTGTGTATGATAATACTTTTGTTGTTGTTGTTGAGATGGAGTCTCACTCTGTCACTGGGCTAGAGTGCAGTGGTGCGATCTCAGCTCACTGCAACCTCCGCCTCCCAGGTTCAAGCGATTCCCCTGCCTCAGCCTCCCAAGTAGCTGGGATTACAGACACCCACCCACACGCCCAGCTAATTTTTTTTTTTTTTTTTTGTAGTTTTAGTAGAGACGGGGTTTCACCACATTGGCCAGGCTGGTCTTGAACTCCTGACCTCGTGATTCGCCTGCCTCGGCCTCCCAAAGTGTTGGGATTACAGGCGTGAGCCACCGCGCCCAGCCAAAAATACTTTTAAGATTACAAACACTAGACAAGAATGAGAGATGAATTATTTTGTGGATAACCTGTTCTTAATTTCATAAAACAATTTCTTGGCCATGAGTCCTCCATAGAAAAGCAATACCCAAGTGTAAACTGTCTATATTCAGTAACAGTCACCTGAGTACTGAGAGTAAAACTACCTCTACAGACTATTTCTCTATAGATTATTTCATGGGAACTCCAGGAAAAACAAAAACAAATGAAGCAACAACTATTAGAGTGAGTTTCAGAGCAGCTGAAATAATTTATTTTCATTGCATTTATTCCTTTGTCTCTTTATTAAGAGTATTAGCTCATTATAGAACAATGGAGAAAAAACATGAATAAATAATAAATAATATTATCCTTCATTCAGTAATAACTTAATATTTAGCAGATTTCCTTTGAGAATTTATTATGCATTTATATTATCGTTACCACTTAAAATCATTTTTAAAGTAATTCAGCTAGAAATCAAATTGTTAATAGTGGCAAAGTAAAGAAATGGGACTGGAAAGGAGAAACTTTTACTTTAAATATTTCTGTACTGTTTGAATTTTTTATGAAAAAAAGTGTTTGTAAAAGCAGATGACTGAGTAGTTAGTAAATGAGTTTTTAGTATTTGTGAATCAACCCCTAAATGCAAAGAACAAAGGGAATATAGTCCTTGTCCTTACAGCCAAAATCTGGCTTTTGCACTCTGTATTCTGTTTTACAGCAAAACATGCTTTGCGTACTCAATGAACATTGATTAATTCTGTCTCTCTAAAAGTTTACACAGTTGACAACAGCACACACTAGATTATAGTTTTAAAGGGACCATGCTATAAACAAAAGATCTAAGTATAATTTTTTAAAGATCATACACAAGAAAGTGGTGTGGGTCAATCACACTTGCAGAATGAAGGACCATTTATTATTTGGCTACAACTTTACATAGACTACTTCATTTAACATTTATAACTATCGCAGTAAAGTAGTTATGAGCCTCCATGAGCTGTAGTCTGCAAAATTAGGGAATGAGTAATTTCTCAGGTTCACAAAGGAAGTACAGTAATTGATAGAATCAAGATTTAAACCTGGGACTGTCAGATCCCAAAGTTGGGTGTTTCTAGTTATTGCACTACCCAGCCCCTCCATATTCCAGAAGCAGCCTGGGCATGGGAAAGCAGAGGAAAGAGCTGACTCTGCATAAGTGGATGATTGATCACTCTCTAAAAGAGATTTCCCTATGGAAAACTGGGTGACCTCTTTAAGTAGACACTGAATAATAAATAATAAATGACCGTCCTTCCTATAAGCATAATTGATGCAAACCTCTCTTCTGGCTTTGTTTTTCCAGGGGTGTGATTTTTTTGTGTCTTACACTGATAACACACTTAAGTTAGCAGGCCATCCAAATGACTGCTAACTTGAGTTTGCAAATCTTTCTGATTTTTTATCTTATATGGTACGGATTATACCTGCCCATTCTTTAAGAATTGCACATCCACTGTCAGCTTGCGTAAGACATTCCCAAAAGGATAATCCAAATTCCGACCATGGTAAATGTGGCCTCTGGAGTCTTGAGCCACAATACTGGTGCAGAACCTGAGAAAAGGGAAAAGTCCAACATGAATGAATAAGACAAATAAGAAAAAAAAGGAAAAGGAGTTTTTCATTTGTAAAACAAATCCTCAAAGTAAAAGTTTTTCTTCCTTATAACTGATATATGTGCTATAATGCTTGTATAAGAATATAGATTAACAATTCAAGATGAAAAACACAACTGGATACAACTCATCTGTGTTCATTCAGTGTTTCTAGGATCTTTACCCTTAGCACACATGGAGGGCATCATAAGCATAGTAAGTGAGAATTTCATCCTCAGTCTAAATCTGAAGTGAAACTAACCCATCCTGGGCTCAGGACACCTCTGAACTCTGCTTTTTCCTCTGCATGGCAGCATGTATTCTATTTAACACATGATTCAAAGCCAGCTCAAGCTCACCTCTCCATATATGAATTCCTCAGAGCAAATAAAGTAACACTAAACCATTGTTTCACAAATGTTTCATTTTGTCCCCTTGGGAAAATGGCTGGCTCTTAAGGGACTTGGCACTTTTCCTTTCTCTCTCCAGCTCCTTGCACAGAGATCATAATTTTAAAAAAGGGGGAATCTCTATGAACAGAAGTATTGTGAGAAAAAGAGGAGGAGGCTTGTTAAGTATCTATCCATATTCTCTGAGAATATTTAACTGTACATGAAAAAATATTTATATACAGTATGTCCAATACCAGAGGGAAAAATATGTATATCCACATGAACAAAACTGAGAGAAAATATCCTGAAGGGTTTTTCTGGTCATTTTTTAATAACAGGATGGTGGTTAGCTTTGTTTTTTTACTTTTCTACATTTACTGATTTTCTACAACGATTACATGTTACTTTTATAATTGGGGAAAAAAGTGTTACTTTTTGTTTGTTTGTTTTAAGATGGAAACTTGGGCTGGGCAAGGGCACAGTGGCTCATGCCTGTAATCCCAGCACTTTGGGAGGCCAAGGTGGGTGAATCATGAGGTCAGGAGTTTGAGACCAGCCTGGCCAACATAGTGAAACCTCATCTCTACTAAAAATACAAAAATTAGCCGGGCATGGTGGCGCACACCTGTTGTCCCAGCTATCTGGGGGGCTGAGGCAGGAAAATCGCTTGAACCAGGGAGGCGGAGGTTGCGATGAGCCAAGATCGTGCCACTACACTCCAGCCTGAGTAACAGAGTGAGACTCCGTCTCAAACATAAATAAATAAAATAAAATAAAGACGGAAACTTGGTCAGTTTTAATTCCCTCCAAGGTTTCTGTTATTTATTTATTTATTTATTTATTTTGAGTCTCTGTCACCCAGGCTGGAGTGCAGTGGTGCAATGTCGGCTCACTGCAGCCGTGACTTCCCGGGCTGAAGCGATCCTCCCACTTCAGCCTCCTGAGTATCTGGGACCACAGGCGCAAGCCTCCACATCCGGCTAATTTTGTGGTATTTTTTGTAGAGACAAGGTTTTACCATGTTGCCCAGGCTGGTCTCGAACTCCTGGGCTCAAGAGATCCATCCACCTCAGCCTCCCAAAATGCTGGCAATGCAGGCGTGAGCCACTGTGGCCGGCCACCCTCCAAGGTTTCTGAGCTTAACTTCAAAGAGTTCAGGTCAGGGAGGGGACTGGTAAGACATGGGAAGTACTAAAGCAAAGTTTGTGGGATCTCTCTCAGAGGCGATTTTTCAAAATTGGCAAGATAACAATACTTCCATCTCAGGCCCAAATGTTGTAGTGTGATGCAGCAGTGCACAAGCATGGGAGACAAATGAGGAAACAGGCTCTGCTTTGAAAGGCACTGCAGCGAACTGGAGATTCCCATGCTTTTAGCACTCACCAGCCACCTGACTTCCAGCAAGGTGGCCCCACTGAGGCTTGGTTTCCACATCACAAAACAGATGATACCATCTTCCCCACGGGACTGTGTTCATGAAGTGCCTGGCACCCAGTAGGCTCAATAAAGGGTAGCTAGTATTATTCTAATTCAAGAAGGCTTACTTCCAACATGAGAAGAAAGCATTTCCTTTGTTAATGCTAGTGAATTGAATGGTGCTATTAGGCAATTCAATAAATACCTTAGTATCAAATCCAAAAGTTAGAATGTTTTTACTAGAACTTTTGCTTTAATGTGTTTGAATATGGTGACTCCAACAGATGAGGGTAAAAATGATTCGTGATTTTTCATTGAGAAAGCTGTAAGTTAAAAATAGGAAAAAGTTGGAGGTAGGAGAGGGAGGTGGTAAAATTATAATAACTTAGTTCAACTGAAAAGCATGTTATTTAGCAGGCCTGTGTCTTTTCTGTGCCTGAAAGCATTTCCTGAAGAGGAAGGCAGTCCCAGTGCTTTTTAGCTTACTCTGCCTAGGTGTTCTGGGAAAATGCCTGGGCCAGTAAAGTTTCATTATTCCAAGATCTTTTCTACCCCCATCATCTTTAGGCAGCAAGAAGCTCTAAGTATGTACAAGAGGTTACGAGATGAAGCTAGTCTGCTGGCAAAACAATAAGTATTGAAGGAAGAAACCAAGTCAAAACCTCTCTTTATTCCAGGGCCTATTACTGAGCCCATAAACCTTTAGTGGTCCCCTGCACTTTGCCTGGGATCAACCACACACTCCATGTTGCTTTCACTTCTGGGTGCACTTTTTTTCTTTGATATGGAATCTCGCTTTGTCGCCCAGGCTGCAGAGTGCAATGGTGCCATCTTGGCTCACTGCAACCTCTGCCTCCTGGGTTCAAGTGATTCTCCTGCCTCGGCCTCCCAAGTAGCTGGGATTCACAGGTGCCCGCCACCAGGCCCTGGTAATTTTTTTGTATTATTAGTAGAGACGGGGTTTCACCATGTTGGCCAGGCTGGTCTTGAACTCCTGACCTCAGGTGATTCACCCGCCTCGGCCTCCCAAAGTGCTGGGATTACAGGCGTGAGCCACCGCGCCCAGCCTGGATGCACATTTTATCATGCCCACTTCCCGGTCCAAACACTGGCTGGCCCTATTAGAGCAGTGTTCCCTGTCGCCCCAGCCCTGGTGGACACAGACACTTCAGCCACGACACACATGAAAGGATAAATGCAGGGCGACAAATAAGGGCAGAGATGAGCCACTGCCAGTATAGAGCTGGAAGGCCACTGAGTTAACTAAAGGGTCCAGATGAGAGGAGGCTTAGTTTCAAAAACTTCCTGGAAAAGTACGTTTTGAGCAGAATTTTTTTTTTTTTTTTTTTGAGACAGAGTCTCGCACTGTCGCCAGGGCTGGTGTGCAGTGGCGCGATCGCGGCTCGCTGCAACCTCCGCCTCCCGGGTTCAAGTGATTCTCCTGCCTCAACCTCCTAAGTAGCTGGGATTACAGGCGCCCACCACCACGCCTGGCTAATTTTTTGTGTTTTTCGTAGAGACGGGGTTTCACTATGTTGGCCAGGCTGATCTCGAACTCCTAACCTCGTGATCTGCCCACCTTGGCCTCCCAAAGTGCTGGGATTACAGGTGTGAGCCAACGCGCCCGGCCTTTGAGCAGAATTTTAAAAGTACGCTACCTGGATTGGGGAAGAGAAAACCCGGGGCTACACGTAGAGGGAAAGTTTAGTGTTGAATCGGAGAATCTGCTTTCCCTCTCGAAGCCTACGATGTGCAGCTCAGATTTACCCAGAGAGGCAAAGAGGAAGCGCTGGAGGTTTCTAGGCAAGCAGGCACCGCCCTGTTTTTATCACACGGAAAATATGTCTCCTCCCGCTAGTCTGTGTCGGGGGCCCCCGCAAGCCCCGCGTTACTCCGCGCGGGCTTGGGGCACTCACACGGAGGACTCGTAGGCCAGGTTGACCAGAAGGCAGTCCGCCAGGCTGAGGTTCATGAAGTCACACATGCCGCGGATCTCGCCGGTGAAGGGCTGGGGCAGGAAGCGCTCCAGCTCCAGGACCACTTTTCCGATTAACACGTGCACCCACTTGGGGACTCTGTCCCTAGAAACAAAAAGCACAAGGGCGTCTGACCCGCTCAGAGGTCGGCGGCGTGCGACTGCGTGTGCACTGCGAGCGGGGCTACATCCTTAGGGCGTGAGGTCTCAGGGCCACTGCTCCCCAGTCAGTGGACCGCCCAGGCGCGGCGTCACTCAATCTGCAGCCTCCCGGGAGTGGGGGGAAGGGGGCGGGGGGAAGGCGGCGGGTAAGAAAACTCCGAATGGGGAGGGCGAGTGAGGCTGGTCCCAAAGGGGCAAGCTTGGAAGGCCCGCGAGGCCCGCAAGGAAGGCGCGGGTTGCCCCTCCTTGGTAGCTATGCAGCCCGGGCGACAACTCGCGCGCCACGCTGACCCGGAATGGCTCAAGGACTGGCGTGCCACGGGTGACACCGAACTTGAAAGCCGAACCTGCCGCGCTGGATTCTCCCCAACCCGGACGCTGCTCAGGGCGGCAGCCAAAACCAGTTCTCCAAGGGTGGCGGGGAGTAAAGCGTCCCCGTTTAAAGCACTCTGAGCAGCGCGCGTTTGACTCCGACCCGCAGGGCCGGTGTCCCCGCAGACCCCGTCCAGGGCCCCAGCTCACCCGATGACTTGCGCCATCGCGGCGCGCACCAAGTCCAAGTCGTAGTGCCGCAGCACGGGCAGCCAGCGCAGCTCGGGGACCGAGTCCAGGCTCACGTTGAAGCGCGGCGCTGCTGGGGGCGAGGCGGCTGACAGCCCGGCCCCGGCCAGCAGCAGCAGCAGCAGGGACGGAAGCCCCGGGCGCGCCTCCCGGTCCGCGGTCCGCATGGCTCGGGCTCCAGCGGCCGCAACTTGGAGACCTGCAGCCGCTGTCGGAGCCCGGGTAAGCCGTGGAGGAGGAGGAGCTGGGGCTGGGCTGCGATCGCTGGAGGTGGGGCCCGCGCACGACCCGCCCGCCCCTGTCACCGGCAAGCCGGAGCGGCGACACCTCCCGTCCCCGCCGCGCATCCACTAGCCCGCCCCGACTCTCCATCGGGCCTGGAGGTCCCTGACCGCGGGGCCGCTAAGGGTTGGGGCTGCCGGCAGCCGGCTTCTCACCAACTGCCGGTTCCAGCGCACCTGCTTGGGCCGAAGGAGTGTAGGCTGCGGCCGGGAGGGGCTGTAAGATTTTCAGTAGCGAAAAGGTGTCAGGAAAGACTTTTCAGTTAAACTTTGTTTGCTTGTTTGTTTGTTTGTTTGAGATGTAGTCTCACTCTATTGCCCAGGCTGGAGTGCGGCGGCGAGATATCCGCTCACTGCCAACTCCGCCTCCTGGGTTCAAGCGATTCTCCTGCCTCAGCCTCTCAAGTAGCTGGGATTACAGGCGTCCACCACCATACCTGGCTAATTTTTGTATTTTTGGTAGGGACAGGGTTTCACCATGTTGGCCAGACTAGTCTCGAATTCCTGACCTAAGGTGATCCACCGGCCTCAGCCTCCCAAAGTGCTGGGATTACAGGCGTGAGCCACCGCGCCTGGCTGGTAAAACATTTTTTTAAAGCTCAAAATTTAGTGAACATTTATCTGCTAAATATTTTTCGCGGACATTATCTCATTTAATCATCAAAACAAGCCAACAGGTAGGTTCCACTAATCCTCGCTTTACTGATGAGGAGTGTGAGGCTTGGAGAGGTGAAGCCATGTACCCGAGGTTACTCTGCTGGTGTGTCTCTGCACTGGCCTCCAAGTAAGGAGGTCTGAATCCACAATCCACCTTCACACCTAAGTTTCTTCACCTTTGAGTTCCCAATGTCTGGGAGACAAACTTAGGAAAATCTTAGTAAGGCTGGGACATTCTTAACGGTTAGCACAGTTGTCTGTGGGTAAAACAGGGTACATGTGTACATGAATAGTAGAAACTAAATGAAAGGGCCGGGCATGGTGGCTTAGGCTTGTAATCCCAGCAGTTTGGGGGGCTGAGGCGGGTGGATCACCTGAGGTCAGAAGTTTGAGACCAGCCTGGCCAACATGGTGAAACCCTGTCTCTACTAAAAATACAAAAATTAGCCGGGCGTGGTGGTGTAATCCCAGCTACTTGGGAGGCTGAACAGGAGAACCTCTTGAACCTGGGAGGCAGAGGTTGCAGTGAGCCGAGATTGTGCCAATGCACTCTAGCCTGAGTGACAAGAGCAAAACTTTGTCTCAAAAAAAAAAAAAAAAAAAAAAAAAAAAAAAAAAAAAAAAAAAAAAACTAAATGCATAGTAGAAACTAAACACATTTTTTTTTTATTTTTTACCAATTTTAGGATGAAGAAATACAACTTTTATAATCAATCACTTGTTTTTAAGGATAACACTTAAAGGAATTACAAAATTTCTTGCCAGACATGGTGGTTCACGCCTGTCATCCCAGCACGTTGGCTGGCTGATCATCTGAGGTCACTTGGTTTAATGAATAGAATCAGAATTGCTGGTGGTTGACTTCCAAGACTAGGTCACAAAAGACACTGTGGGTTTCTCCTTGCTCTCTTGAATTGCTCACTATAGGAAGCCCATTGTCATGTCCTGAGGAAGCCCTATGAAAATGTCCCTTTGTGGCTGGACACAAATCTCAGCACTTGGAGAGTCAGGCAGGAGGACTGCTTGAGCCCAGGAATTGGAGACCAGCCTGGGCAACAGTGAGACCCCATCTCTACAAACAAATAAAAATAAATTAGCCGGGCATGGGGGCATGTATCTTTAGTCCCAGCTACTTGGTAGGCTGAGGTAGGAGGATTACTTGAGCCCAGGAATTTGAGGCTGCAGTGAACTATGATCACGCCACTGTACTCCAGCCTAAATGACAAAGTGAGACCCTGTCTCCAAAAAAGAAGTAAATAAAATTGAAAAAAAAGAAAAAAGAAAGTCCCTTTGTTGAGGAACTGAGCTTCTACCAAGAGCCAGAGAGGAACTGAGGCTTCTTGTCAAGTCATCTGAGTGAGCCATGGTGGAAGTGGACCTTCCTGCCTCAGCTAAGCCACCCCCAAATTCCTAACCCATAGAAACTGTGAAGCAGGCCGGGCATGGTGTCTCACATCTGTAATCCCAGCACTTTGGGAGGCCGAGGCGGGCAGATCACTGGAGGTCAGGAGTTTGAGACCAGCCTGACCAACATGGTGAAACTCCGTCTCTACTAAAAATATAAAAATTAGCTGGGCGTGGTGGCGGGTGCCTGTAATCCTAGCTACTCGGGAGGCTGAGGCAGGAGAATTGCTTGAACCCAGGAGATGGAGGTTGCAGTGAGCCCAGATCGCACCACTGTACTCCAGCCTGGGTGACAGTGAGACTGTCCCCCCCCGCAAAAAAAAGAAACTGTGAAATAATGTTTATCACTTTATGCCACTAAGTTTTGAGGTAATTTGGTATGTGACAAACAGATCATTAATATAGATTTGTTTGGGAACGTAACTGTAGTGCTACCATAACACATGCCTAAAAATGTATTGCTTTGGAACTGGTAGTAGGGAGAAATTGTAATAATTTTGAGCAGAATGTTAGTGAGAGCCTAAAGTTCCTAACAGACTGATGATTAGTAGAAGTCTGATGATTAGTAGAAATCCCTTGAGAAACAAACCATCCTAAGAAAGAAACAGTCTGATGGTCTTGAAGGAGACTGCCAGCACTAGCCACTTCAGAAGTGAGAATGTTATTGGAAACTGGAAGTAAGAGGTTCCTTTGTTATGTAGTGCCAGAATGTTTAACATGATCACCTAGAGGAATGCAGAACACAGAAAAATGTACCTAAGGAACTAGGTACTCTAGCTAGATCTCCAAGCAAAATGTTGAAGTTGCTACCTGGCTTCTTGCTGCTTATAGTCAAATATGAGAGGAAAGAGAGAAGCTAGAGCAAGGACTGTTAAAAAGGATCCAGAAATGGTTTTGAAAATCCTAGGCCCAAAGTATACATGAGAACTTAGTTTATCATAGATATCGCATTGTTTATCTGTGGAGATATCTGCAACATAGGTAATTGATAAAGAATTAGTATCTAGAATGCGTAAAGATCTCCTATGTTTTTATTACTAAAAAAAAAAAAGGAAAACAAAAGGCTATAAAAAGAGGAAAACCCAAATGAACATAAAAATGTGAAGTTATTTCAACCTCTCTAGTAATCAATGAAATGCAAATTAAACCATGATACCATTTCATAAACAAAGGGTTGTCTTAAGTTTCAAAGTCTAATAACATCTTGTTGACATGGATGTAGTAAGATACAAACTTACATGAGTTACTGACGAGAATATAGTGTTAATTCAGTATTGCCTAGTAAAGTTGAAGAATTGCAGACCCTACAAACCCAGTGATTTCATTTTCAGTTTTCTGGATTTCTTTTTTCTTTTTTTGAGACAAAATCTTGCTCTGTCGCCCAGGCTGGAGTGCCGTAGCGTGATCTCAGCTCACTCAACCTCTGCCTCCCAAGTTCAAGCAATTCTCCTGCCTCAGCCTCCTGAGTAGCTGGGATTACAGATGCGCACCACCACACCTGGCTAATTTTTTTGCATTTTTAGTAGAGACAGGGTTTCACCATGTTGGCCAGGCTGGTCTCAAACTCCTGATCTCAAGTGATCCGCCTGCCTTGGCCTCCCAAAGTGCTGGGATTACAGGCGTGAGCCACTGTGCCCAGCCCATTTTCAGTTTTCTATCTAAACTTTGTTTAAAGAAAAAACTCTAAGACCATGAACCCTAGAAGACATGTTCAAAGATGCTTACTGCAGCAAGGTTTTAATTAAATTAATTAGTTAGTTACTTTTTTTGAGAGGGAGTCTCACTCTGTCACCCAGGCTGGAGTGCAGTGGTGTGATCTCAGCTCACTGCAACCTCCCCCTCCTGCCTTCAAGTGATTCTCCTGCCTCAGCCTCCCAAGTATCTGGGATGTGCCACCATGCCTAGTTAATTTTTGTATTTCTTAGTAGAGCAGGGTCTCACCATGTTGGCCAGGCTGATCTCAAACTCTTGACCTCAGGTGATCTGCCTGCCTCAGCCTCCCAAAGTGTTGGGATATAGGCGTGAGCCACTGTGCCCAGCCTGCAAGGTTTTTAAATAGCAAAAAAAGTGGAAAACTTTTTCTAACTGCTTTTTGGTAGAATGATAAATTGTGGATGTATGAATAAACAATGGAAACTATACAACAATTAAAATGAATCTCCATCTATCAAGAATCTAATGTTGAGTTACATAGCAAAAGAATTTATAGGATACTGCTTATGTAAAAATTTATATATACATACAAATATACAAGGGAAAGAAAAAACTGCAGGAATGATAGGCATCAACCTCTGGATAAGGATTATCCCTGAGAAGGGGGTGGGAAATGGCTGAGTGGGACATAGTTATACTCTTAATGTTCATCAACTTCTAGATAAGGGTTATCCCTGAGAAGAGGCGGGGAAATGGCTGAGACATAATTATACTCTTAACGTTCTAGTTTTTAAGTTTTTAAAAAAGCAAAATATTAACACTGAATAAAACTTGGAGATGAACAAGTTTCATTATTTTCTATATGTATGTTTTTTAAAAATCACAAAATGATAAAATGTTTAAAAGATTTAAAAAGATTTAAGTATCCTTAAAACAAGATGTTCTGTTGAACATCATTTATTCTTAGTTTCCATGTAATTCTTTTGAACTTCCCCTTTTGTAACATTTCCCAGAATTAGGGTTTCCATTTTGTTCTTAATTTTCTTTTCCTCCTTGGCCAAATTTCTTTTAAAAACACCTCTGATGGTAACATAGATATTAGGAATAGCAAGTACAACAAAATTGGATCTTACGAAGATGGAACTAGAAGTATTTTAGATTAAAAAAATTTTTAGTAGAAATGTTTGATAAGCAACATTACAAAATATTTAAAATGTAAAGGAGTTCATGGCCATGAGCTGTAAAAAAATTTTTTTAAATGTAAAGGAAAAAATCCAATCAGTTATATTCCCATCACCCAAACCTAGCAACTACTTTCATATGCATATTTTATTTATGAAATTGTAGTTATACGAAGCACCATTATTTTATGTATCTTGAAGAAAAATTCACTGCCATTTAAACTATGATACGCTGTCTTACTAGAATTTAAAAATGTGTATGTATTGAAAGAGTTTTCTTAAGTTTTTTGTCAAAATTATTTGAAAATCACATATCTACTCTTCTATGTTTTTAAAAAGTGAAATAAATTAAGCTATTGCTTAAGCTTCTTTGCATTCTGAATTAGATTCTCCTGAATCACCATTTGACTACAGATACCCATGTTTTTCCACACCACACTACTTTTCTGTGCCATTAAGAATCTTGGCTGGATGTGGTGGCTCACACCTGTAATCCCAGCACTTTGGGAGGCCGAGGACGGTGGATCACTAGAGGTGGTCAGGAGTTTGAGACTAGCCTGGCCAACATGGTGAAACCGTCTCTACTAAAAATACAAAAAATTAGCCGGGCATGGTGGTGTGCGCCTGTAATCCCAGTGACCCGAGATCGTGTCACTGCATTCCAGCCTGGGTGACAGAGTGAGACTCCGTCTCAAAAAAAAAAAAAAAAGAAAAAAAAAGAATCTTAGTGCTGGCCAGACATAGTGGCTCCCACCTGTAATCCCTGCACTTTGGGAGGCCAAGGTGGGAGGATCACTTGAGGTCAGAAATTTGAGACCAACCTGGGCAACATCGCGAGACCCTGTCTCTATTAAAAATAAATTTTAAAAAATGATTAATAGCTAGGCATTCTGGCCTGGGCCTGTGGAGGATCTCTGGAGCCCAGGAGTTCAAGGCTGCAGTGGGTTCTGATTACACCACTGCACTCTGGCCTAGGTGACAGAGCAAGACCCAGTCTCTGAAAGAAAAAATAAAAGTCTTAGTGATGCCTCATTTCTTAAAAGTTCTCCACTCACGAAGGAGGTTTCAAGGTGTTTGTAATGTTTCTTAATCTGAGTGCTGGTTACAGGAATGTATTCAGCTTGTGAAAATTCATTGAGTTTAAGTACACTTGATGGTACCTGTACTCTTCTTTACATGTCGATAAAGAGTTTGGAATTTTTTAAAAGTTCCAGTTTTTTTCTGGAATTTTCATAAAGGCTACTAATTCCCATTCTGCAAATTTTGATGTTGGTCCCTGCTTCATGTTAGCAGATGTCAAGTGAAAATAGCAGACCAGGTTTGTGAATGTGCAGGCAATGACAACTACATCAAGACTGTTGTCTGGCTGCAAACATTTTTAAACATCTCAATTTCAGAGATTAAATGTGTAAAGAAATTGTCTTAAAACCACTTGATCATTTTATTTATTTAGAGACAGAGTCTCGCTCTGTCACCCAGGCTAAACTACAGAGGCTTGAACTTTACTCACTGCAGCCTTGACCTCCGGCACTCAAACGATCCTCCTGCTTCAGCCTCCTGAGTAGCTGGTATGGCAAGCATGCACCATCACACCTGGCTAATTTTTACAAGGTCTCACCATGTTGCCCAGGCTTCTTTATCATTTTATACTCTGCTTTTGAAAATAATAGTGGCCAGGTACAGTGGCTCACGCCTATAATCCCAGCACTTTGGGAGGCTGAGAAGGGTGGATCACTTGAGGTCAGGAGTTCGAGACCAGCTTGGCCAACATGGTGAAGCCCTGTCTCTACTAAAAATACAAAAATCAGCTGGGTGTGGTGGCGGGCACCTGTAGTCCCAGCTACTCAGGAGGCTGAGGCAGGAGAATTGCTTGAATCCAGGAGGCAGAGGTTGCAGTGAGCTGAGATTGTTCCAGTGCTCTCCAGCCTGGGCTGGAAAAGAACAAGGTGATCTGCCTGCCTTGGCAGAAAAGAACAGGAACAGCCTGTTTTGAAAAGAACAAAAGACATTGTAAACACTGGAAATGTTTACAATGGGAAATGCTTATTATAATAATGGCTGCATAATACTCTATCATGTGGATAAATGATAGTTTTATTCAACCATCTTCACACTGGGATTGGACTGACAAAACATGAAAGCAGAATCTACAGAAGGAAATAAGTTTACTACCTAAGAAATGGTCTATACAAATATAAGCTTATGCTATTTAAGGAGTACAAAATTAGCTGTGTTCTCTGCTTTTATTTGCATTTGTAAACACGTGCAGACCAAAGACTCTGCTAATATTGGAAAGGTTCTTTCTAGAGCCTTGACCTTGTAAGAGAAAAGGCTACAAGTCATTGTCCTATATTTTTATTCATATTTAAGATCTTTTAAAAAATCTCATAAAGTACATTTCAAAAGAACATAAGCAATTGATGAAAGACTGTCACTTGGTAGAACTATATTATCTATATATGGTTTTAAAATGTGTTATCTAAAATAGTTTAAAGAACAGAATATTCTGAGTAAACATTCTAGTTGAAATGGAGTTGCAATGCAAGTCTATACAGAGTAAATTTTCAAAGGATTAGACTTTGAAGAAATAACATTTATATTAACCATGGTCACTTGCTGAGATCATATAGCTAATATATCAGCATTCTGGATTTATATACCACTTTTATACATTATGAGCCTGGACAAAGTTAAGTTCATCCCTGAATGGCTTCATTCTCTATGTTGACAAAATTTGAGACTAAATAGCTCAAGTTCAGACACTGATGACTTCTTCAAAGTAGAATTCACCTTGCAAGCTCACCTACCCTCTAATGAAGCATTCACCCTTCTGAGAATCTCATCTTCAAATGGATAGCAAACAAAATATTCTCAAGAGAAGATTTGGAAAACAATAAAAGGAATCAGATAGAAATAAGATACTATGGGATTAAAGAAATAAAAGTTCAGAATATGCATTTATAAACCACATACTGTATCTTTCTGTCTTGCATGTAAGAAAGGCTAGTTAAGAAGAGGGTGAGGGCACAGTAGAAGAACAGAAGTCAGAACACAGAATGGACTTTGGTCTCTTGGTATCTGAGTGGGAAAATCTAGAGGAAGGATGAAACTTCCAGGCGCCATCACAATTCACACAATAAAGCTATAAAAACTTGTTGCTATTTTGAATTGAATTTTTTTCACTTTCTGGATCCAGACACAGGAGGAGACACCCAGTTCAAAAATGCGAAAAAAAAAAAAAAAAGGAGCAGTTTCCGGTCTAAAATATACAAATTTGCATCGAACACTTCCTGTAAAGCACTGTAGTTGCTGGGGCTTGACTCTGGTGACTTGACTAATCCCCCAACAGCAATCTGGGGCATTTTAGGGAAAGTCTCTAAGTCTCATTGAAATAAAACTGAAGTTGAATGTAGAAAGTGAACAGAAGAAACTGGAAAGGAAATAAGAACACTGGTTTTAGAAACTGCTTTCTAGGCCAGGCGCAGTGGCTCATGCCTGTAATCCCAGCACTCTGGGATCACCTCACGTCGGGAGAAAGCCCGTCTCTACTAAAACAAAAATACAAAATTAGCCAGGCGTGGTGGCGCATGCCTATAATCCCAGCTACTTGGGAGGCTGAGGCAGGAGAATCGCTTGAACCTGGGAGGCGGAGGTTGTGGTGAGCCAAGATCGTGCCATTGCACTCCAGCCTTGGCAACAAGAGTGAACTTCGTTTCAAAAAAAAAAAAAAACAAATAAATAAATAAAAAAGAAAATGCTTTCTGAGTGCAGAAAATTGCCCTTTACTCTAACTTGAGGTAACATCTACCACAACATTATCTGAGAAAGCTGAAGCAAAAGGCACCAAACTATTTCCAAATGCAAAAAATTGCATGCAAACAGACTGTCCCCTGAAATGGATGTAGCACGCCTGTGGAACGTAGAACACCACACACCACTCCACATACAAAGGTACGTATTTGGCATTAGAAACCTTTTATTGAGACAAGGTAAACAGTGGGCTGAAAATATTACAGGCTGAAGGAAGGCTGAGGAAACCAGTATGAAGGCAGCTCAAATGATGAACTAAATATATTCCAAAGGTACTATTTATACTTAAGGCAGTTTTAAAAGTGAGGTCTTAACCAAAAAGCCTTTACATGGCATTCAAAACAAAAACAAAAACAAAAAAAACACGGGGGGGGGGGGGTCACTTAAATCTCTTGGATTGACTAAAAGAGCTAAATTATGTACCCAAAATCTGTACAGCAGGGGCCTGTTTTCAGCAGGAAAGCCTATGTACAAGTAAGAACCTCTTACTCTTGTAACATTGTCCTGTTTTGTTTTGTCTTATAAGAATATATAACTCCTATCCTCACAGAGTTAGTCCATAAGGCCTCAGTGACCTCACAGAAATATGGAGTTAACCTCTACTACAGAACTATTTACACTGCACTGTAAATACACATATGTGTGTCCACCCTCACAGCTAAGCTGTCAATGCCTTGAGTGAAGGGGTTACAGCTCATTCGTTTTGCATCTACAGTGACAATGAATAGGCACTCAATACATACTTTTTTTTGCATGAATGATAAATGAAATGATTTTACATTACCACCACTATTTACATTAACATTCCTACCATTAGCCGTCTCCAAAATAAAAACACAAAATTGCTGCCACATGTTCAGCAGTTTTCACAATACAGTGTGTCTGGACTTTTTAATGTAAACAAACATGCTTGATTTACCAATTTTCAGAGCAAGGACACAAACTTAGCATTCTTCTAGGAATGGAAAACTTGCCAGGAAGTTACTTCATTCTTTTTCTCTTTTTCAAAAGTGCATCTCGTAGTGCCAACTGTAAGATAAAAAAGTATTGAAACATGATAACTCTTGGGTACCCTATTATACGAATTTGGTTACATGAAAGTTTACTAAAAAGGAATCACCAAGTCAATACACCATCCTGAAAAACTATAAATGATAAAATATTCCAAAACAGATCACATCTGAATCGAGGATGGGGCATATTACTGCTAGGAAATATGCAAAACTCTTGACTGCTGTTCCCAACTCATGGAGGCATAAGCTCAAAACAGGAGCAGCTATGGAATGCAGAGACTACTATTTATTATCCCTGTCTCCAGGGATAATAAATAATACTTATTTGGTCTATGTGGCTCTTAATATTTTGGAGTTGTGGATGGAATACATTGTCTAAATTAAAAGTAACAGGAAAACAGATTTTTCTTCATAATCAATCACCTTTCCCAATATCACATATATTCCACTAAATATGGCATGTATGGATCACTCAAAGATTTTATAATGGCATTCAGCACTTGTGTAGATTTATGATAACTCTATCAATATAAAATCTGAAACAAAGAAAAGTGATACCTTACTAAGAAAATGTTCTAAGTATATGCTAACACTAACCCTTTATAATGGCTCAAACATGAAGATATTAACTCAGAAATTGAAGCCCTGACAATTGTAGCTTATGGCAAAATATTTATTCTAGTTAATACAGGCTCTAATTTTTAACTTGTTTAATTATTTTGTGTTGGAAGTATGTAAAGTGAACATGAAGAATGAAAGCAGTGAATTGTATATCATAATGAGACTCAGTCTAGGCTTTCATCTCCTGGAGTTTGTCTCTAACCAGAGGCTGGGTTCTTCAAGATCCCCAGGGTAGAACTGGAAGGTGAAGAATTTAACATCTAGAGAAAAAGAAGACTGAAGGATCAGTGTCTGACGCAAACCTACAAAAGCCCTTATAAAGTTTTACATGTCAAAAGAAAGCAAACATAGTATTAAAGATGATCAAAAATAAACCAAAATTAAAGTTAACCAAGACCAATGTATACATCTTAAGTTTGTGATGGATACTATTCCATTAATTCCCAAGTACTATTCTTTGTCCTAGAAACTTTTAAAAATCTCTAGCTTTTATTTAATTTTTATTTTAAAATTCTAGCTTAAATTTTAACAAGATACACCTAAAACAGTTTCGGGGTAGAAGTTACCTGGCTCTACATACAAATGTTCAAACTTTTTGGATTTTATGATTTCCAGTTGACTCTTTGCCTTTAACTCACACCTGGGTCTTGGTATGTCTTTGCAGAAAAGCAGAAGAGCTGGGATACTTAAGGCAGAACAAAAATCTGTAAGTTCATTTCAACTTAATTTGGCTAAGGAGGTATTTTCCAGATTCATCTAATTCTATCTTATTTTCCTCATCTGCAAAATTGGTTTAATCACAGTAACTGCACATACTGTTGTATACTGATTAAACAAGTTAATAAATGGAAAGCCCTGGAATAGTGAAGTCTCATGCTAAGAACTAAATGTGTTAGCTAATGTTGGTTATGGGAATTTACTTCCACTCATTAAGCTTTGTAGCAAAGCACAGCCTACTCTCACACATATTTCAGTTCCTTCCCCTTCAAATGCCACCAATTAAAGAAAAGGAACAGGTATATCCCCCTTTTCTTCTTTTATCTTTCTACAGGCTTTACTGCAAGATCCTCCTCTCCTTCCCTATCGTATGCTTTACTTCCCTCTTCTAGTCTCATCCCAGTCACCTCTTCATATTCTAACAATTTACAGTAAGACCTCATGTACACTTTCAAGCCAGGTAAGATTCCTTTATTTAAGACACTGAAATATCACCAAAGGGTAGGGGGGTGTGTGAAGTGTGATGCTCCTTTCTCACAGGGCCCTTGGGGTCACAGGGCAGTTTTGGGGATGCTCTGTAACTGTTGTGTCCAATAGGGTAGCCACTAACTACATGTGACTACTGAGCATTTGAAATGTGGCTAGTCCAAATTGAGATGTGCTGCAGTGTTAACGACATGCTGATTTCAATTAGCTCAGAAACAAAAATGTACAATATTTCACTCATAATTTTTATATGTTGAACTACATGTTGAAACAATACTATTTTAGATATACTGGGTTAAATAAGATATATTGTTACAATTTCCTCTTTTTTTACTTGTTTATTTTTAAGTGATATATGTGGTTCATATTATATTTCTATTGAACAGTACTGGTCTAAAGGGGAGAACAGAGAAAATCAGGAACTTAAAAGTTTATGTTTATAATGAAGAGATCTTGAAGAAAATACAGGGCAAAGGGACACACATAGAAATTCTGATTAATATCAGGTTCCAAATGACAAGAAAATTGGAGAACAAGAAAAAACATTCTTGAACCAACAAGTGCATATGTCCAATGAAATCTTAATTTACTCTCAAAAAGATTCTTCAATCTTTGAGAGTTATTTTATGACTCGAGGTGCTTGAAAGGAACAAAGCTGGGCTTTCCCTTCATGCCAGAAAAGGCATGCTAAAAAACAAAGGAAGTAGGGGTGGGGGGAGCCCTAACTAAAATATAACAAGCTCACAGAAACCTTATAATGAAACAAGGCCTACCAACAGGGTAATTAATACTTCCTCAACCCTGAAATGTTAGTTAAGGGCCAGTGAAGGACAGACTAATGGATTTAAGTCAATCCTATTATAATTTTAGGAGAATGTGGCAAAATTTAGAGTACTTAAAATCCTAAGTGGCACCTTTCCTTTCACCTCAGTTTCAACAGCTTCTATTAAAAATGCCGTCATTATTTAAATGATGTTGTTGAACACAGTTTAGAACTAGAAAGAGTCAACAGGGAGAGCTAAATGGTACCTTAATTCAGTGAATACTGACTTGGAACCCACAGACACAGCACTGCCCTAGAGGGCTGGCCGTTACATTCAGTGCTGGCAGGCTGATCCTTGGCTAGCTATTTAGGAACACTGATTCACAATATGAGACTGTTTAACCCAGAGCTGATATCCTGGCAATTCTTCAGAATGATATTTAGATACACTGCTACACCACAAGGAGAGAAAGATACAAAAGCATAAACTTGTTTTATCACAATGAATAACTGAAATAAATGAGCTGCCTAAGTAGCATGGGATTACCATTCAAAGGCCATGAATGGATAAAATGTAATCCCAAAGCCTGTAAACATCAGGGCTTTCAAAAGGGCACATACAGGAAGGATCATGCCAACACACTATTTATTTTGCATTGCTTTTCTGAAACTGTTTCTGAGATATCACCACACAAAATTATTGGGTTTTGAAAAGTACCCACGCCTGGGGCCAGGCGCGGTAGTAGCTCACGCCTGTAATCCCAGCACTTTGGGAGACCGAGGCAGGCAGATCACGAGGTCAGGAGATCAAGACCATCCTGGCTAACACGGTGAAACTCCGTCTCTACTAAAAATACAAAAAAATTAGCCAGGCGTGGTGGCGGGCACCTGTAGTCCCAGCTACTTGGGAGGTGGAGGCAGGAGAATGCCGTGAACCCGGGAGGCAGAGCTTGCAGTGAGCTGAGATTGCGCCACTGCACTCCAGCCTGGGTGACAGAGCGAGACTCTGTCTCAAAAAAAAAAAAAAGAGAAAAGTACCCACACCTATAATCCTAGCGCTATGGGAGGCTGAGGTGGACAGACTGCTTGAGTCCAGCAGTTTGAAACCAGACTGGGCAACATGGCAAAACCCCATCTCTACAAAAAATACAAAAATTAGCCGGGTGTGGTGGCAGACGCCTGTAGTCCCAGCTACTTGGAGGGCTGAGGTGGGAGGATCACTTGTAGGGAGACCCCCTGAATCTATTGCTACAGAATAAAAGATGAAATGCTCCTCATTATTGTAAATACAAAATTGCATGCAAGATTGTGTAAAAACAATGCCAGGTTGGGCTGCCAGAATGAGCCAACAGCACATGATGTGCTTCCCCCTGCAGAGAGCCTATGAACGGACGTGCAGTCAGGGAGGTTTCACATCACCAAGATTCCTATCCCAGAAAAGCAGATGTTCATAGCTCTGGGAATGGAATGTGACCCTTGTGGAGAGCCTATAAATGGATGCATGAGGGGCGCCTGTCCATATGGATAAGATAGGGTTATAAACGCCCTTATCTTGCCACGGCTCTTGTAGGTCTCTTCAAGAGTAAGGCATACTACCTTCTGAGAATTTGTGGTCTAACCAGTTGTCTAGCTTCACGTCCTGTTTCTATTGATTGTTTACAACCAGTTTTTGCTGCAACTGTTACTGCTGATTAATATCTTGCTAAACGTAGGTTATGGATAGACTGTGTTTCTGTTTTAAGGCTCTGTTAGAAATTGCTGATGCACACACTATATTGTAAATTCTTATCTCTGTATACTGTACTTCTGCATACCAATGTTATGTTAAAGAATTACTTCATCCCCATGTGACCATCTCACCTCATAATCAAACGACCCTAAATCCCTCACTAACCTACGCCCACTCTCACTAAACTTAATAATAAATGGTGGTATATCCAGTGCATTGGCAGCATCGCAGGACCAGAAGGCGGTGACCCCCCTGGACCCAACTTTCACTATCTTGTGTGTGTCTTTTATTTCTCCACCTGCCTTTCCACTTGGGAACAAAGAAAGAGCCCCGTTGCATTGCGGGCTGCTGGCCAGATCCCGCAATAATCACTGGAGCCTGGGAGGTCGAGGCTGCAGTGAGCCATGAGGCTGCAGTGAGTTGTGACTGCACCACTGCACTCCAGCCTGGATAGCAGAGTGAGACCCTGTCTCAGAAAACCAGGCATAAAATTGGCACTAAAAAGTTATTCAATTAATTTTGATATTATATTTCACAGATCAAATGTCAGAGAATTTTAGCATGGGAAGGAACCTCATGGATGATCTAGCTTGCATTCCTTTACTTATACTGGAGGAAAATGGATTCCCCTCTGGTCCCACAGCTGAGTCTCAATCAAGTCAGGTCTGGGATTTACATACCCTGAATCCTTCTCACCTCTCCATGCTCTCCAGCAATGCTCCCATTAATGGGAACTCTCCAACAATGCTCTCCAACAATGCTCCCAAGACACACACAATAATGCCCAGTCTTCAGAAGGCGCAAGTCCGTCTCAAATGTAAAGCTGTCTTGGAATTACAGTGCTGTTCTTGCCACCCAAGCTTCAAGTGGAACTCACCTGTTTTTCTCGGAAGGAACGCTTATTTTTTGACCGGACATTCTGGCTATACCGCATCATCATAAAGTTCTTCTGTTTTTTCTTCTCTTTATTTGTCGAACTGGAAAATGGATTTGTTTTGGTTTTCTTCCTCACAAATTCTTTTCGGTCTGTCTTTCCAGCCTACCAGAACAAAAAGTTTGATATTTCTTCTTCAACAACATACTTTAGGAGTCATCTAATCAACATTAATGTCTCCTCTGTGTCAGAAGCTCTACTAGGTGCCAAGGGCACAGAATGGACAGGACACAGTCTTTGCTCCTTGGGACCAAGAAATGGCCATACAGTATTATAACAGAGCAAGGGGAGCTCGGTGGAAGAAAAGTCATAATTTAGCCTGGTGAGGTCAGGGGAACTTCCTAGAAAGGGAGACAGGTAGACTGTTTTTTTTTTGTTTTTTTTTTTTTTGCAGGATGAAGGCATTCATGGTAAGGGAAAGGAGGGGAAAGACAGAGCATTTCCGGAAGAAGGGACAGTGCACACAAAGGTGTGGAGGAGAAAGGACACATGGAAGACAGAGGATGAGGTGGAACTAGGAGGGGACAGTGTCTCAAACAAGTGGAGATACAGAAAATGATGTTGGAAATGTAGGCAGGACACAGACATGAGCAGCCACAGCACTAGCCACAGGCAGACTCCAACTGGCTCTGGCTTTTCACTGGTGACTGTAAACACATTCCTACTTTTCTCTTAGCTTTGATAAATATAGTGGCTTCCTGACAATACAGACATGTAATACTGCCTTCCTGTGCTCTCTACCTTGTTTTGAGTGGTGGTTACATGGCTATATACAGTTGTCAAAACTCATCTAACTGGCTGGGCGCAATGGCTCATGCCTATACTCCCAGCACTTTGGGAGGCTGAGGCGGGTGGATCGCATGAGGCCAGGAGTTTGAGACCAGCCTGGCCAACATGGCGAAACCTTGACTCTACTAAAAATACAAAAATTAGCTGGGCGTGGTAGCAGACACCTGTTACCCCAGCTACTTAGGAGGCTGAAGCAGGAGAATCGCTTGAACCTAGGAGGCAGAGGTTGCAGTGAGCTGAGATTGTGCCACTGCACTACAGCCTGGGTGACAGAGAGAGACTGTCGCAAAAAACAAACAAACAAACATACTAACAAAAGCAAACCCAAACAAAACCCCTCATCTAACTGAACATCTAATATCTGTGCATTTTAATTTCTGTGTTAATTATACCTTTATTTAAAACATTTTTAAAAATTGCCATTCTGTGGCTATACAAGTTCTGGCTTATGTTTCATTTTATTTGCTTTCTGTTTAAAAAACTAGGAATGATATGCTCACTCACCATTGCAGTTGCTAGTCTTGTCTCTTTGTCAGACTTTGGCTTTTTATGAAGGCGTTCAATGTCCCGAAGAGAAAGTAATTCACCCCTGGGGTGAGGGAAAAATAACACATGAAACAAGAATGGAATTCTGTTTCCTGATGCTTTCATTACCACATGAGCTGACTGAAGTACTAAAGTGGATGTGCCATTTTACCTGGGCTCTTCATCACTGTCTATTTCAATGTATTTCCTCTTCTGGGATTTCCCGGGGGCAGCATCAAGTTCTTTTCTCATTTGGGCCATGCGGATTTTCTGGAAGTCTTCCTGAGTTAAAACTCGGCTAGTGCTGATGGCTGCAGCTTTGGCCTTCCGCTCCTCCATGGGCATGCTGTTCAGCTTCTTGGACTTGAAACCACACAAGGGCTTAAATGGCTACCAGCTCAAGTGAGAGCTCAGCCATTTAAATTGTAGCCTCCCAACAAGGCCCAGAATAAATTACGTCTTAATAAACACCAGGTTATAAGATGAAATTTTCAGACTTACGATTTCTTGCTGTTCTTCATCGGAAGAGTGTTGCACATCAATCCATTCACCATCAGCATCCTCCTCCTCACTGAGACTGGTACTTTCCCATCCATCTGCGTGAAAAAAGCAAACCCACTACTGCCATTTTATGTTGCACATTCAACATAAAGTTGAGATGAAGCAAGCAACAGAAAAGTAATGAACCTTGAACAGATACATTATTAACCAAGAACTGAGCAATATTTATTGTTAAATAAACAATGTGCCTTTAGTTAATCTAAGGAATAGGAAATAGGCACTGATCAAGTATCTACCATGAGTCAAAACCTTACAATCACTCTCTCTAACCCTCATAACTCCAAAGAAAAGGAACAGATGCTCAGAGTTTAGTAATGTGCCCCAAGCCACACCGCTAAAAAGGCATCCTACACTGAAATCATGAAAATCATGTCTACCTTTAGGGTCATGTTCTTTCAACTAAACCAACTGTGTCCATCAAAACTGCACTTGTACATTTATCCTGGCCACGCAGCAGGCATCTAATTTGTCCTATGCGTGTTACCCACGTATGAGAATCTAGTTAGTCATTCAGACAACTGAGGTAGAATATTTGGGATGTTAAAGAATCCTGAAGACACCTCAATAAAAAGGTATCAGGCTTCTTAATGGAGCCACCACAGTTTAAATTTTCTAAATCACAGACACTGCAATCTTTCCATGACTCCCTATGATCTTTAAGAGAACGTGCCAGCTCTTTTGTCTGGCATATACATAACCAAGTATGAAAAGGTCACCAAACTCTATCTCAAGCCTCCTGTCTTTCTATGTTCCATCTTGTATCCTACATTCTAATAGTTAGTTCCCTAAATCCTTCAAGACTTTGCTCACACTTTGCCTGGAAAGTCTCTGCTATTCTAGCATTCCTTGCCAAATACCTGGCTCATCAGTCACCATCTCTCCAAAGCCCTTTAAAAAAAAAAAAAAAAAGGCCGGGTGCAGTGGCTCACGCCTGTAATCCCAGCCCTTTGGGAGGCTGAGGCGGGCGGATCACAAGGTCAGGAGATTGAGACCATCCTAGCTAAAACGGTGAAACCCCGTCTCTACTAAAAAATACAAAAAATTAGCTAGGTGTGGTGGCGGGCGCCTGTAGTCCCAGCTATTCGGGAGGCTGAGGTAGGAGAATGGCGTGAACCCAGGAGGTGGAGCTTGCCGTGAGCCGAGATCACGCCACTGTACTCCAGCCTGGGCGACACAGCAAGACTCTGTCTCAAAAAAAAAAAAAAAAAAAAAAAAAAAAAAACCTAAAAAAAAACTTCCGAGGTGGACCTGACTGCTCTCCTGCCCTTATGCCCCCACCCACTCCAATCATAAATCCTGTTAACACTTCATTCTTCAGCCCTTTGGAAGCCCTCTAGAGCAGAAATAATACCATTCATCTTTGCATTGGCAGTGGCTGGCTCACAACAAATGCTTAAGAGGGCTTTGATCAAATAGGCTGGGTGCACTGGCTCACGCCTGTAATCCCAGCACTTTGGGAGGCCAAAATGGGAGGATCACCTGAGGTTAGGGGTTCAAGACCAGCCTGGCCAACATGGTGAAACCCTATCTCTACTAAAAATAAAAAAATAAGTCAGGCATGGCTGCACACGCCTGTAATCCCAGCTACTCAAGATGCCGAGGCAGGAGGATCGCTTGAACCTGGGAGATGGAGGTTGCAGTGAGCTGAGATCGTACCACTGCACTCCAGCCTGGGCAAGAGCGAGACTCCAACGTGAGGAAAAAAAAAAAAGATTTGCTGAATAATGAATGAATGGACAGGAAGAATACACGACTCTGGAAATTAGAATGGAGTTCCTCGAGTATTTGCCCACAAATTCAACATGCATTCTCCTTCAACAAGGAGAATTTTGGGGGATTCCTCTAAGGGCTAACCCCCGTAATTTTTTCTAGGCAACAAACACAAGATCATTGTCTTTCTCAAGCACCAAACAGCATGCCCTTGGATGAGCGGCAGCCACCCCGAAGGTCATGAAAAGGCATTTCCTATGCTAGAACATAAGTTCCGCAAGAGGAGGAACCATGCTCAATTGATCCCCCATACTTCTAACAGTGCGTGGCACATAGTCATTGCTCAATAAATATCTGCTGAATGAATGTTCAAATAGTATACAATTTAAAGGTCTGCACAGATACTGCAGGAGTGTTTTGCCCAAAATAAGGGTGAAATAAAAATCAACCTTCATCATTTTCAGCATTCTCTTCTTTCTCAACTTCCAGAACTTCTGCTCCTGGAATGTAATCTTTAGCATCTAATTCTCCATATTCTTGTACTCTTGCTTCTATGGAGGCCTCTGTAGGCTTACCCTAAAGGAAAAGAAATTGTTTGTAATAAGTTGCTTAGATCATAAAACCTTAATCATGAAAGGTAGTCTCTGAAATTATGAATTTATTTTATTTATTTATTTGAAGACAGGGTCTTGCTCTGTTGCCCAGACTGGAGTGCAGTGGTACAATCTCAGCTCACTACAACCTCCGCCTCCTGGGCTCAAGGGATCCACCCACCTCAGCCTCCCTAGTAGTTGGGACTACAGGCACGCACCACCACACCCAGCTAACAAAATTATGAATTTAAAAGGGAGCACTATAAAAAATGCTGGTAACCAAATGACAGCAACAGTTTGCTTATGTCTCAGGTCAAAATAAATCCCCAGCCAGCAATCTGTCCACTATTTTCTTGTTGTGTTTTGATCTAGATCAAGACACTGGTAGTTATTAGAGAGTAACTGCTCTAATTTTTTAAGTCTTGAAAAACGTCATCTCTCTTTCTGTTACATACATGCATCCCTCCTCCCTTCCAACTTGAAAGAGGTAGTATCTGGCTGTGCAATAGCCTGTTCACAAAACTGGCATCAGCTACTGACTGATCTTTGAGATTCCGATCTGTTAATAACATTAAAAGCTTTCAAGCTGAAACAGCCTGATAGGTCTTCAAGACACAGTCATCATCAATGAATATGTGCCAACTATAAAATATTCAGGGCCATGGTATTTGATTCCAAGCTTAAAGAATACAACCGTGTGCATCATAACCATGTAATCATAACAGAAGCATCATAAGTACTAAAATCCTAATTGTAGGAAATTTCTCTCAGTTTGTGAGACCATAACCTTTAGACCAACATAAGTGTGCTTTACCTACCCGGAATTTCTTCTGCAGCATCTGAGGATTCAGTGTTCGGAAGAGGTGAATCAAAGTTCTAGCAGACATCATTACATCTGTAAAATAATACTTTTAATTAGAAATTCTGGCCCATAGAGTACAATGAGGTAAAAAGGAGTCACACTGTACTCTTTGGTGTGTAGAGAGTAACATGCAGCTTACTCTTATCCTTGTGTGTTTTATACTGAGCCAGGTCTTGGAGAAGTTCTTCAGTCATGGCCAGAGGACATCGAGCTGTTATCTCCTTTATAGCATTGATTCTAGAAAAAGAAAAACAAAGTTTAAAAGAGCCCGAATAGCAATTTTTTCATGATTCAACACAGGAAGACTTCCTAAAAAGATTAACTCAAAAGGAAAACACGTTGAGTTTTATATAGCTTAGGTCTCCAAAACTGCAGCATGTTAGAGAATGTCAGGTAGGCAGCCTTAGAGGGCTTTTATTCCAGTTACTGCCATTTCCTCTACTGGTGGAATAAGGAACAGTGTCCGGCACACTAAATCAGAGAAGCATTTACTTGCCAACTCTAAGAAGAGATGGGACTAGCTCAAATAAGAAAGGTTAAAGTCTTTAGGGCTATTATCCTGCAATATTTTCCAAGGAAAATAAAAAGCTGCTGTTCAGCATATCACTTACTTATCAGGACAGATTAGACAATCCTTAAACCAGTGATTATACTCATTAAGTGTTTTTTAATCAACCAAAAGGGCTACTAAATTGCCCTAGGAAAAAAGAGTGCTTCAATAATAAATCACTCGTTCCAGGGTTCTATGGTTTGAATGTTCCCTCTAAAACTCATGTCGAAACTTAATTGCCACTGTAATGGTTTAAAGAGGAGAGACTTTTTTTTCACTGTTTTATTATTATTATGCTTTAAGTTATAGGGTACATGTGCACAACGTGCAGGTTTGTTACATATGTATACATGTGTCATGTTGGTGTGCTGCACCCATTAACTCGTCATTAACATTGGGTATATCTCCTAATGCTATCCCTCCCCACTACCGCCACCCCACGACAGGCCCCGGTGTGTGATGTTCCCCATCCTGTGTCCAAGTGTTCTCATTGTTCAATTCCCACCTGTGAGTGAGAACATGTGGTGTTTGGTTTTCTGTCCTTGCGATAGTTTGCTAAGAATGATGGTTTCCAGCTTCATCCATGTCCCTGCAAAGGACATGAACTCATCCTTTTTTATGGCTGCATAGTATTCCATAGCGTATATGTGCCACATTTTCTTAATCCAGTCTATCATTGTTGGACATTTGGGTTGGTTCCAAGTCTTTGCTATTGTGAATAGTGCTGCAATAAACATATGTGTGCATGTGTCTTTACATCAGCATGATTTATAATCCTTCGGGTATATACCCAGTTATGGGATGGCTGGGTCAAATGGTATTTCTAGTTCTAGATCCTTGAGGAATAGCCACACTGTCTTCCACAATGGTTGAACTAGTTTACAGTCCCATCAACAGTGTAAAAGTGTTCCTATTTCTCCACATCCTCTCCAGCACCTATCGTTTCCTGACTTTTTAATGATCGCCATTCTAACTGGTATGAGATGGTATCTCATTGTGGTTTTGATTTGCATTTCTCTGATGGCCAGTGATGATAAGCATTTTTTAATGTGCCTTTAGGCTACATAAATGTCTTCTTTTGAGAAGCATCTGTTCATATCCTTTGCCCACTTGTTGATGGGGTTTTTTTCTTGTAAATTTGTTTAAGGTCTTTGTAGATTCTGGATATTAGCCCTTTGTCAGATGGGTAGATTGCAAAAATTTTCTCCCATTCTGTAGGTTGCCTGTTCACTCTGATGGTAGTTTCTTTTGCTGTGCAGAAGCTCTTTAGTTTAACTAGATCCCACCTGTCAATTTTGGCTTTTGTTGCCATTGCTTTTGGTGTTTTAGATATGAAGTCCTTGTCCATGCCTATGTCCTGAATGGTATTGCCTAGGTTTTCTTCTAGGGTTTTTATGGTTTTAGGCCTAACATTTAAGTCTTTAATCCATCTTGAATTAATTTTTGTATAAGGTGTCAGGAAGGGATCCAGTTTCAGCTTTCTGCATATGCTAGCCAGTTTTCCCAGCACCATTTATTAAATAGGGAATCCTTTCCCTATTTCTTGTTTTTGTCAGGTTTGTCAAAGAACAGATGGTTATAGATGTGTGGTATTATATCTGAGGGCTCTGTTCTGTTCCATTGGTCTCTATCTCTGTTTTGGTACCAGTACCATGCTGTTTTGGTTACTGTAGCCTTGTAGTATAGTTTGAAGTCAGGTAGCGTGACTCCAGCTTTGTTCTTTTGGCTTAGGATTGTCTTGGCAATGTGGGCTCTTTTTTGGTTCCATATGAACTTTAAAGTAGTTTTTTCCAATTCTGTGAAGAAAGCCACTGGTAGCTTGATGGGGATGGCATTGAATCTATAAATTACCTTGGGCAGTATGGCCATTTTCATGATATTGATTCTTCCTATCCATGAGCATGGAATGTTCTTCCATTTGTTGGTATCCTCTTTTATTTTGTTGAGCAGTGGTTTGTAGTTCAAAGAGGAGAGACTCTTAAGAAGTGATTAGGCCTAATGTTGTTATCTTGGGAGAAGGTCCCTTATCACCAGTGAGTTATAAAAAAGTGAGTTTGGCCCTCTGTTGGCTCTTGTGCTCTCTTCCCCTTGTGCCTTCTGCCAATGATGCAGCAACGAGGCCCCCACCAGGTGCCAGACAGACACCAATGCCATGCCCTTGGACTTCCCAGCTCCAGAACTAGGAGCCAAATATTTATTTTATTAGCAGTACAAAGTTTACGGTGGGAGATCAGAAGAAAAGCACTTAGTTTGCTAATCAATTATTCATCTGTAAAAGTAAAACTGCTAAAAAACAAAAATGCTAATTAGAAGGAAAAGTATCTTTTCTCTGGCTCCCTTCTCAAAATTCTGACCAATAAAAAAATTATCAAGCCTCCCAAAAAGACTGAAATATATTTTAAACCAATTTTATAGAGGTGATACTACCAGCTACAATCTTACATCTTGGTAACTTATAGCAAATCTAGTCCATTAAACAATGTATCTTCTGCCTCCAACCAGATTCTACATACCCTACTGTCATGACTTCTCCAGAGTTCTTGTCGGTAACAAAATTGTTTGCCACAGTCATAAGCAATGATTGAATAATCTGAATTGGAAACAAAAAAGAGATGGGTGCTGATTAAATGTCTGCATACACAAACACATAAGAATGAAAGGACAATAGATTATTCATAGTGGAAAACCCAGCCTTCCACCTTCAGTTTAGGAATTGGAAGTAATCAAGATTAAGGAAGACAGAAGAAAACACTCCACTTAGGAATTCAGTGTTTTTCTTGGCTATCCTCAGACTAAATCAAAGAAAGGAATTACTCTATAAATTTACTAATATTCTTGACCTCCCCTAGTTATACAAAATTTGCTTATTAAAGAAAATCAGAATTCTAAACAACTTGTCTGAAAGAAACTTCTTTTTATGAGACGTACAACTGAACTTCTGTGTAGATCCCCTTAAGAGTTAGTGTCTCTTCTATCTATTAAAAGAAGAAAACGGTGAGGGAAGGGGGGACAGTAACCCTTGTGGGAAAAATGACCCTTGTTGTGGGAAGTCAGAGACCCCGAATGGAGGAACCAGCTGAAGCCATGGCAGAAGAACATAAATTGTGAAGATTTCATGGACATTTATTAGTTCCCAAAATTAATAATTTCTTATGCCTGTCTTTGCTGCAATCTCTGAACATAAATTGTGAAGATTTCATAGACATGTATCATTTCCCCAATCAATACTCTTGTGATTTCCTATGCCTGTCTTTAATCTCTTAATCCCGTCATCTTCATAAACTGAGGATGTATGTAGCCTCAGGACCCTGTGATGATTGTGTTAACTGCACAAATTGTTTAAACAATATGAAATCTTGAAAAAAGAACAGGGTAACAGCGATGTTCAGGGAACAAGGGAGATAACCATTAGGTCTGGCTGCCTGAGAGCCAGGCAGAACAGAGCCATATTTCTCTTCTTTCAAAAGCAAATAGGAGAAATATTGCTGAATTCTTTTTCTAAGCAAGGAACAGCCCTGAGAAAGAGAATGTGTTCCTAGAGGTAGGTCTCTGAAATGGCCGCTCTAGGGACATCTGTCTTTTAAGGTTGTAGATAAGGGATGAAATAAGCCCCGGTCTCCCGTGGCACTCCCAGGCTTATTAGGATGAGGAAATTCCCGCCTAATAAATTTTGGTCAGACTGGCTGTCTGCTCTCAAACCCTGTCTCCTGATAAGATGTTATCAATGACAATGCGTGCCCGAAACTTCATTAGCAATTTTAATTTCGCCCTGGTCCTGTGATCTCGTCCTGCCTCCATTTGCCTTGTAATATTTTATTACCTTGTGAAGCATGTGATCTCTGTGACCCACACTCTATTCTTACACTCCCTCCCCTTTCGAAAATCACTAATAAAACCTTGCTGGTTTGGAGCTTGTGGGGCATCACAGAACCTGCCGACATGTGATGTCTCCCCTGGACGCCCAGCTTTAAAATTTCTCTCTTTTGTACTCTTTCCCTTCATTTCTCAGACCATCTGACAAGAAATAGAAAAAAACCCACGTTGAATTATCGGGGGCAGGTTCCCCCGATAGACCCTGAAGTACCTAACAGTAACACTGTCATCCATGCCCTAGGTCCAGAAGTCAGGTTACAGGTTCTCACCTCTGGGGGTACTAGGTGATGAGATGCTTGTGCAGCAAACAGAAGGATCTTGGTTACTTCTGAAAACATAAGAGAACAGAAAGGTCATGGTCAGTGTATCACCCTGCCTCTGAGGACCACAGCAAACATGGCAAGCTCATTCTGGTCTAAATGGTATTGCTGCGTATTCCACCTGGAACACTCAATCCCCAGATATCTGCTTGGCTTACCCCCTCACTTTCTTCAGGTCCCTACTCAATAGCTGCCTTATCAAAAAGTCTCTCCTGACCACACAATGTAAAACAGAACCCGTCCCGACACTCCCTATTGTCCTTATCCTGCTTCCTTTTCCTTCAAAACACTTATCTTTACCTGGACATATTATATATAGCACATCTACATCTGCCTCCAGATGTAAGCCATGAGGGTAAGGACCTTGTTTTACGTTTACTGTGGAATTCGTACTGTCTTAATGCAGTGCCTGGCATAAAAATCATTAAATAAATACTTGCTGAATGAATGCATACACACACACACACACACACACACACACACACACACACACACACACTGTCTCTTTTCAAAGGGGCAGCATAGCATAGGTAACAAACAAGGCCACTGGCAAAAGAAGTGAGGTGAATCCTGATTTTCCATTTATTTGCTGAGTGACTCTAGTCTTTTTTTTCCCTCTCTTTGTATACCTCACAAGATTAATGTGAGGATTAGACAAAATGACGTATGTAAGGCACTTAGCACAGTGCTTGGTCCATGTTAGATACTGAATAAATGTTAGTTTCCTTCCTACTTTGGTTCAGGTTCAAAGACAAGAACAATCATCTCTTCTTTCCTGCTTTTGTGTTGTTTTTCATTGAGAATGCATGCAAGGTCAATGTGAGCAGTGAGATCAAATCTTAATATCTATTATGAAGATGCAATAAAACGTCAATTTTTTAAAAAAGAATTTTCCATGAGTATTTACAGTATTACAAGAAGACTTGCTTTGAGAAACCAATTTGTTGTTGTTGTTTTCTTTTCTTTTCTTTTTGAGACAGAGTTTTGCTCTGTCACCCAGGCTGGAGTGCAAGGGCACAATCTCGGCTCACAGCAACCTTCGCCTCCTGGGTTCAAGCGATTCTGTCTCAGCCTCCTGAGTAGCTGGGATTACAGGTGCCCGACACCACATCCGGCTAATTTTTGTATTTTTAGTACAGATGAAGTTTCACCATGTTGGCCAGGCTGGTCTTGAACTCCTGACCTCAGGTAATCCACCCATCTTGGCCTCCCAAAGTGCTGGGATTACAGGCCTGAGCCACTGTGCCCGGCAGTTGTTGTTGTTTTAAAAAAACAATAGTTTCTTAAAGTTGAGGGTAACGACAAACCCATAGCAAACTCTAGAAAGAAAACAAGGGCTTCTCTTCACATCTCTAATGTAGAGCACACTGCACTCCTGTCTTTAGTGATTCCAGAACAAAAGACTTTGCATGTTTATTCTATTACCAAGGCCACCAAAGAAACATGGCAAGTGGCAGCTTACCTCTTTGGTGGGGCTGCAGAAACCTTTGCAAAAAGGGATAGAAATTGAAGAGGAAAAGCTGTGGAGAGAAAACCGACTTTAATACTGATGCAGCTGACACTATGGAGTTCCATTTCTTCTCAATGCAAACATATCACCAAGCTCAACTAATTGCAGAACACTTTTGTTTTTTTCTCAGTAAGCAATCATGCCCTAGGATGATTCAATATGCTATATTAACCAAGGCTAGGAATTCTCTCAAATGAGGCTATGCTGCTATCCTTATTATGTAAAGGAGGAAGCAAGTATATGCAGAATGAACTAGAGGAAGGAAAGGTAAACAAAATGTAACATTCTTCTACTCTTAAAACTGGTGTGGCTGCAGAAACTAACTTTTTAGTGTTCTAAGGAGAGGGGATTATAGGAAGGAACAGCATTGATACCAAGGCTCCAAAACAACAGACAAGATCGGAATTCAAATCTGAATAGCACCGAGTATAATTTAATCAGCAAAGCTCACTCCTGGTTATATTCTTGTATACCAGTCCAACCACGTGGAAGGAGTTGGGTCCAACCACATGGAAGGAGTTACTCTGTGCACCATAATTCAGAGGGAAAACGTTAACACTCTGAAGTCCACCTAAACAAAGGTGACCAGGGTTATTAAGGAAATGGTAATGTTTAATTTCAAGAAGAGAAACTGGAAATAAACTGGTCTTTTTCAAGGTATATCAGTTAGGTGGGAATAAACTAATTTTTTCTATTTTAGCCACAGAGCAAAAGTAGGATGGGCCACTGAGAAGTTGCAGGGAAGACTTTGGTTGAACATAATGATGGATGTTCAATTGTAGTCAGTTGTGAAACTCCAGTATCATTTCCCTCAAACCACGCTTAAATCACAAATCACTTTTTCTTTCCTGTAGAGCTCAAACTCAGTCTGAATGAAATTGCTGCACAAATGTAACAAGAATTGATCCTACACTGGGACTACAGCCATGGAGAAAAAGCAATGTAGTCAGCAAAATGTTAACAGGTTTTTCTCAGAGAAAGGGAACAATTACTTTCACTCATGTGTACTTTCATTTTCAACGTGATATATGTCTATATTGTTTGAAAAGTGTTTTTCTTTTCTTTTCTTTTGGTTTTTTTAAATGGATGTTCAGAGCAGCACCAGTCACGAGATCAAAATGATAAGGAAAAACCTTAATGGTCATTTCTTCATGGCTTAAATTTCTGGGTATCTCTTTTTCTACAATGGCATCTAGTCTAACAGTATGTGTAAAGTTCCCATATATATACCACTGAGAAACTCTTGCAACTAACATTTGTAAACATGACAATTTCCTACTAGAGGGATCTGGAAGTCAGGAAAGCCAAGAAGAGTTAAACAAACAGTGAGATGTAGTAAGTCAATTAAAATATGTGCATTATATTGGCTCAAGAAAATGTGTATGCGTAACAAAGTGAACAAAAAGAAAGTAAAAAAGCAGAACAGGCCAGGTGCGGTGGCTCATGCCTATAATCCCAGCACTTTGGGAGGCCAAGGTGGTCAGATCATGAGGTCAGGAGTTTGAGACCAGCCTGGCCAATATGGTGAAACCCCGTCTCTACTAAAAATACAAAAAAACTAGCCAGGTGTGGTGGCATGCGCCTGTGTCCCAGCTACTTGGGAGGCTGAGGCAGGAGACTCACTTGAACCCAGGAGGTGGAGGTTGCAGTGAGCCGAGATTGCGCCACTGCACTCCAGCCTGGGCAATAGAGGGAGACTCTGTCTCAAAAAAAAAAAAAAAAAAAAAAAAAGCAGAGAATAAAATAGCCTGTCCATAAATGGAATATATGTACAAATTAACATCCACATTACTGCAAAGAAAATGAAGTGATAAAAATAGTTATTTTCAGAGATGTTACTCTTCTGTAAATTTTATGTGTTTAAATGTATGAGGGATAAAATTAAGCCACTGCTCTACCTAATGGCTTTTCTTTTACCATGGTAAATTCTACTTCAAATATTCACCAAGAGAAACATAATATAATTCAAACCTCATGAATTCCCACCAATCTGGAGATAAGGTTCATGAGCATCATCTTCACTTCAAACCTCTCCTTACAGCACTCAAGCTGCTTTAGTAGTTTTTCCGCAAAATCTGGCAAGGAGAGGATGAAAGAAGTACATTGTGAGTCTATGGTCTATGTGACATTTATGTAACAGGCGTAGGAAAAGACAATAGTTAGATCAGTGAATAGACTGACAAACAGGTGAATATGTCAATATATGTAATGGTGCCCAAAGTTAAGTCTTAATAATTCCCAAGTTTTTTAGCATCAACATCTAGAGTGACTGTTTGACAGGTGCTCGCTTCACTTAATAGCTCTCTAGATCCTTGCTTCTTAAAGGGGTAGTCCACAGACCCAGCAGCTGCTGGTCCACCGGGGAGGCTCATTGGAAATGCAGAAGCTCAGGCCCCACCTCCCCAGGTGATCTGTATCTACATGCAAGTTTGAGAAACACTGATCTAGAGCAGGGGTCAGCAAATCTTGCCATACATTAGAGTACTGAGAGCCCCAACGCCCAGCTACACCCCATACCAACTAAATTAGATTCTCTGGAGATAACAGGACCCAAGCATCAGTACAGTTTTTATAAATTCGCCAGGTGAGACCAATGTGTGGCCTAGTTTGAGAACTAGTGTTCTCGAACAAGGTTTCCCAGATTTTTGGTTTCCACAGACTAGGTTTTTTTTTTTTTTTTAAAAAAGGACCAACAAAAGACTGCCAGTTTATTTGGTCAAGTACAATGCCCTATTACAATTGTGTTGTTAAAAACATGAATCTCAGAAACATCCGTTTTTCCATATTTTTCTTGTTCTGCGATAGACTGGGAATCACTGCTTTAGATGACAATTTTGTAGGTTACAACCAACTAGTAACAACTAAGCATTTATTGACTATCTACTAAATGCCAGGGATCTTATATTCCCTGAAAACCCCAAAGGCAGGAAATAAAATAGGCAGAGATAAGGCCAACAAGGAACTCGGACGTCATAATAACGTACCTTGGGGATCATGAATCAAGTGAATGGCTGAAAAGTTAAACACCTCTGGTTTTTTCTTCTTTTTTTGTTTCTGAAAGGGAGAGGAAAAACATTTTCAGTCTGAGTTACAGTGATGATGCTCTTAGAACTTAATGTGCTAATAAGGCTGTTATAAGTCCATTAGACTCTTTAAAAAGAAAAAAAACTTTGTTCTAAAAACCTTTTCAACTAGAAGAATTAAAGTTGGTTTTTGCCTTTTAAGATTAAATGTGGGGAATGTGTTCCAACCATTAGCACCTATGAGACTTACAGGAATTTGGAAATGCAAACATTAATAATATGGTTTGGCTCTGTGTCCCCACCCAAATTTCATCTCGAACTGTAATCCCTGCATGTCGAGGGAAGGACCTGGAGGGAGGGACCTCGTGGGAAGTTATTGGCTCATAGGGGCAGTTTTCCCCATGCTATTCTCGTGATAGTGAGTTCTCACAAGATCTGATGGTTTAAAAGTGTTTGGCAGATCTCCTGTAGTGCTCTCTCCTGCCACCATGTAAGACATGCCTTGCCTCCCCTTTGCCTTTCCCCATGATTTTAAGTTTCCTGAGGCCTCCCCCACCATGCAGAACTGTGTGTCAATGAAATCTCTTTCCTTTATAAATTACCCAGCCTCAGGTTGTTCTTTATAGCAGTGTGAAAACAAACTAATACAATTAATAAACACACAAGGGCCAAATTAATGACTTTCAAAATAATCATTACAAAAATATGAAATGTACTGCATTTATGTACTCTTCTGACAAAACATGTCTAGCAAAGATACCATAATACAAGCCACCTTGATCAGAACAAGTAAAAAGTGAATTTAATTAAACTAATTTATCCAAGTCACTGATTTTGCTAGAGCTGAATACATTTATTCATCTAAAATATTAGTGCTTAAAAATTTATCTAACATTTCTAAGTATTCTGAAAATGGTACTCTGATTTTAAATTCTTAAAAGCTCTGGCTAACGACAACATATTCTTCACTCTAATCACTCCTATCTCATTTTCCAGATACAAGTCCCACCTTGAGCACTTTCATTGCCTTTTCCAACTTTTTCTTGTTTTTGGAACTTTTCTTCCCTGTAGCATATTGTACTAGCAGGTCTCTTGCTGTTGGTCCATCATCCTAAAGAAGAAATTACTTTGTAAAATTGTAAACAAGGAAAATCTGCATAGAATGAAAGAGTAAACCTTTCAGCCACTTCTTCGTTCTTATACTCTTTGCACACAGCTATTAAAAATGAATACTACTTTTAGACTGGGCGCAGTGGCTCACGTCTGTAATCCCAGCGCTTTGGGAGGCCAAGGTGGGTAGATCACTTGAGGCCAGGAGCTTGAGACCAGCCTGGCCAACATAGCAAAACTGTGTCTCTACTAAAAATACAAATACTTAGCTGGGCTTGGTGGTGCACACCTGTAATCCCAGCTACTCAGGAGGCTGAGGCAGGAGCATCACTTGAGCCCAGAAGGGGGAAGTTACAGTGAGCTGAGATCACGCCACTGCACTCCAGCCTGTCTCAAAAAACAGGAAAAAAGAAAATTAGGTGGAAAAAATATGCCCACATGTGCACAAACAGGTACATACAAAGATTTTCACTGTAGCACTATTTTTTTTTTTTTTTTTGAGATGGAGTCTCATTCTGGCACCCAGGCTGGAGAGTTATGGCACAATCTCAGCTCACTACAACCTCCACCTTCCAGGTTAAAGTGATACTCCCACCTCAGCCTCCCAAGTAGCTGGGATTACAGGCACACGCCACCATGTCTGGCTAATTCTTGTATTTTTAGTAGAGACGGGTTTTGCCATGTTGGACAGGATGGTTTTGAACTACTGACCTCAAGTGATCTGCCCGCCTTGGCCTCCCAAAGTGCTGGGATTACAGGTGTGAGCCATTGCACCCAGCCCTCATTTTTCCTTTAAAAACTGTTGTTGACAACCCGCTTGGGTCCCTTTCCATGCTGTGGAAGCTTTGTTCTTTCATTCTTCACAGTAAACCTTGCTACTGCTCACTCTTTAGGTCCGTGCCATCTTTAAGAGCTGTAATACTCACAGTGAAGGTCCGCGGCTCCAAAAAAAAAAAAAACACACAAACAAAGACTGTTGTCTTCCTTTACAAATATGTACATAGTTTACTATGGCATATGTATTCCCACTGCCCTATTCTGAAATAAGTATCATTTGCTTTTAGAGAGTTTCTCTCTTTTTGTTATTTAGGTTGCCATTTACAATAAAATGTATTAGTCATATACTGTTTAAAAGACGTTATCACATATTCCAGTACTTTGGTTACCAAAACACTAAAATGGGGAAGGATAATTTTTTTTTTTTTTTAGAAATTCTTATTTTAATATTTTATGCCATCATGAATCTTGATTTTTTTTTTTTCCTCAAAAACATGCTGGTGATGGCCAGGTACGGTGGCTCACGTCTGTTATCCCAGCACTTTGGGAGGCCGAGGCGGGTGGATCGTGAGGTCAGGAGATCAAGACCATCCTGGCTAACACGGTGAAACCCCATCTCTACCAAAAATACAAAAAATTAGCCAGGCGTGGTGGCGGGTGCCTGTAGTCCCAGCTACTCGGGAGGCTGAGGCAGGAGAACGGCATGAACCCGGGAGGCAGAGCTTGCAGTGAGCTGAGACCACACCACTGCCCTCCAGCCTGGGCAACAGAGCGAGACTCCGTCTTAAAAAAAAAAATGTTGGTGACAATTTTCATCCTAAATTTACATAGTGAGATATAGGTATAACTTTAGAACTAAGATCAAGGTTGAATAAATCTGTTTTATTAATTATATAACCAAGATAATCTTACTGAATACAAGTGACAAATTCCAAGTAGAGTAAAATAGCATGGCAGAATTCAATAACAGGGCAAAGGTGTCATCTAAGTTTCTTTCTAACTTCAGCAGTCATAGACTTTACAATGTGTACTCAGAGCAATAATAAAAGGTAAGATTCAGAAGCAGCTATGATTAAACTAACCTCAGATTCGGAGTCACTGTCCTGTTTTTCATCTTCATCTTTCCCAAGAAAGAATGTCAAAGCGGCAACTAATATCTAAACACCAATGAGAAAAAAGTCAGCTACTTGATTCAGCTTAAAATAAAGAATAAATCCTTTTGAGTATGCTTTATACATGTGCATGAACTAAGATCTGAAGAACAAATTCAAAGAGTGGTGGGATTTTTGTTCATTTTTTCTTAATTAAAAGTTGTTTTATGTTATTTCTCTAATAAATAATTTTAAAAACTAGATAAAAACTGCTAGGCTCTATATAGTTATCCTTCAAGACTGTCGAGAATTTCTACATCCCCTATAAGAAAAGTGACATTGCAGTTCTTCTAACAGACAAAAGTCAAACATTGACCTTAAATTTCTTTTAGCAGTGCCGAAGCCCAACGGAAGTCAAGAATCACAGGAGAAAACAGTAAAAAACCACTGAGGCTATCATTTATTACATAGCAATTTAAAAACTCATAATTCTATTGACTCTTTTAAAGTTCAGATGACCCAGGAAAGCAGTATAGGAACAAAGAAAGCATCACTTAACATAAACTGCATGCCTGCACATCACTGCATGCCTGGTGTGCAGGCATGCAGTTTATGCTGAGTGATGCTTACTTCTAACTGCATGCCTGGTGTGCAGGCATGCAGTTTATGCTGAGTGATGCTTTCTTCTAACTGCATGCAGAAGCAGACCATCCACAGACAGAGCTTACACACAGCCCTATAGGTGCTCACCTTGGTGACCTTAGAGAAACATGCAGTTGTGATAACATTGACAGTTTTTGCATCATTCCTGGGGGAAGACAATGAATGCTTTGAAGTAAATTTTCATTCTACTGTATTTCATAGCACAGACAATGGCACAAAATAAATGATATAACAAATGTTTGTGACGTACTAGAATTCCCAGTTGTAATATTTTAAAAAGATACGAGTTGCTAAATTACTTAACCACAGGTAAAACATTTCATCAGATTTTAGCCCAGACTTACGACAAAATTTGCAGCCATTAAGACAGACTATTTAAAGAATTTTTAATGACGTAGGAAGCTAGTCAAGTGCAAAAAAAAAAAAAAAAAACAACAACTGAGAAGATCGGGGACAGTGGCTCATTCCTGTAATCCCAGCACTTTGGAGGGCCAAGGCAGGCAGATCACTGGAGGCCAAGAGTTCCGGTCCAGCCTGATCAACATAGTGAAACCCCATCTCTACACAAAATACAAAAAATTAGCTGGGCATGTGCCTGTAATTCCAGCTACTTGGGAGGCTGAGGCACGAGAACTGCTTGAACCCAGGAGGCGGAGGTTGCAGTGAGCCAAGATCACACCATTGCACTCCAGCCTGGGCAACAGAGCAAGACTTTGTCTCAAAAAAACAAACAAACAAAAATAATCGAGAATTTAAAAACTATAATATATAGGCCGGGCGCAGTGGCTCACGCCTGTAATCCCAGCACTTTGGGAGGCCGAAGCGGGTGGATCACGATGTCAGGAGATTGAGACCATCCTGGCCAACATGGTGAAACCCCGTCTCTACTAAAATACAAAAAAAATTAGCCGAGCATGGTGGTGCATGCCTGTAGTCCCAGCTACTCGGGAGGCTGAGGCAGGGGAATCGCTGGAACCCAGGAGACAGAGGTTGCAGTGAGCCAAGATCATGCCACTGCACTCCAGCCTGGTGACAGAGCAAGACTTTCTCAAAAAAAATTAATAAATAAATAAAAATTAAAAAAAATAAAAACTGTAATACAGAAAAATTTCAACCATATTTAAAAATTCACATTAAACAAAAAAGACTGGGTGGAAATACCATAAATACTAACAGTAATTGATTAAAACCACTTTTTAAATTTCTCCAAATTTTCTGCTGTAATGAATATTACTTTTATAGTAAAAAAATGTTAGTCAATAAGAAAAGCAAAAGAAATGAGTTAGGGACACTGTATCAACAAACTGAAGTGTACGAAGCATGATATTTTATATAAATAGGATGAATTGACTTGAAAATCTTCAGAGCGGCAGAAGAGAGAGCACAGATTTTGGAGTCAGTTAGATCTGGGTCTGAATTTCAGCTCTGCCTCTTAATAGCTAAACTTTTACTAACTCTAAGAACTTCCATGTCATTACTTATAAAATGGGGATAATTCCAGATAAGCTACATCTTCTGTTCTCAAGTTGTTCTAAGTGAGGTCATGTCAAAGTGCCCGACCTCAGTAGCTGCTCAAGAAATGATAACCAATGTCATTAGTCATTTGAATTGCCTCTATTTTTACTTCCAACTTAAATCTATGACATAAGTATATTAAAGAGCTCAAGCTCAAGAAAAGTATTTGTATATGTGCTCTGTATTAATTACAAATGAAAAAAGAGTCTACTTCTCAAGAGACAAATATATATACACTACCAGATGTTCCTTCTGTAGAGTTCAATCATTACATCTAAAGACATCTTGGCTGCGGTTGCATTGCTATCTCTTAACATGGTGTACATGAAATTTTGCAATACCTGCAGAAAAGGAGGAGAAAGAAGACTTAATGCACTGATGGTACAATGCTGCAAACATGGAAGACAGAAGAGTACTTACTACATTCACTTTATTGTTCTTGTGTTTTGCATTTATATTCTTGATATCAGTCACAATATGTGTGTATAAAGTCTGAGGAAAAGAAACAAAAATATATACATTAAACCTAACCAACATTTTTAACCTTGCTAAATTTGGAGAACAGTATGAATGTACAGGATGACTTAATTTTACCTATTTTTCATTCTATCCCAAAAGAAACCCAAACCAAGCAAACAAACAAAAAAGCAACTACAAAGCAAAGCAAAGTTGTCCTCAAGAAGTTAAACATGGAGTTTAATGTAATACGGCACAATTCTCCTAGGTATATATCCTAGAAAATGAAAACATCAGTGTTCACACAAACATTCATAGCAGCCTTATTCATAGTGGCCAAAAAGTGGAAATAACTTAAATTTCCACTAACTGATGAATGGATAAACAAAATGTGGTATATCCATACAATGGAATATTATTTGGCAACAAAAAGGAATAAAGTACTGATACGTGCTACAACATGAATGAATCTTGGAAACATTATGCTAAGTGAAAGAATCTAGTCACTAAAGACCACATATTGTTATGATTCCACTTATATAAAATTTCCAAAACACACAAATCTATAGTGACCCAAAGTAGACTGGTGATTACCTAGAGCTAAAAGGGATGAGGAACAGGATTAACTACTAATTGGAATAGAGTTTCTTTTGGGGGTGACAAAATGTTCAAAAATTGTTTGCAGTGATGGTTGTACCACGCTGTGAATACACTAAAAAACACTGAATTGTACACTTTAAGTGGATGAATTTTACATAAATTATATCTCAATAAAAGTGTTATTAAAAAAAAAATGCTCCAATTTACCAAGCACCTAACTGCATGCAGGAAAATACTGTGAATGCATATATCACTGGTGCCCACACCATGCTCCCATGGACCACTTTTATTCCACAAATTAGACCAAGAAGTACAATTGCTAAAATCAAACAGTGGTAGTCTCTTAATACTTTGAAAAAAATTTTAAATTAATGAATGTAAACTTAAATTTTTCTTTCCTTTTTTTCTTTAAATACAGCAGTGGTCTTGCTGTGTTGCCCAGGCTGGTCTCAAACTCCTGGACTCAAGTGATCCTCCCACCTCAGCCTCCCAAAATGCTGGTATTGTAGGTGTGAGCCACAGTGTCCAGCCAAGTTTCTCCATCTTAAATTTCTTTCATAAATCTTCAGCTTCTAGTCTTATATAAGCAAATGCAAAATCATGGGAAAATGTTAATAACAACAAAAAAGTTTTTTGTGGGGGAGTGGGTCAGTTATAGCTGTGAGTACCAATGTCCTGATTTAGCCAGCCAGTATGGTGCAGTAGTAAAAGGCTTGGGTTCTGGAACCAGAGCCTGGGCTTATATCCAATCCCACCACTAAGAAGCAGTGTGAGAGTGGGCAAGTTACTCTATCTCTCTTTAACCTCAGCCCTTTCATCTGCAAAGTAAGAATAATAATAATGAGGATCCCTCTCTCATAGGGCTTTGTGAGTAAATGAGTAAATACACAAAGCTCTGAGAATGGTGCCTGGCACAAAGTATGCACTCAATAAATATGGCTATTAACACCATATAGCATGCACACAATGGTTGCTTTTTCCTGTTAAAGTTATTATTAACAATGTAAAGCATCGATAATTCAAGAGACAACAAAATTTTATGTCGCCTCAAGGAAGATGCAGGGAAATATTTGTTTTGCCCTTTACCTTTCGCAGAAGTTTATCATGGCAACGAAAAAGTTCAAAGAAGAGTTCTAGCAGGCTTGATGGATTGATGAGATTCTTATTTCTCAGCAAGATCAAAGCTTTGCAAAATGTCTCGGGAAGGAAAAAAACATACCATAAGACAATGGTAAAGTTAACAAGGTGAGAAAATACAGCGTATATGTCCCAAGACCTTAATGTCTTTTACTAACTAGACACTATTGTAGGATTCAGAATAGTCAGTCTCTGCCTTCATGGAGCTTACACTGGGGATAGAGCAGAACGGAGGACAGACAAGCCAAGTAAGCATATAAAAAGGAGGATCTAAGAAAATAAGTGTCATGAAGGAAGTAAAACAGGGTTATGTAATTGATCAACAGTGACTGAGGGAGGGCCACAGGGAGGTCAAGTAAGGTCTCTTTGTAGTGTCATCATACGGCAAAACCCTGAATCCATAAAGACAGGTGGGATAACAACATAATACACTAAATTGGAATAATCAATGAGAGTTTATGACCTTACGAGGCATTCTTCTGAAGTACCATCAGCACTAAGAATGGCTCAACAGCAGTTGTTGCATGCCTGCCCCCCGCCTTTTTTTTTTTTTTTTTTTGAGACGGGTCTCGCTATATTGCCTAGGCTAGTCTTGAACTCTTGAGCTCAAGTGATCCTGCTTCAGCCTCCTGATTAGCCAGGACTGTAGGTACCCAGCTATTTTTTTTTTTTTTTCTATTTTTAAGAGATAGAGTCTCATTATGTTGCCTAGGCTGGTTTCAAGCTCCTGGAAACTTCTCAAATGATGCTCCTACTTCAGCCTCCTAAGTAGCTGGGATTACAGGCATGAGCTGATGCGCCTAGCAGCTGTGGCACTCTTGCTTACCACCAACTCTTACATGTAGCCCTATCACCCAAATTTTGTGTTACCCTTCATTAGATGAAATACAATCCTTGAAGAATAGTTGATTCCAAGTCTTGGGGCAGGAAAAACGGTAAGAATGAATTTGGAACTATTTCTGCCAGAATTCAAGGATGCTTTCAAAAACAAGGGCAAGGCTGGGCATGGTGGCCCACACCCATAATCTCAGCACTTTGGGAGGCTGAGGTGGGAGAATCACTTGAGGCCAGGAGTTCAAGACCAGCCTGGGCAATGTAGTGAGACCTTGTCTCTACACAAAAAAAAAAAAAATTAGCTGGGTGTGGTGGCACACACCTTGTGGTCCTAGCTACTTGGCACGCTGAGGTGGGAGGACTGCTTGAGCCCAGAAGCTTGAGGCTGCGGTGAGCTAAGATCGTACCACTGTACTCCAGCCTGGGCAGCTGAGTGACAGACCCTGTCTCAGAAAAAAAAAAAAAAAAAAAAAAAAAAAAATTCAGGGAAATTGCTAAAAGGACTAAGAAGCTTCCCCTGGCAAGGTGGTGACAATCTGAACATAAAGTAATTAAAATAATAATACTAAAAAAAAGTTTTAAAGTACATAAAAAGGTAGTTATAATGTCAATGAAATACATATAACTTGACTTTTATTGATTTGACTAAGTAGGTAAGAATTACTATATATGGATATTTTATTTCTTCCAAAAAAAATACAATGTTTCTATCTGTGTAAGCAGGACAGAGTGAACAAAATCTTGGGAATGATTCAAAAAGTCTTGGAAAAATAGCAAATACACCAGGTAGAAAGATAGCCCAGTGGCTGATAAGAATTGTTGGTTATCCCAATAACCAATTAAAAAGAGCTTCTTCCAGTGTGTTCAATGCTTCCTCTAAAGAGCAATGCTAACTATACAGACGCAATCCTTTATCTCCTAGTAAAGGAAATCTCTATTATTATTATTATTTTTTTTTTTTGAGACAGAGGCTGGAGTGCAATGGCGCGATCTCGGCTCACTGCAACCTCCGCCTCCCAGGTTCAAGCAATTCTCCTGACTGAGCCTCCCAAGTAGCTGGGATTACAGGCACGCACCACCATGCCCGGCTTATTTTGTATTTTTAGTAGAGACAGGGTTTCTCCATGTAGGTCAGGCTGGTCTCGAACTCCCGACCTCAGGTGATCCTCCTGCCTCGGCCTCCCAAAGTGCTGGGATTACAGGCGTGAGCCACCGCGCCTGGCGGAAATCTTTATTATTTTTTAAAAACCTACTAATCATCATAAAGCACTATAAAGAAATATACATACACATTTTTTTCCATTTAAAAAAAAATTTAGAGGTGGGATCTTGCTATGTTGCCTAGGCTGCAGTGTAGTGGCTATTCACAGGCATGCTCATACCACACCTCAGCCTCAAACTCCTGACCTCAAGCAATCCTCCTGCCTCAGCCTCCCAAGAAGCCGGGACTACAGGTGCACCTGGCATATATATTAATTTAATAATGCCCACAGACCAGTTTGGTGGGGTACTGCCAGGAAAATAAAACTTAAAGAAATCCTAATTACTTGGAAAGCCATTAAGTCTCTATACTCAAAATATCAAATCTCTATGACCTACAAGGACTTCAAGAGTAACATGACATAGGTAAAAGCCTTTAGACTAGGGGTTCAAGTTTGGAGTCCCTTGGGCTATACTGCCAGGTCCCATGTACCAGCTGAGTATCAATCAGTTGACAACCCAGGGCCTGAAACCTTGGCTTGTCTGAGACAGTATTCTTTTTCTTTTTGGCCTAATCAAATTACTAAAATCCTAAAGTAGTATAAAAATGATAGAAATACAAAAAACCTGAGAAAGTCTAAAAGAAAACAAATATTCATCTAAAGACTTGGCATTTCTACAAGTTGTGCTATAGGATATTAGTACGTTTTGTGATCATATTTGCGTACTTATCTGCTGTAAAGAGGTTTGAAAAGCAGATGTATTAAATTTGGAAATGTCTTAGTCCCTAGAAGCAGAGACTGATTTATTACAAGTGATTTGTTGGGGGTATGATCTCAGAAAGGAAGTGAAGGAAGGAGGATAGTGCAGAGACACGCAAAGCAAAGCAAGGATGTGCCCTTGACTGGAGACTAGCTTTAGTCCCAACACAGGAAAACACTGGAGCACATCCTGCATTGGAGTCAGAGCCACCCTGAGGTAATGGGCTGGGCTTTTGTACCACATGATAATGGGCTGTGGGCTACTAGGGTAGGAGGACACCTCCCAGGCACTAGGACTCCGATTTAGCTGAGGACAATGTTGCAGAGAAAGGGCAGCTGAGGGCCACCAGCAGCTGACATTCACAACAAGTGGGGCAAACAGGTACACCGGCCTCGTGAAGGGAATGTCAGCCAGGACTCAACCCCAACCACTAAAAGGACAATGATGAAATGCTCAAACTGACTGTCTAATGGGTAAGTTTACTAATTTAAGGCATTATAAAAATGACAAGTTGTGATTAGGATTCTACATGCATATGAGATTTGAATGACTAGAAGAAATCATCTCAAAAGGTTAAAGAGCATCCTGTAGGGTTAGTGTGCTGGAAGAATAGAAAGATCACAGTGTAGCTGAAAACAATATGATATCAGAAACACAGGCTGGAAGCAGATCATGCAGGCACTTTTGAGCCAGGTTATTAAGTTTCCGTTTTACTCTAAGTATAAATGAGAAGCCATAGAAGGATTTTTAGGAAAGGATAATACATTATAATTTACGTTTTCTGAAGATAATTAGCTTAGAGGCTGTTCTCATTTAAATATATATGAACGCAGCACACATGAACACAGCACAATTTATTCATCCAACTACTGGTCCTACCATTCGCAGATCTGGATCCAATACGGTATGATTGCAGGAGAGAAGATCTTTCACCTCTTGAGGAAAATTACTTAGGTACTCTGGGTAGCAGTGACTAATCTGTAACAAAGCAAAGGCTCTTCTGAAGTTGCTCTCTTTCTCTCCTATAATTCAGATGCATACATTTAGGATGTTCTGCAAAACGAGAGTAAAAGGCTATGTTTCATAGAAGTAGATGGTTCCAAACAACCTTCTTTTCCTTCTACATGTTAATTTCTCCAACATTTATCATGGTTTCTCTAGTCTTAGTAATATTTATGGCATGATTTAGTACCTGCTTTTATGATGAATTTGAAGAAAAAAAATAGTCTTAAAGTTTTGTCCTGGTTAGTTATGCAAAAAGATCTAGTGACATTCTCTAACTCATGATAGGGAGAAAATAAAATTTGCAAAAAGGGAAAGTTAGAAAAATATTTTAATTAAGTTCCCATTCCAGAGTGGAATAAGGTTGAGTATTAGTGAAAAAACATTCAGCAAACTGTGTGTTAATACTGGTCTTTATTTAAGCAATTATATTCTTACCTGTGCCATAAACATCACCAGCTCTGCTAGTTCTTTGCTGGGTTTATTTGGTTGCAATTTGAAAATCTCCACATTGGATTTGTAGTGATTATACTGCTGTAGAAACTGCAGAAAAATAAAATTTAAGTTTGTCACATTGTATTACATGACTTTCTCAGTACAGACATTCAGTAGAGAAATTCTTAGTAGAAACTGTTGACGATCACATGGAGAAAAAGATAATGCAAAAGTATATAAAAACACTCCTTTTGCCTTATCTGCATTCTTCAAAGTGCGCTTTTTAAAGACCTGAGCACATCACAGATAATCTAAAGAACTTTTCCTTGGAATTATCACTACAAGTTTAGGCAGCATGGTGTAAGAACAGAGAAGCATGAATCCCAAATTCAGATTGTAGCCCTGTTCTGCCAGTTACTATCTAAATGATCCCGACTGCTGGGTGTAGTGGCTCACACTTGTAATCCCAGCACTTTGGGAGGCCAAAGTGGGAGGATCACTTGAGCCCAGGAGTTCGAGACCAAACTGGGTAACACAGGGAGACCTTGTCTCTACAAAAAATACAAAAATTAGCAGGGTGTGGTGGCGTGCACCTGTAATTCCAGCTACTCAACAGGCTGAAATGGGATGATCACTTGAGCCCAGGGAGGTTGAGACTGCAGTGAGCTATGATCATGCCACTGCACTCCAGCCTAGGCAACACGGAGGCCCTGTCTCACAAAATAAAAATAAAAATAAATGACCCCTACTACCATATCCATGTATGCAGAGCACTCAAATCAGCAGAAAAATAACAGGGCAGAAATATAAATTATATCTCAAGTACATGAAGCTCTCCAGTCAAAATCCCACCCCCCCACTGCCACCCCTTTTTAAAAATTATACTTTTAAGTTCTGGTATACATGTGCAGAATGTGCAGGTTTGTTACACAGGTATACATGTGCCATGGTGGTTTGCTGCACCCATCAACCTGTCATCCACATTAGGTATTTCTCCTAATGCTATCCCTCCCCTAGCCCCCCACCCCAACAGGCCCCAATGTGTGATGTTCCCCTTCCTGTATCCATGTGTCCTCACTGTTCAACTCCCACTTATGAGTGAGAACATGCGGTGTTTGGTTTTCTGTCCTTGTGATAGTTTTCTGAAAATGATGGTTTCCAGCTTCATCCATGTCCCTGCAAGGACATGAACTCATCCTTTTTTATGGCTGCATAGTATTCCATGGTATATATGTGCCATATTTTCTTTATCTAGTCTATCATTGATGGGCATTTGGGTTGGTTCAAAGTCTTTGCTATTGTGAATAGTGCTGCAATAAACATATGTGTACATGTGTATTTACAGTAGAATGATTTATAATCCTTTGGGTATATACCCAGTAATGGGATGGCTGGGTCAAATGGTATTTCTGGTTCTAGATCCTTGAGGAATTGCCACACTGTCTTCCACAATGGTTAAACTAATTTACACTCCCACCAACAGTGTAAAAGAGTTCCTATTTCTCCACATCCTCTCCAGCATCTGCTGTTTCCTGACTTTTTAATGATTGCCATTCTAACTGGCGTGAGATGGTATCTCATTGTAGTTTTGATTTGCATTTCTCTAATGACCAGTGCTGATGAGCTTTTTTTCACTGTTTGTTGGCCGCATAAATGTCTTCTTTTGAGAAATGTCTGTTCATATCCTTTGCCCACTTTTTGATGGGGTTTTTTTTTTCTTGTAAATTTGTTTAAGTTCCTTGTAGATTCTGGCTATTAGCCCTTTGTCAGATGGATAGATTGCAAAAATTTTCTCCCATTCTGTAGGTTGCTTATTCACTCTGATAATAGTTTCTTTTGCTGTGCAGAAGCTCTTTAGTTTAATTAGATCCCATTTGTCAATTTTGGCTTTTGTTGCCATTGCTTTTGGTGTTTTAGTCATTAAGTCTTGCCCGGGCCTATGTCCTGAATGGTATTGCCTAGGTTTTCTTCTAGGGTTTTTATGGTTTTAGGACTCTTGTTTAAGTCTTTAATCCATCTTGATTTAATTTTTGTACAAGGTGTAAGGAAGGGGTCCAGTTTCAGCTTTCTGCATATGGCTAGCCAGTTTTCCCAACACGTTTTATTAAATAGGGAATCCTTTCCCCATTGCTTGTTTTTGTCAGGTTTGTCAAAGATCAGGTGGTTGTAGATGTGTGGCGTTATTTCTGAAGCCTCTGTTCTATTCTATTGGTCTATGTATCTGTTTTGGTACCTTAAAAAAAAAAAAAAAAGACTAGGTCTCCCTCTGTCACCCAAGCTGGACTGCAGTGGCACAATCATAGCTCACTGCCACCTCAAACTCCTGGGCTCAAGAGGTCCTCCTGCCTCAGCCTCCTAAGTAGCTGGGACCACAGACGTTCACCACCATACCCAGCTGATTTTTCATTTTTATTTTTTGTAGAGACGGGATCTCTTTATGTTGCCCAGGCTGGACTCAAACGCCTGGCCTCAAGTGATCCTCTCACCCTGGCCTCCCAAAGTGCTGGGATTACAGGTGTGAGCCATAGCACCTGGCTCCCCTCTTTTTTTACCTCTTCTTTTAAGTGTCAGTAACTTTATGCTAGAGCTCTAGGCAGGATGTGTTAACAGCCAATAGCAGTAGACACATGGAAATAATAATAGCTTCCACTTATTCAGCACTTGTTATGTACTAAGCTCCTTATGCACATCAACTCACTTACTTATGTTTAGTTGTAACAGCCACCTGATAATCAAATGTTGGAATTCACCAGGCCTCAATTCCACAGTTCCATGCCTTACAGCTAACTACTCTCCACCCATACATAGTCTATGTCTTTAAATTATGTGACATACACACACACACACAAACACACACACACACACACACACACACACACACACTCTTTCTCATCATCCCTACCTGGTCCAGTGAACTCCCAATTCACATATCCAGTCACCTGTCTGACATCTCTGTTTAGGTGTCTAAACAGACATCATAAACTTAGCATGGTCAAAAAACACAACTTGATTTCCTCAACAAAACTGCCAGGCTTTTTCTAAGAACAGAAGTCAAGTCCCTACATGCTTCAGATAGAACCACTTCTCTCTTGACCCGACACCTCCACTGAATAGGAGTGAGGAGAGGGCTACACAACTCTTTATGCTACTGACAAAATCCTCACCCCATTTCTTCCCCCACCCCACCCATGGCCCAGCTAACACTATTTACCCGCCTTGAGATGATCAGGACTAATCTCATTACACCCTTTATGTGCATCAGTCACCACAAGAGCCCAGTATTCCCTGGCCATCCCTCATCCTCCTCACTGTAATCCTCATTCCACTACAATCCTGAAACTCTTGGGGTGGGGCCAAGGCATCTAAATCAAACAGCCCAGTCATTCAGATGCTCTATGGGAACAGTGGTTTTCTCCTGACACACTGCTACGTCGTTTCTTTCTCCCAGCATGGATGAGTCAGTAGGCATCCTCCTTTTTCATCAATGCTACTTCCAGAGCACTCATATCCCTCCAGATTAATATCCTTTCTCCTCAACTGTCCTCACCCCCAGCTTTGAATCTTATGCCACAAGACCCACTATTCCTCCTTGTAGTCATCTAAAGACTAGAGTTATCCTCACATTCCTTCAACATTTCAGCTCTTTGCTCACTGTCTTCTCACCCTCTATCTCAATTCCTGTTATAATACTTGGTGATTTCGTATCCACATGGAGGGTCTTCCCAATACTCTGGCCCCTCATTACCCTGACTTCTCCTCCTCTAATCATCTTGAACTTACTGTATCTTAGCACTCACTTCCATGGTCACACCCTAAATGTTGTCATTACCAATAACTATATTACAACTCCATAATCTCAACTAGAGGTATATTCCTCTCCAACCACATCTCTTATTTTCCAAACTCCAACGATCCTTCAATCTCATCAGAATCCACAGTCCACTAAGCCTACTACCTTTCCACTGCACCTAAGTAACCCCCACGCCAACTTCCCTTCTCATCCAGCTTCAATTCCATGATCAATCATTATAATCACCTCCATGCGTATACTTCAACTCACTTGCCCATTTCTCTTATCATTATACCCATTTGGTAAAATGCCCACCCTGTGCTTTCCTTCTCTACAGCTATACTCCCAGAGCTGAACATGGTTGGAGAAAATCGGCTAATTGGTGTCATTTTATTTTTTTCATTTTAATTTTTTTTAGAGCCAAGGTCCTGCTCTGTCGCCCAGGTTTCCGTGCAGTGGTGCTATCATGGCTCACTGCAGCATCAAACTCCTGGGTTTAATCAATCCAACTGCCCTAGCCTCCCAATTAGCTGGGACTATAGGCACAAATTCATAACTACAAACCTCAATTAAGCCCTGCGTGTACTCCAGCAATCTCATTACATTTCTCTAGTCCCTTCACTTTCCCACTTTTCTGGACAACCATTTCATACTTTGCAATCTGTCCTCCAACCTCACTTTTTCCCTGTCCCCATTCTCAGCAGATGATCTTATCTCCAATTTCACTAGGAATATAAGCAATCTGAGGATAATTTCCATTTAACCACCTATCTTCTCCTGTGCCCATATACTTTACCTTCTCTCCTACTACAAAAGCTATCAGGCCACCATCTAAGGCTAGCCCCTCCAGTTATGCATTAGATTCTAAACCCTGTAATGTCACTCAATCAAGGTCTTTGCTTCACTAGTCCCCACCTCCCATTTCCTGCCTCAACAGGTTCTGCCCCATCAGTATATAGACATGCTGTTCTTTCTGCCATCTTAAAAACAAAACAAAACAAAACAAAACAAAAAACACCTTTCTTGGTTGGGCATGGTGGCTCATGCCTGTAATTCCAGCACTTTGGGAGGCTGAGGCAGAAAGATTGCATGGTTTCAGCTTGGAGACCAGCCTGGGCAACTAGCAAGACCTCATCTCTACAAAAAAATCAACTGGGAATGGTGGTTGCACACTTGTGGTCCCAGCTACCCTGGAGGCTGAGGCGGGAGGATTGCTTGAGCCCAGGAGGTTGAGGCTGCAGTGAGCCGTGATCACACCACTGAACTCTGGCCTGGGCAACAGAGCAAGACTGTGTCTTAAAAAAAAAAATCCTTTCTTGATTCCACTTTACTCTGTACCTTCTACTCTATTTCTCTCTTCAGAAAAAGTCCTTTAAAGAGTTGTCCATATGTTACCTAATTGCCCTCCTTTTTCAAAAAATCCTTTAAATTGAGATATAATTCATATACCATAAAATTTACCCTTTGAAAGTATACAATTCGGTTCTTCAGTATATTCACCAAGTTGTACAACCATAGGTTTTTCATCATCACCAAAAGAAACCCCAATCCATTAGCAGTTATTTCCTATACCCCTTACCCTCAGCTCTGGCAAACACTAGTCTACTTTCCATCCATATAGATGCACCTATTCTGGACATATTCTATTCATATACATTTCATATACATAGAATCATACTCCAATTGTTTTTAAACCTTCTGTAATCAGATTTTTGCACCCATTCCTCTTCCCAAACTGCTCAATGAATCAGGGTAGCCAATGACATCCATGTCGCTAATTTTTTTTTGTTTTGTTTTTCTGAGATGGAGTTTCATCTTGTTGCCCAGGCTAGGGTGCAGTGGCGCGATCTCGGCTCACTGCAACCTCCGCCTCCCAGGTTCAAGCAATTCTCCTGCCTCAGCCTCTGGAGTAGCTGGGATCACAGGTGCCCGCCACCACACCTGGCTAATTTTTGTATTTTTAGTAGAGATGGGGTTTCACCATGTTGGTCAGGCTGGTCTTGAACTCCTGACCTCAGGTGATTCACCCACCTTGGCCTCCCAAAGTGCTGAGACTACAGGTGTGAGCCACCGTGCCCGACCCCATGTTGCTAAATTTAATGGTGGTCAACTTTTGGTATTCATCTTATTTGACTCATCAGCATCTGATGTGCTTGGGTTCTCCCTCCCTTGGGAACATCTTCTATACTTGGCTTCCAGAACACCTCCTGGTTTTCCTCGAAACTTCACTGGCTGCTTTCTCAGTCCCTTTTTCCAGTTACTTAGAAACTCACTGGCCTTTAAATGTTGGGAATCCCCAGGGCTTTCTCTACCTACCCAATCCAGGATCTAATCACCCTTCTTACTACTTCCTGTTACCATCCTAGCACCACTCAACCCAGCATCATCTCTTGCTGTGGATAATTCCAATAGCTTCTTATGTGGTGTCTCTGCTTCTATCTTTGCCCTCCTACATACAGTCTATCCTCAAGTAACGGTGATCTTGTTCTCATATAGGGTGGTTCATGTATTCTTCTGCTCAAAACCCTGTAAAGGCTTCCATCTCATTGGGAGGTAGAATCCCAAATTCACCCCCTTTCCTCATTCCCTATTTGGAGCCACACTGGCCTTTATGTTCCTGAAATCTACCAGGCATACCTACCCCAAGGTCTTTATACCTTCTGTTCCTTCTGCCTAGATCATTCTTCCTAAACATATGCACAGCTCTCCCTCATGTCCTTCAGGTTTTCACTCAAAGATTACTATCTCAAGAAGACCTTCCCTAACTATCCAATTTAAAACTGCAATACCCATCTCACCCCCAACATACATAAGTACTTTCCTATTGTCTTTTTTTCACAGCACTTTTCATTATTTAACATACTATATTATTTGTTACTGTATATCACCCCCTACTAGAATGTCATTTAATGAGCATAGAATTTTTATCGGTACAGCTCAATATTATGTAGTCCCAGGGCCCAGCATTGTGCCTTACATATAGCAGGTAATCAACAGTATTTGTCAAATGAACGAACTTCAGGAAATGGCACTATCATCTACCTAGACATATAAATAAAAAACCTGGGTGATCCTTCATTCCTTCTTTTTTCCTTATCCCCCACATCCACTCCACCAGAAATCCCAAGGCTCTACTAGCTCTACCTCCACGTAGAACAGCACGAATCTTTGCCCATAATTCCAATGACACCACAATCCCTTGCTTGGTTATTCTGAGATCCATTATATTAGTTACCCTGCTTCCAGTGTTGCTCCTCTACAAGCCATTCCACATGTAACTTCCAGAGTAAATTCTTAAAAAAAATATGTCAGATCATGTCACTCTCCTGCTTAAAACTCTTCAATCACTCCCCGAGGCACTCAGAGTGAAATCTAAACTCGTTAACAGGGCCTAAGAGGCTCTGAATAAGCTGACCCCTGCCTGCATTTCCTACATCATCTTCCACTGCCCTCTTCTATGCTGACTACACTTTAGCTACACTGGCTTCTTCTCTGCTTTTTTTCCACCAGTAGCTTCTGCACTTTCTATTCCTTGTACCTAAAATGATGTTTACCTGCCTGGCTCAATATCATCATTGCAGAGCCACCTTCCCTGTTTACGGGGTCTAAATCAGAAGCCTCCAATTCTAACCTATTCCCATCCAGTTTTATTTTCTTCATAATCTCTACCATAATAAGTCTACACTCACTTGAATGTAAGTCCAAGAGAAGAATGCTTTCTTATCTGTCTTATTCATTACTGTACCCCAACGCCTACCTAGAATAACAACACACAGTAGTTATATGTGATTTTGCATATATACTTAAGTGAATTAAAGAAGTAGTTATTACCCCCTTCTTACATATTAAAATACCCACATAGGCTCAGCGATTAACCTGCTTCGGTTACACAACTGGTTAACAACAGTCAGCAGCAGGAGTTATCTAACGGAATTATATAGACTCTCAACTTACCACTTTCTTTGCGAATGGCTATACAATGCTTTAAGCATCTCAAAGCCTTGCCTATGTTACTTAACTTCTTGTACTTGTTTCCTACTCTTTATTTCCACTACCTTGATCCTTGGAGAGGCTTTCTCTACTGGTGACCTAAGCCACTGAGATTGCCATGTGTTAAAAAGCACTCATAAAATACATATATGTGAAAATTTAGGGGAGGAGGGAAGTGAGAAGGGCAATGAAAAAATAAGTAATTGTGTTAGCCACTGAACAAATCACAATCTGGTAGAAGCACAAACATGTAATTGCAGCAAATGCCTAGCAGAGATACCTGTTTAATGCCCGTCTGATAAATGAGTGTCTGAAGGAAGCACCTGTCAGATTAATATATCAAAAACCACTTTCGTTTTGTCGGTACTTGGTTCAAACACCCCTAATGTTCACAACTTACATGAGGTCAGTACACAAAGCCCATCACAATGAGGGCCTAATTTTTCAACCTAATCTTTTCCCGAAGCAAATTCTGACATCCGAGTCATGCCAGTCTCCGGTAAGTTTGAATCCTGGCTTAACTAAATATACTAAGCTCCCGAGTCTGTCCGTTGTGCTTGAGAAACCCCCCCCCCCCCTTTCCTGGCACAGTCCAGGGTACACAGCCTGCTCTCAGAAACGGACGTCAATCGAAAGCATTCTAACATACGATTCATCAAAGGTTACCGACTAATTCAAGTTTGGGATTTCTGAAAAGAGGCTGAGAAATCCGCGTGGAAGTTGGTGGTTGGGTGCGGCCCATTTCTCTCTCCACTTCCGTGCGGACGAAGAAAAATATCTTAAAACAAAATGAGGTTTTAAAGGTGTTTCAGCGGCAGCAGGGCAGGTAGAAAATCCAAAGGGGCAACAGATTTTCAAGAGGTGGGGAACGAACCCTAAGGCATGTCCCGTCCCCAACCCCTTCTCTCCTCTGGAGGGACCCCTGAACCTAACAGAAGAATAGGCGGCGAGCCTGGATCCCAGCCCCACTCCATGCTTTCCCGCACCGGCGTCTCAACCATCCACTATCCGGCCTCTAGCGTCTGCCGCGCCGCACTCCCACCTCCTCGATGTAGGCCGGCGGGTCTCGCTTGATTAGATTCTGTAACTGCGGCAGGTTGCTGGGAAGCTTGTTGTTGTTTCTGTTGGACATTTTGGCTGCAGACAGACTTCGCGGCGAGCAGTTTTAAAAAAACTCAGACGGCCGGCACCCCGCAATCCCTGCCAGCTGCAGCTTGGACTCGTGTTTCCGGGTATGACCGGAAATAGCGCATGGGACTCTAGGCAGGCGACACCTTAGCGGTTCCTAAAGCGAGCTATGCTACGGAAGCCTCAGAGTGTCAAAATTACTCTCGTTGCCAAAATACTCTGTGGTGTATTGGAGAGCCAGCCACCGCCGACCCGCCCCTCGCCCTTGGGCATATGCTACTACTTAATATTGCCTTGCGTTTCTGAAAGGATCTGAAATGTAAATTTTTTCACGTGTGTTAGCATGTATCGTCATTCCGACACCCATATGAAGCACATAAATGAGGATTAATCGTTTATTTTTAATCCCGCAGTCTAAAATTAGAAACTGACGCCTGTAATCCCAGCACTTTGGGAGGCCAAGGCGGGCCTGAGGTCGGGAGTTCGAGACCGGCCTGATCCACATGGAGAAACCCCGTCTCTACTAAAATTACAAAATTAGTCGAGCGTGGTGGCGCATGCCTGTAATCCCAGCTACTAGGGAGGCTGAGGCAGGAGAATCGCTTGAACACAGGAGGCGGAGATTGCGGTAAGCCGAGATTGCACCATTTCACTCCAGCCTGGGCAACAAGAGCGAAACTCCGTATAAAAAACAAAACAAAACAAAACAAAACTGAAAAGAACCGTGGCGCTAGATAACACTATTCCCTCTTAGGAGGAAAAAAGAGCAACGAGGGTCATATAAGTTAATGTGTATGATTTTAGATATGTTTTTATTTTGGTTTTGGTTGTTTCAACTTAGCGTGACCCATACAAGGGAAAAGAGGGCTGGATAAAATGTGATCATGTTGACCATTAATAAATGCAATTAATCGTTAAAATTCAACCATCGTTATAAGCTTTGTAAGCACTCCTCAGTCAGAGTTTTTAATTCAGATCCTGGTAATTCGAAGAGGAGAATACATTTCTACAATCTCAAGGTGTAAAAAATCAATAAGGGTTGAATGAATGAGGTAGGGTGTTGTGAATTAGAGAGAGAGAAAAAAAAACCTAATTACCCACCCTGTGCCAGGCACTATTCCAAGCACTTGTATTAACTTATTTAATCCTCAGAACAACCCTCTAAAATAGGTGCTATTGTTATCTACATTTTACAGAAGAGGAAACAAGCTCAGGGAAGTTGACTGCCTCAATTCATAGCCTGTGAGGAAGATGAGATTTCAATCTAGACAGTCTTGATTGTAACTACATGAGAAAAAACATAGCCTAACAGCTGGTAGCTGGTTGCTGGTCTGGCAAAATAGCCAGACAATAGGGTTCTGCTTAACCAAAGCAATTTTATAGAACGCCAACCTCATCTGTGACGATGATAAAATGAGCCCCAAACAAAACAACTCTGTAATCACACCTGCACACAAAATAAAGAATGCTTCACAAACCATGTTATTCAGCTGCTTTTGGAGAATGACTTATTTATTAATTATCAAATCAGTTACCTGTGAAGTTAAGAAATAAATGTCAGCAATAAATCTTTTTTAAAAAGCATAGATTTAAATTAAAATTTTTTGGCTAGGTTGTTTTAGTGAGGGCAAAAAAAGTATTCTCAAAACAAAATCTGGCTAAGTGTGGTAGCTCAAGCCTGTAATCCCAGAACTTTGGGAAGCCAAGGTGGGAGAACCACTTGAGCTGGGTAGTTCAAGACTAGCCTGGGCAATATAGTGAGACCCCATCTCTACCAAAAAGTTGAAAAATCAGCCAGGCATGGTGGCACAGGCTTGTGGTCCAAGCTACTGAGGAGGCTGAAGCAAAAGGGTTGCTTGAGCCCAGGAGGTTAAGGTTGCAGTGAAGCACTGCACACCAGCCTGGGCAATACAGTGAGACCCTGTCTCAAAAAAAAAAAAAAAAGAAAAAAGACTGCGTACAGGTACTTGAAAATGTCTGGTGTATTGAAACAATAGCCATAAGTTTGGTGTGACTAAAGGCTGGGAGGGCAGGGTGCAGCAGGGAAAGAGCTGAGAAGGTTATATTGTCCTGATATGAAAGGCTTTAATTGCTATTCTAAGGAGGGCATATAGGTCAGTTCATTTTACCTCCAGCAGCATGGAAGGCAGGATTTGTTTTTGATAAATGAGAACTCTAAGACTAAGAGTGGCTAACTGAATATATATTTTTCAGATGTTAAATAATTTGGGTATCTAAGGCCAACATCTCTGCTTTCATGTGAAATTCCATCCTTTATTTTTAAAATTATAATGTATTTATTTTATAGCTTTATTAAGATATAATTGATGTACAACAAACTACCCAGTGAACAATTTGATAAGTTTTGACATATGTATGTACCCATAAAACCATCATCACAATCAAAATAATGACTATATCCATCATCCCCAAACGTTCCTTGTGCCTCATCATCCCCAGACAAACACACATCTGCTTTCTGTCACCAAAGATATGTCTGTGTTTGCTGGAATTGTATACAAATGGAATCATACAGTACCTATTATTTGAGGTCAAGGTTCTTTCACTTAGCATAATTATTTTGAAATGTATCCATGGTGTTGTATGTATCAATAGTTCACTCCTTTTATTCCTGAGTAGTATTCCATCATATAGACATATTGCAATTTGTTTATCCATTCACTAGTTGCTGGATATTTGGGTTGTTTCCAGTTTTGGCTGTGAACATTCATGTTCAAGTCTCTTTTTAAGAGATAGGGTGTTGCTCTGTCACCAAGGGTGGAGTGCAGTGGCATGATCATAGCTCACTGCAGCCTTGAACTCCTAAACTCAGCCTCCCTAGTAGCTGGGACTACAGGTGGTGTGCCACCATGCCCAGCTAATTTAAAAAAATATATTTTTGGCTGGGCTCAGTGGCTCACGCCTGTAATCCCAGCACTTTGGGAGGCCGAGGCGGCGGGTCACGAGGTCAGGAGATCGAGATCATCCTGGCCAACATGGTGAAACTCCGTCTCTGCTAAAAAATACAAAAAATTAGCCGGGCGTGGTGGCGCGCACCTGTAGTCCCAGCTACTCAGGAGGCTGAGGCAGGGGAGTCGGTTGAACCCAGGAGGTGGAGGTTGCAGTGAGCCAAGATCGCACCACTGCACTCCAACCTTGGTGACAGAGCAAGACTCCGTCTCAAAAAAAAAAAAAAAAAAAAAAAAAAATATATATATATATATAAAAGACAGGGTCTCACTATGTTGTCCAGGCTGGTCTTGAATTCCTGGCCTCAAGTGATCCTCCCGCCTTGGCCTCTCAAAGTGTTGGGATTACAGGCTTGAGCCACCATGTCGTGCCATCAAGTCTCTATGTGGACATAAATATCTTGGTAAATGTCTAGGAATAGAATAACTGGATCAATATGATAGGTTTACGTGTAACTTTTAAGAAACTGCCGATCAATCTTTTGCTTCTACCATTCCACTGAAACTGTTTTTTATCAAGATCACCAATCACATCAATTTTCATTATTTAACTTAACCTGCAGCATTGGACACAGTTGGTCTCTCCCTTCTCCTGGAAACATACTTGGTAACTGACCTTTAACTGGTCTCTCTGCATTTTCCCTTACCCTCTTACACTGTATTTCCATGTAGTGGTCAGAGAGAGCCTTAAATGGATCAGGTTATTCTTCCAACTTCCCTTCTCACTCAGAGTAAAAGCTGAAGTTCTTCAGTGGCATAGAAGGCTGTTATGAACTGCATGATTGTGTCCCGCCAAATTCATATGTTGAAACCCTAACCCCCAATGGGATGGTATTAGGAGGTAATTAGTTCATGAAGGTGGAGTCCTCATGATGAGATTATCATCCTTGTAAGAAGAGACACAAGAAAGCTTACCTCCTTTCTCTCTGATCTCTGCCATGTGAGGATACGAGAAAACATCTGTTTGCAAATCAAGAAGAGTGCCTCATCAAATACTAAGATACTAGATCTGCTGGCACCTAGATTTTGGACTTGCCAGCCTCCAGAACTGTGAGGAATAAATGTTTGTTGTTGAAGTCATCGAGTCTGTGGTAATTTGTTATAGCAGCCCAAAACCTTATATGATCTGACCCCACACTATCTCACTGGGCTCCTCTCCCATCACTCTCCCCTTTGCTTACTCTGCGCCCCTTCAACCCTGCAATGATCCCCTAGCTGCCTTAAATGTGTCAAACTTCAGGCCTTCACACTTGCTGTTTCCTCTGATTCAAGTGCCACAAGCCTTGCTCTCTCATTGTCAAGTCTCTGCTCAAATGACAACTTATTAGAGATGTCTTCCCTGACCTCACAGCCCTCTGCTCACCCCACACTCCCTTCCCCTGCTTCATTTTCTCCAAAGCCCTTATCCGTCTCTGATATATCGTATACTTACTAGTTTAGTTGTTTATTGCCTGTCTTTATGCACTAGAATATGAGCTTAATGAAGACTGTTTTGTTCATTGTCTATCCTGTACACTTGGAGCAATGCATGCATATAATAGGTAATCAGTTAATATTTGTTGAATGAATGAATGAATGCATGGATAATCTCTAATGACTTCCAATTCTTCAACTGTGTGATTTATTAAAGCAGGAACTTAAAATATCTTGGACAAACGCAGATAAAATTTACCTGAAAATCAGTAAGTGACTAACGTGTGAATCCTTGTTATTACCTTTCTCATTAGAAACCAATGATATTGACTGTGTTCGGAAAAGCCAGTCATGTCTTCATCCTTTTCTGATTAAAATATATTGTTTTATTATTATTATTATTTGAGACAGGGTCTTGCTGTGTCACTCAGGCTGGAGTTCAGTGGCACAATCATGGCTTACTGTAACCTCAGCCTCCTGGGTTCAAACTATCCTCCTGCTTCAGTCTCCCAAGTGGCTGGGACTATAGGTGTGCACCACCATGCCTGGTTAATTTTTAAATTTTTTTGTAGAAATGAGGGACCGGGTGGGTGGGTCTGGCTATGTTGCCTGGGCTGGTCTCAAACTTCTGGGCTCAAGTGATCCTCCCGCCTCAGCCTCTCAAAATGTTGGGATTACAGGTGGGAGCTGCGATGTTTGGCCTATTGTTTAAAAAAACTGTTAGATTAGCCACTAGAGGGAGCTCATGCTTTTCTTGTTAACGGGAAAATTACATGATTTGACATGCCCACAAACTAAACAGAAATCTCATAAAGAATTATAGTCCTTAAAGCTAATTTAATTTTTTATTGCATTTTCTTTCTTCTTTCTTTCTTTCTTTTTTTAGACGGAGTCTCACTCTGTTGCCACGCTGGAATGCAGTGGCACGATCTCGGCTCACTGCAACCTCCGACTCTCTGGTTCAAGCGATTCTCCTGCCTCAGCCTCCTGAATAGCTAGGATTACAGGCATGCGCCACCACGCCCAGCTAATTTTTCTAGTTTTAGTAGAGACGGGGTTTCACCATGTTGGCCAGGATGGTCTCGATCTCCTGACCTCGTGATCCGTCCGCCTTGGCCTCCCCAAGTGCTGAGATTACAGGCGTGAGCCACCGCACCCGGCCTTTTATTGTACTTTCTTCCTCCTCTCTCTCTTTTACAGCTTTGTTATGAGTTTTCCCCACAAGCCCATGTATTTCTTTGCTCCTGTGGGCAGCGAAAACTTTTGGCCTTGCCTCTGGACAAATCTATCAGGGCTGATAGATTTTGTCATTGGTACAGGCCCTCGCTTCTCATCCACCTCCACTGCCTCTCTTTTTGCTGATCCAAGGTCCCCAACATTCTCCCTAGCTGGCAGAGATCATCCCTGTTTCCCCATTATTCAGAGAAATTTAGCTTAGTTTTGCTTTAACTTCCATACCATCAAAAGTCCTAGGCCCATCTCTCCCTAATCAAAGGCTCCATACAAAAGAGACATCTGCCCTGAGGTAAATTCTGAGGCTTTCAGTATTGCAGAAGTGATTGCTGGCATTTCTTTTTCTAAGCAACACATTTTTTCCCTCTCTGTTATATAGTTTATTTTGACATGTATCCTCTTACCTAATAGATTGTGATTTTTAGTTCTTCATTCCAGAGGAAATGCAGGTTGTCTACTCCAATGGTTAAAGAAAGCTGGTGGTAGATGGCTGTACCTACTTGGTCCTATACTCTACCAGAAGGCAGAGGCCAAGATTTAGTTTTCTGGAGATGGAGATACCAGCAAGTCCTTCCTTCTTTTTTTCTTTGAGCAAAACAAATTCTTTATTAAAACAGTTGACTTGAAACAGTATATTATATCTAAAGGAAGAGTTTTTTTTTAATCTGTATAGCAGACTTTTAAAGAAAGCAACTAGTTATGTATAACTTGACACCTTTCCCTCTAATCTTTTGTCAGTTTGCCCCAGTTCATAATCTTATTAATGGACTTAGATTAGACTGTTCCTTTGTGATTTATTCATCTCCTTAAAATGTAGGGTCCAAAGTTGAAAGTTCCCTCCTGAGAACTTTAAACCAATGTGGGTATCAAAATGCCTCAAGTGACTTCTTGGCTTGTGATGACTTGGGAGCTAATTCCACTCCCTATTAAGAAGTGTTGCCTGTTTTTCTTTCTCATTTAATTTCATCTCCTGTCTATATAGGCCAAAAACGAGACAGTACCTAAAGTATCTGTGATTGTAGTCTCTCTTTATCTTCCTTTCCAATAAGAAGGCAACTTTCCAGTTTCCCCGTAAGGATAAAACAACTACAGATAGCTTCCTCCCAGTTAACTGACCTAGAGATCGCTAGCATTTATTTATTTATTTATTTATTTAATTTATTTTGAGACAGAGTCTCACTCTGTTGCCCAGGCTGGAGAGCAGTGGCACGATCTCAGCTCACTGCAAACTCCGCCTCCTGGGTTCAAACGATTCTTGTGCCTCAGCCTCTCAAGTAGTGGAGATTACTGGCGTGTGCCACCACGCCCAGCTAATTTTTGTATTTTGAGTAGAGACAGGGTTTCACTATGTTGGCCAGGCTGGTCTCAAACTCCTGACCCCAAGTGATCCAGCCACCTTGGCTGGGATTACAGGCGTGAGCCATGGTACCTGGCCACTAGCATTTAAATTCATAAGAATAGTTTACAGATTAAATACGTCTGAGTCTTTTATCCATTGCTCTAATGTATAAAATTTGTTCAGGCACAGACTGCTTTCTAGTATAGCAAAATAATTGAAGATTTTAATCATAGAACAATCCTTACTAGTTAAAGTCATTTTATGACAGGGCATGGAGGTGGATATCAGTGTGGCCAGGAGGATTCTGGGATGGAGTCATGGGAAAAGTGGGACTTGAATCATGTGTAGGTGGGAGTCAGATGAGTTGGAAAGTAGGACAGGGCGAATAAAAGAATGAGCAATGCGAGGGCAGAAATGAGCATGAGATGAACATGACAAGAGTAGTTGAAATTGATTTGGAAAAGGCCTAAAATGAAAATTTAGGGTGAAGTATATGTCAATCAACTAAAAAATACATATTAGGAGCTTCCTAAGTGCCAGGCACTGCTCTAGGCATGCAGTAGTGGGGAAGACAAAGTTTCCATGGTCGAGAAACCTAAATTTGTACATGTGGTAGGGTAGGAGGGAAGATATAAGTACACACATTATTTTAAAAGGTAATTGTAGATTGTGATGGTTTGATCATTATATCTAATCATGATAAAAGAAAATGAAACAGACTCTAGCCACCGGATTTTTAAAATTGTGTACCCTTCTAGTTAAAATTAGAACAGCCATCCCATCTATGTATGTTTTGTTCTCTTGTTAGTTTATATTAGCATTATTAATATGATCTTCCACAGGAATTTCTTAGCAGGAGTCTTTTAGAGCCACTTGCCCATTTTGTGAAGGTTGGCTTAGTGAGCACTCTGTCTTGTAATCCTTAAATCCCCTTAACTACATGCACATAAATGGAAACTCATGTTGCAATCTGCAGAAGGTGAATGACTGAGTGAGGGCACATGCCAGCCCCTCAGTTGTGGCGATGTCACCTTTTCCTCAGGAATTTCTTAGCAGGAGTCTTTTAGAGCCACTTGCCCATTTTGTGAAGGTTGGCTTAGTGAGCACTCTGTCTTGTAATCCTTAAATCCCCTTAACTACATGCACATAAATGGAAACTCATGTTGCAATCTGCAGAAGGTGAATGACTGAGTGAGGGCACATGCCAGCCCCTCAGTTGTGGCGATGTCACCTTTTCCTCAGGAAATTAGCACATGACAAATGATTTACAGTCAATTTTCAGTTTTTTCTTGTTTTTTAGACAAAAATGTAAGTTCTAAATATTTTCATCAACTCCATAAGGTACACACACTGGAACCACTACCACTACCAGAGAGAGAGTCTGGGGAAAGAGTGGTTATTTTACTAAGGGTCATAAGAGAAGGGGACTCTGTGAAGTGACATTTAAACTGAGACTTAAGTGATGAGGCAAGAACCGCCATGCAAAGAAGTGTGTGTAGGCCCAGGTGTTTCAGGGAAGCAGAGCCACTATGAGTATTATGAGGATAAAAATTTACTATAGGATTCAGATCTCACAGATGAGGAAGGATCTCAGGGAGTGAACATCTAGAAGGGAGAGTCAGGGGATCAGAGGAAGAATCAGTGACTGGTCCATCAGAAGCACTGGGACAGTTGGACAAATAGAGCTTGTGTGAAAAATCCAAGAAGTTAAGCCCGTTCAGCGCCAAATTGGGGCTGCTAGGGTCTATGGGAGCTGTTGCTTCTGTGTAACTACCGCCTCTGTGGGTCCACTGCCAAATATCTGGGTGGGGGGCCTGGGACCATCACTGATCATGAGGCCAGCAGTCCTGAGCATAAGCTGAACATGGAGGAAAAGAGCAAGGACAAGCTGGGATCCACTGGCTACCAGTGTGTCTGTCAATATGTCTAATCAAGATTAAGGGTCACTCCTTCACTTTTGATTTCCAAATCTCACATGAGTTCTTCTTTGGCTAACTATAACCTGGAACCACACAGGGAAGGAGATTCTGGGAAATGTAGTTGTAAGACTAACCAAGTTGATATAGTACAACCCAGAACCACAGGGAACAAAAACCCCAGAAGGCAATGAATTCAGTGTGCTCAAGAGACATACAGAAAAAAGGTGATGCTGAGGCTCAACAAAGGAGGGGAGGGTAGAGGGAGCATGATTAGATAAGCAGGCAGATCCCAGCTTATGTTAGGCCAGCTCATGGTATGTTTTGACTTAATGCTAAGCTGCAGGATTTTAAGCAAGGTGGCAGCATTCTGTAAGTTATTTTTTAAAAAGATTATTCTAGTTGTCATGGAAGTTAGGGAAGCAAGAGAAATGTTGAGAAGAAGAGCCAACAGGGAAAACAGCAGGCTACTGAGGTAGCTCAGGAAAGAGACAATGATGGCCTGGACTAGGATTATAAAATACAGATATTGAGAACTGGTCAGGAAGCCTTTTAGTCTCATTTCTCCAACATGTTTTTTCAGTGCTGGAAACATTTCTCTCTCTATGAGATGTAGGATCCATCTGCTGCAAGGAAGATGCAGCAGAGGTAAGTGGTTAGGGAGGATCTGGGACAAACATTGAGGACTTTCTCTGCACCAAGACCTATGCTGAACCTGCTCCTCACAACAATCTGGAATGAGGAAAATGATGCACTGGGAGGTTAAATATTATACTTTAACCAGGGTCACACAGTTAATAAGTAGTGGGCCCCTGATTCTAACCAGGATATCTCAGAATCCAGGATCTTAGCTCCTTCCAGAGTCCTGTTGCCTCTCAGGTGAAGGCCCTTGTGAGAATTCATGTCTACCATTAGCAGCTGTTATCTGCCCGAATATTACACCTGTCTGGCCTCTAAAGTGTACATCAAGTGTACAGGCTGATGCTCTTCGTTCCACTCTCAACCTTCTTAGAGACTCCACGCTGCGTAATGCCTCCAGCCCAAGTTTCCTGGACCCTTAAATAATTCATTCAGTGTTTAGGTCTCCATCATAACTACTTGAGGCTTTACAATATTTAAACATATACAATTTTAGGGATAGAAAAGAAGACGTGTTGGCTTCCTGGGGACACACCTCATTGGAATAGTGTTACTCTTGAGGATTAGGAAATACATTGAATTCTACATAATGCTTTTTTTTTTTTTTTTTTGACAGAGTCTCACTCTGTCACCCAGGCTGGAGTGCAGTGGCATGATCTTGCCTCACTGCAACCTCCACCTCCCGAGTTCAAGTGATTCTCCTGCCTCAGCCTCCCAAGTAACTGGGACTATAGGCGCATGCCACCATGCCCAGCTAATTTTTGTAATTTTAATAGAGATGGGCTCTCACCATATTGGCCAGGCTGGTCTCAAATCCCTGACCTCAAGTGATCCGCCCACTTCGGCCTCCCAAAGTGCTGGGATTATAGGCGTGAGCCACTGCGCCCAGCCCCACATAACTCTTTTAAATCAGTGTTGTTGTAAGGCAGTGTTGTCATATTTTCCATAGGTTTTTTTTCCTGTTCCCGATCGACCCTTTAAAGAGCTTTCATGTGTTATCTCAACTAGTGTTACACTTTATTTGAGAGAAAGCTAAAAAGTAAATAAGGACATATAAGATTTACTATTAAACATTCAACAGTTGAAGGGTACATTCAAGAGAAAAAAAATCAAGATCTGTTTTCTGATTAATGGTCTATTTATTGATACCATTCTATTTTAACAAAGAAAATATTTCAAATTACAAGGTATACAAGTCAATACTGTTTTGAAGTGAAAAATTATTTGCTTTGAGAGTGTATGCATGTATGTATATATATGATAAATGATTATAACGTGTGTGTCAGTGACAATATGTAGTCTTTGGTTGTTAGTTATATACTGTCTACCTGTGAGATGCAAGGTAAGTGGGTCACAGACTCTCAAATTTATGAAACACTTAGATTTTTCAGGGAAGTTACATGAAGGAACTAGGGAGTTTCATGATTAGATAAGACGTTCGGGTGGGATCTCCACCGGACAGCACTCTAAATCATCAGCAGTGTGAGCAGTGATTCAATTTGGGAAAGTGAGTATAGGTTTAAATTCTGGCCACAGACAACCTCTCCTACACAATTCACTGAACCTCCCCTGGAAGGAGGTTTCCACATCCTGCAGAGGCTAACTGGGCACCAATCATGCTTCCACTAACCGACTTGGCTGCTTCCTCTAGCGCTTAGTACTTCACCGTTCCCTTTCTTCATGGGAGATGGTGTGGTAATTGATAATCACAATACAAACTCTGAAACAAGTAAACGGACAATAAAACTCATATTTGCCTAAAATGAGTTTCGATAAGGATCTCGGTGGCTATCTTGTTAGATCTTAGAAAGCTGAGGCTTATTGAGAAAGCCCTTTTCCTTCGGGAAAAGGAATTTTTGTATGGTTGGGAAAAGGTTGGTCACTGGCTGATCTATAAAGTCCTTTTCATTGTAAGATTATATGATTTTCGGTAAACTGTATATTTTTTAAAAACAGTCCAGAATATCCGCAAGTGTTTTACCACGTGCTTCTTATTGTTGGAGAAGCTGAGCAAACATCCTGTCATAAAAAGACAAGGATGTTGCATCATCCCTGGTCCCTGTAGTGAGTGTCCTGAAGATAATAAGTAAGAGGTTACCAGAGGCTAGCCAACATGGAGTAGCCAGGAAAGAGCCAGCACCTGCTCTGAGACAATGGTCTGGTTGCCATCCTGCCCATAACAACATCAATTAAAAAATTATTAAAACCTAGTTCCACAGTATTATTAGGCACTGTGGAAGAAACAGGGAAATATACTGTGGCTCTTGCCCTCAAGGAGCTGACAATCTGGTTGGAGAGATAGGATAAACACCCAAGAATTAGTTAACCATTGAGTGTTCACCCATGTGGTACTGAACCAAGTGAAACAGGAGTTTTAAGATAATTTGTGTGTCCAAAAAGGTTTATTTAAGAGGCAGGACTTGAACTAAGCTGGACTGAGTGAGGATGAATTGGGAGAAGAAAGCACTTCTGTGGGGTGTTGGGGACAAGATGAGAAAGGAGTTGACTCAGATAAATCAGAGCATATGACAGGTGCACTGGAGAGAAGAAAGGCACTGCATTGTGGTAGGATGGAGAAGAGCTGACTTGAATGAAGCAAAGGGGAACAAAAAGAAATAAAGTGGTCAGCCTGAGCGGGCAAGATGGAATCACATGGCTTCCAAAGCCAGAAAGGAGGCTCTGAAAGCCACACACTGGTGATCTCCAGTGGTGATACCCAATAACAATCAGCATGAATCTCTCAGACACATTGTGTGTGAGGCCTGTAGGCTGATTCAAATACAGAGGTTGATGGCCACAGCAGCTTGGTGAGGTCCAGCTCAATTTCAAACTGCTTGGCTCACCAGCATGCTAACAGGCTTAGGACTTGCTGACATGTGCCTCAGATACTCTCTGGAGGCTGCAGTACGTGGAAGCCTAGGGCTGCTCTTCCAGGCAGCTGTTGTGAGTGGGATGTGGTTGGGTGAACATCTGTGTAGACATGGGTATTGCTAAAATCATGGCCTTAAGCATGATGAAATTCAACTGGTGGGTGGTAGAAGAACAAAGACAATCATAGCCTTTAACAATTCTTAACGTTTGGATTCTTAAAATCAACTTTCTAACTTTAGTTACAATTTCAGAGTAATGTTTTAAATTTTCTAGTCAAATTAATAAGCCTTTGTATTATATGCCATCCTCCTTTGGAATGATAGCGGTATAATTAAAATAGAACATTTTTAACACAGAATACTTATTGGTGAAGTGGTCTCTTATGTAGTCTTCTTTTGACGAGAACGTTGAGATTTTCGAACTTTCAGAACTTTCTTTTTTTGATGTTTTTTCCCATTCTTTTGCTTTTTCTTTTGGCTGACCTGTGAGAAGAAGGGGAAAAAGGGCAATGTTTCTGAATCTTACCATTTTTACTTCCTTTTATTTGGACTCTCCTGATCATTGTCTCATACCCACATAGTCTCAAAACCACATTAAAGTCACTTCACTCTCAGAGGGGCTCCCTTAGATTCTCTCTACTTTGCTCACTTTGAGGAGGAGGCAACAGCCTTCAAACTGGCTGTCTTTTGTCTATTCTTCTGGCTTATTACATTCTCCTGGCAACCTTGCTTACCACTCACCTGCCCCAGCTACAACCCTCTGAAGGTGGCACTATTATCATCCACGTTTTACATAGGAGGAGGCTGAGTTCTGGAGAGGGTGACTTTCCCAAATCTAGACAGCTAGTATGTGGCAGAACCTCCAGTCTGTGAGACTCCAGAACCCAATCTCCCACCCACATATTCTGTGGCTCTCTTCAAATCCAACTCCTTAGTATGCCATGCAGGATTCCTCCCGCTTTGTCCTGATCTACTTTTCTGCCTCAGTCCCTTCACTCTCTTCACACAAACTCCAGCCACATTAATGGAGGCTCCCTGAACACAGCAGGTTCTCTCATGATTCTACTCTTCTGCTCATGCTGTCCTTACCTTCCTGGCAAATTATTTATCCTTCAAGACCCAAATCAAATATCACCTGACATGAGAAATCTTCCTTAACACTTTCTCCTGCCCCATTCCCCCAGCAAAGTTAAGTACTCCCTCCTCTATGTCGTCAAGATTCTTGTGCATACTTTTATATTTCTCACATTGTACCATAATTATTAGCATATGCACTACAACAGGAAGGGACTATACCTTATTATCTTTGTATCCTGTGTCTACCATTCAATTCATTACATATTTATTGTATTAAATAAGGACAAGCTCTGTACCCCCAAGGAACACACATTCTTCCAGTGGGAGACAGAGAGGGGATACTATATGTAGGAACCTAATTTTGTCCTAGGAACAAAATAGAAGCACCATAATATGAATGAAAAATGTATTCTTAAAAGTTATGTATTCTTATAGTGTTAATGAAAAAGCAGATTCTTTGTCTTCTAAAGTTAATTTCTAAAAGAAAGAAAATTTTGATCTTCCTTTTCACCAACCTGTTTCTCCCACTTTTTAATCAGTTCCTTCACATCTGCTGAATCTGGGTTTAGACATGTTTGAACTCCATTCTTCAGTGTAGCACTGCCAAAGAAATAGCAATGAGATAGTTTTTTCTCATTAATAATTTAAATGCTTCTTCTCAGAAATAATGAAAATCAGTATGAATTGTGCTGAATTTTCTAATGAAACTACTTAAAATTATTTCCTAGGACAAGATGAGTCACTGGTTGAATTTTTTTTTTTTTCTTTTTTTGAGACAGAATTTCGCTCTGTTGCCAGGCTGGAGTACAGTGGTGCGATCTCAGCTTGCTGCAACTTCCAACTCCTGGATTCAAGCGATTCTCCTGCCTCAGCCTCCCGAATAGCTGGGACTACAGGCATGCGCCACCACGCCCAGCTAATTTTTGTATTTTTAGTAGAGACAGGGTTTTACCACATTGGCCAGGATGGTCTCAATCTCTTGACCTCATGATCTGCCCACCTCAGCCTCCCAAAGTGCTGGGATTACAGGTGTGAGCCACTGCACCCGGCCCTGGTTAAATTTTAAAAATTACTTACAGTAGACTGTCTGGAAATAATTTAAATGTTCCTTTAATTTTTCTGTATAGTCTGAGAATAAGAGTAGTCAAGGATGACTTATAAAGACAAAATATGCACACATCCTTCAACCTAGCAATCCTAATCTCTAGAAAGGAAAGAATTACAGACACAATACTGCCACAGTAAGTTTTATTTCAGCAGTAAAAATTTGGAAATAATCTATATTTCCAACAATAATCCTGGTCATATAAATTATGGTTTATCCATATGATGAAATACAGTTTGGCCATTAAAAATGACATTAAGTAAAAATGACATTATTAGAGATTTACTGACACGAGAAAATGTTCATGATATAGTGTTAATGAAAAAGCAGATTACAAAACAGTGTATAGTATATGATTTAATTTTTGTGCTTATATACGTGTATGTAAAAACATATCTATGTTATGTGCACACGAAGCAAGTAAGGAAGATTTAGAAAACTGTATACTAAGGGGTTAACAGTATTTGTCACTCAAGGGTAGAATTATGCGTGATTTTTATTTTCTTCTATTGTGTTACCTGCATTAAACATTTTGTACAATAAACATGTGTCATTCTTGGGGCCTAATCTACCAGAAATTCCTTGCATTTTTAAGGAGAAGAAAAGAAAGGAGCTGCCCAAATTTATGGAGGGGGTAACCATCTGATTTTTAAGTGTTTGTATGGGCAAGCACTCCAAGGGTAAAACTCATGCTAAATTTAATGTTCTTGCCAATATGGTGCATGCATGTTAGCTGGGTTGTTACTTACATGATTTCAATTTTCTCGCAGGAAGGGCTTGGGGCAAATTGTTTAAGGTCTTTCAAGGATTGTAGGTGGATAGTCCCTTGGTTGGTGCTGATGCAGGAACAGCGACCCTTTCTCACTACTGGGGTTCCTGAGGGAAAGAAAAAGATAGAACACATCAGTATAGGCCAATGTTTCAGTTTAGGTGATCTATCAAAATGATACACTTGACTGAGTCATGATTATTGCTATCATTTACCGAGTGCCTAAAAATAATCACCACAAACCTTTGAAGGAGGTATCATCTCTATTTTATACATAAGGAAACTAAGGTTCAGAAAGATTAAGAACAAAGTCATACAGCTTTTAGGGAGCAGGGGCAGGGTTTTAGCCCAGATCTCTCTGAGTCCAAAGGCGTTGCTCTTAACTACCACACCGTAAGTCCGTGGGAGAAAAAGAGACTTTCACAATATTTAATAAATGCCTATCACAAGACAAACAGATAACTAATTCATGTATGCTATGCTGATCACAGTTTCTTAAGCAACTCCTAAACCATCTATTATTTATTATCTGACCTTAAGGAATGGAACTGGTGTTGGTGTTGAATAGAAAGCACTCCTTTGTAACCAATCACCACTTTCATCCTCATCCTCTCTCCTCCCCACTGCCTTGCTTTTCAATAGTGTTTTAAATTTTTGAAAACCCCTTAAAATACATTATCTTAATTCTTAAATTCATATATTTACTTGGTACTTATTGTACCATATGCCATACATTGTGTAGCAGTCAGAAAAGGTATAACTACAAAGTTCTATTTTACAGATGATGAGGAAACTGAGGTCTAGAAAGATTAAGTAATTTGTCCAAGGTAACAAAGATAGTTAGTAAATAGATTAGGGACAAATTCTCTGATTATTGGTTGGATCCTTAATTGGTTAGCCACAGATATACTTAGCAAAAAACAGTATCAGGGAGAAGAAAATAATTTAGGAGATAGAGTTCTCATTATTACCCAGTTCAATGAACATTTATTGAACACTTACTAGGAATTCATACACCTAGACTACAAAGACTTGTGTTTGACTTGGCAGATCGAAGTTATGAACTTTGGATAACTGGTCATGTCACTGAGAAGCTTTTATGACTGACCAAATATTACTCTTCAATGCAGGCAGAACATTCACCTTTATCTGGCTAATCAAGATTCTTTTACAGTGAATCACTTCTCTTACTTTACAACCTAACTCAGAACCCCTTACCTTGCACTCCAATCAGAACCAGCAAGATGATGCCCAAGAGGAAAAGAACACCACTTTTCTTCATAGTGATAGAATGGAGTTCCAAGTCACTCCTGTATTGGATTTTGAGCCTGAGAAATTCTTTAGAGAACACATTTTGGGGATCATATTTATTTAGGATATTCATTTCTCTCCTAAACTCTGATTGGCTAGTATCTTTAGCTGAGCTAACTAAATTGACCACAAACTTGATTGTGCTGGGGGAAACCCTAGTCTCAGATCCAAGGGAATTTCTGCATGTTTTTATTTCCATTTCACATAAATGGGTGGTTTATAGTAAGGGATGTGAAACTAGCAACACTGATAGCCTTTGGCACATTCACAGTTGCTCACCTGTGTGAAGAATAGGTTATATAATGAATATACTAATGTTATACAACAAAGGTTGGAGATGTGGTTTCCAGATGGGAAATATTAAAGTCCAGATAAATAATATACTTTTCAAATTCCCTTACTATTTATGGCATATTCTTCTGTATAATAGATGGCTACATTGATATTTTCTTATATTGCCCACTTAACAACTTAAAGCACCTTAATTTCCTCTGGGACCAGGTCATTTTCTACTAGTGGTAAGCTCATTCTGTATCATTCCTGCTACAGTATTATTTTTTAAACTAATAAATTGGTTAGAATAAGGGGTCAGTTGCATGTAAGAGACCCAAATTAACAGTGGCTAAGAAATGCAATAAAAATGAAGATAAATAGCTGGGACCTAATTAAAGAGCTTTTGCACAGCAAAAGGAACAGTCAGCAGAGTAAACAGACAACCCACAGAGTGGGAGAAAATCTTCACAATCTATATACCTGACAAAGGACTAATATCCAGAATCTAGAATGAATTCAAACAAATCATTAAGTAAAAAACAAACAATCCCATTAAAAAGTGGGCTAAGGACATCAATATACAATTCTCAAAAGAAGATACACGAATAGCCAACAAACATATGAAAAAATGCTCATCACTAATGATCAGGGAAATGCAAATCAAAACCACGGTGTGATACCACCTTACACCTGCAAGAATGGCCATAATCAAAAAATCAAAAAACAGCAGATGTTGGTGTGGACTTGGTGATCAGGGAACACTTCTACACTGCTGGTGGGAATGTAAACTAGCACAGCCGCTATGGAAAACAGTGTGGAGATTCCTTAAAGAACTAAAAAGCAGAATTACCATTTTATCCAGCAATCCCACTACTGGGTATCTACCCAGAGGAAAAGAAGTCATTATTTGAAAAATGTACTTGCACATGCATGTTTATAGCAGCACAATTCACAATTGCAAAATCATGGAACCAACCCAAATGCCCATCAATCAATGAGTGAATAAAGAAACTGTGGTTTATATATACACAATCGAATACTACTCAGTCACAAAAAGGAATGAATTAACGGCATTAGCAGTGACCTGGATGAGATTGGAGACTATTATTCTAAGTGAAGTAACTCAGGAATGGAAAACCAATCATCATCTGTTCTCACTGGTATGTGGGAGCTAAGCTATGAGGACACAAAGGCATAAGAATGATACAATGGAGTTTGGGGACTTGTGGAGAAGAGTGGGAGCGGGGTGAGGGATAAAAGACTACAAATAGGGTGCAGTGTATACTGCTTGGGTGATGGGTGAACCGAAATCTCACAAATCACCACTAAAGAACTTATTCGTGTAACCAAATACCACCTGTACCCCAATAACTTATGGAAAAATAAAAAAAAAAAAAACAACAACAGAAAACAGTGGCTAAGATAGAAGCTTATTTCTCCCTGAGAGATGTAGGTGGATTAGCACTTGGATAGTGGCTCTTTCCCATGAGGTCTTCCAGGCTTCTCCTTTCTTGTGTTGTCACCATCTCTAGATTGCTGCCCTCATGCACATGGCCAAAGGTGGCTTGCCACCATGTCCAATTTCCAGGTATAGGATGATGAGAAGGCAGAAAAAGGGCATGTCCCTCCTTTTTAGACATCCTAGAAGTTGCACCCATCATTTTCTATCACCTCCCATGGAGGCAGGCCTTAATCACATGGCTACACCTAGTTGTAGGGGAAGTTAAGAAACGTCATCTTTATTTTGGTTGACTAGCTAAAGATTGGAGATTTCCTTATTGTAAAACAATGTTTCTCAACGTTTTTTTTCATTATGGACTCAGCACTGCATGCGTGTGTGCGCGCATGTGCACCCACACACACACACACACCCCCCCACATTTCACCTTGCTCTGAGAAAAAATAAAATGAACTGAAAACTAAATTTAATTTCTTCCTGAAGAGAGAAATCAAATGCTAAGAAATAAGATTTTGTTGGGTAGGGTTGAACCTTGGTAGGCCACTAGTCATTGCAATATCTAAAATTTTTTAGCTCTCCAAGAACCAATATTTTCCCCCTTGGGAGCAATTTACCTCTCTTCCCATTGACAATGCATGCTGTAGAATTGGAGGAAAATGGATATTAGCATTTCATGTCACATGGTGCACATTTTTTGACTGACTTCTATACAGATTATTAATACTTAAATGGAATTACAGAATTCTTTTTGAATAAAACATGTGGTGACCATTGATACAGCTTATCCATTTGCTCATGCTTAATTTTGGTACTGACTGTGGCAATGCATAGAGTGCAAATAGGTTCACGTTCCTGCTTTACCACTTAATGACTGTGTGCAAAATACTTAATTTTTGTGAGCTTCATCTCCCTCATTTAAGAAAATTATTAGACCTCACAGGGTGTTAAAATTAATGCCAAGGACGGATTGTCAACTGCAAAGCCTCACAGGGCTAGTGGCTGTTCTTTCCAGCAAAGAAAGGAGGATGGAAATTTCTTAGGATAAGAACTAAGGCCCAGCACTGTTGGTGCTACCCACCTTTCTAGCCTCTTCTTACACAGCTCTCTGCTCCCATCACTTTGTCTTCTCTCAGTTTTCTTTTCTTTTCTCCTTCTCCTTCCCCTCCCCTCTTCTTTTCTTTTCTTTTCTTTCTTTTTGAGACCGTTTTTTTTTTTTGCCCAGGCTAGAGTGCAATGGTGCAATCTCAGCTCACGGCAACTTTCGTCTCCCAGGCTCAAGCGATTCTCCTGCCTCAGCCTCCCAAGTAGCTGGGATTACAGGCATCCACCACCATGCCAGGCTAATTTCTGTATTTTTAGTAGAGACCGGGTTTCACCACGTTGCCCAGGCCGGTCTCGAACTCCTGACCTCAAGTGATCTGCCCGCCCTCCCAAAGTGCTGCAATTGCAGGCGTGAGCCACTGCACCCGGCCCTTCTCTCAGTTTTCAAAGGGGACAATGCTCCTTCCCATGGCACTGTTTTTGCTCATGCCATTCTTCTGCCTGGAGCGACTGTGCATGCTCCTCATTCCTGCCCTCCTGCATAGTAGTTACTCACCATAGTTACCCAGGCCAGCATCATTTCCCTGGGAAGACTTTCCTGAACCCCAGAGGGGCTCTCACCGCACACTTGCAGAGGCCTTGCTGAGCCCGTGTCCGCAGCAACGCTACGTTTCCCTGCAACCCTATGGTTAACATTTCCTTCCACCACTAGGCAAGGAAGGCCTGCGACGCTCCCCGTCTGAGCATGGTGCTAAACACAGTGCCTAGCACCCAGTAAGCGCACACGCATGAGGGAAGGAGCTGGGAGCTGGCTCGGCAGGTCTGGAAGTTGGATAGGGTCTGTAAAGGGCTGCCTGGCTCCAGGGGCCTCACACGCAGCGACCTCAGCCGGGCCCAAGGTGCGTGTACTGCGCATGCCCAGCCAACTGGTCTTCCAGAACCTTCTTCAGTGAGGAGGTTATACCCGGAGGTCTCGACGCTCGCTCGTGCTGCTCGTGTTGCCGCTGGGTACGTTTGCTGCCAGTGCTGATCCAGCCGGAGGCGAAGAGAAGCACTTTGGGGGCAAAAGGTAGGGGTTGTGCCTTCAGGATCTCTCCTCTCTGTCCCCTGAGCGGCCCGCAGCCTCCCCAGCCGAGATGGCCGTGCTTTTGGGGATGGGTGGGAAGGTTCTCAGCGGCGGTGGCCATGAGCGAAGAGGCCCGTTTTGCAGGTTTCACACGAGGCTTGGGTGAGGCCAGCAGGGAACGACGGCCCCAGAAGGGCCAGGGCACTGGGCTTAGGGGTAACCCTGGGCCGTGGGCTTCAGTGACTGGGAAAGAGGCCCTTCGGATAAGAGAAAGGAGGTGTTGGGGTCAGTTGGGAGTCACTGAGGCCAGATCTTATTTGTTACCCAAAAAGGGGCTAATTTTCTGAGATAGCAAGCGGAATGGGAGGGCTTCTCTCGCCTGACCCTACTTCGTGGTGAAACTGTTCTGCCATGGTAGGGTAGGGCCCCGCCCCTCTGAGCAGGCTGGGGCCGCTGCGCCCAGCTCAGGCCTGTCCAGACACTAGTTTCCTGGGCTTCGTTTAGGAACTTGTCATGCAAAGTCTGAGAGCAACCACATTCTCTCAGGAAGCAGGCAGCGGGAAGGAGAAAATCCCATTGATCGTTGCATTTATGGCTAGACAAGGCTTTTAGGAGAAACAGAAACCTGATGAGAGGATGTTGCAGGCGTTTCTCACAGCCCTGGGAATGGAGCCAAAGATGATCTAGAGTTGAAATCAACAGTTACCAATTCCTTTTTGGACAAGAATTTTAACTTCCTGTGCCTTGAAAAATTCCAGTTCTGTGTCCGTAGGGGATCCAAATGCTAATGTAACCCCAAAGAACTTTACAAAGCGGAATTCTTAGTTTTCACAAGTGTGGCCCAGCCTCCCTCTTGAATCTTTTTGGTTGTGGAATCGAGGTGTTCTGTTTAATTATCCAGTGTGACTGACTCTGTGGCAGGGACGGTAAGAGCCTTCCCTTTTTACTTGTGAGAGGAGAAGTTTCTCTCATAAAGAAACCTCCAGGCCTGTTTGAATTTCTCACAGTGTGGATTTCCCCTCCTCTCGGCAGCTGTTGTTAGTATTAAACTGACTAGAAAGGGGTTTATTTCTTGAAAGTCTTAGAAGCCCCAAGAGAATATTCTGATTTTTCTTTTTCCCTCTCCTCTCCCCACGCAGGGAGTCATTCCTTCCTTCCTAAATACAACATGGTGAGTTACATGCAGGCAAATCCTAGCTGTGGGAGGTTTTATATCCTGTCTGCATCTAAGTCACTAAGAGAAAGGACCAAGTTCTTCCTTTGCTAATCTTATTATCTGGCTTCTTGGTTTATATTTCTCATGTAAAACTTAAGGACTGGGTTAGGTTTGTGAATAAACAGTTTTGAGAGAGCATGTTAAGGACATGATGTAAAGGACAACTTTTGCAAAATGTTGACAATAGCAACATTTTTGCTTGGTGACTTTAGGCAAGTCAGCTTGTAGTCTGAGGATATGTAACAATAGCCATTAAGAAGCTGCTGACTAACCTGGAGAAAAATTATCCTGAAAAGAAAACATGTTTATACTTAAAATATCCATACTTATTTAAAATGTCACTTTAAAATTGCATATGTAAGTAATTTTACAAGAAAAAATCCACATTCTTAAAAATCTTCATTTACTGTTTATCATTCATTTCATCCACCAAACTTTTATTCTTATGGTTCTAGACTCTGAGGTCACATATGTGAACAATGATTTCCTCAGAGAGTTCACAGTTCAGTGGGGGAAAACAGCATGTACATTAACACTTATTATAGAAGAAGTGGTATGATAAAGGATTGTACAGAATAATTGGAGGTACAGAGAAGTGCACAACCCTGGCTGATGGGTTCAGACGCAGCTGTCTGAGTTAGGTCTGAAAAGGAGAATTGGCTGGAATTTGTTACAAGAAGAAGTTGGGGGAATATTCTAAGCAAGAGGCAGGAGAAGGTATGCCAAATTTGAGAACCTGCAAGTACTTTAGCAAGGGTGGACGGTAGAGTGAATAATGGAGTGGTGAGAAATTGGTCTAGAAATGTGGCAGGAACAAGACGATGAAGTGCCTTGTGAATCTCTATGTGGGGAGGAGACACTGCAGAATTTTAACTAAGGGAATAACATGAGATTTATATATACACACACACACACACCCCTGTGTATACATCTGCCCCTTGTCACCAGTCTTTAATCTTATTTTACTTGAACATTTCCTTGTGTCTACGTAGTTTATATATTTGTAAAATGTTCTCATATTTCTAGCCTCTTCATTCTCAGTTCTGTGTATTTGAGTTGTTTCCAATAATGTCTCAGTAATACAACAGTGATCTTACTATTTTAAAAAAGATTTTACTCTCTTGGGGTATTTCCCATCTTTGAAACTGTAGGGACAAAGGTTAAAAAACGTTTCTGTATCTTCTGTAACATTTTGACAGATTGCTTGCCAGAAAGATTGGGCTATCAGTATGTAGATGTATCTGTTTCACAATCCTCTTGTCATTTTATTTACTTTTGTTCATTTAGCATGTGAAAATTGGCACTAGAGACTAGTGTTAATTCCATTTTCTTTACAAATTGATATTTTACTTTGTATTGGTTTAACATCTGCATTTCCTACCTTTTTAAGACCACTTGTCAAGTAGAGTCAGAGTTTTGACCTTGTAAATATCTATCAATTCTTTACATATTTTGATTAGGAAGCTCTAATGCATTTTTAGTGAAAATATTTGCTTTTTCCATTTTGTTAAATTAATTTCCTTCATAATTAAAAAAAAGAAAACACAACTTAGGGGCTGAATTGTGTTCCCCCACCGAATGCTTATGTTGAAAACCTAACTGCCAGTACCTCAGAAGGTGACTGTATTTAGAGATAGGGTTTTCACAGAGGTAATTAAGTTAAGGTGAGGTCCCTGAGGAAGCACAGTCTTTGGACTTACTAGACCAAGATATTAAATCAGCTGTCTTAAATATACTCAAAGAACTAAAGGAAATCATGTACAAAAAAACAAAAGGAAACAAGACAAAATGAGAATATTAATAAAGGGGTAGAAATTATAAAAAAGGAAACAAATAGAAATGATGGAGCGGAAAAGTGCAAAACTGAAGTGAAAAAATTTAGTAGATGGGTTCAACAGCAGTTTTGAGCCAGCAGAAGAAAGAATCTGCAAATCTGAAGATAGGACAATTGAAATTTTCAAGGCTGAGAAGTAGAAAGAAAAAAGAATGAAGAAAAGTGAACAAAGCCTAAGAGACCTATGAGACACCATCAAGTGGACCAATATATGCTTAATATGAGTTTCGGAAGGAGAAGAGAGAGAAAGGGACAGAAGACTATTCACAGAAGTAATGACTGAAAACTAACGAAATCCAATGAAACGTATGAATCTGCGTGACTCCAAGAAGCTCAGTGAACTCCAAGCAAGTTAAACTCAAAAAGATCCACACTGAGATACCTAATAGTCAAACTGCTAAAACTCAAGAGACAGAGAATCTTGAAAGCAACAAGTGAAGTGATTCATCATATACATCCAAGGGATCCTAGATAATATTAACAGCTGATTTCTTATCAGAAGCCAAGGAAGCAAGAGGGCAGTGAAACAACATGTTTAAAGTGCTGAAAGAAAAAAAATCTGTCAATGAAGAATTCTATATCTGGCAAAACTACCCTTCAAGAATGAAAAAGAAATGAAGACATTTTTAAATAGACTGAAGCTAGGGGGAGTTTATTACTAGTAGACTTGCTCTACACAACATATTGAAGGCAGTCCTGCAGGCTGAAATGAAAGGATACTAACTCCAAGCCATATAAAGGAATAATACTGGTAAAGGTAACTATGTAGGTAATATAAAAACCAGTATTATTGCACTTTTGGTTTGTACCTTCTCATTTTTCCTATGTGAATTAAAAAATGCATAAAACCATAATTATAAATATGTATTAATGAGCACACAGTGCTGTAATCTGTGACAATAACAATTGTCAAAGGGGAGGGATGCAGATGTATAGGAGCAGAGTGTGTTTGTTTACTGTTGAAACTAAGGTGGTATTCAAACTAGGATGTTACAAGTTTAGGATGTTAATTATAATCCCCAAAGTAACCAGTAAGAGAATAACTAAAAATATACAGAAAAGAAAAGAGGGGACTCAAAATAGTACACTCTAAAAATTCAACTACTTACCAAAAAAGGAAGTAATGGAGAAATTGAGGAACAAAAAAATAAGACACTTAAAAAATTCAATAGCTGAAAGGCAAAGTAAAACCTTCCTTATCAGTAATAACTTTAAATGTAAATGAATTAAGCTCTGGCCTAATGAGCTTATATGTATAAAGGTTTGATTTGCTTTGGTTTGTTGAGACAGGGCCTCACTCTGTTGCCTAGGCTTGAGTGCAGTGGCATGATTATGGTTCACTACAGCCTCAACCTGGCTCAAACAATCCTCCCACCTCAGCCTCTCGAGTAGCTGGGACCATAGGCATGCGCCACCATGCCCAGCTAATTTTTGTATTTTTTGTAGAGATGGGTTTTTGCCATGTTGGTCAGTCTAGTCTGGAACTCCTGGGCTCAAGCGATCCTCTGGCCTTGGCCTCCTAGAGTGCTGGGACTATAGGCACAAGCCTGGCCTGGGATTATAGGCACAATGCCTGGCCTAGGTTTGTTAGTATTTTATTGAGGATTTTTGCATCAATATTCATGAGAGATATTGGCCTGTTGTTTTCTTTTTTGATGTGTCTTTGATTTTGGTATCAGGGTAATACTGGCCTTATAGAATGAGTTTGGAAAGTCTTTATTTCTCCTTCATGTTTAAAGGATATTTTCACTGGATATGCTATTCTAGGTTAAACATGTTTTTTCTTCAGCACTTTAAATATGTTATGCCATTCTATCCTGGCCTGTAAGGTTTCCACTGAAAAGTTTGCTGCTAGACATATTTCCAGATATTTGAAGATATTTGAGTGTTGCTATCTAAGCCATATTTGCGTTAGGAATACCCCAAGCCCAGTAATACTGTAGTTTTTGCAGACTCAAAGAGATACCGCCTTGGTCTTAGATAAGATTTGGAAGAATTCTCTGGATTACCAGGCCGACTCTTGTTCTCTTCCCTTAGTTTCTCCTAAACAAATGAAGTCTCTCTCTCTGTGCTGAGCTGCTTGGGGTTGGGGGTGGGGTGACACCAAGCACACCTGTGGCCACCACCACTGACGTTGTGCTGAGTCAGACCTGAAGCCAGCACAGCACTGGGTCTCACCCAAGGCATGTCACTGTAACCACTACCTGGCTACCATCTGTGTTTGCTCAAGGCCCTACAGCTCTACCATCAGCATGTGGAAAAGTCAGCCAGGCTTATATCCTTCCCTGCAAGCAGCAAGTTTTCCCAGGCACCAGATGGGCCCAGAGATGCTGTCTGGGAGCCAGGGACTGGAGTCAAAAACCTTAGATATCTCCCTGGTGCTCTATTCTGTTGCGGCTAAGCTGGCACTCAATCTATGAGACAAAGTCTTTCCCATTCCTCCCTCCCCTTTCCAGAGGCAGAGGAGCCTTTTACTCATGCCCATCACCACAGACCCATGGGATGTACAGACAGGCTACCTAACACCAATATTCACTTAAGGCCCAAGGGCTCTTCAGTCTGCTTATGGTGAATGCTGCCCAGCCTGGGACTCACGTTTCAGGGCAGTGGGCTCCCCTCTGGGCCAGGGCAGGTCCAGAAATGCCATCTAAGCCCAGGCTGGAATTGGGGGCCCAAGAGCCCACTTGGTGCTCTACCTCACTGTGGCCGAGCTGGTACCTGTGGTTCAAGAAAAAGTCTCCTTTACTTTTCCTTCTGCTTTTCTCAAGCAGAAGGAATCTCTCACTATGACCACCACAGTTGGGAATGTGCTGGGTCTCACCTAAAGCCAGCATATCTGAGTCTCACCCAAGGCCCACTGTGTACTACCTGGGTATTGGCTGCTGGTTATTCAGTGCCCAAGGGCTCTTCAGTCAGCAGGTGATGAATCCTACCAGCAGTGGGTCCTTCCCTTCAAGGCAGCAGGTTCCCTTCTGGCCCAGGGCATGTCTAGAAATGTCATCCAAGATCTAGGGCCTGGAATAGGGGCCTCATGACTCTCTGCCCAGCACTCTATCCTACTGTGGCTGAACTCGTATCCAAGTTTCAAGACAAAGTCCTCTTTATTCTTCCCTCTCCTCAAGCAGAAGGAAGGAGTCGCTTTTATTGCTGTGAGCTGTGTTGCCTGGAGTTGGGAAGGGTGGTGCAAGCACTCTCTTTGCTGTCCTGGTTGGTGTCTCATTAGGTCATGTTCCCCCAACTAGGTTGTGCACTCCCCAAGTCCACTGGCTCTTCAGCACAGCACTAGGACTGCCTAGGACTTGCAATCCTTGTGGCCTAGACTGCCTTTCAGATTTATTTAGGACCCCAGAGCACTTTAGCGAGCAGAGGCAAGACTTGCCAAAACTCAACTTCTAACCACTAGGATGGGTGATTCCCCTTTGCCTGGGGATGGTCTAAATGCTCCCTCCATGGGCATCCACTGAGTTCAGCCTAATTTTGCTTTCCACTGTGACAGAGCATGACTGGGTTCCCCCAAGCACACAGATTATCTTTCTGTGCCTCATGGCCACTGCCAGGGGAAGGGAGAGGGGTGGCATTGGCCATTCAAGACCATCTTTCCTACCTGGTTTTAACTTTGTATCACTGAAAGAAGTACTGATTGGTTCAGCCACTGTGAGAAGCAGCTTGGATATTTCTCAAAGAACTTCAAATAGAACTACCATTCAACCCAGCAATCCCATAACTGGGTATATACCCAAACAAGTGTAAATCATTCTACCATAAAGACACGTGCACATGTATGTCATCACAGCCCTATTCACTATAGCAAAGATATGGAACCAACCTAGATGCCCATCAACGGTGGACTTCATAAAGAAAATGTGGTACATATACACCATGGAATACTAAAAAAGAACAAAATCATGTCCTTTGCAGCAACAGAGATGAAGCTGGAGGCCATTATCCTAAACAAATTAACACAGGAACAGAAAACCAAATACTGCATGTTCTCACTTATAAGTGGGAACTGAACATTGAGTACCCATGGACACAAAGAAGGCAACAATAGATACTGGGACCTACTCGACAGTGGGGGTAGGGAGGAAGATGAAGATTCAAAAACTACCTATCTGGTACTATGTTCATTACCTGGGTGATGAAATAATCTATACACCATACCCCCACAACACACGATTTACCCATGTAACAAACCTGCATGCGTACTCCCTAAACCTAAAATAAAAGTTGGAAAGAAAAAAAATTCAAGAAGTATTAAATACAAAGTAATATGCCATGAAAAGTCTCCCTGTGCTATGAATGGAATACCAAGTTTACTGTATTTTACATTGCCATATAAAAGTGAATCTAAACAAAGCAAATGAAGAACATATGCCAGAGCTGAGCATGGTGGCTCATGCCTATAACCCCAGCATTTTGGGAGGCCGAGGTGGGTGGATCGCCTGAGCTCAGAAGTTTGAGACCAGCCTGGGCAACATGGTGAAGCCTCATATTTGTATTATCTACCAAAAATACCAAAAAAAATTTAGCTGGCGTGGTGGCACATGCCTGTGGTCCTAGCTACATGGGAGGCAGAGGTGGGAGGATTGCTTGAGCCTGGGAGGTGGGGGTTGGAGTGAGCCGAGATCACACCATTTGCACTCCAGCCTGGGTGACAGAGTGAGACCCCATCTCAAGGAAAAAAAAAAAAAAAAAGAACATATGCCAGAAAGGAAGTAATCCAATGAAGTCATGGGAATTTGAACATAATAAGATTCTTTGTGAAAAAAATGGCCCCACCAAAAGATGAAAAATATCAAAAAGATTAGAACTAAGTGTGTTTTTGTAATACTCAGGAAAGGAGTAAAAAAGAAAAGTAGAGTAATTACAGAGAATAAAAGCAGTACTATTCTGGTGATGGCTTGTATTGGCTAGGGAGAGCTAATGGTTAGATTTTCATGAATTATGTGAGTTAGTTTTAAAATACAGTCATTATTAAAAAATAAACTACGTATTTGCAATTGAATGAACTATGTTAAAATTATACTACAACAGATTTTATTGTTTCTTTCTAGGAAGATCAGTGTACTGTACACTGAAGCTTGTTAAATAAAAAAAATTCAATCTGATAAAAAAGCAATTCTTGGCTGGGCACCCTGTAATCCCAGTTGAGATCGCGCCACTGCAAGCTCTGCCTTCTGGGTTCACCCCATTCTCCTGCTTCAGCCTCCCGAGTAGCTGGGACTACAGGCGCCCGCCACTACGCCTGGCTAATTTTTTTGTATTTTTAGTAGAGACAGGGTTTCACCATGTTAGCCAGGATGGTCTCAATCTCCTGACCTCGTGATCCACCCATCTCGGCCTCCCAAAGTGCTGGGATTACAGGTGTGAGCCACCGCGCCCGGCCATATCACATTCTGATGTATGTCCTATGCAAGAATATCTGTGGTATATACATAGTAGTAGAATTGCTGGAACATGGGGTATGCCAGTGTTTAGCTTTGTGAGATAATGCCAAACTGTTTTCCAGAGTAGTCATAGCTATTTTTTCTTTCATCAGCAGTGGAAGAGCATTCCTCATTGCCTTGCATCCTTGGCAATGGTTGATGTTATCAAACTTAAAAAGTTTTGCCAGTTTAGTGGTGTGAAATGTTATTTCACAATGATTTGAATGTACATTTCCTTGATTACAAATGAGGTTGAACATCTTTGTATGTTAGGGGCTTATGCTTCTTACTTCTGTGAAATTCTTACTCACTTCTGTTTCCTTTTTTTTTTTCTTCTTTTTTTTTCTTTTAGAGATGAGGTCTCACTCTGTTGCCCAAGCTGGAGTGCAGTGGTGCAGTCATAGCTCACTGTAACCCCAGACTCCTGGGCTCAGGTGATCCTCCTGCCTCAGCCTCCTGAGTAGCTAAAAAAATATATTTTTTTTGGTAGAGACAGGGTCTCACTGTGTTTCCAGGCTGGTCTCAAACTCCTGAGCTGAAGAAATCCTCCTGCCTTGGCTTCCCAAAGTGCTGAGATTACAGGCATGAGCCACCACACCCAGCCTTGTCTTTTCCTTTTTGATCTATGGGAATTCTTTACATATTCTAGATGCTAATAATTTGCCAACTAAATGTATTGTGAAGATCTTCTTAGTAAGTAATTGGATGTGGGAGGAGAGGAAGAAGTAGTATAGAATTACTCCCAGGTTTCTGGTTTGGGAAACTGATTGGATGATGGTGCAATTAAACTAGGACATAGAATAGAGGAGGAGAAACAGATCTCAGGGAGAGGAGAATTAGTTTATTTTGGAGTTTAAACTAAAGTTCCTATGGGATATTCAAGTGGACATGTCTTAGAGAAATTTGGCCATAGGGCTGGATGTGGTGGCTTGCACCTGTAATCCCAGCTTCTCTGGAGGCTGAGGTCAGAGGATTACTTGAGCCCAGGAGTTCGAGGCTGCAGTGAGCTATGATTGCACCACTGCACTCCGGCTTGGGTGACAGAGGAAGACCCTGTGTCTAAAAAAATAAGAGATTAAAAAAAAAAGAAATTTGGCTATAGGGATTTGGAGATTAGGCCAAGCTCTGTTATGCTACATTAGTTCTGTAGGATCTTATATGATGGGCCTTTCAGGAGATTACAGTTGGAAGGAGAGAGAGTGGTAATTCTCTAACTCATTTGTCTTCTGCCCATGCCACCTTCTTCTCCAGGCCATAGATTTCTCCAATCTAAGTTTCTTATGAAATAAATATCCCAACCAAGTGACACACAAGGCACTTCATCTTAGTTATAATTACTTTATTAACCTTTTGATCTTTCAACATTTAGATAGTCTTTCTTAATATTTCCAGGAGAGTACCTCATTTTTATTTTGAAAACCATTCAGCACATTTATCTTATGTAACATGCAGAGCATATATCTATCTGTATTTTTAAAATTTTCCTGTTACTCATTGATACATAGTACTTAATTACATGTTATTCCATGTACACTGAAAACAATATAGGAAATATATACATCTAAGACTTCTACTTTGTACAGTCTTTCATTAAATAAGAATACTTACACATACATTTTCAGATATTTCTACCTTCCTGTATGTGTTTGGAATTGTATGTAGGTAGCCACTGAAAGAATTTGGGCCCCTTGGGAGGATGGCAGTGGAAGTCCATGAAGTAAAGAGCATTCTTTAAAAAGCAGATTTGATTGCATACCTTTTAGTTATTTGAGATTCTGAGAATTCTGATAAACCCCAAAGCAGAAAGATTCCTTAGTACCCTTGGAAGATGGGAAAGGTGAGGGAAATATTTGAAGCAGGGTCAGAACATCCACTAAGAACATAGCACCTCAGTAGAGCTTACATTATAGTGCCAGGGTAGAGTTATTACTGAATAGCTTAGGATGATGAACATTAACCTTCCTACAGGAGTAGTAGCAGCTGATTTGGTGACCATCATTGGTCACCTTTTAGTGTAACTGCAAACTAAGAACAATTATGGCTTGACATATACTCCATGTAGGGAAGTGATGGGAGAGGCAGCCTCTGTGTGGTCCATCCTTGGAAGCACTGCATCGATTTTGCTCCCCTCTGGTTTTAAGGAGATCTTTTAGACCTGTAAGAAGAGAAAGGGGATATAAAAGTGTGATAGTCTGACTCTGGCTTCAGATTGGGTTGTGTTTGGAAAGTACCGAGTTCATAGAATAGATAACTGAGCTTTCCTGCTGCTATGCATTCATTATGGATTATAGGGGTTGCTTTTTTCAACCATGAAAGACTTGGGGAAAATGTTGTCAGTTTTGCTTAGATAGTTATAGCTGTACTTCAAGGTTGACTGGTAATCAGGGTAACTTCTGATACTTATCACACAAGATGGTGCCTCAGCATTTAAATAAATGGAGGTAGGGGAGGGCGTGGTGGTAACATACTTTTAAACCAGCGATTGCACAGCAAACCACAATGCAAGTATTTCTGACTCCCAAGATTGCCGTTTCCTAAAGAGCAATTCTTCTGCAGGCAACAGCAAACCTACCTTTCCTTGCTAACTGCTTTCAGTAAATTCTTGATGGCCTTCGATTCTGGATTCAGACATCTCTTCTCACCCTTCTTTTTCATTGTAGCACTGTAGAAATAAATAGGGATGAAAATATTTAAAACTGTGTTGGGTCAATAAAACAGATGGCATACGCAGTTCTGAAGTCAGACATTTAAGTTTCACTCTGCATGTTTTTGTTTGCTGTACATTAGTTTTAGAATCATCACAAACCCTTTACTGATCTTTTTTTATTATCATTACATATTTAATACAGTATATAATTACAACCAGGGAAGTGATAATCAGATGGGATTTCACTCACATGATCTCAACACGTGGACAAAATTGGCTTGCAGGAATAATTTCAAGTTTTTCTAAAGACCTTGGATTAACAGGTTGATTACTAATGCTGATGCAGGTACAGCGTACAGTTCTAGAGAGAGGTACTCCTGTAGGAAAAGAGGAACAGCAGAGAAGGTTAGCACAGTGTTCATTTTAGGCATTTAATGTAGACTGGTGGTATTTAGCAGAACCTATATCCCCATATCAGCAAATAGTCACTTAATCTGAGGAGGAATGGATCACATCATAACACAACTGTAAATGATTAAAGAGTTGATTATCTGGAAGAAAAGAATTGCAGCTTGTTGATTATAAAGTCAAACCCTTAAGCACAGTTCATGTGGTTCATTGAGCTTAGTTAGGTAAGGAAGTATCTGTATCTCATCTCTGTCCGCATTCCCTCACATTTTCTCTCTCTATCCTCCCTCTTCCCCATCTCTTCTGTCCTCCTTCCCTTTTTCCTTCTCTTTCTCTTATTCTATTTGTTTCTCTCACTTCAATTCATATAAGTTTTATGATCTGAGGGAATCTCTATTTATTTCCCTCTTATTTATAAGCATGCAGTGAAACTTTTACAAATACATTATTTCTGTATTTTTAGAATTTATACCTATTCCTATTTCTCATTTTACAAATTAAGTATCCTTTGATGTTCCTTACCTTGAATGCCACTTAGAGTCAGAAAGATAAGGCAGCAAATCAGAATGGCAGTTTGATTCATGGTGCTGAGACTGGAGGTTCCTCTGCTGTAGGCTCAGAATATGTCTAAGCAATTGAGGAATGTCTCAGAAAACGTGGGGCTAGTGTGCCATATTTATCTGCAAAGCCATTTTCCCTCCCTAATTCTGATTGGATAAGGGCATTACAGTTGACTTAGCAAAACCTGCTGGCTGTTCCTGGGGAAGTCCCATGTTGCAGACTCGAAGGTATTATTTATTGTAGCCTCCAAGTTACGGAATTTCCCTCTGCTCCTCTTTTTTTGGTAATAGTGAATTAGGTTTCACTTTCCAAAACATGAACTGTTTCTTGAAAAAAAGAACTTCATTGCATATAGAAAAAAACAAAGGTTGCAATCCATTCTAACTATAATGCTTTTTCTCAACACTTAAACTTTTACAGTTACTTTCAGAGGTTATTTTTCAAAATATCCCCAGTAATAGAAATTTTTCATCCTTTATAGGTAAACCTAATTTTTTGGTAACAGCAAGTTGTGCCTGATTATTAGAACAGTGATTTACCTGGACAGTCCTCCTTGATCAAATACTATAAAGTAATAGGACTGGCCTGCTTTGACAGGGTCAAAGATCTGGAACTGGCAAGTTTTAAATAATTCAATAAATGCTTTGATCATTCATAACACCATTAGATTAAGTAAATAGCCTCCAACATAACTATTTTGAGGGAAAACATTGCTCATTTGGGTATCTGATTTGTGGTGTGTTAAAACAAGTTTCACGTCTTATAGCAGTCCCTGAATGAAAACATCATAAGATGGTATCTAGAATGGTGTGAGAAAAGGATTCATAGCTATCCTAGGGTTATTGTAAAAAACAAAGGGTGCTTTTTGAGGAAATGAATTTAAAAGCGGGGGGGCACGCATAGAGACAGACCTTGGGAAAGTAGCTTGAGACAGAAGGGAAACAGGTTGATTTACGATGGGGTTCAGCTCCAAGACACTGTTAAATGCAAAGAAAAAGAAAAAAAAAGTGTTGGCCATTGAGCTAGTAACAGTGATAACTGAAATTGGCACAATTTTAACTGGATGATGAATCGTGGCAAAACTTAATTTCACAGCATTCAATAGTACTTGACTGATTATTCATAGTAGCTAGCAGTAGAAAGCACATGATACTCATATAATGGAACACATGTTGAACCTGAGAGTGGAAATTTAGCAGTATCCATGGATATAGTGGTCCTTGGTTGTGTTCTTTGCAAATGATTAGTAACAGGGAATCCAAGATGAAATACTGTTTCAAAGGCAGGCACCACCCTGCAATGAGAGATCTGAGGCAAGTGATATTTAGAACCTAGGAAAATATATGGGAGTTCTTTTCATAGTCAGCTGGGCTGCAACAATGCAGGGATTGGTCAGGGAATGGAAAAGCTTCCATCCTAGGATCAGGCTACTGTACTAGGCAGATACTGTCTCAGAACCTGGTATCAGGGGCCAAGAATAAAGCCTGTATCTGCAAACTGGGTGCACATAAAACTTGGATCCTCAAATGTAGGAACTCCATCATTAAAGCAGAGAGTGAGTTGCTTGGGGTAAATGGAATTTGCTAGAGAGCTGAATCCCATGTTAATCTGTTCTAGGAACTGGAATAGAGCTAAGCTTTCAAGTGAATAAGTCAGTGGAATTAGCTGTGGGAAACCGGAAAGGCAAAAGAGAGGGAGGTGAGGTAGAGACTGACAGAACCCAAAAGACTTTCACCTAGCAAAGAGGCGTTCGTTCTGATGAGGGAAAGTCTTATGAGAAATAGTGACAATGGAGGGATCCTTCCATACCTATTTGTGCAGAACAAACATTTTACTGTGAATAGAATGCCAACAAATTTCAGAGAAATGTCTGACATCATGAATGGAAGAGGCCTAGAAAAGTTCAACATTAAACAATCAAAATGAGAGATGGTGACAGTTTTATTTTAGTTGGTATCTAAGTTGTCAGCTAAAATGTCTCTATATAGAAGACAATGTAAAAAGGAGATACTTGATAAATGGACTAAAAATCTGTTATTAGGGATAAAATATTTGATTTTTACTAAACATTGTATTACATTAACTGTGTGCCAGGCATTGTTTGAACTGCTTTGTGACTATTGACCATATTGACTCATTTTATTCTTATAATAACATCTACCTCTGACCCAGCCACTCTTCTATTTTTTTCACCATAGATTATTTTTGCCTGTTCTAGAACTTCATATAAATGGAACCACTTGAGTATATACTCTTTTGTGCAAGACATCTTTTGCTCAGTATAATGTTTCTTAGATTCATCGATGTAGTTGCATGAATTAGTAATTTGTTTCTCTTTATTGATGGGTAGTAATCCATTGCACAAACATATCAGTTTGTTTCTTGTTGATGGACACCTTGACTGTGTTCAGATTTTAGTTATTATATATAAAGCTGCTACGAAGATTTTTTTATAATTTTTTTTCTGGGCATATGCTTTCATTTTGTGGGGTACATATGTAGCAGTGGAACATGATCACTTACTTTTTTTATTTAAAAAACGTAAGTGATCACGTCACTCTTCTGCTTAAGACCTCAAACAACTTCCAGTTAGAATAAAATCCAAATTTCTAATTAAGCTGCTTTACTAAATCCTCTATGATCTGGCTGCTACCTATTTGTCCAACCTCATATCATTCCTTCTCAACCACTACAATCCAGTCAGTGGCCCATACACTGGCAATTTTCTCCATCTGGTATGCTTTTCCTCCTGTTCGTCACATAGAGAGTTCCTTCTGGACATTTAAATTTTAGCTGGCTTGTACCTTCTCTTGTCACACAATCTGAAGCAGACATGACTTTAATTCTCTACATGGCATTTCATACTATCTGATATTCAGTTCATTCATTTTTTTTAATTAGTGTAATGTCTGTTTCTCCATGCTAAAATGTATGCCCCAGGAGAACAGGGAACTAAAATGCATATGAGAGGCATTTGGTAAATATTGGATAGAAGGATGGTTGAATGAATCTTTACAGACTTTAAGTGACAGCATACCAGGATTGTATTTCAAGAAGTATTTCCATTTGTTCATCAGATTTCTGAATCTGGACATGAGTATTATTGTTTTCCTTAGCTTTAAGAACCAAGTTTAATTTAAGAAGACTATAATTTCCCCAGAAGTTAGTTTAGATTTAAGTAGGTAAAATCAATACAGATATTCTCAGCTAGCTATAGGACAGACTCTTCATTCCGGAACTCTGGTAAATATAGAGTGGTACCCCTAAAAGCTTCTTAGTTATTTGCTGTTTTTTTATCTGTAATTAAGCATTGAATGAATGAATGCAGGAATGCAAATATCCTCAGTGCATATCATGTATATGGCCATGGATGGTGTTAGAAGAAGGAGGAGAAGTAGGCTTGTTCTCATTATTTTCTGTGCACTTTGTGTAGGGAACTAAGCTAATCTCAGGGAATACTAGAAGGGTTGAGATCCAATATTTATCCTTGATGGGTTTACATTCTAATTGGGAAGACCAGAAACTATGAAACAATAAATATCAATAAGAGAAACTTTATGGGCCGGGCAAGGTGGCTCATGCCTGTAATCCCAGCACTTTGGGAGGCCCAGGCGGGTGGATCACCTTAGGTCAGGAGTTCTAGAACAGCCTGGCCAACATCGTGAAACCCTGTCTCTACTAAAAATACAAAAAATTGGCTGGGCGTGGTGGTGGGCGACTGTAATCCCAGCTACACAGGAGGCTGAGGCAGGAGAATCACTTGAACCCTGGAGACGGAGGTTGCAGTGAGCCGAGATCACGCCATTGCACTCTAGCCTGGGCAACAAGAGCGAAACTCCGTTTCAAAAAAAAGAAAAGAAAAAAAGAAACTTTATGATCAGTACCAAATGAGTGGTATAGAAAATAAATAATGTGGAGGTTCATAGGAGACTGTACTCATTAAGGTCAGAAGTTTTCAGAAGATCCTTCAGAAAAAAAGACCTCAGATGAGCCATAAAGTGTGAATGTTACTTAAGTAAGTGGCCAGGAGAGGAAAGCTTGTGCAATTACAGATAAATGTCATCAAAAAATGGTAAAGGGGGAAGCCAACCAACCAGTCAGAAAAATTGGTAGACTCATAGGGGTGATAATGCCGTGTTAGGATTCTATAAAATCTGGTCCTCAGTTTTTCCAGTCCAGAAATTCTCATTTTTTCCTAATCATCCAGGGTAAGCATATTCTCAGAGAGTTAACTCTGCTAACCAAATCTCAGATAGACTAAGATGAAAATTAAAAGACAGTGTATCCATTACAATCCATTACATTTGATGACAGATAAATGTCATCAAAAAATGGTAAAGGGGGAAGCCAACCAACCAGTCAGGAAGATTGGTAGACTCATAGGGGTGATAATGCCGTGTTAGGATTCTATAAAATCTGGTCCTCAGTTTTTCCAGTCCAGAAATTCTCATTTTTTCCTAATCATCCAGGGTAAGCATATTCTCAGAGAGTTAACTCTGCTAACCAAATCTCAGATAGACTAAGATGAAAATTAAAAGACAGTGTATCCATTTACAATGAGAACCTTTTCAGTGACTAGGATGATTGGTTTTGGTATCCAAGTCACCCCTTTCCCAAGATCAGATTGCCTAGGAAATTGAATTAGTATCAGAACAGTACCTGGTGAGCAGAGTCAAACGAAGGACCCTTCTCTTCTTGTTTTAAATGAGGGTTCTGCTCAGGGTAGAAACCTGACAAATGTGATCAACATGGAAAATCATTTAGAAAAAAAAAATCAAACTTTTAGAGACAGTAGCAAGCCCACTATTACTTATTTCACCCAAAGCCAAGACTGCATGTGTCATTTGAATAAAAATCTAAATGATAACTCTTTTTATATATTTCTCTCAATTTTTGCAACGTTTATGGTATAATCACGTTCCTAGAATTCACTGATCTGAGTATAATTTTGAAAGAAAATGAAAGTTAAGGAAGTATCCCGCTTTAGTTTCCGTTTCAGTCGCTATTGATTTATCTTTAAGCCTGTGATTATGGCATCAGGCCAAAAAAGACAACAATGAAAAAAGGAACAGTCTGCCCTGACAAACTAATGAGCACAGACGAAGGCAAAAATGCTTTCCCGGAAACTGTTATGCTTAGAAGAAATTTTCTAAAAAGTGAGCAGGAGGACATCAGTGATTTCTGTGGACTGGGAATCCCCTCAGCTGGTGCAGAATATGCCTTGGAAAGTATGGGAGAGCAGGGCAAAGCTTCCCCTTCACAGTTTTCACTCTGAGCTCTCAAAAGATTCCCCGAGCTCACAGTGTTTGGTAATACTGGTTACATACTTTTCAATTACCCATGTGTCTCATCCTTCATAGCCAGCCTAAGCAGAGGGCAAACTGAGTGCTGGCAAAGTGGGTGGTAGACCCTAACAATCATCATGGCATTGGAGGAGGCAGAGGCTCAGAATAGCTTCTGTTTGGATACATTTTAGGCTATGCAGTGTTTCTGAACTCGCGCACTTGAGAGGACTTTTACAAATATGGCAGATTTCATCATTTGGAGGAAGAGACAAAATTGGAGGACATTATAATAAAGTAAATGTGTTTGGGGGAAGTATGGTGCATTTCTTTCTCCTTCCCATAAATAAGATATTTCAACAAAATAAATTAGAATTTTGTGATACTTTGTTCCATTTTTAATCAAAATCTTTAGAAAATGTCTAGTTTTAATTTTAATTGATTCATCATTGGTTGTCTTTTCTTTTGAGAAGAGGAATCTTGAGATATGATATAGTTCAGTAGTGCCTGTTATTCCATATTTTAGATTATCATTCAGTTTTCTTCAACTTCTTATTGACAGTTTGTCTTTGTGAACAATTTGAAGAAGAATGCTAAGTCAGGATTTATTATATAGAGTCTATAATTCACGTTAGGGCATTTCCAATTTAGTAGCAGTTTATTGAGCAGCACTAAGGAACTATGAATACATCTGTACTTATGGTGCCAGGATTTTTAGGACGTATTCTTCTTAGGTACTTAAGTGAAACTATGGTTTCAGTGTTATGTGATAATCTCAGACTTGCTCAATTTCATTACCAGTGTCTGGTTAATAAAATTTGCAGACAAGGCAAGAAGAAGCAACTAAAATTGCCTCATTCACCCCTTCTCCAAAAAAAACCCTAACAGTTTTTTTTGTGTGTGTACTACTTATAATCCACAGAATGTGCTGACCATATCATAAAGATTTATAATTGTTGGCTATGAAAATCTTTTCAGAAATAGATACAAAGAGGTATATTAATTCCATGTGGGCATATTAGGTCCTGTACTCAGTAGCCAAAAATAATTAAGTATAATCTTTCCTTTTCTAATAGCATTATCCAAAACTACTCCATTTGTTTGAAAGCTCTTCTTGGCTAATTAGAGGAAACAGTCCTGAAATTTTAAGTCACTGTGAGTGTTTGGCATCTTAAGTTCCATGTATTTAAAATCGAATCTGCAGTTTTTTCTGCTAAACTACATCTTCCCCCTCATATCCCTATTTCTGTTAGTGACAGAACTATTCTTTCAGACCTCAGAAGTTCAGCCTTTTTTCCTTGTCTCTTCTCTGCTTTAAATTCAGACTCAAATCCTTAACATGTTCTTTGTTTCTTTTTTGCATCTTCAACTTTCTTTTTCTGAGATGGAGTCTCGCTCTATGTAGCCCAGGCTGGAGTGCAATGACGCGATCTCGGCTCACTGCAACCTCCACCTCCCGGGTTCAAGCGATTCTCCTGCCTCAGCCTCCTGAGTAGCTGGGATTACAGGCATGCACCACCATGCCCAGCTAATTTTTTGTATCTTTGGTAGAGACGGGGTTTCACCATGTTGGCCAGGCTGGTCTTGAACTGCTGACCTCGTGATCCACCCGCCTCGGCCTCCCAAAGTGCTGGGATTACAGGCGTGAGCCACCGTGTCTGGCCTCAGCTTCAACTTTCACATCCAATCTATCACTGTCTTGATTATTTTTGTACAGTGTACTTGTCATTATATTTCTACTCTTACCAATACCACCTTAGTGTAGCCCTTCTTCTTTTTATGATAGTAAAATACAAATAACATAAAATTTACCATTTTAACCATTTAAAAGAGTACAATTCAGTGGAGTTAAGTACTTTCACAGTGCTGTGAAGCCATCACCATAATTTAGTTCCAGAACATTTTCATCACCCAGAAACTCCATACTCATTAAGTAGTTACTCCTCATTAACACCTCCCCCAAACCCCAGTCAGCTAATTTGCTTTTTGTTTTTATGGTTTTGCCTACTCTAGATATTTCCTATAAAATGGAATCATACAATATGTGGTCCCTTGTGTCTGGCTTTTTTTACTTAGCATATTTTCAAGGTTCATCCATGTTGTAGCATGTATCAGTACTTCATTCCTTTTTATGGCCGAATAATCTATTGTGTGTGTATACCACATTTTATCCATTCACTTGTTGATGGATATTTGGGTTGTTTCTGCTTTCTGGCTGTTGTGTATAATGCTGCTATGAACATTTGTGTACCAGTTTTTGTTTAAAGAGCTGTTTCAGTTCTTTTGGGTATATACCTAGGAATGGAATTGCTGGATTATATAGTAATATATAATTACTATAATTATGTTTAACTTATTGCAGAGCCAGCCCCATTACTTTTCACACCAGTGTTTCCCAAAGTGTGGGACACTACCATGTACATTGATAATAACGTTTAGTATCAGTGAATTATTCTCTTCTTAACTTCAATCCCTCTGATTAATTAAATCAGGGGGAATATTAGTATTTTTTCATTGTATTTTGTTTTATCATTACATTTTATTTCCATGGCATGTATTACCGATTTTACATGTACAGTAGTGAAAGTTTACTTTTCATGTAAATGTACGTAAAATAAAGTGGTATACAGAGTTTCTAAAAATATAATGAAGATCAAACAGAGAAATGTTAAAAAAAAATTGTAAAGATGATATGAGAATGCCTTGAAGTTTTGGAAATACAGACCTGAGATATTGCAGCTATTGCAGCAAATCCCAACTGATTTTCCTCCTCCACTCTTTCCCACTTTCAATCAACCATTCATGCAATTCCCAGAATATTTTCCAATGACTTTGATAGGGTCACTCTCTTCTTCACAAACATTTATTGAATCCCCATTTTGTACAGAGTAAAATTCAAGGTTATTTACAGTTTCATGTCCTTCATCCTTCCAACCAAACGAATCTAATTATGATTCCTAAAAATCACTTTATACTTCCTACTACTGTACATTCCCTTGTGTCATTCCTCTGCTGTAAATTCCTTTTCCCTTAGTTTATATTGCCATTCAATAGGGTCTGATATGCACCAGAAACTGTACTGTTGGCCTGGGCTACAGCAGCTTTCTTTTACACTTATGAGAGAGCAGATATTAGGCACAGGAATAATTCATTAATTACAATTGCAGTAAGTAGTATGATGGAAAAATAGAGAGTGTTATGGAAATAAATAAATAGGACACCTAATCTAGTTAAAGCTGAAGTGGTGGTTTCAAAGGCTTCTTGGAGAAAAAGTCATTTAAGCTGAGACCTAAGCAATTAGTAGGCATTAGCTTAGTGAAGAAATGGGCAGAGAGAATAGTATGTGCAAAGGTACCAAGGTGGGGAGGATCTTGGCTCAAATATGTTAATTATTAATATTTCATATATTTATTTTGCTATGAAGAACTTTAGGTGTATGTTTTCTTCTCAGTAATAATGTACTGGCCTATAATATTTAATATACTTCTTACAAATACCAATTTATCATGCAGCCTTAACTCTGTGAATTTTTTTTTTTTTTGAGGCAGGCTTTTGCCCAGGCTGGAGTGCAGTGGTGTGATCACAGCTGACTGCAGCCTCAACCTCCCAGACCCAAGTGATCCATCCACCTCAGCTTCCCAAGTAGCTGAGGTTACAGGCATGTGCCACCATACCCAGCTAATTTTCCTATTTTTTATAGAGATGAATTTTCGCTATGTTGCCCAAGCTAGTCTTGAACTCCTGGGCTTAAGCCATTCACCTATGTTGGTCTCCCAAAGTGCTCAGATTATAGGTGTGAGCCACCATGCCCAGCTGACTATGTGAATTTTTATTTTTAAAGAGACTTAAAAAAAAAATCACTGTAAGTAGTCAAAGATTAGATTCAAGTCTTTTTTTTTTTTTTTTTTTTGAGGTGCAGTTTCACTCTTGTTGCCCAAGCTGGAATGCAATGGCATGATCTCAGCTCACTGCAACCTCTGCCTCCCGGGTTCAAGCGATTCTCCTGCCTCAGCTTCCTGAGTAGCTGGGATTACAGGCACGTGCCAGCAGCCTCGGCTAATTTTTTGCATTTTAAGTAGAAATGGGGTTTCACCATGTTAGCCATGCTGGTCTTGAACTCCTGACCTCAGGTGATCCGCCCGCTTCGGCCTCCCAAAGTGCTGGGATTACAGATGTGAGCCATCGCACCCAGCCAGATTCAGGTCTTAAAACTATCCAGGGAATTTATATGGAAGTCCCATCTCTATATAGATATTTATATAGATTTATATAACAATTTATTATAAATCTATATTGTATCTATAACCTATATAATAATGCAATATAGATATATCTGATTATAATCCTATAATAAATATTTTTATTTTTCAAATGTATGGGTGCCTATATAGAGAGTACTGCTATCAGTCAAGGCTTTTGGTTACATGCAGAGAAACCAACTCTGGCTATCTTAAGGAGAAAAAGAATTTAGTTGGAGGTTGAAGAATCCACAGGACAATGGAGAATAAGTCTTGGAAAATGGACAAAGACCTAAGGGAACTAGGTGATAGGAAGGACTAGCCAGAGTCATGCTACAGGAACACACATTGGGAAGACACTACTGTAAGACTTTCATTGTTTCTCCTGCTGCTGCCAGGCTTGAAATAATTTTCTTACTAATAGTATCTTTGTGATGCCAGCTGGAGTTCAAAGTCTAGGGTAGAAACAGCATGGCTGAGTCCTTGTTGTGGCTACAGGAGAGGATCTCCTGTCTTTGGCTTCTCTCTTTTGGCCTCCCACCAACACTCACATAAGGGATTTTCTCCAAGTAAGAAGGGGGTTTGGACTATCAAGACCCCCCAAGGCCGACAAAAGAAACAACTGTCTTTCCCACCTACCCATTAAAATATATTTCTAAACAGTTTTTCATGATGACGGATAGGTGTATGTTTCTGAAATATAAGGCAAAATTGTTAAAGGCATCTCAAATGTCCTGGAAAGTATATAGATCTTTTTTTAAAAAAGAAAGGTTGTGGTAGTTTATTAGAGAAAAAAATGACTTTGATTCTTTAAACTAGTCTTGAGTATACCTAAATTTTACAGTATATAGGCATGAACAAAGAAATTGATTAGATTATGTATTTTTCTAAGAGACAGAATTACAAAAAGTAAAAGTGATTGCTAGGTATACATTTGCTTATTTTTCAACATTTTTCTTTGGTAGACAAAAACATTTTGTATTTCAGATGTGTCCAAGATATTGCTATCATTTATACAAACGGATCAAAACAAAAAGTACAGTAAACACACATATCCTAATTGCTTCAAAACATCTCAATGAATAAAAGTTGAAAAACATCAAATTAAGACTGGTGCTACTAATTTGGTTATGAAATATGTGCACTTTTGCCAGTATCCCATAGCGTATAATTTTTTTCATAGTACATTTTATGAATTACATTTAATGAATTGGTTATAAAACAAACCAAATGATGCATAAGAATGTCTCCCTACATATTGATGTGCTACATGATGTTTGGGGAAAGAAGTGTGTATTTGCATGAAAAAATGTTTGAGGAATGTTTTACGACACATAGATGCTTTTGACTTATAAGGGCTTGACTCCAGTAATAATGTCAATGTCTCCACCGTAACCACAGATAGTAATATAGCATAAAGATCAATACAGACAGATGACTTCTAGAGACAGAAATGTTCTCATAGTCACAACAGAATAGTTGTAAGCATCAAATCTAGAAGGTTCTCTAGCCTAGAAATGCATGAATGTATAATGCAACAAGTAAGAACGTGAAAGCACTTTGTAAACTCCGATGGTAACCAGCCTTTCTTAAGGTAGCTTTTCCTAGAAATCCATTTAATTGTTGGACTCCTTTGGGCAGTGGAATTCTGATTGTCATTCATTCAGGAAGACTGTATTTCTGTTTTTGGTCCTTTCACCCACCTTTCATCCTTCACATAACTGTACAAAAGTTGAAAGTCACAAAACCATAGAAAAGTCTCAGTTTCCTACTGTAGAATTCTTGTCATTTCAGTAGTCACAGTTAAACTTGTTCTAGGTTTTTCAGATGCTCTTTTCCAGGACTTCATATGTTTTGATATTTTTAAAAATTCTTTCTTTCAACTTTCTGGAATAAGAAAACAAGAGTTTTATTTACTTGGGCTGTTCTTGTTTCCCCCAGGACATCTAAAAACATGTAGTAAGAAGGGGAAGCTGTTACAACCAAGGACCCCTTAACAGAATATTTCACACAGGATCATAGCAGAATCTTTCTGTAGTTGTCCACATTATTTTCTTTTTCAAAAGATCTGTCTTGGATAAAACAGATTATAACATGGGAGTAATTTGGTAACTTACTTTGATTATAAGCCTTGCTTGCTTCGATTTGGGATTTAGGCATCGTTGTCCTTTATTTTCTTTCAGGGTAATACTGTTAAAAGAACATACAAGAGTCTTAAAGTTTAGATGCAAATACATAAACAAAAAAGCCTGCACCATTGTCATCTTCAGCAAGTTCATTACTTACATCACTTCTATTTTGTCACAGTTGTTACTTGGGTACATTATGGAGGCTTTCTCAATATCTGCCACTTTCACTGCTTTTACCCCAGGGCCTATGCAAAGACAGCGTCCTCTTTTGAACATGGGGAAGCCTAGAATAGATCATAGCATTAGTTAGTAATGCATCTGATTGCAACAGATGGCTGTGGTTTATAGCTGGTGGTGAACGTGAGCAGAATTTTCATTAAGGGTAAAGATAGTAATTTGTCAAATAGCACTTAACACAACTGTTACTGGGAAAAGTTAAGTAAGATGTTGATTATTTTCTCATTAAATTAGTAAGCAAATCGCTAACAAATGGGAAGCATGAAGGAAGTTTATTGGAGGTGAAGCTTGTTTTGCCCCCTTGATTTTATCCTCAAATATTTTCCCAGGAAGCTTGTTAACATGATCGCTATATAAAATCTTCTTAACAGACATTTAAAACTGTTGCTAAAGGCTTTTGCCAGATATTCTAGCCAAATCAAAAATTCCATGAAGTTCATAATTTCTAGTTTCAATAATCATCTCTAGTATCTTAAACATGTCCACCATTTCTGTGCTAAAGCTGTAGTAACTTCTAATCTGTGAGATTAAATAAAACTTTATCATGTCTTTTAGGATAAAAGTGGAAGAAAAGACATTTGAAACATTAGAAAAGGAACTTATAGGTTGAGAAATAAAAATTACTGCATACCTTGAACAACTGTAGCACACAATATCACAGCCAAGGCTATAGCCATGCCCTTCACACTCATGTTTGTTTTTTGCTGTTGCTGCTGGTGCTGCTGCTGCTACTTCAGCTTTGCTGCTCTTCTTGGAAGGAGTAGAAATGCTGAACATGAAAGGAAATTGATAATTGGCATATATAGAGCATTTTATACACCAGCAATCCTTTTATGGCACAGGAATTTCCCTCTTTGAGTCATGCACCTTTCCTGCTTCCAAGAGTTTCTGTTTTGTTCTCTTCTAAATGTTACTGTCCCTTCCTATTTGCAGTAGTGTTGAAAGTGATAAGAATGTGAAAGCACTGTGAAAACCCAGATGGTAACCAGCCTTCTTAAGGTAGCTTTTCCTAGAAATCCATTTAATTGTCGGACTACTTTGGGCAGCGGAATTCTGATTGTCATTCATTCAGGAAGACTGTGTTTCTGTTTTTGGTCCTTTCACCCACCCTTCATCCTTCACATATCTATACAAAATAATATTCTGAAAAGCTTTTTTTTATTATCTCACTTTTGCTTTTCAGTCCAAACTCTTATAATAGATAAGGCCTATATTATTTGACACCAGATGACCTTTATTCAATTTCATATTTTTACCTGTAAATGAGTGCCTAAAGAAGTTTCCCTGTGTTTCTGTATTTATGTCCATATTGTTTTGCATTTTCAACAATTTTTACTTTATATATTTTATTTTGTTTTGCTTTATTTTATTTTTAAATTTAATTTAATTTTATTACTTTATTTTATATTTATTTTATTCTGCAAAGCTTTCATTATAGGCAGATGGCAGGGGGCTCAGTCCTTCTTGGCAGCTGCTTTCCTCATGGCAGCCAGGACGTTGCTCAGCTCCTCCTGCCTTCTCTTGGTGCAGATGTTTGTCCCTACCCTTTTCTTGATGAATTTGAGGGCCTGTTTGACCTTGGAGACCTTCAGTAACTCCATGCCACGCCACTCGTTAGGGGTGAAGCCACACACCTCTGGGATCATGTCCCACACAAATTTAGTGAGTTTGGTCAGGCGCCCACAGTGGCTGTGCCTGGGCTTGCTCACATTCTTGGTCACCTTGTGGCCCTTGTTGAGGCCCACAGCTATAGGGTAGTGCAGTGTCATGGCTGCTGCCCTCCAATGGTGGCCATGGTGGAAAGCTACTTTATATATATTTTAGCACTGTTACTTAGTACATGAAGTTGTATGAGTTGTATTAGGGATCATAAAAAAAAGTGATCCTCTTTGCTCATGTGATAGTTTTACCTCTGAGATTCTACTTTGATGTAATTCCTATTTTTTTGTCTTTATCTTTTCCTCTTAAGCTTCCTAAATCTTTGTTTTAAGTGTGTCACTTGTAGATGTTTAAGAAAATCATATCAAAGGAGCTTTCTAATGGGTAAGCTTAATAAAATATATTTACTGTATAACTGGTAATCTGTAATTTTTAAAATGCTTCCTTGCTGATTCTTTATGTTTTCTTTGATTTCTTTCTAACTTTAAATATATTTTATTTAACTTTTTGAAGCCATTTTTGTTTTTTTTAATGAGATGGGTCTCACTCTGTCACCATTCTGGAGTCGAGTGGCACAATCATAGCTCACTGCAGCCATGAACTCCAGGCCTCAAGCAATCCTCCTGCCTTGGTCTCCCAAAGTGCTAGGATTACTGGGATGAGCCACGGTGCTTGGCCTTCCTTAAGTAATTTGAAAGGAATACATTGTTTTACATTTTGATATTAATTCTTAAAATTCTTTAAAAAGATTTTTACCTGAATTTTTCTAATTATTTACATCAACCATCAATAATATTTTTTTAGCTCCTGTCTTTGTAACATGAGAAAATCACTGTAACTTTCTTTCAAGAATTTTCTCCTATTTCCTAGTTTTACCAATAAAAGTTGGTATAATCGGGGAATTTATAGCCAGTTTATTACTTTTAGATTATTATTTTATCTTATTCAACTTCTTTTTTTGAGAATTATCATTTGCATTTTATCTTGAAATTATATATTTATTTAGATATAATCCTGCATTTAAATTCTTTAACAACCATGACTAGTCTTTAAAACCTTTGAAAGTCTTTACAGTAGTCCCCCATTAAATGAGAAATTCTAGAAATAATTCATAAGTTTTAAATTGTGCACTTTTCTGAGTAGCATGATGAAATCTCACATCATCTTGCTCCATCACTTCATCCCATCACATAGACATTTTATCATTTCACAGCATCACTAGAAGAGTGAGTATAGTACAATAAGATATTTGAAGAGAGAGAGACTACACAGTCACTTAACTTTTATTACAGAATATTGTTGTAATTATTCTATATATTAATGTTGATGCTCTTACTGTGGCTAATTTATAAATCAAACTTTTTTATAGGTATATATGTACAGGAAAAAATACAATATATACAGGGCTCAGTACTATCTGCAGTTTCAGGCACTCATTGGGGGTCTTGGAACATATCCCCCAAGGATAAGGTGAGGGGGCTACTGTATTTTAATTAATTTCCAAGTAGCTGGAATATTCTTTCCTTCTTTTCCATTAATTCATTTAACATATGTAAAGAAAGACTAATTTTCCCTCAGGAATATGGGTAAAGTAAAAGGAATGTGTTCTTGGAGCTCATAAATCCTTATCTGTTATTATTTTTTAATGTTGCTTTTCATTTTCTCAGCATTAGAAACACAGTAGAGCATAGTTGTTAATAGGGAAGGCTCTAGAGTCAGCCTGTGTTCAAATCCACCCTTGATTATTTATTTATTTATTTATTTATTTATTTATTTATTTATCTTTGAGATGGATTCTTGCTCTGTAGCCCAGGCTGGAGTGCAGTGGTGTGATCTCGACTCACCACAGCCTCTGCCTCCTGGATTCAAGTGATTCGCCTGCCTCAGCCTCCCAAGTAGCTGGGATTACAGGTGCGTGCCTCCATGCCTGGCTAATTTTTATAGTTTTAGTAGAGATGGTGTTTAGCCATGTTGGCCAAGCTGGTCTTGAACTCCTAACCTCAGGTGATCCTGCCGCCTTGGCCTCCCAAAGTGCTGGGATTACAGGCGTGAGCCACTGTGCCCAGCCCACATTCAGTTATTTATGAACAAGTTACCTCAACTTTTTGAGGCTATTTTCTCATCTATAGACTGGGGATAATAATAGTACTTTTTTTTTTTTTTGAGATGGAGTCTCTCTGTGCCACCCAGGCTGGAGTGCAGTGGCATGATCTCGGCTTACTGCAACCTCCGCCTCCTGGGTTCAAGCGATTTTCTTGCCTCAGCCTCCCAAGTAGCTGGGATTACAGGCATGTGTTACCACGCCCAGCCAATTTTTGTATTTTTAGTAGAGATGGGGTTTTACCATGTTGGCCAGGCTGGTCTCAGACCCCTTTTTCATAGGGCTGTTATAAACTAGGTATTAAAAGAGGTAATGCATATTAATCATTTAGAAAAATATGTAGCACTCAAAATGTATTAACTGCTATTATTATTATCAGTGTCCTTTCCTGAATTGGCATACCACATCTAGCTTGTTTTCAGCTGTTTTTCAGCATTAACACAAACACAACCACTTAATAAAAGATGAGTTGACATTGTTATAGCATATAAAAATATTTTAAATTATAATAACCATGAATATAAAAATAGCATACTAATCATAAAAATCACTTACAGAAAGTGCATGAATGCAATAGCATAGTTCAAATAATATAGACAAACAATAGTGAATATTTCTGCTTACTAGCTAAAGTGTTGTCATATAGCTTTGGTGTAAGACAATTTCTTAAATAGGGATTCTTAATTTTTTTAAAAAGACCCTGGAAATTATTAAACATATTTTTACATTATACTATTTTAAATAGAAAATAGACATAATTCAAATTTACATAAAACAAGACTAAACTCTTCCTTTTGCCTTCATGTGTGAATTACTACTTAGCTGTGTAGAAAAACTGTGGATCACAATTTTCTCCTTCAGTACTCTGCTGGGAGTCTTGGAATGTATCCCCCAAGGATAACAAGGGGACTACTGTATTTTATTTTCTATTGTTTTATTTTCTTCCTTACTGCAAAGGTAATATCTGATATTTTAAAAAAACATTAGAGCTGGGCATGGTGGCTCATGCCTGTAATCCCAGCAGTTTGGGAGACCGAGGCAGGCGGATCACTTGAGGTCAGGAGTTCGAGACCAGCCTGGCCAACATGGTGAAACTCTGTCTCTACTAAAAATACAAAAATCAGCTGGGTATGGTGGCGCATGCCTGTAATTCCAGCTACTTGCAAGGTTGAGGCAGGAGAATCGCTTGAACCCAGAAGGCGGAAGTTGCAGCGAGCCAAGATCGCGTCACTGCACTCCAGCCTGGGTGACCCAGAGAGACTCCGTCTCAAAAAAACAAAAAACCAAACATTAGAAAATGTGTAATAAGAAGAACCTTACCACCAGAGATGACCACTGCTTTAGTTTTCTTCCCTCTGGATGGATACGCACATACACTGGATACACACACACACACACACACACACACACACACACACACACACATTTCGCCTAACAAGTTCTATATCAGACTATATCAGGTTCTCCCCCCCGCCCCCTCCATGTGTCAGGGACTATATAGATACTTCAGAAGGAGACAGAGGAGAAGACAGGGAGAAAAAAAAATTCTTCCTTTTCCTCTGTGAGGAAGACTACTGCATAATCTTCCTCACGGAGGCTGCTGCTTGTGTATGACCCTAGAGGAGGGGGCTATCCCTCCCCCATGTAGACACATCTTTGTCTGCTTTTCCTCAGAGCTAAATCACAGTTTGAAAACTGAGGGAGGTTTATTTAGTTCTTCACTTCTTCAGGTGATAGATCCAAAATTATGCAGAGTAAGGAGAGGGATTGGTTTTGTGCTGTAACCTTTTCACTTCATCTCCTTGAACCACAAAATAAGCCTAATTAGGCTTTAGCAGGTGCTAATGTGGATACTCTCTCCTTCTATAACACTCTCTCCCTCTTTACTGCTCTTCCTCCCAGTGTTCCTGCCTTAGAGTGTCCTGGAAAGCACTACCCTTTTCTATAGTAGTTCATTTATTCATTTACTCATTCATTCAGCAAATGTTTATTTTAGATGTCTGTCACATGTCTGGCACTCTTTTGGGTATTAGAGATAGAACAGTGAACAAAACTCACCAAGTCCTTTCCGTGTGTTCCAAATTTCAAACTTTCTGCCTTATTGTAGAAGTTAGTCTGCCTGATTTCTGCTGGCTTTGTAGATGTGTGGGGTCAGACGTGTCTTCAGGATTGTGACTTGTTCTGGCTCTATACTCTCTGACATCACATGAGGAAGATTACCTTCTTTCACAGCATCCCCTCATCTGGTGAGCCTGAGAGATCCCTATTTTTTATATTTGTATAATATGGTTTTTCTAGCATGAAAATGCACTTTCCTCTCCTCTTTTGAATCCTTTCCTTCGTTTAAGTCTTGATGTCTTCATGAAGCCTTTTTCATTATATCGTGGTATCTTCTTGACCTTTATACTTTGTAGAACTTACTGTCTTTTCTAACTTTATCCAGTAGAAATACAGTGCAAGGCATGGACATAATTTTAAATATTCCAATAGCCACATTTAGAAAGTAAAAAGAAACAGATGAAATTAATTTAAATATATTTTCTTTAATTAAGCATGAAAATATATTATTTCAATGTGTAATCAATGTGGATATAAAAATGTTAAATGAAATATTTTACCTTTTATTACTAAGTCTTCAAATTGAACTAGCTACATTTCAAATGCTTGATAATAACATGTGTTTAGTGGCTACCATATTGGACAGTGAAGGTCTAGTTATTCATTTGGCATGTATTATATACTGACTCCATACTTATTTTAAACTAAAGCTGAGGTTGGAGAGGCAGATAGATAACTGTCAAACTCCTGTAAATTTCCCTAGTTGTTTTCTTCTTTCTCTAAGTCATTATATCTCATTGCTCTTTTTCTTTGATTAAATGCAAAAAAGATCAGATACATTCTCTGTGTTCTTAGCAGTGTTGGCCTTTTTTATTGTTTCCAGAATTGGACTACTTTATTTTATTTTCCCAGGTTCACCCACTTAAATAAGTTTTGCTTTTAATTTAAAGACATAGGAGCATCCCAGGAAATGATGGAATCTAGTTTCCATAAGTAATCACCTTTTCAGCTTAAAAAATCTGTAATCTGTGCTTCATCTGAAATTTTATTAATGCTGCTAAGTTAGCCAATTAATGTAGAATTTTAAAATGTTTCCAAGTTAAAAGAGATTAATGTAAGCTATTTAAAAATAATTTCCAACTCACCATTCACCAGGTCTCTGAATAATATATTGCCTGACAAAAGAAAAAAGGTAGTATCAAGGATATTTTATTCAGTTAAGTTAGTGAAAAGTGGGTTAGAAATGAAAACTAATGTTTCCATTTATTATAAATAAGTATGACTTAAAAGAATCCTGTTTTGAGTGTTAGAAGACAGATGACTCACTCCTAGGGAAGAGGTTGCCAGGCATGTAATAGACACCTGAAATAATATAGATAGACTGAACAGATTAATGTAGAATCCTAAACTCTTAAAAGTGTGTCCAGAATTGGTGGGTTCTTGGTCTCGCTGACTTCAAGAATGAAGCCACGGACCCTCGCGGTGAGTGTTACAGCTCTTAAGGTGGCGCGTCTGGAGTTTGTTCCTTCTGATGTTCGGATGTGTTCGGAGTTTGTTCCTTCTGGTGGGTTCGTGGTCTCGCTGGCTCAGGAGTGAAGCTGCAGACTTTCGCGGTGAGTGTTACAGCTCATAAAAGCAGTGTGGACCCAAAGAGTGAGCAGCAGCAAGATTTATTGCAAAGAGTGAAAGAACAAAGCTTCCACAGTGTGGAAGGGGACCTGAGCGGGTTGCCACTGCTGGCTCGGGCAGCCTGCTTTTATTCTCTTATCTGGCCCCACCCACGTCCTGCTGATTGGTAGAGCCGAGTGGTCTGTTTTGACAGGGCGTGATTGGTGCGTTTACAATCCCTGAGCTAGACACAAAGGTTCTCCACATCCCCACCAGATTAGCTAGATACAGAGTGTCGACACAGAGGTTCTCCGGGGCCCCACCAGAATAGCTAGATACAGAGTGTCGATTGGTGCATTCACAAACCCTGAGCTAGACACAGGGTGCTGACTGGTGTATTTACAAACCTTGAGCTAGATACAGAGGGCTGATTGGTGTATTTACAATCCCTGAGCTAGACATAAAGGTTCTCCACGTCCCCACCAGACTCAGGAGCCCAGCTGGCTTCACGCAGTGGATCCCGCACCAGGGCTGCAGGTGGAGCTGCCTGCCAGTCCCGGTGCTGTGTGCCCACACTCCTCAGCCCTTGGGTGGTCAATGGGACTGGGCACCGTGGAGCAGGGGGTGGCACTCGTCAGGGAGGCTCGGGCCACACAGGAGCCCATGGAGGGGGTGGGAGGCTCAGGCATGGCGGGCTGCAGGTCCCGAGCCCTGCCCTGTAGGAAGGCAGCTAAGGCCCGATGAGAAATCGAGTGCAGTGCCAGCCCACTGGGGGACCCAGTACACCCTCCGCAGCTGCTGGCCTGGGTGCTAAGCCCCTCATTGCCCGGGGCCGGCAGGGCTGGCCAGCTGTTCCGAGTGCGGGGCCCACCAAGCCCACGCCCACCCAGAACTCCAGCTGGCCCACAAGCGCTGTGCGCAGCCCTGGTTCCCACTGGCGCCTGTCCCTCCACACCTCCCTGCAAGCTGAGCGAGCCAGCTCCGGCCTTGGCCAGCCCAGAAAGGGGCTCCCACAGTGCAGCAGTGGGCTGAAGGGCTCCTCAAGTGCCGCCAAAGTGGAAGCCCAGGCAGAGGAGGTACCAAGAGCAAGCGAGGGCTGTGAGGACTGCCAGCACACTGTCACCTCTCAATCCCACCTCTAAACAGGACACCCCAACTGCTGTTGGGAATTTGGCCGATGACCACTCTAGCTACTTCCTGCTGGATAGGGGTGAAGAAGGGGCCCTGCAGTTGTAGTGTCCTTCAGAGGGGAACTCTCTAGGCCAGGGGAAGTGCCAGCGGGTTGGTCCAGGGGTCCTTGGTAGAAGTTGTTAGTTGAACTCATTTGGGGTTCCATTTGTAAGACCATCTGTAGCTTGATGGCCTCGATTCTAGAGGAAACAAATTTGACAGGAAGGTTAAAAATACAGGGCCCAAAAGCGAGTAACAGCAAGATGGCTGCCATGGGACCTAGAAAGGGGAGAAGCCATGTTGCCCAACTCCAGAGATTGGTATAAGAATTTGAAAGGCGTTGTCTGATTTCAGAAGCCTTTTCCTGTAAACGCCGGGCGGCATCTCATACTATCCCCGACTGGTTAGTGTGAAAACCACATTCTTCCCCTAAGAAGGTGCAGAGTCCTCCTTTCTCAGCAGTGAGGAGGTCTAGGCCTTGGCGTTTTTGGAGAGTCACTGCTGCCAAAGAGTCTATTTGGGATTGTAAAGTAAGAATAGATTTCGTTATTTCTTGCAAACTGTCTGAGAGGCAGATATGGGTTGAAGATCCACATAAGTAGAATATGCCTTGGCTAGGAAGACAGAAATTTACCCTGGCTTTTAAAGGAAAAGGGTACACTGTTTTTTCTTTACTACTTCCATCTCTTTCTTTCTCTCTTCAACTTCTTTGTCTCTTCCTCTCTTTTTAACTCTCTCTTTGACTTTCTGTGTCTGTCCCTCTTTCTGACTCCTTTTCTTTGTCTCTGTTTCTGACACCCTCTTTAACGTTCTGTCTCTCTGTCTCTTCCTCTCCCTGTCTCTTTCTCTGACTTTCTCTTTCTCTCTTTCCTTCTTGCTGGTCTTTCCCTACCTCTGCCAGCCGCTTATGCTGCTGTTCTCCCCTCTCCTTCCCATTTTGATGGCCTTGGTAGTGTAAGACTCCCACCTCTTTGGGTTCCTGCACCATGTGCAATAACTCCATAACTTCCCTGTGGCATCCAGCGGGGGTTCCCAGAGGTTAGGAACTCCCATTCTTTCCATATTGCAGCATGGGCATGTAGGATTAGATAAGCATACTTGTTATCTGTATACACATTTATTCTTTTTCCCTTTCCCAGTTCTAAGGCTCGGGTAAGTGCCACTAGTTCTGCTAACTGGGCACTGGTCCCTGGGGGAAGAGGCTTGCTTTCAAGTGTGGTTACATCACTATGGCGTAACCTGCCCTTCGTATCCCATTCTTCACAAATGAACTTCCATCGGTATATAGGTTAAGGTCAGGATTAGTTAAGGGGACTTCTAAGAGATCATCTCGGGCGGCATAAGTCTGGACTATAATTTGTTGGCAGTCATGCTCAATTGGTTCCCCATCCTCTGGGAGAAAAGTGGCAGGGTTGAGGGCCACGCACGTGCATATTTTAAGCACCAGTCCCTCAAGGAGTAGTGCCTGGCATCTAAGAGGCGGTTGTCTGATAGCCATAAACTTCCTTTGGCACCTAGTATGCCATTTACATCATGAGTAGTCCAGACAGTGAGATCCTTTCCTTGTATTATTTTGATAGCCTCTGACGCTAAGACAGCCGCTGCTGCAACTACCCTTAAACAGTGAGGCCAGCCTTTGGCTACTACATCAATTTCCTTACTTAGGTATGCCACTGGTTGTGGGGTTGTCCCACGAGTCTAAGGACTCCAAGAGCTATCTTGGCTCTCTCTGTGATGTATAAAGAGAAGTTCTGTCCTGTGGGAAGGCTTAAAGCTGGAGCTTGTACTAGAGCCTGCTTTAAGCTTTTGAAGGCTGTTTCTGCCTCTGGTTCCCTTTCAACTAGATGAGTATTTGCCCTCTGGGTTTCCTTGATTAGAGTATAGAGGGGCCTGGCTATCTTGCTGTATCTGGAGATCCATAGTCAGCAAAAGCCAGTAATTCCAAGGAATCCCCGCAACTGTTTTAATGTCTTAGGGTGAGGATAAGCCAGTATAGGCTGTATTCATTCCTTGCTGAGGGCCCTGGTCCCTTTGGCTAAGATTAGGCTTAGATATTTAACCTGCTGTAGGCAAAGCTGGGCCTTCGACCTAGACACCTTGTACCCTTGATTAGCCAGAAAGTTCAAGAGATCCAGAGTAGCCTGCTGGCACGAGGCTTCCAAACTGGTAGCCAAAAGTAAATCATCCACATATTGAAGGACCAGAGTGCCTGGACTTGAGAAGTGGCCTAGATCCTGGGCCAGTGCCTGACCAAACAGATGAGGGCTATCCCTAAACCCTTGGGGCAAGACCATCTGTGTAAGTTGGGACGTGTGGTCTGTGGGATCCTCAAAAGCAAAGAGAAACTGGGAGTCAGAGTGCAGGGGAATAAAGAAGAAGGCATCCTTGAGGTCCAGAACCGTGAACCATTCTGCTTCCCCTGGTATTTGAGAGAGCAGGGTATAGGGGTTGGGTACAACTGGATATAGAGGAATTACTGCCTCATTAATGAGTCTAAGATCTTGCACTAGTCTCCACTGACTGTTCGGTTTTTGTACTCCTAGAACTGGGGTGTTGCAGGGACTGCTGCATTTCCTCACTAAGCCTTGAGCTTTTAAATGTTTAACAATATTCTATAATCCTTTATGAGCTTCAGGCCTTAAGGGATATTGCCTTTGATACGGAAAAGTGGTGGGATCTTTTAACCTGATTTGGACTGGGCAGGCATTTTTTGCCCTTCCAAATTGTCCTTCCAATGCCCAGACTTCAGGGTTGATTCCCTCCTCAAGTAGGGGACAGCAAATGGGTAACTTTTTCCCCATATTCATGTAGATAATAGCTCCAGCCTTGGCTAATATATCCCTCCTTAATAAGGGTGTGGGACTTTCAGGAATAACAAAAAAGGCATGTGAAAAGAGCAAAGTCTCTCAATTACAACTGAGGATGTGGGAGAAATACCTGGTTACAGGCTGTCCCAGGATTCCTCGGGTGGTAACGGACCTTGAGGACAGTCATCCAGGACAGGAGATTAACCCTGAGAAGGCCGCGCCAGTGTCCAGGAGGAAGGCAATTTCCTGGCCCTCAATAGTTAAACATACCCGGGGCTCAGTGAGGGTGATGACATGAGCTGGCACTTGCCCCGGGCACCCTCAGTCCTGTTGTCGCATCATCTGGTTGGGGGCTTCTGACCCAGGGAACCTTCATCCTCTGGGGCAGTGCACCTTCCAGTGATTGCCTCAGCATAGTGGACATGGACGAGGGGGCAGCTTGTTTCTCATTGGACAATCTTTTTTAAAGTGTCCTAGTAAACCACACTGATAACAAGCCCTACCAGGTGATTGGCCTGCTCCATTTTCTGTCCTCTCTGAACCACCAAGGCTTGTTTGTCTGAGGGCCATGACTAAGGCTGTGGCCTTTCTCTGATCTTGCTTTTCCTTTTGGGCCTGTTCCTCTTGGTCCCTATTATAGGACACCGAGGTTGCCAGGTTTAATAATGCCTCTTGATTTTGTTCAGGGCCCAGGGCTTGCTTTTGGAGCTTTCTCCTGATATCTGCGGCTGATTGGGTAATAAACTTACCCCCGAGTGATTCAGGTGACAGGGGAGTATATTTTCTTAAGGCCTCTCATAGCCGCTCGGGGAAGGCAGAAGGATTTTCTTCCTTTCCCTGAGTTATGGCGGATATCATTGAATAATTCATGGGCTTTTTTCTAATTCTCCTTAGTCCTTCTAGAACACAGGTCAACAGATGTTTACGACTCCAGTCCCCATGATCTGAGTCAAGGTCCCAGTGGGGATCCATACTGGGGATGGCTTGCTGACTGGTAGGGAATTTGTCCCTTTCTTCAGCTGTCATTCCATCATTTACTTGACTAAGATACCGGGTATCTCCAAACTCTCGGGCTGCAGCTAAAGCCACATTCTTTTCATTAAAGGCCAGGGTTTGATCTAACAGTGGCATGACATCTCTCCAAGCGAGGTCAAAGGTTTGCCCTAGACCCTGTAGGACATCTATGTAGGTACATCTGTGTACCTCTCAGGATCATCTGAAAACTTCCCCAGGTCTGCCTTGATCTGTTTTAAATCAGAGAGGGAGAAGGGGACAGGTACCCGGGTTGGGCCAAATTCCCCTCCCCCTACAGCTTGAAGGGGACATAACCTATAGCCCAGGGGTTTTTATGGTCGTTTGGAGATTTCTTTGCTTATTTCCTTCTGGGCAGGGGAGATTAGAGGAGGATTATCACTAATAGGAAGGGGAGCTATAGGGAGGCTAGGATATGGGGATAAGCTGAGAGGTCCTCCTGTAGGATGTAAATTGTAAGCTTTGCATAGTTGTGTATTCTCCCTCAATGAAAAGAAAGCTTGGACATAAGGTATTTCACTCCATTTCCCTTCCTTCTTACAGAAAAGATCAAGCTGCAGGATAGTATTATAATTTGTACTTCCCTCAGGTGGCCATTTTTCCCCATCAGAGAGAGAATATTGGGGCCAAGCCATAGTGTAGAAAAAAATGAGCCATCTCTTTTTCAGGGTTAGTGGGTCAAATTGGTCCCAATGGCTTAGGATGCATTTCAAGGGTGAGCCTGTTGATGCATGAGTGTTTCCCATCTGAAAGGCAAAACCACCCGTGGTTTTGGTTTATTTTGTTTCTCCCCCTGCCCAAGAACCCACAACGGTCCCTGGACCCTGCTGATTGGAATAGTTGCGCTCACCGATGCAGCAGCAGAAACAACCCCTGCCCAAGAACCCGCAACAGTCTCTGGACCCTGCTGATCAGAATAGTTGTGCTCACTGACGCAGCAGCGGAAACACTAGTTTTCCTCCCAGACCACATGGAGGACTGAGGAAGGTCGGATTTAGTGGTCCTTACCAATGCATTCTCGAAAACCTGCACCCTTGCCTGTCTTCCTAGACCACAAGGAGGACCGACCACAAAAAATCGGATTTAGTGGCCCTTATGATGCATTCTCAAAAACCTGTTAGAGTCCTAAGCATTCTCCTGTTAGTATTGGGACTTTACCCCTGTCCTATAAAGATCTTATGCCCCAAAAATGAAGTGGAGGGCCATACCCTGAGGGAGGGAAGGGATCTTCAGGGTTGGAAGAGTGACACCTTTTTCCTCACTTATATGAATAGGAAGGATACAATTTCTGAGGCTCCCCATATCCTAGCTTCAGGAATAGCTTTTGTTAGGCCTGTTAGTCTCAGGAGGGATCCTAAAATTCCAGGTAGTCCCCACTATGACGGGGCTTTGGGCAAAAATCATGTCTTTCTGATTGGTGAGCCTGGGTGCCTAAAGAAGGTAACAGAGTCCTGGAGTTTATACTATAAATCATTCTTATAGGAGAAACTAGAAAAGCACCAGGGACAGGTAGCAATTTTTAGAAGTGGGTCTAACCTCAGAGAAGACAGGCGAGAGGAAGTTTGTCTGGCAGGCATTAGGACCCAGGCGGCAAGGGTCAGGATAGATAGGATAGATGGGTGAGTCTTTCTTGGGCGACATGCTTTTGAGAGTGCCGCTCATGGCCGCAGGGTCAGCCAACATGTTGTCGGGACCTTGGAGCTGCATGGCTTTCCTCTCTGTCGACCCTCGGCTCAGCCCAGAAGTACAGGAAAAGCGGAAGCTGGTTCTAGGCAAACCAACGGTCCCAACTCCAAAGAGTCAGGGGTTGTTAGAGAGCCCTTTCCCAGACAGCCTGACACCCATGTCTTTAGTCCGGCAGCCTCACTAGTCTCTTTTAACTGGCCGACAGGTGCCCGGTATTTAGCCCCCGAAATTTTAAGGAAAAATAGGACAGAATAGCAAGCGAAAGGGGTCTGATGGTACTCACTGCTTGGCGATAGGCGATTGTCTCACCGCTCGGCGATAGGCGATGGTCTTACCGCTCGGCGATAGGCGAAAGTCCCTTCGTGGTTGCCAAGATGTGTCCGGAATTGGTGGGTTCTTGGTCTCGCTGACTTCAAGAATGAAGCCGCGGACCCTCACGGTGAGTGTTACAGCTCTTAAGGTGGCGCGTCTGGAGTTTGTTCCTTCTGATGTTTGGATGTGTTCGGAGTTTGTTCCTTCTGGTGGGTTCGTGGTCTCACTGGCTCAGGAGTGAAGCTGCAGACCTTAGCGGTGAGTGTTACAGCTCTTAAGGCGGCGCGTCTGGAGTTGTTCGTTCCTCCCGGTGGGCTTATGGTCTCACTGGCTCAGGAGTGAAGCTGCAGACTTTCGCGGTGAGTGTTACAGCTCATAAAAGCAGTGTGGACCCAAAGAGTGAGCAGCAGCAAGATTTATTGCAAAGAGTGAAAGAACAAAGCTTCCACAGTGTGGAAGGGGACCTGAGCGGGTTGCCACTGCTGGCTCGGGCAGCCTGCTTTTATTCTCTTATCTGGCCCCACCCACGTCCTGCTAATTGGTAGAGCTGAGTGGTCTGTTTTGACAGGGCGCTGATAGGTGGGTTTACAATCCCTGAGCTAGACACAAAGGTTCTCCACATCCCCACCAGATTAGCTAGATACAGAGTGTCGACACAAAGGTTCTCCAGGGCCCCACCAGAATAGCTAGATACGGAGTGTCAATTGGTGCATTCACAAACCCTGAGCTAGACACAGGGTGCTGATTGGTGTATTTACAAACCTTGAGCTAGATACAGAGGGCCGATTGGTGTATTTGCAATCCCTGAGCTAGACATAAAAGTTCTCCATGTTCCCACCAGACTCAGGAGCCCAGCTGGCTTCACGCAGTGGATCCCGCACCAGGGCTGCAGGTGGAGCTGCCTGCCAGTCCCGGTGCTGTGTGCCCGCACTCCTCAGCCCTTGGGTGGTCGATGGGACTGGGCACCGTGGAGCAGGGGGTGGCACTTGTCGCGGAGGCTCGGGCCACACAGGAGCCCATGGAGGGGGTGGGAGGCTCAGGCATGGCGGGCTGCAGGTCCTGAGCCCTGCCCCGCAGGAAGGCAGCTAAGGCCCGATGAGAAATGGAGCGCAGTGCCAGTGGGCTGGCACTGCTGGGGGACCCAGTACACCCTCCGCAGCTGCTAGCCCGGGTGCTAAGCCCCTCATTGCCTGGGGCCGGCAGGGCCGGCGGGCTGCTCCGAGTGCGGGGCCCGCCAAGCCCACGCCTACCCGGAACTCCAGCTGGCCTGCAAGCCCACGCGCAGCCCTGGTTCCCGCTGGCGCCTGTCCCTCCACACCTCCCTGCAAGCTGAGGGAGCCGGCTCCGGCCTTGGCCAGCCCAGAAAGGGGCTCCCACAGTGCAGCAGTGGGCTGAAGGGCTCCTCAAGTGCCGCCAAAGTGGGAGCCCAGGCAGAGGAGGTGCCGAGAGCAAGCGAGGGCTGTGAGGACTGCCAGCACACTGTCACCTCTCAAAAGTACAGTAGTATAGTACCTGATGCTGTTTTTTAGAGGGATTTAGGCATGCCAATGACTTTAGGGAGCTGCCGGTGGATTTTTTTTTAAGAGTTCTTAGTAGAATACTACTGTGAGTTTCTTATAATATTATTAAAATACCCGTCCCAGAAATGAGACAGATTCTGCAGGCTATATTCAAGGTAGCCATTAGGCACTGGGTAAGGCTCTATTTTTTTCATCAAAACTTGGAGTAAATTGTATAAATAACATTAAAATCATTAAGACGTTGAGGAATAATGCATGTTTTAATGCCATTGAAAAGAGTTCCAAAGTGATGATGAATTTTTTGTTTGTTTGTTTTAGACCTGCTCTATCGCCCAGGCTGGAGTGCAATGGCGTGATCTCGGCTGACCGCAGTATCTGCCTCCCGGGCACAAACCATCTTCCCACCTCAGCCTCCTGAGTAGCTGGGACTATGGGCACACACGTCCACAGCCAGCTAATGTTTTTGTATTTTTGGTAGAGTTGGGGTTTCGCCATGTTGCCCAGGCTGGTCTCGAATTCCTGTGCCCAAGTGGTCTTCCCACCTCAACCTCCCAAAGTGCTGGGATTACTGGCATAAGCCACTGTACCTGGCTGACAATGAATTTTAAATAAGGATGTTTCTGAGTTTATGTTGTATCTCTCTCTCTCTCTTTTTTTTTTTTTTTTTTTTTTGAGACAGAGTTTCGCTCTTGCTGCCCAGGCTGGAGTGGAGTGCAATGGCGCAATCTCAGCTCACTGCAACCTCCGCCCCTGAGTTCAAGCCTTTCTCCAGCCTCAGCCTGCCGAGTAGCCTGGATTACGGTCGCCTGCCACCATGCCCAGCTAATTTTTTTTGTATTTTTATTAGAGACGGGGTTTCGCCATGCTCACGCCTGTAATCCCAGCACTTTGGGAGGCTGAGGTGGGCAGATCACCTGAAGTCAGGATTTTGAGACCTGCCTGGTCAATATGCTTTATCTCTTTCTGGGACTTTGACATAAGAAGAGATTTCCAAAGGTTGTATTCTGCTAATGTAGTCTGGTATTTGAGAATGAGATATATCAATGCTCACATTTTATAAGGATGACTTCATCCTTGATATGTGCTACCCCAAACATTGCAGTCGCAAGTGCATGCACAGAATAAGGGCCAGTTTTCAGTGACTACCGTATCACCATACGGAACTTCTCATGCTTGAGAGAGCCACTGGTAGCCATCTACCTTTCCTTTCCTTGTCAGTATAAATTTGGGGGATACAAATATAATTTTGTTACATGGATATATTGCATAGTGGTGAAATTAGGGCTTTTAGTGTATCCATCACCAGAATAATGTACATGGTACCCATTAAGTAGTTTCTCATCATCCACCGCCCCCAACCCTTCCAAGTCTCCACTGTCTATCATTCCATACTCTATGTCTATGTGTACACATTATTTAGCTCCCACTTGTAAGTGAGAACATGCGTGTACCCAATTTCTTTTTTCCTTCTTTTTTTTTTTTTTAAGACAGAGTCTTGCTCTGTCATCCAGGCTGGAGTGCACGGGCACGATCTCGGCTTGCTGCAACCCCTGCCTCCCAGATTCAAGCAAACAGATTCAAGCAATTCTCGTGCCTCAGCCTCCCAAGTTGCTAGGATTACAGGCCTGTGCCACCGCACCAGGCTAATTTTTGTATTTTTAGTAGAGACGGGGTTTCACCATGTTGGCAAGGCTGGTCTCAAACTCCTGGTCTTAAGCCATCCACCTGCCTCAGCCTCCCAAAATGCTGGGATTATAAGCATGAGCCCCTGCACCCAGCTGGTGTGTACCAAATTTCTGACTTTAAAGGAAGGGCAGTTATTTGTTCCCTGAAAGTTGAGCACAAAAAGAAGAAATAAGCTTTAGTTTCCAGTGATTAAGGATTTGAAAAATAGTTACTGGTAGTTCAATTTACTTTGTTTTTTAACTATGCCTGTTCATGCTGATCACGTACAGGTTATCTCTATCTTGTCACTGGAATTGGATTGTTTCTCATTGGCTTAATTAAATTTATTGCACAGGAAGAGTCTTCCTGGAACATTTAAGCTATACCTGATTTATTAACTACAGCTCTCTCATTTTCTTATAAATTAATTAAGAGTTTGATCTACCATTCCTCTTCTGAAAAGAAAACAGTGTTTCTCTACCTTTTTGGTAGAAGAGTTACTAAAAAAAAACTAGCTATTATTTGTCTCTTTTTTCAACCTGGCAAAGCACAGTATATAAATATTGTTTGTTTTATCTATAACCAAATTTAATTGCCTTGGAATATTACTTTTTGCCAAGTCTACTGCCAAGTTAATTTTATTAGGGTATAATTAACAGTCGTCAAAGAAAAGCTACTTAATTTATTTCCACAGGAATTCAGAAGAAAAAAAGAATATGGGTTTAAAACCAATTACTTTCCTTTAAAATTGTAGGTAAAATTCAAAGTCGCATATGTTAAAATTTAGAACACAGAAGTAGAAATGATCAAGTTCTGCCAGCTCATTGAATAGACTAACCCTCTTTTCCATGTCCTCTGTACCTCTGTCAGAATGTTTGCTGTCATTTGTATGTATGTGAGCCAGGAACAGTGGGTTGTACAAAACAACTTCAGCATCACCATAAACTTCAGAGAAATCATGTTTCTCACAACAAAGCAGCTCTGTGCATGGCCTTTAGTTGGCTGCCTGGAAAATGACTGCACTCGACAACTGCCAGGTCAATGTAGACGTTCATGTTAATTTTTCAAGTTGGGAAACAACATGCCTATTGTTAGGGGATAGAAACGTGAGAGATTAAGCAATGAGCAACTTTACAAGCGACTAACTGAAGGAAGCTTGATTCAGTAAGAAGGGAGAAATAGTAGCTTCACTTACCATTATTAGTTTATTGCTTCTGCTACTCAGAGAAGCTGGAGGAGAGGAGAAAATAGATCTGGTCGATATTATTTCAGGGCTAGTTGGAAAGAGAATAAATGCACAAAGGAGCTTGCTTGGAGAGATGACCCCTGCATGTGAATGTTAGAAGAGCTATGTCTGCAAGGTATGAAGCTTCATTGGATTTATTTGTATTTTTAAAAAATAGAATATAGTAAAATGACCATTTATAAGGAGTATTTCAGGACACATCATTTGCCAGTTTGAACTAAGTGTTATTAAACTTAATGTTTTAAATAGATATAGTTGAGAGTGCGAATATAAAAAAAATAGGACAGGAAAGATGTTTTTTGTTCTAGCTATTTTATTTCTTATATAATCTTGATACTTAAATTACTTTCTTTTGGATTCAAAACAAAAATAATACTTTTAAAATATTTAGGCTGGGCTTAGTTGCTCATGCCTGCAATCCCAACACTTTGGGAAGCTGAAACAGGAGGATCACTTGAGCTTGGAAGTTTGAGACCAGCCTAAGCAACATAGTGAGACCCCCATCTCTACTAAAAATTTGAAAAATTAGCTGGTTGTGCTGGTGTGCACCTGTAATCCCACCTATTTGGGAGGCTGAGGCTGGAGGATCACTTGAGCCCAGGAGATCAAGGTTGCAATGAGCTATGATCATCCACTGCACTCCAGGCTAGGCTACAGAGTGAAACCCTGTCTCAAAATAAATAAATAAATATTTAGGCTATGTTTTCTAAAATTTTATACATTGTGCTGAATGCTATTTTCCTTGTAATGAAAAGCCAATAAAACATTTCTGTCAATTTTCTTGTTTTCTTTCTTTTTTTAGAGACAGTCTTGTTATGTTGCTCAGGCTGGACTCAAACTCCTGGCCTCAGGCAAGTCTCCTGCTTTGGCCTCCCAAAATGCTGAGATTACAGGCGTGAGCCACAATGCCTGGCCTCTTGTCATTTTTCTAAGGCTTTCCTAACATCCTGGTTTCACCTTTGAATCTACAACCTAGCTTACTTTCTGTGTTTCTTACTTCCCTGTTCTTACTTTCAGTATGAGCAGTAAAAGGTGTAGTCAGAGAAATGTGGCTCACTCTTCAGCTCTGAGTGTCTACCTCTCACCTTGTATTTGTGCAGTTGGTGGCTGGGTATGTGGTGGTAACTGGATGAGTGATGGAGTCCAGAATAATTGCCATCATTTGTTTAATGTCTCCCATGTGGCACGTAATGTACATAGTGTCTCACTAGTCCTCACAATAATTCTGTAAGAAGGGGCACTGTAAAAAGGACATTAGTGGCAATTTAGAGAAGAAGAAAGTGGGCCTTTAAGAGTTTATATAACTCCCCCAAATCACTTAACACATTTAGTTAAGAAGCGGGGTCAGAGGACAGCAGCAATGAAAAACACAAGAATTCCTTTCTGAGATGAAACGGGAGTGAAAGGCATCTCAAAGGTCTGACAATGTAATTCCCAGACCCAAGCCTCCCTGGAAAATAGAAAATGCAAAAGAAGATTAGAGCAGAAGACTAAATGTGGAACAATTTGGGATAAATAAAATCTGAGGGTCCTGGTGAGAAAGCAATTAAGAAAGCTAGAGAAGGTGTCTAGAGCCCCATTTAATTTACATTTCATTGAATAACAGGAGAATGATTATGTGAGACTTGTTAAAACTTGCATTTTGTTGGTAAAGTTTATCCTCTACTTCCCCATTGTGATTTGTAGCAGTAACCCTTAGAAAATTTCAGACCAGCCAATGTTTATTCCAGGGACTGGGTAAAAAGAGAGAAGCCTGTGTTATTTTCTGCATTTAGCTGTGATGAACAGAATCTCTGATCTGAGGCAGTAACTGATGTCAGTGCAATAGGTAGCCAGCAGGTCAACTCCTGTCCCTAAGGATTTATACCAGATGAAGGTCTTGTGACCTTCCAGAGGAAACAGAAAGGACAGAGAAGGAGGCAACGAAACTACTTTAAGACTTCGGTGACAGTGCTGCTCCCTCAGTGCCATCCCTCTACCCCACTACCTTTCTCCTTCTTTAGCTTTTGTTCTAAATTATTTCTCAGAGTCCCAGTAACCCTAGGTGTTATCTCTCTGCTCATTCTAGGTCCCTTTCCTTCCAGAACCCTTGAAGTTTGAGTTTACATTTTTGGAAGGATGCCAGGGATTAGCCCAGTTAGTAGATCAAGCTTCTAAGGGTTAAACTAGTGGAGGGAGACTTTTTACCTCTACCTGTGGGGTCTTCCCAAAATCTGATGAATATGCAGAGCCCGAAACTGAGTCTGGAAAGCCAGAGAGGACTTTGAACATATTCTAAAACTAAGGACTCTAAAAATAGGTCTTAAAAGCCAGGAATCAAGGGTTAGGGGAAGAGAAAAAGAGTTGCAGGTTTAGAGTAAGGGGGCAGCGGGCCTGGAAATTGCCAAGAACCAGCATTATAGTTTAATAGCACCAGAGTAATGGGAGGATGGGTTGGGGGTGGACAGTGTGTGTGAAGAGACCAGGAAAGGTGCAAAGTTCCTGTTGCCCATCAGGCTGAGGAGGAGAAAGAAATGTATTCCTGACATCTCACGTTGAGATTTAGAATACCTTTCTCCCTAGGAAAAAAAATACGTACTAGATTAGATTTCTAGGCTAGCCTGCTAAAATAGTTTCCTCATAATGAACTTGAAATACAGATTCTAAGTATCATGAGAAAAATCTTGGTAGAAAACAGTGGGTTATCAAATGAACTTTTGAATTAGGTTCCACTAATAAGAGGGGAATCACCTGTAAATTAGAATTAAAGAAGAGTTAGCCATACTTTAGTAGTTTATCATGGCTTACACATATTCATTAAGATTATTTACTATTAATTCTTTAAAAATTTAAAAAATAATAGTGACACTTTTGAAGAGTATTGATTAGTTATTTTATCAAATATCCCTCAGTTTGTCTTATCTGATATTTTCTCATAATTGGAATGAGGTTTTGTATTTTTGGCATGAAAACTACAAAATTATGTTTTCTTTTCAGTATGTTGTATCAGGGTTCATAATATTGATATGTGTTATTATTAGTGATGTTTACCTTGATTATTTTATTATATTTGCGATCTACTAGGAAATACCTTACAGGTTGGAGGAGACTTAAGAGAAATAACTAAATGCAATGTGGGTTCTGACAGGAACCTAGGAAAAGGATATTAGTGGCAAAATTGGTGAAATTAAAAGAAGGTGTGAAGTTTAGTTAACAATATTCCAATGTTCCAATTGGTTCCAAGTACCAACGCTCATTTCCTGTTCTAGATAATTGTACTATGGTCATAAAAGATGTTAATATTAGGGGAAGAGGAGTGAAGGAAATAAAGGTACTCTCTGTACTATCTTCTGTAAATCTAATATTAACTCAAAATAAAAAGTTAAAAAATAATGCTATCTAACACTTATATAGTGCTTCCTATTTGCCACATGTACTCTGCATCTATTAACTCTGGCTCTTTTCAACAACCCTGTGAGGGGAACTGCTATTATCACTATTTGACATATGAGGAGACCTAGATACAGAGAGGTAAGAAGCATGTCCAGTGTCACATGGCTGTGAATTGGTCACATAGCTAGAAAGTGGCTGAGTTGGGATTTGAACTGAGGCACTTTGGATCCAGAAATCAATTACAGCATACTGGCTTTCAATGTGCTATATATGCGCATAGTTTAAAAAGATTCAGTTATACTCTTCTGTGAAGCAATCTCTGTTACAAGTTTTTTGGCTTTTCTTTTAATCCTTCAAAGAATAATTTACTTTCGAACATTGATAGGAAAGCAACTCACTTTGGTTTTTATTTGTAATATTCAGAGCTGTGCTATGACCATGTTTTAGTCTCTCTTCAGAATCTTCTGATGGCATGCTAACAATTGTAGATGGCAACTGTGTTGGAAACTAGGGGATCCCATCTGAGTTGGTCAAAGTCTGTGAGTAAAGTGCTAATTGCTCATGATTACTATGTTATGATTAAGTACAATATGATTAAGTAGACTCAAACTTCATTCAGAATTTAACCAAATTCTGCAGTTGCTCTCATGAGTACTTTGGTTAGTATGAATGCCTTTTTCATTTTACTATTGGAATTACATTTTCTTAACTCAAAAACTGTCAGCTATTGTAACAATGACTTTGTTTGTAGTCTTTAAAATTGAAGAAAGAGTACAACATGAATTACTATACATTAGACCTTTGACAGTCTGAATGAATTGCTTGAGTTTGGTCTGATTAGTGTACCTAATGTAGAGACTGAGCTTCCTTAAATTGCCAGAGGTGTAAAGTTTCACAAGGTACTGGTTGCTGTAAAGGAAGAATGACTTTGAGTTAAATAGAGAGTTGATTAAATGCATATATTGACAGTTACTGACTCAGTAAGCTTCATAATTCTAGGAATCAATCACTGCTGATTCATATGTTTAGATATATTCATTTCTGTCTTTCTGTTTCTTAGGCCAAAAAGAAAAAAGAAAACCAATATTTAAGAGGTGAGAAAAGTAACAGGAATTTCCTATCTATTTATACACATACACACAAACACAACAAACCTGTAGTCTTTGCTGCAGAAGCAGCTTGTTTTTCATTCCATAGGGTATTTTTTTTTCTGTGCATTGAATTAAAATTTGTAAACAGCAGGAATTGTGGCTTGTTAAAAGAAAAACCTTAGACAAATTAAATTTAGCAGAGCTTAATTGAGCAAAGAATGATTTGTGAATTGGGTAGCCCCTCAACCAGAATAGAGAGGTTCCAGAGCTCTGTGTGGTGAAAGAAGATTATGGATAGAAAAAGGAAAGTGACGTAGAGAAAATGGAAGTGAGGTACGGAAACAGCTGGATTGATTACAGCTTGAAGTTTGCCTTATCTGAGCATAGGTTGAACAGCTGGCTGTCCTTGATTGGCTGAAACTTGGTGATTGGCACAAGAGTAGATTACAGTCTGTTTACACATCCAGTTAGGTTACAGTTCACTGTGTATGAAGAAACCTTTAGGTTATAGTTCACAATGTATGGAGAAACCTTTAGGTTATAGTTCACAATGTATGGAGAAACCTTTAGACTGAACTTAAAATATGTAAAGAGACAGCTTTAGGCTAAACTTAATTTAACAGACTTTTTGGTTGCCTTTGGATTGGTGGGGCAGGGGAAGAATCTAATAGCAGATATTTGCTTTGCAAGGTCCAAAGATCAATTTTGTTTTCTTGCTGTCTTCTCGTTATTTTCTCTTGTTTTTTTTTCTTTTTTTTTTCCTGAGCTTTATTTGCATCTCCAGTCCTTTTCTCTATCCTTACTTTTTAATTGACTATAATATGGAATTGAATTTTTTAAAAAATCTGTTAAATTTATTTTTAAAAGTTTATTTCTTGGTCTTGCATTTAAAAGGCTGTGAATTGAACCTTTCTTCTTTAACTAAAAAAAACTGTAATTAAGTGGCTTTTTTCTTAAATATGTTCTCAACTAATTTTCCTCCTTGTAGGTAGCTTAAAGGAAAAAGAAATGTCCTTTCAGTACTCTCATTACATATTCAGGCAATCCCAATTTGTATGGACAACTAAATTAAAGTAACAAGTGACTCTGACAATTTAGAGAAATGAATTAGTAAAGTTTAGTAGCATTAAGCACAGGAGGATTTACTTAAGAGAAAAAGCAGGCAAACTTTATAAACACAAGTTGGAGAACTATCAAGTTTGTACATGTCTCACAGAGATGAAGAATACAGAATAAACCACTGGCCAAATATAAGTTAGATATGTAACACTAACACATAGAATTAGCAAAGAGGATGTTGTGGGTTTATATGGAAGAAATCTGTTTGTGAGTCACTGGTTAGGAAATCAGAACCTACTTTCCTATAGATGTCAAATGGTAAGGGTGATTGTTCAGTCTGAGAGGTCCCTCCAGGGCAAGGAACCTTGTCTAATTTATCTTCCATCTCATCCTGTTGCCTTGCATGGAGTCAGGTCTTAAAAAACTCATTTCCGTAGTTCCTGGTTTATAAAGTCTAATTAACATGTAAGATACCCCAAATTCAAGCCTTTGTCCTATTTTCTTCTTAACCTACTGATGTCAGATGTTTTTCTATTTTGGAACATAATACTGTTGTAGAATATTGTGGAATCATAAGTTACTGATTAAGTTACTGATATCATAAGTACATTGGTAATATATAACCAAGCCCAAAGAACCCTTATTTCATATCAGTTTGATTTATTTTGGCTGTGACAATCAACTGTTTTCTCTCTCATGAAAATCTCTTTTCTTGAGGCTTCTTATTCTCCTTCTCAATCTCCTTCTTGAAATCTTGTCTCTCTCTGCACCTAAATGCTAGTGTTCTCTAGGGTATTATGCTCTCTATCTGCAAGCCTACACACCTATTGGCTAACATGGTAGGCAGAATAATTATTCCCCAAAGATTTCCATGCCCTAATTCCTGGAATCTGTGAATATGTTATATTACATGGCAAAAGGAACACTGGACTTATATTATGGACCTCAAAATACATATATACATTGGGTGGACCCACTGTAATAACATGGGCACTTAAAAGAGGAAGAGGAAGACAGAGCAGTCAGTTAGAGAGATGCAGTGGAAGAGGCAGGAGGTATTTGATTATGAGAGATTCCACTTGCTGTTATTGGCTTTGAAGATGGAGAAAGTGGACCACAAACCAAGGAATGTGGGTGGCCTCTGGAGTCTGTGAATAGCCCTCAGCTGACAGTCAACAAGGAAACACAGGTCTCAATCTTAAGTCTTCAAGAAACTGCATTCTGCTAACAACCCGAATGAGCAAAGAAATTGATTCTCTTTTAGACTCTCAGAAAGTAACTTAGCCCTGCCAACACTTTGATTTTAGCCTACAGAGATCTATGTTAGGCTTCTGATCTAGGAACTTTAAGATAAGAAATGTGTATTATTTTAAGCCACTAAGTCATGATAGTTTGCACAGCAACAGTAACAAACTATTGCAGCTAATGACTCTCAAATTTAAATGACTATCTCAGATCTTTCTCTGAACTAGTCAGTTGCCTATTGGATAGCTTCTCTACAGTATCTGGCTGGAACCTCAAACTCATTACATTGAGATAAAACTCTTTTCCCTAAAACCTGCTCATATTTTTTATCTTGATGTTGCTCCTAACCATTCAGACTCCTTAGCCAGAAATCTGGGGGTCAGTTTAAACTCCTTTTCTCAAAATACACTATTTCTCTACACATCCCTATGCTATATAATTGATACCAAATCATTTTGATTTGGGGTTTATTACCACTGATTTAGGTCAAGCTCCCACCACTTCTCACTTGGATTTCTCAGGTAATCTCCCAACACATCTTCCTGCCTCTTGTTAAAATGTCTTGGTAATTTATTCTTCTGTTCTATGAAAGTGACCTTTTCAATCAGATTATGTTTCTCCTCTACTTCATGGTTTCCCATTGCCATTTCAGTCAAGTTCCAATTTCTAAGCATTACACACAAGGCGCTCTTTATGATCTGATTCCTCTTTCCTCCCCAACTTTTTAACTCTTTGTGTTCCATAAAACATATCATGCTGTCCAGCTGTATTAAATGGCTTGCATTTTCTTGAACATGTGCTATGTATGCCATCAGTGCCTTGTACATACTTTTTTATCTGACTGGAAGGCCCTCCTTTCTTTGTTTCCCTAACTCCTACTTCTTTAGTCTTCAACTGAATTGTCACTTTAGTTAGGGGCTCAGTAAATGTTGGTTTAAAGAGTAAATGAGAAGAATGCCAAAGAATAAGAATTGTGAACCACTGAAGTGGATTTTTACACGAATTTCTAGAGTCCCTTTCCCTAAAGGACAATTTTAGATGGCAATGTTTCTGGAATAGTTTGAGGGTAGCCTTTTGTTAGTTTTATGTAAATGCTAAGAAGAGAGCATTTGAGTTTGGTATTTGGAGTAGGAATAGACAGGAACTCACTAAAGAGTTACTTCAGAAGAGAAAGTCATTATGGATGATGGTCTCGTATAAGAAAGCTACCAGACCTACTCATGTAATCATCCACTGTTCTTATCTGCAAGAGGGATTACCCCTTTTAGTTTTGCTTCCTATTTTTTAAAAGCTAAGATATCCTGTTCCAGAGAGAGTAAGCTTACATTAAAAAGCATTAAGTATCTTTAGTTTTCTTTTAAATTTGACTTATGTTCTAATGATTGTTACTTCATGGGGGTTTCCAACCTTGGGAAAAAAGTTAATAACTATTTTTTTAGGTTTATTATGAGAACTATACAGTTTAGTCAATATAAAATATACAGTGCCTTGTGTGTAATTAAGTAGTTAATAAAGGCTAGCTATTAGTTGTTATAAATTATCGTTATTGCTAAGCATTTAAAAATGATCCACCATTTTGCAGAGATTTAAACATCTCAGAGCATCTCATCCTTATGTGAAAGAAAAATAAATCTTTTTTTTTTTTTTTTTTTGAGACAGAGTCTCGCTCTGTTGCCCAGACTGGAGTGCAGTGGTGGGATCTCGGCTCACGGCAAGCTCCGCCTCTCGGGTTCACGCCATTCTTCTGCCTCAGCCTCCCGAGTAGCTGGGACTACAGGTGCCTGCCACCATGCCTGGCTAATTTTTTGTATTTTTAGTAGAGATGGGGTTTCATTGTGTTAGCCAGGATGGTCTTGATCTCCTGACCTCGTGATCCGCCCACCTCAGCCTCCCAAAGTGCTGGGATTACAAGTGTGAGCCACCGAGCCCGGCCCCAAGTCACATTTCAAATGCTCAGTAGCTACATGTGGTGGCTAGTGGCCATTGAACAATACACTTCTAGCTATTCTCTCTGTAAGGAATGCTTTCCTACAGCTAATCACTTGTTTAAGTCCCTTACCTCCTTCAGGTTTTTGCTAAATTTCACTCTCTCAGTGAGGCCTACCTTGACCACTCTATTTAATACTATAGTGTGCCCCAACTCCCCACACTTCACACTTCTTCATTCTTTATCTCTTTCACTGCGTAATTACTAATTTATTATTTTCATTGTTTATTGCCTGCCTTCTTTTTCTCTACTACTTCATGGACGGAAGCTTCCTGGAGGCAGGGATTTTTATTTTGTTCACTGACAACATCCCAACACCTAGAATAGTGCTTGGCCTATAGTAGGTGCTCAGTAAACATTTGTAGATTAAATGTAATGAAGGAATGAGTCATTGCAAAAACTTGTTACAATTATAAATAAGCATATACTAGATTCAAGACATAATTCAGGAAGAGTTAAAAGCATTGCTGACCAAATCTCTCTTAACTAGGTCTTGAATATATTCTCTGTACCTTATACCATTTTAAGCTGGGAGTAATGGGGAGAGAAATGAGGAGTTTAAAATGAGATTAAAAGAAGCTTATAATCTGTAGTTAGGAAGACAAGATTCACAAAAAGAAACTAGGAAAAAATCCTGAATTTTGTTGAAAAAATTAGAAAATGGACTTACAATAAGGTCTCTCCGGTTGTGCCATATATATTCCTTTGATGAGAATTTCCCAATAGGTATTTAAGTAGTCATGTATTTATATATCATTATTTGACAGAGACTCGGAGAACATAAAAACAAGAAAGCTAAAAGTAATATAAAGCCTGCACTTGAAAATTAGTTTAAAACAATGATAGTGAAAAATAGAATAATTTTGGCACTAAACATTGAATTTATACAAATCTTTTAGAGTTTCATGTATTATACAAAGTTCTGAGGAAAAATTATTTTGAACCTAGAATTATATACTAGCCAACTGTTCATCAGATTCACATTTCAAAAATGAAAGCACTGAAAATGTTTATCTTCCATGCATCCTTTTTAAGGAAATAATTTCAGAATATATTCCTACAAAACAAAGATAAATATGAAGCAAAAAGCTGTAGATGCAGTAGCATGAGACAAAAAATAAATTAAAAAAATAAAACCACTGTAGAGTACAAGAAATGGAAAAAGTACCCAGGGATTCAATTGAAAGATTTTCTAGTCTCCTAGTTGTTGGCCTGGAGAGCAGTTTGTCCAGGTTAGAACTGGTCTTCAAGAATAAGAACAAAATGGATTCCAAGCAATAGAATTGGAAATAGAAGCACATTAGGTACACGATGGAGACAAATACTACTTTTCCCAACAACCACCATGATCACCACTACCATCACCACCAAAAAAGGCACTCAGAAACTAAAGGAAAAATAAAAAATTTTAGTGATCTAAATACAAAAGAGACAAAAGTGAGGCATGATTTTAAGGGATTAGTGGAGTATGGGAAAGGAATATTCATTTGATCTTGACATAAAAATGTTTTGTTTTGAGTGTGAATAGTGATCATGACATTGAAACAGCAGAGATGGAAATAAAATCCTAACTTGTGTCTTGTCTTTATACTAAAGAATATATAGCTGGTTGCAATAAACTTGCAGTAAACTATACTTTTGATTTTTAATTTTAGAATAGACCTTTACTTAAAGCATGGCTACAGAACAAAAAGCAAATGTTATTACATTTTGACAACATAAAGATAAAAGAACTACTGATGGAAGCTGGGAGGTGAAAGGCAGAAAGGAGGTGAAGGGAAGGGTAACAGTGCTAACGTCCTCTTATTACAAAATGAGTACCAAAAAGAGAATATTGAAAGTGGATGCTTTAAAATATACTAACAATATTGCTTCAATTATCAGTGTTGGTAGAAAGATGGGAGTTGGAATATTGAGTAAATTTTTTTTTTTTTTTGAGACAGGGTCTCACTCTGTCACCCAGGCTGGAGTGCGGTGGCAAGATCATGGGTCACAGCAACCTCCACCTTCCAGGTTCAAGCGATTCTCCTGCCTCAGCGTCCTGAGTAGCTGGGATTACAGGCACCTGCCACCATGCCTGGCTAATTTTTGTATTTTTAGTAGAGACGAGGTTTCACCATGTTGGCCAGGCTGGTCTCGAACTCCTGAGCTCAAGTGATCTGCCCACCTTGGCCTCCCAAAGTGCTGGGATCACAGGCGTGAGTAATGGTAGCCATAGTGGTGGTGAGTTCAATCAAGGAGGAAGTGTTTGCAAAGCAAAAATTGTGAGGTGCACTTCTTAACACCACAAAGTTCAAAAACAAACAATTACAAATATGGCGAGCTCACTGAGTGCTTTTGTACTGAATCATTTAATCTTGTGCATTTGTATTATTATTGTATACTTTTGGAATTTTTATTATACAATAATTGGTGTTCATTCATTCATTTCCAAACCTGTTCACTTAACATGCCGATCTTTGGGATGTGGGAGGAAACCAGAGTCCCTGGAGAAACCCACACAGACATGGGGAGAATGTACAAACTCCACATAGACAGTAGTCCTGGCTGAGAATCAGGTTTTTTTCTCATTAATGGTATAATGAAATGGCCTTATTCAAGGACCTCCTGAACCTCCCACACTCTGATATAACCCTCCAACACACACACACACACACACACACACTCGTTGAAATCATTACCATAGAGACTCCTTGTCCTTGATAAGAATGTGTCTCTCTCACTGAAATAGGGGGAAAGAAAGTTGAGAATTAAAGCCTAGAGGCCTAAAATCTACCAATAGGATTTGTCCACAAATATAATATTACATTATAATAATATATACATATATGAATATGTTGTATTATATAACATCAATATATTAAATATAATAAAGCAATCTAATCATTATATATTGAATGGTGTAGGGATAATACGCATTATTTTGAAAATACTAAATAGATATATGTTTCATTCCCTTTATAAAGTCTGTCTGTACTCTGTAACCTTTAAGATTATCCTTAGTAGTCTGAAGGAAGGAAAAGGTTGATAATGCCAGAATAAGAAGTACATAGGATAAAGGTGAAAGAAATAGCACATAGGAAGCAATGCCTAACAGGAATTGGGAGTGGAAGACCTGATTCTAGAACAGAGAAAAGGAGAAAAGAGAATTCAGACTCCTGTGGCTCCTCTGGACTGAAACCCTAGAAAGCATTGATGTAGGGGTTTAGAAACACCCTAGTAATTTTCAGGGAATCTTTTAGCAGCAGAGATTTTTTCTTTTCATACTTCTCCTTGTGTTATAGGATCTTTGGGGTGTTGATTTTCTTCCCCTGTAAACCTCTGTTGCCAGTGGGGCCTTTGCCCCATTTCTTGTCCTGCGTCCAGGAAGAATGAGGTATGCAGACAAATGAAGGGTGAGGAAGAAGAAGAGGAGATTTATTTAGTGCTGTAACTGCTCAGAAGGAGACCCACAGTGGGTAGCTCCCCTCTGTGGGCAGGCAGGTCGTCTGTCAAGTGTTCAGCTCTCAACAGAGAGGAGGCCCTGGAGATGGCAGCTTCTCTCTGCTCGCTGGTCATCCTGAGGTCTGCTTTTCTCTGCAGGCAGGTCATTCGGCAGTCTCTGCAGATCTCTGAAGCTATTAGCAGAGAGCGTAATTAGCAGAGAGGGTAGCTCCTCTCTGCTGCTGGTCATCCCATCTTCTGCTCAGCTCTGGCTGAGCCCGGCTATTTATGGACCTCAGAGGGGAGGAAGTGCACACTGGTTGGCCCATGGGTGGTCATGGGCAGGCCTGGAAAAGGCACCAGTGTCCACTCCAGTCAGTGGAACTGGCAGCCTGGGCCCCAGCCTTCAGGCCCTCCCTGACCTGACAGAAGGACCTTACTGGAGACCCACCCCCTTCCACGTGGGACTCTGCCTCCTACTACTCATGACGCCCAGGCTCAGCCTGACTTTGCTCCAAGATTGGAGCAGGAGCCAACAGCAGGGAGAAGCCAAGCAGTGGGAGCAGGCACTTTTAAGCTTGTGAGGGCAGGGGGGCCTTCCCAGGCCCCCAAGAGTGCAGGGATACCTGAGTCTGCTGCCATAGTTTGGGCAGTTGCACCCCTGCCCAGGAGGGCAGGGCTCCTGCCTGCTCTGTGGAACAGGCAGCCCTGGCCACACCTTCCTGCCACAGCTGGGATGATGGCAGGCCAACTGGAGTGGCTGCCACCATCACTTGGGCAAACTGGAGAATTTTTAAGGTCTCTTAGAAAAAGCATTATATTTAACAAGTTGAACATAACAAAGTAGCAGAATGAGTTGGGAAAGGACAAAAGATTCTCTCCAGTTTTCTAAAATCAAAGTTGTCATGATAGAATTCCTAGGTTTCCCTTTGGGCTTAGGGAAGGTAACTGGGGTACAAACCAGTTTATGATCTTCTTTAAGAAGATGCCCGCCAAGGGCAAAGGAGTGCATCTTGAGTTTGTGGGAGGCCCACCGAACAGGGTGAAAGGACATAGAAATTGTTTGTCTTTAGAATGCCCAATGCCAGGAGGCTACGATGGGGGAATTTAGCAAACATTTTCCCAAAATCTATAAAAAAACACTAAATTACTGAGCTAGCAATTAAATGTCACCATTGCTGGAGACCAGACTAACAGCTAGAACTAACAGAGAACAGAGAACAAACTACAATTTTTCCCAGTGTCAGTATGTCATAGTGTGAGGAATCATGTGCAAAAAGGAATATGTATTTCTCTTTATTGGAAATCAACGTAGTTCACAAACCCCCATGTAAAACACTAATCTTGTCAGTTAAAATTTGGTAACAGTAAAAACACTTAATCTTGTCAATTAAAATTTAGTCACTTCAAAGTTGAAAGTTTTCTTTGAATAAATATTTAAATTCAGAGTTCTTTTTCTTCCTAAGAGCAGTGGCCTGCCATTGAAGAAATATCTTGTTCTGGTGCTGACCTCTAGCGGTCATTGGCCTTCCCCGAGGTATCTGATCCTGCTTGGTCTTTGGCTGATAGAAATTTGCACTCACCACTGTAATGTTGTGCCTTGGCATCCAGTCTCTAAAATATAAATACCTTGTATTTATCTTACCACAACCCTAGGCTCCTTTGACTCACCTAGTTCTCTTTCCTCATCATTCATGGGCCATTGCATTACAGATACTTTACTGTGGTAGTCTTCAAATTGGGATACATATATATCTGGGGGTACACAAATTTCAGGGAGTATGTAGGCAAGATAGTTTTTGTTGTTGTTTGTTAAAATTTGCCTTATTTAGGTATGACTTATGTAAATAAAATTCACAAATTTGAAGTGTACAGTTCTGTGACTTTTGACAAATGTATATCATCATGTAACATCTACTACAATCATGATATAAAACATTTCATCACCCAAAAAATGTGTTCCCTCATGCCCATATTGTGGCATGTATTAATAGTTTATTCTTTTTCAAAGCATGTTTATTGAGATACAATTCACATACAATACCATTCATTAAGGAAGACTGGATAAAGAAAATGTGGTACATATATACCATGTAATACTATGCAGCCATAAAAAAGAATGAGATTATGTCCTCTACAGGAACATGGATGAAGCTAGAGGCCATTATCCTTAGCAAACTCATGCGGGAACAGAAAACCAAATATCACATGTTACCACTTGTAAGTGGAAGCCAAATCATGAGAACACATGGACACAAAGGGGGGACCAACAGGCAGTGGGGCCTACTTGAGGGTGGAGGGTGGGAAGGGGAAGAGGATAGAGGATAAAAAAAAAAATAACTGTTGTGTACTAGGCTTAGTACTTGGGTGATGAAGTAATGGGTACAACAAACCCCTCTGACACGAGTTTACCTATATAACAAACCTACACATGTACCCTTGAGCCTAAAATAAAAGTTTAAAAGAAAAAAAATTCATTCATGTAAAGTATTCACTTGTATGGGTTTTGTTTTTGTTTTTGTTTTTAAGAAATGAGGTCTCACTGTGTTGCCCCAGTGGCATTGAACTCCTAGGCTCAAGTGATCCTCCTTTAGCTACTCCAACCACTGTGCATGGCTTAAATAGTTTTTATTGTGTGTACAGATTTGTGCAACCATCACTGCAATCATTTTTAGAACTACTGATACATGCAACAACATTGATAGATTTCATAGTGTTATGCTAAGAAGTTAGTCATAAAAAATTACATACTGACTGTATGATAATAGTTAACATGTCATGCTGGGAAAGGCAAAACTGGTGACAGGAAGAAGATCAGTGACTTCCAGAGCCTTGGGTGAAGGGAGGAGATTGACTACAAAGGACATGTGGTGACTTTTTTGGGGAGATGAAATGTTTTCATTACTCTAAAAAGAAGCCTAGTACGCATTAACAGTCTTCCTCATTTCCCCATTATACGTCCAGCCCTAAAAAAATCAATAATCTACTTTCTGTCTGTATAGATCTGTCTACTCTGGACATTTCATGTAAATGTATCAGTACTTAATTCCTTTTTTTTTTTTTTTTTTTTTGAGACACAGTCTGTCTCTATCACCCAGGCTGGAGTGCGGTGGCACTATCTCAGCTCACTGCAACCTTCACCTTCCGGGTTCAAGCGATTTTCCTGCCTCAGACTCCCTAATGGCTGGGATTACAGGCACGCGCCACCACACTTGGCTAATTTTTGTATTTTTAGTAGATACACGGTTTCACCATGTTAGCCAGGCCAGTCTCGAACTCCTGATCTCAAGTGATCCGCCTGCCTTGGCCTCCCAAAGTCCTGGGATTACAGGCATGAGCCACTGCATCCGGCCTTAATTCCTTTTTATTGTGGAATAATATTCCAGTGTGTGGGTATATCACAGTTTGTATATCCATTTACTAGTTGGTGGACATTTGGACTGAAATCTAGACCACTTTTTGACTATTATATTTATAGATATATTTATATTTATATTATATTATAGATAATACTGCTATGAACATTTGTGCACAAGTGATTGTGTGCACATATAACATACCCAAGATGTAGGCCTCAGAGTGGAATTTCTGGATCTTGGGCATATACCCAAGATATATGCCTAGGAGTGGGGAAATTTCTGGATCATGTAGTAACCCTATGTTTAACATTTTGAGGACATTTGTTCCTTTTTATTGCTGAGTGTTATTTCATTTGTTTATCCATTTACCAGTTGATGACATTTGGGTTGTTTCTACCTTTTGACTATTATGAATCAACCTGCTGTGAACATTTGACAGGTGTGAACATACACTTTAATAATTTCTTTTAAGTATAATGAATTCCTGTTCTTTTAAGTATAATGAATTCCTGTAAGTAGAATTACGGGGTCATATGGTAAATATATAAGTTTAACTTTATGAAAACTGCCAAATTGTTTAAAAAATAGCTGTATCATCTTGCATTCCCATCAGTAATGTATGAAAGTTTCAGTAGCTCCATATTCTCATCAACATTTTATGTTGTTAGTCTTTAATTTTAGCCATTCTAGTGGATGTATAGTGGTTTTAATTTGCATTTACCTGATGCTAATAATGTTGAACATCGTTTTCTACTTGTTTGTCATTTATATATCTTCCTTTGTGAAGTGTCAGTTCAGATCTTTTGCCCGTAATCATTCAATAAAATAATCATTTTATCCTTGCTTGAAAAAGCTACAGTCTTTATTCAATCCAATTTAGCTTAGTCTGCATCTACCATGGAACTGAACGTAGCTGGAGAAAAATACAACCATCTTAAGTGATTTCATTTTAAATTCAGGTAGCCCCTTAATGCAGCCCAGCAATCATAAGGCATTCACTCTTCTCCTTTTCTAGATGACTATTTCATTCTTTCTCCAATTTCTTCAAGTCTCTGTCACTTAAACCATCATCTTTTGTTACTACTTTTTTGAGAAAATTGAAGCAAGTAGAAAAGAATTTTTATTGCAACCCACTTCTTTCCAGCATCTGCCAATATACTGTGCCTTTCCTCCTGTTCATATTAGATGAACCTCTCCTGCTCTTATCTAAGGCCACCTCATCTGCTTGTATGCTATGTCTCATCCCCTTTTGCCTACTCAAGAAGATTGACCCAATCATTCTACCCTCTCTTTGCTATATTATTAGTTTTTTCCTCTATCTACTAGATCATATCCAACATGCTGGTTTTTTTCTGTCTTTAAAAATATTTCTGACCAAGCACAGTGGCTCATGCCTATAATCTCAGCACTTTGGAAGGCCAAGGCAGGCGGATCATTTGAGGCCAAGAATTCAAGACCAGCCTGGCCAACATGGTGAAACCCCGTCTCTAGTAAAAATACAAAAATTAGCCAGGCTTGGTAGTGGGCAGCTACTCTGGAATCTGAGGCAGGAGAATCGCTTGAACTGGGGAGGCAGAGGCTGCAGTGAGCCGAGATAGGGAGGCGGAGGCTGCAGTGAGCTGAGATCGTGCCACTGCACTCCAGCCTGTGTGACAGAGCGAGACTCCATCTCAAAAAAAAAAAAAAAATTCTTGGACTCTCTTCTTTACCTTTTCCCTGGTCCCACCATCAAGCTATACTGCCTCATTCCTTTTATGTCCTTTATAGAAAAACTCCTTGAAAGAGTTGAAGATATTAACCATCTCCAATGTCTCCAATTCCTCTTTTCATTCTTTCTTAGGCCATTCTAACCAGGCTTTCATCTCCACTCTTCTATCAGACCTGCTCTTAAACAAAACTTTCAATATCCTCCACATTGCTAAATCCAATGGTCAGTTCTCAGTCCTCATCTTACTTGACCTATCAGAAGCTTTTAACACATTTGATCTTTCCTTTCTTTTGTAAGTATTTTCTTCACTTGAGTTCCAGGATACTTTTTCCACACACGGTCTTCTCCATGTCAATCAATGACAACTCCATCCTTCCAGCTATTCAAGCTAAAAATCTTGGAACTATTCTTTACTCCCCTCTTTTTCTTGCAGCCCACATCTAGTTTGTCAGTACATCCTATTGCCTCAATCTTCAAATTATATCCTGCATTTAAGTCTAAACATTTTTTTTTGTTTTTGTTTTTGTTTTTGAGACAGGGTCTTACTCTGTTGACCAGGCTGGGGTGCAGTGGCACCATCATAGCTCACTGTAATCTGCAACTCCTGGGCTCAAGAGATCTTCCTGTCTTAGCCTCCCAAGTAGCTAGGACTACCGACATGTGCCACTGCACCTGGCTAATTTTTAAAATTTTTTTGTAGAGACAAGGTCTCCCTGTGTTGCCCAGGCTAGGACTCCTGGCTTCAAGCCATCCTCCTGCCCTGGCTTCCAAATCTCTGAGATTACAAACACTTTAACTGTATAATAAATTGATATCTTTATAGATCATTTCCATTTACTTTTTTGTGAGTTATTACATTTTTGAAAATACAGTAGACTTTTAGAACCCACAAATGCTTTTCCTTATCGTATCAGGAAATACTGTGTCTAATCTACAAAAGTCGGATTTTTAACAGGCTCAAATAAAAATGGCCTGTTTCTAACAACCAAAGAAACAACAAAGCAACAACATAAACATACACTCAGACATCCACTTCATACCACCTCAGCAACAGCAACAACACACATACACACACATCTACTTCTCATTACGTTTAATGCTGCCTTCCTGATTCAAGCCACCATAATCTCTGCTTGCATTATTATAATAACCTGTCATTTAGTCTTCTTACATTCACCCTACAGACCATTCTCAGCATAACAGCCAGAGTGATCCTCTTAAAAAATAAATCAGATCATGTTATACCTCTTTTTAAAACCTGTGATTTGCTCCTTTTCTCTTAGAGTGAAAGCCAGTGTTCTTACAGTGGCCTGCAGAGATTGACATGGTCTTCCCACCACCCCCTTACATCTCTGACCTTATCTTGTACTACTCTAATGTTCCAACCATATTGGCCTGCTTACTATTCCTCAAACAAAAGTAGGCATATTCTTGTCTCAGGGCTTTAGTACGTGCTGTTCACTGTGTTTGACTGCCACAGTCTTCATGGCTGATCTCTTTCAAGTCTTTGCTCAAATACCACCTTTCAGTGAGTCTTCCCTAACAATCCAATTTAAATTGCAAACACTCCATGCGCTCCTAGTCTCCTTTGTGCTACTTATAAACAAAAGCCAAAACCATAGCACTCACTACATTCTAACATACTTGCATAATTTACGTACTTATTTTAGTTATTTGACTGCCTTCCCTCACAAGAATATAAACTTCACAAAGGCAAGATATTTATCCATTTCGTTCACTGGTATATCTCTAGTACCTAAAACAGTTCCTAGCACATTTTAAGGACTCAAATATTTGTTCAATGAATGAATGAAAGAAATTTGGTTAAAAACTGGAACAAAACAGGAATGGAGGCCAGCGACAGGAGAACTTCTCTACCTCATTTCCTGTAGGCCTACATGCTTGGAACTTAAAAGCAGGTTGTTGTGAGCCTAAGGCCTGAAGACATGCAAACTTTCTTTTTTCTTTCTAACCAAACTCCTGCTTTTTAAAAAATCATATTATTTCTGGGAGTGAGTCTGTGCTGTGTATTTAATCTTGGATTGCCAAGCCAGTGAGGTGGGAAAAGGTTGGAACATATCTCTATTCTAAAGAGTAGAGTTGGATTTTGTAAATATAGGTGTATTTCATGATAATTTAAAATGTTTTCTTGAAGTAATATATGTGTGTACAAAAAAAACACATATCATAAGTATATAGCTCACTGAATTTTCACAAACTGAATTTGTCAATGTAATTGGCATCCATAGCAAAAAGCAGAACCCAGCTAACATCTCAGATGCTCCTCTGTGCCCTTTCCAGTTACTAGCTACTACCCAGGGTGACCACTATTCTGACTTCTCATGCCTTGGAAGTGTTTTGCCTAATTTTGTTCTTGATATAAATTAAATCATACAGTATAAACATGCTTGTATCTCTTTTTTTACTCAAAATTTTGTTTGTGAGATTTATCCACATTGTTATATATGGTCAGAGTTTGTTCGTTTTCATTGCTATATAAAATTTCACTTACAGTCTAACCATTCTACTGTTGATGGATATTTGGTTTCCAGTTTGGGGGTTATTATGAATAGTGCTACTATCAACATTCTATTAATGTATTTTGGTGTATGTATGCGTGAATTTCTTTGGACATTTTTGTGTTTTTTAAATCCACAGTCAGTGAACCCTAAGTGTTCCTCAGCATTGCAGTCAGTATATTTACCATGTATGCGTTACTCAAATGACAGCTGTAGTTGCAGGCATTACCAAATCCTTCCCTCCTTAATGTTATCACTGGACTTTGTCTATACTTGGGATTCTTAACATGTTGTATTTTGGTTAAGTATGCGTATTCATGTTTTTTATTAGATTTTGAGTGCTTTTTAGTACTTTGTTTTACTTGCTTATGTATCCCGACTCCTGACGAGGTACCTGAAATATAGTAAGCTAGTTGAGCGAATGGTGATAGCTGTCACCATTGCCAGTGATTAACAGAGCAAGTTTCCCTAGTTATGTGAATCACTTAGCCTAGAGTAAAATCCATGCTTTAGTTTGATATCTCAGTGTCAAAGGATTAGGAATGGGAAGTCATTTCTCTCTGAGAGAAGCCCAGAACTGTGGGCTCAGAACTGAATGTGCTGTGTGGCTAAAGGGAATTGCTATGGCTTTACAAGCCTCTTGGAGATTTAAAGTGTTAACAGCAGTGATTCCAAGGCATAGTGTGGGGGGGCCAGATATAAATAGCAGAACACAAGTAGCGTAGTGTGCCACTGCCAAGCTACTGCTGGGGGTGTTTATAAAAAGAAAAGCATTCCTGTCTCAGCTCTCACTGTCAACAACATCCCATCCTGAAGACTTGCTTACCACAACTGAGAGTGGGGAGTCAGTTTGAGGCCTAGCATCACTTAAACTTCCTCCAAAGGCACAAAAGCCAGGTAAACCTTTTGACTTATTTACACTCAGACTAAAGAAATGAACAATTTTTAGGAAAATCCTGATCAAAGCTTGCTTAAAACATATTGCCTTGTGACAGATATCTATCATCTTATATTCAAATCTTTTTTGGAAAGAGAAGTTTAACACAAAGTAGCATGTTGGTACTATATTTTAGTATTTTTAGTAAAAACAAAACAAAACTGCTTCTGAAGAAATATGGGAAACTGAGGCCAAAATGATCTATAAAAGGGAAGACTTCTCCCTTCCCCTGTGCTGTTCATTCTCATTTTTAGAATCCAGAATATGGTGATTGGTAGGGTAAAATAGAAGCTTCATTTGAGTTACATTATCATAAATACTGGGATGAATATTAGGCATTCGGCCAATAGTTGTATAATCTTAGAATTGCTGCCTACCCAGTTCCTTCTTATTCTTGTTCCCGCCTTCAGAAAGTTATGTAAGACACTTATTTTACCCTCGGGCTTCTCTTGATTGTATTTGGGGGAAGGGGGCCATCTCTGACAATCCACTGCTTTGTACCACTACTGACCTCATCATCTCCTCTGTCCCACTCAAAAGGGCATGACAATGTGCAAAGAGGATAGAAGAATGGATAATGTGCATGGACATATTCCTGGGGAATTCTTAGAAACTGGGAGCTAGGGGACCAATTTGAGACTGCTGTTTTTTAGTCTGATTGTGTTATTTCCTGTGCACGCTGAGGGGAGATTTAGAGATGGGAAGAAAATATGACTCCCAGTGACTGTGGTGGGAGAGATGACATGTCTGGAGGAGTATGGAAATGCACAGATTTAATCTTGAGCAAATCACTGAAATTCTAAGGTGTTTTTGTTTCCTCGTCTGTAGAATGAGAGCATTAGACCACTAGATAAAGCCTAATGGCTCTTGTAGCCCGTTAGGAATTTATTGATAATCACTTCCTGACCATCATGCTATCCACTCACATTCTAAATGAAAAAATACGCAGTGTCATCCTATTCTACTTCCCTACACCTCTTTTTTGAGTCTACTGAATTGAAATTTCTTTATTTTAATTTAGAAGAGAAAAATGAAGACGGGACATTTTGAAATAGTCACCATGCTGCTGGCAACCATGATTCTAGTGGACATTTTCCAGGTAATGTTGGGAATGGGAAGCATGTGGTCATTGGAATGGAAATTCGTTTTTTTTTTTTTTTGAGACGGAGTCTCTCTCTGTCGCCCAGACTGCTGGAGTGCAGTGGCTCGATTTCGGCTCACTGCAAGCTCCGCCTCCCAGGTTCATGCCATTTTCCTGCCTCAGCCTCCCCAGTAGCTAGGACTACAGGCGCCTGCCACCACGCCTGGCTAATTTTTTGTATTTTTGGTAGAGACGGGTTTTCACCATGTTAGCCAGGATGGTCTCGATCTCCTGACCTCATGATCCGCCCACCTCGACCTCCCAAAGTGCTGGGATTACAGGCGTGAGCCACCGCGCTTGGCCTGGAATGGAAATTCTTGATATAACATTACCTGAGGCATCTGTGTGGCTTGATGGTGGAAATGAAAGTAGGTAGGATAGGTAAATTAATTATAAGTAGCTCTTTTCATTTTAAATATGTGACAGATTAACTGTAAAAAGTTGAAAAAATTAAAATTAAGCAAAAAGAGGAAAGTAAAGATTATTCATAATTCCTCCACTCAGAGGGAATGATTCCCAACCTGTTGGTGTATACAGGCTTCTTGGCTTTTTTCTATGTGTATACTGTTTTTAATTTACAAAAATGGGTTCACACTGTACATAGAATTTTTTCTTTGCATTTTAAGTTAATACTATGCTGCATGTCACGCATGTCATCAGATATTCTGAATATATGTTTTTCTCCAAATAAGATAATGCTGCATTGTTTGATTACATGTTTTTTAATTAATGACCATTTTCCCACATTTTTTTTCTGGCAGAACTTTTATGATTTTATTTGCAATTGACTCTTTAAGCATCCTGTAACATATTTTTATGTAAAATATAATATTTCACTTGATTTTTTTTCCCCACGTTGTTAGCTGCCACATTACTTGTGGGTATTTGTGCACCATTTTAGATGCCTTTTTAAAAATATCTTAAATTCTTAAACTGTTATCCTTTTTTGAATTTAATATTCTAATCCATTTTCTATAGAATCATTGTGTATCCTGTTTCCTGTGTCGCAGTATGTTTTTTATTGAAATATAATTTACATACCATAAAAATTCACCATTTTTAGCTGTATACTTCAGTGGTTTCAGTATATTCATTATGTTCTGCAACCATCACCACTATCTGATTGCAAAACATTTCCGTCAACCCAAAAAGAAACCCTGTACTTATTAGCAGTCAGCCCCAATTTTCTCCATCCCCCATTCCCTGGCAACCACTGTCTACTTTCTGTGTCTATGGTTTTGCCTATTCTGGATATTTCGCCTAAATGGAATCATACAATATGTGACCTTTTGTGTCTGGCTTCTTTCACTTAGCATAATGTTCTCAGGAGTCCTATCAGTACTTCATTCTTTCTTATAGCCGAGTAATATTCTATTTTATGGCCGTACCGCATCTTGTTTATCCATTTATCAGCTGATGGACATTTGGGCTGTTTCCACTTTATGGCTATTACGAATAGTGGTGTTGTGAACATTTATGTACAAGTTTTTATGTGAACATGTGTTTTATTTTTCTTTTTAAAAAATTTTCTAATCATATAGTCTTGACATATTGAGATACTACAAACACTATTTGGTTATTTGGTAGCATTACAGAGTAAAGTTTACTTATATATAGGAAATATATATGTAAGAATGAATTTGGGGGTTATGATTTATGATTCATAGCAAAATTACCTATTGTTGTGAACATGTTTCACTTCTCTTGGGTGTACACCTAGTAGTGGAATTGCTGGGTTGTACGGTAATTTTATGTTAACTTTTTTAGGAACTGCCAAACTTTTTCACACTAGCTGCATGGTATTACAATCCCACCAGCAGTATATTAGGATTCTAATATCTCTGCATCCTTGTGTTACATGTTACTTGGTTTTTCATCATTTATAGCCATCGTAGAGGATATGAAGTGGTATTTCATTGTGGTTTTGATTTGGTTTTCAATATACTCTTGCAACATAATTTAAGTGTATTTGTTCTGTAATTGTTTCATGATTTGCTTAGCCAGTTTCTCTCCTTGACCTTTAGGTCATTTCCATATTTTTGTAAGAAATTTTTGGTAATTGAATTTCATTAGTATGGGCTTTTTTTCTCGGTGGTTATATCAGAGAAATATAATCAGCTTGTTCACCTAGCCTTTTGTACCTGTTTTTTAGTATCTGTTCAGTTGTCCCTGAATAGTGGTGGCATTTATGAACTTTGTCACTGCTCAAGGCACGCACCATACAAAATACACAATCAGCTATGGTGTCTGGCCAGAAAGACTTGATGTCTAAAATTAGACATTTGGAGACTGGTTAGAGGCATAGGGAAAAGACAGGAACATAGTAGATCAACTCTGATATAATGTAAGGAATGTGGGAGGTGTTTTCAGGGTCTGGTGTCTTATACGGTGTTGAAGTCTTGAAGATAAATCAGGCATTGGCACCCAAGCTGCACTCTGGTACATTCTGTGCTGTGGAGGAAAGTGCATTTCTTGGCTATGAGATGGCAGTGATTTGATCTCCTGAAGCTCAAATTCCCATGTCAGGAAACTGACCTACAAACCCAGGACTACGGGGGTCTTAATGACTTCCATGGCAGAATTCTCTGTGGCTAGTAATCAAGATAGTTTCTGAAGCTGGCACAATTCCCTCGTTTGTAAAATGGTGTTAACTATTTTTTGTTAACCTTTTATAAATGTTGTAATGAAGACAGAATTACACTCTTTTTCAAGTGCTACATAAATGTCCATGGTCTTCATAATTGGAAACATTCTGATTCTTTAGAGGCAACAGAACAGTTTGGTTAAGAGGACAAGACGGCCGGGCACGGTGGCTCACGCCTGTAATCCCAGCACTTTGGGAGGCCGAGAAAGGCAGATCACGAGGTCGGGAGATCGAGACCATCCTGGCTAACATGGTGAAACCCCGTCTCTACTAAAAATACAGAAAAATTAGCCGGGCGTGGTGGCGGGCGTCTGTAGTCCCAGCTACTGGGGAGGCTGAAGCGGGAGAATGGCGTGAACCCGGCAGGCGGAGCTTGCAGTGAGCCGAAATAGTGCCACTGCACTCCAGCCTGGGCGGCAGAGCGAGACTCCGTCTAAAAAAAAAAAAAAGGACAAGACTCTGGAATTAGACTGCCTGAGATCAAATTCCAATTCCATGTAAGTCTCAATCTCTTAGTTTCCTCATCTTTGTTAAAAAAAAAAAAAAAAAAGGCGGGGGGCTAATAATAGTACCTACCTCACAAGGTTGCCGAACACTTAGTGCCTGGCATATAGAAAGAACTCTGGAGATGTTTGTTAAACTTAGTGATAGAGTGTCCACCCAGTGTGTCTGAGAAGGAAATATGTAGGAAAAGTTCACAAATGAAAAATGGTTTTAAATAAGAACCAGGTCGTTGTGGCTGTACGATTGTAAGTTTCGTCTTAGACATGTTACGTATGAAGGTTCTTTGAACATTCAAGTGGAGGTGTTAAGTAGGCAGATAAATTTGATATATAGGACTGGCACTTACAGGATAGATCAGATATATTTAGATCATAATTGAAACTGTAAGCATGTATATAACTGCCTGGGGAGCGTAGAGTTGAGAGTTAGAAAATACGTAGCCTTGAGGAACTCCAACATTTAATGGCTAACTGGAATATGTTGGGTCTGCAAAAGAGTCTAAGAAGAAATGCTCCCTTAAGTGAGAGCTGTTTGGGTGGAGAAATGGGTGGGAAGCCATAATGGGGAGGGTTGAGCTATACGTGGGAAATGAAGTGGAGATGGCAAGGACAGACATCTCTTTCAAGATGTTTGTTCGTGAGGGAGAGAAGAGAGATGGGAAAGGAGATACCTAGAGCAGGATATGGAAGCAAGTTTTGTTTTGCGTTTACAAGTTAGTATCTCTGTCTCTCTCTCTCTGTCTCTCTCTCTTTCACTCTCTCTCTCTCTCTCACACACACACACAGAGAGAGAGAGAGAGAGAGTTTTTAAGTATCATTCACATAGAACCTGTAACTTTTTTTTTGAATCTGTAACTTTAACAGCTTCTAGCTAAATATGTCTATAAAGTCTCCAACTGAGGTCCCTAAGCAGACTTATGCAACTATGCACCATACAAGTATAGACTAATGGAAGAGGCATTATCCTTTTATTTGTAGAAACTCATAAATGGTATTCCTGGGGAGATTTGATCATCTTATTTTTTGATCCATAAGCCAGAGTACAGGGTTCTAATGTAGTTCACTTGAATATTTTGCCAGGTTCTGTGCTAGGTGTGTAGGATTCAAAGATAAAAACGATACAGACCGTACCCTTAAGGATCTAACAGTATAATACATATATTCCTAGCATGAAATAATACAAAAAAACCACATCACACTGGAGAAAGACCTTATGAAAAAATAATAATAACCACGGCATGTTAAAGACTTGATATGTGCCAGGCATGGGGCAGAGGGCTTTGCATATGTTCATTACATAATTTAATTCTCACAGCCATCCCACAGTTAAATACTATTTCCTCCACTTTGTCTTCCTTTTTTAATTTATTTTTTATTTTTTGAGATGGAGTTTTGCTCTTTTGCCCAGGCTGGAGTGCTGTGGTGCAGTCTCCGCTCCCTGCAACCTCCGCCTTCTGGTTTCAAGCGATTCTCCTGCCTCAGCTTCCTAAGTAGCTGGGATTACAGGCGCCTGCCACTACGCTCAGCTAATTTTTGTATTTTTAGTAGAGATGGGGTTTCATCATGTTAGCCAGGCTGGTCTTGAACTCCTGACCTCATGATCTGCCCGCCTCGGCCTCCCAGAGTGCTGGGATTACAGACATGAGCCACTGCACCTGGCCTTTTATCCTAATTTTTTTTAAAATTGAAAACTTGAGGATTAGAAATGTCAAGTAACTTTCCCATACCTAGTTAGTAACAAATGGGATTTGAACTCTGATCTGCCTGGCTTCAAAGTGGTGTTAATTACATTACACCACCCTGCTTCTTATGTTATGTGAACATATGTATATGTATAATTTAGTTGTATGTGGTATTATGCCTCTTCAGTTGTATGTGACTGAAATACAGTTCAAACTAGCTGAAGCAAACAGGGAATTTATTGATTCTTACAACTGGTGAAGAGTACAGTTAGGCCCAGCGTCTAAAGTATGTTTTCGGGTCCTCATCTCTACCTCTCAGCTCAGCAAGCCTTATTTGTTGCTTTATTTTAAGACAGAATTCTCCATGGGACTAAAGAATAACTGTTGGAAGCCCTAGGCCAATATTATCCTTAGAGCTTACAGCTTTAGAGGAAGAAAGATCCATTTTTTTCCTCTGGGAGCTCTGATTGCTAGACTTTAGATCACCTGCTTATCCAGGAGGTGCAAAATCATTTCTACCCAGGCCATATGGACAAGGGAGGGGGCAACCCCAAAGGAAAAGGGTAATGTTTGTCATTATGTGTTATAGATCATGAATAATATTTTGCATATGATACTTCAAATTCCCAACAGCCTTGAAGGGTTGAAGAAATCTAGCTAAGATGTTCAAAGCCAGGACTGCCACCCATTTCTTTAGCTTCACATCCATTGTTCTTTGCTCTGTGCCATAATGTCCAGATAAATGAGCTACAGGCACAATCTCACCCATACCTCTCACCCACTGACATTTACTCTTTCACACAAATATGGCACAGCTGAGAAAAGTTATCAATAGCAATGGAATATACTTCCTGCATAAAAACCTACCCAAAATTGGTTATAAGTCAGGCGAGAATTTTGGCAAGGGATGAGAAGGTGGGGGTAATAATGTGAGAGAAAATGATATTCACTGAATTTCTTATTTCAAGAGTATTAATTTCTTTTTCCTTTGAAGGTGAAGGCTGAAGTGTTAGACATGGCAGATAATGCATTTGATGATGAATACCTGAAATGTACGGACAGGATGGAAATTAAATACGTTCCCCAACTGCTAAAGGAGGAAAAAGCAAGCCACCAGCAATTAGATACTGTGTGGGAAAATGCAAAAGCCAAATGGGCAGCCCGAAAGACTCAAATCTTTCTCCCTATGAATTTTAAGGATAACCATGGAATAGCCCTGATGGCATATATTTCCGAAGCTCAAGAGCAAACTCCCTTTTACCATCTGTTCAGTGAAGCTGTGAAGATGGCTGGCCAATCTCGAGAAGATTATATCTATGGCTTCCAGTTCAAAGCTTTCCACTTTTACCTCACAAGAGCCCTGCAGTTGCTGAGAAAACCTTGTGAGGCCAGTTCCAAAACTGTGGTATATAGAACAAGCCAGGGCACTTCATTTACATTTGGAGGGCTAAACCAAGCCAGGTTTGGCCATTTTACCTTGGCATATTCAGCCAAACCTCAGGCTGCTAATGACCAGCTCACTGTGTTATCCATCTACACATGCCTTGGAGTTGACATTGAAAATTTTCTTGATAAAGAAAGTGAAAGAATTACTTTAATACCTCTGAATGAGGTTTTTCAAGTGTCACAGGAGGGGGCTGGCAATAACCTTATCCTTCAAAGCATAAACAAGACCTGCAGCCATTATGAGTGTGCATTTCTAGGTGGTAAGTGTCTGCTCTGTCTGTGCTTGGCTGGGAGGGAAGGAGTGGGATTCTTAGGCTTAGGGAAAGGTCAGTGAAAGGAGAGTGAGAGGTGTTTGAAAGGTGAAATGACATTCCGTCTAGCTTCTTTCATACTATCTCTTTACCCATAGTTAATTTTATGAAAATTGTACATTTACAGTATTATTAAAAGTTAAAAAAAATTAGCACTATAAGGCAGTGGTTCTTAACCAAAGGCAGTTTTGCCCTGCAGGGTCATTTGGCAATGGTCAGAAACATTTTTGGTTGTCACAGTTGGGGAAAAGGGGGATTGCTACTGACATCTAATGGGTAGAGGCCAGAAACACTGATAGACAATGCATAGGACAGCCCCACACAACAAAGAATTATATGGCCCAAAATGTTGGTAGTGCTGATGTTGAGAGACCCTACTATAAGGCTTACAATAAATAAATAGTGCAGCCTGGGAAACATAGGGAGACCACCATTTCTGCTAAAATAAAAATAAATTAAAAATTAGCCAGGCATGGTGGCACATGCCTGTGGTCCCAGCTGCATGGGAGGCTGAAGTGGGAGGATTGCTTGAGCCCAAGAAGTCCAGGCTGTAGTGAGCTGTAATCACACCACTGCACTGCAGTCTTGCAGCAGAGCAAGACCCTGTCTCAAAAAAGAAGAAAAAGAAAAATAGCAGTCGCCAGCCCCACCTTTCCTCAATTTCCACTCCTCAGTGGCATCCAGTTTTCATTCTTTTAGCTATTTCTTCAGGTGCTTACTGTCATGTTTCCAAGTAAATAACATGCTTCAACATGTTATTTCTTGGTTTTTAAATCTTTAGACATCATGTATTGACTTCCTACTACAGAGAATGAGTATGTAACCCTCATCTACCGTGTATTAGTTAAGAATTTTTTATGTGTTCAGCTGTAAATAACAGAAAACCTGACTGAGCTTTCATTTAATAAGTCTTAGAGGCAGGCTGTTCAGAGTCAGCGCAGTGGCTCATCCATGTCATGTCACTCATGCTCTTTCTTTCTGTTCCACCATCCTTACCATGTTTTGTTTGTTGATTCATGTTTGCACTTGTGACTGTTGCAGCTCTAGGCATCAATCCATGTCCAAGACAAAAAGAAAGTAAAGGGGATGACAGCCAAATCTACTTGTTCAGTAAGGAAAGTAAAAGTTTTCCCAGAAACCCTTACTAAACTCCTGATTACAGGTCATTGACTTGAACAGTTTCTTGGTCACCCATAGCTACCAGAGAAGCTTGGGAAGGGGGTAATTATCCTTTCTCCAGCCAAGGGAATATAGTGTGTGGGGGAGACAAAGGAAAAGGGAATTAGAAATGGCTGTTAGATCAGTAAACCAAAAGTTTCTGAAAGCCAACACCCTCCTTCCCAATGTACGTCCATTTCCCCCTTCCCATTCTCCCAGCATAGTAAAGACAGGTCATAGCTCAGTTAGAGTGGTTTTTCTGTGCTTAAATCCCTCTTTTACCCCAGGGTTATTCTATGATTTTTTTGTTTGTTTCCTTAGTTTTTTTAATATCCAATCAGTAATTCACCTCCAAATCCTTTGACAGAAATATAAATTTCTTCTTTCCCCTGGATAATTCCCTCATCATACTGCTCTATGATAAGCTCTTTAGGCCTGCTGAACATCCTGAAATCTCTCATTACCATTCTGAGATATTGCTTCTTCCCTATGAGAGATCTCCTATTTCTTGGATTTGCAACTCTTTCTTGGATTACTACTTTGTTTGGTGTGGTGGGGATGGGGGTTCTGCAGAAGTTTCGGAGAAATGGTCCACTAAAGAAAATTTTCTAAGTCTCTGCATCTCTGAGAGATCTGCCTTTAAGCTTGATTAATAGTTTATGTAGATTTGCATTTCTATTTTAGAAACTATTTTTCCTTGGAATTTTGAAGATATTCCTCCAGTGACTTCTAGGTTCTGTAGCTGTTGTTGAAAGGTATGAAGCCATTCTAATTACTAAAACTTTGAATAAGACTTTTTAAAAACAAAAATCTGGAAGGTTTTAGGTTGTTTTCTTTATTCCCAACATTCTGAAATTTTATGGTGTTGTGCCTTAGTGTGTGTGAGCAAAGGGTTAGTAAACTCCTTCTCCTGTCTTCTGTGAAAATGGCCTCCTGGTGATCTTCCAGCACTCTCTCTGCAATCTATGAAAGGTGGAATGACAGCTGTGTGACCTTACAGCATTGCCTGTGGTAAACATAACCCTTGATTGGTAAAGTGCATCTGAGCTGGGAGGATTGTGAATGAACTATAAATACTTGAGGAGAAGCCATAGCTTTGGGCTTTCCTGAATGTGGTGTGACATACCCAGGTGTTCTTCTTGTTGAGTCCTGGAAGGACAGCAGTACTCTCGTACCAATCCTGCATAGGTTCAAAATATATTGTATTTTATATGTGGCATGAGGCTACTAAGCTAGAGAGGCTCCTACACCCACCTGTGTAATCTTGTTTCCTTGAACCTGAGCTGTAATTTGGAAGCAAAAGAACAGCCCTGGACTCCTGTGAAGACTTGCATTAAAGGAACACATCTGATGCTGCTCTGCTGCTAGACAGTATGCTTTATTCACTGCTGTATATTCTTCTGCAAAACTGAGTAAACTGGTGAGGGGTTGGCCTTTTTGGGTCTTGAAGGTGTGATTGCCTAACTGAACCAAAAACCATCGCTGCTGGGTCAAGTAAAGTGTGCAGTAGGCCTCAAAGTGGGATAGACTTTTAGATCTTGACTAAATGTAGCCAAGGTACTATGAGATAAAAAAGGCTGGGTGGTAGGGAAGTGCTAATGAGACATTGATGTCTGGGTAGGGACAGATCCACTTATGATTGGATGGCAGAAGCTGTGTGGCTATTGAGGTGCCTAGGGTGAAAATTTTAAGGAAGTCCTCACTCTTAGGGCTGTACCTGCACTTGTATATTCCTGAGAGTGCCTCCTTAAATTTTCTCTAGGCACCTTATTTGCCTCACCCTAGTCCTGCATCTGAGTTGCACCTGAGAAGGACGATTCTAGTTAGAGCAGATGAAAGCTGAAATGAGTAAATTTGGTTGAAAGAAAAAGTGTTTATAAAAAGATAGGGGAAAAAAGACAAAAGACGAGATGAGAAATGCTGGCTAGGGTTTGGAGAAGAGGGAACCCTGGAACACTGTTGGTAGGAAGGTAGATTGGTGCAGCCATTATGGAAAACAGTATGGAGGTTTCTATCTTTAAATAGAAATTAAAAATAGAACTGCTGGTCAGGCACAGTGGCTCATGCCTGTAATCCCAGCGCTTTGGGAGGCCGAGGCGGGCAGATCACCTGAGGTCAGGAGTTCGAGACCAGATTGGCCAACATGGTGAAATACCATCTCTACTAAAAATACAAAAATTAGCCAGGCGTGGTGCCACGTGCCTGTAATCACAGCTACTTAGGAGGCTGAGACAGGAGAATTGCTTGAACCCAGGAAGAGGAGGTTGCAGTGAGCTGAGACTGCACAACTGCACTCCAGCCTGGTCAACAAGAGTCCCCCCCCCCGCTCCCTCCCCGCAGAAAAACAGAACTACCATATGACCCAGTAATCCCTTTCTTGGGTATATACCCCAAAGAGTTGAAATCACCGCCTCATAAAGATATCTGCACTCTCATGTTCACTGCAGCATTATTCACGGTAACCAAGATATAGAAACAACCTAAATGTCCACCAGCAGACAAGGGGGTAAGGAAAATGAGGTATATATACAATAGGATATTATTCAGCCTTAAAAAAAGAGAGAGATTCTGCCATTTGCCACAACATGGATGGACCTGGAGGACATTAGGCTAAGTGAAATAAGCCAGACACAGAAAGCTATTGCATGATCTCAGTTATATGTGGAATATATATGAGATCAAAAACGAGAGAATGAAACAGTAGTTACCACAGGTGTGGGGAGAGGAACTGAAGAGATGTAGATCAAAGGATACCAAATAGCAGACAGGTAGGATGAACAGATTTGGAGATCTAATGTGTAACATGAGGACTAAAGTCAGTAAAATTGTATTTTACTTAAATAAGGATTTTAGCTCTCTTGCTACATATACAAAAATATGTGAGATGATAGCTATGTTAATTTGCTTCACTATAGTAACCATTTTACTATCCATATGTATTTCATGGTTTCATGTAAACCTTAAATATACACAATAAAATTCAGTTTTTAAAAAAGGAAAGGTGCTCATTCTCACCAACCATACATTGGACCTGACCCAAAACCAAGCCAGCTGGGGCCAGTTTAGACGAGCTCATGGGAACTGATCGTGGGTATGCATGTCTTCTTTCCTGCTCCCCCTATGTGACAGTAGCCTGAAATTGGCCATAGTTTAGAGTTATACCATGGAAATCAGAAAACACTGCAAACCAGGGTCTCCCTCCCTCCCTACACCAATCTTGTGAAACTTTATCAGCATAGCACAGCCAAAAACCCGGCTGCAGCTGGGCTGACAGAAATGGTACCGCTTTTGGTGTTTTTGATGCCTTTGGCCAGATGCCGTTTGTGGAACCGTTAGTTATATCAAAGCCCTGGCTGCAGTGGCTACAAGCTAAATGTAGCACAGGGGTCTGGTTGATGGGCTGAGGTGGGCAATGGAGCCCACAGACTCCATGTTTGTGAGTGGGATTATGAAAGAACCAAAGAGGTTCTATTGGATTGATTCTGAAAATGCCAGAGTTCAGACCCGCGTGGAGAAGTGCGGGTCATTGTGGAGGCGCACGTGTACCATGTGTTTAGGGAGCTATGACAGTCAGCCATTGTACTCGAGTGTGTTGATTTAACCCTGGGCTGGAGTCCTCTGCCGCCATCTAGAGATGGAAAGTCAGGATCAAAAACTCCCTGGAGTAACCTTTAAAGACAGGCAGTTTGAAACAGTGTGAAGAACAATGGCCAAGTGTTTTAAGAGCCCTAGCTAAGGAGAATGTAGTGAGAATCTTGTTCCATTGTGACTGGATATAACTGAGCCTTTGGATTAAAAAAAGACAATGTTTCTAAAAGGGGTAAAAAAAATTTTTACTGCGTTACGTTTAGTGTGCTAAACATAGTCCCACAATGTTTTAAACTTGCCTGTGATTTCCAAGATAAATATATATTGTGAGTTTTTCAAAAACTAGTTAGCTGAAAACTTTGTTCGTTAGGAAGCAGAGAGAATATCAACATCTCTTTAGATAATATAGTTCCTGGTGGTCATAGACATTAATCTTGGTATTAATCCAAGCTGATGTGAGTGAAAAGGAGTAACAGAAACCTTTCTCCTTCCTCAATAGAAAATTAGCCCAGGTTAACTAACTTTTATGCTATTTTTCTAGAAAATGCGATAAAGTTGAAATGTTAGCTGTATAATCAAGCTACATCCATTATCATTAAAAATTACTCCATTGGGGCTGGGTGCAGTGGTGTGTGCCTGTAGACCCAACTACTGGGGAGGCTGAGGCAAGAGGATCCCTTGACCCGAGGGATTCAGGTGCAGCCTGGGCAACATAATGAGACACCCATCTCTTAAAAAAATTACTCCATTGGAAAATTATACCTCAATTGGGAGGACGGTGAATGAATTATAAATACCTGGTGGGAAGCCATGGCTTTGGGGCTCCCTGCACCCTACAGGGCAAATATACTAGGTTTATAGGAAGAAAATTTATATGCAGAGAAATAGTAGAGCACATATCATCCCCTGAACTCTCTTTTTTTTTTTTTACTGAACAGAGTAGGCAGAGATTATCTGGCATTTTGGTCAATGTTTCCATAGAGAGAGGCGTGCCTGTATAATGCTCTACATAATTTATAGAGTAAGAGGGCCAGGGAATATTGTTCCCTGGCTGGAAAGTAGCCTTGATAGAAAGGAGGAGCCTGTAGACTCCAGTGGCTAGTAGTATTATTTTGTAGAGTTTACTGAGACCTGTTGAGCCAGCTCTCTGCTAAGCCATCAAAAGGGGGAAAGAAGGTGAGCCTACAGGACTATCCAGATTTATTTGTTATAAATCTACCCCAGCCCTTGTGTGCTTATTAAATGTTAAGTATCTCCATTGGTTCTGATTGGCACCTTTCTTTAGCATTTCCTGGGAGTAGCAAAGTTTCTGTACTGTTGTCTGGGATTGTCTAAGATTGAGACATCAATAAGATCCATGTCTCTAGGCCTAATAGGAAGTGACATATCCAACACCATAAGAAATTCGTACTTCTAAACAGTGGCTGAAATGTCCCTGAATGCTATAGCAAATTCACCAGGCTGCCAAGGAATATTTTTAAATTTCAAAACAGACACCGCCATACTTGATATTTGTCAGACACTGGGTGAACTACTAGCTTGAGGTGGAACTCAGTTTCAAAGTTACATGTTATATCATAGTACATTCTGTTTGATGACATCATAAATTTGCAAAGCTGGATCTTTTTAGCAATTGTTGTAATGAAACCAAGTATATGTGAAAATCAATGTGGCATTTATCAATACCCCAAATTAATAAATATTTATATCTTAACACCTTAGTAAACATTTGAAAAAATAGCACATACTTTTTAAAAGTACTATTATTTTATTCTTAACAATAATTACTTGCTAATGGGATGTGTTTGCTTTTTGGACATTCACAGCTTCTCAGACCCTGGAATCAGATTGTGTACTATCTCATTTCCTGTTCCACACTGATTTTCACATATACTTGCTTTTTGCGACAACAATTGCTAAAAAGACCTACCTTGCAAATGATATGGTTTGGATCTGTGTTCCTACTCAAATCTCATGTTCAGTTGTAATCTCCAATGTTGGAGATGGGGCCTGGAAGGAGGTGATTGGATCATGGGGGCTGTTTCTAATTATTTAGCACCGTCCCCTTTGTGCTGTTATCATGATAGAGTTCTCACAACATCTGGTTGTTTAAAAATGTGTAGCATCTTCCCCCTCTCCCTCTTCCTCTTGCTCTGGCCATGTAAGACGAGCCTGCTTCCCCTTCACCTTATGCCATGAGTGTAAGTTTCCTGAGGCCTCCCCTGCCACGCTTCCTGTACAGCCTGCCGAATCATGAGCCAATCAAAACTCCTTTCTTTATAAATTACCCAGTCTCAGATATTTCTTTATAGCAGTGGGAGAACAGATATATGTCATCAAACAGTTTGTAACATGATATAACCTGTAGCTTTAAAACTGAGTTCTACCTCAAGCTAGTAGTTCACACGGTGTCTGACAGATATCAAGCCTGGCTGTGTTTTTCTTGAAATTTAAAATATTCTTTGGAGGCTGGGCGCGGTGGCTCACGTCTGTAATCCCAGCACTTTGGGAGGCCGAGGCGGGCAGATCACGGGGTCAGGTGTTCGAGACCAGCCTGGCCAACATGGTGAAACCCCGTCTCTACTAAAAATACAAAAATTAGCCAGGCATGGTGGTGGGTACCTGTAGTCCCAGCTACTCGGGAGGCTGAGGCAGGAGAATCACTTGAACCTGGGAGGCAGAGGTTGCAGTGAGCTGAGATTGCGCCATTGCACTCCAGCCTGGGTGACAAGAGTGAAACTCCATCTTAAAATAAATAAATAAATAAAAATATTCTTTGGTAGCCCTGTGAACACCTCAGCCACTGTTTAGAAAAACCACAGATCTAATGGCAGGTCAGCCACATGTTTGTGAAAGTGGATTAGGTTTTAGTAGCCAGGTTTGGCCCTTTATTGGAGGTAAGATTTCCATATGACAGTGGAGCTTTCGAGAGTTCGTCCAGCCTTATGGGAATTTAGTTCAGAGAGAACGTATTGCATAATAAGATACTGGTTTAGTGAATCATGACTTTTCTTTCGATAAGACAGTCTGTCTCAATTAGGCCCAGTTAACAGGCTAGCAGTAACAGCCCTGCAGAAAGAGGAAGTCCTCGTGACCTACAAATTCTGACGTAGCCTTGTTGCCAGAGATTCTAATCAGCTGTGAGTATAGTCATTGACATTTGTAATTTCTTTGGATCTGAAAGAGATAGGGAACTTGTGGGAGGGCTTTATTTACTCTTGTCCAGACTGCGTCTAATGTTTCTAACTGTAGACTTCTCTGCTAACATGACAGCCATGTAATCTCCAGTATTTAACAAGTCAGGGATGTGGAGGGCTTCTTTTGGTAGGGAACTAGAGACCAGATCCAAAACCTAGTCCTGTCCTGTTCATCCCATCCTCATAATTAAGAAAAAAAAATTTAATAGCTTTACTGAGTTATAATTGATATGCAATAAACTGCACATAAAGTAAAATTTAGTAAGTTTTGATATATGTATATGCCAATGAAATCATCACTACAATCAAGACAATGAGCATTTTACATTTGTTGCTTACAAAAGTTTCATTCCTCTTTGCAATTCCTTTCTCCTCCCTTTCCCTGTTTCCCAGTCCCCCCAGGCATCTACTAATGTACTTGCTGTCACTACAGATTAGTTGGCACTGTCTAGAGTTTCATTCAAATCTTATCATACAGTATATTCTCTTTTTTGCCTGGCTTCTTTCACTCGGCATAATTGTTTTGAGATTCATCTGTGTTGTTGCATGTATCAATAGTTTATTTATGCTGTTGTAGAATAGTGGATATAACACAGTTTACTTGTCTATTCACCTGTTGATGAGTACGTGGGTTGTTTCCAGTCCTTGGCTATTACAAATAAAACTTCTGTGAACATGTATATACAAGTCTTTGTATGGACATATGCTTTCATTACACTTGAGTAAATGCCTAGGAATGCATTGGCTGGATTATATGATAGGTATATGTGTAACTTTGGAAGAAGCTGCCAAATGGTTTTCCAGAGTACCTGTACCATTTTACATTCTCACCAGGAGTGTATAAGAGTTCTAGCTATACCACATTCTTGCCGACACTTGATAGATGTCTTTTTAACAGTTCTAAATAGATATGTGGTGGTATTTTATTGTAGTTTTAATTTGCATGTTCCTAATGAGTAATAATGTTGAGCATCTTTTCACATACTTATTTGCCATTTGTATATATTTACTGAAACACCTGCTCAAAGATTTTTGTCCACTTTTAATGAGGTTGTTTTCTTATCTTTTGAGAATTATTTATGTATTGTAGGTACGAGGTTTTTGTCTGATATGTGATTTGCAAATATTTTCTCTGAATTTGTAGCTTATCTTTTTTTTTTTTTTTTTTTTGAGACAGAGTCTCGCTCTGTCACCCAGGCTGGAGTACAGTGGCACAATTTTGGCTCACTGCAACCTCTGCTTCCTGGGTTCAAGCAATTCTCCTGCCTCAGTCTCCCAAGTAGCTGGGACTACAGGCATGTGCCATCACGCCTGGCTAATTTTTTGTATTTTTAGTAGAGACAGGGTTTCACCATGTTGGCCAGGCTGGCCTTGAACTCCTGACCTGAAGTGATCCACCTGCCTCAGCCTCCCAAAGTGCTGGGATTATAGGTGTGAGCCACTGTGCCTGGTGATTTATCTTTATTCCAGTATCATATATTGATCACTATAGCTATATAATAAACCTCAAAACCAGGTAGTGTTCATTGTATTCTTTTCTTGCAAAGTTGTTTTGGTGATTATATGTTCTTTATGCTTCCATATGAATTTTAGAATCACCTTGTCAATTTCTACAATTTCTGCTTGGATTTTGATTAAGCTTGCCTTGCATTTATAGATCAATATGAGAAGAGTTTTAAAAAATATACTTTTCCAACTCATGAACACAGCATAACATCTCCATTTATTTAGGTCTTAATTTCTGTCAGCTGTATCCAAATAGTGTTCAGTGTGTAAGGCTTTTCCATCTTTCGTCAGATTTACCTTTAAGTGTTGTATGTATGAAAAGTTTATTTCACCTTCAGTTTTGAAAGCTGTTTTCACTGGGTATAGAATTCTAGATTGATCTTTTTTTTGTCTTTTAGTAGTTTACAAATTTACTGTTCCTCTGTTGTTTTACTTAAATTGCTTCTGACAAAAAAATCTGCTGTGCTCCTCATTTCTGCTCCTCTTTATTTAGCTCCCCTGCTCCCCACTGGCTGCTTTTAAGACTTTGTGTTTATCATACTTATTTGGACCAATTTGATTATGATGTAACTTAGTGTCATTTTTTTTTCATGTATCTTGTGCTTGGAGTTCATTGAACTTATGGATTTGTAGGTTCATAGTTTTCATCATATTTGGAAAGTTGTGACTACTGTTTGTGCAAATATTTTTTCACCCCTCTCTTCTTCCTTTAGGGATTCTGTTTATATGTATATTAAACTGCTTGAGGTTGTCCCCAGCTCAATGAAACTCTAATGTTTCTTGTTATTAGTATTTTTCTCTGTTTCATTTTTAGATGTTTTCTATTGTTTTGTATATTTCAGTACTTCATTGCTGCCATAACAAATTACCACAAATTTAATGGTTTAAAACAACACATCTAGATTTATTATCATAAAATTCTGTATTTCAGAAGCCTGACATAAGTCTTGCTGAGCTGAAATTAAGGTGTTGGTAGGGCTGCATTCCTTCCCAGGAGCTTAGGCAAGAATCTGTTTTCTTGCTTTTTCCAGCTTCCAGAGGTTACCTGCATTCCTTGGTTTGTGGCCTCCTTCATCCATCTTCAGTCAGAAACAGCATGTTGATGGCCAGGTGTGGTGGCTCATGCCTGTAATCTCAGCACTTTGGGAGGCTGAGGCAGGAGGATCACTTGAGTTCAGGAGTTTGAGACCAGCCTGGGCAACATAGCGAGACCCTGTCTCTACAAAAAATAAAATAAAAAAAGTATCCAGGCATGGTGGCATGCATCTGTAGTTCCAGCTGCCTGTGATGGGCTGAGATGGGAGGATTGCTTGAGCCCAAGAGTTGATGTTGCAGTGAGCCACGACTGCGCCACTGTGCACTCCAGCCTAAGTGACAGAGGGAGACCCTGAGACCCCATCTCAAAAAAGAAAGAAACAGCATGTTGAGTCCTCCGCACCTCGCATCTCTCTGATCATCTCTTCTACTTCTTGTTTTTTCCACTTTTAAGAATTTATGTTATTAGATTGAGCTCACCTGGAAAATCCAAGATAATTGCCCCACCTGAAGGCCAGCTAATTAACAACATTATTTGCATCTTCAACCATTGTTCTCTTTTGCCATGTAAAATAACATATTCACAGGTTCTGGGGATAGGATGTAGACCTCTTTAAGAAGGGTATTATTCTGCATACCACAGTATGTCAAGTTTGCTAATCTTTTTTCTTCAGTGTCTAGTTTGTCAGTAATTCTATCTGGTGTATTTTTCATCTCAGAATTTTTATCTCTAGAAATTCAATTTGGGTCTTTTTATATTTTCCACGTCTCTACTTAACACCTGTTAGTAGTAATGACATACACTACTGAATGTATCCCCCCCAAAATTCATATGTTGAAGCCCTAATCCTCACTGTGATGGTATTTGGAGGTTGGGCCTTCAAGAAGTAATTAGGTTTAGATTAGGTTTTGATTAGGTCATGAGGGCTGGGAGTACCCATGACGGGGCTAATGTCCTTATAAGAAGAGGAAAGGAGACCATAGCTTTGTTCTTTCTCTGACATAATGAGGATATAGTGAGAAGGTGGCTATCTGCAAGCCAAGAAGAAAGCCTTTACCAGAAATTGAACCTGCCATTACCTTGATCTTGGATTTCCCAGCTCTGGAATTATGAGAAATAAAAATCTGTTGTTTAAGCCATCCAGTCAGGGTATTTTGTGTGGCAGCTGGAGGTAAGACAACACCTTTAACTATTTTTTGGACACATGGAATACAGTTGTAATGACTACTTTAATTTACTTTTCTGATAATACTAACATTTGTGTCAGCTCTGGGTTAGTTTCATTAGATTGAGTTCTCTTGTCATGATGAATTGTATTTTCCTGCTTCTTTGCTGGTAGTTTTTGATTGGGTGCCAGATGCTGTGAATTTTACCTTGTTGTGTGCATGGTAATTTTATATTTCTAAAAATATTCTTGAGCTTTGTTCTGGTACATAGTTAATTTACTTTAGAACAGTTTGATTGTTTTAGGGCTTATTCTTCAGATTTTCTAGGCAGAACCAGAGACACTTTAATCCAGGGCTCATTATTTCTCACTGCTGAGGCTGTACCCTTCTCAATACTCTACCTAATGCCTGTGAATTATAAGGTTTTCCAGCCTGGTTGATGGGAATAGACACTATTCTTGACCTTGTGGGTTCTTTCTCTGGCCTTGGGTAGTTTTCTAACACATATAATCTGATCAGCACTCCACTGAATACTTGAGGGAAACCCTTTGCAGATCTCTGGAGTTCTCTGTTTGTGCCACTCCTTTCTCTCTGGTACTCTGTCTATAAAAATTGAATTATCTTGGTATATTCTTTCTGGAAAAATTTTAAACTACTTAAGGGTTGGTAAGTTAAATTTTTCTGGGAATTTGTCCATTTGCCTTTGTATTTCAAATTAGTAGGCATAAAGCTGTTCATAATATTCTCATATCTTTTTACATCTGCTGAATCTGTTGTTAGGTTTCCTTTTTCATTCCTTATATATTTATGCCTCTTCTTTTATTTCTGGACCAATTCTCTTATCCATTTTTAACCCTGCTATTTCTTTAGAAACTCAAAATAGTTTGATTACTGCTATTGAAAATGCTAAACAGAAGATTAAATCCAGAGTTTAAATAGGGAGGAGAAATGCAATCTTAACAAAATGACTCTGTGTTAAACATTAAAGAGGCCAGTACAGTGGCTCATGCTTGTAATCTCAGCACTTTAGGAGGATGAGGCAGGTGGATCATCCAAGGTCAGGAGTTCAAGACCAGCCTCGCCAACATGGTGAAACCCTGCCTCTATTAAAAATACAAAAATTAGCTGGATGTGGTGGTGGGTGCCTGTAATTTCAGCTACTTAGGAGGCTGAGGCAGGAGAATTGCTTGAACCCAGGAGGCGGAGGTTGCAGTGAGCCGAGATCGTGCCACTGCACTCCAGCCTGGGTGACAGAGCGAGACTCCATCTCAAAAAGAAAAAATAATAATAAATAAAGATACCCATTCTTTTCTATTCAGGAGGCCTTCAAAAATTTTGTGCATAAAAATCACTTGGAGTGCTTATTTAAAATGCAGATCACAAGGCATCCCCCTCTAGAAAGTATGTAGCAATAATAGTCCTGGCTATGGTCCTGGAATTTGCCTTTTTAATAAGCACCCAGGTGATTCTGAAGTATGTGGCTGGAAAACTACACTTTGAGAAACATGCTCTAACTTGTGCTACAGACAAAAGGCTTTTAAAATCCCCCTGGTGCCTGGTCCCCAGGCTGCACCTTTCAACTTACATCTGTAGCTTTCTTATCCACAATTCCCCTCACCTTCACCTTACCCTCAAATAAGCCCTCTGGATGAGGCTTGTACTCACTCATCTCCTGCTGAGACAACATTTTTTTTTTTCTTTTGAGACAGAGTTTTGCTCTTGTCACCCAGGCTGGGGTGCAGTGGCGCAATCTTGGCTCACTGCAAACTCTGCCTCCCATGTTCAAGTGATTCTCCAGCCTCAGCCTCCCGACTAGCTGGGATTATAGGCACGCACCATCACGCTGGACTAATTTTTGTATTTTTAGTGGAGACGGGGTTTCACCATGTTGGCCAGGCTGGTGTCTAACTCCTGACCTCAGGTGATCCACCCGCCCTTGGTCTCCCAAAGTGCTGAGATTACAGGTGTGAGCCACCATACCCTGAGACAACATTTTGTAATAATCTCTAGAACCAATTTTTAAATTTCTAGTCTAGTCAAATGCCTGAGTTTAGCCTCAGGGCACTGTCCAGATTCTAACACATCTGTTATTTCCTGGACCAGTAGAAAGTGGACCAAATCACCTGGGTTTTTGGTTCAGACACTCACTACAAATGGAGCAGGACTTGAGAGCAGATTATAGAAGTATATATCTTTTTTAGGAGCCAGGCCTCTCTAGGGATTCTCCTATTGTAGGTAAAGAGGCTCCTCCTCAGGTAGCTGAACTTCCAGATTAGATTAGTGTGTTCGCCAGGTATGAAGTAGAGACCACGAGGCATCTAGACCTTTGTTATGCATTCTGGTAGGCCTTCCGTATGGCTCATACTGCACCCAATCTGTATACTGTCTCACTAACCTTCTTACCTTACTGCTGTTGGCTGGTAGATTCCCCTTTCTGTCAAGTCTCAGGGGAATCACTGCAGTGCTGACAACTTTTTCTAGGGCATCACCAGTGAGAGCATCTAGGGCCTTTCAAAAAGTACTGTCAGATGCCACGTTCTGTTCTCCAAATATTGTGGATTTCCTCATATACAAATGAATATTCTGGGGCATGCCAACCCGTTTTCTTTATATGAATGTGAAGGATCTTTGTTCAAATGTTAAAGGATGTTGAAGGTCTGATTGAGATTCTTCTTCTTCAAAGGATAGGAATTGTTGTAGTAGAGGGATAGGTTTGCTGTTGAGGACGTTTAGTATCTGAAGAGAGGATTAATTGGACAGGTAAATTTTCTCCTAAATTTTGCCGACTAATTATAGAATAGAATGATAAGGTATTAGCCCTGGATGGGCCCTTGAAAGTCATTTGAAGCAGTCTCCTAGTAAAAGATACAGATAAGAAAACTGAATTCCGGAAAGCTTAGGTGTTTTGTCAGAGGTCATATGGCTGTTTGGTGGCTGTACTATAAATACTAAAATATAATTGTTCTGCAATTTTTTTAAATAATTGAGATAGGGTCTCACTCTGTCACCCAGGCTGGAGTGTAGTAGCATGATCACAGCTCACTGCAGCTTCAACCTCCTGGGCTCAAGCGATCCTCCCACCTGACCCTCCTGAGTAGCTGGGACTACAGGTGTGTGCCACCATGCCTGGCTAATTTAAAAAAAAAAATTGTAGAAATGGGGTCTCCCTATGTTGCCCAGGCTGGTCTTGAACTCCTGGGCTGAAGCGATCCTCCTGCATCAGCCTTTCGAAATGCTGGGGTTACAGGCATGAGCCACCATGCCCAGCCTGCAATTTGCATCTTACTAATTATGAGTCTGATAAACCAGGAGCTGACAGATTAGGTTACCAACAGCCATAGATTAATTGAAATATTTACTAGGGTATATTATGTCTAACTAATAAAGCTTTATCTTTGTGTTTCAGGACTAAAAACCGAAAACTGTATTGAGAACCTAGGTAAGATAGCTTTAAAGTCTTATCCCTATAATAGGAATTTTATCAGTTACTTCTCATAGCTATGGGTCAGAGCTACCCCACCACTGTACTGTCGTTCTGTCAAACATCATTTTCTCAAGGCTAAATTGTGCTACTACTGCTAGTACCTTTTCAGGTGGAGAGCCTAGGAGCCTTTGCTGCCAGTCCCCACTGCCACCCTCATCCCCACCCCAAGACTTGCCTGTGGCTCTTCTCTCAGACACTGCATTGGCCTGGGCATGAAGGGAACACGCCACTGTCATCTGAGCCTGACCTTATAGGAGTTTAAGGACTCCTTAATTCCCCTACATCTTCAGCCATTTCCCACTTGACTCCTATGCAAAGAGCTAGCTCCTGTTCCTGTATTTTGTTATCTTAGGAAATAACATTTGGGAGACCAATGAAGGAATGGCATGAATATAGGTCGAGGAAGGAGGAGAATGGGATGACAGAAGGGTAATGCGGTAGATTTTAACTTCCTCGGGGAAAAATAAGAGGATGTGACCAAAAAAAAAAAAAAAAATCTTTCTTAGAGGACTATGGGAAAGATTTGGGAAGGCAGACAGAAAATTCTAAGAGTATTAAGGAACAGCATTATCAAAGAGGCCTAATAAATTTGAATTAAAGATACCAAAAATGCCTTTGGATTAAGACATGCTCTGGGTGGATCCTTTTGAAGATTTCCTCATTAAAAAGTTTAAAAACATACCAAAGGTATCAGAAGAGAGAGAAAAAAAGTTCAAAAGCAAGGTTCTGTTTCTAGCTGTTTTTCTGGCTAGCTTTCCTGTGAATTTTTTTTTCATGTAACTTAAATGAATCCACATCCAGAGGCTGAGGCGGGTGGATTGCTTAAGGTCAGGAGTTTGAGGCCAGCCTGGGCAACATGTGAAACTGGCTCTACTAAAAATACAAAAATTAGCCAGGTGTGGTGGCAGGCGCCTGTAATCCTAGCTACTTGGGCGGCTGAAGCAAGAGAATTGCTTGAAACCCGGGAGGCAGAGGTTGCAGTGAGCCGGGATCGTGCCACTGCACTCCAGCCTGGGCGACAAAGCAAGACTCTTGTCTCAAAAAAATAAAAGTGAATTCACATCCATTTGTCTTTGAATTGAAATTTTATATCTGTTATAGTAACTGTATTTTTATGTTTCTTAAATATAAGCCAACACAATCTTTATTTTTAATGAACATTTAAAAATAGACTGATCCTGACATTCACATCTGAGCATAGTACCATGTAATGAAAACATGTCTGTATTTCAGAATATTTTCAACCCATCTATGTCTACAACCCTGGTGAGTATGTTCTAATTTTTAAAAATAATCTTGGTTGGGCATGGTGGCTCACGCCTGTAATCCCAGCGCTTTGGAAGGCCGAGGTGAGTGGATCACTTGAGCCCAGGAGTTTGAGACCAGCCTGGGCAACATGGCGGAACCCCATCTCTACAAAAAATACAAAACTTAGCCAGGCATGGTGGTGTGCACCTGTAGTCCCAGCTACTTGGGAGGCTGAGGCAGGAGGATCACTTGAGTCTGGGAGGCAGAGGTTGCAGTGAGCCAAGATTGCACCCACTGCACTCCAGCCTGGGTGACAGGGTGAAACTCTGTCTCCAAAGTTAATAATAATAATCCTTACCTGGATGTTTAATAGCTCTTTCTTGTTTAGCAAATGTATTTCTTAGCTGAAGAAAATTTGCAGATATAAAGCAGTGACTTGGCCTATATGAGAGGAAAAAAATAAAGAACCTATTCTAGGGAAATATACCTTCCTCAAATAAGAGAATTGGCTTCGTGGAGATCTGAACAATATGGAAATTTTCCGGGGAATACGGGTGGTGAGAATGAAGAGCTAGAGTCATTCTTGACCAGTTATGAGGGCTTCTTAGGTATAGCTCTGTATTCAGTCATTGAAATGAACCTGTGTGACTCCAAATACTCAGACAAAAATACAAAACTCAGCATGTTTGCATCTCTCAAATATGCAGATGCTTGATGTTTACTATGATTTAACTAAAATATGTAGGTGATTAGATGCTCTTAAAGTTTCCACTGAAGGATATATGGCCCAAATCATTTCTTTGCACATAAGTTCCTTATCATGTGTTTGGCTCATGTGGCTACAATAAATTTTTCTTTGTTGAAAAGAGAAGAGGTTCCAGCCTTTTTAAAACATGCAATTTATTTCATGTTTGGGAAAATACTTCCTGTCCTGATAGAAGTGAAGCACTTTATGCCTTGAAGACTTGCTTAGCAGCCCTTCTTTTTATTGTTCCGTTGCAGTCACAGGTTCTACTGATCACTTCCCAGGGACTTTAGCTGACTCTTCAACAAAGACATTTTCTCGGCTCCTTGAGATCCCTGGTAGACAAGCTATTTGTAATGACTTTTCTTAATAGTAGGGGCAGAGAATGTTCCAGCTCATTAGCCAAGGTACATTTAGACTGTGACCGACAACTTAAGTTTAGTAGGGTAGTTTCCTGGACGTATCAAATGGTTCTTTATAGTCATATTTCCTGAAAATAATTTTGCTGTAGCAATAGTAACTGCCAGTTCTTTTGTTCCATTGTTAAAACTGATGAACTTCTTTTCTGTGACTCAGGTGAGAAAAACCAGAAGCTTGAAGACCATAGTAAGACATTTTTATAAATTCTGGGGGCTTGGCCAGGCGTGGTGGCTTATGCCTGTAATCCCAGCACTTTGGGAGGCCGAGGCGGGAGGATCATGAGGTCAGGAGATTGAGACCATCCTGGCCAACATAGTAAAACCCCATCTTTACTAAAAATACAAAAATTAGCTGGGCGTGGTGGCACATGCCTGTAGTCCCAGCTACTCGGGAGGCTGAGGCAGGAGAATCCCTTGAACCAGGGAGCTGGAGGTTGCAGTGAGCTGAGATCGTGCCACAGCACTGTAGCCTGGAAACAGAGCGAGGCTCCGTCTCAAAAAAAAAAAAAAAAAAATTCTGGGGGCTTGCATTTTGCAAGATACCTCCCTTTACAGGTGGGAATATTTTCATATTTCTTGCAAATAATTTTGCTGTAGCTGTAGTAACTGCCAATTCTTTTGTTCCTTCGTTAAAACTGATGAGCTTCTTTTTGTGACTCAGGTGAGAAAAACTGGAAGCTTGAAGACCATGGTAAGACATTTTTTATAAATTCTGGGGGCTTACATTTTACAAGATACCTCCCTTTACAGGTGGGAATATTTTCATATTTACTGAAAATAATTTTGCTGTAGCTATAGTAACTGCCAATTCTTTTGTTCCATTGTTAAAACTGATAAGCTTCTTTTTGTAACTCAGGTGAGAAAAACCAGAAGCTTGAAGACCATGGTAAGACATTTATGTAAATTCTGGGGGCTTACATTTTGCAATATATCTCCCTTTACATGTGGGAACAGGGAAGAATGTCGTGGTAAGAAAAGTGGGAGGAAGGCAGAGCTCACCTTAGCTTACTGGTTTGGTATATTAGAGACTCTCCTGGGTTTCAGGTAGAATTCTTTAGAAAAATGACATAGCAGCTCTGTTTCTCCTGTCTAACAATCTTTAGGTCATCCCACCAAATAGAGGAAGGTGTGACTAATTATTCCCCACATTCTTGTGACCTCTAGGATATTGGGCAGGGCATAACAAATATTGTTTTTTCTAAATTAAAATGACTATTCTTTGTATTTATTTCTGTCACCAGCAATCTGATTAATATATGCCATTAGCTATATCCATTTGATTATTTAGTACATTCCAAGTGTAACTTATCCTCAAGTATTTGTTTTTGTTTTATTTTTAATATTACTCAAATGGCCGGGCGGGGTGGCTCACGCCTATAATCCCAGCACTTTGGGAGGCCAAAGTGGGCGGATCACGAGATCAGCCTGGCCAACATAGTGAAACCCCATCTCCACTAAAAATACAAAAATTAGCCGGGCATGGTGGCACACGCCTGTAGTCTCAGCTACTCAGGAGGCTGAGTCAGGAGAATCACTTGAACCTGGGAGGTGGAGGTTGCAGTGAGCCGAGATCGCGCCACTGCACTCTAGCCTGGGTGACAGAGTGAGACTCCATCTTGGAAAAAAAAAATTACTCAGATGTCCTCAAGGATACCGGGACAGGAACAGTCTCATAAATTACTGGCGAGATTATAAATTGGAACTTTTTTGGAGAGCAATTTAGTAGTATGTATTACTAGTCTTAAAAATGTTTGTACCTTTTGACTCGGTTATAACACTTTTGGATATTTGTCCCAAGGAAATTAGAGATGAACACAAAGATTTGTGTACAAAAATGCCTATCACAGTGTTATGGTAGTGTCAAAAGACAAAATTACAACAAATTTAAAGAGATCAATTGGCTTTATTTGAGATTCTAGAATTGGGCAACACTTTATTCCATAGAATAAGCATTCATTGAGCTGAGCACAGAAGTTTGGCTTTAAAGACAGAGAAGAGCCAAAGAAAGTGGAAGCAAAGAACAGAGTATATTAATTACTTTTAGACAGAACAGTAGAAAAATAACTGATTAGTTAACATCAGTTTATTTCAGGCTACCTTTTTTGTGTGTAAGGATTGAAGCATCGGGAACTTCATTTATCAAGCTGATTGAAGATTTTAAAATGGCCAATTTGGGAAATTCTGTTATTTCTTTCTCCTGATTTCTTAGAAGTTCAGACAACTTAGTTTAGATGATGTGGAACTTTAGCATGGGTGACTCCATTTCGATTTTTAGTCTGGTCTGTTGGGGCCTTCTGCAGAAACTTAGTCTGAAGCAATGGCCTCCTATAATTTTTATTTGACAGTAGCAAAAATTTAGAAACAACCTGTGTCCAACCATTGGGTATTGTTAAATAAAATATTACCTATATTATGAAACACTAAGCAACTTAAAAATCATGTTTTCAAAACCATCTAAAGATAGAAGAAAGTACTCTTAATACAATGGTAAATAATTGGATATAGAACTGCATATAGAGTATAATATTAACTTTTAAAAATGTATATGTATATATATGTATGCATAGCAAAATGATTGAAATACACCAGAAATGTTAAGAATGAGTAGAGTATTTCCGAGATCTGCAGTTTTAAGAGAACTTTAATTTTTAATAATTTTCTGTATTTTTCCAAATTATCTATAACGTATTATATAGTTAGGAAGCATATTTTATATATTACATATAATGCCAATTTTGGGTCGAGGTCTTTGGGTTGAATTTTTAAAAAACGAACAAGAGGTGCTTAACCTAGGAGAGATTCTGGGTCACTAGCCTTAGTTCTTATCATCAGTTAGGCTCCAGTGGGTTAAATCTCTTCTTTTTGTTACCTTGTCCTCTGCCATTTCTCAAAGCGTTCTGAGTTTTCTACTACAGAAGTCAAGTATAAGGTCAAATTAATTTTCAAGCTGATGGCATTTTTTTACTAAATAGTTCTTATTCTCGTCCTTAGGAATAAAAAGCCAGAGGCTCACTGTTTCACCTGGGAAATAATCTATTTACTGAGACTAGCTACATGGTTAGGAGACGATAAGGATTCCTAGGATTAAGAACATTGTGAAAAGCCAGCACGGTGGCTCACACCTATAATCCCAGCTCTTTGGGAGGCGTAGGCAGGAGAATCATAGTGAGTTATGATCGTGTCATTGTACCCCACCACAGCCTGAGCGACTCAGCGAGACCCTGTCTCTCAAAAAAGAAAAAAAAATATTACTGAGCCTGGAGAGTTTGAGGAATGAGTTAGACAAGAACAAAGGGACTTCATTTATTGAGTACCTTTTTTCGCTCCGTGCAGTGTACCAAGCACTTTTATGCAGTCTTTCCTTCAATCTTCACTAACTACAAACCTAAGAGGTAAATATTTCTCTTGCAAAGTGAGAAACTAAAGTTAGGAGGGATTAAGTAGTCTGCCCAAAGTCACAGAGCTAATAACTATAATTACGATAGAGCTAAACCAAGCAGAAATGTAAAACCAGTAGTGTTTCATCCAAAAACTGATATATTGGGACTGCCTTCTGAAGATAAAGCTGGAGAGACGGGTTAGATCGTGGAAGTTCTTGAAGTCCAGGCTAAGGAGTTTGGACTCTGTCACATGGAGAATGAAGAGCCATTGAAAGGTGTTTTTGTTGTTGCTGTTTCTTTTTTCTTTCCCCCTGCCTTTTTTTTTTTTTGAAAGTTGGAAATGGAGGAAATATAGACAAAAGAAGAGTATTAACAGTATAAGATAACTGATTAATACAAACCAATATTTATTTCTGCCTTTAGGTGTGAAAATCCTTGAACCCACCCAAATACCTGGTAAGACAGCTTTCTATTTACTCCCTGAGCCCAAGAATGAGTTGAGCAGGATTCCCAGGCATTTAAGAGAATACTGTCATGAGACTATTATTCATGAATATTTCCCTTATAGCTACCTGCCAGTCATCTACAAATATTTAGCTGGGGAAGCGTAGAGAAGTCTCTTTCCTCCTGTGCATTCATGTGCTCCTGGAGCATTGTCTCTGGGGCAGGAAAGTTAGTTCTGCTCTGGATGTTGCTGAGGGGAAGGCTCCTGGGATCTGGATGCATCAGTCCAACACCTTCCAGGTTCTACAGCTAAAGTTATTCAATAGAAACCTACCTTTACGCACAAGTTGACTGTTAGTCTTGGCTAACATCTCATTGCCTGTATCTCCAGGTAACAAAACACGATATTCTCCTGGCATAAACATGCTCAGTGAAGTGCTATGGCAGAAGACTCCTCTAATCATGGTGTGGATTTGTATAATAAGGGTTTACGTAAGCAGAACTTTTAAATAAAAAGCCAGAAACTATAGTGCATTGGGGCCTTGGGTGCTTGCATCTCTTAAGCTCAGCAGACAAGAGTTTGAAAATTATACTCAGTGGAGCAAACTGTAAGTCATTGGAAACTTCCTTCTCATTTAGGAATGAAAATTCCAGAACCTTTTCCACTACCTGGTAAGCAACTGATAGGCATGCCAGAGGGGAACATGCCAGTTTGGGGAGTACAGTCACCATTAGATATGCATGGGACTTTCTATGCCTCATAATTGTCATCTATCAAATGTAGCCATCAGTAGTCACATGTACATGACAGGAATATTTGTAAGGACTATAAAACCATGGAATCTCAGGGTGCAAGCCACTGTCCAATGCATAAATCCCTTTCTCCTGAGTTCATGTAGTACTTTGAAATATTTTTTTGCAGGTTTTGTTATTATGGAAATGATGATCTGTTAAGGAAATTAGATATTTGGCATCTTAAAAACTATATCCAGCCACACAGTGCTGAACTTCACGTAACGCTGCTGTCAATGGAAGCTGCGTGCTGTATAAAGAAACAGCGTTTTCCATTAGTTAAATAAAGGCTCAGAGAACATAGGCTCAGAGAAAAGGGTCCAGGACCTCTTTTATATTGACCCAAATTTGCACTGTTGGATTTATTTGGCCACAACTTTGAAGTGAACCTCTAGTGACACTGATGACACACCTTGTGCGTCTACATCTCTTCAGCTCGCTAGTCCTGAGTTTGCACAGTGCCATCATTGGGGTCTTGCTCATCTGGCTATCTGAAAGGCAGCCACCGAGCATGGTGGGAGATGAACATGAGCTGTGTAGACAGATAGACCTGGCTTCAGGAAGTCTCTGCCACTTTCCTCTGAGTAGCTTTATATAAGTTACTTCACTTTCTACGCCCCTGCTTTCACATCTGTAAAATGAGGAAAGCTTCTGTCTTGCAGGACTGATGAGATAAAGTACCTAGCAAAGTACCTAGCAAAATGAATGGTGGTAACATAGTAGTAAATGGTAGCTGCCTTTGTTATTATCTGAAAACCTCTTTCTTGTTTAGGAATAAAAATGATACAACTGAATGAAAAACCTGGTAATATATTCTTTATTGGGGGTGGAGGCACCATGGATTCTAAGTCCTTTACCATAATCATTCAGTTAGTTCAGTCTTATGGGGTCTGGGGAAGACATCTGGGCTGTACACTTTCCGATATCCCAGTCTGCAAGCCAGACAGGGAAAGTGTTGAGAATTTCTTTCAGTGTGAGCAGCAGGCTGCTATTACGGTTCTCTGGGCCAAACATCAAAAAAGGCACTTGATCTTAAACTGGAACAGTTGGCTTCCAGCTGGGCCTGTCTATTCCAGAATGAGGCAGGCTTCTCAGGGTGAAGGAATCTGTAGACATAGAAATAGCATCATCCAAGAACTGTGAATGAGGACTGTGCAGCATGCCAATACTGGGACCAGCCATTCTGTGTGCTCCTCACCACACTCTACAATCGTCCAGTAGGCCACTAGATTTTGTTGGGACTACAGTGTATTGTGCCCTCTCCTGGAAAGCTATGTGTAGCTTTTTAAAAGGTGATGTGAAAACAGTACACAGGAGCTCATTTAATCCAATACGATAAATATTATTGACACTTCAGAGATGAGAACATGGAACATAAGAAGGCTAACAAATTTATAATAGGCTAGAGACAACCAGGACTCAAACTTTTCAAGCTTTGTTCACTTTGTGCTACACTTGTCTTCCAAACAGATTTAGTTATCCACTTCTATCCTGGGCACCTAGAATTGGTATTTGGCTTCAAAGCTGTTAAAATATGGTAATATCATAATATTTCTATGCTAGGCACACACTTGGTAGTACAGATGGTCTCCAAGTTACAATGGTCAGTCTGTAAGAAACACGAAAAGGTGGCTTGCCAGTTAGGACAGATTTATTTTAGAGAAAACAAACTTGAGAGGCGCCTTCTGGCCGAGTTAGGTTAGAGGCCCACTTTTTTACAGACTAAGAGTTTTTAAGGATTTAGGGTGGGAGAGTTTATCAGCGGCTTGGACTGCTTCTGTGTCTCTTTGTTGTGCTTATCTGGGAGAGAGCGTTGTGTGTCTGTTCCCATACATCATTCTGCAGCTGCAGGCATATTCCCCAAGTCTGCTTTTAGCTTCCCTAACTTAGTGCACCTGAAGAGAAAGGAATGTGCTTATTAAGGCCCACTGTTTTACTGGGGCCCACTGTATGAGGGCGAAGTTTGGGAGTTACTCAAGAGACTTCCCCCCCACCTCCCTTTGTGCCCGAGCTGTTTTATCTGTGTTTTACTGTTTGCTCCTTCTGGCTGCTTGTAGTTAGAAGAGGTGATTTCCTTGAAATGCATGAGGCTAGAAAGGGAGCTCGAATTTAAAGTGGTGGTGTTTGTCCAAGATGACGGTGCTCCTGCTCTATCAGGTTCAACTTGGGATTTTTTGATTTTGCAATGGTCTGAAAGCCATACACATTCAGTAAAAACCATACTTCAAGTACCCATACCGTTCTCTTTTTCACTTTCTGTACAATATTCAATAGATTACATGAGACATTCAATATTTTATTATAAAATAAGCTTTATCTTAGCTGATTTCGCCCAACTGCAGGCTCATGTAAGTGTTCTGAGCACGTTTAAGGTAGGCTAGGTTAAGCCATGATGTTCTGTAGGTTGGGTGAGTTAAATGCATTTTTGACTTATGGTATTTTCAGCTTACATTGGATTTATTGAGACACAACCCCATCATAAGTCGAGAAGCATCTGTATAGCATAGTAATTCAGAGCAAATTTGAAATTAGATATTTCTAGCACCAGTTACCCCCGTGATTTTATGCATGGCATTCCTCAAAACATTTCATAAATGTTTTAAGGAATATCTGTGAAATATGGATAATTATACCTGGCTAATAAGACTAAGAAGTAAAGGTGACAGTGTACATAAAGCATTTGCACAATGCATGGCACATAGTGAACACTCAATAGTAGGTATTAATGTACTTGGGAATCTAAGTTCAATATGTAGAAAATACTTTTTGTGAATAAAATTTTAACTTTTATTTTTATGTAAACACATATTGATGGGAAAAAAAATTCAAAGAGCACAGATGAGAACAAATTAAACCCTTCCCCTAACCCCACACATACCCGTAAACCTATTACCCTGCCCCTCAGACCCACTCACAGAGATAACCAAGTTTGCTTAATTTTTAATCAGATCTTTCTTTTCTGGATAAACAGATATACAATATAACTAACTCAAAATCTCTTTATATTTTAGAAGATAAAAGTCAAGGAAATATCAACAATCCTAGTAAGAAGTATCTCATTTCCTCAGTTGATAAATGCCTGCTTCTGTAATATAGAAAAAGTGAGAAATTTATTTTTCCTCAATAAAGGGAACAAAGTTGCAAGGTTTTAAGGCATCTTAATAACAGAGTATAATGTCATATCCAAAAGCTTGTGTGTGCATGTGTGTGTTGGGGACAATATAGCTTTGTTTTTTCGATAATCGTTTTCCATTGTATCTAGAGTTTCTACTCTTAGAACAGTGGTTCTTACCAGTCTGAAGACTGGGAGCAAAATATAAAAATAAAAAAGAAAATATATATTAAAAAAAAAAAGAACAGTGGTTCTCAACCCAATTCTCCCTTTATAACAAGTATTTTATAAAGTCCTTATATTATCCAGAAAGAAGATCCATAGATGAGATGCATTTGTACCCATAAAAATCAACATCATGTCTAAAGTAGACCGATGTTTACATTTATGCAAATAAATTTGGGTTGAAGAGAAGATTGGAAGCTATTCTATACAGGAAGTATAAGAAAATGGAGTGAAGAAATAGAGTAGATACTAAATAAAAACTGATGTTTAATGTTTATCAAAACTATTAAAAATATACATAAAACTGCTTTAGGTTCTGAGTTTGATTATTTTAAATAGGTTTTAACTTACATGTATGTCTAGCAGTACATTTTAAAGTTGTGCAGGAAGTTGGTCAATTTTTCATGGTCCAGAACTAGAGCACTGCAGGATATCTATCCCTCTACCTCCACTCCACTGTTAGCAATGATTAAAAAAAAAAACAAAAAACTCTTGACAATCGTCCAAACTGCCTCTTGGGGCAGTAATGCCCCCCTGAGAACCACTGGTCTGTGGTAACATACAGTCATGCATTGCTTAACAAGATGGGGTATGTTCTGATTAATGTGTTAAGTGATTTTGTCGTTGTGCAAACATCATAGTGTGTACTTACCCAACCCTAGATGGTATACCCTGCTACACATGTAGGCTACATGGTATAGCCTACTGCTCCTAGGCTATAAACCTTTACAGCATGTTATTGTGTTGAGTACTGTAGGCAGCGGTAACACAGTGGTAAGTATTTGTGTATCTAAACATAGAAAAGTTATGGTAAAAATATAAAAGATAAAAAATGGTACAGGTGTATAGGGCACTTAACATGAATGGAGCTTGTAGGCCCAGAAGTTGCTCTGGGTGGTGTTGAGCGGATGTGAAGGCCTGGGACACTACTGTACACTCCTGTAGACTTTATACATACTATACAGAGGCTACACTAAATTCATAACAAATTTTCCTTCTTCAATAGTAAATTAACCGTAGCTTAATGTAACTGTTTTACTTTATAAACTTAATTTTAATCTGACTCTTTTGTAATAACACTTAGCTTAAAACACACATTGTACAGTAGTACAAAAATATTTTTTCTTTATATCCTATTCTATAAAGCTTTTTTATCACCTTTTTTTTTAACTTTTTAAACTTTTGTTAACAACTAAGACACAAACATTTACATTAGCCTAGGCCTATACAGGGTCAGGATCATCAATATCACTGTCTTGCACCTCCACATCTTGTTCCACTGGAAGGTCTTCAGGGGTAGTAACGTGCATGGAACTGTCACCTCCTATGATAATGCCTTCTGGAGTAGCTCCTGAAGGACCTGCCTCAGGCTGTTTTATAGTTAACGTTTTTTAATAAGTTGAAGGAGTACAGTCTAAAATAATGATTAAAAGTATAGTAAGTACATAAAACAGTAACATAGTTGTTTATTATCAAATGTTATGTATTATATATAATTGTATGTGCTATACAGTTATACAACTGGCAGTGCAGTAGGTTTATTTACACCATCATCACCCCAAACACGTAATATGTTACAACGGCAACGATGTTGCTAGGCAGTAGGAAATTTTCAGCTCTATTATAATTATAGTCTTATGGGATCTCTGTCATACATGTGGTCTGTCATTGATGGAAACATCATTATGCATTGCACGACTGTACTAATGCATGTGTGCATCTGCCTATCCACTTCTCTGTGTGTATACATCCAACTGCATGTTTATAACTATGGCAAGTACATTGATAATATGAAGGCTTTTACAAATCTGACTGGCTATTTTTCTTGGTTTTATTTATGAAATCTGAGTGGTGATCCCATTTGGATACTTCCAGTCAACGCTTCCCCGTAGTTCAAACAAAAAGAGTTTAGGTCAGCATGAAACAGTTTATCCTGTGGATGGACTCCACTGCTCCTCTCCACTAGTTCAAATGAAAGGGAAAGAGTTTCTCCAGCAGTGTATGTATGGAGGGAAAAACATTTATTTTTTTTTTATCATCTTGCAGAGATTAGTGTTTAAAAAACAATGCAGCTATAGTTAGCCCTCTGTATCCTCTGGGATTCAACCAACTGTGGATCGAAAATATTTGTGGGAAAAAATAATACAAATTTAAAAACCCATACAGTACAACAACTACTTGCATTTCATTTACATTGTATTAGGTATTATAAGAAATCTAGAGATAGTATAAGGTATACAGGAGGATGTGTGTAGGTATATGCAAATACTGTGTATGCTATTTTATTTATTTATGTATGCTATTTTATATAAGGGACTTGAGCATCTGTGGATTTTGGTATCCTCAGGGGTTCTAGAACCAGTCCCCAAAGGATACTGAGGGATGACTGTATATCCAGTTGTATGTTGGTGGTTATCTTGTTTGAAATAGAAGACACACAGAGTTAAACTTTACCTTGCATGTATATACAGAAAATGGAAATAGAAAAATTGCTAAAAAAAAATGCTAGAGAACTTGAACAACAGAAAATCATTATATTGGCTATATAGAAATGTAAAAGCATGTGAAATCCTACATAAAACCTAGCGTAGCAGATCTTGATGATATATAGTCGACCCTTGAACAACACAGGTTTGAACTGCATGGGTCCACTTATACATGGATTTTTTTTAAATAAATATATTGGAAATCTTTTTGGATATTTGCATCAATTTGAAGAAACTTGCAGACAAACTGCATGACCTAGAAATATATATATATATAAAAAGAAAGTATGTCATGAATGCATAAAATATATGTAGATGCTAGTCTATTTTTATCATTTACTACCATAAAACATACACAAATCTATTGTAAAACGTTAGTATTTATCCAAATTTGTGCACACAGACCATATGTGGCACCATTCAAAATCAAAAGAAACGTAAATGTAAAGATGCGGTATTAAAACTTAACTGCATAAAATTAACTATAATACATACTGTATCATTGTAATCATTTCATGGCCACCTCCTGTTGCTATTGCAGTGAGTTCAAATGTTTCGAGTATCCTCTTAAAACACCATGTGTTGCTAAACATCTCTGAGGAGTTCATCTCCAGTAAATTGCACATCACAGCAAAAAGTGATCTCTCACAGTTCTCCTGTATTTTTTGTCATGTTTGGTGCAATACCAAAAACCTTGAATAACACCATAGGACTCAAAGGAAGTGCCACTAGTGAGGCCGGAAGTCTCACAAGCAGAGAGAAGCCATGACATTACAAGAAAAAGTTGAATTGCTTGATATATAGATTCAGGTCTGCAGCTGCAGTTGCCAGCCATTTCAGACAGATAATTCATCTTATAAACAGATGATGTAAACTTTGGGTATTAGTAAATACAGTACAGTACTGTAAATGTGTTTTCTCTTCCTTATGATTTTAATATTTTTTCTCTATTTTATTGTAAAAATACAGTTTATTTATTTATTTATTTGAGCTGGAGTCTTGCTCTATCACCCAGGATGGAGTGCAGTGGTGCAATCTCTGCTCACTGCAAGCTCTGCCTCCCAGGTTCACACCATTCTCCTGCCTCAGCCTCCTGAGTAGCGGGGACTACAGGCGCCCGCCACCACGCCCGGCTAATTCTGTATATTTAGTAGAGACGGGGTTTTGCCGTGTTAGCCAGGATGGTCTCGATCTCCTGACCTCATGATGTGCCTGCCTCCGCCTCCCACAGTGCTGGGATTACAGGCGTGAGCCACCACGCCCAGCCAAAATACAGTATATAATACATTTACAAAATATGTGCTAATCAATTATTTTTATCTTTTTAAAAATAGAGATGGGGTCTCGCTATGTTGCCCAGGCTCAAACTCCTGGTCTCAAGTGGTCCTCCTGCCTTGGCCTCCTAAAATGCTGGAATTACAGGTGTGAGCCACCATGCCCCAACCAGAATACAGTATATAATACATATAACATATAAAATATGTTAATCAACAATTTCTATTATCAGTAAGGCTTCCAGTTAATGGTAGGCTATTAGTAGTTAAGTTTTTGGGAATCAGGTTACATGTAGGTTTTCATTGTGTGGGGGTTGGCACCCCAACACCCGTATTAAGGGTCAACTGTATATGGAAATATAGCCTGAAATCTGTAATGAATTACACTTATTTGAAAATTGCTTTTGGCTGGAAGTATTTCAGGTAAGTTTCTACTTCAACTTTAGTGTCATTGTTTACATATTCAGGATATATTTTATAGGTGGATGATACTTGACATAAAAAATGATGTGTCAGTGACTGTGTATTCTTGTTAACAGCTCCAGGTCCAGTTCCTGTTCCAGGTCCCAAAAGCCATCCTTCTGCATCCTCGGGCAAACTGCTGCTTCCACAGTTTGGGATGGTCATCATTTTAATCAGTGTTTCTGCTATAAATCTCTTTGTTGCTCTGTAGTTTGATGCATTGTTTATCTTTCTTATTCTTTACTTGAAATAACTATAGGGATCCACAGGAGATCAAAAGGAATGATGTATTTTTTACGTGTTGGCCAAAGTCACTGGATAAAATGAGAATTGTATATTTGTTATTCATTTTGCAAATTCAGAAAGTTGGTCCAGATATATGTCACAGAACTTTTCACTTGTATACTACTCTTACAATGGAAAAAAATCCCGAAAACTGTATACTTCTGATTAAATTCAATAAAAGATTTTGATTAGATATTTCAGAATTGCCAGTATGCTCAATACTGTTAGTGTTTAACATCAATTTAATATCTGAATTAGAACTTTAAGGATAGTCTACTCATCTCTTTGTCTTAGTCTGTTTGGGTTGCTGTAACAGACCACTGTAGACTAGGTAACTTGTAAGCAACATTTATTTATTTCTCACAGTTCCAGAGGCTGGGAAGTCCAAGATCAAGGTGCCAGCAGACTTAGTTTCTGGTGAGTGTCCTCTTCCTTGTCCTTTCCTCACCATCTCACATGGCAGAAGGGACAAGAGAGATAGAGCACTAATCCCATTCATGAAGGCTCCACCCTCATCATGACCTCCCAAAAGCCATACCTCCTAAAATCACCATATTGAGTGTTAGGATTTCAAGATGAATTTTTTGAGAACACAAACTACTCAGTCTATAACACTTGCTTCGATAACTGAGTCTAGTTATCTCACCAGTTATATGCTCAAGGACCACAGGCCTGCCTTATATATGCAGTCACCAGTGGGACAGAAACCCAACAGGATGACTGGGCCTGCCTTTTTAAAAGGCTGACCTTAGGCCCTGTCTGGTATATTTATCTGGTTGAACTAGCAACCAGCAATATTAGAACATGAAAAATCAAAGGCTAGAGAAGCGACCATGGTATGCATGATGAGTGATCCATCCACTAGATTATATAGCTCAGTGAGTAACAATTCTCATCAATTAGACCAACAACTCTTCCTACTATAAGGGGGTGTGCAGAGGGACAAAAACTCCTATACTTGGCTACATGGGTAAGAATGATGGACATGCAGATCTTCTGGGCCACGGAGAAAATGTGGACAAGGCAAGAAATTCCTGTCCCAACACTGTTGGTATTGCAATATAATGGGTAGGAAAGAATGATGAGAGGGTAGTAGAGTAGTGTAACAAATTTACACACCATAAACTTGGCAAAAGTAGCTGCATACTTCTGGCAGTCAATTTGGAAAGAAACAATCAGTTTTAAAGTTCCTAGTCTTGGCCAGGCATGGAGGTTCAGGCCTGTAATCCTAGCACTTTGGCAGGCCAAGGTAGGAGGATTGCTGGAGTCTAGGAGTTCAAGACCAGCCTGGGCAACATAACAAGACCCCATCTCTACACAAAATAAAAAATAATAGCCAGTTGTGGTGGTGCATGCCTGTAGTCCCAGCTACTCAAGAGTCTGAGGTGGGAGGACTGCTTAAACCCAGGAGGTCAAGGCTGCAGTGAGTCGTGATTGTGCCACTGTACCCCAGCCTGGGTGACAGAGAGACTTGTCTCAAAAAAAAAAAAAAAAAAAAAAACCCACAAAAAATCCTAGTCTACACAACTGTAACCTATACAACTGAGGAGAAATCTCTTCAGTGGATTCTCAGAGGATGGACTCCAGATAGATATACAGTGCATCACACTCTTCACCATCCCCATAGTAAATACAATAGCAAGATTCATGGGCCTGTTTCTTCTAACACCTGTCAATACAAGCCAAAGCATCACAGAGAAGTGCAAAGTTAAAGCATCTCAAAAGCGGCCAACATGATGCAGCCCAAATATAGTGTAGTCAGAAATACTGTTTAAAATGATCCACTGGTTAAAGACCCACTATTTAACACTACTTAATCTGTTTAACTCAGATTTTCTAGTATTTCGAATACTAATGACATATTAGGGAATTCTTAATACTAGATGATATCTGAAGTAAGTTTTACTTGCCATACCCTAATCAAAATATAACAGCACTGACAAAAATCCCTAGGAGGCAAAAATAAGACTTAAGACTAAAATTCCTGACTTGTGATTATGAATTTAGTACCTATGTGGACAAAAAATGGTCATTCCTCAAAAGCCAAATAAAGCACCAGACAGAATTATATAAAAGTAATTACAAATTAAGAATTTATTTATAAGTTTTCATCTTTTTAGAAATAAAAAGGCTTAAAAAACAAAATGGTTGCAAAAATGGTTAAGTAGTTTTGTTATATCCTAATTGCTTAGGTGTGCTCTGTAAATTCCAAATAAGTAAAATAATATAAAAATACATTTTCATATCTTTATAGAACAAAAACAAAACATTAAATGCTTTTGGATTTTCTTTACTCCTCCCACAGATGAGTTCACAAATACAAAAACTGGTGTACATTTATACTCAAGTACAAATCTCCAACAGCCAAGTAATTATAGTTTGTTCTGTTATGTGCAAAGTAGATTATTTCATATTTACTTGGTATGGAAAGCAGAGTACAGGCTCAATGGACAATAATCATTAAACACAGATTATGTTTAAGAAAATGCTGTTGTAAAAATGTACAATAGTACATACAATTTTGGTAATTATGCACTTCTTTTAAAGTAAATACAGCTTTTAGATATAAATCTTTCAAAGGTTTTCTTTGAAGAGCTGTGAGGTGACTATTTCAGATTTGATGAACAGTAATTTGTCAGTAAACTTCTCAAAAAACCAATCCAAGAAAGAATTGTTTTCTTTTTCCCTCCATGTGGTCGGTTTCATTCTTAAGGAAGGTCTGATGCAGTAAGAAGATGCATTTCACAAACCTTTACACAAGTTTGTGAACTGTCAACTAAAGACACCACCTCTGATGTGGATGGTTTCATTCAATCCATGTTCGACCAGCTTTATATCTTCTAGATCGTCTTTAATGATGCTAATCAAATGGCTAAGGCCTTCCTGTTGTTGTTTCAAATGCTAGAACAAATTAAGAAACAACATATTAATGTATTAATTTCTTAAAACTGCAAGCTAGTCACAGGAAAAAAGACTCCACTTTGACTATTTTACTAGCAACACAGTACCTAGTAAGTGCTCTAAATATAGAGGGCATGCATATTTAAACATTTGTACTACATCTTTTGCTAACAGTGAAAGACAAACTCTAAAGAACAATAAAATCAAACAAATATATAATGAACAATATCTTCCAACAAAAATGTTTTTTAGATAGCTATTCCTTTTACCAACTTTTGATAAAGGCATGATAATAAAACAGAACTCAAAGGAGGTATTCAAATATAGATGACTAGCAAAATAACATTCTGAAAACTGAGAATATTCATGTTTTGAAGTACAAAGTACATAGTGATAATGGTGGTGATGACTACAGATGCTAACATTTTTTTAAGACTCCTCCTCATGGGTTAAGGTGCTGTTTTAACAGTACTGGTATTCACTCACTTAACTCATTTAAAATCCTTTTGAGCCCCCTTTGGGGTACCATTATCATCTCGACAGTTAAAGAAACTACAGGTAAATAACCTGCCCAAGGTCATAAAGTAGATGGTGAACCATGATTCAATCCCAAAACAATACACTGCTCATAATTTTAAAAAAGACAGGTGTTTAAATTATTCCCAGTTTTATTGCATATATCAACTCTATTTAATACAACTATTTATTTCAATATACTGGAACCTGTTAATTTATTGCAAATACTTAAAACAATGGAATATAATTGGTTATGTGTGTAATATCCAAGAACCTGGAAGCCAAAGTAGTTTTTGGTTGCATAAAACCAGCCATATCCATTCTAACATAATAAAATTGGATTTGTTGATGACATTTATAATCTTTATCTAAAATCCTCAGGGCCATGCCAACAGTCATTAGCTACCTAGTATGTTCCACAAAGTTCATCATCTTCATATATTTTCTTTAGATACAACTGTTCATTTTCATTAAACCAATCTGCATTTATACTAATGAAAATAAGCCAAAGCAGTGTTTCCCAACTTTTTCACACAATGTGAAAACCCTAGAAAAGTGGTTGGAGGTTCTGGCCACCTCAACCTACCTCCATCCAGATCTCCTGAGAGCTTAGGGGACAGATCAATAACCAAATGTTTATAACTTACATGCGACATATAGGCAGGGAAGGTATTATCTAGAGCAGTTGCTTCTCAAACTTTAAAGTGCATACAAATCATTCTATGATCTTGATAAAATGCAGATTGAGTACGTCTGGAGTAAGGACTGAAATTTTGCATTTCTAATGACCTTCCAGGTGCGGCTACTACCTACACTTTAAGGAGCAAGGTCTAGGAAACTTTAGTGTCTCTACTACCTCTAAATTCATCTTTTTGGCGAGGAGAGGGATAATTCACTTTTTTAAACAGTGGCAAAACAGGCATACCATAAAATTTTGCCTGTAACTATTTTTAAGTATACAGTTCAGTGGCATTAGGTACATTTATGCTGTTGTGCAATAATCAACACTATCCACTTTGTTTAGAACTTTTCATCTTCTCAAGTTGAAATTCTGTACCAGTTAAGTTCCTCCCATCCCCTCCTCCCCTCACACCCTGGCAACCACCTTTCTACTCTCTATTAATTGGACTACTAGGTACTTTTCATAAGTGAAATCATAAATATTTCCCTTTTATGAGTGGCTTATTTCATGAAGCATAACTTCTTCAAGGTCAAATTGCATTGTAGCATGTGTCAGAATTTCATTCTTTTTTCAAGGCTGAATAATATTCCATTGTGTGTCTATATACTACATTTTGTTTCTCTATTCTTTGATTGATTCTTGGGTTATCTCCACATTTTGACTATTGTGAATAAAGATGCTATGAACATGGGTGTACAAATATGTTTTGAGTCCCTGCTTCCAACGTACTTGGGTATATATCCAGAAGTAGACCTGCTAGATCATATCGTAATTCTATCTTTAATTTTTTGAGTAAACACTACACTGTTTTCCATAGAGGCTGAACCATTTTACATTCCCCCAACAGTGCAAGAAAGTTCCAATTTCTCCACATTCTCACTAACACTTTTCTTATTAGGATAATAGCCATCCTAATAGGTGTGAAGTGGTGAGCTCACACTTTAAATAATGCAGCCTCATGCAACACTTACCTGCTTGATTTCTCGTAACAGATCTGCATCTATGTAATACCTTTCTTCAGATCTGACTGCTCCAAAATGATTCTGCATCCTGATTTGAGACATCAATTCATTTAGTCGGCCCTAAAAGTTAAGACTGAGTCAAATTACAACTGCCGACGAAGACTTGTAAAAGACAATGTTTTCTTCTGAAAGGATGGTTTCAAAACCATCTATTAAAAATTTCTATTTCTCTCTCTGTACATTATATTCGAAACACTAATACTAGCCAAAAGAACCATGACTGAGTTTACTTTAGAAAGGAAGTTCTAATTGGAGATAAGAAACACAAGTATACAAAATTCCTGCTTGAAGATTACATAACTTTTTGTCTGCAGATCCACCTGAAACAAATTTTAGAATTATGGTCTTAGAAGTGGTTACCTTGAACTGAGTAGGTGCATTTAGTTCACCCTGAATCGTATCCAGCTGAACTCGCAACTGCTCTTCATCAGCCTGAATGGCATAACCACTCTTCCTTTGAATTTCCTGTTTGATTAGGACCTATACAAATAAAAACCACCAATAACAACAGAATCATCTCTTTTTAGTTATGCAAGTAGTAGTAGTACAATTAGTTACTGAAAGAAATCAGCTGAAAATCAAACAACAGTAGGGTTCAACAGTTCAGGATTTGAATTATGTTTCTGTCCATTTTAACTAGGCAAAAGTTATCATATAAATACAATGATATAGACTTAATTGTTTTTTTTGAGACAGGGTCTTGCTCTGTCTCCCAGGCTGAAGTGCAGTGGCGTAAACACAGCTCACTCCTTGACCTCTGTGGCTCAAGTGATCCTCCTGCCTCAGCTCCTGAGTAGCTGGGACCACAGGTGTGCACCACCGCACCTGGTTACATTTTTTAATTTTTTTGTGGCGGGGTGGGGGGGGGGGTCTCACTATGTGGCCCAGGCTGGTCTTGAACTCCTGGGCTTAATTAAGTGATCCTCTAGCCTTGGCCTCCCAGAGTGCTGGGTTTACAGGTGTGAGCCACTTTGCCAAGCCAACAATTTTAAAACTATGGTATGGCTTGGCCGGGCGCGGTGGCTCACACCTGTAATCCCAGCACTTTGGGAGGACAAGGCGGGTGGATCAAGAGGTCAGGAGATTGAGACCATCCTGGCTAACATGATGAAACCCCGTCTCTACTAAAAATACAAAAAATTAGCCGGACGTTGATGGTGCACGCCTGTAGTCCCAGCTACTCGGGAGGCTGAGGCAGGAGAATGGCGGAAAACCCGGGAGGCAGAGCTTGCAGTGAGCCTAGATCGCGCCACTGCACTCCAGCCTGGGCAACAGAGCGAGACTCTGTCTCAAAAAACAGACAAACAAAAACTATGGTATGGCTTAAAAGCAGTACAAAAAAATAGACAACATAATACCAGTTTCAGACATTTACTCACAGCCTTTCCAAATAAAGTGTTCTTTAAAGATGAGTTTATAATATTTAGGTCTAAAAATTATTTCTTGGATTTTTTTTGAGATTACAAAAGCAAAATGTACTTGTTAAGAAACAATACGAGAATGTAAAAGACAAATTTTCTCTCATACCCCCAAGACAAATAGTGCTAACTGATGTTTATTCCCCTGTACCTTTCTCCTTGCTCATCATACAGAGAGAGCACACACACACAGATCCAAAATAAAACTAAACTGTATATATCACTCTGTGACATGGTTCCTTTTTTTGGTTGTTGTTTTTGTTTTTCTGAGACGACCTTGCTTTCTTGCCCAGGCTGGAGGGCAGCTCAATGCAGCATCGATCTCCTAGGCTCAAGCAATCCTCCCACCTCAGCCTCCCAAGTAGCTGGAATTACAGGTGCTCACCACCATGCCTGGCTAATTTTTTTTCTTTTTTTTTTTTTTTAGTAGAGATGAGGTCTCCCGATGTTGCCCAGGCTGGTCTCAAACTCCTAAACTCAAATGATCCTTCTGCCTCGGCCTCTTAAAGTGCTGGGATTACAGGCGTGGGCCACTGTGCCAGGCTGCTTCTCTTTCTTTCCAATTTAACAATGCATCGGGGGAAAGGGTCTAAAGCAGTGGCCTCTAAAGGCAGACTCTTGGTTTGCTGCTACTCTCCAAGCCCAGCTTACTCTGTTAAAAACAGTGCAAATCCTTCCATACTCTCATCCATGCTCCTATAACCATATCTTTTTCATAAACACACACATAGACCGACTGCTTTTTACTCATCTAAGTTTTTAAAAATGGATTATATAAAATTAACAAAATTTTATTATCAATATTAACCATTAAATTTTATAATTAAAATAATTTTATTATCAAAATCTCATGAAATGCCTTAAGAAGTATAGCTCTAATTTGTTATTTTTAATGGCTGTATGCTTTTTAAATGTTATTAACCAATAATCAATAATTATTGTCTTGATGGATATACATTTTGTTTTCACACTACAATGCCATAATAAACATTTTTGTAGCTTTGACTCTATAAACAATGCTGTAATAAATTTTGTAGCTTTGACACTACAATGCTATAATAAACATTTTGGTGCATATATCTATTTAACTGGTATAGATCTTTAACAATGAGGCTGAGTTTTAAAGTATGTACGTTTTCAGTTCTAAAGCTGCTAGATTGCTTTTTCAAAATATCCTAATGATTTAGATTCATAGGCCACACATCAGAATACCCTTTCCCCACATTCCTGTCAAGAACAGGTGGTGGTGGTTTAAATTTTTCCCAACCGCATGAGTGTAAAGGGATCTCTTTTTTTTTTTTTTTTTTTTTTTCCCCAGATGGAGTTGCACTCTGTCACCCAAGCTGGAGTGCAGTGCCGTGATCTTGGCTCACGGCAACCTCCACCTCCCAGGTTCAAGCAATTCTCTGCCTCAGCCTCCCAAGTAGCTGGGATTACAGGCACCTGCCACCATGCCCAGCTAATTTTTGTATTTTTAGTAGAGTCGGGGTTTCACCATCTTCGCCAGGCTGGTCTTGAACTCCTGACCTCGTGATCCACCCGCCTCGGCCTCCCAGAGTGCTGGGATTACAGGCGTGAGCCACTGCGCCCGGCCAGGATCTCATTTTTTTTCTTTAATCTGCAATTCCCAGATTCCTAGTAAATTAAAGGGACCATCTTTTAATGACTAAGAACTATTTTGCATTTGCTTTTTCTATGAACTGCCTTTACACATCTTTTGCCCAAATTTCAATTGGGTTTTACTGTCAAATTATAGGATCTCTTTGTATAATATGAATATGAACACTAAATCTAAAATGAATGCTGTTTGCAAAATTTCCTTTTCCTAAACTCTATCACATGACTATTGACAAATGGCTTCTGGTATCTTTTGCTACACAATTTTTTATGTGGCCAATGTTGGTTTATAGTTTCTAGCTTTTTGATCAATGTCTCTCAAATCCCAGGCTGTACATACAGCTTTGAAAGTTTCTTAAAGTCTTTAGTCCACTTTATTTTTATACAATGCAATGGTCTAATTTTCTTTTCTTCCTTATGGATAGTTATACTCCAGCATTATTTATTAAATAAACCCACTGAATTGAAATACCACCTTTCTCATATATTAAATTTTCAGCACACTTGCATCTATTTGTAAATTCCCTACTCTGTTCCATGCATTGTTCTGTCCAATCCCATGCAGACACTATATTGATTCAATTATAAGAGGTTTAAAATAGGTTCTGAAATCTGGTAAAGAAGTCCCCTTCACTATTTCTTTTTTGTTCCTGAACAAGCTAGTCTCAAACACTTATCCTTCTTTATAAACTTAAAGAAATTTTAATCAAAATTTTTTTAGAGACAGGGTCTCCCTATGTTGCCCAGGCAACAGAGTGCAGTGGCTATTCATAGGCACAATCATAGCTCACTAGAGCCTCAAACTCCTGGGCTCAGGTGCTTCTCCTGCCTCAGCCTTCTGAGTAGCTGTGACTATAGGTGCCATGTCATCACACCCAGCTTAATCTATTTTTAAAAAGCTGTAATTCATTTTTAATTTTGTAAAGTGGGTATTAAGTATTCTCATCTAAGAATATAGTTTATCTATTTGTAAATACCTATACTTTCCTCAGAAATATATTCCTATTTTACAGTTTTGTCACCATAGTGAATGGAACATTTTCCTATTTCCAGATAGTAAAAAGGAAAGTTGATTTTTGTACTTTTATATCTAGCCAGCTTACTACATTAATTCTATGGTTTATTCCCTTGGGTTTTCCAGATATACAATCATATCAGCAAAAATAGATCACTTAATCATCTTCCCAATGTTTATATTATTTCTTTGCTTGTTTTATTTATGAAAACCTCCAAGATAGCAACAAATAATGATGATAATATTGGGTGTCCGTTGTCTAGTTTCTAAATGCGATTTTAGTGTTTTGCCTTTTGGAGTATTTGCTATTCATTTTTGGTTACAGTTTCTATTATATATTTTCCTTTAATGTGTTGCTATAATAAGTCATGTTGATAGATGTCCTGTTATTAAAACCAACCTTGCATTCCTGAAATAAACTTTACTTGGTCATAGTATATTTTTTAAGAAATTGATAAATAGCTGGATTCTCTTTGCTTATACTTCATTTAGAATGTGGTTTTTTGGTCCGATTTGAGGTATACTCTACATATGACAATTCACCTGTTTTAGGTGTTCAGTTCTATGAATCTGGCAAATACATACAGTCGTGTAACCACCACAGTGATTAAGATACAGAATATTTCCATCACCCCAAGCCCCTTGTAGTCACACTTCTCTCTTCATCTACAGTCCCTGGCAACTACTAATCTGTTATCTGTCCCTAATTTTCTTTTGTATAATGTTATATAAATAGAATCATGCCTTACACAGCCTTTAAGTCTGGCTTTTTTCACTTAGCATAATTTGCATCTCTTTAAAATAGCTGTTTATAATTTCTTTTTTTGAGATGCTACAAACAGAAATGTAAAATGGTACAGTTGCTTTGGAAAACAGTTTACGTAGTTCCTCAAAAAGTTAAACATAGTGTGCATATGACACAGCAATTTCACTCCTAGGTTTATACCCAAGAGAAATAGAAGTATATGTCCAAACAAACACTTGTAAATAAATTTTAATAGCAATATTATTCATAATAGCCAAAAAGGAGAACCACCAAAATGTCCATCAATTGAGTAAAATGTGGTATAGCCATATGATGGAATATTCAGCAATAAATGAATAATAATCATTTATTAGTACCTGAAGTACTATTACATGGTACAACACAGTTGAACTTTGAAAACATTATGCTAAGTAAAAGCCAGTCACAAAAGACCATATATCGTTATGATTCCATTTATATGAGGTTTCCAGAACAGGCAAACCCATATAGGCAAAACTGGTTGCATAGGACTGACAGATTTGCAGTGAAACGGGGAAGTGACTGACAATGGGTACGGGATTTGTCTGTAGGGTGACAGAAATGTTCTAAAATTGATTGTGGTAATAACGGTTATACAAGTCTCTGAATATACTAAAAGCCATTGAATTGTACACTTTAAATGAGTAAATAGTATGGTATGCAAATTATCTTAAGCTGTGAAAAAAGAACAAATGAAGCTGTATAAATTATTCCTCAATTGTCTAGAATAATCAAAATAACACTGGATTAGCTCTTTTGTGGTTAGACAAAATTTGGCAATGAAACTATCTGTCCCTAAGGCCTTTTTCATGTTTCATCTTTCATTTTTCCAACTGTTTCTGTGGTATTTGTTTTCTTACTTCTCTGTAGATTTTGGTAATTTTCATTTTCATAGAAAAATCAAAATAAAACTTCCTCTGAGTTCCAAATCTGTTACCCTAAAGTACATGCAGCATCTTCTTTTTTTTTTCTCCTTTTTTCTGAGATGGAGTCTTGCTCTGTAGCCTAGGCTGGAGTGCAGTGGCGTGATCTCGGCTCACTGCAACCTCCGCCTCCCAGGTTCAAGCAATTCTCGTGCCTCAGCCTCCCAAGTAACTGGAACTACAGGCACAAGCAACCATGCCTGGCTGATTTTTTTGTATTTTAGTAGAGATGGGGTTTCACCGTGTTGCCCAGGCTGGTCTTGAACTCCTGAGCTCAGGCAATCCACTCACCTCGGCCTCCCAAAGTTCTAGGATTACAAGAGTGAGACACTGTGCCCGGCCCATGCAGTATCTTCTTATTCTGTTTTGTATATCTACGGTGATGCCTCTTTTCCCACTACTAATTTTGTATATTTTACTCTGTTTTTCCCTTCTTCCAGCTGATGAGATGCTTAGTAATTTTAACGGTCTTTTCAAAGAAACAGTTTTTTAATTTATTCTTTCCACTATTACATTTTTTAGTCTTTCACTAATTTCACATTTATCTTTCTTTCTTTTTAGTTTCTTTTGGCTTATCTTGATATTCCTTTTCTAATTTAACATGAGTACTAAGTTCCTTTATTTTTCACATTTGATTTTTTTAAATGAGAATTTTTTATGGCTGTAAGTTTTCCTCTGAGTACAGATTTTGCTGTTTCCCACTGGTTCTGGTATGTAATATTTCTGTTTTCATGATAGTTTATAATTTCAGTTGTTATTATTCTTTTAATTCCTCCTGTTAATTTGGAAATTCTATTGTTTTTCGACCATTATGGTTACACTCCTTTTTCTAGCACTCAAAAAATTTTCTGAACTATTTTATGAAACTATTTTATGAAATTTATGAGACATCAATAATCTCACAGAAGCTTCCCTTGCACTAAGATGCTTTATTTCTTCACTGCTTTCCCTCAAACTGTCACTAAAATACGAACTTTAGGATATTTTTATTCTCCTCACTCAAACCTATGAGACTTGTTTTCCAATTTCAAAGTTTTACTGAAAGAATTCGGTACTTGTAATTTCACATTATTCTTTCATTTTAGTATTTTTTTTTCTATTTTAAAAATCTATATTTAGTACATTATTTCACACACATAGTCTTATAAACACTGGGGGGGAAAATCCAAATTACTACCTGTAAAGTTCTATGGGAAAGATCCATGAGTTTCCTCTTGTATTGTGCAATTTTGGCTACAGATGTAGTTTGATTCTTTTGTAGCTCACTAATATCTTCAGATATGATCTGTTTAAAAAAAAATTGGGGGGGGGAGGGTTAATCAAATATCACAACTATTTATCAGTTACACCTGTATGGAAATTCTAATCTTGGGATAAGCCTGAGATTCATCTCTCAAAATATAAACTCTTTCCCTATAAATCTGTGCTTTATATTTCTTCCCTTTTTACATACCTAAAATTTTTTTAAAAGAATCATGCAAAGATATCTTTAGAGCTCTAGGAAATTTAGCAATGAGGCAATACATAGAAAAAATAAGCTGGGCGTGGTGGCTCACACCTGTAATCCCACCACTTTGGGAGGACGAGGCAGGCAAATTACTTAAGGTCAGGAGTTCAAGACCAGCCTGGCCAACATAGTGAAACCCCGTCTCTACTAAAAATACAAAGAAGTAGCTGGGTGTGGTGGCATGCACCTGTAATCCCAGCTACTTGGAAGGCTGATGCAGGAGAATCACTTAAACCTGGGGGATGGAGCCGAGATCGTGCCACTGCACTCCAGCCTGGGCAACAGAGTGAAACTCCATCTCACAGAAACAAAAAACAAAAAACAGAGTGAGACTCCATCACACACACACACACACACACACACACACACACACGGCTGGGCACAGTGGGTCACTCCTGTAATCCTAGCACTTTGGGAGGCCAAGGCAAGAGGAGTGCTTGAGACCAGGATTTTGAGACAAGCTTGGGCAAAATGGCAAGACCTTGTCTCTACAAAAAATATAAAAAATTAACCAGGTGTAGTGCTACATGCCTGTAATCCCAGCTCCTTAGGAGGCTGAGGTGGGAGGATCACTTGAGCCCAGGAGTTTGAGGTTGCAGTGAGCCGTGATCATGCCACTGCACTCCAGCATGGGCAAGAGGGAGAGGGAGAGGGGGAGAGGGGGAGAGGGGGAGAGGGAGAGAGGGGGAGAGAGGGAGAGAGGGAGAGGGAGAGAGGGAGAAGAGGGAGAAGAGGGAGAGAGGGGGAGAGAGAGGGAGAAGAGGGAGAGAGGGGGAGAGGGGGAGAGGGGGAGAGAGGGAGAGAGGGGGAGAGAGGGAGAGGGAGAGAGAGGGAGAAGAGGGAGAAAGGGGGAGAGAGGGAGAGAGGGAGAGAGGGGGAGGGGGAGGGAGAGAGAGAGACAGAGAGAGAGGGAGAGACCTATCTCAAAAGGAAAAAAAGAAAACACATACTTCAGAAATAATTAAGGAATCTGAAGTAACATGGAATACAGCCAACAACCAGGTCTGAGTGGAAAAAGTTAAGATGTGTAAGATGATATCTAGGGGGTGTCTTAATAGACAATTAGCCCTGTATCTAACTACTGACAGCAAGTACAGTACATTTCAACATTAACTGTTACAGAATACTTGGAGGGAGTAATCAGAGTGCAGAGGAAAAGGAATGATATTAATTATGCAGCAGGATACATTTTTATGCCTCTGGATCTTTGACTTGCTGTTTTACCTGACTGAAATCCCACTATTCTGCCTTAGGAAGTCTTAACCTTACAGGGTAGGTTAAAATCTCACTATTTTATTAAAGCATCCCAATCAGAATTAATCCCATAATTGTCTCTATCATAATTAATCATTCTATGCCACTGGCTTACATTTACATGTTACAAGAAAGAGGTTAAGATTGTGCAAGACATATTTTAGCACATCCACCTGCACACATCACCTTTTACAGAAACTTTCCAATGCCAGGCCATGCTGAAAGGACAAAATTAGGTGGCCATGTTTTATATTACAAAACCTAGGCAATCTCCCCATCCCAATTTTGAAAAATCACCAGGGTTTTTAGATACAAGAGTACTTACAACATTATTTTCTACCAGTAATAACTAAAAAAATTAGACATGTTATCAGCCACAGTATTTATTAACAAATACTAAAACCATCTAGGAATTGATCCAAGAAAGCCATCTAGGAATTGATCCAAGAAAGAACGCATGAGATTTTAAAAGGGAATATTTTAAAATTATTTTAAAGGACATAAAAGACTGCAAGGATTAAAGAGACATACCACATTCATGGATGAAATGATTTAATATTAAAATTCAATTCCCACAAATTAGTCTTTGCATTTAATGCAATTCCAACCATAATTCTAGCATTCTGACAAATTGATTCTAAAGTTTTTATGGAAGAATAAAGACCCATAAAGACCCAGAAAACTTTGAAAAGAAGAACCAAGATTAGAGATTCATGCTACTAGATATTAAGATACACTACAAAGCCATAAGACTAAAAAAATGTGGAATGGGTGGGTATAAGAACAGACCAACTGGCCAATGAAACATAAGAGAGGGTCTAGAAATAGATCACATATATATATGCAAACAGTGTAATTTAAATTCTTTGATAATCATTGAGGAATATCATATTTTTATAGGCAATATTAAAAATATAGGGCTGGGCGCAGTGGCTCACGCCTGTAATCCCAGCACTTTGGGAGGCCAAGACGGGTGGATCACGAGGTCAGGAGATCGAGACCATCCTGGCTAACACGGTGAAACCCCATTTCTACTAAAAATACAAAAAATTAGCCAGGCGTGGTGGTGGGCGCCTGTAGTCCTAGCTACTTGGGAGGCTGAGGCAGAACAATGGCGTGAACCCAGGAGGCGGAGCTTGCAGTGAGCCGAGATTGCGCCACTGCACTCCAGCCTGGGCGACAGAACGAGACCCCCATCTCAAAAAAAAAAAAAAAAAAAAAATGGACCCACTATTTAGAGAAAAATAAATCTGAGTTCATACCACATACTTTATATAAAGGTAAACTTCATGATGACAACAAAAGACTCAAACGTGAAAGGTTAAACTCTAAATTTTTTTTAATGTAGGATACTCTCAGACTTTGGGGTGAAAAATTATTTAAGCAAATTCCCAAAAAGAAAATACAAGGCAAACATTTAATGGATATCATTACATTAAAATTAAGGATTTCTCTTCAACTACAGACACCAAAGACAGAATTAACAAAGAGATGAGAAACTAGAAGATATTTACAACGTTATAAACAGAGACTACAATCTAGAGTAAATGATTACTGAAGTTCAATAAAGAAAAAATAGGAAGCCCAGTGGAAACACTGGCCAAAGATATGAATGATTTCAGTTCTGGACAAGATGGACTAAGCATATACAACCCCAATCTCTCCCATTTAATATAGCTATAAAACTTGGATGGAATACACGGGGCAGCTATTTGGGAACTCTGGCAGGAAGATCAGGTAAGATAGGAATTTAAAGTACCAATAAACTTGTGGTGAGTTTACCCATTTTTCCCCTCAGGCGTCCCTAGTCTGGTTTCAACCCAGCCTCAAACCTGGAAATGAGCATAAATGCTGAAAGGGAGCTCCAAGGGAAGTCTGCTAGTTATAGTGGGAGGAGATACATCGTATTACCTAGAGAAAGGTTTCTCAACTTCAGCACTATTAATCTTGGGTAATTCCTTGTTGTGGGAGTACTGTTCTGTACACTGCAGAATGTGTGCAGCATCTGGGCCTCTACACATTAGACGCCTGTAGTACTCCCCAACCAAGAGTCTCCAGACATTGCCAAATGTGCTCTGGGAGACAAAATCACCACCACCACCACAAGCCACTACTAAGAAGTACTGCTCTAAGACTTGAAATAATAGATTAAAAGGAAATGCTGAAAAAAAAAAAAAAGTCCAAATAACTCAAAAGAAAGCAGAAAAGTAGAAACAGGAATGAAAAACAGAGGCTACAAACACAAAACAAATAAATGGTAGGACTAAATCCAAACTTTTTGCTGTCTACAAGAATCTCGCTTCAAATATAACAATATAGGTAGGTTAAAAGCAAAAAGATGGACAAAGGTATGCCATACAAACACTTTTTATCAAAAGAAAGGTAGCGTGGCTATGTTAACACCAGACAAAGACTTCTGAGTGTCTTGAGTAAGTGTCCATGAACAGATGAATGGATAAAGAAAACATGGTGTGTATGTGTACACATATATACACACACAATAGAATACTATTTAATCATGAAAAAGAATGAAGTGCTACCATTTGCAGCAACATAGATGAACTTGGAAGACATTTTGTTAAGTGAAATAAGCCACGTGCAGAAAGATAAATTCTGCATGTTCTCACTCATATGTGGAAGCTAAAAAAAGTTGATTTAGTAGAAGAAAAGAGTAGAATAGTGGCTACTAGAGGTGGAGAAAGAGTAGGAGTAGGGAACTGCCAAAGGTTGCTTAACAGATACAAAAGTACAGCTGGATAGGAGGATTAAGTTCCAGTGTTCTATAGCACTATAGGTAACTATAATTCACAACCATTTATTGTGTTTCAAATAGCTATAGGAGTGAATTTCCCATGATACCAACAAATGATAAATGTATGGGGTAATGGATATGCTAATTACTTTATTTGATCATTACACACTATATCCATGTATTGAATTATCACACTATGCCCCATAAATATGTAGTTATGTATCGATTAAAAACAATAAAAGAAAAGGCCATTAGAGAAGATTTAAAACTTACCGAGGATTAAGAGGGATATGATATAATAATAAAAGGTAAATTTGCCAAGAAAACACAACAATCCTATATAACAACAGCCCTTCAAACTATTAATACATGAAGCAAAAACTGAGAAATGAAAGGAGAAAAACACAAATCCGTAAGTGTTGCTGTAGATTTCAAATCTCTTCTCAAACTAGCAGACAGAAAAAACAACAAGAATACAGAACTGAGCAATACTATCAACCAACTGGATCTCACTGACATTAATAGAAAACTTCACCCAAGGACTGCAGAATACACATTATTTTCATAGGCTCCTGGGTTATAAAACCTCAGCAAAGTTGGCCGGGCGCAGTGGCTCACGCCTGTAACCCTAGCACTTTCGGGAGGCCGAGATGGGTGGATCACGAGGTCAGGAGATCGAGACCATCCTGGTTAACACGGTGAAACCCCGTCTCTACTAAAAATACAAAAAATTAGCCGGGCGTGGTGGCAGGCGCCTGTAGTCCCAGCTACTCCGGAGGCTGAGGAAGGAGAATGGCGTGAACTCAGGAGGTGGAGCTTGCAGCGAGCCTAGATCGCGCCACTGTGCTCCAGCCTGGGCGACAGAGCGAGAGACGTCTCAAAAAAAAAAAAAAAAAAAAAAAAACCTTAGCAAAGTTAAAAGAATTGAAATCATAGAAATTTCTCTGACCTTTAAGAATCTTTAAGTATTTAATTATGAAAGTTTTTTTTTTTTTTTTTTTTTTTTTTTTTTTTTTTGAGGAGTCTCACTCTGTCGCCCAGGCTGGAGTGCAGTGGCACGATTTCTGTTCACTGCAACCTCTGCCTCCCGGGTTCAAACAATTCTCATGCCTCAGCCTCCCAAGTTGCTGGCATTACAGGCGTGCACCACGACACCCAGCTAATTTTTGAATTTTTTAGTACAGACCAGGTTTTGCCAAGTCGGCCAGGCTTGTCTTGAACTCCTGATCTCAAGTGATCCACCCACCCTGGTCTCCTAAAAAAGTCTACTTTATGAAATAAAATATTAAGTATATTTAAGCATTAATTTTATCAACATACAATAATATACCAAGACAATTATATGTCAACATAAAATAATCATTACTATAACCTTCATTTTCATAAGGCCCCATAAATAATAATATGCAATCCCTGGCTGAAACTGGAAATGACAGTCTAATTAATCCACTAAGACAAGAATTCTAAATTCATTATTATATCAAATCAGATTCATGTGATTTGGGGACTTCTATCATAAAGAAGGTAGTTGTATAAAACTATTAAATTGCAGTGTATGCTACATTGTTTCCTGATTAAGATAAAACAGTAGCACATATACTAAAAAGAATTAAATGTCTATAATCCCTTTCCCTACTTCCAGGGCCAGGGAATAAAAAGCTAAATGCTTACATCTAATCTGGTTTGATGCTGCTTAGTCATCTGATCTTGAACCTTCAGTCTTCGGAGAAGTTCCTTAAAACCCACCATTGGTACAGGAATTAACCTGAAGAAACGCAGTGAACAATTTTCAGACCTTAAGCCTATTACTACAAAATACAAGAAGTGAAGGTTTTAGTAACACTCATGTAATTTTACATCAACTTTCTAGGGCTCTAAGGCAGATCTATGACTATGAGATAACCATGTTATACCAAAGAGATTTTATTCAACCTCCCTATTTTACAAATGAGGAAATACAGTTCAGTCAAAACATTACATTATTAAATGAAAACGCAAATAGAATTTTCCGCTCCTAGTTAGTTCTCACTATGCTATGCTGCCTTACCATAATCTTTTTTTTTCTTATTTTTTTCTTTTTGTTTTGGCTGAAGCTTTAGCTGGACAATAATCAATATTTTTTAAAGGCCAGGAAAATGAAAATAAACTTGTCTCATATGTAAGAATTATAATTAATAGCTCCCATGTTTGCTTTCCTAGTAGCAAATATTAGTTCTTAAATGAAACAAGATGAAGACATACTTACTTTTCAGAATCAGGGTTATCTACCTTGGCCTGTTCCCAGATAATAGGATCAACACCTACCACAAATAAAAAATATTTTTTCTAAAACAATTTTCTATTTTTATAATATGTGTATGACAAAGGCTTTCCTAAAGCAAGACCCTATACCTAGAAGCTATAATGAAAAGTGACTGTCAAATATAATCATGGTAAAAATACAAATTTTTGCAGAATAAATAAAGTTCAAAAAAAGCACAGATTGAAAGGAACTATCTATAACCTATAGGATAATAGATTAACCTCCAGAATATAGAAAGAGTTCCTATACATCAAAAAGGAAGACAAAAAAATCTAGAAAATGGGCAAAGGACACAAATAGGTAACTCACAAAAAATATAAATGTAGCTAATAAACATATTAAAAATAAGTATTAATTTTTAAATTAATTATTTTGCCATCAGTGGCCAGAAAAAATAACATTCCTGTTATGAATATAAACGGTAGAACTTTCCCTGGAGGGCAATTTGGCAATATCTAACATACATAATATTGACTCAAAAATTTCATTACCAGAGATCTATTCTAAAGAAATATATACCAATGTGTTCTAAGACATGTTTACAAGGATATTGTTAATTACTGTACAGTTTATAATAGTAAAAAGAAAACAACTTAGAGGTGTTAAGTAAAGGTGTATCCATGGAATACTATGCAATGTTTAAATACAGTAAGATTTATCTTCATGTATTGACATGAAAAGTGCTAAGGAATACTGTAAAAAGGCAAGCTGAAGGTGTATATGGAGAATCCTTTTTTAAAAGATCTACATGTAAATATGCTTACATTTCAAATCACAGATAAAGGATTAAACATAGTACCATAAATTGACAGTAGTTACTTCCGGGGAAAGGAACTAAAGGTAATCTATCACATAGTCAATCTAGTTATGCCATCCAGAATATTTTACAGTTAGAATACATTCAGGTTTTACTTGAATATTCAGTTAAAATGAGATAAGCTAGAAAAAAATAAGCCAAAATTTTACTAGTAAATTACCTTTGGGTAGATGGATTATGGACTATTTTTCTTCAGTTCACTATTTCTCAAAATTTCTATTTTAACATATACATATTAGCTATATAATAAAAAACTAAATGAATACAAATATTCAAAACTATTTCCCAAATAAGTAGATATATGACAAGATGATACTAATTTTATTAGCATTAATAACCAACCAACACCTCTGAAATACGGGGAGTGTTTAGTTCTAAATCTTTCTTTTTTTTTGAACTCTGTGATTCTAGAAACATACCAGCAGGAGGATTCTGTAAAAGCTGTTTGATCTGTGCAGGAGAAAGTTCTGTTCTAGTCATAGAAAGGGTTACACCAAGTTGCTGCAATTGTGTTTTTATATTGGCTTGTTCAAAATGGGCATATAGCGTTGTAGCTGGAACTCTTCTTGAAGTACCATTTGGCGAACGCTCAACAACATAAATAACAACTTCTGTCCTGAAGGAAGAATAACCAATTTATAAAATATGGAGCACAAAACTCATAGCGACAAACCTCAGCATATCATAGCATGTGATTTCAGAAGGGTTTAAGTTGAATTCAGAAATGGTTGTTTTAGGAGGCAATTAAAATGTTTCCTTTTTTTTTTTTTTTGAGCAAGGTTTGCTCTGTTGCCCAGGCTGGAGTGCAGTGGTATCATCACTGCAGCCTCAATGTCCCAGGCTTAAGCAATTCTCCCACCTCAGCCTCCAAGTAACTGAGAGTACAGCTGCACACCCGCTACGTTTAGCTTACATGTATGTGTGTCTATACATAAATATATATGATATATATATATATATATTTTTAAATTTTTTTGAGAGACGGACACTCGCTATGTTGCCTAGGCTAGTCTCAAACTCCTGGTCTCAAGCAATCCTCCCACCTTGACCTCCCAAAGTTCTGGGATTACAGGTATGATGAGCTGCTGTGCCCAACTGTTTTCTTCTTAAATCTTGGAAAATAAGAAAGTTTTACTTCATGTAATGTTCATTTACAAATCAACCTAAATGATAAAGTTAAAAAGAACCAGGTAAATAAGATAGTATTTGTTTTTTTTTTTGAGACGGAGTCTCTCTCTGTCCCTCAGGCTGGAGTTCAGTGGCTCAATCTTGGCTCACTGCAAGCTCCGCCTCCTGGGTTCATGCCACTCTCCTGCCTCAGCCTCCCTCGTAGCTGGGACTACAGGCACCTGCCACCACGCCCGGCTGATTTTTTTTGTATTTTTAGTAGAGACAGGGTTTCACCGTGTCAGCCAGGATGGCCTCGATCTCCTGACCTCATGATCCGCCCGTCTCGGCCTCCCAAAGTGCTGGGATTACAGGCGTGAGCCACCGTGCCCGGCCAATAAGATAATATTTATAAAAGGGTTTGCTTAGTTGCAAAATCCTATGTAAATGTTATTTACTATAGGAAATTCTGTTGAAATTTATGGGCTGCTTCTCTGCAATTACAACCACAAGTAAAATCTGTTCAATTATTGCATCTCATTAATAATCATTCCTCCAAATATCCTAAAATAAATGTCTTGCCACTAACACTGAGAATTATACTTAGGTCAAGGGAAGTAAAGCAATAATATTTATTCATGAATGAACATGAACAGTAATGAGTTAATAACATTTTCCAATAACATCTTTATGGCCCTCAATTTGCACGCATCTATGACAAATGGTCCCTTCCTGGCCTGAATGAAAATCTAGAAAATTATTAGCATCTAGTAAGTTAAAAAATCCAAAATTTTAAAAAAACTTTTAAATAAATGTTTTTATCAATACTGAATAATCACTAGCTGAGAAAAGGCATTCTGCTCTGAGAGTTAATTTGTGCTTTAGCAACAAAAACATTATTGATCACTCCCTTAGGACCAGAAATAAATACACAGAAATAAACAGTATATTTATGTATACTTACTGATCATCTGGCAATGTTTTAGTGCCCTCTACATTTACAGTAAGGGTCTGGTTTCCTCCCAAAACTTTATGCAATGATTCTACCAACTGTTGTTGTTGGCTTCGAATCTCTGTTTCTTTTTTGTTGAAAACTAAAACCACTAGCCCATCTTCATCTTTATTACTGGGCATGCAACTATAACCTACTGCCTGTGGAATGACAAAATAAACAATATAAAAAATATGTACAGATCTTAAATCAGGTGTTTAATATTAATAGCTTAATATCTGCTAAAATGGGAAAAACAACTTAATGTCTGGTAATTAAGGGAATAATGATTCTTCCCACCATTTTGTGCCCTAGGAGGTCACAAAATTATAAAGAAAAACTATTTTACCCAGGAATAACATTAACCTATAGAGTAAGATTAACATTTCCTCTTTGAGAGAGTAACTAAACAGCTTTCTCCCCTAAAAAATTTTGATATTCATTATTGTTGGTTGTTTCTGAACCATCTGCATGTCATTATAAAAGTGACTGCAAAAATCACCAACTAATTATAATTTATTTCACTATACAGATTCTCAACTTATGATTTTTCCATTTTATAGGGTGTGAAAGCAATACGCATTCATATATACATACATGTAAACCATACATGGAATTCTGATCTTTTAGTTTTTATTATAAAATTATTATTATTATAAGATGGACTTGATGTTAGATTATTCTGCCCAATTGTACACTAATGTAAGTGTTCTGAGCATGTTTAAAGTAGGCTAGGCTAGGCTATGATGCTTGGTAGGTTAGGTGTATTAAATGCATTTCTGAATTACAATATTTTCAATTATGATGGGTTTATTGGGATGTAACCCATAATAAGTTGAGGAGTATCTGTATATCTGATTCATGGAATCTTAAACTAAGTTTTAAATATATAAAGAAGTAATTTACAAATAAATACTTTTAAATCACAGTAATGACAGTCAACTTACAAATACTATAAAGAATGTCTGTATCACTTTATTGGTTTATATAATACAAAACTTTATGAAACAGGGTTGTTGTTTTTTTACATATTAATATGACCAATTATACTTTTCTAAATAATTGCTCTTTTAGATAGAAGCCTTTTATCCCTTTTCACCACTCACCTGCAACTTTTAAAAAAGAATTTAAATTAACTCAAGTGTACATTATGCATTTTACCATGTTATACACCAACTTTATTGTTATATTCAACTTATGTCTATTATTGAATACCTCTTAGCGACTAAATACATGTATCAAAATTTCAACTATATGCACTCAATATACTTTTTGTTAGTGATGACACAAAGAGATGTTCTGTAATAAGACAGGCTGACCACTTTATTCAAGGATCTGATCCTCAGCCTTACAGCTCCAAACACAGGGTTATGTACATATTGATTAGGTTTAAGAGACCAACGTAGGCCAATATAACTCCTAAGAGGCTGAGGTATAAACTGGATTGCAATACGTAATTTGTTATGGAAAATGCATTACCAAATGGACCTAAATACTCTCACTGGCTGATAAAGAGATTTTCTGAAGAGACAAATGAGAAGGTTGTTTGGTAGGCAGGGAATAAGAACACAGAAAATGGGCAATATTGTTTTAATAGCTTTGGGGTTATACATGCCAAGGGGAATTTCTGTCTGCTGGTTAGGGTATACTCTCCTGGCCAATGTTAAATGAATACCACTAAATTGTAGTTTGGTGTCTCCCCTTTACAGGTGCCAGGCAAACCATTCTCCTGTTTACATTTTTTTTCTTCAGTTATAAATCACATTCCAGTCACACCTTCCTTCATTCATATTCTGGTCACCTTCAACCACACATATGTATGAAATCACTTCAATTTTATAATTTCTATATTTTCAAAATAAAAGTATAATCATACCATGTTCAAGGAGTAAAGATCCAAGCAATTGTTATCTTGATATTAATCTAAATATATTTTCTGTTATACAAAATCTTCAACTGAAGATAAAAATAGTATTAATAATACCTTAAATCGGCAAAAGGGATTTTCTTGTGTGAATTCCACTGGCGGAATATTATTGTTGAAATACCCTTTTCCTGTTCCCCAAAAGGCCTGCAGTTGATTCCATTTTGCCAAAATAGCATCTCTCTCATCTCCCAACAGCGTTGGAGCAGAAAGAGCACTCGCAGTATTTATCAGCTGGTTGGACTGGGTAGGAGCTTGTGTAGGCTGACTGAAGAGACCACCTAATGCTAAAAATGTACCCAAAATTAGTATTTAAAAACAAAACAAAACAAAACTTAATCCAGATCCTAGGCGTGGTAGGCAAAATAATGGCCCCCTCCAAGATGCCCATATCCTAATCTACAGAACCTATAAATATGTTATCTTACATAGCAAAAGGGCCTTTGTAGATGTGATTAAATTAAGCATGCTGAGATAGAGGGTTATCCTGGATTATCAGGAGGGACTCAACGTAATCATAAGATCCTCAAAAGTGGAAGAGTGCGCTCAGAGTCAAACAGATCTGAAGATGCTATGCTGTTGGCATATGGCAAGATGGAAGAGCCGCGAGCCAAGAAATGCAGGAAGACTCTAAAAACTGGAAAATGCAAGAGAATGGATTCTCCCTTAGTGCCTCTAGAAGTAACGCAGTACTGCCAGGACCTTCATTTTAGCACAGTGAAACCCACTTCTGGACTTCTAATCTCCAGAAACTATAAAATAATAAAATTTTATTGTCTTAAGCCACTAAGTTTGTGGTAATTTGGTATGGCAGCAATAGGAAACTAACACACTAGGCCAAACCTTATAACGTTAAATTTGTTTTTCTAATAATATTTTTTTGAGACAGGGTCTTACTTTGTTGCCTAGACTGGAGTGCAGTGGCAAGATCATGGCTCACTGCAGCCTCAACCTTCTGGGCTCAAGCAATACCCCTGCTTCATCATCCTGAGTCGCTGGGACTACAGGAGTGCACCAATGTGCACCTGGTTAATTTTTTAAAATTATTTTTTGTAGAGACAGGGTCTTACTATGTTTCCCATGCTGGTCTCAAAACTTCTGAGCTCAAGCGACTCTCCTGCCTCAGCTTCCCAAAGTGCTGGGATTATAGGCATGAGCAACTGTGCCCAGCCCTAATGATGTTATCCAAATTAATTCCATTACCAGAACACAGATTGGGTCCACAATATTAAACCTACACATGAAAGAATGGAGGGAGGGAGGAAGGGATGCATGTGGATAAAAAAAAGTTTGTAAAGATGTAGGATTTTTTAAAATAACCTTTATTGCTGTTATATTTATATAATAAATACAAATTGGGGGATACAAAGTCTAAAAATCATTGTTATATCAAATACCAGCTTACTAAACATTTTCCTTTCTCTCATTATTAAAAAATATATATAGTAATAACAAATGGATTAACCATCAGTATTCTAGGCTAAAACTTTAGATGGCTGTGTAACTTTGGGCAAATCAACCTCTCTGGGATACCAATTTCTCTAATGGAAAGAAGGGCCAAGTTCTTAGGGCAGATAAATATGCCCCAAAGTGTGAGATAAGTATGTCATCTTTCAACAAAGCGAGGAGCAAGTCTAAGGCTCAGAGCTTAAGGCAAAGTTATCTACCTAGAATTTATTTACACTATATTTTCTTTGTACTTAATTTCAATTACCTTTTCCTTAGAGCAAATGATACTAATTTTCCACTTATAGCAGCAATAAATTTTACTTTAAAATAACTGTATTTCGTGTTTCAAAGTAAACTGATTTAAAGAAAATTCTTAAATAGTAATACAAATGGTATGTAGATGAGGAGAAAACGTGAATACCAAAATGACCTGAGTTTTAAAACACTGTATTAGATATTGTTTAAGTTCTCTTTCAGCTCTAAACATTGAAAGTACCACAAGGTCCATGGAGCTTCTACAGAGCTAGAGAGAGGCTCTTTTACTCTCCAGAAAAGTATTAATTCCCAAATTAGTATATATAAACATTGGCAAGAACTGGACTAGAACTCAGAACACTTGAATCCTGGTTTATTATAAGGTCGCTTTCTATCCTTGAGCAAGAAATTCCTGGGCTTTATCTTCCTCAACTTTTACATGAGATGAATCAACTGTGATCTCTATACCGAGACATATGCAGTCAGCCTCCCATGCTGTTGATTATTCCTTTGGCCCCCAAAGAAAATCTTCACCTTCTGTTGAATACACATCCTCCTTGAAAGCCCTTCTCCCTTAAATTTCCTGACAACACAGTCTCTCTTGGTTTTTTATAAACACATTCATTCATTCATTCACCATTAATTCATACAACAAATATTTACTGAGTACCTACTAAGTGCTCAGAGCCAAATACTAAAGATACAGTGGTAAACAAGGTAGACAAGGTGCATTAAACAAACTGAACACATCAAACAAATATTAACAATTGTGATAAGTCCTTCAGAGAAGTACAGAGGTTCTGGGAGTACTAAATAAGGGAGCTGATCAAGCCTGAGAGAGGGGTCAAGAGAAGACAGTTCCATTAGCACTTCAGTTAGGGCCTAAAGGAAGGAGTCAGCTAAGCCATGGGGTAGAGGTAAAGGCCAACAGTATGTGTAACATCTCTGTAGAGACAGAGAGAGGAAGATGAGTGGACAAAAGCAATAAGGAGGACTAACAATGAGGTAGGAAAAAACTAGACTGGAGTGTCACAGAAGTTAAGGTCTCCCACTGGCCAAATGCAACAACTGAAACATATTTATTAAAGCCCATGCATTCAAAATGGTAATTTTATAAAGTAAAGATCAAATTTTTTTTAAATCCTAACTCCTTGGATACCATTAGAAATAATGAGACCGCCAACTCCTTTTTACAAAAATTGTCCATTAAAAAGAAAAAAAATTATCTTGCCTTTACTATACAAACTGTACATCAGGGTGATCAAGCAGTCTTGGAGGATGAAGAAAAAGTTCCTTTTACAGAAGAAATTTCAGTGTGATAGGGAGGAAATTAGAAAATCACCATTTTGCAACTCCTAATAAGATAACTGATTGAGGCAATGATCATCAAGGAATGAAACCATTAGGTTAAAGTAGTAAGATAAAGATACGCTGTCACCATCTGAACCTACTGATCAATCTTAGCATCACCAAAAGTGAGATAGCCTCTCAACGTGACGTGATATGAAGCACACAGCACCACTTGCAAAATGTTCTTACCAAAAAAGCAAACGTCAAGTCCCTAAAGCAAACTTTATTTACCACAATTATGAGAGATAAAGTTAAATAATATTACAAGGAAGCAGAAGAAAAATACAGAATGGGGGGCATTTAACAAGACAACTGGAAAATTCATGAGGGAAAAAACAGAATGGGGAATTCTCTACACTAAAAAGAACTTAAGGGACATGACAAGAAAATGAATGTGTGGTCCTTGTTTGGATCATGATTCAAACAAACCAAATAAGAAAACGCTTTTGAGACAAATAGGGAACTCTGGTTATAGATGGGGTATTAGATAGTACCAAGGAATTATTGTGGGTTGGAATGAGGTACACATTTTTAAAGAGAGAAGTATAGTAAAGTAAGCATGAAATGACACGCTTGGGATTTGCTCTCAAATACATCAGTGATTTAAAAAAAGGAAAAAGGAGATGGACAATAACAAGTTCTGACTTTTGATGACTCCAGCTGGTAGGGTTCACATCACTTCTTTTTTTCTTTGTTAGCATTTTTCATAAAGAACAGTAAGTGTTCACTGGATTTACTGAGATGATTAATGACCTTAACTTATTTGATAAAATAAAGAAAACAGAAACCAGATTGGCGAATAGTTTGTAAAGGGGAGGAGAGTGGTAGCTGAAGTGAAATGTGGGATTAAAGTAGTTTTGTTGTTGTTGTTATTACTGTTTCAAGAAAAAATAAACTTTGAGTTACTTAAATGTGGATGAGAAGGTGAAGACTGGGGAACGGAGTACAGCTAGAATAATCAACAGCACATGCGCCCTGAAAAGGCAGGAGGTTATAAGATCCTGAGTCAGGTAAAAAGAGGAAAAGGTGGATAGAGGGAGAAAAAAAATAGATTTGGTGGAGGGAAGTTGAAGGAATTGCAATAAGGGATTTTATTTTCTCTTTGGTTTTTTTTTTTTTTTTTTGAGACAGAGTCTTGCTCTGTCACCCAGGCTGGAGTCCAGTGGTGCGATCTCAGCTCACTGCAACCTCTGCCTATGGGGTTCAAGCAATTCTCATGTCTCAGCCTCCCGAGTAACTGGGACTACAGGTGTGCACTACCACGCCCATCTAATTTTTGTATTTTTAGTGGAGATGGGTTTCACCATGTTGGCCAGGCTGGTCTCTGACCTCAGGTGATCCGCCCACCTCAGCCTCCCAAAGTGCTGGGATTACAGATGTGAGCCACTGCGCTCAGCCCTTTTTTGTCTTGGAAGTAGCAGTCAAGGCCATCTGCTAAAAGTAAGAACAGATAAATTTGAGATTTGAAGAGAATAAAGGTTTAAAATTACTGCTATAGAAAGCAGGAGAATAAGTTGAAAGTAGAAATTTCACAGGATTACCAGGCAACATTGAGACCTGAGGTTGGTGATCAAGAATTTAGAGAGGTATTATCCCCTCTTCCATAATGTGTGATCTTTCTCAAGCAATATCTACACAGACAGTTGGGCTTACAAAGGCTTGGGGTTTTTTCAGGCAAATGTGACACAAAAACAAGGAAGTTTAGCATATTGGCAAGAGATATAGAAATGGAAGGCCATGGAATCTAAGCTAGTTAGAGTAGTGAAGACAGAAAGAGCTAACAGAGCAGAAAGTATCAGTTGTCGAAAGATCCAACAGTCTTCTGAAGGATCCTCGATAATCCATGCTTTGGCTTGGAAAGGACTTCTGGCGGTTGTCACAAAGTCAAATGTGACTTTTCCCCTTGATTCACAGGTATTGCCAACTGAGATAGGAATAGCTGTGATTAGTAAAAGGGAGCTAATAAGTATGAGGAATACATGGACGGGCATCTCTATACTGAGATAGGACAAGCAGTGGTCCTAACAATGCTGCTCGCTAATTTATGGTCAAAATCCTACTTGGCTTGGGGATAGGAGATGGCAGCATTTAAGTGTTAGTGTTTCTAAGAGTTTTGTTCTAGTACTCTCCTCTTACTCTGGAATCAGGTCTCCTAAATTACATCATCCATATCTACCACTTTAAATACTACTTACGTTCTGATGGCTTTCATAAATATATACAACTACCCAAGGGACACCTCAAACTCATTATCTACCCACAAACATCTGCTCTTGCTTTAGTATTCTGGATCTTAGTGAAGAGCAAGGGATCCTTCAGTTACGCCACCCAGAAGCCCAAGATACCTTTATCCAGTCATTCGCTTTTATTGATTCTACAAGTTAAATCTCTCTCAAATTCACATCCTGTTTTTTCTCTCCATTCTTAACTGTCACTGCCTTAATTCAGGTCTTCACTATATCTTGCTCAGATTTTGGCAACAGCTTCACCAGATCTCTGCCTCCATTCCAACCCACCTATAATCTATCTTTGTATTTCTCTAAGAGATACTTCTAAAAATCTGATTATTTTCCTGTCTACTTAATCCTACAACAGTTTAGAATTGCTTAAAGGACAGCTCCTTAGTAAAACATATAAGGCACGCTAATAATCCAATTCATATCTATCTCTCCAACTCTCACTACTGACCCTGAGGTCATTTATGCATTAAAAAAACTGCACTGATCTAGTTATACTGGTCCCAAAGGCATTATACTCTGCCATAAACCATGCCATGTTATTTCCTCTGCGTGGATACCCTAGAATCTCCTTGACTATGAGCAAGGATTGTGGTCTTCAACCTTGTACACCCAATGCCTGACATACGATATATACAATAAATGGATATTACATAACAAAATGAGCCCCTTTCAATTTTAAAATAGCACCAGATTCAAATTCCCATTTTCCTAAAAAAACCAAATGTAACTACAGTTACTCATAGTTGGAGAGACTTTATTTCAAGAAACAAAGGAAACACTTCACTTTTGCTGTTCTTTCCTTAACTACTTAAATATTTCATCAAATTTTGTATTTTTGCAGGATTGTAGAAAAGACGAATGACTGGAATACTTGAAAGAATAATTCTGAGAATACTATTCTATTATCTTCATCCTACTGTTAGGCAATCCTTGAAATTCATGTTTAATAAGTTAATAACTAATCTTCAGTGACTGAGTAGGATGAATTTTAGCTAGTCAATCAAGTTACTTAAAAAAATGAAACAGAAGTAATTTTAAGAGGCATCAGATTGGAAAAGTGAAAAGAGCACTAGAATGAGTAGTTGAATTTGCATCCCTGTACTTCTTCTAGAGAGGTATACAGGTAAGTCACAATCTCTCAGGTTCCTCTCTTCACCCATAAAATGGGGATAACAAAAGTATTATTTCACAGGGTTCTTGTGAGAATAAGTTAATCCATACAGAACAACCCCTGGAACCTACTGCCATACCACCTAGTAAGGATGGTTAGTAAGGAAGCCATCAAAGACTAATAACCAGACTGTCTCAAAGGGACTTGGGAGCCAACTTGAAAAGGCTTGCACTGGCCAAAGATGTAACAATTTAAGCATCAATAAGAATGGTAACTGCAATGGATTAAAAAATAGTAACTAGTTTAAAGGCTGCAGTTTCTGACATTAAAAAAAAATTGGTCATCTTTGGAGAATGCTAGATAACCAACTCTTTATTCTGAAAACCAGTAATAAAGAGAAAGAATCAACCAAACAGATGAAGTCAAGTTTCTCCTCACAGAAGTATTTCAACAAATAAATGAATCCAGGTGGAATGGCACTATTTGTAACCCCTAATGAATTAATGGATCTAGGTAATGATCACCAATGGCTCAATGGCTGATCACTCAAAAAAAAAAGATATTATATGTCTTCTGATAAAAAATAGGCCTATAAAATAGTCTTGCAAACAAACAACAAAACAACAAAATATATATATGTACGCCCCAGATCTAACCCAATCATCAAGAAATACAGAGAACAAAGGAATGTGTTAAACTATACCATAGGCGTGCAATCAGAAAAGTCTTGACTAAAAAACTCTATAGGATAAATGATCTGTTTTCTTCAACAAATTAAAAAATAAAAAAGAGAGGCCAGGCGCGGTGGCGCACACCTGTAATCCCAGCACTTTGGGAGGCCGAGGCAGGCAGATCACGAGGTCAGGAGTTCCAGACCAGCCTGGCCAATATGGTAAAACTCCGTCTCTACTAAAAATACAAAAATTAGCTGGGCGTGGTGGTGTGCGCCTGTAGTCCCAGCTACTCAGGAGGCTGAGGCAGAAGTATCGCTTGAACCTGGGAGGCGGAGGTTGCAGTGAGCCGAGGTCGTGCCACTGCACTCCAGCCTGGGCGACAGAGCAAGACTCCGTCTCAAAAAATAAAAAATAAATAAAAAAGAGAGATAAAAGAGGAGCCTATGGAGATTTAAGACAGGCAAAACCAAATACTGTTTACATACTTGAATGACAAAATATAAAGTAAGAAAATGATCACCATAAAAGCCAAGACTGCAGGTCCTCTGATGGGGAAGCAATTGGTAGGGAAATGTGGTAGGCTTCTGAACTGGCTGGCCAGGAACCATCTCCTGACATGGGCAGTGATTACAAGGGTGTTAACCTTTGTAAACTTATATATAATTCATTAAGCTGTACTTTTGTGCAGTTTCTCTATTTGTTATTTTTAACAACAAAAATTTAAATGGAATGATCCTAAACACAGGGACCTTATAATCCTAACTGTGCCAATCAGTGTTCTCCCCAGTTGCTATCATATTTAAACATGAAAAGTAACATTCCTAATCCTTTGGAATATATTAATAATTCTTATAAAAAGTCCACTAAAGTATTCTGAATGCACTCAATAATGTCAGCTAGTATCATCACGGTTTTGTATTTGAAGCTGAAAACCTCATACTTACTAGTTTGCTGCTGCTGCTGTGTATTAAATCCTCCAAATCCCAGTCCAGTTCCCAAACCAGTACCTAAACCAGTACTAGTTCCCGTTGTTGTGCCAAAACCAGTACCAAATCCAAAACCTTTGTTCTGAGTACCACCAAAGAGTCCTTTGAATGAAAAATTGGAACTTCGTAAGTTAAAAAAAAAAAAAAATCTGACCTCTACTTCATTTACTTCTATGAATGACTTAAGATGGCCTCTTACCAGTAGTGCCTGTGTTAGTTGGGGCAGAAAAGCTGAATGCAGAACCTGCAGTTGTAGATGTTGTCCCAAATCCTCCAAACCCACCTAATTAAAAAAGAACAAAAATAGAAAGGAAGAATCTTTTGTATATATAAAGGCAACTTCTTTTTAAAATTATTTTATAATTGCTACATATAAAATCAAAATATATTGATCTAATTTTTCCTTTCCCTACTTTCAAGATCAATTTTTTAAAAAACTATACTACCAATCAAGAAGTCAAAATGTTACAAGAAATGAACTAAGCATTTAAAATAGAAATATCACAATGTAATATATACCCTTCAATTAAAGGGGTGGTTAACAGTTACAGCTGAGAAAACACATTAAGCCTATTGCCATAATTCTAAAATGACTATGTATGTACTTTTAGAGGAGGTGTTGCAAATTCATATGCCTAGAAGATTTAGACTGATAACAGTAAAGAGTAAAGTAGACTATGTGTTTACTGATAGGTGGAACTGTTTAAAATGAATAGTTTTTTAGATCAGCAGTTCCTAAATTCCAGCAGATACAAGAAAGGTAGTTTAGCAGTGTCACATATTCCCATTTTTTACCCCAAGAGAAACAGGAAATCTGGATTTTCTATGTAAAATTTATTGGTTTTTGGCTGGGCGCGGTGGCTCATGCCTGTAATCCCAGCACTTTGGGAGGCCGAGGGGGGTGGATCACAAGGTCAGGAGATCGAGACCATCCTGGCTAACACGGTGAAACCCCGTGTCTACTAAAAATACAAAAAATTAGCCGGGCGTGGCGGCGGGCGCCTGTAGTCCCAGCTACTCAGGAGGCTGAGGCAGGAGAATGGCGTGGACCCGGGAGGTGGAGCTTGCAGTGAGCCAAGATCTTGCCACTGTACTCCAGCCCGGGCGACAGGGTGAGACTCCGTCTCAAAAAAAAAAAAAAAAAAAAAATTTATTGGTTTTTAAACCCTAATTCAACTACTTTTTTTTGCAAGGAATTCAAATGTTTTGAAAACAGCATGCCAAACATATCACATTGGCAGACTTGTTGCCAGTTAGCAACCTTGGTTTTGGTGAATTAATTTATGTCTAAATTAACTTATATTTCTACTTAGTCTCTGTCAAGACTAAGTAACTTTTCAAAGGAAGCATACCAATATACTTACCTCCAAACAACAAGAATGTGTTTCTTGAAGGAAGAGATTTGACAGATAAATGGAATGCTAGCCAATCTAAAATTGTTTTGTTATTTTTGTAACTTATTGTCAGTCTTCAGCTGATTACCAATGTGGTATCAAAAAGCCTTTCAAGACAAATGTTTGAACCATTAGTGTCGAATTATATTGCAGATTTTTTGGAATCTTCCTTTAATCTCATTTATTTCTGGTATACAACACAGATTCATCAATATTGCAATATAGAAAATACAAGAAGAAAAACATGCAACCATTTTATATTAATCACCTCATTCTGATTTGGAAAACTACTCAAGAGTAAGCTGCATGTTGCATGCAGGCACAACTAAATATTCTATTTACTTGTAGGTTCTACTGCAGTACTGCAAACTATAAACATTTTCATAAAAGTCACCCACAGTACTAAGCACTGTTGTAATTTCTTTTCATTATTCTTCACTTCCATAGAATAACTATGATATAATCTGAATTGGCTACGCAATAGAAACACTAGTCAGTTTCTCATCATGCTCCACAACATCAAAAATGTTTTAGTAATAGCAGATCTGCAAGTATACAAAATAAAAAGTAAACAAGAAAGTCTATCAGCCCTTTGCTGAAGGTTAACACATATAAAAGTAGTTAAAACATATTACATTATCATAACTCAAAACTTAACAGTGATAACTCCAAATGAACATGAAATCAAGCAAATACCAACAAGTTTATTTATTGTTGTTGAATTATGAGCTGGGTGGCTTTATTCAGAAACACAAATTTCAAAGTAAGATTTCTGTTTTACCCAGTGCCAATTTTAAGCAAACAAGGAAAAGTAAACACATCAAAGGACAGTGATATGTGATTACTTCGAATACATCTTAATTAAAATGCATCATCTTGTCTTTGAAGTTTTCAAATATTCTTCGAACTGTTTTCAACTCAGATGCTAGGGTGATAATCACATTGCAGTAACCAGTGAATGAACAAAATAACAAACTTCCCAATTAACTTTTAGGGAGTAAATAATGTTTATCAAATGCATATAATTGGCATGGGCACAAGAGGCATAACGTAAGAGACTATGGACGATAAATTCATATACGAGCAGCTGAAGAACAAGTTTTTTTCTACAGTGTCACTATGTAAAGTACCCATAAACCTATTTTAAATGTATATATCATTATTGTTTTGCAAAATTTCTAATGAGCTGCAAACAACCCACGTGCATATGAAAATCTTCATAATTATCTTTTTGAATGCAAAGACGTCTAGCTTACCTTTTAGAATTCGATGCTATATCACATAAAACTAAACTGCTCTCTTTGAGCATTTCCCAAAATTCCAGCAAAGAACTGGGGATTCTTTCTATAATTACAAATCTTATAGAAATTACACATCTTATAGTATCCTAATCTGCTGAGTTGACCAAAGAAATACATTATTATCATTATAACACAAGTTAAAAAACAAAACAGGTTACTGCTGTTCGTATAAGACTTGTTTCTCTTTGGAAACACAAGGACAATAAAATGAAATCTCAATGAAAGATGCAGAAAAAATGAAAAATGACTGCAGGAGTCCAAGAATCCCAGGATGGGCTTGACTGGTGGTGAGTTTATACTTTGGAAGTCCTACCTAATAATTTTAAAGATCTATTCAAAATTATAATCCAAATGCTTATCATTTGGAAGATAAGTGCACATTTAATAAAGGAACACTGTAACTTGCAAAACTTTCCTAAACCACATCTTTTAAGGCAGTAAAAACTTGATACAGATGTTTTTGATTCGAGATAAGGAAATAAATTTCCTTTCCCTATTAGACAAGTAACTGTTCTTTCCCAAACTCCAGGAACCACAATATTCTTGGACTCCAGCTCCCAACACTGGTTACACATACAACCCGCAGTATCTACCTGCACTTGCCAGACTGTTACCAAAATTGAACGGAGTCGCCGAGGTAGTAGAAACACCGAAATTCCCAATATTAAAGTTCACTGCAGGATTAGCAGTTAATCCGAAACCCCCAAAATTAAACCCACTGGCGGTGGAGTTGGCAGTCTCAAGCCCACCAAATCCTGATAGGCGTGTAGGCAAAGAAACAAAATTTTAAAAAGGGGGAGAGGGAAAAAGAAAAGAAAGCAAGATAAGGATTAGAAGAATCAGCAGGAGGTTTCACAGAAGTGAACAAACCTGGTTTTGCTCCAAACAGTTTAAGAAAGCAGAGTGGGGGTGGGGTGGGGCAGATGGAAGAAGCATGACGGATAAACCCCACAGCGAGGACCACAGGGGGCCGGGGGTGGAACTAAGGGAGTCAATGGGCAGTGCCGGTGGATCCCCAGCCCTATCCTCGCCGAGTCCGGCAGCGGGAACCACGCAAGCGTTCCCGCCCATCCAGGAGGCTGAGGTGCAGAGGGGAGGGAGGTTCTCGGGCAAGGGGAGAGGGAAGCAACCTCCAATTTCTCTGAGTAGGACTCCCCGGCAGCGGGAAGCGAACCGCTCAAGCCAGGGCCCTGTGGAAACTCACGCGCGGCAAGCGAGCTTCTAGTGGGACCCCGAGTACCCCCGTGGCCTCCTCGGGTGCCGCCTCGGCCCACTCTGCCGCCGCCCGCCCTTTTCCAATGCCTCTAAAGTCTCCGCGTCGGCGGGAGATTCCAGGATCCCCAGGTCGGAGAGTCTCGGACAGAGGGGGCGGACCAGACCCTTCCCCTTCTTCCCGGGTGAAGGTCTAGGGGGATCACTCACCCGCGGGGGCCGCGGTGGCTGCAGCGGTACCGGAGGTGCCCGAGGGAGCCCCAAAATTGAAGGCCATGTCGCGAAAGCAGGAGACCAAGTAGGTTACTCCTGCGACGCGCAGCGCGCTCCCCTTCTCAGTCCGGCCGGGAAACCGCCAGTCAGATCACCGAGTTCCGCCTCCTTTCTGACCTAGCCTAAGAGGCCGGAAGGCGCCAAGGGCGTAGGAGGTGGGTGGTTGTGAGGGAACGCCCCCAGCCAGCTCACTTCCGGTGGGCTTCACATGCTGTGGGGTGTCACTGTTAAGGTAAAATGCTGGGACGCTCGCGAGGGTGTGCCGCCTGAGAGTCCTTTAAAAACTGCCGTAGGGAGGTTCTTTGGGAAAGGTGTGCAGAGGCTGAAGTTGTTACTGTAGGGATACGCGGTAGACAGCTAGAATTTGTATGTGGTAGGGTTGAAGTTGCTGCCTCATCAACTAGCGGGCCTGGGAGGTCGGGCAGCAGGGCTGGGGTTGAGAACCCCCCCAACACCCACGAGGAGGTGGTATTTGAACCCAGTGCTGAAGGATGAGTAGACGGAGCAGAAGCAGTAAAGAGGATGCACGTTGGAAGAAATGAAAGCGAATGGAATTGTAGCAAACACGTTGCGTTTACTATGTGCCAGGCACTCTTCTAGACATTTTACATAATTTAATCAGCTATCTTATGAGGTGGGTTGCTGCTATCTCCAATTTATAAAAGAGGAAACAGGTACCAAAGGGTCAGGCTGTTTACAGAGTAAATACTCCTAACCACAGCTCTAAGGGGAGCACTGAAAAAGAGGGGAAGAGTGGGCCCCCTCTGTTGTACTTGTAATATAATTTAATCCTCAGAATAAATAAATAGAGAAGATTCTGTAACTGTATTTTGCAGGTGAGATGAGAGAATTGAGGTTTGGAGTTGTTAAGCAGCTTGCCCAAAGTCACCTTGCAGGTAGGTTCTGGAGTCTGGTTTTGGACTCATGTTTCTCCACTCCAGAGTCCCAATTTGTAAAAATTACCATTATATTATATTGCCTTGTAAATTATGGTAAGGATTTCAGACTATTTCTTGAGGGTAATGGGAAACCTTTAAGGGGTTTTAGGCAGAGGACTAGTATGACTAGAATTTTGTTTTTAGAAGATCCCTCTGGCTGCCATAAGGAGAATGGATTGGAAGGAGCCAGAATGCCTGAGGAAGATAGAGCTTTTAGGAGTCTGTTGTAGTTGCACAGGTAGGAGATGATAATGACTTGGATTACATCTGGCAGTGGAATTAGGAGAATAAATTTGAGAGATACTTAAGAAATAGCATATATGAGACTCGTAGTATTTGGACGTGGGAAGTAAGGATTCAAGGACAACCTCCTGCTTTCTGGCTTGGGCAAGTTGGTGAATGGTGGACCCGTGTCTGACTCCTACAAACTGAGTATGCTCTCATACCCACTGCCCTGCCTTCTTTCACTGTTTGTCACAGATAATTTATCAATCTAATTTTTCCTTACAATAGTATATATTCCATAAGTGCAAGAACCATGTCCCTCTTGTTCCATGCCCATCACAAGTGCCTGGCATATAACAGGGGGAAATAAATAATGAATGAATGACAGATAGGTGGAAACCAGATCTTGAAAGACCTTCCTTAGCATGTTAAGGAGCTTTGATTTACCAGCAGTTTGTCCAGCTGCGGCCCACAGGCCACATGTGGCTCATGGCTTAGGATGGCTTTGAATGCAGCCCAACACAAATTCGTAAACTTTATTGAAACATTGTGAGGTTTTTTGCGATTTTTTTTAAAGCTCATCAGCTATTGTTAGTGTATTTTATGTGTGGCCCAAGACAATTCTTCTTCTTCCAGTGTGGCCCAAGGAAGCCAAAAGATTGGACACCCCTGATTTAGCACATAGCCTAACGCTTAAGTACTTAGCTTACCTTAAAAAAACAAACAACCATTCTTCTTCTTCCAGCGTGGCCCAGGGAAGCCAAAAGATTGGACACCCCTGATTTAGCACATTGTCTAATGGCTAAGTACTCAGCTTACCTTAAAAAAACAAACAGCCCTCCCAGTCTAGCAGAAAGGAAAACCAATGATTAATTTATGGAATCTGCCAGAAGCTCAGGAATTGGAGATATCACGTATCTTCATAAGTTGGGGTAAAGGGAAGTTAAAATGAGAGGAACTGGTTGAAAGTCTATTTAAGAAGCAGTTAGAGCTCCCCAAATCCTCTTCTGACCTCGTGCAGCCAAGTGAATGCTTCTTCCCCACTCTAGAAAAATAATGGAGGATTCTTCTCTACAGTGATTAAAATAGTATTTGCCAGGCACAGTGGCACCAGCCTATAGTCCCATCTACTCGGAAAGCTGATGTGGGAGGATTGCTTGAGCCTAGGAGTTCAGCCAGCCTGGGCAACACAGTGGGGACTCCCCCCCACCCCCCGTCAGTGTAAAAAAAAAAAAAATAGTAGTGTCTCTGGACTTGGGGGCACCAGACATTATTGAGAGTGGGTAGTGCCCTACTGAATGGTGGAAGACTGAGTGGAAATGCATGCCTATACACACCTTCCCCTACTGCTCCCAGAACATTGGCAGCCAGGCCTTCGCCCTCCAGGAAGATATAGGAGAATTTTTTATGGGTGAAATGACCAGTATCAAAGAAAAGACAATCATCTGACATCAGAAATCTCTAAATAAATGATTTAGCCACATGACATTATAGCAGTGGTTCTCAACTGGTGCCAATTTTCTACTTCTCCCATCCCCTGGCACATCTGGCAGTGTCTACAGACAGTTTTGGTGGTTGCAATTGGGAAGATCTTACAGGCATCTATTGAGTAGAAGTTGAAGATGCTGCAAAATACTCTAGGACAGACTCCCTTCCTACCCAAACAAAAAATTACCTGGCCCCAAATACCACTATTACAGAGTTTGAGAAATCCTGCTTTATAATAAAGCTCACACTTTGCAAGCCTCACTAAGGCACTCAGAACTTCCATTCAGCTTTTAAGTCCCACTCTTATATATGAGTAGACCAGCAAGGATTACCAAGCTGAGGAGAGCCTTTAACACAATGTATAGAGGTCAAAACAAATAGAGCAGCAAAAGCAGCTTGGAGGAAACTAACTGCAAGGAGAATAAAACTTTTAAAAAGTGAACATATCCGCAGAGAGATAGGAAGAGATATTGTAACCATGAAATAATATCAGGATGTTATTATTTTCAAAGAAAGGTATTCTTAGCAGAACAAAAGAGAGCTATTGGAATTTTAAAGCTATTACCAGAAATGAAAAACCCAGTAGAAGTGTCGGAAGATAAAGGTGAAGAAATCTCTCAGAAAGAAAAACAAAAAGACCAAGGATGGAAAATTGAGGAGAAACTAAAACTAGAGGACTAGTTCAAAAAGCCCTCTATCACACACACTGTTATATCATGCACACTAATACAATAATTTCAGAAAGAGTATAGAGAAAAATCTGTCCTTTAAAGTCCTTCAAGATTTGGTCTCTTCCTATTATTCGTTCATTCAGAGTTTATTGAGTCCTACTATGTACTTGGTACTATTCTGAGTGCTAAACAAAAAAGGTATGGTTTGTGCCTTTGAGAACTTACAGTTGAGTGAGGGAAAACCAGATATTGAGTTAATAGTACACTTGTGGGCCAAGTGCAGTGGCTCATACTTGTAATCCCAGCACTTTGGGGGACCAAGGCGGCAGAGTCACTGAGCTGGGGAGATTGAGACCAGCCTGGGTAATATAGGGAGACCCCATCTCTACAAAAAAAAAAAAAAATAGACCAAATTAGCCAGGTGTGGCACACGCCAATAGCCCCAGAGGTTGACGCTGCAGTGAGCAGCCATCATGCCACTGCACTCCAGCCTGGGTGACGGAGTGAAACATTGTCTCAAAAATAAAGAAAAAAAAAATAGTATACTTGTGACTGTTCAAGAAGGCAGCACAGCTGAGGAAATTATTAAATAATTCAAGAAAATTTATCATAATTGAAAGACACTGCTGGGTTGAAAATGGTTCACCAAATGCTCATTACAATTAATCAAAATAGACTCACACTAAGGCACATTCCAAAATAACAGAACCATGATGGCAAAGAAGTTTCCAGAGAGTAAAAGAGGTCACACACACAAAAACAAGAATCAAAATGGCATCAGACTTCTCAATGGTAACACTAGCTAGAAGGCAGTTGAGAAATGCCTTTGAATTTCTGAATACAAATTATTTCCAGCTACAATTCTATTCCCAGCCAACTTATAGATCAACTATGAAGGGAGAATAATAGCATTTTTAGACAAAAAAAAAACTATTAAAAAACAAAATACCTCCTATTTCTTAGGCAGTTAGTTACTAGAGGATGTTTGCCACCAAGATGGAGCCAATGCTGAAAGAGGAAGACATTAGGAGCTCCAACACAGATGGCAGGAATCCTCAGGATGACTTGGAGAGCAACCAGTCCAGACTGTAGCAAGTCAGGTTCTGGGGAAGGCTACTTCATAAGGATGAGCAATTTGAGAGAGACTTAGACAATCAGCAACAAGGTTGGGGTTGAATTGGTAATAAATACATGAAAACTAAGCCAGTGGGACAATTAATATTAGATGAGAAAGGAAAAGTGTTGAAATGTTACTACATGGCTCAATTGTGCAGTTTCCACATCATCCCAATAATGTGAATTGAATATTGAGCTAGACAAAATTATGGCATAACTATACTGGAAAGATGGGGGAATGAAAAGAATATTTATGTGCATAGAAAAGAGCTAAGCCCTCATCCTCCATGGTGGGGAGTCAGTGGGTAATGCTGAAACAAAATTCACCAAGCAGCGTATCATTTATCTGGAGACAAGGGGGTAAATTTAAAAAAAAAAAAAGGCTAAAAGAGGTGCCTGCAAGCACTCTGAGAGTAGTATCTGCTTTTCTTATCTTTTTTAAAAATAACAATTGTAGAATTGTTTGATTGTTAGTATGTGCTTATATGTATAACTTTAATAAAAATGAAAACAAACAATAACAAAAAGCCTTTGTACTTATTAAAATTACTAATGTCGTTTGACCCAGCAATGCTACTTCTAGGAATTTATCTTATAAATGATTTGGCAAAATAATGGAATACAAGGTAATTCATTACAACACTATCTATAATAATGATTGGAAACAAACCAGGGTTTGGGTAAATAAATTGTTGCTTTTATACAAAGGAATACTATTCCGCTATGAACTGGGAACAAAAAAGCCCTTTATGTACTGAAAAGAAAGACCTCAAAGATAAATTACATGTGGAATGTTCATCCTTGGAGTTGAAAAAACAAAATTACATGAAAAATGCACAATTCAGAACACTGTATGTATGCTACAATTTGGGTTTTAAAAAAAAGAGGGCTAGAATATATAAATACACATAATTTGTACAAAATATTCCTGGAAAAATACATTTGAAAAACCAAATAATATTGGTTGCATGTGGGAAGATGTATTGGGTGGCTAGGAAATGGGTAGAGGAAGACTTTTACCCTAAACCCGTTTTATGCATTCTGAAAATGTAGAAGGGTTACTTATTTAAAAAACTAAGTAATGCTGGCTAATATGGTGAAACCCTGTCTCTACTAAAAATACAAAAAATTAGCCAGGCGTAGTGGCACGCGCCTGTAGTCCCAGCTACTTGGGAGGCTGAGGCAGGAGAATCGCTTGAACTCGGGAGGTGGAGGTTGCAGTGAGCCAAGATCGCGCCACTATAGCCTGGTGACAGACTCTGTCTCAAAAAACAAAACACACATACAAAAAACCCTAAGTAATGCTAATTGTTTCGGGAAGTCAGGGACCCCAAACGGAGGGACCGGCTGAAGCCATGGCAGAAGAATGTGGATTGTGAAGATTTTATGGACATTTATTAGTTCCCCAAATTAATACTTTTATAATTTCTTATGCCTGTCTTTACTGCAATCTCTAAACATAAACTGTAAAGATTTCATGGACACTTATCACTTCCCCAGTCAATACCCTTGTGATTTCCTATGCCTGTCTTTACTTTAATCTCTTAATCCTGTCAGCTGAGGAGGATGTATGTCACCTCAGGACCCTGTAATAATTGCATTAACTGCACAAATTGTACAGCATGTGTGTTTGAGCAATATGAGATGTGGGCACCTTGAAAAAATAACAGGATAACAGCAATTGTTCAGGGAATAAGAGAGATAACCTTAAACTCTGACCGCTGGTGAGCTGGGCGGAACAGAGCCATATTTCTCTTCTTTCAAAAGCAAATGGGAGAAATATCGCTGAATTCTTTTTCTCAGCATGGAACATCCCTGAGAAAGAGAATGTGTGCCTGCGGGTAGGTCTCTGAACTGACCCCCCTGGGCTTAGCCGTCTCTTATGGTCGAGGCTGCAGAGATGAAATAAACTCCAGTCTCCCATAGCACTCCCAGGCTTATTAGGAAGAGGAAATTCCCGCCTAATAAATTTTGGTCAGACTGGTTGATCTCAAAACCCTGTCTCCTGATAAGATGTTATTAATGACAATGGTGCCTGAAACTTCATTAGCAATTTTAATTTTGCTTCGGTCCTGTGGTCCTGTGACCTCGCCCTGCCTCCACTTACCTTGTGATATTCTATTACCCTGTTAAGTACTTGATGTCTGTCACCCACACCTATTCGCACACTCCCTCCCCTTTTGAAACTCCCTAATAAAAACTTGCTGGTTTTTGTGGCTTGTGGGGCATCACGGATCCTACCAATGTGTTATGTCTCCCCCCGACGCCCAGCTTTAAAATTTCTCTCTTTTTGTACTCTGTCCCTTTATTTCTCAAGCCGGCCGACGCTTACGAAAAATAGAAAAGAACCTACGTGATTATCGGGGCAGGTTCCCCGATATCTGGCGCCCACGTGGTCTTTCTTTTGCAGGATTCCTAGTGACAGTGCAGATGTGCAGGTGAGGACAGCAGGAATGAAGACTGATGGGTGATTGCTTAATTGATTGTATATGGAGGGGAGGGAAAGGAGGAGTCTAGCATGAGTCCCTGATTTCTGGCTATACAGTGAGATATGATTGTGATGCTATTTTCTAGTAATGGGAATTTGGGAAGAAAAGAAAAATGAGTTCCTTTACTTACTGCATTTGAGGCATCCTGGCTAAGGATATCCAGCAGGTGTCTGGATATGTGAGGCTGAAGCTGAACAGTAAATCCCATTTACTTCGCCGACTTCAATTACAACCCAAACACAAACCAACCTGTATTGTGGAAAGAAAGACCTCAAAGATAAATTACATGTGGAATGTTCATCCTTGGAGTTGAAAAAAAAATTACATGAAAAATGCACAATTCAGAACACAACCCAACCTGTGTTTAGGTTGTAATTGAAGTCTGGGAGGTAAATGGGATTGTCAGGGAGAGAGTATCAAGTGAGAAGAGGTTGTAGCTGAGCACTAGTAGTAAGAAGAGAGCAGAGAGCCCTCAAGGGAGCCTGAGATACAGGGGCCAAATCCAGCCCACTGCTGATTTTTGTAAAATACTCTTTTGTTGGAACATAGAGACATCATTTATGTGTTGTCTTTAGCTGCTTTCATGCTGTTAAGAACAGAATTGAATAGTTGTGACAGGGCACCTGGCTTGCAAAGCAAAACGATTTTCTGTATGGCCCTTTGGAGAAGTTTTTCAAACCCCACCTAGACTACTGCAGCAGCTCCCATAGCATAATGAGCAAGACTGTCTATGACCTTGGCAGTTCATTCTTGGTTGCCTGCAGAATAAGTTAGCTGTGGCTGGGGTTTCCTCCTTCTAGGGAAAAGGCTGCACCCAAGCTCAGGTTCCCATGGGACTGGTGCCTTCTTCATCACAGGAGTGGAGATTTTTAACATTCCATGGACAGCTGGCATTTCCAGACAACTCCTGTAAATCATTGGCACTCCAAATCCAAACCACCTGTTGCTCAGCACCTTGTGTATTCTCCCGTTGACGAGACTGCTTCTTCAAGCTTGCCCTATTAAAGGGGAGACTAGTAGGATGTGCTCTTCTGAAACCAAACAGCGTTGTGGGCCTTGGCTCACCTCTCCATGGGATAACATGAGGATGGTACCTTCTTTTTTCCCGGCCCTGTAAATTTGTATTTCCTCCAGTGAAGCTCATTCCTTAACCCATGCTATGTAGCTTTGTGGATTCACCCTGAAGGGTGGTGTATGACAGCTGATGACCCAGAAGACCCATCTTGCATGCCAATGGAGACCTAGCACAACAGCTCCTAATTGATCTCTCTGCATCCATGTTGATTCTCTTCAATTGTAGTCTTCATCTTGCAGCTAGAATGGGTCTTTCTAAACAGACTTGCCCACCTTCCTCCCACAACCCAATTGAAAACACAATAGCTCCCCATTGGTCTTAAGACATACCAAAATACCCAAATCTTTAATATGGTTTAATGAGACTCAAGATGATCTGGCCTCTGCCTTTTTCTCCAGCCTTATTTCCCACCGTTCATCCCTCTCTGGACTGCAGCCAAATATTTTCTCAGTCACTTGTAGTAAACACGTTTCCTCCTGCCCTTGACCATGTCCTGTTCCTTTTGTCTGAAATACCTTGCTTTGCTTAATTAACTCCAGCTCCTAGTCATGTTCCCAAAACAATGAACTCAGTTGAAATTTTACATTTATCTGTATGATTATTTGGTTACTGTTTTCCACACTAGACCATAAGATCCATAGATCTCTTTTAAACCAGTAGCCTAGTTTATATTCAAAGTGCCTAGCATAAAGTGAGTGCTTAATGAAATTAGTTGAACACATTTTTAGGTATAATGTAGAAAGAAGCCAGGATCCAAATACCACATACTGTATGATTATATAAAATGTCTCGAGAAGGCAAATCTATAAAGACCGACAGATGATTAGTGGTTTGCCAGGGGCTAGGGTTGGCAACGCTGAGTGGCTATAAACTGGCATGAGGAATTTTATTGAGGTTATGGAAATGTTCTAAAACTGCACAACTCAGTAAATTTACTAAAAATCATTGTACATTTAAAATGGGTGACTTTTATGGTATGTAAATTATACCTCAATAAAGGTGTTTAAAAACTTGACTAAATGAAAAAATATAGTTATTGGAAATGAGATCTTTATCTTGTGCTGAATGTGTATACATCTTTTTATACTTTGTATTCTATACCACTCATCCTATACTATTTTCTTATTGCTAATGGATATATGTTTTAACATACCTTATTGTTTTAAATTTTTTTTTCTGGATTTTTCTTACTCCCTGATTTGAAATAACTAGGCTTGGCATGTTACAAAGTTCCAGGTGTCTCTAACTACCTTGAGTAAGAAGAAATAGGTACAAGGAGCTTCCCTGTGACATAAACCAGCTGCAGAGTTAGGATTCCTAGGAAGTATGTATCTTAGGGATCAAGTGTCCTTGATACATGACATTTGTAACACTGAGCCAGATATTTTAAGACTGATCTAGATTTGCTGATTTCAAAAATAAGTTGCAATATTGGGATGAGAAAGGTTTTAAAGGTAATCTGAATTTTAGAACTAATAACTTTAGTACCCTAGATAGTACCATAGATAAATATCCCTAGAAACAAAAGCCTCAGCACTTTGGGAGGCTGAGGTGGGCAGACTGCTTGAGCCCAGGAGTTCAAGACCAGCCTGGGCAACATGGCAAAACCTTGTCTCAACAAAATATACAAAAATTATCCAGGTGTGGTGGTGCACACCTGTAGTCCCAGCCACTAGGGAGGCTGAGGTAGGATAATAACTTGAGTCCAAGAGGTCGAGACTGCAGTGAGCCGTGATTGCACGACTGCACTCCAGCCTGGGCGACAGAGCAAGACTCTCTCAAAAAAAGAAAAAACAAAAAACAAAAAAAACCAGTGCCTCTCCAATAGCTCTTGGATCCTACTGAGCCCTTTTGGGTGGACTTATCTGCATTTTGGTTGGGTTTACCTGGAAGCAGACCTAAGATAAGGATGTTAGGACAGGTGGATGATTTGGGAAGCAGCATTGAAGGGCTGGGCGATTAAGACAGGGAATAAAGAAACACTGATAGAAAGTAGTTACCACTGTGGGCAACCCTAATTGAGGACCCATGTGGAATAAGCCTGAGAACTGGTCCTCTGAGGATTGAAACATCTATCAGCTGACTGACTCCTGCCCCATTTAGTTGAGGGTTGCCTTGGGTTATTAACTCCCTGATACTCCTATGGTGCTTTGAGGGCTCTTGAGAAAGACTTAAGACAGAAAAGCAGAATGTGGGACTGCTTGGAGTGAAACTTGTCAGGCTGATTGTAACTGTCCACTACAGCGAAGCTGAAATCAGACATGGCCCAAGTGTGTGACTCAGGGCTGCATCTGTCAAGGAACATCTTTCCAGGGAAACTCCATAAACAACAGGACATCCAATGACATATGACTTCTAGAGCAATTTTATATAAAGTGGTTTTTTATTAATGAAACATTTCATTGCATTAAGGGTAGAAATAAACATGTCAAGAACCGCATGAAGTGAACCAACTGTATAAGCTACATGAAGAGCATTCTGGTCAGTATTCTTGTTAACAGGCACAAGCAATTTAGTGATAATGTCCAGAGGGCCAAGGATGCGGACCACCTTTTGCAGAACTCATATCTCGAGCAGTTTAAATTAAAAATTAGCCTCCCTTAAGTTAAAAACCCCAATAGGGGTTAGTCGTGTAGTGCTTGTTCCACTTGACCATTAGTGATCTTTCTAGAACATGAGGAAATCAAGTCTGGTTAGAAAAGCCTGGAGCTAAAAGTGGCAAAGCCCATTTCCTGTCCTGTGCTCAACTCCTAATTTTCCCTGAGAGAAGTGAGTTAAGCTCTCTGTCTTGGTTTCTTCCTCTCTAAGTTGAGGATCATGGTACCAGAAGCTTGCATTCTGTGATCATGACAGTGCTTACAATCACAAAGCCTTTGGGGGTCTTTCTAAGATAACTGCCGCAAGAAAATGAGCATGAGAAATAATTCATCTTCAACTTAAAGCCAAATAGGTGCATTCATTCCTCTTAATCTATAATTTTGACTGTAGTTTGTAGATCTGTCTCAGACTTTTCAGAAGGATAGTATCAAATGTGATTTAAACCAAGTAACTATTAAGAATCATAAAACAGGCCAGGCCCGGTGGCTTACGCCTGTAATCCCAGCACTTTGGGAGGCTGAGGTGGGCAGATCGCAGGGTCAGGAGATTGAGACCATCCTGGCCAACATGGTGAAACCCCGTCTCCACTAAAAATACAAAATTTAGCTGGGCGTGGTGGCACGCACCTGTAGTCCCAGCTACTTGGGTGGCTGAGGCAGGAGAATTGCTTGAACCCGGGAGGCAGAGGTTGCAGTGAGCCGAGATCATGCCACTGTACTCCAGCCTGGCGACAGAGTGAGACTCTCTCAAAAAAAAAAGAATCATGACACAAGTATGGAAGTAATGTTTTTGGTCTCCCTGCCAGTGTGCAACTCAGTCTAAATGTGTATATCATTAACTGTTATCATTTACAGTATTTAAAATATCCTCCTCACAGATGATTATATCCTGATAATAGGACTAAACCAATAAGTATGCACTAGCATTGTCAATTTTATTAGTATGGATAAGTACATGCATAATTAAGACATGCCCAATTATCTAGTTAAATGTTGATAAATTCTAAAAATGTAGATATTTAGCATTATTGAAGACCAAATATTTTTGTTAGTTTTTTTACATTTTGGTGAGTTGGAGTATCTAAAGGTTCTATCTTGATTCTATAGAAAATTTGAGAGTTTAATGAATTGCCTCTTCAAGAGGGGAAATATATCACATATTGTTTTAGTGTAGAAAAAGGAAAAATTGTCAGTAAAACAATTTATTACCTCAATACAGGGATAAGAAGCTATGGAAATGAAATCTATATTTTTTTCTTCATTTGCTTACATTGAAATCCAGTTTTAAACAAAAAAAATCCTTTTGAATGGTTCAGTTGTTAAGAAATTCTATAAGCACTTTGTCAGCTAAATGTATAGGCTTCTCAATTCAAAATGAATGCTGAACTTTGAGAATCAAAGAAAATGCCCTTAAATATGCTTGAATTCTGAACACTGTGACATATGATGGCTCCCAATTCCCTGTCTTAGGTTATGCTGAAACCAAGAAGTCCTTTGAAAAGTGGTGTCTCTGCTTCTGGTCCTAACAGACCTTTCTTTAAAGTACTTTGTGCAATATTTTAAACATCCATCATTCTGTCAGCAAAATGATTGTCACAGGAAGTATAGGGCACACGTTTCTCTATTCAGTGAGTGACAGTGAGCTACAAAACACTGGAAAGAACTGAAACTGAGGAAGGAACTTGTAAAAAGAACTTCAAAATTACCAAGAAGGCGGCTGTCCCAGAAGAAATATCTCTTTAGTCTAATCAGACTTTCTGAAACTTATGTGTAACTTAGGCTGTAGATAGATGGATTTCCCATATTCATAATTTTACAAATAATCACTCAATATTAGATTAATTAATACAGTAACATATTTGGCAAGGGCGACTCAGGAAGAAAAATCAGTTACTCATTACATTCTCTCAGAAGCATCTTTTCGTAGCATGATCATTTTGACTAAAAAAAAAACAGTTAACTATCCACAAGCATCATAACTAGCAATTAATTCTACATGAAATATCTGTACTTTATCCTCACCAACATTATTTATGCATTCTCTTCGTTCACAAAAGTACAAGTTAAAAATCCTTAGGAGCTTATCACTATCAACTCATGGGTATTGCCCCACCCAACCCCTTTCCCATTTGATTCTACCCAGTATTTTATTGCAGTTGGAAGACTGAGTTTTCCTGGAAGAATTATGAACTGAAGATCAGCATAAAATGTAATATGTTTTAGAAATCAGATGCATTTGAATGATATATTGGATGAAGCTACCATTTTACCCTGGGTCCCGAACTCTTATTTACTTCTGTTTTGCAAGTGAAATGGAGGAATACAACATAAAATGGTATATACGCATTTTGAGCACAAAGTTCGGTGAATGAAGCATACTGAATGAAGTTAGACCAGTAGCATTAACAAGTGATGCAGAGACATTTTACCCACAATAGTGGTCACAAAATTCTGGAGCTACCAGCACCCAACAACAACAAAATTACTATACAAGGGTTTATTAAATACTTGCTAGACACATAAAAGAACAATTTCAGAGCCCACATGATTTTATAAAGCTTAATGGCCAGCCATGTCAGCCTGCTCTTTAACCTCTGGCCAGAATGTTCCTATCACTTGCCAGCGCCGTGTCTTTTTCCTTCTTTCAACAGGCAACAAGCCTGCAAGGAGGTGGAGGGTTTCCCCACGTCATCGTCCAGGTCAGGACAGCTCACACAGTTTCTTCACCAAGCAAAGGCAATGTTTAGGTTCGAATGAGGGGTGCTCTTTCATCCGCTGTTCCCTGAAACACAGAAGAGAGAAAACAAGTTAGATGTTCATGTCAGAAACTTCTCCCCAGTGTGAAAAGTTTGGGTGGGGAGTGGGGGCATGGAAGGAGGAGAGACCTATAGGAAGGTGGCTCATCTCACTCACCTCCCCTCTTGGGCTGCTGCTTGTTCTTGAAGATTCAGCAGGCCTAACCTTTCCAGGAGGCCTTCTCTGACCACTCCCACCCTCAATACCAGAGCAGTACCCTTCTCTGTGTTGATCTGGATTATAAAACTTAGACTCTATTCAACTTGCCTCCTTCCTGGTTTGAAACCTACTAAGGAGTAGTGTCTCAGAGGTATTAGTTCTCAATAATTCCTTGCTTGTTGAATATATGAGGAAGGTTAATTGTAGGAGCAGTAATTAACATTTCCATGAGGTTTCATTTGTGCTTAAGACAATTTCAATGACTGCATAAAGTCACACTGGAAGATCCACACATAGAAATGGCAAAATAGTTTGCCTCACAGCTAATTCAGGCTAAAGTGACTGGCAGGGGATAAGAGAAATAATGGAAGAATATGGAAGTCAGGGAAATTCAGCTAATTTTACTCAGATGGTTTCACGTATTTATTTTCTACTTCACATTTGCCTTGGACACTTAGTTGAGGAAACTGGAGGAAAAAAGGCCACTGTTGTAAAAAAAAGGAAGCTGCAGAAAATTTAAGAAGGGCTTCTACAGAAAAGGCTCATTGCAGGTATTCAGGTTCCTGGCTGGGCTGCTGGTCACTTGGAAAGGCGAACCCAACTCTTTATCCTAGCCTTCCAGGAAAGTAACTACACCCATGTTCCAATCATTTATTATGCAGTGATACCTAAATCATAGGTATCTTCGGATACATCAGGGATTCTTTCCAAGCAGGACCCTGGCTGTCTTGCTCTATAATCTTGGAGCTGTTTTATCATATTTAATAATACTTAAACCTTTATTGAGCTCTTACTATATGCTAACACTGGGCCAAGTCCTTTAAGTCTACTATATCATCTAATCCTCATGAAAAACTCATAAGGGAGGCTTTTATTATCCCATTTTACAGATGAAGAAACTGAAGCACAGTTTCTAGGGTCGTATAGCTGTTAAGTGGCAGAACTGGGATTTGAACTCAGGCAGTCTGACACCAAAGATCAGATGTGTAACTGTTATATATTCTTCCTTTTCTTTCAGGTTATTGTTTTCAAAGACATAAAGTTAACTCCCAGGGGATACATCCAAAGAGATTCTATTCCCCAAATATTAGATGGTACCTTCTAACCCTCCACCTTCTTTGACACACTTCCTTTGCTTCCCATTTGGTCCAGCAGTAAAATAAGCACGAAATCACTATGCCCAGCATAAAATCCCAGAATTTATCCTAATAAGCCAGCTGACAGCCCTTCAGTGAAGTACAGTTGAATTCCTCAGGTAAAGTTATCCAGTAAGGAAGAAGTTCCTTCAGCCAGTTCTCACCTCATCCATGGATCCCTGTCCTTTGCATGCAAGCCAGGTAAAAACCAAACCAAAGAACACACCCAGCGCCATGATGATGTAGGGTATGTTGGTGATGATCAAAGTAGTGTTAATCATAGACTTCAGTCGACTCGCCGTCTCTTTATCAATGTGAACACTCTGGAGAGGCAAGAAAATAGTATTCTTGATGACTAAACATCCAGTGTGTAACTGTTTTTTGCTATATCTTTCCTTTGTTTAATACAATTTGGGAATGTCCTCCTGTTAGCAAACCAAACATACTGAAAATCCATTTATAAGTCAGAGTAATCAGAAGGGACATTTATTCATTAATATCTTGTCTTCTCCTGAAGACATTTTTTTTACTCTTAAAATAGATTGGAAAAAGGAGGTAAAATGTATTCAGAAATATTGAGACAGTATCACCTTTTGTTTTATGTCAGATAATTCCAATTCATCCTTAAAAATCCAGCTCAGCATCACTTCCTTCCAAAAGTTTTCTCTGGCTACCTCAGGCCTAGTCAAAGGCCTCCTCCCTAAGTTTCCATCTCACTCTCTACTTCCATCATTGTCCTTGCACTCTGCATTGTAACTGTTTGTCTTGCAATGGCTGTGAAGTCCCTGAAGGCAAGACTTAACCTCAGTCACCTCCACACTGGGTATAGCACCCAGCACACAGTAGGTGCTTGATTAATGCTGGCTGATTAAATGAATAAATAAATGAAACACTGCAAAAATGGTATGTGGAAAGTATAATTTCTTTCTTGGTTACATCTATAGTAATCAGGACCACAGCCCTCTACAGAAAGTGCTCAGCAAAGTTGTGGGCTAACTAGAATTCCAGAGACTGCTGATAGAAGGAAATGTACTAGAATAACACTTAGTGTATGCAGAGCAGAGGAATTACCACCTAGTGTAATGAGTGAGGTATCTGAAGAGCTTAATTCCATAGAAATAATGAGCAACAATTCTGGCCTAGTTTAGGCTTAATTTGCACTGGAGGCCTGGCATAGTTGCACACGCCTATAATCCCAGCACTTTGGGAGGCCAAGGCAGGCGGATTGCTTGAGCTCAAAAGTTTGAGACCAGCCTGAGCAATGTGGTGAAACCACCTCTCTACAAAAAATACAAAAATTAGCTGGGGCTGGGCATGGTGGCTCATGACTGTAATCCCAGCACTTTGGGAGGCCGAGATGGGCAGATCACTTGAGGTCATGAGTTTCAACATGGTGAAACCTCATCTCTGCTAAAAATACAAAAATTAGCCAGGGGTGGTGGCGGGCGCCTGTAGTCCCAGCTACTTGGGAGGCCGAGGCACGAGAATTGCTTGAACCCAGGAGGCAGAGGTTGCCGTGAGCTGAGATTGGGCCACTGCACTCCAGCCTGGGCAACAGAGCAAGACTCCATCTCAGGAAAAAAAAAAAAAATTAGCCGGGCATGGTGGCACACACCTGTAGTTCCAGCTACTTGGAAGGCAGAGGTGGGAGGATCACTTGAGCCCGGGAAGTCGAGGCTGCAGTGAGCCAAAATCGCACCACTGTAGAGGGTGAGAGTGAGACCTTGTCTCAAAAAAAAAAAAAAAAGAAAAGAAAGCATTTTTTTTCATTGGACCGAGTCAGTGGATTGGGTTCTAAGACATTTTTTCCAATAACTGGATAGAGTTTCCTCCTCGGTAAAAAGGTGGTGTGGCAACAGTCTCCAATGTCACTTCCAGACTTCCAGGTCTAATATTTTATTTTTCTAGAGAAGAGAATAATCACGCTCTTCCTAGGAGGCAGCAAAAATACAAGGTTCCACTCCACACACCTGGACTTAATCTAGTCTTTCACAAAAAAGCAAATTAGAAGTTGGGGGTGGAGGGACTTCAAATATGCCACTACTGAACAGAAGTTGGCAGAAAAGGGCCCTTCTGCATTTTCAAAAAGATCTTTCATGCCCCTGCCCACAAACAGGAACATGGATGATCAGGAGCAATTGCAAAGAGATCCTATAAATTGGTAAATATTGCTTGAATTTTTCCTATGAAACGATAAAAACCTCATCTTAGAATTGTAATAACAAACCCTTAAAAGTTTGTAAATGTGAATACCAATATAATGCTAAATGGAGAAAAAAGATATAAAATTGTATCTATCGTATGATTTCAACTATGTAATATCAAGACCAGAAAATATCAGGAGTTGACATCTGAACTGCACCTGCCTCTGATAGAGAGGGACTTATCAGTAATTTACTTTTTAAATCAATTTTTAAAAAAATTTCTAAGAATTTTATAAAGAGCACATGTTTTATAAAATGTAAAACATTAGATTACCTTTTAAAGTTGTTATTGGAAAAAATTGTACAACACATTGAGTAAAATAAAATAAAAATATTATCAGGCTGACACAGATTTTGTGAATAGTGATTTTAATTTTTCTTTTTCTTGCTAATCTCTGTTATTCAATATTCTACAAACAGCAAGTATTTTTAGGAAACACAAAAATAATAAAAAGGAGAAGTTTGCCAATCAAGAATTTATTGAAGAAAAAAACCTGCGTTTTTTTTTTTTCCCTCAAACTGGGCGGAAGCAGGAGAAACTGAGGAGATATAACTACAGTAAACGTGATATGTGATTCAGAAAAGAATTTATCATAGGTGTCTTAAACCAGCATGGTTTCAAAGAAGGGGGAGACAAAGGGCTAGCTGGCATCTATCTGAGTGTGAGCTATTTCCCTGCTTCAACAATGTCTGCCAATGGCTCCTTTTACCTGTTTCTGTTTCCTACGTGAGCAGCTCCCCAGAAGGGAGTTTTGCCCAAATAGTGTTCTTGAGAAGGAAAATTTCTTTCCATCATTTCTCCAAATCAGCTCTCAGACACAGGCAGATTCATGTGAACATTTAAGTGAAATTTTCTGAGGAATAACAGGTTTTAAAAATCTTTTGCCCTTCTGTCATAACTTACATGTAACTACAACAGTAGACATCATAATGGATTTTTTCTGAGTCTGAAAACACCCGTGGCTCCCTCCGTCTCAGGACTTACCTCATTGAGGTACATCACTGGGAAAACCATGGTTCTAATGTCTCCCGTTTCACTACAAAGACAAAGGATGAGATTGTTTCAGAAACATCCTCATCACAATGGCACACTTTCCCGGACAGACACATTTATATGAAGATTCTAGTACACTTATTTCTTAAATTACCCAGAATTTGCTGATTTCTTAGTTATCTTTGCAAACATGTACCCCAAAAGTTAGATTCCAGTCTGTCTAGCAATTCCATGTGCTGTACGTTTATCAAAACACAAGATACTGAAGGCAGATTCCTTAAAATGATGACTAGTCTCCTTAGAGTCATCAGGGAAGGCTCCAGTCGACAGAACAAAACTGTCACTCCTCAGAGTGTTTTGTAACTAGGCCACTGAAGTACTGTCTTTGCAACAAGAGCCAACTGAGCATGTACCACGTGCCAGCTCTGTGCTGGGTGTTTTTGGGATATTATCTCATTCAATTCCTAGAGTAGTCACCTACAGTAGGTATTACTGTCCCAGGTTTACAGATGAGAAAATTATGACTCAGAGAGGCCTAGGATCACCACAAGTAAGTGATGGAGCCACAAATGTAATTCCACTTTGCTTCTAAGATTCCAGCTCTTAACTACTAAATTATACTGCCTCGGAAATAGATATGCAGATGACAAAATGCATTCTTGTAAACCACCTACTTCTTAGAAAGAGCCATGACACCTGGTATTAAATCTGGCAAATTCAATGAGGTAAACAAGCCAAGTTTTATAGATAAATATATTATGCATAGTTTTGCATCCTGTTTATTTCACTCAACATTATATCATAATTTTCTCATATCTAAAAAATTCCCATTGAAAAGTCTGAGCAGGAGATTATACTTTGGAATCCAAATTAAGCTGCAGCATGGGGAAGTAAGGCTAGACTCAAGAGATTATAACTATACAAATGAGAGCTATGGCTGGCCCCAAGTGGGATCAGTGGGAATAGAGAGAGAGGAAGAGGAAGAGACTCTGTCTCAAGTCTCTGAGTGATATAGTTTGGATACTTGTTCCCCCAAATCTCAGGGTGAAATGTAATCCCCAGTGTTGGAGGTGGGGCTTGGTAGGCAGTGACTGGATCATGGGGGTGGATTTCTCATGAATGGTTTAGCACCATTCGCTTGGTGCTGTCCTTGTGATAGTGAGTTATCATGAGATCTGTTATTTAAAAGTGTGTGGCACCTCCCCTCCTCTCTCTCTTGCTCCTGCTCACCCCATGTGACGTGCTTTATTCCTGCTTCTCCTTCTGCCATGAGCAAAAGCTCCCTGAGGCATCCCTAGAAACTGAGCAGATGCCAGCACCATGCTTCCTGTACAGCCTACAGAACTGTAAGCCAATTAAATCTCTTTATAAATTAACCAATCTCAGGTATTTCCTTTCCTTTCCCTCCCTCCCTCCCCCCCCCCGCTTTTTTTTTTTTTCCTGAGACACAGTCTTGCTCTGTCGCCAGACTGGAGTGCAGTGCCACCATCTTGGCTCACTGTGACCTCCGACTCCCTGGTTCAAGCGATTCTCTTGCCTCAGCCTCCCGAATAGCTGGGATTATAGGCACCCACCACCATGCCCAGCTAATTTTTGTATTTTTAGTAGAGACGAGGTTTCACCATGTTGGCCAGGATGGTCTTGATCTCCTGACCTTGTGATCCACCCACCTTGGCCTCCCAAAGTGCTGGATTACAGGCATGAGCCACTGTACCCAGCCAGGTATTTCTTTATAGCAACACAAGAACAGTCTAATACACCAAGAGAGTCAAGGTGCATGAGGGAAAGGCTTAGTGGAGTGGATAAAAGTTGACTAGATAGTAAGGCTTAGCCAAGTTACCTAAACACTCTGCTTCTGTTTCCTCATCTGTAAAATGGGGATAATACAAGGTTATATGTGAATCCACATAAGGTGCTGAGAACAATACCTGATCCATGGGAAGTACTCTGTAAGTGTATGATTAAATAAAACAAGTAAATTCCAAGACCAAGGCACCCATGAAAATGCTGATCATGCCCCATCCCTGAAGGGCAGGGGTGAGCAGGCTTAGATGAAGTAGGCTGTACTCCTCCTGACATCAACCCCACCAGACGGGCAATGGAGCAAAACTGCTGTCCCCTCCATAGAAAGAAGCAAAACTTACACAAAGTCATCTAATTTTTTGACATAAATGTTGATTTGGAACCTCTTGGCTGCTTTTAGGATTATTCCAGTCAACTGCAAATCAGAGAAGTGAAAAGGAAACATTAGGATTTATTAAACTGCAAACAACTTTTTCAATAGAGCACCATTTCTGTGTAGTCCTCATAAACAAGGTGACCATTACCATGTGTGACAGGCAGAGTGGAAACAAGTAAAAGTGATCCCCAGAACAGAATGAGAACCATGGGTTGTATTAGGTGGCTGATAGACCAGTGTGTCTCAAACATGAGTATGAATGTAGGTCCTTGGGAATCCTGTTAAAATGCAGGCTCTGATTCAGTAGACTGGCCATTTCTAACAAGCTCCCAGGATGCTGCCACTCTGAATAGCACAGCCTTAGAAGGGATCCAACAGGAAGGAGGCCTAAAAGATAGCCTGTCAGGTCTGGATTTCCAGGCAGTTGTCCAGAGAGCTAAGAAGAGGGTGGTGGTCACTGCCAGAGAGTGGCATCCTAGTATAGGGCCCGCCTAGCGTAGCCATGGGGCACAGCTGCAGCACTTGTCATCCTTAGGGCAGCTCCATCTTTGCACTAAGGTTATAAGACTGTGTTCGTCCCTTGGTGACAAGCACTGCTAACAGTTTGGCTGATCCAAGGGAACTGATCAGCTGATGGCTAAGAGAAAAGGGAGAAAACCACACACGATTTTATTCACCAGAGCATAAGATCACTGGTTTCTCAGATACAAATGCAATGTATGCAGCTAAGAGTGTGAAGTACCCATAAAATACTGTGCTAAAAGAATGTTCTTGTTTTTTTTTTTTATTGGTCCATAATGTTCAAATTCCAAAAATGAAGACATGGTTAGCATGGTTTTTGTTTTTCTCGTCTATGAATACAGGAGTAAATGTGTATTATACACACACACACACACACACACACGTGTGTATGTCTCCTCTATGTATATCTGATACCTTTACAATTAATAATATAATAAACTCTCAAATAACCTGTAGAAAGAAGTTTGCCAAAAGTGACTGAGGTTAATATACATATTCATATTTCAACCAAAATATTCCTGGCAGTGAGGAAGCAAAGGGACATCTTTAACCTTATCGATCTGTGTCCCAAGGGGAGAAATAAATATATGTTGAGGTCCAAGGCTAGCATCAGAAGATTGACCAGGTTATATGGGTACATCAGTAGTTTCCAATAACTGAGTTTTCACTGTTGCTTTTTGTTAAAGGCAGGTTTGCTCGTATTTCTGCTATTCAATCCACAAAATTCAGCCTTCTAATTACAGGGCTATGAGACAATGCCTCCATCAGCACTGAGCTGAATTTCTCCCACTTGAATATGTATATGAAAGTAAGGATATTTTTAAAGAAGGCTCAGGACTAAACTGGTGAACAATGTATAGACAGAATAAAACATATGCTCTTTTACCAGGAGGAAGTATGTACTCACAGGATTAATGTCCACAAATGTCTCATGGTCTTCCTGATTTGGGTGCATGCCTTCTATGGCAGAAACAAACCTCTCATCTGCTTGGTAAAAGTGTGGGAAAGACATAATGATGGGTGCACCTGCATTTGAAGGAAAACAGAAATGAATGATGCTGTTTTTAAAATCTAAGCTGAGCTGAATATAAAAGTTCCTGGCCACAGCCTGGTTCCTAAAGAAAAACAAAAAAGCTACATATAAATTAACTTGGGTAGGCTAAAACACCATCCTTTACCTCCTAGTTCAGGATTTATACTTCATTTTCTGACATCTCATTTACCCCCAATTTTTTATTCCACATTATATATTGAAGTTCAGGCTAAATTATTTATTCTTCAACAAATATTTACTGAAGTTAAAGTATAAGTGCTTCATACACATTATTTTATTTAATGCTCCCAACAGCCCAGTAAAGTCAGAACTATTAGCCTCACTTTGCATTTGAAGAAAGTGAGGTTCATAGAAGTTACAAAATTTACCCAGGGACAGCTAGCCATCAGGCTATGAAGGCAGAATACTAAGTGAATGAAGGGTGTTGTACCTCAAAGCACTAGTTTCAACTACAATTCTCTATCAGTAAGTGGACTGACTTTTTATTTCTTGTCCTTTTTAAAATTAAAAAAAAATTTTTGGTGGTTTTTTGTTTTGTTTTGTTTTGTTTTTACCAAAGACAGGCATAATCTCAGCTCACTGCAGCCTCCGCCTCCCAGGTTCAAGCAATTCTCCTGCCTCAGCCTCCCAAGTAGCTGGGACTACAGGCATGCACCACCACACCCGGATAATTTTTTTGTATTTTTAGTAGAGACAGCGTTTCACCATGTTGGCAAGGCTGGTCTTGAACTCCTTACCTCAAGTGATCTGCCCGCCTCAGCCTCCCAAAGTGCTGAGATTACAGGCTTGAGCCACCACACCTGGCCTACATAATTTTTTAAGAGTTAGCCTGGTTGTGCTATACACCCAGCCTCTAACCAGATCACAAAGATTCTGGGGTTTTTCCTTTCCTATTCATTTTAAGAACCAAATAAGTGCTTATGTAAATTTAAATATATATATATATATATATATATATAACCAAATAGGGAAACAAGTTACTAAAGGAAACCTATTCTAGATCTGGCTATTGAAAAGAAGAGAGGGACCCAACAATTGCTGCCAGGGAAATACATTTTTGGAGAAAGGAGCTTGTCGGCAAGTTATTTAAATTTGCTTACATATTCACCAGCCCATGGCTTAAGGAACTCATCCCTCATCTCTCACATGCACATGCATTTTGCTGTTTACTGCTGAATAGTTCCACAAAGGCATGACTTCCTTCTTTGTGACCTATAATGACCTTGAAAATGTATTTTTTAAATCTGTTGAGGGCTTAATAGGGGCTACTGTCCTGAGTGTTTTATATATATTATTTCTAACTCTCACACAACCTCAAGAAGCTATAACCACCTCCATTTTATTAATGAGAAAACTGATGTCTGGAACCCTCCTTAATAAACTTTGGCCAATTTACCAACAAATAGAATAGGACTCAAACCCAATCTGCCTGACTCCAGAACACTCATCCTGCTATCCAAAATGTTTCCCTGGAGAATTCAAAACACTGGAGGATAATCCTGGGGAGTTTCACTTCAGTCCAAATTCGGGAATACGTTAAGAGGGAAGAGGAAAAGGATTGTAGCAAGAAGTTTAAATGTGTAAAGTAGAATACTTCTGTTGATTCTGGCATCAGCTTCTTAAGGAAACAGAATTTAATAAAAACAGCAAGAGAAAATATATCTACATTTTTGCTTTGAGCCAGATGCACACCAGATGAGGGGGCAGGGACACTGTTTCAGGACTATTACCAGTAAGGCAATGGGGGAGATCACAACCAGGAACTTGTTCCCATTCACCCTTGGTCTTTATCTCCAGGTAAAGGGTACCATGTTCCCTTGCACAATGGTCCCCAAATACCTAGACGCCATCTTTATGGAAATCAGCTGGAGTACTTGTTAAAAGTGTAGATTCTGGGGCCCTGGTATATCCAACATGGGACCCTGGGACATACATGCATGTGTGTGCACCATGAGTGTGTGTGCACACTTGCGCACGTGTGTGTGTATACCTATATATATATACTATATACATATATATTAAAATATAGCAAATATAAGTATATGCAAATATATGCATATTTATATATAACTATAAAATTTGTTAATATACTCATATATTAACAAATATATTAACATATACATACATAAATATATACATGTGGCTGTTAAAACTAGTCTTCAAGATGAAAAATACTTTTGTCAGTTGTATATATATATGTATATATACACATATATATGATATACGTATATATAAACAATTTTTTATATATATATAATTTTTTTGTTTTTTGAGACCAGGTCTCACTCTGTTGCCCAGGCTGGAGTGCAGTGTTGCAATCATAGCTCACTGCAGCCTTGAATTCCTACGCTCCAGCCTCAGCCTCCTGGGTATCTGGAACTATAGGTGTATGCTACTATGCCCAGCTAATTTTTAAATTTTTTGTTCAGATGGGGTCTCCCTGTTGCCCATGCAGGTCTAAATTCTTGGCCTCAAGTGAGCCTCCTGCTTCAGCCTCCTAAAGTGTTAGGATTACAGGCATGATCCACCATGCCTCACCAATATATTTTTAATAACTCTCCAGATAATTCTGATGTAAAGCCAGGTGTGGGGGTCACTGCCCTGTCAGACAAGGATCAGGAGGTATACTGCTGACTTCAGACTTATTCCAAAATGATATCTTATTCTTTTTTTTTTTTTCTTTTTTAAAAGATGGAGTCTCGCTATGTTGCCCAGGCTAGAATCAAACTGGGCTCAAACGACCCTTCCACCATAGCCTCCTGAGTAGCTGGGTCTACAGGCACACGCCACCATGCCAGGCCTGAAAGGAGATTTTAAAATGAGATAGATAAGGGAGCAAAAGTGAGCACATTACTATTCAGGAGAAAGGGACTACACAGAGAGCTCTCCAGAGAAATTTTAAAGAGGAATTACAGCCCAAGAGGGAATCACAGGGCAAATATGAGAAGACCCTGAGTTCCGCCAGGGATCTGCTCAGAGGGAGGAGTCGCATCAAAATCACGTTCCCTCTCTGAGCCCTAGTTTCCCCAATTATAAAAACAGGCCGCTGAATGTCTACTATCTAGTAAGTTCATTGTGAATAATTCTGCAACATGTGGCTGTTAAAACTACTCTTCAAGATGAAGAAAATAGTTTTGTCAGTTGTGCCACTGATAATTCTGCCTCATTCATGGAAAGGAGCAGAGTAGCTCTGACATTAAGAAACACTGGGACATTTGTGTCAGGGTTTAAAACTAACTCTGCTTCAAAATCACTGAGAATCTTTGCCATGATACGTACTTTCTTAAAACTGAGTTGTCCACTTTTTCTTTTAGCTTTTTTTTTTTTTTGGTGGGGAGGTGCGGAATCACTCTATTGCCCAGGCTGGAGTGCAGCAGCACAATCATAGCACAGTGCAACCTCGAACTCCTGGGTTCAAGCAATCTCTCTGCCTCAGCCTCCTGAGCAGCTGTAACTACAGGTGTGTGCCGCCACACCCAGCTAATTTTTTAATTTTTTTTTTTTTGTAGAGACAGGGTCTTGCTATGTTGCCCAGGCTGATCTTGAACCCCTGGCCTCAAGCAATCCTCACATCTCGGCCTCTCAAAGTGCTGGGAATACAAGCATGAGCCACCGTGCCCAGCCTTAGCATTGTTTTGAACATGAAATCAGTTAATGTTTTGCATGCATTAACTACATGTAAATATGTAAAGCACTTAGGACAGTGACTGGCATACATCAGGTGCTTAGTAAACATGAGCTATTATTACTGTTAAGACTTCTAAACCACTGTCCAGAAAAAAAAACACAACATGGCATTCTAGAAATAAAAAGCATCACAGAAAAGCCATGATTTTTTTTTACCATTCAATAGCCATGTTATGAAACATTGTTCTTGAAAGAAACTGATCTTTCTATTGGGCTGACAATATATTCTTTTTTGTTTGTTTTGTTTTTTAGAGACAGTGGTCTCGCCATGTTGCCCAGGATGGACTTGAGAACTCCTGGGCTCAAGTGATCATCCCACCTCAGCATCCTTAGTAGCTGGGACTGTAGGTGTGCGCCACTACGCCCAGCTACATATTCTTTGTTGAACTCCAATCCTTCTGCATTCTTGACACCCCTATCATGTCCCCTCTCTGAGTTCTTACCATTCTTGCAGATGCTGACATTCAGAACTCCTGAGCCCAGGCAGTTTCCCTCAGGTATACAGAAGCCGGCATTGTCTGACGTATTGGCTAATATTTCTGCAGGAACTTTATACCGAAAGGCAGGCAGTCCCTGTACACTCTCATAGTCACTGAAAGTAATATACACTGACCTGTTAGGATGTAAGAATAAAAAGTGAATGTGGACTCTGGTCAGTGTAATCTGCCCGAAATCCGCAAGTTAGCAACAGTTCTCAGGTACAACATGGCCAAAAGCTCACAGGGTAAGTAGAAAGGAATGTTTGGAAGGCATTCTGTCAACTCAACGTGTAATAAAGCAGAAGATGAATTGTAGTGGAAGGTGTTTATTGTAGCAACGGTGATATCATCCAAACAAGAAAAAACAATATGTGGTACAAAATTAAGATGATAACATTTAGAATGGAGACTCACATAAAAAAGAAATAAGAGGCCTCTCTAGACCTGCATGGACATATGCCAGTGTGGACGGGCCACCGGCAAAGCCAGGGAAGCCAGGGCACGGCAGAGCCAAAGCTAAGGTAGAACAGGCAGCGATGGCCGTGGCCTCGTAGGGTCTTAGGCACTTGAAAAGTGTCACATTGGACAGATACTTTATTGGAATACACACTTTGATACTCAATCCCCCCCTCCAAGAAAAATCAGATTCCATATTTTGCCCCAGTCATTTATTTAAATGGAGTTCAACGTAATTCTGCCTTTCATTCTTACTGATTTCAAACATAGTCCCATGTAATATGACCACTGCTTACACTGCATAGTGCCTAACCACTTTGATGTACACAGTCACCACTGAGCCTTCAGCCCTTCCTTTGAAGGCTGGCCGGAAGAGCCTTCTGGGCCTCACTTTTTCATCTCTGAACCAGAGCTGTTGATACATCTCTCGCAAGGTTGTGAATAACATAGGTGGTTTCACTGCACAAACCAAACCACCCCTACAGCATTTTTTAATGAAAAATTTTAGGCACCAGAAAGAGATAAAATACTCTAACAAATACCTTTGTATCTGCCACTTAGACAAATAAAAATTATATTATGGATATAACTGAACCTGTCTACGTAATGCTCTTGATTCCATTCCTTCTCTGCCTCCCCTGAGGAAACCACTCTGCTGAAATATGGACAACAGTATCTTTTATTTGGCTTCCATGTAGAGACTACCTATTGACTGGAAGTAGACCAGGTCAGTTGATGCTTGACAGAGCATATCATAGTAACTAAGAGCCAACACTTAATATTGGTTACTGTGTGATGGGCCCTGGGCTAAGTATTTGACTAATACTAACTCATTTGTCCTCATAACAACCTCTAACATAGTTAACAATTTCTATCTTTGTTTTACAAATAAGGAAAGTGAGGTACAGAGTGGTTAAGTAATTTGCCCAAGGTCACACAGCTATAAGTGGTAGAGCCAAGATTCAAACCAACAGTCAGAAGTCTGTGCTGTGAACCAGTACACTATACTGTCTCGATGTGCCATCAGCATTTATCACTGATTATGCATAAATATCCATGCATAATAAGTGTGTCTGCATATATTCCTCATGCTTTTGGTGGTCTTGCAGTGAAAGACCTTATTTTTGAAAAAGAACTTATCTTTAAAGCTTTTACCTGCAAAAGTCAGATGGGAAGACATAAAGGACCTCATCTTTGGTTATTAGTGGGTGAAAAGAATCTCCATCTGTTCCATTAATCATATTGCACTTGTCTGTTATCCACCAGTCAAGTGACCTATAATTGATAAGCACAAGAAAGAGTAAAGATGATCACATTTGAGTTTAGATTCTCTTAAATGGTCAGGACTTTGCAAGATTTAACTGGAGCTGTCTATCCACAGTATCTTATTCATACACAGACACAACAGTTTTAATTAGATCAAGGGGGAGAAAAAGTAGGTCCCTGGCCCAAATCAGCTTTCATAGAGGCAATGGCCAAATAGCCCAAAACATGTGGTGGTTTGAAAAGTATTTGTGCTGTAGCTACTACACATCACTCAATGACTACTAAGCAAGAGTGGGACTTTTCACTGGCCTGTAATTCATGCCTGGCCATGATAAATCTACAAATCACTAATATTTAATCTGTAAGATGTTTTACCACCATCTTGATTTGTAGAATAATAATTACAAGACTATTTACATGTTTTTATATTTTTCATCCAAAAAAGGCTAAACACATTTTTAAGCAATGTAGAAGTAGACATGTAGTTTAAATGAAAACTGAAAAAATAATTCCACTGATAAATCATTTGACTTACGTTTTCCCATTCCATTCCACAATTTTTGTAAAGTTAAGGTAACTGTCTTCTCCAGTTAGAAAAACATAGTCTCCATCATTAGTCCCATTTTTCTGAAAATATGTGAATATGATCATTTAAAGTAACTGTGATAATTTTATGACAACTTGGCTAGACTATGGTGCCCAGTTGTTTGGTCAAACACTAGCCCAGATGGTGTGGTGAAGGTATTTTGTAGGTGTGATTAATATCTACAATCCGTTAACTTTAAGGGAGGTTACCCTCAATAATGAGTGGCTGGGCCCCCTCCAATCTGTTCAAAGCCTTACAAGCAAAAACAGAGGTTTCTTAGAGGAGGAATTCTCCTCAAGACTGCAACATCGAAATTCTGCCTGGATTTCCAGGTTGCAGCCCACCCTACAGATTTCAAACTCAAGACCACATCATCAACTTTTACCTGAGTTTCCAGCTGCTGGCCTGCTCTATGGATTTCAGACTTACCAGCTCCCATAATCACATAAGCCAATTCCATAATATAAATTTCTTTCTCTCCCTCTTTCTCATCTCTACATATACACCCTCTTGATTCAGTTTCTCTGGCAACCCTAACTGATACAGTAACTAAAAAATTTAATCTTCATCTAACTGTCCTACTAGGGCCTAACTGCTACACAAGACTGAACCAGGACCAGAAAATAGTGACTATTTTGCTAAATACTATATTAACCATATTATTATTTTATGGTTTTAAAAAGTAGGAGCTCAATTTTAAAATGGGCAAAGGATTTGAAGAGACATTTCTGAAAAGAAAATATACTAATGGCCAGAGAGCACATAAAAACATGTTCAGCATCATTAGTCATTAGGGAAATGCAAATCAAAACCACAATGAGATACCACTTCACACCCACTAGGAGGGCAATTAAAAAAAAAAAAAAGAAAAATAGTAAGCGTTGGTGAGGATGTGGAGAAATTGGAACCTTTATACATTGCTAGCAGGAATATAAAAATGTTGCAGTCACTGCAGAAAACAGTTTGTCAGTTCTTAACAAAGTTAAACAGAATTCATAGGACTCCAAAATTCCACACCTATGTATATACTCAAGAGAATTCCACTTCAAGGTATATACCCAATGTTCATATAAAAGCTTGTATGAACAAATATTCATAGCAGCACTTCTAATAATAGCCAAGAAGGAACACAACCCAAATGTCCATCAACTGATAAATGGATAAGCAAAATGTGGTATATCTACACAACGGAATATTCCTCAGTTATAAAAAGGAATGGAACACTGATACATGCTACAACATGGATGAACCCTGACAACATTACACTAAATTTAAAAAGCAGACACAGAAGGGCATATATTATATGACTCCATTTATATGAGATGTCCAGAATATGCAAATTCACAGAGCCAGAAAGTAGATTAGTGGTTGCCAGGGCCTGGGAGAGTAAGACAGGAATAGGAGTGACTGCTAAGAGAGTATGCAGTTTCTTTTTTGGGATAATGAAAATGTTCTGGAATTAGCAGTAATGGTTGCACAACCTTGTGACTATACTAAGGACTACTGAATTGTACATTTTAAAATGGTAAATGTTATAGTAAGTGAATTATTTCTCAATAATAACAAATTTAAAAGCCTAAGTCCAGGACCAGGACCAATTATACCAGAATAGCTACACTGGAAGAAGACGGTATTAATATAGCCCTATTTTCAATTAAGGTTTCTTCAATTGTATATTCTCTCCAAGTTATACTTCTTAAGGGCACATACAGACACTACATTCCTAAAATTCTTTATTTGGGCATGTAGCTATGATTTCTCAGAAATAGCACAGGTAGTAGCTCCTCTATAATAATAGGAGTGAACAATTGTTGAGTATAATATTCCTGGCTCTGTTCTAAAATTTTTGCATGAATCATCTCATGAAATCCTCACAACCACATAAGATAGTGTGGCTATCAGTCTGGTGAATTCAATGATGTAAAAACAAAAAAAGTGAGTTATATAATGCAAATTATCTGAGAAACAGTGAGATATTAGCAACAAGATCTACTTGGCTGATGGATTGAAGCCACTGGGAACAAAAGGGCCTCGAGGGAACCTTTGCATAATATCTCTCAGTAGGAGGCTCTCCTGAAATTATTTCTAGAAGGGAGGTTCAGTCAGGGCTTGACAGGAAATCTGTGCTTCCTCTGGTCCTGTGAAGCTGTATTCCTCTGAGACAGGACCCTCTAGGGAACTCCTGCCTGGTCTGCTTCTCCCGAATGATGCATTCAGAGTTGGTGAGGCCCTACTTTTAGGACTCCTGTCTCTCACACATATAATTTTTTAAAACTTGCTCACAATTCTATTTTAACAATTTCTACGTTTTATATAACCTTGAAGGCCCAGGGACACAATTATTGCTGTTTGCCATAAAAACTGGAATGCTACAGGATTACATGAAGAGGGTAAGACTCTTGAACAGGCAGAGCCAGAAAACAGCTACAAATTTAAAGCTGAGGAGACCCATCACAATCCCAGAGCACACCCCTAATCTAATCCTCTTCCTGGGGTTATTTTATCTTTTACCAACTTCCCAACTATCCACTGCACTCCAGGGTTTTTGTTTTTGTTTTTGTTTTTGTTTTTTTTTTGGCTTTTTTAGACAGAGTCTTGCTCTGTCACCCTGGCTGGAGTACAGTGGTGTAATTTCAGCTCACTGCAACCTCTGCCTCCTGGGTTCATGCAACTTACCTGCCTCAGTCTCCTGAGTAGGTGAGATTACAGGTGTACATCACCACAGCTGGCTAATTTTTGTATTTTTAGTAGAGATAGAGTTTTGCCATGTTGGCCAGGCTGGTCTCAAAGTCTTAACCTCAAATGATCCACCCACCTCGGTCTCCCAAAGTCCTGGAATTACAGGCATTAGCCACCGCACCCGGCCTCAAGTTTTTTTTCTTTCCAAAAAACACTCCATTTTTCACACACTCTATAAGATAACTTAACTCTAGGCAATTTCTAGAAGAAACTCAAAGTTAATCTGGCTTGGGGTGCCCCAACCCACTGTCAGCTAAAAAAAGAGGTTCTGAAAAGAAAAATCTACTTACCTCATAGAATAGGCCAAAATAGGGAGAGATATCGGGCCTGAAAACATGGATAAGGGACAAGATTTCATCTTTGTAGCCCCAGAGCAATTCGTCAACTGTGTGAGTCACAAAGAGCTTCTGCTGATAGGCTTTCAACATGGCCTCGATGATCTCCCTGAGGAAGTGCACCTGGGACCACTCTATGACAGTCTGCGGAGCAGAGGTATATTAAGACAGCAGCATCCCCTCCAAAGCACCTCCATCCACTCTCTCCTACTACCCCATAGCAAAGGGGGTTGGAAATATAAATGTAAAGGTTGAGATTAAATAGCTGAAAAATCAGGCAGTGAGCTCCTTTCTGGCTGCATATGGAAGACAAAGCCTCTTCTCTGTCCTTTCCCAGTACTGCATTTTGTAAGTGTAATATTTACAAAGAGACCATTTGCAGGCTCTGAGTTATCCAGACACCACAAAAGGGGAAAAGCTCTTGTAAACATGTGGGCATCTTTGGCCACAAGGTGGCGCTACCTTCCGCCTAAGCAGGGCCAGAGGCTCATTATAAACCCGACCTACACCCCTGGGACTAGGTGGCAGGGACCTCATACTGTCTAGGTCCTGGGTCCATCATCAGTGTCCAGCTGCATATGGAGCGGTCACCTAGGGGTTAGGGTGGGAGAGTCGGCAGGGGTTGGTGTAGGTGAATTAGAATGTTTACTGGGCCAGCCCAGGAACAGTGGTTCACGCCTGGAGTCCCTGGCCGACACAGGAGGATCCCTGGAGCCCAGGAGGTAGAAGCTTCAGTGAGCTGTGATGGAGCCACTGACTGCACTCCAGCCTGGGCGACAGAGCAAGACCCTGTCTCAAAAAAAATTAATAATAAATAAATTAATTTAATTTAAAAAAAAAGAAAGTCTCATGGGTCTCAGTATAGAATAGATGTAGAATAGGTGTCGTTATTAGGTAGAATTACCATTATAAACAGAGCCCACTGAAATCACAGTAGGCTGCCAGTCTATTGATTTCTGGTGTCAATTTATGAATTTTGAGAGTATAAAATCCAACATAAAAATCTGAAGTAAGAAATGGTATACAAATTTCATTGCTAGAATTTCTGAATGAAAACAAGGGGCAAATAAACATTTTTAAAATTATTAGCTACCAAAAAATCCTAGGGGCATATTTATTTGCACAATTGCTAATCCTGAACACCCAGGAAGAAATTATGAAAACAAATCCTAAAATCTGAATTTTGTCATCATTTGAAAAGACCTTATTTGATACATCTTAGAAAAAAGTCCAAGATGTACTTTAAAGAAAAGAAAAGAAGTATTTTTCTTTTTATATATGTATATTTCAACATAACTTAATGGCTCCTAAATGTAAAATCATAAAGAGCATTAACTTAGCTTTTTCCTTTCTTCCAAAATCCAACTTAATGGTATTAAAATGCCTACTTACCAATACAGGAATATTTAATGTTCTAATTAAGTCAATTTTAGGGTCTCCAACAGATTGGTCTCGTTCAAAAACATAGGCCTTGTTGCTAACAGCAGATATTGTTGTTCCATTATCTCCAAATTGAATATTTGCTTTGTTTCTGAGTTCCCTAAAAGAAAGAAAAGGGTTTTATTTGAAAATAGACACCACTTTAATAAGCAAGACTTTTCCTTTCTTTCAGCATCCAAGTTATATTTTCAATATAACATTCCCAATATAACATTATATAGAGACTGCAGCTACTAAGCCTTAAAAAGCTGGAGATCGAAGCTATAATGTGGGAAGGAAACGAGGCCTAGGATAGAGTCTTCTCAAAAACTTTGTTTTCCTTCTTTTCTTCCCTGATTAGGGAGGTGCAATAGTTGAGGGTCACCTTGACCGGGAATCAAAGCCGATGAACTCTCTCCTGGGTTATGGTTTGGTCCTGAAGTATTTTCAAAATTTTCAGTTTGGTTCACAGATTTAGTTTGAATTTCAATTTGTTTACCAATGTCTTCTTGTTTCTACATTGAATTAAATTGAAATTTTATTTTAAAAAATAATGCCCAAGGCTTAGTAAATTACAGGAGTTCACTCCTGTTTCTTTTTTTGAGATAGGGTCTCGCTCTGTTGCCCAGGCTGGAGTGCAGTGGCATGACTACAGCTCACTGCAGCCTCAGCCTCCTGGGCTCAAACAATCCTCCCACCTCAGCCTCCCAAGTAGCTAGAAGTACAGAAGCATGCCACCACACCCAGCTAATTGTTTTATTTTTTTGTAGAGATGAGGTCTTACTATGCTACCCAGGCTGGTCTTGAACTCCTGGACTCAAGTGATCCTCCTGCCTCGACCTTCCAAAATGCTGGCATTACAGGCATGAGCTACCACACCCGGTCTCTGTTTCTGATATACAGCACAGTTTGGTTCAAGTTAGAGCCCCCAAATGAAGCATTAGAAAGTTCTTAGAAAGCGCCTGGTGCCAGGGCTGGGCCTAGAGTCAGTGTGAGTGATGTAAGAGGTGCCTAAACAAGTAGTAATCAAGATAAATAGTTTAATGCACTATTTATTAAAACCAAAATTTATGCCAAAAATTTATGATGAACAAAATTTTAAATAAAAACAGAATCTGATCTTTTGTTCATCAAATGCCTCACACTAGCCCTAGCCCTAGCCCTGCCTGGTACATAGTAGGTGTTCAATAAATTCCAGTGACTTTTGTTTCTTTCCCTTTGCTTATCTTTCCTTCTTCCTAAACCAGCTAGGGTTATTATGTCTGACATGGTAGCCACTAGTCACATGTGACTACTGAGTACTTAAACTGTGGCTAACTGGAATTGAGATTTGCTGTAAGTGTAAAATATATACAGAATTTCAAAAACAGTGCCAACCTTTTTTTATATTGATTATATATTGAAATGATGCTATTTCAGTTATAATGGGTAAAATTAAAATATATTATCAAAATTAATTTTACCTGCTTCCTTCTACTTTTTAAAAAATGTGGCTACTAGAAAATCTTAAAATCTTAAATTACACATGTGGTTCATGTAATATTTCTATTGAACAGAGCTAATTTAAGAGCACAGGTTAGGAAGGCATTGGCCAGCTGGGCTACCCACACCTCCTCTGAGGCCTTTCCCAACCATAGCAGCACAGGGATTTTTCTCACCCACCTGTGGATGTCCGTACATGTCTTTAGCATTCAATTAGAAACTTCTGAGTGACATCATTTAGATTGTGAAATTATCATGTAGCCTCAGGTAGACTGCAAGCAAGCTGAAGGCTGAAACTGGTACGTAAAAATGCGCCTCGGTGATGATGGAGTTATGTCCCAGTAAACCCATCATAAGTTGAAAACATCGTAAGTTGAAAGTTTGTTTTTGATTCAACAACTTAGTATCTTTCCAATTTACAATGGGTTTATCTGGATGTAACTCTATCGTCATTGGAGGGGCATGCCAAATACATCACTTTCACACAATCGCGAAGTCAAAACATCATTCAAGTTGAACCATCATAAGTCAAGGACTGTCTGTATATTGTATCTCTTTATACCTCTTAAATCCCTTCTAGACTTTAAAATAAAAACAGATGAGAAAATAAATGCATTCATATAGATGCATACAAATAGATGAGTCTTTGTATCTTCTCCAGTAGAAAAAACAAACCATTTTTTTCTGTGCTCTCATACTGTAACAACTTACACAGAAGACTTCTAAGACTTCTGAGACTTCTGGTCACCAAGAAGTGTGTGGCGTTTTCTCTGCACCAATAATTCTGCAGTGTCCTCCAATTCAATTCAATTCTGATACTTTCTACTTGGACATAGCATCAGATTCTACAGGTTGAGACTGCCTTCCACCTCCTATGCCAATCAAAAGCCCCAGGCTGTTTTACCTGTGCTTCTGAACTAATGGCTATAAATTGGGGTTCCCATCCCCCTGTGCTTGGGCTCAATTAATTTGCTAGAACAGCCCAGAGTACTCAGGGAAACACTTACATTTTATTATAAAGGATATTACAAAGTATACAGATGAAGAGATGCACTGGGCAAGGTGTAGGGGAAGGAGCTCAGAACTTCCATGCCCTCTGCAGGCTCGCTACTCTCCAGGAACCTCCCCATGTTTGGTTCTCTGGAAACTCTCCAAATTCAGTCCTTTTGGTTTTTTATGGAAGCTACATTACATAGGCATGATTGATTAAATCACTGGCCATTTGTGATCAACCCAACTTTCAGCCCCTCTCCCCTCCTGGGAGGTTGGGGGGTGGGGCTGAAAGTCCCAACCCTCTAATCCTGTCCTCTTCTTTCAGGACCAGCTCCCATCCAGGAGCCATAGAGGCTGCCAGTCATCAGTCAATTCACTAGCATACAAAAAGACACTTATCACTTAAGCGATTCCAAGGATCTTAGGAGCTGTATGCCAGGAAATGGAGGAAGACTAAATATATATTTCATCATATCACATGTCTATATCCTATACTCTGTCAAGTGTATAGAAGGAAGCATACTTCCTATCACATATACACATATCACACATCATATCACACTAAGCACCAAGCTATGCCCACTAATCCTATAAATAGCTGACCCTTGCATAGCTCTTCAAAGAGTTTAACCCACATTATTTTATTTTATTTAATCCTTACAAGTATGTAGTACAAATACAGCATGTAGTATTGCCCCACTTCACAGCTGGGGACACAGAGCACAGGCAGAAGAGTGAGAACTTGATCCCAAGTCTTTCTCATTAGCACAAGGTGCTCCTCTCTCTGTATGAGACAACCTCTCCTAACAGGTACCTAAGAAACGCCTGTAGGATGAAACCAGCTAATGCCTCTAACAAATGCCTCTAACCAAAGCCAAATCTAATGATAAATTACATGCCCTTCCAGTTTACAAAGAATATATTTAAAAATTTGATAGACACTTCCGTGTTAAACCACTTACACAGCTTGAAGTTCAGTGTTTGCAGTGGACTTTTCATTTGTTAGACAACCATTCCGCTTTCTGCTGGTAATAGCCCTGATTTGCTTTCCTCTCTTGTATTGTACAGCTGTGTAAGACCATCAGTCAAGGTTGCTATGGGACCTGAGCTCAACCAATTCCTTTCCTCTGGCCTCTGAATCCTGAGCACAGTGCCTCAAGATAGAAAACACAGTAAAAGAACCAGGCGTGGTGACATGTACCTGTAGTGTCAGCTACTTGGGAGGCTAAGGTGGGAGGATGGCTTGAGCCCAGGAGTTTGACGTTACAGTGAGCTATGATCATGCCACTGCATTCCAGCATGAGCAACAGAGCAAGACTTTGTCTCTACCAAAAAAAAAAAAAATTTTAATTTAAAAACAAGAAAACTCAGTAAAAGACAGGATTCCTCCCAGTGGCAGACACATGATGTGATGATCAATACACTCTCGTGACCTGGATCTTTAAAGCTGCCCTGCATCCTGCTTTTGTCTTCCAAGCTGCTTTCCTTGATTCTGTTAACCTACTTTATAGCCTTCAAATAGATTCCCGTTTTACTTAAATTAGCCAGAGGTAGTTTATTTTGCTTATAACCAAAGACCCTTCACTTAGAAATCATTAACTCCACCTTTTTATAGATAAGGATATGTGGATTCAGGACCAATCGAAAGTGTCAGGGCCAGGTTTAGAATCCTGGTGACCTCACCTCTCATTCAGGGTATTCCTTGATTTTACACAGAGGTTAATTCACAGTAATTTATTGGAATATGGAGGAGGAGAGGAAATTTCAAAGCCAAACTTTTGTGTAAGCCAAGGCTGGTGCCTGCAGAGAGGGGCATATTGATCAGTTACTGTCCTACAAGATCAAAGAAGACCAAATGAACTTTCAGAAATACAAAGAAGAGTTTGAAAAAACAAAACAAAAACAACAACAAAAAACAAATCAAATTTTCAGCCTAGGCAATTAATCAAGGAACTATACTTAAAAGTGCCCGGCATGGTCCCTGGTATTTAGTAGATGCTAATGAATCTCAGACTATAGTATAACATTTGTGCATTACTATGACGGTCCTTGTCATTAAGACAAGGTTCAGTTATGCTCCATGAACTATTTAATCAGGCAGGAAAATTCATGGTTGGTTTTAGAAATAATTTTAGAAACAATAGACTGAGATAAGGAGTGGAAATCAAAAGGAATAATTTTAATTAGGTGGAAAATTAACATCGGTATATCTAATTCCTCAGAGGTGTTTGATAAATTGGATGCGTATAATACTATCATAGTATCGTTATCTTTCAGTCATATTGGTTCCTTCATTCACCTAATCCTCTGTTGAGAATTACTATTAAGAAGTGATTGGGCATACACTGGATACAAACTAGACTGAGATCTGGCTGGTAGGGTTAACATTCAACCCTGGTTTCATCTTACTCACTGCTTCTGTGCCTCAGTTTCCTCATCTGTAAAATGGAGGTAATAACGTACTCACCTTGTAGGGTTGTTGTGAGAATGAAATCCACATAAATCCAGTTACAACACTACCTGGCACACCTGCTGCTTAGGAGGGATTAGCTACTGATACCATGTGCAACGGCTTGTGCTAAGCTCTTGAGATGGTGTGACATTAAGTCCTGGTTCTGGTCCTCCAAGAATCCACAGTAGAGCATGGGAGACTGCCTTCAGAGGCCACCTCCTTCACAGTAAACGCACTGTGGGCATACAGAGGAGGGAGGGATGGCAACTGGAAGGGGACTCCTGCAAAAGACACTTTTGCTTGATTCTGGAAAGAGTGGGCTTCTGCAGGTGGGAGGGTGAAGGGGGTGTTCCAACAGAGGCAGCGGTGGGGCGAAGGTGGGCAGCAAGCATGAAAGCATTCCCATGTGGGGAGTGAGAAAGCTGTGGTCCTGGAGGAGGAGGACACGCTTTAAAAGACCATCACAGATCCAGGCGAGGCTGGGGTGATGAACACATCAACGTGAAAGGAGTACTGAAGTCCTAGGGTGACCACAGAGAAGAGGGAAAGCAAGGGGAGCCAGCCAAAGGCACAGGCTGAGGAGCCTCTACCCTTAACTTTGAGTACGCTGCCCGCTCAGGTAACTGAAGGCAGCAACCTGTAGATACAAAGCAGGATACTGAGAAGAAGTGGTAAGAGCAGGGTCGGGAGAAGACTCACCCGCTTGTTGACAGTGTGCAAGAAACAGTTTCACTCCTTAAGATGGAAATATCTCCCTGGTCTCCCTGTCCCCAGGCAGTGACCCATAGGCTCACGTAGGCAATTCACCTAATGTACCACGTGCATTTAAAACTCACACATACCTGGTCACAACCTTTTGTGCATGATAAGATGGTGTGAGAGATCTTTTTCTATTTTTTTTTACTTCTGAGCAGTTTAAGGATTTTTTTTTTCAAAATCTGTTTCTATTTTGGCAAAACAAATACAGTTTTAGCTACCAATCTAAAAACACTATCAGAGAAAAGCGAGGCAAGTTTAGAAAAAAGGAGAAAGCATTCTCCTATAATAATGGAAACAATGATCACGGTGTTCCTAAATTTTTTGTTGTCTCTTTATGTTAAAAAAATTTCTTATACAGCTTGGCTCAGACACGGTTAAAGAACTAAAGGGTTAATAGGACAGAATTAGACAGTATAAACAAAATTCCTGCCTTTGCTAAATTGCAAGGAAGACACTTAGATCCTGAAGAAATTAAATGTGGAAAAACAGAACTATAAGAAAATCGACTTGAACATCAAACCATTGAAGGGAGTAAGACTTTTAAAGCTCAGACCTGATAGAAATGTTGAAAAAGAATAGACTTGACTACAACACATTTTAAAAATTGACAAGGTAAACAATGGAAAAGCAGTTGCCCCAAATGAAACATAAAAGGTTCACAGAGTGCCATGAACACTCCAGAACCCAGATAAGCAAATGGACAAAGGACAAGAACTAAAAGTGTGGAAACACAACTGGCTGGCAAACATGAGGAGAACATTCAACCCACGAGGTAACCAGAGGAGAAAATGAAAACGGATCTACATGTTCAGGAAAGGAACAGTTAAGTGTAGTAATACATTTACTCTATTAAATATAATCATCATTAAAATTCATTTGTATGAAGACCAAAATATAACATTGAAAAATCCTATGCTATAACATTAGGTGAATAAAAAATATGTATATTTTGTATATGTACATGCATATGTACATAGTATGATAACCATCTAAAACTCATCCATGGAAAAATGGCCAAGAAGATATCCACTAAAATGTTAGTTAGCATTGGTTATTTTTGAGACAGTGAAGCCATGGATTAGTAGTTTTTGTTCAAAACTTTACTGCATTTTCAAGTTGATCTTTAGTGATTATATATATGGAACACATATATATGTGTAATTTTTATAATATAAAATATAGTCTACACTCTTAAAGATAATGCTGTATATATTATATATGTTGATTATATTTGAAAATCCAGTATTACTTGTTATCAATGAATAATAAAATAACTTAAGATCTAGCCCTTACATCTTTTTAAATAATACAAGCCTAAAATAGAAATGAATAATCCAAACAGCAAAACTAAGAAACCCCAAAATAAGATATTTCACGGGATACTGTAAATTTAGTAAATACTTCTTAGAAATACGCAAATTAATTGGAAGTGCCCTTAGACAAATTGTTTTCTTTTTTAATTCTTGAAATGTTAAATGGTAGGCAAAATAGAAAAAGGTATCTGACAAGATAAAAAATAAACCTCAAAAAGGCTGCAGAAGCCATGGGATACCACAACTTTGATACAAATTTTATACAAATATGTCCCTGAGCAAAAGGATCATGAGGCCAATGAGCCTTGTATTCACAGACCCATTCCAGGGCTGCTCAATCTGCAGCTTTACAAAAATGTAAATAATACACTTCATTCCTTAAACCAGACTGACTGGCTGTTATCAACATTTGGAATGCCCATCATCTTTTTCCAAAAACATTACTATTCTGAACTCCCCAGTATGTGAAAGGTTTGGGAAATGTGCCACTGTAAATCCTGTGTCAGATGAGTTAGGCCCTCCACAGTCTTGCTTGGCCCTTCCCCATCTCAGAGGTTTCCCACCACCACACCAATCTGTACTAACTGGCGAAAGGGGCTACATGCCCTCCCCTTCCTTTGCCCCAGGCCCCCTGGCATACAATTGATGGAGTCAGCTGACTCAGTTGGGAGAAAACACTGGAGCAGAAGCTTCTGGAATGTTCTGTCTTATCCAGCCTAAACAATAGCATCATAAAGCCACAAGTGACAGAAATCAAATCCAGTGAATGACCGCAAAAGGCACATGTAGAGACTAACAGGCCCCATAGAAGGTTTGGACAGCTCCCTAAAAAGCCATGTTTTTCTACAAATCCCAGATCTCACGACCCACTCAGCCCTGTAAGGAGCTCTTAGCAGCCTGCACTGCACATATGCATATTCCTAACAAAGCCATTCATTTTCAGGGCCTGATTCCCCTTTCTTGAACCTATATTTGGGTTTCCTGAACTAAGTCCTATGGTTCCGGCTATTAGGTGGGTGCAAAGTAACTGCGTTTTTTGTCATTACTTTTAAATACTTTTTAATAATTGTGTCCTATAGTGTTAGTTTTTCCATGTGTCCTATGAATTTAAACCACAGTTGAAGATGTTTAATTTACATATTCCACAAATATTCATTAAATAGTAGACAGTCAGAGACCAAAGGACTTGGTCACTGCACCCCATGGAGCTTCCAGTACATTGGGAAGAAAGACAGATACCTAAGCCAATTATTAAAATGCAATTAGTCACTGTCATAATGGATGCACATATTTATTAGTCTGTTCTCATGCTGCTAATAAGGACATACCTGAGACTGAGTCATTTATAAAGGAAAGAGGTTTAATTGACTCACAGCTCAGCATGGCTGGGGAGGCCTCAGGAAACTTACAGTCATGGCAGAAGGGGACACAAACACGTCCTTTTTCACGTGGCAGCAGCAAGGAGAAGTGCCCAGCAAAAGGGTTTTTGTTTGTCTGTTGTTGTTGTTGTTGTTGTTGTTTGAGACAAAGTCTTGCTCGGTCGCCCAGGCTGGCATTCGGTGGCGTGATCTCAGCTCACTGCAACCTCTGCCTCCGGGGTTCAAGTGATTCTCCTGCCTTAGCCGGTGTGTGCCACCACACCCAGCTAATTTTTTTTTCTTTTTGTATTTTTAGTAGAGACAGGGTTTCATTATGTTGGCCACATTGGTCTTAAACTCCTGACCTCAAGTGATCTGCCTACCTTGACTTCCCAAAGCACTGGGAATATAGGCATCAGCCACCACACCCAACCAAAAGGGTTTTTTAAAAAGTCCCTTATAAAACCATCAGATCTCGTGAGAACTAACTCAGTATCAAGAGAACAGCATGAGGGTAGCTGCCCCCGTGATTAAATTACCCCCCTGGGTCCCTCCCATGACATGTGGGGATTATGGAAACTACAATTCAAGCTGAGATTTGGCTGGTGGGGACACAACCAAACCACATCAACATACCACTTTACAAGTGCTATAAAGTGGTATACTTGACACTTTTTTTTTTTTTTTTGAGATGGGGGTCTTACCCTGTTACCCAGGCTGGAGTGCAGTGGTGCAATCTCAGCTCACTGCAACCTCCACCTCCCAGGTTCAAGCGATGCTCCCACCTCAGCCTCCCACGTAGCTGGGGCCACAGGCACATGCCACCACGCCTGGCTAATTTTTTGTATTTTTGTTAAAGACGGAGTTTTGCTATGTTGCCCAGCCTAGTCTCGAACTCCTAAGCTCAAGTGATCTGCCCACCTCAACCCCCCAAAATGCTGGGATTATAGGTGTGAGCCACCGTGCCCAGTCTACTTGACATTTTAAATAAGATGTAACAGGGAGAGTATCCGAAGTCAGGCAAGTCTCAGGAGGAGACAGCATTTGCACTAAGTAAGATGTGAAGGTCAAGAGAGGTAGCGCTGAGGAATTCATTCTTGACTGAAGCAACAGCATGAATACTGGCAAGGCAGTGTGTCTGGGGAGCTTATAAATCATGGGAGTGGCCAAGCATGGTGGCTCACGCCTGTAGTCCCAGCACTTTGGGAGGCCAAGGCGGGTGGATCACTTGAGACCAGGAGTTCGAGACCAGCCTGGTCAACATGGTGAAACCTTGTCTCTACTAAAAATACAAAAAATTAGCCAGGCGTGGTGGCCGTGCCTGTAATCCCAGCTACGGGGGAGGCTGAGGCAGAAGAATCACTTGAACCTGGGAGACAAAGGTTGCAGTGAGCCAAGATCGCGCCACTGCACTCCAGCCTGGGAGACAGAATGAGACTCTGTCTCAAAAACAAACAAACAAACAAACAAACAAACAAAAAATCATGGGAGTATGGTTGGAATTATGCTGTCTAATAGGGTAGCCACTAGACACATGTGGCTATTGCACATTCAAAATGTGGCTAGTCTGAAATGAAATGTTCTATAAGTGTAAAATGCACACAGGATTTCAAAGACAGTATAAAAAAAGATTGTAAAGTATCTCATTAATAATTCTAAATATTGCTAACATGTTGGAATGACACTATTTTGGATAGTTTGCAGAGTCTCCATCACATCTTAAGGAATTTCATTTAAAAATAACAACAACAACAAACAATGGGACACTTAGATACTGATCCTGGTTCAACTTCTAATTATTGCCAGTGGGAGAGCTTAAAATACAAACTTTCTCTACCCAGTACACAGTGTTTCATCAGGCATAGAACACATACAAAATGGCTTTTTAAAATGAGGACCCAAGTATTTTCTTAGATTTCTTCATATAGCAACAGGGTTCATCTTTATAATTCTACATATTGACTTGTACAGACTAAAACAATTAATCTACGAAGACCAATAATATAGTTTTGGTGTCCCCTCAAAATCTCATGTTGAAATATGATCCCCAATGTTGTAGGTGGGGCCTGGTAGGTGTTTGGGTCATGGGAAGGATTCCTCATGGCTTAGTGCTGTCCTCGAGATAGTGAGTTCTCACGAGATCTGGCTGTTGTAAAGTGTGGCACCTCTCCCCTCTCTTGCTCCTGCTCTGGCCATGTGACATGCCTGCTCCCCCTCTCTTACTTCCACCATGATTATAAGTTTCCTGAGGCCTCCCCAGAAGCCAAGCAGATGCCAGCATCATGCTTCCTGTAGAACCTGTGGAACTATAGGCCAATTAAACCTCTTTTTTAAGTAAATTACCCAGTCTCAGGTCTCTCCCTCTTTCTTTTCTTTCTTCTCTCTCTTTCTCTCTCTCTCCCCTCCCTCCCTCCCTCCCTCCCTGTCTTTCTTTCTTTCTTCTTTTTTTTTGAGACAGGGCCTTGCTCTGTCACCCAGGCTGGAGTATAGTGGCATGTTCTCGGCTCACTGCAACCTCTGCCTCCCAGGTTCAAGCAATTCTCCTGCCTTAGCCTCCTGACTAGCTGGGAATACAGGTGGGCACCACCATGCCAGGCTAATCTTTGTATGTTTAGTAGAGGTGGGGTTTTGCTGTGTTAGCCAGACTGGTCCCAAACTCCTGACCTCAAGTGATCCACCCACCTTGGCCTCCCAAAGTGCTAGGATTACAGGTATGAGCCACCATGCCCAGGAAGGTTATTTCTTTATAGCAATGTAAGAACAACCTAATTTAGAAAATTGGTACTGAGAGTCAAATATTGCTATAAAGATAGCTGGAAAATGTGGAAGCAGCTTTGAAACTGGGTAATGGGCAGAGAAGGGAAGAGTTTGGAGGGCTCAGAAGAAGACAAGAAGATGAGGGAAAGTTTGCAATGTCTTAAAGACTGATTAAATGATCGTGACCAAATTGCTGACAGTGACATGGACAGTGAAGTTCAGGCTGAAAAGGTCTCAGATGGAAATGAGGAACTTATTGGGACTGGAGCAAAGTTCACATGTGTTATGCCTTAGCAAAGATCTTGGCTGCATTGTGTTCACACCCCAGGGATCTGTGGAAGTTTGAACTTGAGAGTGATGATTTAGGATATCTGGCAGAGATTTCTAGGCAGCAAAGCATTCAAGATGTCGCCTGGCTGCTTCTAACAGCCTACACTCAGATGTGGGAGTAAAAAAATGACTTAAAGTTGGACCTTATTTTTAAAAGGGAAGCAGAACATAGAGGTTTGGAAAATTTGCAACCTGGCCATGTGGCAGAGAAAGAAAAGCATTTCCGCAGTCTGGGCAACATAGGGAGACTCTGTCTCAAAAAAAAAAAAAGTTAAAAATTAGCCAGGCATGGTGGCACTTGCCTGTAGTCCTAGATACTTGGGAGGCTGAGGCAGGGGGAACCCTTGAGCCCAGGAGGTCAAGGCTGCAGTGAGCCATGATCATGCCACCGCACTCTAGCCTGGCAACAGAGACCCTGTCTCAAAAACAAAACAAAACAAAATATTTTTGTGGGGAGATAAATTCAAGCAGGCTGTAGAGCAACCATTGCTAAAACGATTTGCATAACTAAAAAGAAGCCAAGTGCTGAGAGTCAAGACAATGGGTAAAAGGCCTTGAAAACATTTCAGAGATCTCTGAGACAGCCCCTTCCATCACAGGCCCTGAGACCTAAGAGGACTGAGTGGTTTCAGGGACCAGGCCAGGGGCACTACTTCCCTGTGCTGTTTCCCACATCCCAGCCACTCCAGCTCCAGACATGGCTCAAAGGGGCTCAGGTACAGTTCAGGCCACTCCTCTGGAGGGTGCAAGCCATAAGCTTTGGCAGCTTCCATGTGATGTTAAGCCTGCAGGAACACAGAGTGCAAGAGTGAAGGAAGCTTGGCATCCTCCACCTAGATTTCAGATGATGTATGAGAAAGCCTAAGTGCCCCAGCAGAAGCCTGCTCCAAGGGCAGAGCCCTCAAGAGAAACTCTACTAGGGCAGTGAGGAGGGGAAATGCGGAGCTGAAGGCTCCACAAAGAGTCCCCACTGAGGCACTGCCTAGTGGAGCTGTGGGAAGAAGGCCACCGTCCTTGAGACACCAGAATGGTAGAGCCACCATCAGCTTGCAATCTCAGCATAAAAAAGCTACTGAGGCGGAGCTGCCTAAGGCCTTGGGAGCCCACCCCTTGCACCAGTGTGCTCTGGATGTGAGACACGGAGTCAAAGAAGATGATTTTGGAGCTTTATGATTTAATAACTGCCCTGTTGGGTTTCAGACTTGCTTGGGGCCTGTAGCCCCTTTCTTATGGCCAATTTCTCCCTTCTCAAATGGGAATGTTTGCCCAATGCTGATACACCCATTGTATCTTGAAAGGAAATAACTTGTTTGATTTTACAGGCTTATAGGTAGAAGGAATTCATTTCTAGATGAGACCTGGGACTTAGGACTTTTGAGTTAATGCTGGAATGAGTTAAGACTTTGGGGGACTATTGAGAAGGGATGATTATATTTTAACATGTGAGAAGGACATGAAATTTGGAGGCCAGGGGTGGAATGATATAGTTTGGATGTCCCCTCCAAATCTCATGTTGAACTGTAATCTTCAGTGTTGGAGGTAGGGCCAGGTGGGAGCTGTTTGGGTCATAGGGGAGGATCCCTCAAGGTTTGGTGCTGTCCTCACAACAGTGGGTGACTTCTCACGAGATCTTGTTGTTGTAAAAGTGTGGCACCTCCTCACCCCTTGCTCCTGCTTTCACCATGTAACGTGCCTGCTCCTGCTTTGCCTTCTGCCATGAGTAAAAGCTCCTTGAGGCTTCCCCAGAAGCCGAGCAGAGCCAGTGTGCCATGTGTGTACAGCCTGCAGAACCATGAGCCAATTAAACCTCTTTTCTTTATAAATTACCCAGTCTCAGGTATTTCTTCATAGCAATGCAAAAATAGCCTAATCCAACTAATAGTAAGAGCAAACACTTAAGTATCACTAATTATGTGCTAGGCACTAGTCTAAGCACTTTATACATGACTCATTGACTCAATCTTTGTAAAAACCATGTGGAGGAGGTCCTATTTTTATCCCCATTTTATAGATAAGGAAATGGAAGCACAGAGAACTAGTAAGTTGCAGAGGCGGGAATCAAAATGGGTCATCTGACTCCAGAGTCAGAGCATGAGCACCCAAGGCAGGAACTAGGATTTTTATCTCTGAATTCCCACCACTGAGAATAGTACTGATTCATAGCACATGAATCAGTCAGCAATAATTTATTGAGCAATCGATTACAACAGAATTGTCAGGCATTTTTATCATTCAGCAGTTTTGAAAAAGAAAGATCTTGTTGTCTGCTTCCTCTATTAATTTGTTTTCTAACCTGGTAAGGAGAGACTTTATTGGAAAGATTATTGTATGGGAGAGGGAGGAGGTATTGTAATAGGGAAAAGGGGAACATTGCAACAGAGAAAATGCTCTGATTCAAGCGTCTCCCTCTACTAATCGTTTAAAAATGATTAAAGGGATCCTGATTCCCCAGTGTTTGGAATTGGTGGTCACCAGCAAAGACTCTAACAGCCTCTGCTACTTGCTTATTGCTTATACGCAGGATAGGTGGAGAAAAGGAGCGGGTAAGAAACAGAAAGATCTGTCTCAGACAAAAGTAAATTCTGGAACTGCTTTAAAACTAGTTATGTGGGGAATGGAAATGGAGGGAGGCCCTAAAAGTCACTTAAGAATATCAAGCAGTAGCCAGGCATGGTGGTGCTCACGCCTGTAATCCCAACACTGTGGGAGGCTGAGGCGGGAGAATCACCTGAGCCCAGGAGTTCAAGACCAGCCTGGGCAATATAGCAAGACCTCATCTCTACAAAAAAAATTATCTGGGTGTGGTGGTGAACACTTGCAATCCCAGCTACTAGGGAGGTTGAGGCAGGAGGATCACTTGAGCCCAGGAGTTGGAGGTGGCAGTGAGCTATGACTGCTCTACTGCACTCCAGCCTGGGCAACAAAGCCAGACCTTGTCTCTTAAAAAAATAAAATAAAATAAAATAAGAATATCAAGGGGCAACCTTAAAAGGGTCAGGGTAAGGAGTAACCCTTCATGGTTTAATAATCACAGTCTGCCAACTCAGGAGGAAACCGCTGCACTTCAAAACACAACACGCTGAGACTTGGCCCAGTCTACAAAGCCATTCTCTGCTGAGGTTTCACACACACATACAAAACATCAGCAGCGTTTCAGACAATGAAATCAGAAAGTGTGCTCCCACACAGCCCTGGAGCCTTGCTCCTGGGAAGAGGCAAGGACTCAGGCCATATTGGGGTCACTCTGTATTTCTTTCAAGACAGGAGGTGGTCAAGACTTACCTGTAGGTGTATGGCCCCACTTCTTCCACCCGAGGGGTCTCCCCTCTGAGGATCTCCTCTGGATTGGTGACATTGAAGAAATAGAACTGAGTATACACAGGCAGAGGGGGCTTCTCCCAGGAGTCAAATGCCTCAGTACCATTCCTTAACACAATTTTCTAGGAAAAAACCAAAAGGAGATTTACAAAAATGTAAGGCAATAGTTGGCTTTAAACCCAAGAAGCAGAGGAAGGGACGCCCCCTATTCTGACCTCCTAGATCACTATTTTAATCATTTCACAGGCATTCAACTGCAGTCTCCTGAGAACAGGGCCATATCTTACACCAATAGAGCCCACAGTTCTAATAAGTCAGAGAAGGCCTTCGATAAATATTTGTAAAGGGGCCGGGCCCAGTGGCCCAACACTCTGGGAGGCCAAGGCGGGCAGATCACTTGAGGTCAAGAGTTCGTGCTTGGTCAACATGGTGAAACCCCGTCTCTACTAAAAATACAAAAATCAGCCAGGTGTGGTGGTGCGTGCCTGTAATCCTGGCTAGTCGGGAGGCTGAGGCAGTAGACTTGCTTGAACCTGGGAGGTGGAGGTTGCAGTGAGCCAAGATCGTGCCACTGCACTCCAGCCTGGGTTACAGAGCAAGACTCTGTCTCAAAATAAATTAACTAGTTAATTAATTAATAATTGTAAAGGAAGGGTACTAAAGACAGCACTTGGGCAGAAGCATGAAGCATAGTGTTTCCAAAACCTAGGGCACAGATTGAGTGCCTAAAGGGCCTGCTGGCTTTGTTATTTTTGAAGATTCCATGGATGGTGTATCTTCTGTAGAAGTTAAGCAATTCTGAAAAGCACCATACACTCCCAGTTTGCCCAGATGAGAGAATAACAAGGGGAAGGGCCCAAGAAGGCCAGTTTTGGTCCTTTTTCAAGTCAAACCACATCCATCCCTACCGCCTCCACCACCAGGGGCTTTAAATGTATTTTCTTATTGGATCCCCAAAAACCCTAAAATGGAACTGCCTATCCCCGTTTCAAAAACCAGGAGGCCTAGCCTCACTGAGGTTAGCTGACAATGGAGACTGCACTCTGCACACAATCCCTCCTGCACTTTCCACCCCTGTTCTGTGTTACAGGATGAATAATGCCCCCCATACTCTAAATTCCTAAGCTGAAGTCCTAACCCCCAATACCTCACAATGTGCCTGTATTTGGAGTCGGGGTCTTTAAAGAGCTGATGAAGGTTAAATGAGGTCATGAGGGTAGGCCCTGCTAATAGGACCGGTGTCCTAACTGGAGGAGGAAACTGGGACACAGACAAGCACAGAGGGAAGGCCACGTGAAAACACGCAGAACTGACAGCCCTCTACAAGCCAAGAAGACAGGCCTCAGAAGAAACCAACTCTGCCAATACCTTGATCTCAGACTTCTAGCATCCAGAACTATGAGACAAATTTCTGTTGCTTAAGCCACCCAGTCTGTTGTATTCATTCGGGAAGCCCTAGCAAATTAATACACCATGACTCCCCTAAGGGTGAAGTATTCTCCCTGCCTCACTGACTTCAGGCTAGGCCAAGTGACTAGATTTGACCAACAGGATGTGGGTGGAATGGCAATGTATCAATTTGGAGCTAAGGCCTTAAGATGCATGGCAAGTTTCTATCTGCCACCTTGAAGTTGCCACCCTTGGAAAAGAGAAGAGCAGGCCACAGGTAGCTGCTGATCCTTCAGCCTAGGTTCTAAAACGGAGATGTGTAGACTAGTCCTAAAGCGGACCAGAAGCCTGGAGTCCAGCCTCGTTCCACTGAGCCAGCTGAGCTGGCTGCACACCCACATATTATTGTTATAAGCAACGAGACTGGGGAGTTACTTGTTACTCACCGTGGCAGTAGAGGCCTGATAAATACAGCGCCTGAGGTTAACAGAAACCTAACACCTGGTATTCCCAACAGTCCTCTATCTGTTAATGGAGAAAAGCCTTGTATTTTTACTGTAAAAACGGCTGAAATACAAAAATAATATAAAAGCACAGACTGCAAATAAACAAACCAAAATGTGAACTTTGAGTGTCGAGAATTTGTATCAGTTATAATTCAGGTCCGGATTAGGAGGAGTCTTCCACTCACTGTTGCTTTTGTTTGGATTTTTACACCAGAAATAAATTACTTCTGTAAGCAGAAAAAAAAATGTTCCCTTATCTTTTTTTTTAAGTGAAAATCTAAGAAACTCAGATTCTGTAGCATGTTATGGATAGACCCTAAGGCAAGGAGAAGGAATGGACACAAAGAGAACTCACTTCATCTTGGCTTTCCTCTGTTCTAGCAAAACAAAGGCGAGCCTGATGCTGCCTCAGCTGCGGTCTGCTCTGCTGCAAAGGCCCAGGAGCAGCCGCCCCCACTCTCGACTCCACCGCACTTCTCTTCCTATTACTGTCAGGACAGTTGAGTGAGCACTCTGTATTCCTGCCTAATTTTTCCTGACAAGCATCATAGTGTGTGAAGTTTCCAGTGAGAAAGGACTTGAGATCTCATTTATTTGTTCATGTGAAGAAAATCACCTCAGAATTAGGAACCCTGAAAGAATCAGCAAACATAAATGAACAGATGGCTAACCTCCCTGGTTTATCTTGCTGGGCTGGCATCCAGCTTTTAGGCAACCATAAATCCAAAGACAAGTGGAAGGGTTTCCAGAAAGAAGGGGTTACCAGAAAGAAGGGTAAACCTGGCTGTTCTGACATGCGTAAACAGTGTGACTTGAACTTGTTCCTCCAACTTTCAGGATAGAAATAAACATTTAGTACATTTGACTTCTTAATGAAACAAAGCAAATGAAAAACAAGAACAATAAAAACTGTCCTTGGCAGCATGCCAGAGTCATAACCAACCCAGACCATGTTACAGCTGGGGCTTCTCCTCTGTCTCCCTCCACCCCCACAGCCCTTCTCTGCCTGGCCACTTCTTAGTTGAGTCACCAGCACTCAGACAAATCCTCATAGCCCCTTTTACTCCCTTCAAATCTTGCCCTCAAGAGTGGTGGCTTTTCCTGCTGCTTTCATATGTCTCTTTTCCTCCACCTTACAAGTTGGATGTTTGTCAGGAAACCCTCTGTCAATCCCAGAGTAGATCACGTGCTGGAGAGTGAGTGAGTGTGTGTGTGTGTGTGTGTGTGTGTGTGTGTGCTCATGCGAATGCACTAAGTAGGAAGAGAGATGGGGAATGAGAGAACAGAGGGAAGTTGTAAATACAGCTGCTAACATTTCTAAAACAGTGTGTCTTTATTTTTATTTTCTCACTTTCAGCTCAGAGAATGGCAGTTACTATTCAGTTACCATTACTGCCACGCCAGCTGCAATCTACTGTGAGTCTGCTAAAGTCAGGTGCTATGCTAGGGGCTTTATAATGTACCTTATCTCTGAGTTTTACACTGACACTACAAAATAAAAATCCCCATTTTGCAGACAAAGAAATGGTGGCACTGGCTGTCCCAAGTCACAAAGCCAGTAAATGAAATCAAATCTGACCAAGTCCAGGAGTGCAGATTTACTCACCCATCCAGCAGCTGCCACCCCATGGCACCCTGAGGGTAGAGTTGCCAGATTTAGCAAATAAAACCTGGGATACCCAGTTAAATTTGTATTTCAGATAAACAACAAATAATTTTATAATATAATTATGTCCCAAATATTGCATGGGCTACATCAAAAATGTTTTTATTCATAGGAGATGCATGCTGAAGGATTTAGGAACAAAGTGTGTGATATCTACAACTTACTTCAAATAATTCAAGAAAAAGTGCATCAGAGAGATAAATATGGCAGGACATTAACAACTGATACATCGGACTGAACCGAAATATCACACGAGACAGACTCATACTAAAATGTTATTTGTTATCTGAAATTCAAATTTAACTGGTTGTCCTGTATTTTATTTTATTTGGCAACTCTAGCCCAGAGGGACAGTGAAACTATGGAGAAGCCATAAGTTGGACTCTGAACTCTCAGGGTTTCCTCGAGTGTTACCCGTGCCATCTGGAGGAAAGGAAACTAGGGCAGCTGCGTGAGGTCACTGTCAGCTCCTAGTAAGGAGCCCACAGGTGAGGAACCGAAAAAGGGAGAGTTCAACTCTAGAGTTTCCAGGCAGCCGCGCAGCCCCAGTATGCTAATGGGTCCAAAGAAAGCACCTCAACCTCCTGCCACAAGATGGCCCAGAGAGGGCTCTGTTTTGACTTAAACTTTTAATTTCTGCCCCTTCTATTTCTGATCCTCAGGGCATTCAAGTGTGCACTCCCAGGAGCTTGCTCGGCAAAGGAAGGCCTGAGAAACTAACAAATAATAACCTCAGCCTCAAGACCGCGGACTGTCTGGCACAGGAAGTTATTCATTCCGCCAGATACAACGAGCTAGTGTCCCCCTCAAAGGCGCCCTTTGCCAGTCTGAACAGAAAGCCATGGCTTGGGAACAACTGATCTTCCTCACCGAGGGTTCTGCTGTGGTGATGACAGCCACCAGACAAACCTTGTAATCAGCTGAGTCTTCTTAGTTACACTAAATGAAAAAGCAACATAAGGCCTTAAATCAGTTTTACAGTGTGACTCTGGATATTAAGAGTGGCACTGTGGAGTCACAATATAACTGTTGCTTATTAGTTTTAACCAAGACGAACATAATGAATTTTTCCACGCACAATACTGTGGCACTACCACTAAAACAAAATACTGGAAAATTATCAAGTTCTATGGTGAATTCACAGTGTCAACAGCTAAATTAATAATTGGACTAAAAAACATACTTTTCAGTTAATCACCCAATATGTACCTACTGAGAGCTTTCTATGTGCCCGGACTATGCCCTGCAAACAGGCATAGGCCCTGTCTGTAAGAAGAAATTTAGCTAAGGACACAAAACCAACATGCATGTAACAGGGAGTGAAAAATTATGTGCAAGACTCAGTAATTCAGCCTAACAAACAGCTTATGCCTGAAATTATTTAGATCCTTCCAGTAGCATGGATCTGTGATAAAATTCCCCCATCTAAACATCTCACAGGCTGCTCCAAGACAACATGACCAAAATGGACTCATGATTTTCTCCCCTAGTTGATCACTAAGTCCTGCTGATTTCACCTCCTCCTCTTCCCCATTTCTACCCCAAGGCACATTTCATCATTGGCTTGGACTGTGACAATACTGTATGTAGGCTCCTAACTGGTCTCCCTCTCTCCAGCCTTTTTCCTTTCAAATGCTTCATCCATCTCAGGCTTCAGAGAAGCCTGTCAAAAGTGCCTAAGGGAACAGATACTCCACCCCTGCTCAAAGGATAAAGTCCACAGTCCTTGACCTGTTGTGATCTGATGCAACTGCGTCACCTGTCGCTGTCTTTTCCTGGTAGGCACTTTATGCACCAGTAACACGCAACCATCTACTGTTACCTAGCACCCACCACACAAGTTCTCAGCCAGTGCCTTGGCCTGAGTCACTCACCGCCCTTCACCCAGAAGTCTCTGCAGGGCCCTTATCACCTGGTTCACTTCTACTTGGGCTTCAGGGCTCAATTCAGAAGTGCCATCTCTCAGAAGGCCCCTCTGAACTATGTGTTTTCTCTCTGCTTTCATGAAACTTCACAAGTTTTATAAGGAAAATGTGTTCATTAGTCTTTAGTGTCAGATTGGGTCTGATACTAAGAACTGTATCTTTTTCATGGATCCCCAGCACATAACATGGTTTCTGGCACAGAAGGGACACAATAAATAATTAATGAAGAAACAGATGATACCGCAGCGTAGAGCACAACGCTGTGCCAGGCATTCATCTTCTGCTGTTTACCCAGTTCTTCTTGGTAAAATCTTCAATGTGGCAAAATGCCGCATATTCTAAATAATATGTAAGAAAGGTGATCTGAATAAATAAAAAGTCTGAATTTCAGTACTGCAGAATCAAGAAGAGACAGTAACTTTCTTAGCTGCAAATATTATTTTTCAAGGAGACATTTTGGCCTCCTTTCATAAATGGTTAAGACTAGTTTGGAATTAGCAGGGTCTATTTTTATGCATAATTAATATGCCAAAGGCACACAAACATTAGTTCTAAGTCTGTTAGATCTGTCTTTAGCAATTTTGGTTTTAATGAATTTTTTATAACATCCTTTTTCATAGCAAGTATAGCATAGGATTTTCACAACCTTAAAACTGATGAAACTCTTTCATTCTTTCCACAAATATTAACTTAGCAATTCCTTTGTGCTAAGCCACTGTTCTAGGTATTGGAGATATAATGGTAGACAAGATCTCCTACCTTCTCATTTTATTGGTGAATTCTAAAAACTCCTTGATATAACAAGGAACAAACTAGACTTGTAAGCAATAAAACATCACATTTATCTAAGGGAAAAATACCTAGATATTATGATAAATTATCAATCTACAGAAATTTCTATATTCATATTAGAAGAGATGTTTAAAGTAGCAGATAACATTACTACAAATGTGCAGAAAAAGTCATGTGTTGCCTCCAATTTCTATTCACAAATGATGCTACTGATTGTTGTTACTTTATTTTTTATTTATTCAGTTACTTATTTATTTTTTGAGAGGGAGTCTCATTCTGTTGCCCAGGCTGGAGTGCAGTGGCATGACTCGGCTCACCACAACCTCCGCCTCCCGGGTTCAAGCGATTCTCCTGCCTCAGCCTCTCGAGTAGCTGGGATTACAGGCACACATGACCACACCTGGCTAATTTTGTATTTTTAGTAGAGAAAGGGCTTCACCATGTTAGTCAGGCTGATCTTGAACTCCTGATCTCAGGTGATCTGCCCACCTCAGCCTCCCAAAGTGTTGAGATTACAGGTGTGAGCCACCGTGCCCAGCCTGTTGTTACTTTAAATCAGGTAAATGCTACTCCATCCATTCCCTACCCATTCCATTATATTTGTCACAGAAAATTTGGACAATGAAGAAAGTAAAAGGAACAAAATTTAAATCCCCTGTAATCCACACTATCGCTGTTAACATATGGGTTTATTTCCCTCTGGTCTAGTCATATATATGTGTATTTTAAACAAAATTGAGATCATATGTATTGTATCATTTTTTGACTCATCTTTTATAAACGATTATCCTTGTTATTAAATAGGTTTTGAAACTGTTATTTTAATGTCTGTATACTAATCCACTGTATTAGTATATTTAAAAAAATATACTAAATCAGTTTATTTAATCATTCTTTTACTATAGGACATTTGTGTTGCTTTCATGCTGAAGTAAATGTTCTTGAATATATTTGTCCAAATTAGTGAATAATTTTGTTTTCTTTTTTTGAGACAGAGTCTTGCTTTTGTCACTCAGGCTGGAATGCAGTGGTGCAATCTTGGCTCACTGCAACTTTTGACTGTCATGCCTCAGCCACTGGAGTAGCTGGGATTACAGGTGCACACCACTACACCCAGCTACTTTTTGTATTTTTAGTAGAGATGGGGTTTAACCATGTGGGCCAGGCTGGTCTCTAACTCCTGGCCTCAAGTGATCCACCTACCTCGGCCTCCCAAAGTGCTGGGACTACAGGCATGAGGCACCACACCTGGCCCAAATCAGTGAATAATTTCTTAGAATAGACTCCTAGATTGGGATTATTGGGTCTAGAGACAAAAAGTTTTCATGAACTCATCAGCCTTTAAATATCAACAAGTTGCTCCAGAAAGCAGTGTATGAGCAACCATTTCAGCATATCCATCCCAATATTGGTGTTTAAGGTTTTCAGAAATCTTTGCTTCCTCAGTAGTGGCAAAATAGCATCTTCTTGTTTGAACTTGCATTTCTTGAATTACTGGAGAAGCATAACAGTTTTTACCATGTATGAAGTGAGACTGTTTTAAAACAAAAGTAAAAGAATCTTCAACCAGCATAAGCTTCCATTTGGGTACACAGAAGGCTGGTCAGAGACAGAACTGAGAACAACCTCTCTGAGCTGTGTGTAGTGAACATGGAGTCGCTGGCCAGGCTGACACCTGACCTGCAGATGAAGGAACAGATGCAGGCTGGATTAGCTTGACTGCTGAACACTGACATGACTTAATACAGCCACAACCCAAGTCAGCCTAACAGCAATCTTTTGGGAAGGCAACACCATGAGAGTGGTGAAACCAGCTGTCCTGATGTAAGCCACTTCCAAGTGATAAAAATAAGCACTCAGGGAATCCATTAGGCTTTCACGGGAATCAGTAATACCTTTAAGGAAAGTTTCGGGATTCGAGAGCACTACTGGTTGTTCTTTAAGGTCAGTAAAGTGCTACTTCATAATTAAACACAACTTAAGCATCCATGTTGCCATCTGCACAGTCTAAATTCATCCAGAGATAATGCAGACCAACTTGGAGAACTTGCCCTAATTGTGTATGGATGGTATATTGGCCTAATTGTATACTGGACTCCAGATTAATAAAACTCATCAAATGGCAAAACACCAATTGATTTGCTTTGTTTTTTAAAATTGCTCCCTGAAACGAAGCAAACCCAACCCAGACTCATGCAGTAATTTAAGTAATTTCCACTGTTTACATAAAAGAAAGAAACTGCCATTAACATTCTACTCTTATTCCCTGACCTTATTTTAACTCAGTAAAAATGTATTGGCATTCATTTATTTATGTCACTGTTGCTTAACTCATTTTCATTTTGCAACTGTCATAATTTTAACTAATGAGCTCTGATAGTTCAGATTCAAATGTAGCTCATGGGTGAACTGTACTTTGTTTATAAATTACATACAGGACAATATGGTGGAATGACAATCCCAAAAAACCTCCTGCTACAAAATACCCACTAACTTATTTTTGAAAGTTTCTAGGTGATTACAAATGTACAGCCAAGTTTGAGAACTGATGACCTAAAGGGAAAAAAAGCAGCTACCGATAGAAACTTAAACATAGAACCAGGTGAAAATTGGGAGCGGGAGGGGAATATATATATACATATATGGGGAGTGGGGAGGCGGGTGAGAAAGAGGAGTTTCAGATGTGAATAAATAAGAAATAAGGCCACGGAAACAAGGCCCACATTCTGTGTGTAACTTGCACAGCCAGTCTCATTATTTTGCAACCTGTTTGGTTGTGATTATATCTCTCAAAATTGAAATAAGTAATATTTTCATTACCTACCTATTTCTATGTCTCCTCTTCCACTACTGTTGATTATCAGAAGTACAGTGTTAAAAGAAAATATCCTTAAAATGGGAATTGTGGGCGCTGGGAGGACTGGTGAGATGTTAGTCAAAGGACACAAAATTTCAGTTTGATATAAACAAATTCAAGAGATCTAATGTACATCATGGTGATCACAGTGGATAACAATATATTGGGCCAGGCACAGTGGCTCACGCCTGTAATCCCAGCACTTTAGGAGGCAAAGGTGGGAGGATTGCTTAAGCTCAGGAATTTGAGACCAGCCTGGGCAACACAGCAAGACCCCATCTCTACAAAAAAATATTTAAAAATTAGCCTGGCATGGTGCACACCTGTAGTTCCAGCAACTTTAGAGTTTAAGGCAGGAGGATGGCTTGAACCCAGGAGGTCAAGGCTGCAGTGAGCCATGGTAGTGGCACTGTACTCCAGCCTGGGTGACAGAGAGAAGCCCTATCTCAAAACAAAAACAAAAACAAAAACAAAAATAAAATAAAATAAAACCCCAAAATATTGTATATTTGAAAAATGCTGAGATTAGATTTTGTGTTCTTACCACAAAACAAAGATAAGTAATTGAGGTAAGGTGTATGTTAAACAGCTTGATTTAGCCATTTCACTATGTATATCTATATGTATATCTCTCTCAAAACATCATGTTGCATGCCCTAAATATGTACAATTTTGACTTGTCAATTAAAAAATGAATTTTAAAAAATGGGACTTGTGATGAGTGATTACATTAGTGTAACAATGGCACTCTGCCTCACACTGTCTCTGGAAAGTGTGTAAAATTCAGATGCTGAAGGGGCCAGATGGCTAGGGCAAATGAGTGACACAGGCCATGGGTTTGTACATTTGTTTGCATGTCAAACCCCAGCAGCAATATTCATTTCTACAGAGAAACATGCCCTCCCCCATTTCTGTTAAACACATGATCCTCTCAAGCTATCTTTCATTTTCCTTCTTTTGGTAAGGAGTGTCAGATATAGAGAAACATTTCTCTACTCTAAGAAACACAACAGCACATGCACAACAACGGATACCTTCACTGGGCCTTGGGAGCCAATAAGGGCGCAAAGGACGGTGGGTGCTGTGGTCTGAATGTTTATGTCCCCTCAAAACTCCTTTGTTGATATCCTTACCCCCAAGGTGGTGAGATTAGGAGGTGGGGCCTTTGGAGGTGATTAGGTCACGAGCGTAGAACCCTCTCGAATGGGATTAGTTCTCATAAAAGGTACCCCAGAGAGCTCATTTGCCATGTGAGGTTAGAGTGAGAAGACCATAATCTATGAGGCAGTGGACCCTCACCATACCCCAAATCTGCCGGGGCCTTGATCTTGGACTTCCTAGCCTCCAGAACTGTAAGAAATAAATTTCTGTTGTTTATAAGCCACCCAGTCTATGCTATTTTGTGACAGCAGCCTGAATGGACTAAGACAGTGGGAAACAGGGAAGGCAGGTCTCTTCTAAGGGTCAGCCTCTTTTCTGCCGAGACAGCTACCACACAGAACTTGGTATGACGAGTACCAAAGAACATCCACATGTTTCAAGAGAAGCTGGAAATCTGGACCAATACGTGAAGTTTCCAGATTTTAAAGGTATAAATCATTCATGAGACAAACATGTGACCACTGGCCTACAGAGTGAGGCAAAATGTGAGACTAAACAACAAAATGCAAACAAAATCATTTCCAAAGAAATTATTTTCTCTATTCATCCAAGTAACACTTACTGACCATCTATTTTGAATAAGACATTGCATTTGGCAGTAAGAAAAGACACAAAACTAAATACGACAGGACATCTACCTTCAAAGAGAGCTTTCATACTAGATTAAAATACCAAATTACGTCATATGGGTTGAAAATCCCCGCAGGGCTGAGGCCAGAAGGGAATTACTGAGTAATTCAATTATGGAGATATGAATGCTCTTGTCTACTTTGATCAGCACTCGGGGAAAGACAAGAGATTGTGGAACTGGAATTACTGATGGCCCAAACTCCTATTTTTAACACTGGACTCACAGGAAAGCCAAAAGGACACAGTAAATCAAAGACACACCAAGCAAAATCCTGGTTGTTTGAAAACATTAACAAGATAGCTTCCAAACTGGCCTTACAGGAATATAAAACAGGGATATTATGTATTTTTAAAAATATTCTAAAAAAATAATTAAATGAAAACTAGATCAACAGTTCTCAAAGTGTGATCTCAGGACCCCTGGGGAGCCCGAAGACCTTCTTAGGAGGCGCCCACAAGGTCAAAACTATTTTAATACTAAGGTATCATTTGCGTTTTTAATTCTATTATTTCTCTGAGTGTAGAGTGGAGTCTTCCAGAGGTTACGTGATATATAATGATGTCATATTGGAATATGTGCTTGTGTAGTCTTCTGTTTTAAACATTTCTCAAAAATACATATCAGTTTCAATTTCTAATATTGTAACTATCAATAGGTATGGAAACATAAGTTCTTTGGGGTCCTCAATAATTTTTAAGAATATGAGGGGCCCAGGAGTTTAAATTGGATTATAAAATCTGCAAGGGTAGAGACTGCCTCTTGTTTAGTGTTATATCCATAGCTCTTAGCACACTGCCTTGCAAATGGTACACACTCAGTAAATATTTGTCAAATGAAAGAATGACTGCCAAAGCATGTACCCAAAAGTGCATTTAGATATAGAAAGCAAACACCTAAAGTGGTCTTTATTTTTCCTTGGTTGTTTTTTCCAGTTACCAGCTTGGATTAAAAATGGTCCCTTCCTTAGTGTATAGTGTATAGATAGTGCATATCTTGATGATATGGCCAGGAATGTCTAGTAACTTGGCCAACATCCTATGTTTTCATCAATGAGCTTATAATTCCACCTCCTGATTCTTCCTGGGAAATAAGCAAATGTCTGGCAGAACAGATGGCCCCTCTGCTGTGGCCTGACAGAATGAAATCTTGGATTTATTTAACAATAAAGCAAAGTAGTTTCCACAGGCAGGAATCTTCCCCTCCTCACCAAATAATATTTCCTTTAATGTAAACTTGCAGATTAATAGTAATTATAAGTAGTAATCTCCTCAGTCAGAATTACCATCTTAAGGAATGAAGACATGGTCTAAAATAATCACTATACAAATATAAACACCTTTTTTAAAAATGCATATTCCCAAAATTGCAGATTACGATCCCACAGCAACCTGCCTCCAGTAATGGATTTTATGATAAGCACTTTAACCTGAGTTCTGTTCCTAATGAGTCTGATTCAGCAAGTCTGGGATGGGGTCTGGTATTTTCTAAATCTTTGTAAGTGATTTAGATGCATCTCCTAGAGTCTAGGGGCTATGCTGACAACTGTTAGCCTACTATATTGTCTTAATCATTAATAAGGAATGCACTCATAGTCAACATGAATTAGTAAGACACTAAAATAAACTTAATATGATTTTGATATCACAAGATCGTGTTTCTAAAAGCCAGGAAAGAATTTGGATAATTTTGCTTAGGAGTTAGAGAATCTTGCAAGGAAATTAACGACACTGCCTCCGTTTACAGTGCTATAGTTTCTTCCTGTGCTGAGCCAATCACATTGCTCCGTTATAAACTTGGAAAAGAGAAACTAGGAGATGAAGCATGTCTATGAGAGGTCAACAGCTGGAAAGTCACACTGAGGCGGGGCTGAGCAAGCCCGGATGAGTACAGAGCCAGGCTGAGTAAACAGAGGAAGCCTGTTGGTGGAGAAAGCAGAGGAAAAAGTGGGAGGCAGAGTGTGCCTGCTTCCTGCTGACTTTCCACTTTCGGTTGTCCTCTCAGGAGGCCTTACTGTGCCGTGGTTCTTGCCCTTTGATTTCTATGAGCTTCCCCTTCCAGATTTACAGAAACAAAAAAAAGAATCCTCTCTTGCCAGAGCTAGTTTGAGTAGGCCTCAACTCCTTAAGAGAGCCAAGAAGCGGGATACATTGTGGTCTGTAAGGACAATGTAGCATGAGAGGTGAGGGATGGCCATAGAATTTATTGTCCAAAGCAGAAATCTTTTGGAGGAAAGGGGGTGTTAGTGATTACACCAGCACAACAGGTACACAGAAACCATGTAGGACTATTCCAGGCAAATGGGATGTATGGTCATCCTTGAGATGGGAAAAGTGGGTTCAGGATCAGAAGGCTAGCTGGCACGCTCTCTCCTTCCCTCTCCATTTGACTTTAGATAAGTCACTTCTATTCCAAGAGCCTCAATTTCCTTGACCGTAAGATAACAGATTTAAGATATCTTTACAGGTTTTTTTCTGATCAAGAAAAATCTCAGACTAAGATAAGTCTTCTTTGAATAGAGGCAACTCAGGAGATGAGGTAGATATGCAAGAAGGAGCCTTTTAAAATGATATATAGCTGAATGCCTTTACATACACATCAATAAAGATGTTTTGCTGATTTGACTTTAAAAAACAAGATCCCATAGTCACCAATCAAAGCAATCTGGTTATCAGTGATTACATTTTACTTCTTTTTTTATTTTTATTTTTATTTTTTTTGAGACAGAGTCTTGCTCTGTCGCCCAGGCTGGAGTTCAAGGGAGCCATCTTGGCTCACTGCAACCTCCGCCTCCCGGATTCAAGCGATTCTCCTGCCTCAGCCTCCCGAGTAGCTGGGACTACAGGCACCTGCCACCATGCCTAGCTAATTTCTGTATTTTTAGTAGAGACAGGGTTTCACCATATTGGCCAGGCTGGTCTCGAACTCCCGACCTTGTGATCCACCCGATTCAGCCTCCCAAAGTGTTAGGATAACAGGCGTGAGCCACCACGCCTGGCCTATATTTTACTTCTTGAGGAATCGGTAGAACAGCTCCAGAGTTTCTATGGCTCCCAAAAGAAACCAGCTGGTACTGACTTGCCCAGAGCCTCAGGTCCAGATGAAGGGGAAGTGTATTTGTCCTGTTCATTGCATCTCTGAGACCTAATGCTACAGTCCTGCCTTGACCTGTGAAGAGGAAGTCAAAGGTGTAAACAGTCTCCCACTGGTTCCCTTGCCATCCCATCCCTTGTTGGCCAGCCCTGACTGTGGCCAGTTCTGCATCCCTATTACTGGGAGACAGTCAACCTGCCAGCACGTCTGCAGAGATTAGGAGCGCAAACTTAATATTCTGAACTGCATAGCTGCTCTTAAAGGTCATGGGATCTCAGAAGTTTGGAGCTAAGAGGAACCATAGCTTGTATAATAAGTTTCAATTCACAGATGACAAATATAGCTAAAGACATAACAACTGTTAACGTTCAGGCATTGTGCGAGGCATTGTGCTGGGTGCTTTATAGATATCATATTATTTCATTCTTGTGACAACTCTGAGTTAAGTATTCTTATCCTTATTGTTCCTATTTTCAAAATGAGGATCCTTAGGATTTGAGGGATTAAATAACTTGCCACTGTGCTTGTTCAGCTTAGTCCAAGAAATCCTTAGGGACAGAAAAAAAATGTTTGATTCAGTTCTGCTGATTCTCAGGACACTCTTCTTTCTATTAAAATGATCACAGGCGAGTGAAGAGGCATTTAATATGTATCTCAGGCACTGTGCTAGGTGTCAAGGCAGTTCACTGGGATACCAGATGAAATGTAACGTAAACTCCTGCCTTTCCAGGCCTAAGGGAGGAAAAGGAACTGCTGGGTCTCTGCAAAGCTCTCTCTTCATGAAGGCCCAAACGCTTGTAAGGAAATGCCTTATTAATGCTCACAATATCCCCTAGGAAGAGGGTGTGGGAAAAAGAGAAGTACTATTATGCCTCTCTTGCAAATGAGAAAATTGAAGCAGAAACAATTACAGGCCTTGCCCAATACGAGGCAGTCACCACTGAGGCCAAAAATGAAACAAAATTGTCTTGGTTCCTTCCACGATATTCACTGGCCAAAATTAAAAGTCTCTCTTCAGTTACCTCTGGTCACTGCAGGGTTCAAGGACAATTATCATTTGAGACAACTTTTTGGATAGGAATTCTCTTACTAAGCTTCCCACACCTACTCATTTGAATTTCATCCCTTTTCCCTCTTCCCTTTTTGACATAGACAAGTCGGGGCATAGACAATCTTCAAATGAAAAAACAAAGAACTGGAAATATCAGAGTAGATTATATTATAACTACATTAGAATCAAGTTATGAATGAATTCTCCCATAGTAATACTAGTGGCAATAAAGATGACTGCCACATATTGATTACCTATTCTGTGCCTGATACTATGCTAAGTGCTTTATACTTGGTCCTACAATAATACACATGCAGAGACAAATCCAGGTTTTGTGGGTCCTGAAGCTTATACAATTTGAAGGGTCCTTCTTAAGAAAAAAGAAAATTTGGGATATAGAATGAGGTACAGGGCTTCGCAAGGGTCTGTGCAAGTGAGAGACCCAAAGCTTAACTTTGCGAGTTTCATGGTAAATGCATCACTGTGCCCAAGTTAGCTAACAGCTCATATCCCCAGTTTTACAAGCAATGAAATTGAGGACCAAGTAAGTTATTTGACGTAAGTCATAAAGCTTATACTGGCAAGGATAGGATTTGAACATATGGAATCTGACTCCAAATCTCACGTATTTTCTTTGTGTGGCTTCTAATAAAAATAAAGTTGCTATCACCTATTAAGCACTAACTATATCCCAGAAAGATCACACCTTAAGGTTATAAGAATTATTTGACAAAGCAGATGTGATCGTTAGTCCTTATTATCCCTATTTACAGATGGGGAAAACATGAATCAAGTAAGATTAAACAGCCCACGGTCACCGAGCTGGGACATAGTGGAAGCTAGGTTTCATGCCCAGGAGTGTAACATCCTCAATCTTTCCCACTGTCCCATGCTACCTACCACCCTACAGGTAATCCAGGAAAAAGCAGAATAGCGATGTGTGACTTACCTCTAATGACAACAGTATTTCCACACCTGCCCACTGAAACTAGCCCTGTCCTTTAGTTTCATACAATACACCGTGCAGTCCTCCTTAGCTGGGATTGAGCAGCTCTGAAAGTCCACTTCCCTGTACTATTACTTATCAGAACAGAGTCCATTCCTCATGGAGAAAAACACTTGGAAATATCAACACAAACTCAGGCCCCAGCCAAGTTGCCTTACAGCCACCCCCTCACCCAGAGAAATGGAGACACACAGAGAATCTAAGGGCTGGCTATATGGGAACCACGGGGAAGATCACTCATCCTATAGGGCTCCTTGAAACAGCCTTTCAAGGCCATATAAGAAAACTCACATATTTACTATAATTGGATTGCTTTACTCTAGTCACCCAAAGCAAGAGTTTACATCCTCAAACACAGCTCACCATGGATTTGGACATGGACAGGAGTGGAGAAAGGATTCAGTTTCTTTTTTCCTTGAACATGATTGCTCAAAGGAAACTGACCCTCGAGACGCTCAGACAGTGGGCCTTGTCTTCCCTTGGCAATGTGAACTTTAAAAATTACATTATGCTTTGCCATGGTGCTTTTTGAAAAACTGCCTTTAACTGCCAGATTTCAGGTACTCACTTAATTACTTTTGGAAACTCAGTTAAAGGAAGATATCCATTGCCACCTGGAATAAAATAGCTTTACTGACTGGAGAGTGCAGTGATTCAAAGTAGACTAGGCCTGGGCTTTTTTATCTGGCCGCAGCAAGTGCAGACCAGTGGGAGAAATGAAGCGTGCAGTTATGGATGCTAACAAGAAAGGCTGCTGCTCCAGTGATTATTTTTCTTTTTTAAGGAAAAAATGATCCCAGTAATTCTCTTTTGTTCCTCTTTTGACACAGCTTGGTGGATGTGGGGGAAAGGGCAGATGAAATGACCAGTGAAATCAAAAGATGAAGTCTTCTTAAAGGACTGGCTCTCCAGCCCAATCATCTAGAGGAAGAGACAAGTTCAGATTCTTGTAGGGTATCTAAATGCATCTGTGCCTGAAAATTATGGCCGTTTGAGAAAAACAAGAATTCATGGTGAGACAAAGCAACACAGACTGTTGGTACAAGATACAAAGCCACTAAGTCAGCGTTCAGCAAAGACTGATGGATGAATTGTCACCCAGCCTAAAGGACTGGCCCAGCTACCAACTGCCCCTGCCCAGCCCAAGAGGGCAAGAACACAATAGACCGCACACCCACGTCTCATCCCCAGGCGCACACCACTTCAAAGGCTACAGCAAGCAGACAACATAACCTGCCTCTTCTGCGGTGTCTTTCATTCAGTTCTGTTTCTTCATGAAGTGGGAAGGAAACAAGTTTGGGCCCACCTGAGATTGGGGTGTAGACGGAAGGAGTGGGGAGAGATGCAAACGACAGAACACAACCGAAGGCCTTTTTAAAAGTCAGGATCCATAGCCTTACTTATCACTGTAAAGGGAACAGAGTCGGCTCCATCCTTCCTCATCCTTCTTTAACCCTCGCCTACCAAGCCCTGGAAGACAGGGACGCAAGAAGAGCTCTAGCGCGGAGGGTCTGCCTGAGTGCTGGTCTTTCCCATACAAGATGTAGCAGCAGGGATGGGAGGGTGAGCTGGACGACTCCACAACACACACACAGCCCGCCCCGCCTCACCTTCTCGATACTCTGGTCTACAGCCTTCTGGAAGACCCGGGCCACCAGCAGCGTGACGCTGGTCACCAGCAGGAGCAGGGACAACGTCCCCGCCGTGTAGAAGCAGCATCGGCCCATTCTGTGCGCCGCTCACGGGCCGGGCCGGGCCGCACCCGCCAGGGATCCAACTGCAAGGAGGGAGGAGCCGCCGCAGAGGCGTCGAAGACCCGGGACCCTTCGGCGCCACGCCCACGCCCTCCCGGCGCACGGTTCGTGCGCGCAGCTCTGGGCTCCGCGGCCTGGCGAGCGCGGCCCCGGGTGCACCGGGCGGATGGGGCCGCGGAGGGACGGGCCCGGACTCGGTTTCGGTTTCCTTCGCCGGGCAGCCGTGGCGCCCGCCTAGCGCAGCTCGGGAGAGTGCAGGGAGCGCGCAGGGACGTGACGTTCGCGGGCCGGGCTCGCCGCAACCCCGCGAGGCAACCGCCGGCGACTGCGCGGGGAGGCGGGCGGGGGCGGAGGCCGCAGTCATGTGCCCTGCGGCGGCGGCAGTGATTCGGCCCGCGCCCTCCCCGGCCGGTCCCCGGTGGCCCTGAGTGGCTGCGGCGCCTGAGCCAGGCCCGGCCTGGCCGCTCCCAGCGCCCTGCACCGCAGGCCCAGCGCTCGCCCCACCGAAATTGCCGAACCTGGTTCACACACTCATTTACTCATTCCGCAGATAGGTCTGAGGGCCTCCCATGGGCCACGCGCTGGGGATTCAAGGTGGCTGGGACATTCCCCTGCTCTAGAGGCGCTCGCAAGTTAGCGGGGACACCGTTACCGCAATTACAACACAATGTAGCAAGTGCTTCTACCAGGTGCCTGCTGAGATCATGCCAGCAAGCATGTTCTGCCTGGATGACCTAGGGCCCCACATTGAACTGGGGCCTGGGGGATGCATAAGTTTGTCACGTAAGGGGCATGTGCAAGAATGGAAGATGTGCAAAAAAGGGAGGAGGAGGCATTTCACGGAGAAGGAAACGGTGAGCAAAGGCATTGGGGGTGAAAGAGCAAAACCTGTAGGAAGCAAGAAGGAAGTTCCTTTTGACTGTAGGCTCAGGTGTTCAGGGGGTGGAGTCGGAGGTGTTGAGGCCCCAAGAGGTCAGACTTTGAAGGGCTCTTGGTATCCTGTTAAAGATGTGGAAGTTGGGAAGGAGCTTAAAGCAGGCATCGCTGGTGTTCTTGCCTGCTTTGCTCACTGTGGTGTCCCAGACACCCAGGACCAAGACCTGCACACAGCCAGGACTCAAGAAGTGTTCGTTAAATGAGTGTTTCTTCTACGCCAGCCCTTTACTAGTTTCTTTGCACAGTTCTACTCATTTAATACCCTTGGCAGTCCTATGAATAGGAGGTTGTGTTTGTCCCAGTCCTCCAGAAACAGTCCCAGATGGGGGTACTATGCAAGAGAGTTTTGAGGGAAAACAGGGAGCTGGACCTGGGATGCAGGTGTGATCCTTGTGAAGGAAAGAGGCAAGCAAGGAAGGAAGGTTGGGTGGAAGGAAGCATTTGATATATATACAGTCCATGTATAAAAAGTTCAGCAAGGCCATTGGGGTGGGGAATCCTTTAGCCAAATGGGCTTGTCCCAGAAGTCTGGCATCTCCCAGAAAGAGGCCCGCCTTAGTATCCCTGCTGTGCTCAGTCATGAGCTGGGAGCAGCCTTAGGAAGCTGGCCTTTGCAGCAACCTAGGGATAAATATCAGGGTATGGATTTCAGCAGAGCTCAGCAGTTGAGGCGGAGCCATTGGTCAGTTATGCTATCTACACTGCAAGATCCAAGAAGTACATTTTCTTGGCAACTATAGTGTATTATCCTCATTTTACACTCAAGAACACTGGGGCTCTGAGTTAAGTAACCTAACAAGCTCAACTGGTTGCTGAGTGGTGGATCCTGCTTGAACCAGGATGTAGGGCTGGCTGTTGGCTTCCAAAACCCTCACTTTTTCTACTCTGCGCATTGCTGCATCCCGATCTGTCACTAATGAGAATCTGAGGACAGCAAATCAGTTAGGAGGCTTTGTTGAGGACTTGGTGAGATAGCATGATGGTTTAAAAATGGTGGCAAATTATTTGTTACTCCTTTCGTTGAGAGGTGGGGTCTATACTTTCTCGCTTTGAATTTGGGCAGGTTTTAGCAATTTGTTAAACCAATAGAATACAGTGGAAATGACCATATCCTGGAACTTCTGAAGCTAGATCATAAATGCCTTGCAACTTCTGCTGGGGCCTTTGCAAATTCTTGCTCTTGGAGCCTCAAGTCACCCCTAAGTTCAGCTACCCGGAGACTGCTGCAGAGAACATGGGAAAGACTGTGGGGAGAAGCCCTGAGTCTGTAGGAAGAGAAATGTCCCACCAGTCCCCAGCTGTCCCTAGCCTTTTGAGTCACAGGCCCTAGACATTACAGAGCAGAGGTGAGTGGTCCCTGCTGAGCCCTGCTCAAAATGCAAAATAAAGGATTGTTGTTGTTTAAGCCACTGAGTGTTGGTGTGGTAGGTTACTCAGTAGATAACTGGAGCAGATGGTAAGGGCAGAACTGAGGCTGGGACATTTTGTAGCTACCAAAGCTCTTCAAGCAGCAGCCCCAGAGGACCAGTCCTGTGTTCAAATAGAACCTGGTGGGGTCCTGAATGATTCAACTGTCCCCAGCCTGATGGGTGGGTGGTCTCCAGTCCTCAGGTGTCCACAATCGGCAGCCTTTCTCTTCCCCTAATCCTGCCTCTTCTCTGCTGTTAAGTTTCAGTTAGCTACATTAACTCTGCTCTGTGCCCCAGTTTGCTTAAGGAGCAATGCTAGCCCACTAACCCTCACATGTCCCCTACCTAGGCATTGGTTGAAGTCCTCCTGTCATCTATATGTCCTCTCCTTCCCTAACTAGAAAAAAAAATTTGGTAACTTGCCTGCCTAGGTACTTTGGCACTCAGAAGTTCATGCTCACACTGAACTTCCACCCCCTACTCTCTGACTGCTACAATCAGATTTTCTGTTTGCGGGCTCCATTCTGGAGGGCAAACTCCATAGGTACCCACTCCTCCCATCCCTGGACCACCAATCCCAGGGTACTCTTCCTTTTCATTGTTCATTGAGGTCCCTTCTTCTCTCTTGTCTGGGCCACCAGGACAGTAACAGACTGTGGGGATGGAGAGATGGAGACAAATTTGATAAATGTATCTTAGTGTGGGAGAGTTTCTAAACAAGGGTTTACAGCTCAAGTTGCCCTCAGTTTACCTGCTCTCTGAGGATCTCACTCTGTTTCCACTATGTCAGGCGGTTAGTAAGCCACTTCCCCTTTAAAACTCTGGACAAGCCGAATGAAAATCTCTTTCTTGGTTCTTCTTAACACAGCTGACCAGGCTAGCATTTTTAAATGTGTTAACATAAGACAGAACAAAAAGGACCTAATTACAGAAAATATAAACAGCTTTTAAGAAAATAATGTATGTTCCCAAAATAGCAGTCTGTGATCCCACAGTAATCTCTGTCTTATCACCGAGGCTGGCATAACTTTTTAGCAGCTGGCCTGGCTGTCTTTCTGTTCAGTTCCATCTTCTCTACCCACAGCTATGTTCAGAAGCTTTTGACACAAAGCCCCAAAATCCAGATTTAAGTTTCTCAATGCCCTTTGGGACTTCCTCCTCATTTCTGATCTATAGGACATGTCTGCACCGCTAATTGGCATTGTTAGTTTATTGCCACAGGATCATCTCACCCTATGAGAGACTTTGCCCTCTCATCCAGGGAGTAGCCCCTGCTTGCCAGCCACTAATAACCCTGAACACACTCTGGAGGGGCAGACAGCTTGGGAAGGGGTTACTGCTCCCAGAGTTTAGATGAGGAGGCTGATGCCAGGGCAGGGAGACAATCAGGACTCTTCCTGGTGACTTCTCTGCTATGGTTTGGATTTGTGTTCCCTCCAAATCTCATGTTGAAATTTGATCCCCAGTGTTGGAGGTGGGGCCTAATGGGAGGTGTTTGGGTCCTGAGGAGAGATTGTTCATGAATAGATTAATGCCTCCCTCAGGCATGAGTGAGTTGTCAGAGAGCGGGTTGTTGAAAAGAGCTGGCACCTCCTCCTTCTCTCTCTAGCTTCCTCTCTGCCCATGTGCCTCACACAGGTGTGCTCCCTTTCTGCCTTCCCAGGAGTGGAAGCAGCCTGAGGCCCTCATCCAATGCAGATGTCTGTGCCGTGCGTCTTGTCCAGCCTGCAGAACCATGAGCCAAATAAACCTCTTTTCACTACCCAATCTCAGGTATTGTTATAGCAACACAAACAGACAAGGGCGGAAAATGAGGAGACTGATGCTGTGGCAAGGAGATACGGTGATCTCTCTATACCTAAAATCAGAAGACTTTATCTGAGAAGAACAAGTACACTTAATGAATGATTGCTGGTGCCTGTTGAAATTATGCAATCATTCGGGACTTAGAAAAAGAGCTTTCTTCACAGACTCTAAGGGCTATCGAGGGGAAGCAAGAGGGCTCTTTGGGCTCTACCTTAAATTTAGAATGTTGATACTATACTCAAATGAGTTTAATGATGTAGTCATTGTATACTTTTATGTTCAAAGTGTTAATGTGTTAAATATAAACATTTAAAATACACCACAGGCCGGGCCAGGTGGCTCATGCCTGTAATCCCAGCATTTTGGGAAGCCAAGGCAGGAGAATCACTTGATCCCAGGAGTTTGAATGGAAATGGCCCTAGGCCTTGCCTACTTTGGGACAGGTCAGGCTCCAAGATACTTCTAAAAGTCTTGGCTTTCTTCTTATTGAAGGTGATCTATAAAATGTACCATCACACCCTAGTGATTTGACATATGTTATTCCTAAATGTTTGTGGGGCATCCTAAATCCTGAGCAATACAGCCTCCATAAGAAAAAATTACTCTCTCCTCCCTCCTCCCCTACCCATCATTCCAAAGTTCTTACATTACAGAACTGCTTTATGCAGATAGGCTTACATATCCCAGAGGAGAGCTCATATACCATTTATATTATATCACATGCACCTGTGCCAGGCCACAGGGACTCTCTGTGAAGTTACCCATGTCCCTGTCTACCGCCTCCTCCGATCAAGAAGACCTCATGGCTTCCTCATTATCATCTTTGCACCCCCAACTAGGGGAATCTTTTCCAGTTTGTTTTGGTTTGGTTTGGTTTTTATTTTGTTTGGGGTTATGGGAAAATGAGAATTCCCCTCTTCAAATTCTTATTTTCCTTTTTGTTCCCCTAATAATGCAGACTTATTGAAACACGGAACTAGGAGGAGATATCCTATTCACCTTTTTCTCTTCCCTTTCCTGAAAACACAAGCGTAGTGTTGTCTAACTAATAGAATGTGTGGTTGGAGGGCGAGGAGTCAGGAGATCAAAGAGGAGAAAAATATAGTGGGCAAAAAGGGTGAATATGTCAGCAATATTATCTGCTACTTGTACATAGTACTTGTACAAGCACTATGCTAGACAGTGGGCTTGCATTACTTCATTTACTCCTTACAATGCCCTATGATGTAGACATTCTATTTTAAGGATAAGGAAACTGAGGCACACAGAGATTGACTAAGTAGTCCAATGTTACTGGCCAGTAGGAAGCAAAGGTATTACTAAATCCAAGTCAGTCAGATGCTTTAGCCAGGCTCTTAACCCCTTAGCCACTGCTTGGGACTTCTGGCCTCATGCTTATTAAGAGTAAAAGGAAAGCAGTGAAAATTGCAAAAAATAAAAATAAAAATAAGCAATGGCACTGGAATACTCATGGTGACCTGGGCATCCAGGAGGGGCACAGGTTGGAATTAGTGTGTGTGGGAGACAATGCCTCTGCCTGAACCTGATGTTGAACTAGAATGGAGAGCCAGGAAGGAGTTGCCAGTCCGGTGGCCAAAAATATACTTTGCAATATATCTAATGTATATTCTGACGTGAAATGTATTCTAGTCTGTTCTCACTTGAGGTACTTTGATGGTACTTTCTAGAAGCAAATGAAGCTTGGGTTGGGTTTAAACTCACTGTGGCAAAGCCAGCATATTGTGAAATATCAAGGCTGTCTGATTTCCTGCATGTTGTGAAATCAGGGCTAAATAAACAACACGAGAGGTCACAGTTATTCTTTAATGATGTGTTCCATGGGGAGAAGCTGTATAAACGAGAAAGCCAGGTTTACTCAGCATCTCTTTCTGAGGGGAGAAAGGGGGGATGGAGAGTGAAGAGGGGACTGTCTGAGGGTAGAGGCAGACTTTGTCAGCCTGGAGTGGTGGGGAGAAGATATTTGGCCAGAGATAGGGGTGCAGTAGTGGAATGGGGAATGGGGGGCTTAGATATTAGACTATGGAAAGGGTAAAAATAAGCCCCGCCCCTCACCACTAACCTGGTCCCCGCATGACTTCTAACCACTGCACTCACCACATATCCTGAGAGTCTGAAATGATTACCTAGAAGCCTCCTATACTCATCAAACCTCAGAGAAGACTGCTATTCAGTTAACTTTACAACAGTTGTAAGCATTTCCAGTTCTTTCATAAATAAATACTGTTTCTTTTTAGTGTCAATGAAAAACGTTTCAGAATATTAATGAGTAGTGTTTGCTTCAATTGCACTGCAAGCTATCTTAAGCAGAACTGTTTCCTCCATTTTGAATCAAACCAGAGGAGATAGAGATGCAAATCACAGTTCTTTAAAAAGTTAAACAGAATTATCATATGACCTAGCAACTCTCTTCCTAGGTATATAACCCCCAAAATTGAAGACAGGTACTCAAACAAATACTTGTAAACCAGTGTTCATAGCAGCATTGTTCACAATAGTCAAAAGGTGGAACCGACCCAAATGTCATCAGACAATAATAGATACACAAAATATGTTATAGACATACAGTGGAAAATACTATTCAGCTATAAAAAGGAAAGAAATAGGCTGGGTGTGGTGGCTCATACCTGTAATACCAGTATTTTGGGAGACTGAGGCAGGAGGATTGCTTGGGACCAGGAGTTCAAGACTAGCCTGGGCATCATAGCAAGACCCTATCTCTATAGAAAAATTAAAAATTAGATGGGCACGGTGGCATGCACCTATAGTCCCAGCTTACTTATGAGGTGAGATAGGAGGATTCCTCGAGTCCAGGAGTTCAAGGCTGCAGTGAGCTGATTGTGCCACTGTACTCCAGCCTGTGACAGAGCTAGATCCTGTCTCTTAAAGAAAGAATGAAGTCCTGATACATGCTACTACAGTGCAGACTTCTTTTCTTTTCTTTCTCATCTGCCATTTCTGATGTGAGTAATGGTCCCTCTTAGAATATGATCTTTTTAAAAATCAGTGATGGGAAAAGAATTCTAGAAAGTTCTGGCAGTTTTTTACCCAGGGAGAAATAAAAGGGATAACCAGTCATAGGTACATTTTCTGTTACATAAGAAGCAAGATTGTACAAGAATGCTTCCAGGTGCTCACCTGGGATCAGCTGGGACCACAGGGGTTTCTTCATTCTCTCAGCGGAGTCAGTACACACACTCAGCTTCCCCTGGGGATGGCAGCTTCCTCCTGGTCCTCTTTATTTCCCCATGGGAAACTGTACAACTCACAGGCCCCAAGGTCCCTCACTGATTCCTAATCAACTCCTGTAAAGAGTCAGCTCCCTAAGTCCAGACTGCCTGGCACCATGCAATCTGTATATTCCCTTATGAACAAGGCCACTTTCCCATACCTGCCCACAGGAAGAAAAACCCATTGTGGCAGGGGAAGGGGACAGGCTTTCTCCTCTGGAACCGAATCATACAGCCCAGCAGCCTTCACCTGCTTCACTAATGGTAAGCTTGGGCGACCACTGCCTCACTGGTCCTGGCCTGGGGAGTTTTTCTTTTCCCCACTAAAGCCTATTCCCCATTACTCCTCTTTTGTTTGGCATGGGGGAGATGAAGTTTCGCTCTTGTTGCTCAGGATGGAGTGCAGTGGTGCAATCTCAGCTCACTGCAACCTCTGCCTCCTGGGTTCAAGCGGTTCTCCTGCCTCAGCCTCCCGAGTAGCTGGGATTACAGGCACCTGGTACCACATCTGCCTAATTTTTTGTATTTTTAGCAGAGACGGGATTTCATCACACTGGCCAGGCTGGTCTTGAACTCCTGACCTCAGGTGATCCATCCGCCTTGGCTTTCTAAAGTGCTGGGATTACAGGCATGAGCCACCGCACCCGGCCTATTCCCCATTATTTCAAGCGAACTACTGCAAAAACAGAGAAAAAATACCGCATGTTATCACTTATTAGCTAAAGAGCTAAGCATCAAACACACACGGACACAAAGATGGGAACAATTGACACTGGAGACTACTTGAAGGAGGACGTGGGTGAGGAGTATAGGTTGAAAACCTACCTATTGGGTATCATGCTCACTACCTGGGTGACAGGATCCTTCGCACACCAAACCTCAGCGACACCCAGTTTACCTGTGTAACAAACTTGCACATGTACCACCTGAACCTAAAATAAAAATCAAAGGAAAAAAATGCGTATTCCTTAATCTATGCCACATGATGTTGTGGAATTCATCCCAAACTCTTTAACAATAGGTGACTACCATGAAGGGATCCACCTGGTATACTAATATCTCTATATGAAACAACAAAAAGAAACTGCACATTTAAGAATGAGGCCTACACAGAATTTCAGGGAGGCTGGGCAGGCCCAATCCTTTATCTGAAGAAAAATCTCAATATTCAGTGGTACAAAATACTACTTTTAAATTCAGTCTCCAATCCTTCCAGTGTCCAATTCATGAACATCTGGGCATCATATTTCCTATCTTCTTTTTTTTTTTTTTTCTGAGACCGAGTCTCACTCTGTTGCCCAGGCTGGAGTGCAGTGGTGTGATCTCAGCTCACTGCAACCTTGGCCTTCTGGGTTCAAGCAATCCTCGTGCCTTGGCCTCCCCAGTAGCTGGGACTATAGGCGTGAGCCACCATGCCCAGCTAATTTTTGTATTTTTTAGTACAGACGGGGTTTCACCATGTTGGCCAGGCCAGTCTCAAACTCCTGACTTCAGGTGATCCACCTGCCTCGGCCTTCCAAAGTGCTGGGATTACAGGCATGAGCCACCGTGCCCGGCCTTTTTCCTATCTTCTCCTTAGTCCTTAACTCTCCGCTGCCTCCACCAGCCCTGTCCTAGAGGAGCCTCTCAAGTTCCGGGTAATCATCAGAGGAGGGTTTTGGTCCTTCACATTCTTTCAGAGTCAACAGCACAAACCCATCCTTTGCTTGTCACTGTTGAAGTTCTCTCAAACTCTATTTACTATGTCTGAGCAAAAGGTAAATATTACTTGCTATATGCCAAGCTCTGTTCTAAGGACTTCACATCTATTAATTTTTCAAAGGTCTGGGTAGGGGAAGAAGACCCTGGTCATGGATATTTCTACCATGGAGGACTAGTAAGCCCCAGCTGAGCGCCTAGTTTAAGTCTTGGTCAGGCAAGAGTTCCAAGCTGAAGCTCAGAAGAAAGGCAGGGGGGGAAGAGGCCCAGGTGAAGCCTCGTGCATGGGAATCGACCATGTAGGTGTAAGAATTCTCTGGCAGGATCAGACCTTGACAGGTGGATGCATCAGACTAATGATAATTGCACACCCCTTCAAAGCCATATTTTTGTTCAATATCAAAGGTAAGGCTTTGTGGGGGCTGGTAGCAGATGTCAACCTCTTGTCAATCCAGCTCTGGGGGCATGTTTGTACACCATTCAGTAAAACAGTCCTCCAGGTGTTAATGAAAACTACCTTCCTTGGAAGTACTTTATTTTAACCTCAGCTCATTTCTGCAAGTGGCTTAACCAAGTGTTCCCTCCAAACACATACAGTGCTTGGCCTGTGAAAGGCTTTGGGAGACAGAATTGTCTCCTTCTTGGTAGATTTCCAGTGAGTTTTGGGTAATCTGCATCCTGGGGAGTGGTACAGTAGCCCACCCCTTATTGGGTCCTACTTAGCCAGAAGTCTAACTTTGAGAATTCATCAAAATTTGGCTGGGTACTGTGAGAAGACAGCAGAATCCTGTATAATCCAGAATCAGAATCAGAATGTGATGTGCATCACAATATTATCACAGTTGTCTTTATTATCACCGCCCTCTTCCTCTAATCCCTTGCTACTCAAAGTGTGATCCCAAGACGTTGCATTGGAACCACCTAGGAGCTTGTTAGAAATAGAGACTCTCAGGCCCTGGTCTGGGCCAACTAAACAAAATTTGCATTTGAACAAGAACAACCTATGACCCATGAGTAGAGTAAAGTGTGAGAAGCATAGCAGGTTAGTCCATAGTCCCTCAAGGCCCAGTCACAAGTGTGCTTTTCCATAACCCTTCTTCAGGGGACCTCAAAACTGGTATTTGGACTCTCCACTCTCCACCTCACTAAAAGGAGAGTGTCCCTGGCCTGCTTTCCACCCTCAGAGTGAGTCTCCCTGGACTATTGAAGATCACTATGTCTTGGGACATTCAGGCTTGATCTTTGGGCTGCTACCCTATCCCTGAGCGATGTGTGACACAGTCATGCTGTCTTCCCAGGTTCTGATGATGTTGGGGGAATGTAATTAAAAATAAAATCTCCTGCCAAACCAGGAGACCTCCCCACAAACACAGAAGGGAAAGACAATTTATTATTGAATAGGTATTAAACCAGAATGTGACGTGCATCACAGGCAATCTGCTGAAGAGATTGCAGATTGCAAAGTCAGAAAGAAATCTTACCCTTTCCTATATCTAGGCAGATACAGTCCATTACATACATGTTTTCAGGTAGAAGACTTGACAGCACCATTGTCACACATAGTTCATCCGAAATTCACGGGATAATTGGGCTGGCCATCTGTGTTAATTGCCTTTATCCGAAGGAAAAATAAAACTTCTCATATCTTTATGACAGGAGGTAGTTTTGCAACTTAGAGCCAGGCACCTTAGAGTTAGGCTCCTGCCCTCCCACAGAAATGGAGAGAGGAGGGGCTGTCTTTCTTGATGATTACACTTCAAAGGGTTCACTCCCAAGTCCTTAAGAAAAACATTCCTGTGTTGTAAAGGTGGCAGGAGACTTTTTTAAAGCTTTTAAGAAGATGTTCATACATCTTAAAAGGGCAGAGAAAGAATAAACAATTATAACTTTTTAAAAAATCCTTTTTATTTTATTGAGACAGGATCTCACTCTGTCACTCAGGCAGAGTGCAGTGGCATGATTTTGGTTCACTGCAACCTCTGCCTCCCAGACTCAAGCAATTCTCCCAGGTCAGTCTTCCAAGTAACTGGGACTACAGATGCAAGCCACTAGGCCCAGCTAATTTTTGTTATTTTATTTTATTTATTTATTTTTAATTTCAGAAGTTTTTGGGGAACAGGTGGTGTTTGGTTGCATGGAAAAGTTCTTTAGTGGAGATTTCTGAGATTTTGGTGCACACATCACCCAAGCAGTAAACACGGTATCCAATGTGTAGTCTTTTATCCCTCACCCGCCTCCTACCCTTCCCCCCAAGTCCCCAGAGTCCATTATATCATTCTTATAGGCATAAGAATGATATAATGCATCCTCATAGCTTAGCATCTTATATGCATCCTCATAGCTTAGCTCCCACTTGTGAGAAGATACAATGTTTGGTTTTCTATTCCTGAGTTACTTCACTTAGAATAATGATCTCCAACTCCACCCAGGTTGCTGCAAATGCTATTATTTTGCTCCTTTTTATGGCTGAGTAGTATTCCATAGTAAATATATATACCACATTTTCTTTATCCACTCGCACTCGTTGGCACTTGAGCTGGTTCCATATTTTTCCAGTTGTGTATTGTGCTGCTATAAAGACACATGTGCAAGTGTCTTTTTCATATGATTTCTTTTCCTCTGGGTAGATAGAGTCTTCAGCATTTTCTAGGTATATGATCATATCATCAGCGAACAGTGACAGTTTGACTTCTTTACCAATTTGGATGCCTTTCCTTCCCTTGTCTGACTCCTCTGGCTGGGACTTCTAGTACAATGTTGAATAGCAGTGATGAAAATGGGCATCCTTGTCTTGTTCCAGTTCTTAGGGAAATGCTTTCAACTTTTCCCCATTCAGTATAATGTTGGCTGTGGGTTTGTCATAGATGGCTTTTATTACCTTAAGGTATGCCCCTTCTATTTCGATTTTACCAGGGGTTTTAATCATAAAGCGATGCTGGATTTTCTCAAATGCTTTTTCTGCATCTATTGAGATGATCAAATGATCTTTGTTTTTAATTCTGTTGATGTGATGTATCACACTTATTGACTTGCGTAAGTTAAACCACCCCTGTATCCCTGGTATGAAACTCACTTGATCATGGCATATTATCTTTTTGATATGCTGTTGGATCCAGTTAGCTAGTATTTTGTTGTAGATTTTTGTTTCCATGTTCATCAGGGATATTAGTCTGTAATTGTTTTTGTTGTTGTTATGTCTTTTCCTGGTTTCGGTATTAGGGTGATACTGGCTTCATGGAATGATTTAGGGAGGATTTCCTCATTCTCTATCATTGGAATAGTTTCAGTGAAATTGGTACCAATTCATCTTTGAATGTCTGATATAATTTAGCTGTGAATCCATCCGGTCCTGGACTTCTTTTTGTTGGCAGTATTTTTTATTACTGTTTGTTGGGGTGATCAGACTCAACACCAGGTCGTGGTGGCTATGAAGTCCGACGGAGTCAAAGGAATGAGACAAGACAAGTTAAGAGTACATACGGTGGGTCCAGGGAGCCAACGCTAGTATGGAGGCTGCGAAGGCCCTGAGCTCTGGGAACCCATACTATTTACTGGTAATCAAACAAAGAAGCAGGTGGTGAGGACGTGTGGACATGGGGGTAAACAGGTGAGGACATGAGGACATTGAGGGTAGAAAGGCAGTGGTGCATCAAGTGTAGCTGTCACAGTTTAGCATTATGCTCTGCTACTTGAGATAATGGAGAACAGGTTCTTCTAATTCAAGATACAATCAATTTATGATTTTGGGAGAGCAAGGAGCAAGGGGCCAGTGAGTCTGGACACATTCCAGAGGCTAAGAGGGGTTTTATGCCCTGAGCCCTGGATTCCATCCAAGCCACAAGGGGTTTTATGCCCTGGATTTAGATTGTAGTGCTGTGGGGCAGCCTTCCACTCTTTGGCACAGAGCTTGGTGTTCCATAGGCCACAAGGGGTTTTGGACCCTGGACCCAGGACATGTTCCAAGACTCTTCTACGTTATGTCAGACAAACAAGCCCTGCCTCAGCCCTTCTACCAATACTGTTTAAGTCTCACTGCTTGTTACTGGTCTGTTCAGAGTTTCCATTTCTTCCTGATTTAATCAGGAGTGTTGTATATTTCCAGGAATTTATTCATCTTCTCTAGATTTTCTAGTTTGTGTGAATAAAAGATGTTCATAGTGACCTTAAATGATCTTTTGTATTTCTGTGATATTGGTTGTAATAGCTCCCATTTCACTTCTAATTGAGCTTTTTTGAATCTTCTCTCTTCTTTTCTTGGTTAATCTCACTAATGGTCTATCAATTTTGTTTATCATTTCAAAGAACCAAGTTTTTTTTCATTTGTCTTTCGAATTTTGTTTGTTTGTTTCAATTTCATCTAGTTCCGCCCTGACCTTTGTTATTTCTTTTCTTCTGCTGGGTTTGGGTTTGGTTTGTTCTTGTTTCTCTAGTTTCTTGAGGTGTGACCTTAGAGTGTCTATTTGTGCTCTTTCAGACTTTTTGATGTAGTCAAAAGTTTGATGAACTTTCCTCTTAGCACCACTTTTGCTGTGTGCCAGAGGGTTTGATAAGTTGTGTCACTATTATCGTTCAAAGAATTTTTTAAATTTCCATTTTGATTTCATTGTTGTTCCAAAGATCATTTAATGTCCAAAGATCATTCAGGAGTAGATTATTTAATGTCCATTATTTGTACAGTTTTGAGGGTTCCTTTTGGAGTTAATTTTCAGTTTTATTTCACTGTGGTTTGAGAGGGTACTTGATATAATTTTGACTTTTTAAAATTTATTGAGACCTGTTTTGTGGCCTATCATATGGTCTATCTTGGAGAATGTTCCATGGGCTGATGACAAAAATGAATATTCTGCAGTTGTTGGGTATAATGTTCTGTAAATATCTATCTGGGGTATAGTTTCAGTCCATTGTTTCTTTGTTGACTTTCTGTCTTGATGATCTGTCTAATGCAGTCAGTGGAGTATTGAAGTCCCCACTATTATTGTGTTACCATCTATCTCATTTCTTAGGTCTAGTAATACATGTTTTATAAATTTGGGAGCTCCAGTGTTAGGTGAGTATATACTTAGGATTGTGATATTTTCCTGTTGGACTGATCCTCTTGTCACTATATAATGTGCCACCTCTTTGTCTTTTCTAACTGTTGTTGCTTTAAAGTCTGTTTTGTCTGATATAAGAATAGCTATTCCTGCTTGCTTTTGGTGTTCATTTGCCTAGAATATCTTTTTCTAGCCCATTACATTAAGTTTACGTGATTTCTTATGCATTAGGTGAGTCTCTTGAAGACAGCAGATACCTGGTTACTTGATTTTTATCTATTCTGCCATTCTGTATCTTTTAAGTGGAACATTTAGGCCATTTACATTCAACTTCAGTATTGAGATGTAAGGTACTTTTTTATTCATTGTGCTAGTTGGTGCCTGAATACCTTTTTTTTTCATTGTGTTGTTGTTTTATAGGCCCTGCAAGATTTATGCTCTAAGGAGGTTCTATTTTTGCCTATTTTGAGGTTTTATTTCAAGATTTAGAATCCCAGCTGGGCGCAGTGGCTCACACCTGTAATCCCAGCACTTGGGGAGGCTGAGGGGGGTGCAGATCATTTGAGATCAGGAGTTAGAGACCAGCCTGGCCAACATGGTGAAACCCCATCTCTACTAAAATACAAAAATTAGCTGGGTGTGGTAGTGCATGCCTGTAATCCCAGCTACTCGGGAGGCAGAGGCAGGAGAATCACTTGAACCCGGAAGGTGAAGGTTACAGCAAGCTGAGATTGTGCCACTGCACTCCAGCCTGGGCGATGGAGTAAGCCTCCATCTTAAAAAAAAAAAAAGAAAGAAAGAAAAAAAATTTAGAATTCCTTTTAGCATTTCTTGTAGTGCTGGCTTGTGGCAAATTCTCTCAGCATTTGTTTCTCTGAAAAATACTTTATCTCTTATTTATTTATGAAGCTTAGTTTTGCTGGATAAACTATTCTTGGCTGCCAATTATTTTGCTTAAGGAGGCTAAAGATAGTACCCCAATCCTTTCTGGCTTGTAGAGATTCTGTTGAGAAACCTGCTATTAATCTGATAGATTTTCCTTTATAGGTTACATGATGCTTTTGCCTCATAGCTCTTAAGATTCTTTCCTTCATCTTGATGTTAGATAACTTGATGACTATGTGCCCAGGTAATGATCTTTTTGTGATGAATTTCCTGGGTGTTCTTTGAGCTTCTTGTATTTGGATATCTAGATCTCCAGCAAGGCCAGGAAATCCCTCAAATAAATTTCCCAACTTTTAAATTTCTCTTCTTCCACAGGAACACCAATTATTCTTAGGGTTGGCTGTTTAACATAATCCCTAATTTCATGGACGCTTTATTCATTTTTTTAATTACTTTTTCTTTGTCTTTGTCAGATTGGGTTAATTCAAAAGCCTTGTTTTCAAGCTCTGAAATTCTTTCTTCTACTTGTTCTATTGTTGACTTTATATTTTTCTAAGTGTGCACTTTATATTTTTCTAAGTGTGTCTTTGATTTCCAGAAGTTGTGATTGTTTTTTCTTTATGATGTCTGTTTCTCTGGAAAATTGTTCATCCATGTCTTGTATTGTTTTTTAAATTTCTTTACGTTGGTTTTCACTTTTCTCTGGTATCTCCTTGAGTAGCCTTAATAATCAACCTTCTGAATTCTTCATGTGGCAGTTCAGACATGTTTTTCTTGGTTTGAATCCATTGCTAGGGAGCTAGTGTGGTTTTGTGGGGTGTTATAGAACCTTGTTTTGTCATATTACCAGAATTACTTTTCTGATTCCTTCTCATTTGGGTAGACTGTTTCAGTGGAAAAAGCTGGAACTCAAGGCCGCTGTTCAGATTCTTTTGTCCTATAGGGTGATCCCTTGATGTGGTATGCTCTCCCTTTCCCTAGGGACGTGGCTTTCTGGGAGCTGAACTGAATGATTATTATTGCTCTTCTGGGTCCAGCCACCCAGTGCAGCTACCAGGCTCCAGGCTGGTGCTGAGAAATACCTGATTCCTGTGATGTGATCCATCTTCAGGTTTCCCAGCTGTGCATACCAGCACCTGCTCTGATGGAGGTATCAGGGGAGTGAAGTAGACTCTGTGAGAGTCCTTGGTTGTAGATATGCTTAGTGTGCTGGCTTTCTTGGATGCTGGTTATGCTAGCAGTGAAGTTTTTATGTGGACAGACCCAGGCCATCTGGTTAGCCATGATGTTGCAGGCAGTGAAATTAGGTGTTGTTTTCTCCTCCCTTGGAGCAGGGTTATTCTGTCATTAATTGCTATTATGTCCTGAGGTGGATGATCTCCAGCCAGGAGGTGGTGCTTTCAAGAGAGCACCAGCTACGATAGTAGAATGGGGATATAAGCTTGCCCTAAGTTGGCCAGGATATGTATTTGGGTTTCTCAGGTAATGGTCAGGGCCATGAAGCTCCCAAAAGTTTATGTCTTTTGTGATTGGCTATTGGGATGGGTAGAGAAAAACCATGAGGTGGGTGCAGGGTTAGACAAGTCTGAGCTCAGACTCTCCTTGGGCAGGGCTTGCTATGGCCACTGTAGGGGATGCTGGGTGGTTCTTGGGCTAATGGGGTTATGTTCCAGAGGGGATTATGGCCACCTCTCTCACTAAGAAAGTGGGGGAAAGCCAGTAACAATAGGCCTAACTCAACTCCCACACAGCTGGTGAGGCTGGTCTTGCTCGCTCTGTGCCCTCCTAACAGTGGCAAATTAATCTCCAGGAAGCCCAGGGAGAACTCAGACCTTGCCCCAGGCTATAAGCTTCCCTGCTGAGAAAGCAAGCATCACTTTCAGGCCTCACCTGCCCCTCCCTGTCTGCCCACACGATGGGCCATGGCTCCTGTGCTTCTTTCTGCAGCAGTTCCTGTTCAACACCTGGATTCTGCTCAAGAGAGTTTATGCCCAATAAAATTATTATAAAGTTCAGTTTGAAGCTTCCCTTCTCTTCCTAGCAGATATCTGGGGTATGTGAGAGAGAGAGGAAAGAGCGTCCTCTTTCCCTCTTCTGTCCTTCCATCCCCGAGTCCAGGCGACCTTGGCAGTCACCACCATAGGTGTTAAAATGACTTACACTCATGAAGCAGGGGGTTTAGGGGGTGAAAATCTGCCATTCTTACCCACATATGCCCTATCTCCCTTATTGTCAGTAGCCTTGAATTCCCTAGACCTCATTTATGCCATGGACACTAACGTGGCCTTTATCCATCAAACAGGAAGCTTGGGCATGGCTTAATTGGCAGGAATCAGCCACGATCACCTGTGCTGTGCCTTTTAACCTCTGTTGTTGTCTACCTCTGGATCCCTTAGATCCAGTTTTCTTTCCTAGGGCTTTGACCCAAAGCTTGGAATTGAGTTTGGAACAAAAATGTGTCTCAGGGGAGTTGCATGGACTCCCTATCATAAGCTGCATGCTAAGGTGAAACCGTAGAACTGAGTCCTCCTCCAATAAGGGAGAGGAAAGGATGTCTTGTGACACACCCAGATGACTGATAGCTATAGTTATGCTTGCTAAGATTTGGGTGCATGATGCTTGGCTTTTGTTAGCTCCCTTGGTCTTATTTTCCCAAAGGAAATGTCCAAGTGATGGGCATCCTATTCATTCCCATCACCTGGCAGGGTTTTCAGGATAATTCCTCAGAATTAGAATGTTGATCCAGATTTTCACATTACCCATCCCTCTTGTTCTTTCTGAGCTGCAGCTGGAGACTGCCGGTTGGTTCACAGGAACAAGTAGGATTAGTCTTAAAATGTAGGTAAAAACTTAAAAACAACTAGTGAGTTTAGAATTTAATGACAAATATATGATAGGTTTTGAAACACGATTTCTCACTCGCCAGTCCTCATTTTTGTTAAAAACAAACAAACAAACAAATCATGACAGGACTGAGTTGTTTGCAAAATAGACTTTACATTTTTATACTTGGCCTGATTATTTGCATAAAGTACAGCAAGAATTATTATTTCCGCAAAGGCCTTTCGGATTGGCTTCGATGGAAGTTTGTTCCACAAGGAATCAGATAAGACCTTTTAAAGCTGAGCCCAGGCATGGGTTTATCCTCAAATACCTGTGAGTTTGGTGATCCTCTCCTCTTAAGGTTCCAAGATAAACTTGGAGTTCCTGGACCTGTTAAAAGTGGCATTCTTTACTGACCATAGGAACCCTGTGCAGGGACTGTGTAAACAAGGGTATGAGGCCAGTTTCCCCACTGGGATTTTATTGGCGCTGCAAGTCAAGATTGACTCCTTAAAGGAAAGCATACCCTTCCAGTCAAAGACTTGGTAAAGTAACCAGTTTTTCCAATTGTGTCCCGTTGCAAGAGAGAAGTGGATTCCTATTGCACTGATGTAAACAACTATATTGCCATAAGTTATGAATACTCACAGATAGTTTTCAAATTTTAGAGGAACCAGGCAGAGAGAAACAAACATGCTTCAAATTTTGGTTACAGAAGTATACCTTGCTTAATTATTAAAGGCCATAAATAGTTCAAAATAAGTTTCCTTGACTCTGAGAAACAAAACAAGGATGAGCAATATTCCAAGCAAAAGTCAAAAAGATTGCTTTAGTTTTCTGAGTTCAGTCCATTTAGTTAATTCTTGCTTTGGTTGATATTCGTGAACATTTCAGCTCTTCATGAGTCCTGTACATTTTCCTTTATTCCAATGTCACAATCTCCAAAGTTATCAGAAGCCTGTATTTGAGAGCACCTGTTACAGTTCTACGGCTTATTCTAAATCATCTCTTGAAAAGGATTAAAACAAGACAACAATTGTCTCTGAATAGCAAAAATGTCCAGGGTAGTTACACTTGGAAACACAATTGACAAAGGAGTTTGGTTTTCTCTGTGGTTTACAATAAGTTAACATAACAACCTTAATTATGATTGGTAGCATAACTTAGACATTAGAATTTTAGAAAGTCCCATACAGTTTTGGAACATGTATTAATATTACTCACAAAAATATAACCTAAACAAGATTGAACATCATTATGACAATTTCATTTACCTAGACATGTCAAATCATCTCGTTTGCCTCTCTTTTCTGGATGTTTCAGGGGCCCTCTGGACTATCTAAAAGCCAGGTATCAGAAAAGACAATTATGAAACTTAAGTTTGATTTTTGGAAGGCTGTTAAATATGTTTAAAACATTTGATATTATGAAATAGTGTTCCAGATTACTATAAACAATTTTGCCAAAATGATGACTCAGAAATTTTAAAGCAGCAAAAACCTTTAATAACCCTTTTGAATTTAGTTAACATGGTCACAGAGAACCTCTTCTGCAAGATTAATTTCCATAATTCTTGCACCAGTTGTTTGAACCTTCAGCTTTTCCTATCTAACTCAAAACAATCCTTTAACCCTAGGCAAAAATTTACATTTCCATGCTTCCTTATAACCTTTTACTAAAAAACCACATTTTACCGTTCTTACACACCTTGCATGTAAATCTATTTCCAGTAGTCTCAATTACATGTTGTAATGGTAACTCCTAGAATTTTTAACGTTAATTTAAAACCTGGTAAGTTGTTCTAATTGTGTGCTAACTGCAGCCAAGTTTTGCCTTCTTAATTAAGGGTGTGGTTAGTTCCATGTGTCCCCAGGCCTTACCAGCTGTGAAGCCAGCAAGTCATATTTCTCAAAACCCAAAAAGCAGTTTGTAACCTTAAAACATTTAGCAAACCTTGCATCTGACCTGCATTATGCAGCCCACCTATTTACATTTTAATGACATCTGTTTTTACCAATAATCTTTAAGGTTGCTTTTATTTCTCAAAGATTAAAGTCGCGTGAACTGAAAGGCATCACAGCTTTTATCTTCCCTTAAAAAAATATTAGATCTGAGCACTTGTCTTTCTTTAGGCCAAATTAATTAGAGCTCTTTTTACAGACATCACACACACACACGCACACACACACACACACATATGTAACTGACAAGCATATAACACACACATATAACAGCCAGGCAGGAGAAAACCCAGTCCCCGGGTGGGGTTCTTTAAGAGACAGGGCTAGGAAAACATCCAGATACCAACCACAGCAGGCTCATCCCCTAAGGCAGGATTGCTGAACAAAGCCCTATCAAGCAGTTACAGGCAGTGCCCCCAATATGTAAAACCAGATGAAGGCTTCATTTCAGAACCAAAACTTTGCAGATAATACAAACAGAGATAGTTGGTTGGGGGGGGCTTGGTTTAGTAAAGCATCTTCTAAAAGGAAAAGAACTTTAAAAGTTACTACTGATGGGGTGAAGAAGAGGAAAGAAAAAAAGTTTAAAAAATGCCTGGGGAAGAACCTCTTATTCTTATTCAAGTGGTTCCTTCACCAGGGAGACAAGTTTAATTGCTGCGGGTCAGAGATGGCCTTTCAGGCCCAGGGTGTGTGGCAGAAAACACCAGCCAGCTGCCCGCGGCACCTTGGGCCATGTGTCTCAGCCCAGGCAGGGAGGGGAGGGTGGAGGGGAGCCGCTGCTCACTGGTCCATCCCGAAAAAGGAAAGAAAAGGCCATGAAAAGGCTGGGGAGCAATGCGGGGGTGTGGGCATGATTTCCCCCACTCTCAGAAGTCTGAGGATGAAAAGGCTTAGGAGCAACAGTGAGAGGTTTTGAGTCATTTCACTCACCGCTTCTTGAGCCCCATGTTGGGGGTCAAAAATGTTGCAGGACTTTTCCTTTGTGAAGCTAAAGATGGCATTCTTTGTCCCATGGCCACAAAAATTCAGGCTTGCAGACAATTTGAATGGTAAGACAGAATTGTACTGGGTGAAAAGGAAGAAAAGGAAGAAACAGGGACTCTTGCTAGGCCAGAGTCCCTGCTAGAATGCTTCCTGCTTTACGGTTGGAATCCTAGGTTCCACACAGGAAGTGAGGCGGCCAGGCTCCTCCCCGCTGCAAACAGCGTGAACTTCCCGAGACTCCACCCCAGGGCGCAGGTTGGTTGGAGTTTTTCCGGGGACCCCCTCCCACCTGGCTGTCTCACCAGCACTTTGGCAGGCCAAGTTGAGAGGATCACTTAAAGCCAGGAATTCAAGACCTGATCGGGCAATATAGTGACACCTTTATCTCTATGGAAGGAAAAAAAATGTTAGCCGGCCATGGCGGTGTGTTCCTGTAGTTCTAGGTACTCAAGACACCCAGGTGGGAAGAGAAGTTGAGCCCAGGAGTTTGAGGCTGCAGTGATGCAGCCAGCTAGGATTGTGCCACTGCATTCTAGCCTGGGCAATAGAGCAAGACTCTGTCTCTCAAAAAAAATTTTTCTTTGCCTGATTTAAATAGTAAAATTAAAGTAAGATAGTAGGGACAGGGTGGGGACCAGCAGCCATCCTCCCTCCTGAAAAATAAACATAAAAATAAATTGGCCGGTCGCGGTGGCTCACACCTGTAATCCCAGCACTCTGGGAGGCCGAGGCGGGCAGATCACGAGGTCAGGAGATAGAGACCATCATGGCTAACACGGTGAAAACCCGTCCCTACTAAAAAATACAAAAAATTAGCCGGGCGTGGTGGCGGGCTTCTGTAGTCCCAGGTACTCGGGAGACTGAGGCAGGAGAATGGCGTGACCCCGGGAGGCGGAGCTTGCAGTGAGCCGAGATCGCACCGCTGCACTCCAGCCTGGACGATAGAGCGAGACTCCGTCTCAAAAAATAAATAAATAAATAAAATAGAAATAAGTTTCATTTTGGGAAATATATTTTAAAATATAATTCTAAGCTACCTGTCCTCACTAAAATTAAGGTGGGGATTAGAAGGAGTTAGGAAGAGAAGCCTCCTATGCCAGGGACAGCAGTAGGCACTCTCCATATTTTACCTCCTTTACAACTGTGGGAGGTAGGAATTATTATCCCCATTTTACATTTGAAAAAAAACCTGGAAAAATCTCAGATAATAATTAACTTGTCCAAGATCATGAAGCTAGGAACTAAGCACAGATAGGGATTCCCAGTTAAGGGCTCAAGAGAGATCAACCTGTTAAGAGAAGAGAAGGTGTTTTTCATTCTCATATTACCAACTTAAGACCATATGCTGCTGTTTCACAAAGGAGACTCACAAATTCATTGACTAGTTCTAGATCGATTCCCCATTTCAGAAATCCTCTGCATTGTAACGCTAATATTTACTGGGAGCTTAACTACATGCTAGGCATGTTCTAAGCAGTTTATATGTGATAATCAATTTAATCCTCTCACAATCTGATGAGGTAAGTGCTATTATTATCATCATTTTAGCAGATGGGACACCAAGGCACAGAGAAGTTAGATAACTTTCCCAAGGTTGCATAGCTAGTAAACAGTAGAGCCAGGATTCGTTCCTGGCAGACTGGTGCCAATGTTATGCTCTTACCTGTCTTTTATAACTGTGGCACCAGAGCAAAGTATAACAACTGGTTTGAATTTTTTACATATCAAAAGTGGCTTGGAGAGATTAAAGAACATTTTTTGTGTTTTTTTTTAGTTGTCCCCACCCAACAGAAACCTGTCAAACTGGTTATTCAGGTTTAAGTCACTTTATAGTTCTCACAAGAATGTTAAAGGAAAATAATGAAAACAAACAGATGTTAAATGATTCACTCCAGTATAAGCTCAATTATCTAGGTTCCTTTGCTTTTGTAGCAATCAAGATGTCTTTGGACTTTGACCAAGTCTGAAACTTTTTCATATTGTATTTATTTCAAATAATGAGATGATCAAAGGTGATCTGTGAAAAACACAGGATAGAAACTGCAGCACCCTGATAGAACCCACATCTGGGTTGTTGATGAAAAGAGTCAAACTCTGTAGAATATTTGAAGAGATTTATTCTGAGCCAAATATGAGTGACCGTGGCCTATAACCCAGCCCTCAGGAGATCCTGAGAACATGTGCCCAAGGTGGTTGGGGTGCAGCTTAGAACATTTTAGGGAGACATTTACACATTAGAGAGACATGAGACTTCAATCAAATACATTTAAGAAATACATTGGTTTGGTCCAGAAAGGTAAGACAACTGAAAGTGGTGGGGTAGGGTGGTGGGGGGTGGGGTGGGGGTCAGGGGCTTCTTATAGGTGGGTTTAAAAATTTTCTGGTTGACAATTGGTTGAATTTAAAGACCTGGGATCAGCAGAAAGGAAATGTCTGGGTTAAGACAAAGGATTGTGGAGACTAAAGTTCTTATTTGCAGAGGAAGCCTTCAGGTAGTAGGCTTCAGAGAGAATAGGTTGTAAAATATGTTTCTTTTCTTTCTTTTTTTTTTTTTTTTGAGATAGAGTCTCACTGTGTCACCCAGGCTGGAGTGCAGTGGCATGATCTCGGCTCACTGCAAGCTCCGTCTCCCAGGTTCATGCCATTCTCCTGCCTCAGCCTCCTGAGTAGCTGGGACTACAGGCGCCTGTCACCACGCCCGGCTAATTTTTTGTATTTTTAGTAGAGACGAGGTTTCACCGTGTTAGGCAGGATGGTCTCGATCTCCTGACCTCGTGATCCACCCGCCCCGGCCTCCCAAAGTGCTGGGCTTACAGGTGTGAGCCACCGCGCCTGGCCATAAAATGTTTCTTATCAGATTTAAAGTCTGTGTTGATGTTAATGCTGGAAAGGTATAATGAGGTATGCCCAACCCCACTTCCCATCATGCCTCAGGTTTAATTTTAAAAGTGCCCTGGCTGAGAAAGTCCATTCAGATGGTTGAGGGGCCTTAGAGTTTTTTTTTTTTTGTTTGTTTGTTTGTTTTTTTTTTGGTTTACAAGGTAAAAGTTGGCTTGAGATAGTATGAAAAACAGTGAAGGTATATAGGACTCAGAGTTAATTTTAGTCCTTTTGATGTCTGTCTGTCCCAATCCAGCTCCATGTATCATTAGTATCACAGAGCATAAAGTACAGTCATTCTGAGGACAAACCAAGGAGTTTGGACCCTGTGTTAGTCCATTCTCACGTTGCTATAAAGAAATAACTGAGACTGGGTAATTTCTAAAGAAAAGAGGTTTAATGGCTCATGGTTCCACAGGCTGCACAGGAAGCATGATGCTGGCATCTGCTTAGCTTCTGGGGAGGCCTCAGGAAACTCACAGTCATGACAGAAGGTGAAGGGGGAGCAGGCACATCACATGGCCAGAGCAGGAGCAAGAGAGAGGAAGGAGAGAAGTGATACACACTTTTAAACAACTAGATCTCACAAGAACTCACTCACTATAACAAGAACTGCACCAAGGGGCTGGGGCTAAATCATTCCTGAGAAATCCACCCCCGTGATCCAATCACCTCCCATCAGGCCCCACCTCCAACACAGGGGATTACAATTCAACATGAGATTTGGGTGGGGACATTTGTCCAAACTATATCAGACCCATAGTTGAGTTTGCAGTGTAGCCCTGTAATGATATAGAGAGGAGAAGGATTGGGAAATAAGGGAAGATAGGTGAGCAGGCCAGACCCGGGAGGCTTTGAATACCAGCTTGAAGAATCTGAATTTATTCTGTGTCTAATGGGGAGCCATGATCCATAAGGAAGGCTATGGAATTATCAGGTCTCTTCCTGCCAAGACTCTAAATATTCCTTTGTATCACGGTTGACCCAGGTCAGGCTGAATGTTCCCAGGTTACTTTGGGTTAGCCTGGCGTTTCCAAGTCTGGTTCACAGTCTTCAGGAGCTAGGAACGGGGTTTTCTCTACCTCCGCTTCCCTGTTGAATTTTGATCTAGCTCAGGGAAACTGTTTGTCCCTTTCTAAAAATATGAGTGTGTAGTTTCCAAGACAAATGGGCAACAACTGCTCTGTGGGCTGGCTGAAGGATCCTGCCAGGGTGCTGGTGAGTTTGTTTCCTCATACTACATTTATCTTTAGCACAGGAACTAGCAGTAGGCAGAATTCCTAGCTCAGCCCAGTGATCATCAAGAAGTAAGCAGGTAAAGGTAACTATGAGTCCAACAAGGAGCGGACTTAAAGGGGGCAATCAAATGAAACTATTGCACCTGCTTAGGTTCAGATGCCCAAGATAATCTAGGAGAGATGTGATGGGAAGGAGAATAGGAGGGTGCTTAGTCATGTTAGGTACAGAGACAACATTTAAAAAAACTTTATTGTTTATTTACCACAATTTTTAATTGTGGTAAAACATACATAACACAAAATTTACTATCTTAATCATTTTTAAGTGTACAGTAGAGTGGCATTAAGTACAATCATATTGTTGTGCTGCCATCACCACTACCCATCTCCAGAAGTCTTTCCATCTTGCAAAACTGTATTCATTAAGCAATAACTCCCATTCTTCCCTCTGCTCAGCCCCAGGCAACCACCATTTGACTACTCTAAGTACCTCATATAGGTGGAATAATACAGTATTTGCCTTTTTGTTATTGTCTCATTTCACTTAACATAATGTCCTCAAGATTCATCCATGTTATACCATATATCAAAATTTCCTTCCTATTTAAGGCTGAATAATATGCCATTGTATGTGTTTACCACATTTTGCTTATTCAGTCATCCACCAATAGTCACTTGGTCTGCTTCCACATTTTAACTACTGTGAATAATGCTGCTATAAACACAGATGTACAGATATCTCTTTGATACTGCTATCACTTCTTTTGTGTATATATTCAGCAGTGGAAATGCTGGGTCATATGGTAATTCTACTTTTAGTTTTTAAAGAACCACCATTTTACACTGGTGGTGCCCTTTTACATTCCCACCAACAGTGCATAAGGGTTCCAATTTCTCCACATCCTTGCCAACACTTATAATAATTATTATTTTTTAAATAGTAGCCATCCTAATAAGGGTGGGGTGGTATCTCATTGTTATTTTGATCTGTATTTCCCTAATTATTCATGATGTTGAGCATCATTTCATGTACTTACTGGCCATTTGTATATCTTCTTGGAGAAATGTCTATTCAAGTCCTTTGCTCATTTTTAAATCATGTTGTTTTTTGTTGTTGTTGAGTTTTAGGAGTTTTCTCTATATTCTGGATATTAATCCCTTATTAGAGATGATTTTCAAATATTTTCTCCCATTCTGTGGGTTGCCTTTTTTACTCTGTTAATAGTACTTTTGATGCACAAAATTTTAAAATTGTAATACAATCCAATTTGTGTTCTTTTGTTGTTGTTGTTGCCTGTACTTGTGATGTTATATCCAAGAAATTATTGCCCATTCTAATGTTGTGAACTTTTGCCCTATGCTTTCTCCTATGAGTTTTATAGTTTTAGTTCTTACATTAGGTTATGGATCTAGTCTGCATTAATTTAATGTAAATGGTATCAGGTAAGGGTCCAACTGTATTCTTTTGTATGTGGCAATTTTCCCAGCACCATTTGTCAAAAAGATCATCTTTTCCCCATTGGATAATCTTAGCACCCTTGTGCTAAGAGGGTTTTTTTCTGGACTGTGTTCTATTCCATTGGTCTATATGTCTGTCTTTGTGCCAGTACCACACTGTTTTGATCGCTGTAACTTTGTGGTAAGTTTTGAAACAAAGAAGTGTGAATCCTCCAGCTTTTGAAGTGAAGATTTGCTGGATATAGGATTCTTAGTTGATAGTTTCTTTCTTTTAGCACTTTATATCAGCCTACTGCTTTCTGGCCTCTGAAGTTTCTGATGAGAAATCTGCAGATAATCTTATTGAGGATTCCTTATATGTGATGATCACTTCTCTCTTGCGGCTTTCAAAATTTTCTGTCTCCAGCTTTTAATAGTTTGATGGTAATACTTTTGGTGTGTCTTTGAATTTATCCTACTTGGAGTTCATTGAGCTTTTTGGATATTTATATTCATGTCTTTCATTAAATTTGGCAAGTTTTTGGTCATAATTTCTTTGAATAATCTCTTTGCCCCTTTCTCTTACTTGTCCTCAAGGACTCCCCATAAAGCCTGTGTGGGGCTGTTTGACGATGTCCTACAGGTCCTTTAGGCTCTGTTTTCTTCAATTTTTTTCTTTATATTCCTCAGATTCAATAATTTTCCTTGTCCTTTCTTCAAGTTTGTTGATTCTTGTGCTTGCTCAAATCTGCCATTGAATCTCTCTAGCAAGTTTTTTTAACTTTCAGCTATTGTACTTTTTAGTTCCAGAAAATTTCTGGAAACCAATTTCTTTTTGGTTTCTTTTTAGGTTTTCTCTCTCTTTATTGATATTTCCATTATGTTCATACATCATTTTCTTGACATTTTCCACATCTTCCTTTAGTTCTTTGGGTAACTTTAAGACAGTTGTTTTAAAGTCTTTGTCTAATAGATCCTCCATCAGATCCTTTTCAAGGACAGTTTCTGTTGGTTTATTTTTTCCTTTGAATGGGCCATATTTGCTTGTTTCTTTGTATCTCTTGTGTTTTTGTTTTTGTTGTTGTTGTTGTTGAAAACTAGACTTTTGAATCTAATAATCTGGTAATTCTGAAAATCAGATTATTTTCCTTCCCCAGGGTTTACTAGCTTTTTGTTTTTTATTGTTATAGGCTGTCTCTGTGCTGAGGATTAGCCTGAAATATAAGCTTACAGTCTTCTTGGGTCTTTTCTAAGCCTGTCCCTGGGCACGCACAGTGACTTTCTAATATCTTCTGTAACAAGTGTATATACAGTTGTTTTGAATGTCATAGCCTTCAATGTCTGGCTTCCAAAAATGGAGAAAAAGAGAAAAATGAAGGGCAGAAAAAGGCTCATCGTTTAAATCCCCTGGAAGGTGCTTCAGCCAGAGGAGGTGGAGTTTGCCACAATGGGGGGGAAGGTGCAACAACAAAACAATGGCTGTCATTTCTTCTTCTGCACCTTTGTAAAGCAACAATCAGCAATCAGAGCCCTAATATTTGGAGGACAGTTTTTTTTTTTCAACCTTGATTCCAGCAAGTTGTGTGCAAACTGGTCCAGGAACACATACACAGCTGCCTGACACAGGGCTGAGGAGTAGGGTTTGGCTACTATTGGCTATTACTGTGCTGAAATTCACTGAAATTAACTGCAGCTTACTGTACAACTTTTCCCCTAGAAGTTGCTAGCTTTCAATAGACCCCAAAGTTTTAAAATAGTTGTGTCAGACAGATGCTGCTAGAACAGTTGTTTAGGTGGGAAGTCGGATTCCTGGTGCTTTCTACTCTGCCATCTTCCCAGAATCCTCTCTCTAGTTTTAAAGACATAAGAATTTATAATATACTTTTAACTCCAGTGGTAATAACAGCACATTAAATATCTACTCATCCAAATAAAATTTGTTCATTAGTACAAAAATCCAGTGAAATCCTTTATAGAAGCTGCACTCTTCACGTTGGTTCTCGGCAGGAAAGTCCCTCATCTGAGCAGCTTGAGGGCTAACAAGTATCTTCTCATATCAGAAGGAGAAAGGGGGAACATCTTATTTCCTGGAGAAAAAAGGACAAGAATAGCTGAAATGGAGGAAGTATGTGGCTTATATGTGATTTCAAGCTTGTGTTGCCAACAGATCTTTTCTATGCTTATAATAGGGTAAGGAATACAGGAAACTTACGGATAAATTTAGTGATATGGTTTGGATATTTGTCCCCTCCAAATCTCATGTTAAAATGTAATCCCCAGTGTTGGAGGTAGGGCCTTGTGGGAGGTATTTTGTCATGGGGGTGGATCTCTCATAAATAGCTTGGTGCTGTCCTTGCAATAGTGAGTGAGTTCTCGCAAGTTCTGGTTGTTTAAAAATGTGTGGCACCTCCTCCCTCTTTCTCTTGCTCCCACTGTCACCAAGTGAGATGCCTGTGCCCCTTTCATCTTCTACCATGACTGTAAGCTTCCTGAGGCCCTTACCAGAAGTAGTTGCCATTACCATGCTTCCTCTATGGTCTACAGAACTGTGAGTCAAACAAACCACTTTATAAATTACCCAGCCTGAATATTTCTTTAGAGCAATGTAAAAATGACCTAATACACCTAAGGAATGTGTTTGAGCCAATATTCCTTGAGTGCCTCTTTGTGCTAGGCACTTGGCTAAATACTTATTATTTCTATTGTCTAATATGGTTGCTACCAGCCTCATGTGGCAAATGAATACTTGAAATGTGGCTTGTCAGAATTAAGATGTGCTGAAAGTAAAATACACACCAAACTCTAAAGATTTAGTATGAAAAAGAATGTAAAATATCTCAGTAATATTTTATGTTGATTACATGTTAAAATCATATTTTTTATGTGGAGCTAAATAAGACATATTATTATAATTAATTTATCTGTTTCTCTTTACTTTTAAAAATGACTACTAGAAAATGTATACTTACGTGGCTCACATTTGTGGATTGCATTATACTTCTATTAGAGAGTGTAGCTTTACATTATTCCCATATTGCATCCCATAACAATCTTATAACATAGACTGCTGTTAGGTCTATTTTACTGAAGGAGAAACGCTGAGATGTAGACTGCAGTGAGTTGCCCAGCATTAGTAATGTACCCCAGAGGGTTCTCTTGCCCTATTTTCTGCCATGTAAGAACACAGCAAGAAGTAGTCAGTCTGCATCTGGGAAGAGGGTCCTCACCAGAACCCGACCATGCTGGCATCCTGATCTCAGACTTCCATTCTCCAGAACTGTTTCTGTTGCTTATAAACCACTCAGTCTATGGTATTTTGTTATAGTAGCCTGGACTGACTAAAACACATATTAAGCCACAAGACACCAAATCATAATCTCTGCTCATGTCTGATATAGCTGGCAAATAAATCAGCAAGATTCACATAAAATTGCCATGGAATTTTGACAACACCTCCTGCTTTATCTAGTACCTGATACTAGCTCTGGGTCTTGTTTCACCATCTCTCCCATGATTTTGTTCCTATTACTGCAAACTAACTTGGATTTGGGGCAGGTATTATTTTAGTATTTCATAACCCACAAAGCATTCTTTGAATTGTATCTCATTGCCACCAAGTAACTATTTTTCTGGCAACTTTGTTTTCTACTTCAGGTGCAGAGCATTGCTTAATCTTAAATTCATGGCACTCCACTATCAATTGTATGCAAGACCCTCTCTTATTCATTCATTCATTTTCATCCCTATTCTCCACTTCTGTTCCTCTGCCCTCTCCATAGGCAGTCATTCTTTTTATGTTTTTTTGTTTTAAGTATTTTTAAAGTTGTATGTCTTTTTAAGTTTTAGGTTTGTTTAAGTTCTGGGGTACATGTGCAGAACGTGCAGGTTTGTTACATAGGTATACATGTGCCATGGTGGTTTGCTGCACCCATCAACCCATCACCTACATCAGGTATTTCTCCTAATGCTATCCCTCTCCTAGCCCCATAACCCCTGACAGGCCCCGGTATGTGTTGTTCTCCTCCCTGTGTCCATATGTTCTCATTGTTCAACTCCCACTTATGAGTGAGAATATGTGGTGTTTGGTTTTCTGTTCTTGTGATAGTTTGCTGAGAATGATAGTTTCCAGCTTCATCCATGTCCCTGCAAATGACATGAATTCATCCTTTTTTATGGCTGCATAGTATTCCATGGTGTATATGTACCACATTTTCTTAATCCAGTCTATCATTGATGGACATTTGGGTAGTTCCAAGTCTTTGCTATTGTGAATAGTGCCACAATAAACATACGTGTGCATGTGTCTTTATAGTAGTATGATTTATAATCCTTTGGGTACATACCCAGTAATGAGATCACTGGGTCAAATGGTATTTCTAGTTCTAGATCCTTGAGGAATCACCACACTGTCTTCCACAATGGTCGAACTAATTTACACTCCCACCAACAGTGTAAAAGCATACCTATTTCTCTATATCCTCTCCAGCATCTGTTGTTTCCTGACTTTTTAATGATCATCATTCTAACTGGCCTGAGATGGTACCTCATTGTGGTTTTGATTTGCATTTCTCTAATGACCAGTGATGAGCATTTTTTCATATGTTTGTTTGCAGGCATTCTTCTTTTTTTTTTTTTTTTTTTTTTTTTGAGATGGAGTCTCACTCTGTTGCCCAGGCTGGAGTGCAGTGGCGTGATCTCAGCTCACTGCAACCTCCACCCTCCGAGTTCAAGTGATTCTCCTGCCTCAGCCTCCTGAGTAGCTGGGATTACAGGCACCTGCCACTGTGCCCAGCTAATTTTTGTATTTTAGTAGAGACGGGGTTTCACCATCTTGGCCAGGCTGGTCTTGAACTCCTGGCCTCGTGATCCACCCACCTCGGCCTCCCAAAGTGTTGGGATTACAGGCGTGAGCCACTGCGCCTGGCCTGTCATTAAGTGTTGACATATGTTTTCTCTCAGAATTCTTATAAGAGGTACATTTTTGTTTTTTATGCACAGTTTTATATAAACCACATTGTAGTAAAAGTTTCATTCTGTTTTTCTTCATTCAGCAATATATTTTTAAAAGTCTAATCATGTTGCTGAGTATCTATCTAGACTATTGCTTCTAATGATGCCTAATTATCCATCCATTTTATCCACTCATTTCACAGAAATGGACATGCACATTGCCCCCAACTCACCAACACTAGTAACGATGCTGCAGCAACATCCTCATACGTCTTGCCTTGTGTGTGAGAATTCCTCTGGATTCCTATACTTAGCAGTGGAAATACTGAGTCATAAGTAACATACGTATCAGAGTAAAACCAGGAAAACAGAAGCCACTCTAAGTGTGTAAAACTAAGATTTTAATGCAGGGAATAGTTACAGAGGTGATGAAAGAGCTGAGAGCCAAACAGGGGACATAGGTAATCTAGAGACTGGCAATAATAGGAAACCCCTACCACACCTAAACTGCACGAATTGCTTGGAACCAAGAGTTTGAGTCATGTGACAAAAGCCGGAATCATAGCACCTGGTGGGAGCTCCAAGAGAAGGAAGAAATATAGATGCCTCTATAAATAGGAGAGAGATGGAGAGAGAAAAATAGCCTGACTGTTCCCTTCCTCCATCCCCAATCTCCTATTAGTGCTTTCCACTAGCCGAACCCAGCCCCCAGTGCAGCTTGCTGACGCCAGGGCAGAGCAGGCAGGGGCAGTGAAGAACAAATCAGCCAGCAGATACCATATACTTGGTTTGACTAAGTCCTTTCAGATTGTTCTCCTAATAACTGTTCTAGCTACACTCCCACCAGCAATGTATCCCTACATCCCATCTACTCTTCATGGCCCACTGTTCAACAAAGAGTGGAGGTACAGATCTCCACTATCTTCCTTTAAGTGTGTCTAGCCTATTGCAGATGGCTCAGGCATCTCCTCAAATCTAGCAGCCTGACCGAACTAAAGGACCCATCCATCCACTTAACCATAACCTCCTGAGGGCAGGAACCTTGTCAATTTTATCTGTAATCCCCTATCTGCCATCATGCTCAATGCTACTGACCAAGTGAGAAATGCTCCTGTTGACTATTGGTGTCATGCCTTTACCCCCATTGTTATTTGGTTTGCAGGTGTAGTCTACACTGAGGGCAGTTTTCAAGAAGCCACTTAAAACACTATGCAGGAAAATCTCTAGAGAGATTCTGTGGGTGAGGGAGAAGGTTGACAGTAAGCTGGTAAGCAAGGTTTAGGACTATAATGGTTGTCAAAACACTGTGTTGGTTGGTAAATAGCCACTGCTCTGAGCAATTCTGAGTGACTGCTGTGCTCTGGTGGCTCCAGCCACTCTCTACAAGATCAGCAACTAAAGGAAGGTATTGCCATTATGATTAGGGGACTCTAGGACTCCGTTGTTGCAATCTGGCTGGCCATCTTCCTGATTGGTTAGTGTATATGCTTTACTGGTTGTTAAATATTTTAAATATCCTTCCCCTGGATGAGTACCACAAAATAAGGAATGTTTAGGGGAAAGTCTGCAGACTTTAGGGTGCCCTAGGGCTCCCAGGAAGCTTGTTTCTTTATGTGATAATGGGGTAGAGATTTCTCTAGGATTATTTTCCTGATGGAAAATGCTGCATTTTTTGCTTTTCTCTTATTGAATAACTTACATAGTAAAATGCACAAATCTGATGTGTATAGCTCATTAAAATTTTACATATGTACTAACATATCCACCAACTAGATCAAGATGTAGAAGATTTGCATCTTCCTAGCAGACTCCCTCATGCCTTCTCTTTGTCAGTTACCCGCCAAGTAACCACAATTCTGACATTTATCATTATAAATTAATTTTGCCTGTTTTAAAACTTCATGTTAATAGGAACACAGTGTATACTCTTGACGTCTGGCTTCTTTTGCTCAACATTAAAAACATACTTCTTTTGGGATTTATTTGACTATCTTTCCAATTTGTTAAGTTGGATTCTTAGCTCATTAATTTTCAAATTTCCTTCTTTTTTTGGTATTTTTTACAACTTTAAAAAATTGTGTCAAAATATATGTAACATGAAATTTGTAACTTTAACCATTCTTTTAAAGTTTATAATTTGGTGGCATTAATTACATTTACAATATTATGCAATCATTATCACTATTTCAAAATTTTTTCATCATCCTCCAAAAAAACCTCTGTATCCATTATGCACTAACTCCTCATTTCTTCCTTCTCCCAGTCCCTAAAAATCTCTAATTTACTTTCTGTCTCATGAGTTTGCCTATTCTAGATATTTCATATAATGGAGTTATACACTATATGTCCTTTTGCATTTGACTTCTTTCACTTAGCATGTTTTCAGGGTTAATCCATGTTATAACTTATCAAAATTTCATTCTTTTTATGAATAATTTTCCATGTATGTATATGCCACATTTTGTTTATTAATTCATCTGTTGGTGGACACTTGGGTTCTTATCACTTTTTGGCTATTGTGAATAATGCTGCCATAAACATTGATGTACAAATATCTGAGTTCCTGTTGTTAATTCTTTTAGGTATATACCTAAGAGTGGAATTGATGTGTCATATGGTAAACCTTTGCTTAGCTTTTTGAGGACTGCCAAACTATTTTCCACAGCAATTGCAAGATATTATATTCCCACCAGCAATGCATGAGTGTCCTAATTTCTCCACATCCTCACCAACACTTGTTATTTTCTATTCGTTTGTTTTTATTATTATAACCATCCTAATTGGTGTGAAGTAGTATCTCATTGTGGTTTTGATTTGCATTTCCTTAATGACTAATGATGTTGAACATCTTTTGATGTGATTTTTGGCCATTTGTATATCTTCTTTAGGGAAATATCTATTCAAATATTTTGTCTATTTTTTAATTGGGTTGTTTGTCTTTTTGTCGTTGAGTGGTGGGAGTTTTTAAATATATTACGGATATTAAACTCTTATCAGGTATATGATGTGCAAAGATTATCTCCTGTGGGTTATCTTTTCACTCTCTCTCTTTTTTTTTTTTTTTTTTTTTTGAGACAGAGTCTTGCTCTATCACCCAGGCTGGAGTGCAGTGGCGCAATCTCGGCTCACTGCAAGCTCCACCTCCTGGGTCGACGCCATTCTCCTGCCTCAGCCTCCCAAGTAGCTGGGACTACAGGCGCCCACCACCACGCCTGGCTAAATTTTTGTATTTTTAGTAGAGATGGGGTTTCACCATGTTAGCCAGGATGGTCTTGATCTCCTGACATCGTGATCCGCCCATCTCAGCCTCCCAAAGTGCTGGGATTACAGGTGTGAGCCACCGCGCCTGGCCTCTTTTCACTCTCTTGATCATGTTTTTCGATATACAGAAGTTTTTTATTTTAATGAAGTCCAATTTATCTATTTTTTCTTTTGTTGCTTTGGCTTTTGGTATCATTTTAAGAAGCCATTGCCAAATTCAAAATTGTGCAGATTTGTCCCTATGTTTTATTCTAAGAAGTTTGTAGTTTTAGCTCTTAAATTTAGGTCTCTAAGCTGTTTTGAGTTGATTTTTGTATACAGTATAAGGGCCCAACTTCATTATTTTGCATGTAGGTAGGATTTCTCCAAGACTTAGGGTAGGGATCTTGTCCATCTTGTTCCTAGTACTGTGCCTGACACACATTATATACTCATTCAACAACTATTGATTTGTTATATACCATACTAGGCACTGGAGATGCAATGGAGAAGAAAACAGACCTGATCCTCGTCACCTTGGTACTTTGTTGCTAGTGTTTGCTGAATAAATAAATAAGAAACCATCTATTTTCATGACATCTGCATCATCACAAGTTGATAATTGCTCTATATGGTAATTTTGACTCCATACATTGCATACCATAATTGTAGTCATTACTTAGAGAATCTCTCAGTCTCTCTCTCTCTCTCTCTCAACTCAAAGGTGAAATGTATTAAATACAGTAATCAAGTGAGTATATGTTATTTAAGAATGAGGTTGGTGATTTTCCAGGTGTTTATTTCTAGACTTTTTGCCAGGTAAGCTGGCCATTTCATTCCCAAAAGGATTATTCAAATATATAAAATAGTATTTTCAAACACTATTATATATTCCAGAAAAACAAGCATTTGAATAACAAAAACAATAGAACTTAGCAAACATGGTGAAACTCCCATCTCTATTAAAAATACAAAAATTAGCCCGGCATGGTGGTACGTGCCTGTAATCCTAGCTACTCGGGAAGCTGAGGCAGGAGGATCGCTTGAACCCAGGAGGTGGAGGTTGCAGTGAGCTGAGATCACACCACTGCACACCAGCCTGGGCAACAGAGTGAGACTCTGTCTCAAAAAAGAAAACAAAACAAAACAAAAAAATAGAACTTTAAGGTGAGAAATGGGAAAGCAGTCCTGAATTGGTAGAAACCCTAGGCATATGGACAAATTGTTTATTTATTATTTGTTTGTTTATTTAAGAGTGATAATTTGCCAACATATTATTTTGCTAAATATTTTTAAAAGGATTATTGCAGCTGTAGAAAATATATAGAAAGCCATCTTAGGAAACTCTACCTCTTGCTTGCTGATATATAAATTGTAGTCAGCTTTTTCTTCTTTTTGTCACAACCTTTGGAGATTCCGGTAAAATGCCTCCTTCAGAATATTTCTGGGCATCCGTTATTTGTTTATTTATTTATTTTTTTTTTGGTTACATGAGTAAGTTCTCCAGTGGCAATTTCTGAGATTTTGGTGCACCCATCACCCAAGCAGTGTACCCTGTACCCAATGTGTAGTCTTTTATCTCTTGTCCCCGTCCTATCCTTCCCCCCAAGTTCCCAAAGTCCATTTTATCATTCTTACACCTTTGCATCCCCATAGCTTAGCTCCTACTTATGAGTGAGAATGTACAATGTTTGGTTTTCCATTCCTTAGTTACTTCAGTTAGAATAATGGTCTCCAGTTCCATCCAAGTTGCTACTAATGCCATTATTTCATTCCTTTTTATGGCTGAATGTTATTCCATTATATATATGTGTATATATACACATATATACCACAATTTCTCTATCCACTCATCGATTGATGGGCATTTGGGCTGGTTCCATAGTTTTGCAACTGCAAATTGTGCTGCTATTAACATGTGTGTGCAAGTATCTTTTTTGTATAATGACTTTTCTTCCTCTGGGTAGATACCCAGGTAGTGGGACTGCTGGATGAAATGGTAGATCCACTTTTAGTTCTTTAAGGAATCTCCACACTGTTTTCCATAGTGGTTTTACTAGTTTACATTCCCACCAGCAGCGTAAAAGTGTTCTCTTTTCCCCACATCCACACCAACATCTAATTTTTTAAATTTTTTGATTATGGCCAGTTTTGCTGGAGTAAGGTGGTATTACATTGTGGTTTTGATTTGCATTTCCCTTATAATTAGTGATATCTAGCCTTTTTTCATATGTTTGTTCACCATTTTTATATCTTCTTTTGAGAATTGTCTATTCATGTCCTTAGCCCATTTGTTGATGGGATTGCTTGTTTTTTTCTTGCTGGCTTGTTTGAGTTCCTTGTAGATTCTGAATATTAGTCCTTTGTTGGATATATAGATTGCAAAGATTTTTCCCACTCTGTGGGCTGTTTACTCTGCTGATTATTTCTTTTGCTGTGTAGAAGCTTTTTAGTTTAATCAAGCATTGTTTGGGCAAATTGTTACAAATCATTCCTGCAGGACTCCATTCAGCCTAGATAACCATACTTTTGGCCCAGTTCTCACAGAATTTCTACAGAAACCCTACCTCCTCAAAGTAATAAAAAGTTTGCATTACAATCGGACTAATATCAAAGAAAATAAAAATAACAATTGGGCTAATTATAATGATTACCTACATAGCTTTCTCCATTAACTAACTCACAACAGCTCTGTTAAGTAGTCAGGACAAATATTACCACCCCCGGTTCACAGCTGGAATAATAGTACTTGCATAATAATAATTCTTGAGGGATTCTTAAATGCTGGCACTGTGTTAATTTCTTTATATTCATCGAATATCCCCAATAACCCTACAGGTAGATACTATTATTTTCCCCATTTTCAGGCCAGGTAATTAATGAAGCTTAAAAATGTAAGTACCCTGCCCCCAGGAGTGCATAATTATTAAGTAGCAGAACCAATGCTTATATTTAAATCAGAAACACTCAGAAGTAGCATAAGAATTTAGTAAAAACGAAACACACCCTCGTGCAATCCGTATTATGTGGCCACGTGCCTACCAGGGTCAGCTGGATGGTACTTGTCTGCTAGAAGTGAGTCGAGGCAGAAGAATCAACACAGGAGCTGGAAGGGCCTCTGGAAATCAGCTGGGGACTAGAGACAGGTGTGCAGCCCTCGGTTTACAGAGGCTGTGAGACCAAGAGAGTTCCAAGACCTCCAGGAAAACATCTCCCTGCTAAAAGGCTTTCCCAACCTTTAGAAATCTATTCATTTTCCCCACTTTCCATCCTCTTTCTCTTGCTATCTCTTTATCGCTCCTCCTGCCTTCTTCCTTTCTTTCCTTCAGTAAACGTTTTTTGAAACGATGATGAGCAAAAAACGCCTGATCCAGTCTATGGCGCGTTTCGGTGGGAAGATGAACACGCCTTCCCAGCAGAGTAAAACGTGATTACACCAAGGACCGGTACCCTCTCCCTTCCCTCGGCCAGGTCCACGTCCCCAGGCGTCGGAGAAGGGGTTGGACCGCGCAGCGGGGCGTCAGAGTTGCCAGGCGCCCGGGGCAAATACCGGCAGCGGTGGTTGTGCGGTGTCCTAGCAACGGGGCGGCAGCAGGGCACACACACCGCCCAAGCCCGGACGGTGGCCGCGAAGCTAGGGCCACCATGGCGGACCGCAGGCGGCGGCTCCGGCCGGGGACGTTGGCCCCGGTGCGCGAGGGCGTGAACTGCAGGTCCAGGTAAACACTCAGCGCCCGGGCCGAGGGCGCATCCCACGCGGGCCGCGCGGGGGCGCCTGGAGACCCGCGCTTGCTGGGGCGGGGGCGAGGGGAGAGGTCCAGCCTGCCTTCCCTCCTCAATGCTTCCTGTACGTACAACATAATACGCTGAGATAACCAACGCTTGGCGCTGCTCTTTGCAAAGGATTTTTCCTGCTGTCATCCTCACAACCCCCGCCTCCCACGCCCCCAGGGATGTAGACTAATATCCCCATTTCTGATGGGAAAGTGATGGCCGCAGAGTCCGCTGCGGAGGCTGGTGCCCTCCTGCTAGCCACCCACCCTTTTCCGGCCTAGCCAACCAACTGTTCGCCAGATGCCCCGGGGCGCCTGGAGCCCTGTATCCGATGTTAGGCATCTGCTGCCCCTGGAGCCTTTGGTATCCAGATGGCGGCTGTGGCCAAGTGGAGCCCAGGGTTGGGGGAGCGCCTGGGGTGCTAGGGAGGTCTGCTAACATTTTGTACGGTTGTGGTAGCCTCAGAGCAGGAACAAGAAGGTTTTTGCCTTTACCGACTCCTTGACAATCTTTTGAGAATGGAATTCGTCTGTCTTGGAGACAGCACGATGTGGTGGTGAAGATTCCAAAGTCTAGAATCAGAAAGGCTTGAGTAGAAGGCTAGTTCTCCTCTTGTTTGCCTGGTGACCTTAGGCAAGTTGGTTGCTCCTTCTGGGCTCACTTTCCTAACTATAAAATGGGGCAATAACTTAGGAATCAGCTTTCTAAGATTGTCGTGAGGATTAATGGAGATAGCACATGTAAAGTTGTCACTGGCACATAGAACGTATCGTGTACATGTTAGCAATTATTCATAGTTGTTTCTAGCAGTTATTCATAAGAGCTTCTTTGGGAAGCTTCTCCCCCCCATTTAAAAATTTTGTTTTGAAATAACTGTAGGCTCACCAGAAGTTGCAGAAATAGTACAGAGGTCCCATGTACCCTTCCCCTAGCTGCTTACAGTGGTACCATTTTACATAACGATAGCACATTGCCAAACCAGGAAACGTCATTGGCAGAATATGCTAATTGAACTAGAGACCTTACTTGGATTTTATCAGCTCTTACTTGCACTCAGGTGTGTGAGTTCTGTAACATTTGGTCATATGTATACATAAAGATACAAAACTGTTCCTTCCCCACAGAGGAACTCTTAGTATTACCCCTTTGCTGTCACTTCTTTTCCCACCCCAGCCTTGTCAATCGCTAAGCTGCTCTCCATTTCTGTAAGTTAGTTCTTTTGAGAATGTTAGATAAACAGAATAATACAGTATGTAACTGTTTGAGACTGGCTCTTTTTCACTCATCATAAAGCCTCTGAGATCCATCCAAGTTGTGTGTATCAGTAGTTCATTTTTGTTGCTGAGTCGTGTTCCTTGGTGTGGATGTACCACAGTTTGTTTATCCATTCACTTGTTGAAGGACATTCAGGTTGTTTTGGACATTCCAGTTTTGGGGCTAATATGTAGAAAGCTGCTATCGACATTTGTGTACAGAATTTTCTGAGAACATACTTTTTCATTTCTTTAGGATACATGTCCGGTATCCTTTTGCAATTCTTAAAGAGGGAAATATCCATATATCATGTACTAGTGTCTGTGAAAACAGTAAATATTTAGAAAAATTGTTTCCAGTTTTATTTTATGGGCCAAGCAAGATTTTTCCTGAACCTAACATAATGCAGAATGGTAAGCTTATTAACTATGAGAGGCCATGTGGGGGAGAGGAAAGCCCTCCCTTTACACTGGTTGCCTTACTCTCCTCTTGGAACTTAGTTTCCTTATTAAAAAGAGGAAAGCGGTAGCCAGGCATGGTGGCACATGCCTGTAGTCCCAGCTACTCAAGAGGCTGAGGTGGAGGGATTACTTGAGTCTGAGAGGCAGAGGTTGCAGTGAGCCAAGATTACACCATTGCACTCCAGCCTGGGTAACAGAGTGGAACCCTGTCTCGAATTAAAAAAAAAAAAGAAAGGAAAGAAATGAGGAAAGTGGCTCGCGCCTGTAATCCCAACACTTTGGGAAGCGGAGGCAGGAGGATCACTTGAACCCGAAGTTTGAGACCAGCCTGGGCAACATAGCAAGACCCTGTCTCCTCTCTCTACAAAAGCAATTTAAAAATTTAGCTAGGCATGGTGCCGCACACCTGTAGTCCCAACTACTTGGGGGACTGAGATTGGAGGATCCCTTGAGCCCAGGAGTTTGAGGCTGCAGTGAGCTATTGAGCTATAATTGCCACTGTACCCTAGCTTGAGCAACAGAGTGAGACCCTGTCTTGAAAAAAAAAAAAAAAACAGAAAAAGAAAAGTGAAGAAAGTAGACTGGATTTCTTTTAGGATCTCTGCCAGTTCTAACATTCTATGAAGTTTCAGCTCACTGCCACGTACATTCCCCATTTTGAGTTGTATGGCTGTACTTAAACAAAAATATTTGTTCTCAGATTTGATTTCATGAAGTGCTTGGATGCATGAGTTAGTTGTAAATGTGCATATAATGAACTTTGTAAAGACATTTAATATGGAGGGTTACTTACTAATAAGTAATGCTGAATGGGTCATTAATCTTATGATTAGATGTAATTTCAGCATCTTTCTGCCATTTAGCTATTTAAGAGTGATCTGTTAAATGCAGAGAGTAACTTTTTGTTAAGTTCATCTTTTTGTGTCCTTTCATCTAGATCTTCACAGTAGAGTTGGGTTAAGCCCTTAAAACAACACCTACACATCTATGCAACAAGTAAGAAGTTTCTAGGACTCACTAGAGAAGAATTGGGGCCAGGCTGGAATCTCTTAAAAACACTTTGTAGCAATGGGTGTAGCAAGGATTAGATTTGGTGTAAAAAGACATTATAGATAAAAGGGGTCTGAAGGTGGAAGAGGCTTCAGGGAAGGACACAAAGACTCTAGAATTACCTAACTAAGGCACTGTAATATGTGAGGATAATGAGACGCTCAGATTCCAAGTCGTGGCTTTGGTGTTCGCTGGTTGTGTTAGGTTATTCAGGAGCTTGTTCTATTTTCCTTCCTGTTTGCCCATCTGTCTCTTCCATCTCATCTATATGCCCTAACTACTCAATGCTAACAGGGCGCTGGTGGATAAGGAGGCTGAGTGAAGCAGCTATATATATGGCGGTGGGAGAGGTGGAGGTTGTGAATGAGAGAGCAGATGATTTGTCTCCAGTGGGCAACCAATATGCCAATTGGGGCTCCTTGGATAAGTGGACCCACTTTTCACAGATCTTGAAAAATCTGGCTTTTCAAGAGGAGCCATTTTTCCCGATTATTTATGTGAACATTTTTATTTATCATAAACTCCAGTAGAGTGATTAAGCACCTTTTTCTGGAGCTGCCTACCTGGGTTAAACTCCCAGCTCTACCATTTATTAGCTGTGTGACCTTTGACAAGTGTTTTGTTTTTTAACTTCTTTGTGCTCAATTTTCTTATCTGTAAATGGGAATAATACTCGTGCCTAATTCATAGGGTTGTTATGAGATTTAAATATGCTCGTATGTGTAAAGCATTTAGAACAGTAGAACAGTGTCTGTTATGTTGAAAATTCTCAATTTATGTTAGCTATTATGATTCTTATTAAAACACAAGGAGGACCAAATGACAGGTTTGTTGGCCCAATGTAGCCCATGGACAGCCATTTTGCAGCCTTTGATCCCCTGAGTTTAGGGGGAACCCACAGAGGTTACATGAAGAGCCAACGCCATTCAGCTAGTTAGGGGCTGAGTTGTCAGTGGGATCCAGGTTCTTCCCGCTCAACTGCACTCTGTCCCTTTTAGTGAAGAGAGAGAGTCCTTGGGAAAGGCAACAACTTGAGTGTCCTTCACAAAGCGAATGGAGAGATGAAATGTGGTGGCGGCAGTTGGAATAATGAATTAGATTTACATAGAGTGACATGGAAGGGTCTTTAAAATATAGTGCTGGGTAAACAAGAAGCAGAATAGTGCCATTTACGTAAATTAAGAGTGCATGCACACATAAGGATGCTTCAGAATTTCAAGGATGTGTACAAACAAAGGATATATTCCAAATCCACTAGGGCAGTTTTGCTTTTGCAAGGGAGACCAGTGAGAGTCGGATGTGGGGATAAAATAGACAAGAAAGCAAGAGAGGGGCTTTGTACGGAGCAGCAATTCTGTGCTATGAACTAGGAATATGATTAACTCCAGCTTCTCCAGTGAATCCCACTTCCCCTACCCCCAACCCTAAAAGCTGGAGACCAGCCTTTTTACTACCTCCTTCTCCCACCCAAGTCCTGTGGTTAATATGAACAGGCATGTGGTATTCTAGGTACAAAGAGAATCTATCTACCTTCCAGATGTTTCACAAAGCACAAGAACGGGCTGAAGTTCCCCACCTCTCTGCACAGCCGGCAGTTGGTATTTCCAAGAAAGGGGCTGGACGACTTCAGGAAGGGCTGCCCGCCTTGCACTGGTCTGGTGACTCAGGTCCCTGTGGAGGGCTTTCTGCCCCAGATTTATCACAGAGCTCCCCAACTGGCCCCAAAGAAGAGGCAGATCAAGCTGCTCAAGGAAGCAGACGTGCTTTCCAAGCTCTCGCCAGCCCAGCAGGCTCGGAAGGCATTCCTGGAGGACGTGGAGGCCCACCTGACCCCACATCCCTTAGCGCTCTACCTGAATCTGGAAGAAGCTATGCCCATAGAGGTGATGTGTCCTAGGGTTTGTGGGAGGGGCTTCACTGGGGCCTTGCAAATAATTCTATCTAAATGTCTAGGAAGTCCCCATGAGAGGGTGACATATTTATAAGAGGAGTGATGAATGTCTCCCCCAGGATGCGAGTTCTTATGGGCCTCAGAGCAGCCTTCTGTCCTCTGTTCCCAGAAAACACAATCAGCAGCAACATGCACACTGCTCTCTTTGCTTCCTGTGAAGCCCTTCAATTTACAAAGATGCCACAAACCAGAAACGTATGACTTCTATTCCCCATAATTTCTACCCATCTACTGTACTTTGTGTTGTGACTTTTTGGGGAGAGGAGGAAACAATGAGAGGGAATTGTCTAGTCTTATTTTTGTCACTTTAGCCTGGTATTAGGAAGTGCCCTTAAATACTTACTAATGGGTGGAAAGAATGAGACCAGAAAGGTCATGGGGAAAATCCTCCTAATGGTCCAGACTAGGGCTGGACAGCAGCAGCTCTGTGATGTCACCAATGTCCCAGGCCTCTCCTGACTTTAGCTCTATATCCTTAGTATGCATCTCTCGTCTTTGTATCTCAAAGTGGCTTCCATGCTTCCAGGCATTGAGTCTGTATTTCAGACAAGAAGAGGGAAGGGACAAAGGTTAAAGGGTGCATGCCAGCTGACTCTGTCTTTTAATTAGGCAAATAATAGCTTTCCCAGTAAACATCTCTTTCATCTGACTACTCCTAGTTGCTAGGGAGTCTAGCAAATGGAGTTTCAGAGTTGGGCATTGAACCTGAGCAAAACCCAGGTTCTATTAGATTTAAAGAGAAAAGGTAGAATGGATATTGGGCAGGGAGCTAGCAGTGACTGCAACTCCATCCGCATCCCTGCAGCCTGTATTCTACACAGAGAGCGAGACAATGGTTCAGAAAGGCAAATCTCTGCTCAGAGCCTTCCAGTGTCCCCTTCTCTCTCAGAGAAAGCCAGAGTTCTTGCTGGGATCTGAAAGGCCTTGGCATTCTGCTCTCCACAGTACCCCTGTTCTGCTCCCTCTCCAACTTCACCCCTGCTCCTGCCACTCCAACCACTCTGGCCTCCTGGCTGCTCCATCGACATTATGAGCATGTCCAATTCAGCTCTCTGTTCTGGTGCCTGAACACTTGCTCCAGACGGCTGCTTGGCTTACTCCTTCACTCCCTTTAGATCGATGCTCAAATGTCTCCTGATTGGAGAGGCCTGTATAAAATAGCACTTCCCTTCCACCCTCACATCTACTCCTTACTGTGCCCTACTTTTCACTGTAGCACTTGCCACCACTGAGCTCCTCCCACAATGAAAGCTTATAAGGGCAGGGACTTTATTTGTGTCTTTCACTGTGTACCACCAATACCTGTCCTATGGCGGACACTCAATAAATAATTTTGAATGAATGAATAAATGAATGATCGGTGGGAGAGAAGTCTACAGAAAGGACAGCTAGAATTGCTGATCAGTTAATTTCTCTCTGGGGCTTTCCCTCACTGCCTCCTGCAGGCCAGAACTTCTGAGTCCATGACAAAGAGATTGATTGTTTCCACACCTCAGATGGCACATGAGCATGGCTTGGGATTGTGGCGCTTATTTCCATGTGTGACTTCTGCAAATAGGTGTGTTGGCTTCCTGCTGAAGCAGGATCTTTTATGGTGCTAAGGTGGCCATCAGAAGATCCAGGTTTAAGCCCTACCCACTTAGCAACCCCAGCAGAAAGAGAATGCACCTTTTTGCATGATCCCAGAAAACTTCCATAGCCTAATTATCATGGATCCAACTTTGATCATGTGTCTATTCCAAAGTCAGTCACTGTGGTTCTGATTGTTTGGTCGGCCTTAGGAGTGAGGATGGGGTCAGGCTAATTCAGACCATGCAGGTTGAGAGTGGAGAGAGAGGTGGTTCTCCAAGGAAAAATCCAGATATTCATGCGAGGGAAAGTAGACAGTGGGCAGTCAAAAACCACAGAAATCCTTTAGAGGCGCTTCACTCAGTGGGGCATTTGGGGACAGGGGTAGGCCCAGAGACATATTCCATTCTAGAGGAAGTAGAACTTTAGTAAAAGACTGTGTACCCAGTGTCCAGGTGATGGGAGGTTTATCCAAGTGGTGCTGATTATAATCCCAAAAGACATAGTCCCAAACATCATAATCGTGAATGTTGAGATCCCCAAAGTCTAAAATCCCACAAATCACAATCCTGAAAGATTGAATTCCTGAATGTTGAAATCCTGAAAGCCAAATTCTGGGGAAGGGATTAGTGTGTTTTTGGTTGTATGCAGGATAGTTGCATCGTGGTAGGTGGACCTATTACCTTGCTATTGTCCTTATTTGGAAATTAAATATGGTTTAAGGAGATGAGTATAAGTGTCAACCTGACAAGAGGTGGACTTGTGGACTTAATTTTAGGTGTCAATTTGACTGGATTAAGGAATTTCCAGAAACATGGTAAAGTGTTATTTTGGATGTGTCTGAGAGGATGTCCCCAGAGGAGATTAGTATGTGAGTCTGAGTGGAGCAGGCCAGAAAGATCTACCCTCAGTGTTTCAGTGCTTCAGAGATCACAGAGTAAGTGAAAATGCAGGTGAAAAATACAAGAGATCTCCTCTGCCAAATTATTCAATTGTGTACAATTTATGCCTCTTCACATATAACACCGTGGTTGCCTTCGAGCATGTGACACCGTTTGTCAGAGAATTAAAAGAATTTGACAAGCTCAGCAACCTTCTGAACCAGACATTTGCTGATATTGAGATTCCTCCAATGTCATAACCACATAAAATGGTGAACTACTCTTGGTTAAAGATTTGACTGTCAAGAAAGATAGACTTCTTATATTTACCACTAAATCTAACATAGAAAAACTAGTGCGTGTTTCGCTTTGGCTATTGGATGGCACTTTCAAGACTGTCCCTACTTTTTAAAATCAGTGATATACAATTCATGCCCCTGTTGGATCTGGAAATTCTAAAACTTATCTACTTCTTTATATATTAATGACTGGAAACAAATGAAGTATTTTATAATCACTTATTTGAAGATTTGGTGGACTGTGCAGAAGAAAATGGATTTCTTGGAACTCCCAAACCAAAATGACAGGTTTGGAATTAAGTGTAATCAAAGCTTCTAAAAGTGAACCTGAAAGAGTTATCAATAAAAATTTTTTTTCATGTAGTCTAACACATGTGGCAGAAATTCAGATGAATGGATTGGTCATGAGATTTGGCAATGACAGAAACTTGAGTTTAAAAATGAATAATTTCATGATCCTACACCCAGAAAACCTTGAAGATTCATCCAAAAGACTCCTAGACCTGATAAACGACTTCAGTAAAGTTTCAGAATATGAAATTAATGTTCAAAAATCAGTTGTGTCTCTATACATTATCAATGCTGAAGCTGACAACCAAATCAAGAACTCAATATCATTTACAATTGCCACAAAAAACTAAAATACCTAGGAATGCATTTAATGAAGGAAGTGAAAGACCTCCACAAGGGGAACTACAAAACACTGATGAAAGAAATCATAAATGATGCTAATAAATATAAAAACATTCCATGTTCATGTAAAGGAAGAATCAATATTGTCAAAATGACCATACTATCCAAAGCAATCTACAGATTCAATGCCATTCCTGTAAAATTACCAACATAATTTTTCAAATAATTAGAAAAAACAATTCTAAAATTCATACAGAATCAAAAAAGTGTCTGATTAGCCGAAGTAATCCTAAGCAAAAAGAACAAAGCTGGGGTCATCATGTTACCCAACTTCAAACTATACTGCAAGGCTACAGTAACCAAAACAGCATAGTATGGGTACAAAAATATGCCTATAGATTAATGGAACAGAATAGATAACCCAGAAATAAAGCCACACACCTACAACCAGCTGATCTTTGACAAACTTGACAAAAATAAACAATGGAAAAAGGGCACCCTATTCAATAAATGATGCTGGGAAAACTGGCTAGCTGTATGCAGAAGAGTGAAACTGTGTCCCCATCTCTCACCATATACAAAAATTAACTCAAGGTGGACTAAAGACTTAAATGTAAGACCTGAAACTATACAAATTCTAGAAGAAAACCTACAAAAAAACTCTTCCAGACATTGGCTGAGGCAAAGAATTTATGACTAAGACCTCAAAAGCAAATGCAACAAAAACAAAAATAGACAAATGAAAGTTAAGCTAAAGGACTTTGAACTGCAAAAGAAACTATCAACAGAGTAAACAGACAGCAGCCTGCAGAATGGGAGAAACTATTTGCAAACTATACATGTGACAAAGGACTAATGTCTAGAATTTATAAGGAACGTAAACAATTCAACAAGAAAAAACAATTCTATTAAAAAGTAGGCAAAGCCATGAAGTCTCCCCAGGAGGTTAAGGCTGCAGTGATTGCACCATTGCACTTCAACCTGGGTGACAGAGTGTGAGACCCTGTCTCAAAAAAAAAAAAAGTGTACAAAGGACATGAACAGCCACTTCTCAAAAGAAGACATACAAGCAGCCAACAAACATATGAAGAAATACTCAACATCAGTAATCATCAGAGAAAAGCCGATTAAAACCACAATGAGATACGAGATACCATCTCATATCAGTCAGAATAGCTATTATTGAAATAAAAAAAATAACAGATATTGGCAAGGATGCAGAGAAAAGAGGATGCTTATACACTGTTGATGAGACTGTAAGTTAGCTCAACCTCTGTGGAAAACAAGATGGAGATTTCTCAAAGAACTAAAAATAGAACTGCCATTCAACCCAGCAATTCCACTACTGGGTATCTACCCAAAGGAAAAGAAATTGTTTTATCAAAAAGACACCTTCACTTATATGTTTATCACAACACTATCACAATAGCAAAGTCATGAAATCAACCTAAGTGTCCATCAATGATGGATTGGGTAAAGATAATGTGGTATGTATATACCATGAAATACTGTGCAGCCATAAAAAGAATGAAGTCATGTCTATCGTAGCGACATGGATGGAACTGGAGGCCATTATCCTAAGTGAAATAACTCAGAATCAGAAAATCAAATACCATGTGTTCTTGCTTATAAGTGGGAGCTTAACAATGGGTATACATGGTCATAAAGATGGAGATAATAGACACTGGGGCCTCCAAAAAGGGGGGTTAGGAGGGTGTTGAGGATTCAAAAACTACCTATGGGGTACTATGTTCACTATTTGAGTGATGGGTTCACTAGAAATCCAAACCCCAGTATTACACAACATACTCATGTAACACACCTGCACATGTACCCCCGAATCTACAATAAAGAATTAAAAGGTAAAATAAAAAGTTTTTTTTTAAGGAAAAAAATAAACATGAAAACAAGTGTCATTTGTTCGCATTAGCATTCCTTACAGCTGCTGAAATTCCAGGAGCTTTTAATAAATTAAAGCTGCATCTGCCTGAAGAGATCAGTGATATTACTGACTGGTTCAAAAATAATTATAGGATAAGTAAGATAAGAAGATGGTGTTGCTACTGGATCACCAGTATTGTTTCTGCCAACTTTGGGGTCTGTATATGAGTATATGTGGAATGGATTTCCCTATACCCAGAACAACATAGAAGTATGGCACAGAAGAGGGGAAAATGTAATAGGGAGTACTCACGTGAGTGTATATTGAATCACAGAAGAATTTTAAAAAGAGCAGTGCATGTAGAAAATGAATATGAACGTATTCTCCAAGGAGAGCCCTAAAAGAAAAAAAGCAACTATTTACTATGATGCAAGACTTCAAAATATAGTTAATGATCATAAATGCCTGCCAGTTCTTATGGAATACCTCTGTGTAATTGCCCATAATCTATCTCTCTTATACATTTTTTAACATGTTGAATTTTCTTCTTAGCTTTTTTTTAGTGCCCCCCACACTATTTTAAATTGTAAGTGTTATTTTTTACAATTCACTATGTTATGTGTTTCATCTTTGCATCATTTCTAATGCTGGAGATGTACATTGTGTAAAGACTTTTATAGAGCTCTAATTCATTTCATGCCTTTTTTGCAAATTCGACTTCATGAAAATGCATTGTCACAAAACTAACTTTGTGTGTAAGCATTGTGGATTTACATAAAAACATTGAAACTTCATCAATGAATGAAGAGATGTCCTTTTTTGTTCATCTGTATTTGTGAAAGATAACATTTTTTGATATCTTGGTTCTTTGGGTAACTGCACATAGAGTGGTGTCCCATCATGATTGTTTTTTGTTTGTTTTTTTGAGACAGGTTCTCATTCTGTCACCTAAGCTGGAGTGTAGTGGTGCAATTATAGTTCACTGTTACCTCAAACTCCTGGGCTCAAGGGATCCTCTCACCTTAGCCTCCAAGTATCTAGGACTACAGGAGGGCACCACCATGCCTGGCTAATTTAAAAAAATTTTTTAAATAGAAACAGAGGTCTTGCTATGTTGCCCAGGCTGGTCTCAAACTCCTGGCCTCATGCCATCTTCCTGCGTAAGCTTCCCAAAGCACTGAGATTATATGCCTTAGCCACTGTGCCTGGCCCCATTGTGCTTTTTGATTGATTTTGTCAAAAGGCTTAGGTTGTACATCACTGTGTTTCAGATGACTGAAATTATAAAGCAGAGTGCACACAATTGCCAAACATAGTGGTATGCGTTTATACATATCACTTTTTGAGCTATTTCTTCATGAATATGGTTTCCCTGCTCATATTATAGCCATGTGACTGCTAGTACACCTGACTGTTTATGCTTGCAAAACTATGTATATTGTTATTGCCTAATTCGTTGTGTAAAATGGCCAATGAAGTGTTCTCTCATTTTTACATTTCTCAAATAAATCTCCATCTAAAAATTTAAGTGCCTTTAAAATACTTTTTTTGCAATTTTTTTTCAGAATTATAGTTTTGGGATTTTAATTTTGGGGATTGTGATTTTGAGGATTTTAGACTTTAGGGATTATGATCTTTTAGGATTTTAACATTTGGGATTATGCCTTTTGGGATATGGTCCAAATCTATCCATAGCACCCAGCATAATACTTGGCACAGAAGTTGGTGAACAGCACTGATGGACTGAAAAGGAAAAGTGAAGGGCAAGTTGGTCTGTTTTGTTGTAGAATGGGGACTCCCTTCTTCAGCATGTTTTTCTTTTCCTCTAAGACTATTTTCTGTTTGTAGCTCTTATCAAAGGTGCTGGAAGTGCTTGATCCTGACCGGAAGCTGGAGGACACATGGGCTTATTGTCAGGACACCAGGAAAGGAATGAAGGAACCCACGAAGCTTTTAAAAAAACATTCTACCCAAGTCTACCTGGGACCGTGAGTATTGTTCTTAACCCTTCGATCATTGCTGTCACCTGATGAAACATTCTAGGAATTACCTTCTTAAAACTTCTCATCTTTAGAATACTTCTAATGAAGCAAATGTAACTAAGTTCCCAAGGAAGAGGGAAAGGAGTCCTAGGTACCGCTCTAAATAGTGCTTATTTCTTCAAGGGATGTGATTTATCCAGCGACGACGCAGACACAGGCGTCTATAAGGAAATTCCAGAGAGAGTCCCTCCCTATGCTTGAGGGGTAGAAACAGTGAAGGTTAGAAAATCCTTGATTTTGAGGCAGCTTCTAAGGCTTTCCAATTTCCTTTAATTCAAAAGTGCTCAGCATGCCAAAGCACCATACTTTTGGGGTATCATCCTTTGTGCCCCAAGAAATGTCAAGGCTGGAGGGCAGTGAAGAGATCACAACTCACTGCAGCCTTGAGTTCTGGACTCAAATGATCCTCCTGCCTCAGCCTCCTGAGCAGCTGGGACTTCAGGTATGTACCACCATGCCTGACCTAAGCCTTTTTTCTGAGTATAGGTCTACTGCTTGGAGTTTCCACCCATCTTTTTTGCATAAACCATACCTGTAATACTACCTTCATTGACCCTTCTCAAAGCATTAAGCTTAACGAAAGCACCTCCCTTTTGTAACACATTCTTGATTCCCCAGTCAATATAATATTTAATTAAATAACATAAACGCAGTGATAAGTTTACTGGACACAAATAGATTTGGGATACACATTTTTTGTTTGTTTGTTTGTTTTTGAGACAGAGTTTTGCTCTGTCTCCCAGGCTGGAGAGCAGTGGCACAATCTTGGCTCACTGCAACCTCTACCTCCTGGGTTCCAGTGATTCTTATGCATCAGCCTCCCATGTAACTGGGACTGTAGGTGCCCACCACCACACCTGGCTAATCTTTGTACTTTTGGTAGAGGCAAAGTTTCGCCATGTTGGCCAGCCTAGTCTTGAACTCCTGGCCTCAAGTGATCTGCCCACCTCTGCCTTCCAAAGTGTGGAGATTACAGGCATGAGCCACTGGGCCGGGCCTACATTTGACTTTTGAAATTAAAGACCTCACTGATGGGTGCTGAAGAGTACGGTGAACTAGAGAGTAGCCTATCCACAGTACCCAGACACTTAGAGGAGTGTGGACTGTGGTCAGTGTGTTTGGTGGGGGCCATGTAGAGCTTGTTGGTCACACACATTACCTACGTGGAGGTGGATTTAGAGGGAATCTACTGCATTACATTATATATGTTTTTTAGGGTAAGACACAAGGTGAGAGGAACTCTAGTCTTAGGACATTTCTGACTCTTCAGTCCACCTCCTGGTAAATGTAGGAAGGGTAACTGGACGTGCTTGTCTCAGTTCTGCCTTTCCTCCATGAGGAGCAAGATGGCCCATGGGAAGCACAATTTCTCCTTGCTTCCCCATTCTAGAGGGGAGGACTGTCCTGGTCCAGCCTTGCAGGGGACTGGGTGGAAGGGTCTGCCAATTTCTGAGTGTCAGTTAGCAAGTCCTCTTGGACCTAAAGCCATGTCGTCTATCATGGCTGCTGTTATCAGTGAAGGGGATATTTTGGCTACTGTCTTTGCTCTCTGTATTGTTTTTGAAGTTGCTCAGAACTTGGGTGAGGGAGCGAGAGGAGTGTTATATGTAGGGATCTGTGATATAATAAATATATTTGGTCTTTGTCCCCAGTTACTGACACAGGGCTCCTAAAACCCTTGGGATTTCCTGAGTGACAGGAATGCTTTTTGTTATTCATAAGGAGCCCCTTTTAGTCACTGGTGAGTTTATGCTAATGAGGTGCTCAGGTTGAGGCCCCTAGATTGTCTTAGAATGTGGCTGGTCATCAGAAAGACCAAGTGATTAGAGGGTTAGAATGTTCAGTCCCACTCAGTGTGACCTCTCAGAGGGGAAAGAGAGGGGCGTGGCTGAAGATTAAAAACTCTTGAACACATATATCTGATGAACCTCCGGGTTGATGGACACATCCAGGTGCTGGCAGGATGCAAGCGACACCAACTTCCACTCACCAGATAATCTGTCCTTTCCTTTAGAGCAAAATTTTTTGAAAGAGGCATTCATACTCACTTAGTCTTTTTCTCTCCAAACAACAATCAGGCTCTTATCTCCACCACTCCACTGACCTGACCTTAGTCAAGGTCTCCTTTGACCTCTATGTTAACTAAATCAGCTCTCAGGGATCACCATACTTGTTGTATACATAGTAGCAATTGACGTAATTGATCATGTCCTCTTTCTCATAACACTTTCTTTACTTGGCTTCTGGAACATCCCTCTTTCATGGACCTCTCCGTAGTCATCTTTTACTGGCCGCTCTTTACCTTCTAGCCTTGAAGTACTTTGGTCTTTGACGTCTTTTCAGCACGTTTACTCACAACCAAGTGACCTCCTCTGGTCCATCTGTATATGGTTAATTCAGTATTTGTCCTTAGTTGTATAATTGGCATCTCAGACTAGACAAACCCAAAACTGAACTCTTGTTTTCTCCCCCGAACTTATTCCTCCTTCTGTCTTCCCCAGTTCAGTAAATGGGAACCCCATCTTTCCAGTTTTTTTCTGGAACAATAGTTGCAATCTGCCAGCAAATGGTAATGACTTTACTTTTGAAATGTATCCAGAATCTCACCTTCTCCACTACTACCAGTCTATTCCAAGATTCCATCACCTCTTGCCTGGATTGTTGCAATAGCTTACTAACTGGTCTCATGGCCTCCACCCAAGCTCCCCTCTCTCAAGTCTATTTGTCACACAGTAGCTGACATAATCCTTTTAAAAATGTAAGTCAAGTCGTGTCATTCCAGTGCTTGAGATTCTCCAATTGCTTATTTTTCTGAGTAAAATCCAAAGTCCTTACAACTGCCTTCAGAGTACTGTATGATTAGGTCCCTGTCACCTCTCAAGCCTCATCCTCTACTATTCTACTCTTTAATTACTCCGCTCCACGGGACTTTGTGTTCTTTGGACATGCTCAGCACACTCCCAGCTCAGCTCTTTGCACATGCCATTCTTTTCTGTCTGTTATCTGCATGACTTGACATTTACATGGTTTGACCCCTTTCTTCTTTTGGGTCTTTGGTCAAATATTACTTTAATAGAGACAACTTCTCTGTATAAATAAAATGCTCCCTACCATCACTCTCCATCCCCCTCCTGTCCTATTTTACTTTCTCTATATAACTTATAATCACCCGGCATATGTTTGTTTACTATCTGTCTCTCCTATTCAGTTGTATACTCTATGAGGACAGGGGCTTAAGTTTATTTACAGTTCAATTCTAATGCCTGGCACATAGTCTGTGCTTACTGAATATTTGTTGAATGAATGGGTGGATAAATTAATATGAGTGTTATGAATAAAAGGTACAGGGGCTATGAATAAAGAGTAGCTTCAGGGGACAGCTTGTGGGGATGCCTCCCCGAGGAAGGCACATGTATGTTGAGATATGAAGGGGATAAGGAAATGGTGACAGCATTGCAGTCAGATGCAACAGCTCAAGCAAAGGCCCAATGGCTGGAGGGAGCAGCATGAATTCACAGAACTGAGAGAAGGCCACATTGGCTGGAGCTCAGAGAGTAAAAAATGGTGGTGGGTCCCAAAGAACCTGGAGAGCCAGGCCATGCAGAGCCCTGGAGGTTGTGTCAAGATTTAAGTCTTTATTGGAGGAATAGCAAGAGGCTATTGAACACAAAAGCTTGTTCATGAATATCCATAGCAGCATTGTCCTTAACAGGCAAAAAGTGGCAACAGCCCAAAAGTCCATCACCTGGATATGTTTGTGAATGGATAAACAAAAAGTGGTCTATGTAGACCATGGAGTATTGGCCATAAAAAGGAATAAACTACTAATACATGCTACAACATGGATGAGCCTTGAAAACATTATGCTAATTAAGAGAAGCCAGACACAAAAGACTGCATATTGCATGGTTCCATTCAGATGAAATATCCAGAACAGGCAAATCTACGGAGACAGAAAAGTAGGTTAGTTGTTGCCAGGAGCGAGGGAAATGGGGAAATGGTGAGTGATTATTAATGGCTGCGGGGTTTCTTTCGGGGTAATAAAAATGTTCTGGAATAAGATAGTGGTGGTGGTTGCACAACTTTGTGAATATATAAAGGGTACTCTCATACACTTTTGAAGTGGTAAATTTTATGAATTTCATGGTGGATGAATTATATCTCAATTTTTATAAAGAAGCTATTGATGGTGACGAAGCGTGGCTGCATTTGATATGTCCAGAGTTACATTTTGAAATGACTGCTTGGGATGCATTGTAGGGAATGGATTGGGGGTTGGAGGTTGGGGGAGCCATAGGAGTTGATGATGCAGAGACACTAGCATTTTGCAGCAGTCCAGAGAAGGAGACAGTTACAATCTGCCAGACCTTAACTGAGCTGGATTTTAAGAATGTTAGAGAAGTCAAGGATGACTCCTACTTGTCAAGGTTGCCTGAGGCTTTGGTAGACTTCAAGCACAGTAATTTGGGCTTTTACCCAGTACATGTTTTAATAAATGGTACTCAAAATTTAAAAAAATCAACTTATAATGGTAAATGCTATGTAAGTTTTAATTATTATAACTAATCATGATATACTTGTCTTTATGATATTCGTAATGAGAATGTGCTCTTTGAAAAATTAAAATACAATTTGTATGTGAGCTTGCAAGAGACTGTTAGAAATACTTGCTTTATGATTTCCTTTTGCCTCTAAAACTGTTTGAAATCCATTTGGATTCATTGTGTCTCATATTGTAATTCTTTAATGATCTTATCTTTAGTTCCAAGAAGACGTCTGTGTCAAACGCAGGCCAATGGCTTTATGAAGAAAAGCCACATAAAATGGATTTGCTCCATGAAAATGGTCCTCGTCCTGGTCTTCATGAAAATGTATGCAAAGCAGTTAGTGACTTCTGCAAGTGGGTTACTACTTTTGTAAGTTAGTGGTAATATTTAAACCTACTTTTAAATGTCAAGCTCAAAGTTGCTTTTATTAAAAAACAGTATTGGATAAAATCTAAGTCAAATCCTCAAAGTCGTAAAGGAATCATTTTCTTCTATTATGTATAAATAGAAATATTTCTGGTAGATGAAATTTCTGGAAAGGTTGCAAACTTGCTGCTAATTTGAATGTTTATGTTTACATCTCACATCATTGCAGCTGTTTCATATTTTTATTTTCCATTTTATTGTTAGGACTTTCTTTTCTCTCTTTCACTCCTTCAACTCATTTTTCTTAGTTAGATTTACCTAGAAGTACTCTGGCAGGTACTCCTTGATTATAATCTTCACACAAAAATGTTCTGACATGCCAGGTGCAGTGGCTCATGCCTGTAATCCCAGCACTTTTGGAGACTGAGGCGGGCAGATCACTTGAGTTCAAGAGTTCAAGACCAGCCTGGGCAATATGGCAAAACCTTGTCTCTCTTGTATTTTTGTAAAAAATATAAAAATTAGGCCGGGTGCAGTGGCTCATGCCTGTAATCCTAGCACTTTGGGAGGCCAAGGTGGGTGGATCACAAGGTCAGGAGTTTGAGATCAGCCTGACCAACATGGTGAAACCCTGTCTCTACTAAAAATATTTAAAAATTAGTCGGGTGTGGTGGTGTGCACCTGTAATCCCAGCTACTCAGGAGGCTGAGGCAGGAGAATTGCTTGAACCTGGAGGCAGAGGTTGCAGTGAGCAGAGATTGCGCCACTGTACTCCAGCCTGGGTGACAGGGAGAGACTCCGTCTTAAAAAAATATAAATAAATAAATAAATAAAAATTAGCTGGGCATGATGGTGTGCCCCTTCCCACACAGGAGGCTGAGGTGGGAGGATTGCTTGAGCCTGGGAAATCGAGGCTGCAGTGAGCTGTCATCATGCCATTGCACTCCAGCATGGGCAACAAAGCAAGATCCTGTCTCAAAAAAAAAAAAATCTGACATAAAGAGACTTTTGACTCAGTTATCAAGGTCTTCCCTTGTGCGCCTTCCAAGAACCTATATAGTTGCCTATTCCTGTTCCTGAGTCTCTGTAGATGTCTAAATACCTGATGCTTTTCTTGGATTTAAGGTCTTTAGGATTTGCATTCCATGTCCCCACCCCATCTTTTGAGTGTTAGTTTTAGTCAATGTATTTTTTTTAGTACTTTAAACATCAAGCTACTTACTTCATTGGCAAGTGACTTAAATATAATTCAGATTGGTTTAAGAGAGAAAAGGGAAGCATCCAGATATAGTAGGAACTTCAGGCACAGCTGGATCCAGGTGCTGAAATATTTTTAGATGTTGTTCCTATCTTTTGGCTGTGCAACTTGGACTTCATTCTCAATCAATATTTCCCCAAGAAATGGCAAAAGTAGCCACTAAAATTTCCAAGCTTATATCCTACCAGCGAGCAACCTAAGTGTGAAGACAGCAAAGCTTTTCCATTAGGGAAAAGTCCAGGAATTACTCTCACTGGACTAACTTGGGGCACATGCTTTTGCTTGAATTAACCATTATGATTAAGGAGATGGAATATGCTTATTGGCTAGGCCATGACACACACCTAACCCTGAAGCCAAGAGTGGGGGTGTCCAGCCCAGCTGCAACAGAGTGAGAGTGACGGACAGAGACTCCTCAGAGGGTGATTGAAGCGGGGATGCTGGATGAAGCAGACGACGCCCACTATGCCTAGTATCCAAACTACTGCTTGTCCATAATCTGTTCAGATTGGATTGCCTGATTTCCAGCGTCCACTTCTCCCATTCCTGCTGCTGGAGGCGATTCGTCTCTCAAGGCAGGAAACTGAAGGAACCTTAGAATAAGAGTTTAGCTTCTCTGGTAACTGCCTGTAGTTTCAGACCCTGTGACCAAGCTCCCATCTTTACTGTCATCCCACAAGCTGGGTCCCTGTCTCATCACCCTGTGGGATTTTCTTCACAGCACTAGCTTGTGCTTTTCCTTCCATGCTGTTTGTTTATTTTTCACCTCATTGATTCTGCTTGCTTTATTTCTGCTTCATTATTACGTTAGCCTCGTTTTGCCTGTACTTGTCCCTTTATGTCCCTGATTCTGTTTCATGACTCCTCTCTATAAATTTTACTCCAGCCACAATGCCAGCTGCTGGTGACTTCATTCTCTCTGTGTTTCCCAGTTTCTGTTTTCCAGTGTGAGATTCTATTGAGTCTAAGATATAGCCTTGAGCCATATCATAGGTAAATGCTCAGCATACAGATTAGCTGCTCTTAATGTGCCCATCTCTACTCCCACCAGCTGTAGCTGAGGGAAGGAAATGGTGAAGGTTGTTCTGTGTACAGAATGCGGCTGACTAAAACCGCCTCCTTCAGCAGGAGCTGTGAACCTGGCAGCTTCCATTATACAGAGTTATTGGCAGAGAAAACACTGCCATATCTACACAAGTCTGGAAAATACTTCTAGAGATGGCACCACTATAAAGTGCTGGAGAAGTTTGCTATGGATCAAACTGAATTTCCCTCGGGCTCATGATTTCCCTCACTGCTTCTTGCAAAGTCCTAAGCTGTCTCTTAATGACAAAGCCCTCCAAACCCCAAACACTTCTTGTCTTCAATGAATGCTGACTGAGCATTTTCTACCTCTCCCCAAACTACCTCTTTCCTCAGCGATGGCCCTCAGATTAAAGAAGAAAGCAAAGAGCATTTCACCGATTGCCCTCAATTCATGCAATGTGATATTCTTCCAGGGAATTTCGGACATCGATGAAGAGTTCATCTTGAAACAGTTTGACATTGACTATGAGACCAAACCAAGCCATGATGCGCTCCACACGATGAAGCTAAATCAGGTTCCTCTGGAGCTAAAGCGTAGTGTGGGGCTCAGTAAACTGCAGGAGACAGAGTTCTTCCAGAAACTAGGCTATGAGAGGAAACTCCAGAAACCACAGGTAATTGCAGAAGGGGACCAGACCGAAAATCAAAGAAAATTAAGTTGTATTGAAGTCTTAAAGTTCTTGAATTCTGATGTGTCATGGGTACTGGTTTTTTAAAGTAGAATTCTGGAATTTTTTTCATGATTAATATTTGTTAAATAAATGCATGTTTAATACCTATAACAAAGTCAGTTATACAAATGAGGCATGTCATTTGGGATTATTTTTAATACCTGAATAGTCATTTTCAGAGATAATTTGTTAGGTGTTTTATATGTTGGAATACTAAAAGTCAGTAGAAATATACATGAATGGTTATTATTGCAAGAGCAAAATGCTGCAATTAATTATTATGAATGCTGTTAATATTATGTCCAAAGAATTCTTAAATTTTTGCTGGAGTCTTATTGACCACAAACCATCATTCTTGACCACATGCTTGCCTAATGATTAACAAGTTTCCTCAGCACCAAGTTTCTGTAAAGATGGAAGAACAAGGTAACAGAAAGGAGAAATAACATGCCATGTTCCAAAGGGAAGTATTGTGGGCCCCTAAAGTACTATTTACTTTTCTACAGTGTGTCACTGCAAATATATATACACAAGTCAAGTTATGTGAGTCAACAACAGATTTAAGTTCCTAAGTTGGAGGGGAGAGCCCTTCCCTGAAAATGAAAAACAATATTTTATCTCTAATTGTCTTCTGCCTTTTACACATAATCTTTGATATTATACTTCAATATTTGGGACATATTAATTTTGTCCTTTACAGTTGAACACATTTGCCAACCTATTTTGGCACACATTATGTTTCTATCCTTTACTCCATTGCATACGGTTTATGAAAACTATGCATTTCATCATGAATATCAGCACTTTTATTTTTCCATTCTCCTTTCATCTTTCTAAAAGGTAAAATGCAAAATGGTATTAGACAGGCAAATTATGTCCATCACACCTGAGGCCTGAACCACTGCTTGTCCTGATTCTGGGCTGAATAAAATTGCTCAATTCCCTGTATTTAGAAATAGTTATGCAAACACTACTTTATAAACCATGGAAGTTATTGCCAAAATTGAGCTTTTGACTGGCAAATGGAGGGTCACTATACAAAAGTTGAAAATATATTTCCACATAATATATTTTCTCTTCTGACTAGAAGACCTCTTTTGACATTTCTTCCAGGGTGGATCTGCTGGTGATGAATTCTTTCAGCTTTTGTATGTCTGAAGACAACTTGTTCTGCCTCATTTAAAAAGATTCAGTAGTCGCCTGTTATCTGTTACCTGTAGGGGTTATGTTCCAAGATCCTCCAGTGGATGCTGAAACTTTGGATAGTGCTAACTCCTATATATACTGCGTTTTTTGATATGATAACAGGCGGTTACTCAGTGACTAAGGGTGGGTAGTGTGTACAGTGTGGATACTCTGGACAAAGAGATGATCATATCCCTGGAGGAATGGAACAAGGATGGCTTGAGATTTCATCATGCTACTGAGAATGGCTCACGATTTAATACTTATGAGTTGTTTATTTCTAGAATTTTCCATTTAATACTTCAGACCGTGGTTGACCACAGGTAAATGAAAATGCAGAGAGCAAAAACATGGATAAGGGGGAATTTTGTATTTTGTGGGAAAAGAATTCTAGTTCAAAGTTAATTCACAGTTTTAAAAATTTCACTAAAGGTCTTGCCTTCCTGTCTTCTTGGTTGTACTGTTTCTAGGAGAAATCTTATATCATCCTCATCTTCTTTTTGGGGGGATGTGCTTTTTCCTTGGATGCTTTTAATATTTTCTCTTTGTCACTGGTTTTGAGCATTTTGATTATCATAAACCTTGGTGTATCTTTCTTCATGTTTCATGTACTTGTGGCTTGTTGAGCCTTTTGGATTTGTGGGCTTATAGTTTTCATTAATTTTGGAAAATTTTGGACTATATTTCTTCAAACTTTTTTTTTGTTGTTTTTCAATCCCTTCCCAGAACTCTAATTAACTGTAATTAGGCCGCTTGAAGTTGTTTTACAGCTCACCACTGCTCTGGTCAGCTTTTTAAATTCTCTTTTCTTTTTGTGTTTCTATGGCTATGTCGTTAAATTCTCTATTTTTTTTTCTGCAATGTCTAATCTTCTGTTAATCCCATCTAGTATTTTTTTAGAATCTCCTATGTTATAATTTTTATCTCTAAAAGTTTAACTTAGGTCTTTTTAATTTATATCTTCCATGTCTCAACTTCACCTTTTGCGCATAAAAAACATAGTTATAACAATTGCTGTGATGGCATTGTTTACTGATTCTAACATCTGCATCAGTTCTGTGTCAGTTTCCACTAGGTGATTTGTCTCCTCATTATGGGTCATACTTTCCTGAATCTCTGTGTGGCTGGTAATCTTTGATGGATGCTAGGCAGTGCTAACTTTATCTTACTGGGTGTTGACTATTTGTATTCCTATAAATATTCTTGAACTTTGTTCTGGGATGCAACCAAGTTACTTGGAAGTTTGATCCTTTTGAGTTTTGCTTTTAAGATTTGTTGGGGTTGGGTGTGGTGGCTTATGCCTGTAATCCCAGCATTTGGGGAGGCCAAGGCAGAAGTATCACTTGAAGCCAGAAGTTCAAGATCAGTTCGGGCAACATAGTGAGACCCCAGTCTCTACAAAAAAAAATTTAGAAAAGAAATTAGCTGGATGTGGTGGCATGTACCTGTAGTCCCAGCTACTTGGGAGGCTGAGGCAGGAGGATTGCTTAAGCCTAGGAGTTCAAGGCTATAGTGAGCTATGATTGTGCCACTGTACTCCAGTCTGGGTAACAGAGTGAGACTTTGTCTCTATTAAAAAAAATTTGTTGGGAAAGACCAAAGTAATGTGGGGTAATTATTCCCTGCTATTGAGGCAAGACCCTTCTGTGTGTTCTGCCTAGTGTCCTGTGGATCTTTAGGTTTTCCAGGAGGAAGAAGGCAGTGTTCCTGGCCCTGTGTAAGTGCTGGACACTGCCCTCTTTTCCTTTTGGTTCTTTCCCTGACCATGGGTAGTTTCCTCCCACACATGCACAAAGGGTACCCTCTGAAATCTCCTGGAGTTCTCTCTCTGTGCAGCTTTTTCTTTTCTGATACTCTGTGCTGCAAACTTTCTCTGCCTTGATCTGTCTGGACTCTCGGTCCTGTCATCTCAATTCAGAGAGTCCATTGGGCTCCTCCTGGGCTCTCCCTGAAGGCAGTGAGCTAGGGCAGTCGTGAGGCTTATCTTGTTTGTCACTCAAGGATCACTATCCTTGGTTACCCAATGTCTTGTGTCTTGCACAGTATTAATTCATGTATTTTTTCTTGTTTTTTGATTGTTGAAGGTGGCAGGGTAAATCTGGTCCCCATTCTGAAGTCCCTGTCTTTGTTTTCTGGGCATCCCTGTCTTTATTTTCTGACTCCACATACCCTCAGGCCTGCTAAACTGTGGTCTTTGGTGTATGAGCTTTCCTGCCACCTTAGCCTTGCTCATAGTATTCTCGCTGCCTGGAGTGCCCCTCCTCTCCATGTCCATAGGTTCTATCTTCCTTTAGACACAGGAAGTATGCTGATTTTTCCATGGAGCTCTTCTAGGTCGCTTGGTTGACATTAATTTGTTCTTACTTCTAATCTCTCACAGCAATCTGTGCCTCTATTTTATATATCTTTCTTTGCCGTCTATATTAATTCATCAATTTGTGTATGCATTTATTCAAAAACAGTAGTAGGTTTTTGAGCACCGACCACTATGTGTCCAAAAGTGCTGGGAACAAGTGAAGCAAAAATGGAGGACTGTTTCCTGCACTTATGGAGATTACAGCCTAGTGGGGTCAACAGGTAAATGATTAACTATAGCGAAATGATGTCATGGTTTGTGCAGGACATAGGAAGAGGTAATCAATTCCATCAAGCACGGGGTGAGGGCATGTTTACAAAGGCATCACAGAAGGAATTATGTTTATCTTGAGTCTGGAAAGATCACCAGTTACCCAACAACATAACATATTCCAGAATTCAAGTTCTTCAGTGTGGCAGTAATGTAGATTCCATTCCTCTCCTTCTCCCCTTTCTACCCCAATCTCTTTCCTTCCCTTTTTCATTTCAGTGGTTCACATCTGAGGGCAATTTGCCCCCCTTCCTCCACCTCAGGGATATTTGGCAATATCTAAAGATGACATTTTTGGTTGTCACCACTTGGGGGATGCTATTAGAATCTAGTGGGTAGAAGCCAGGAATGCTGCTAAACATTCTATGATGCATGGGACAGACAGACAGACAGACAGACAGACACACACACACACACACACACACACACACACCCCTCCCCTACATACAAATAGTTCTCCAGTACCAAATGTCAATAGTGCCAAAGTTAAGAGACCTGACTTTCATTCAACAAATACTTATTAAGCACCCATTATGTCCTAAGTATTTTTCTAGATGCTAGGGAGATGTAGCTGGGAATAATTTCCGAAGCTTATATTTTAGAGAACAAGAAGAGAGACAGACAAACGATCAGAAAATATATAGCATAGAAATGGTGATGAGGGTCATTAAGAAAAGTGAAGCAGAGAAAGAAGGCAAAGACTGTTGGGAGGGGGTTACTTTTTTTTGTTTGTTTGTTTTTTTGTTTATTTGGGGAGACAGCGTCTCACTCTGTCGCCCAGGCTGGAGTGCAGTGGCGTGATCCCAGCTCACTGCAACCTCCACCTCCCGGGTTCAAGCGATTCTCCTGCCTCAGCCTCCCGAGTAGCTGGGACTACAGGCATGCGCCACCATGCCCAGCTAATTTTGTATATTTAGTAGAGACAGGGTTTCACCAGGCTGATCTCGAATTCCCAACCTCAGGTGATCCGCCCACCTTGGCCTTCCAAAGTGCTGTGCCCGGCCCAGGGTTACCATTTTTTAAATTGGATGGCCAGGGAAGATGCCACTGAAAAGATGACATGAAATAGGTAAAAGAGCAAGCCATGTGTGTGTCTTGGGGAAAAACATTACAGTAGAGGGAACAGTGTGTGTAGAGGCACTGAGGCAGAAGCATGACAAGGGTGCTCTGGAAATAGCAAGGCGGTCTGTATGCTCGGAACAGAGAGATCACAATGCTGAATCCAGCTCTGGAAGAGATTTCCCTCCCGTCTCCTCTGTCCCATCCTCTCTTTCTTGGAGCGTATCTGGCTCGACTCTAGAATGCCCCACACATTCTGCCACATAGTTTAAATGTGCATGAGAGGAGACAGAGACAGAATCTTTGTGGTTTCATGTTTCTGACACCCAAGAGTTAGACTCCCTTTTGTGGTGAGACAGTGTGGGTATTGCATTCACAGTATCAGTCTATGAACCAACAACAGGTTCTCCTAACGTCCTTGATGTGCTACTGAGGAATCGGGGAAAGAAGGGAATGAGATATGTTCATCGTCCTCTTTCTCTCTTCCAGTTATAAAGGCAAGAGCTTGGCTGGGCGCAGTGGCTCAGGCCTGTAATCTTAGCACTTTGGGAGGCCGAGGCGGGCGGATCACGAGGTCAGGAGATCAAGACCATCCTGGCTAACATGGTGAAACCCCGTCTCTACTAAAAAATACAAAAAAATTAGCCGGGCATGGTGGTGGGCGCCTGTAGTCCCAGCTACTTGGGAGGCTGAGGCAGGAGAATGGTGTGAACCTGCGAGGCGGAGCTTGCAGTGAGCCGAGATCGTGCCACTCACTGCACCCCAGCCTGGGCGACAGAGCGAGACTCCGTCTCAAAAAAAAAGAAAGAAAAAGAAAAAAAAAAGGCAAAAGCTTGGTGTTAGCAGTTTGATAAAAAAAAAAATATTGTAGCATGTGCAAGGCTGAGCACCGTGCTGGGCTCACACTATTTAATAACTTACTATTTTGGTTGACTGAGTATTGTTCAAGGTCTTTACCCTAGGGGGAAATATGTGATTTTTACGTGATTCCTAGCTGCTTTACATACATTCTCTCCTTTAATCTTCACAACAGCCCTGTGGGGATGTATACTATTGTTATCTCCATTTTACAGATGAAGAATTTATGTAACTTGATCATGGACTCCACCTACTAAGTTGGGGAAAGCTGGATTTGAACCCTGGTCTGTCAAAATCCAAAGGCCATGTTATTAACCACTGCATTATTTTTAAATCATGAACTTTAATGTTTACTTTGTAAAATCAAAGCATGCTGAAACTTCACAAAATACTTTGGCAAGGACCAACCTAAATTCCAAAGTAATGATCCTGCTCTCCTAAGCTAAGCTTTAGATTTTTGAAATGACAAACAAACAAAAAATCAATGGCACTGGGAATTATGTTACTTTCCACAGAATCCTTATAAGCCAAAGTGGGTGAAGATGAGGTATGGAGCATGGTATTTGAACCCCAAGTTGTGGAAAAAGCAAAGAGTAGACGAGCCTCTGGTTGACCCTGAGGTCTCACATAAGGCTCAAGAGGAGAATTTTAAAAAGGAGCTGCAGGAACAGGTATGTATTTATACTGAGATTTGATCATCTGAGCTTCAGATGATCACAGTGCATCTGCCACCCTCCTACTGAACCAGACTCTGCGGCGTAATACAAAGGCTCCTGAAAGCCCTCCACCTTGCATATTGAATTCAGCAAGGAGAAAGCTAAGTAATGTTAAGGAGAATGTGTAATAAGCAAGACTTGGAATCTCCTGGCTTTGTGGTAGACATGACATCTCTAAAGATTGGACAGCTACTCATGCTATTCCACCATTCTTGGAACAATTTATTCCAAGGATAATTGTTCAAAGGGTGGTGTGACTTGGTACGACCACCTCAGTGCCCAGAATAGATGTGCTGTCATGAGTTATCTTTGGGTAACAAAATGTGAAGCTTGTTTCCTATCAGCTATGGGTGAATGTCAAAAAATTCAAAATTTCAACCAGGAAATTTCTTTTAGGCAATTCATTTGAGTTGCAGGATCTGTCTGAGAGGAAAGGGACAAAGGTTAAGCACTGTTTGATATTGCAAAGCAACAAACACTCACAACAAGGGTGTGCTCTAATTTTACTACAGATAAACCCTGCCTGCTCATTGCTTGTGTAAAAGTAGCTAGTGGAAAGAAGATACTCATTATGGCCCTGGAAATTTGGAAATAGTGATGCAACACTTGCATAGTACTCTAATGAGGATATTTGCAAACCTCTTCTCTTTTTCAACAGACCCCAAACTTCTCCTAGATAACAGACGTGAAAACACTTTGAGAAAGTAAAATACAATACAAATTAGACTTATTATTCTTCAGTAATCACTCATCAATTGTCTTCTTCAGATTGGAAAGCTAAGACAGGAAGGATGGTCATTTTAATCTTTTCCAGTACTGAATATAAATTCTTATTTTCAGGTGTGAGGTATGATACAAATTTATGAGCACCCCATGTTTATATAAGTCTCAAAATTATGTAAATAATGTTTGGCAGAATTTCTTAGTATGGTTTTTGGAAAGCCTAGGTTTATGTGAATTTAATATATAACATAAAGCTATTCCAGTTGCACTTTTATTATAAAAGGTAACATCATTTTTTCTCAAATTAAATATTTAAAAAGAAAAATAGCTACAAACTTTTGCTTTAAGGTATCTAGAGTTCTCTTTTTAAAAGCATATTCTTAATTACTAATTCTTAAAGACTTCAAAAGTTTTACAAAACATATTTCATTTTGATGACAAATGCTATAAAGATGTTTGCCAAAATGGTTACAGTGAGCTAATAAAGTAGCATTATTTAAATATAATTGATATAACTCGTATAGTAAAAGATTGTTTATCAGGCAGTTTAGACACAGGGAGGATGCATAACAATGGAATTGTTCTACAATAATTTTTATAAATCACACCTTTTTAATACCTGAGGAATGATTTACATTATCGACTATAGGTGGCACCACCAGGCTGTGGCACCCCAGTTTACAAGACGCAGGCACTGTGGGGTACTGGTAAGAGACAGTAACTATGACAACATGACTGTCTTTCTGGGAACTCGTGAGTTTTGACTATTCTTGATAGATTTGGTTTGGAAGGTGAAATGGTTTTAAAGTACTGAATTGAAATTATGTAAACTTATGCATCCAATTTTTAAATTAAAATAAATGTAAAGAAAAACTAAAAAGATGCATAAATATTGTAGATGTTGGGACTGATCAAATCATATTTGATTGTCCTGTCCTTTGAAGTTAAGATCTATGATTTGTGGACATACTGTTAATCTTAACTAGGTTAGATTCCAGACATCATAGGTCAATAATTGTCTAATTGCTAAAATGTGTTGCCCATCCTTAATATGGGGATAAGGAAAAGGCTAGGGGAAGGAGAGAAAGCTGGACATCTTTAAAAGCCTTCATATTCATCAACTCATGAACATTACACACATATTCAAAAACAAGAAGGATATGGGTTAAAATGAGATACTTTATAAGGAACTAAATGCTTTTAATGAGAACAAATATGAAATCAAGCTTCTGATGGCTGACCCCTTTCTTCAAATGTGGGTACTCTTTTAGGAGGAGTTACTTGCAGACCTTCACGGAACAGTTGCCTTTAAGGATTTCATTCTAAGCAGGGGCTACAGGACGCCACGTGTGAGTAAAGGGTCCTTTCAGAAGGCCCTGCTGAGGGGCTTCATGGCTCACAGTTGTTGACGGGAAGAGGTTATGACCCTGACAAACCCAAATAGTTCTCTTACAGGCACATACCAAGACAGGCCCCTGGAAGAAAGGGCATGCTTCTCCCCAGACGGGGACTCAGAGATAGGATATGGCATTTTGCCCTTTTTATTCTGCCTATTTGGTTTCTGCTACTATCAGAGATACTATTTCCCTGTGATCTTTGACTCATCTTCCTTGGATTTGGCCTCAATAGGAGGTCTATGTACAGGGCATGGGCCTTGCAAATTCCAACTGTTACTCAACACCCTGAATTCTCTAGGATGTTTTCAAGTCTCCTTTGCGTCCTGGTCTAAGGACAAAGAGCTGTGGCTTGGGTTAGGACAAAATAGCGTTGGGATTTGCAATTTCATCATTGCACTATTAGCTCTGCCTCAAGTAGAAACAGGCTAAGGCAAAAGTTCACTTCCTGGGGGGCCTGGCCAGTGTCTTCTGTCTTTTTTCCCTTTCTTCATTTCTGCCTCCTGGTTTCCCCTCACTAACTTGTAAAGCTGGCCCCAGCATCTCCACACAATGTGGTCCCCCTTTGGACAATCACTTGTAACAGGGTTGGGGTGGGAGGTTGGCAGAAGGGAACATGGAGCGGGAGGGCCTGCTGCCTCGAGCAGTGTGCCCAGATCAGCCCTGTCACTGCAGCAGGAGACTAGATAGGCATCTGGGGCTGAAGTCATAGCTGATAATGTCAAGCATTTGTCCACTGTCCTCTGTGTGCACGTACCTTGGGGTCTTTAGGGGACAGTGCAACTGAGATGGTCAGAAGTTTCTGGAAATGGGAGATTTGATTTCTGTTTTTCCAAGAGTGATAGAACTAACAATAGCTGATACAGCTAGCAAATAAATGTAGGACAAAGTTCAGAATCAGACTGGTTTCAAAGTTAAATCAGGCAAGTCTAGAGCATGAGATGGAGATTTGAGACTGGGAAACTCCATTATAGAACTGGTTTGGAGGAACTCCTTTAGCTTTGAACATCAATACTAGGTCTGCTAGATATATTTAATATACAAATAACTGCCTAATCTGTATATAAGGTTTGCATAACTATATTTATATATAATATATAAAATATAAAATATGCATCTATAGCTTTAATATTACATAATTATGTGTTTACGAGTCCATATTAGATATGTAAAAATGTACTTCTGTGGTATATGTGTGTGTATATATAAATCCTTATTTGCCATTGATATTATTGTGGCTCATTTTTGTATCTTAACATTTTTAGTGGCAAAACACCCTTCTTTTTTTCATTTTGATGTGTTCCCTATTGATTTAATCCATACTGTTCATGAACATTTAGTTCAGTTTTGGGCAAAAGGAAGCATGCCTGACACACTGGCTATTGCAGGATCTGGCCAGCAGCCCGCAATGCAACGGGGCTCTCTGTTCCCAGGCGGATTGGCAGGTTGAGAAATAATAGACACACACAAGATAGTGAAAGCTGGGTCCAGGGGTGTCACCGCCTTCTGGTCCCACGGTGCCAACAATGCACTGGATATACCAGCATTTATTATTAAGTTTAGTGAGGGCGGGGGTAGGTTAGTGAGAGATTTAGGGTCATTTGATTGTGAGATGAGATGGTCACATGGGGATGAAGTAATTCTTTAACATAACATTTGTATGTAGAAGTACAGTACATTTGTATGTAGAAGTACAGTGTACAGAGATAAGAATTTACAATATAGTGTGTGCGTCAATAATTTCTAACAGAATCTTAAAATAGAAACACAATCTTTCCATAACCTATGATTAGCAAGATATTAATCAACAGTAACAGTTGCCACAAAAGCTGGTTACAAACAATCCATGGAAACAGGAGGTGAAGCTAGACAACCAGTTAGACCAGAAATTCTCAGAAGGGAGTATGCCTTAACCCTAAAGAGGCCTAGAAGAGCTGTGGCAAGATGAGGGCATTTATAGCCCTATCTTATCCATATGGACAGGCGCCCCCCATGTGTCCGTTTATAGGCTTTCCACAAGGGTCGCATTCCATTCCCAGAGCTATGAACATCTGCTTTTCTGGGATAGGAATGTTGGTGATGTGCAACCTCCCTGACTGCACGTCCGTTCATAGGCTGTCTGCAGGGGGAAGCACATCATGCGCTGTTGGCTCGTTCTGGCAGCCCAACCTGGCATTGTCTTTACACAATCCTGCATGCAATTTTGTATTTACAATAATCAGGAGCATTTCATCTTTTATTCCGTAGCAATAGTTTCAGGGGGTCTCCCTACATCTGGCTGTCCTCTTTTCAGTCACATTGACTAGAGAAATGATGCCCCTGGTCACAACAGAGTCCTCTGAGAACACCTGTCACTCAAAACCCTACAATATTTTGTCCCTTTATTCTTACATCCTATATTCTTATTTTATCAATAAGATTTCAACTGAAGGAGAGAAGGGGCTCTATCACAGGGAATAAGATATATATGCATATACACACACACAGTATATAAATATATGTGTGTGTATGTGTGTGTGTGTATACACAGTTATTATTTACTTAAATCTATATGTGAACATTCATTCTTTTTTTTAACCTCCTGTGTACATTCACATATGTTATGTGAACATATGCACTTACCTACACATTCCAGTATCTGCTGCTGGATTAACTACTTGATGCATCACCCACAGCCTCATTCCCTCTGCTGCACGGATGGATCCCAAGCCTTAGTAGCAGGGATGGGCAGCACAAGGCTATGTTGAGCTGGGCTGGGCCAGACTTGGGCACAGAACAAGTGTGAATTCCATCTGAGTGTTTCTGATACTGTGTGACTACCTTCCAAAGACCAACATCTATCATGGTCAGATTATTAACATGTGATTTTGCATAGTGTAAGGATATATATTAGAGTGTGAAATTTTGAGTTAGATATGGTAGTGGTTGTGGGGAGGACTGTACTGTGCAAGTTTTGTTTGCCAATCTAATGAAGGTTCTCTCATTTTTTTTTAGTTCCTTGAGAATATGTATATCGGGAAGGAATGTAAACGTGCATGTAATAAGACTCCTATAAAACGAACTCAAGCATAGAAGAATCGTAGGAGAATGATTAGGCAGATTTTATTACTACGTACTTGGCTATTTCTCTGTCTCCTTTTAAAGATTAAACAGAGTTTATGATGAGTGTCCCACTGTGGATGTTCAACTTTGACTTGGCAACATCTGTAAATGTAATACCTGATGGTTATAAGCATTTCTCAATGGATTTCTGCTTCAGTTAATCAACATTTTGTATACTTTATCACCCATGAGATCAATATTCACATGTAATCTTCTCATATTTTTGTGGCACGTGAATATTATATAGGTATATCAACTATTGGTAAAAATAAATAAAGGCATAAATAAAAACAGACTTACTCTATTGCCTTTTTCCCAGGTTTTTCCCCTGGTATTGAATGAGTACCTCCTTTCCTCTTCCTTTACAATATTATTTTCTTTCATTTTGAATTAAATTTACTGAGATATTTTTTCCTTTTGTCCGCATTGCCATGGGTGGATATGGTCTGTTTGGCCCCGCTAAATCTTATGTTGCAGCTTGATCCCCAGTGTTGGACATGGGGGCTGGTTTGAGATGTTTGAGTCATGGGGGTGGATCCCTCGTGAATGGCTTGGTGCCATTCTCACAGGAGTGAGTGAATTCTCACTCTTAGTTCCTGTGAGAACTGGTTATTGTAAAGAGCCTGGCTCCTCCTCCTCTCTCTTGCTTGTTCTCTCACCATGTGATGTCTGCACATGCTAGCTCCCCTTTGCCTTTTGCCACGAGTGGAAGAATCCTGAAGCCCTCACCAGAAGCAGATGCTGGCACCATGCTTCTTGTACACCCTGTAGAGCTATGAGCCAAATAAATTTCTTTTCTTAAAAATTACCCAGCCTCAGGTATTCCTTTGTAGCAACACAAATGGACTAAGACAGGCATGTTAGTGTTGATAATAAATGTGTATCTATAACATAAGGTCATAGGTCAGAAGGTTTAATGGAAACTCAAGATGACATGTATTTTAATTACCTTTTAAAAATTATATTTTATTTTAAAATGTTAATACTCTCTGGGTGTGACCACTCACTCCTATAATCCCAGTGCTTTGGGAGGTCAAGTCAGGAGGATGGCTTGAATCCAGTAGTTCAAGGCTGCAGTGAGCTATAATCATGCCAGTGCCCTTTTGCCTAGGTGACAGAGTGAGATCCTGTCTCTAAAAAAAAGTTAATGCTCATATTAGGAAAATCAGAAAACATAGACTAGCAAAAAGAACATAGAAAATACTAATTCTTCCTATAGAGTTAGCAGTAACTGCTCTTTGCTCATTGGAATGTATCCTAGATTTTTTTCTATGAAACATATAGGGAATAATTTAATCAAAAAAGGATTTATTGAAAGGAAATTATTTATTAAAAACATATTCTGTCCACAGAGTATCTTTTTTTTTAACTTTTACTTTAAGTTCCGGGATACATGTGCAGAATGTTCAGGTTTGTTACATTAGGTATACATGTGTCATGGTGGTTTGCTGCACCTATCAACCTGTCATCTAGGTTTTAAGCCCTGCATGCATTAGGTATTTGTCCTAATGCCCTCCCTCCCCTTGCCCTCCACCCTCTGGCTGGCCCCTGTGTATGATGTTCCCCTCCCTGTGTCCATGTGTTCTCATTATTCAACTCCCACTCATGAGTGAGAACATGTGGTGGTTGGTTTTCTGTTCCTGTGTTAGTTTGCTGAGGACGATGGTTTCCAGCTTCATCCATGTCCCTGCAAAGGATGTGAACTCATTCTTTTTTATGCTGCATAGTATATGTGCCACATTTTCTTTAATCCAGTCTATCATTGATGGGCATTTGGGTTGGTTCCAAGTCTTTGCTATTGTAAATAGTGTTTCAACAAACATACATGTGCTAGAATGATTTATAATCCTTTGGGTGTATACCCAGTAATAGGATTGCTGGGTCAAATGGTACTTCTGGTTCTAGATCCTTGAGGAATCACCACACTGTCTTCCACAATGGTTGAACTAATTTACACTCCCATCAACAGTGTAAAAGCATTCCTATTTCTCCACATCCTCTCCAGCATCTGTTGTTTCCAGACTTTTTAATGATCGCCATTTTAACTGGCATGAGATGGTATCTCATTGTGGTTTTGATTTGCATTTCTCTAATGACCAGTGATGATGAGCTTTTTTTCATATGTTTGTTGGCCACATAAATGTTTTCTTTTGAGAAGTGTCTGATCATATCCTATACCCACTTTTTGATGGGGTTGTTTGTGTTTTATTTTGTAAATTTGTTTAAGTTCCTTGTAGATTCTGGATATTAGGCTTTTGTCAGATGGATAGATTGCAAAAATTTTCTCCCATTCTGTAGGTTACCTGTTCATGCTGATGATAGTTTCCTTTGCTGAGCAGAAGCTCTTTAGTTTAATTAGATCACATTTGTCAATTTTGGCTTTTGTTGCAATTGCTTTTGGTGTTTTAGTCATGAAGTCTTAGTCCATGCCTATGTCCTGAATGGTATTGCCTAGGTTTTCTTCTAGAGTTTTTATGGTTTTAGGTTTTATGTTTAAGTCTTTAATCCATCGTGAGTTAATTTTTATATAAGGTGTAAAGAAGAGGTCCAGTTTCTGTTTTCTGCATATGGCTAGCCCATTTTCCTAGCACCGTTTATTAAATAGGGAATCCTTTCCCCATTGCTTGTTTCTGTCAGGTTTGTCAAAGATCAGATGGTTGTAGATGTGTGATGTTATTTCTGAGGCCTCTGTCCTGTTCCATTGGTCTATCTGTCTTTTTGGTACCAGTACCATGCTGTTTTGTTTACTGTAGCCTTGAAGTATAGTTTGAAGTCAGGTAGCATGATCCCTCCAGCTTTGTTCTTTTTGCTTAAGATTATCTTGGCTATATGGGCTCTTTTTTGGTTCCATATGAAATTTAAAGTAGCTTTTTCTAGTTCTATGAAGAAAGTCAATGATAGCTTGATGGGAATAGCATTGAATCTATAAATTGCTTTGGACAGTTATGGCCATTTTCACAATATTGATTCTTCCTCTCCATGAGCATGGAATGTTTTTCCATTTGTTTGTGTCCTCTCTTATTTCCTTGAGCAGTGGTTTGTAGTTCTCCTTGAAGAGGTCCTTCACGTCCCTTGTAAGCTGTATTCCTAGGTGTTTTATTCTCTTTGTAGCAACTGTGAATGGGAGTTCACTCATGATTTGGCTCTCTGCTTGTCTATTATTTGTGTATAGGAATGCTTGTGATTTTTGCACATTGATTTTGTATCCTGAGACTTTGATGAAGTTGCTTATCAGCTTAAGGAGATTTTGGGGCTGAGGCGATGGGGTTTTCTAAATACACAATCATGTTGTCTGCAAACAGAGACAATTTGACTTCCTCTCTTCCTAATTTAATATTTCTTTCTTTCTTTTGCCTGATTGCCCTGGCCAGAACTTCCAATACTATGTTGAATAGGAGTGGTGAGAGAGGATACCCTTGTCTTGTGCCAGTTTTCAAAGGGAATGCCTCCAGCTCTTGCCGATTCGGTATGATATTGGCTATGTGTTTGTCCTAAATAGCTCTTATTATTTTGTTCCATCAGTACCTAGTTTATTGAGAGTTTTTATCAGGAAGGGGTGTTGAATTTTATTGAGGGCCTTTTCTGCATCTATTAAGATAATCATATGGTTTTTGTCATTTGTTCTGTTTATGTGGTGGATTATGTTTATTGATTCGTGCATATTGAACCAGCCTTGGATCTCAGGGATGAAGCCGACTTGACTGCAGTGGATAAGCTTTTTGATGTGCTGCTGGATTCGGATTGCCAGTATTTTACTAAGGATTTTTGCACTGATGGGCCTTTTTTGGTTGGTAGGCTGTTAATTACTGCCTCAATTTCAGAACTTGTTATTGGTCTATTTAGGGATTCAACTTCTTCCTGGTTTAGTCTTGGGAGGGTGTATGTGTCCAGGTATTTATTCATTTCTTCTAGATTTTCTAGTTTGAGTAGAGTTGTTTATAGTATTATTTGATGGTAGATTGTATTTCTGTGGGATTAGTGGTGATATCCCCTTCATCATTTTTTATTGTGTCTATTTAATTCTTCTCTCTTTTCTTCTTTATTAGTCTGGCTAACAGTCTATCTATTTTGCTAATCTTTTAAAAAAACCAGCTTCTGGATTGTTTGATTTTTTGAAGGGTTTTTCTTGTCTCTATCTCCTTCAGTTCTGCTCTGATCTTAGCTATTTCTTGTCTTCTGCTAGCTTTTGAATTTGTTTGGTCTTGCTTTTCTGGTTCTTTAAATTGTGATGTTAGTGTGTCGATTTTAGACCTTTCCTGCTTTCTGATGTGGGCATTTAGTGCTACAAATTTCCCCTGAACACTGCTTTAGCTGTGTCCTGGAGATTCTGGAACGTTGTATCTTTGTTCTCACTGGTTTCAAAGAACTTCGTTATTTCTGCCTTAATTTTGTCATTTACCAGTAGTCATTCAGGAGCAGGTTGTTCAGTTTCCATGTAGACATGCAGTTTTGAGTGAGTTTCTTAATCCTGAGTTCTAATTTGATTGCACTGTGGTCTGAGTGGATGTTTGTTATGATTCTTCTCCTTTTGCATTTGCTGAGGAGTGTTTTACTTCCAATTATGTGGTCTATTTTAGAGTAAGTGCTATGTGGTGCTGAGATGAATGTACATTCTGTTGATTTGGGGTGGAGAGTTCTGTAGATAGGTCTGTTTAGTCCAGAGTTGAGTTCAAGTCCTGAATATCCTTGTTAATTTTCTATCTCGTTGATCTAATATTGACAGTGAGGTGTTAAAGTCTCCCACTATTATTGTGTGGGAGTGTAAGTCTCTTTGTAGGTCTCTAAGAACTGTTTTTATGAATCTGGGTGTTCCTGTATTGGGTGCATATGTATTTAGGATAATTAGCTCTTCTTGTTGCATTGATCCCTTTACCATTATGTAATGCCCTTCTTTGTCTTTTTTGATCTTTGTTGGTTTAAAGTCTGTTTTATCAGAAACTAGGATTGCAACCCCTGCTTTTTTTTTTTTTTTTTTTTTGCTTTCTATTTGCTTGGTTAATATTCCCCCATCCCTTTATTTTCAGCTTATATGTATCTTTGCATGTGAGATGGGTCTCCTGAATATAGCACACTGATTGGTCTTGACTGTATCCAATTTGCCAGTCGTGCCTTTTATTTGGGGCATTTAGCCCATTTACATTTAAGGTTAATATTGTTATGTGTGAATTTGATCCTGTCATCATGATGTTAGCTGGTTATTTTGCACATTAGTTGATGCAGTTTCTTCATAGTATCACTGATCTTTATATTTTGGTGTGTTTTTGCAGTGGCTGGTAGCAGTTTTTCCTTTCCATGTTTAGTGCTTCCTTCTGGAGCTCTTGTAAGGCAGGCCTGGTGGTGACAAAATCCCTCAGCATTTGCTTGTCTGTAAAGGATTTTATTTCTCCTTCACTTAATGAAACTTAGTTTGGCTGGATATGAAATTCTAGGTTGAAAATTCTTTTGTTTAAGAATGTTGAATATTGGCCCCCACTCTCTTCTGGCTTGTAGGGTTTCTGCAGACAGATCCACTGTTAGTCTGATGGGCTTCCCTTTGTAGGTAACCCGACCTTTGTCTCTGGCTGCCCTTAACATTTTTTCCTTTGTTTCAACCTTGGTGAATCTGACGATTATATGTCTTGGGGTTGCTCTTCTCGAGAGTATCTTAGTGGTGTTCTCTGTATTTCCTGAATTTGAATGTTGGCCTGTCTTGCTAGGTTGGGGAAGTTCTCCTGGATAATATTCTGAAGTGTATTTTCCAACTTGTTTCCTTTCTCCCCATCACTTTCAGGGACCCCAGTCAATCATAGGTTTGGTCTTTTCACATCGTCCCATATTTTGTGGAAGCTTTGCTCATTCCTTTGCATTCTTTTTTCTCTAATCTTGTCTTCATGCTTTATTTCATTAAGCTGGTCTTCAATCTCTGATATCCTTTCTTCTGCTTGATCGATTCGGCTATTGATACTTGTGTATGCTTCACGAAGTTCTCATGCTGTGTTTCTCAGCTCCATCAGGTCATTTATGTTCTTCTCTAAACTTGTTATTCTAGTTAGCAGTTCCTGTAACCTTATGTCAAGGTTCTTAACTTCCTTGCATTGGGATAGAACATGCTCCTTTAGCTCAGGGGCGTTTGTCATTAGCTACTTTCTGAAGCCTACTTCTGTCAATTCGTCAACCTCATTCTCTGTCCAGTTTTGTGCACTTGCTGGAGAGGAGTTGCGATCATTTGGAGAAGAAGAGGCATTCTGGTTTTTGGAATTTTCAGCCTTTTTGCACTGTTTTTTCCTTATCTTCATGGATTTATCTATGTTTGACCGTTGAGGCTGATGACCTTTGAATGAGGTTTCTTGTGTGGGTGTCCTTTTTGTTGATGTTGGTGTTACTGCTTTCTGTTTGTTAGTTTTTCTTCTAACAGTCAGGTCCCTCTGCTGCAGGTCTGCTGGAGTTTGCTGGAGGTCCACTCCAGACCCTATTTGCCTGGGTATCACCAGTGGAGACTGCAGAACAGCAAAGATTGCTGCCTGCTCCTTCTTCTGGAAGCTTCATCCTGGAGGGGCCCCAGCCTGATGCCAGCCAGAGCTCTCCTGTATGAGGTGCCTGTTAACCCTCGTTGGGAATTTTCTCCCAGTCATGAGGCACAGGGATCAGGGACCCACTTGAGGAGGCAGTCTGTCCCTTAGCAGAGCTTGAGTGCCGTGCTGGGAGAATCCTCCTTGTCAGGATCCACTGCTGTCTTCATAGCAGGCAGGCAGGCAGGAACATTTAAGTCCGCTGAAGCTCGCCCACAGCTGCCCCTTCCCCCAGGTGCTCTGTCCCAGGGAGATGGGAGTTTTATTTATAAGCCCCTGACTGGGGCTGCTGTCTTTCTTTCAGAGATGCCCTGCCCAGTGAAGAGGAATCTAGTGAGGGAGTCTGGCCACAGTCACTTTGCTTTGCTTTGTTTGGTTCTACCCAGTCCTTAGCATGGTCAGGGGAAAAGCCACCTACTCAAGCCTCAGTAATGGTGGACGCCCCTACCCCCACCAAGCTTGAGTGTCCCAGGTTGACTTCAGACTGCTGTGCTGGCAGCGAGAATTTTAAGCCAGTGGTTCTTAGCTTGCTGGGCTCCATAGGAGTGGGACCTGCTGAGCGAGACCACTTGGCTCCCTGGCTTCAGTCCTCTTTCCAGGAGAGTGAACAGTTCTGCCTCACTGGGGTACGAAAAAAAAAGTCCTGCAGCTAGCTTGGTGTCTGCCCAAACAGCTGGCCAGTTTTGTGCTTGAAACCCAGGGTCCAGGTGTTGTAGGCACACAAGGGAATCCCCTGGTCTGCAGATTACAAAAACTGTGGGAGAAGCGTAGTATCTGGGCCAGATAGCACAGTCCCTCATGGCTTCCCTTGGCTTGGGGAGGGAGGTCTCCAACCCCTTGCACTTCCCGGGTGAGGCAAGGCCTCACCCTACTTCTGCTCACCCTCCATGGGCCACACCCACTGCCTAACTAGTCCCAATGACACGAACAGGGTACCTCAGTTGGAAATGCAGAAATCACCCGCCTTCTGCGTTGTTCTTGCTGGTAGCTGCAGATAGGAGCTGTTCCTATTCATCTTCCGAGATCCTCTGCTTTTCATCTTGATCCACAGAATATCTTTATGGACAGAGGCTCGGATTTGAGTCTGCCCTCCCAGGAACAATACCCGAATTCATGCCTCAAAACTGAGCTGGTGAACACATCTCTATTGATGCCCTTGGCGTAGACATGGCAACCAGCACAGAAGTCACCATCATCGGATGCTGGAGTTACCCCCAGGGCCACCTCCACTGCTGTCTTTGAACATAGATGCAACACCAGTGCCAGCACCTTACCCAGCAGCAGCATCCATGCCCAGTGTGGGTTCTGCCTACTCATCTCAGGGTCTCTGATGAGGCACTTGACTGGCGGAGCCAGATCCATGCCTATGAGTGAAGTAGGCAAAGAAAAGTAGTATATGGCATTTCTAGCTCCTACAGTGTAAGGGGACTCTGCCCCCATAGGTCAGGGGGTTCAGGTGCCTCTTAGAATATGGAGTTCAGATGACTAGCCTCTTGAATGCCCAATATCAATATCTACTTTTTTCATAAAGAAAAAAGCATAAGAAACAAACAAACAAAAAAACCTTTTTTCTAATTAATACAACCATCCCTCCTGCAGAAGAGGACACAATCATGTTCTCAAAAGTGATGAGTTCAAAGTTGTATCCATTACTGCATTTGCCTTCAAATACAAAATCCCTGGGGGCTGGCATTTCATCCTCTGGGTCTGTGATGACCTCATCTCAGTAATCTGTATGCTGAACTGACTACATAGTAAATTTGATCACCAATAACACACCCTTTGTGGAGAAAGAGACAAGAGGAAGAAACTTAAAAAAATGGCATATACATGACATGGAAGAAAATGCAGATAGATGCAACAGTGTTCATTTCTACAACTGGTCAAGAGGCCATAGTTCCTATATATAATTTCCCTTCTCCACTTCCCATTTCACATTCTTTTCACCTTTGGCTAGTCCCTTAACTGTTACAAAATATTTAAGAGAGTGACCTAAACCTTTATTCACAAAGCGCCTGAGTCTTGCTGGTCCTGACCAGCCAGGACATTTTTATTAGTAGACATGACAACACTAGGTAGAACTCCAAGGGGTCCTTTGATTTCCATGACTCTACTGTCAATCAGTTTTCACTTGCTGTTGATGATTCATATAGTTCTCTCCTTTTCTTGTTCTTCAGGGATCATGAAGAGTCCATACAATGACCAGGTGGCAGTCTCAGATTCTAATTCAATGGAACTATTATTTTTTTTCTACTGATAGACACCTTGTCTCAAGCTTTTAAATCACCAGAGCCCAGTTCATGGGGCTAAGAAGTAACAGTTTTGCAAGTGGTTCTGAAGGAGGTGCTCCTCCTGATGCTACACCCATGTATGCTGAATATGGGAAAAACAGCATATATTGGTTGCTGGTGCAGAATAAATAATGAATGTTGGTGTGGGCAGAAATTTGTTAGGCAGGGTCAGCAAATCCCAATCCAGAATAAGTTACTATTCCAGTAAAGATAAATTACTGCCCCTTTCATGATAATGGAAGAGGTCTGGGACATTCTTTGAACCCACTCATTCAACGACCATTATGACCTCCTTCTAGCTTGCCTTCCTACTGTAGAGGCTGGAAAACTAATGGCTGCATTTCCCAAACTCTCTTAATGTTTCAACTCATTAAAGTGCCCACATGTTTGGAAGTCCAAGGGAGCACCAAGGGGAGAGCTGATCCTCTGCAAGCCAGTCTGGCTTTCAGGTGCTGAGCAGCAGAGGCTACGGGAAGTGGTAGTCTGGAGGGAATCCACTTCTTTCCCCAGGCACATTGTTCCTGGCTTTGTTCCATTCAAACCTAATTCACATCAGGGACTTTAGTTTTATTTCCTGGACAAATAAATATTTAACAGAAGCAGTGGCCAGATCAGGTTTGATGAGGGAAATCCAAGTTGCTAAACCCCCGTGTAGCCTGTGATTCTGCTACTATGCCTACTTCGCTCATTGGGCAACACTGGAGTGCCTGCAGAAAGGAGAGAGTTGGCATGCAGGAGCCAGGTCAACCTCTTCTCTTGACTATTGAGCACTTCCTCTCCAGTGGGGGCCTTTGGGTGGCATTCACAAAGAACCAAATATCCTCATACTCTGGATTCATTCTCAGAGATCCCATAGATACCTCTTCCTCTGAACATCTTTGTCACCAGACTTGCATTCTTGATCCTTCCATGTCTTGGCTGCTGAGCTACACCGTCAGCTAATGACCATTAACTGGTGATATCTGTGCCTCATACCATTTCTCCTTTCAGACAAAGTGGTCAGCAAGATAAAATGCTTAAAATTCTGCCTTCTGGAAGATTCCTCTTTGTTGATCTTCAGGGTCACCCTCAAGTTGGCCTATAATGTTGCTGTAGTCTACTTGTGGCTGGTGCTGTCATATTGTGCTGGTTGCTGTCTAGTCAGTTGGACTTAGAGAACATACCATGAAGTCAGAGGTGTAGGCTGAGGAAAAAATGGTAATGTGGTAGGAGTGGGAACACCATGCAATTTGTTGTGTCTTCAATTTCTGCTCAAGCCCAATCTTATGTAGGAAACTTTCACTTGATCATAAGAAGCAATACAATTTGGTAATTTAATATGTGTACTTTGAAGCCAGGGGGCCTGTGTTCTAACCAAGTCCTGCCACTTATTAGATATATGACTATGGTCAAATTGCTTTTATCCTCTCTCTGCTTCAATTTTCTCATCTAAAATAGGGATGATTACAATAACAGTACTATTTCCCAGAAATGTGGTGAGGATTAAAGGAAATGTTGCAAGTAAAGTACTTAGAGCAGAGCTTGGCACACTGTGCACACACACTAAATGTTAGCTGACTTTATGGCGTGGTGAATCAGATAGTCCCCAGCTTATGATGAGTGCTAGCCATGAGATTAGGCTGCTGTATTTACCAGTGCTCAGCAACAAGCCAAAATCTGTTTCTCAAAAGGAGAAAAGTTACATGCCACAGAATCCGTGGCTTGGCTGCAAAACTCTCAGAGCCTGTGCTGGATGTTCCAAAGCTCCATTCAGCAGCCCTGTCTGCCACAGGCATTTCAATAACATTGGATCCACTGGATCAGAAGACAGAGCTTCCTGGACCAGTGAGAAAGCATACTCTTGCTTCAGGCTGCACTCAAAATTGGCAACCTCTCAGATTATTAAAAAAACTAGCTGAAACAGCATGTCTAAATCTGGTCTCCAAAATTCAAAGACACACCATTATAGAGTATTTCCAACACCCAGTTATAATACATATAAATAATCTGAGCAGCATAGATAATAATAAAAAGCTGTCAACTAGGAAGTGATGAGTTTGTAATTATCTTTGTTTTTCACATCATTTATTTAACTGTAAGTATATATAATTTGTTTTAATAATGGTTGTGTTTAGCAATCAGCTCACTAAATTCTTGAAAATTTGTCAGTTGACCTTTGTGAGTTGGTACAACCTGTCTCTAGCACCTTATTGACTATAGAATTCAAGGCAATGAGGGATGTTAGGAGCAAAGAATGAAGAGAATTGTTTTCCCCTACCTCCAGTAAGGTTACTCCCACAAAGAATAACATTACAGAGTCTTCATGAAAGATGGAAAAAGCCTCATCATGAAGGGAGATTTTCTCTGACGAGGAAGGCTGCATTAATTCAGGTGTGCCAAGAAGCAATGGCAAGATGGGAATAGATGTTCTTGAGCTTTACTGAAGGAAGGAATGGGAAAAGATAGAGAGAGCTTTAGACTGTGATGCCTGTCTGATATCTGTGGAAGGAATAAGGGAAGGAAAGAAGATTGGTGTAAGAAGAATCTTGGACTGTAGCACAATTCAAATAAAGGTTTCGCCAGTCCAGCAGGAAGTCCTCAAGTTGAAGTTGCCTAGAGGAGGAGTTTCACTTCTTGCCAGAATGGGACTACCTTGGTGCTTCTGGCATGCTCAGTCATTGGTTAGGGGTAGCCCATGAGAAGCATGGCCTCAGTGTGAGGGTGGAGGATCCAGGGAGGCAGCAATTTGGTCCACCAGCCAATGATGCTCTCTGCAGCAGATGATCTGAGTAGCATATTTTCATAGGGTTGGGAGTTTAGGGTACTTGGAGCCCACCGTATCTTCCCATATGTTCCCATTTCAGGATTCAGGGTCTCACTTTTTCCAAACAATGTTCTAGCTTCACATAAGGTATCCTAAAAACCTGTGAATTCAAATGATGTCTTAACTTAGCAAACTAAACAGTCAATTATCTCTCTCTCTCCCAGTTCAACAGTTTCAAGACATATTTCTTTAGAAAATTCCAAAGAGCCCCTGATTTGGGGATTTGTGTTTGTTTTAAAATATGTCCACAAATTGGCCAGGCTGGTGGCTCACACCTGTAATCCCAGCACTTTGGTGTGCCAAAGGCGGGTGGATCATGAGGTCAGGCGATCAAGACCATCCTGGCTAACACGGTGAAACTCCATCTCTACTAAAAAATACAAAAAATTAGCTGGGCATGGTGGCAGGCAACTGTAGTCCCAGCTACTCGGGAGGCTGAGGCAGGAGAATGTCCTGAACCCAGGAGGCAGAGCTTGCAGTGAGCCGAGATAACACCACTGCACTCCAGCCTGGGCGACAGAGCAAGACTCTGTTTCAAAAAAAAAAAAAAAAGTCCACAAATTATTTGATACTTTTTCAAAATGTGGTGTCTAATTCCCTCCACTCAAGTGTAGTTAGTGACTGTAGTTAGTGGGCTGTACTTAGCGACTTGCTTCTAATGAAGACAATGTGGGAAAGGTGATGATGCCTGATTTCTGAGTCCCAATCACATCAGGTGAAATTGTGGCTTCCTTCTTGTTCTCACTTGGATCATCTGCTCTGGGAGTGTCTAGCTGCCATGTTGTGAGGACACTAAAGTTGTCTATGGAGAGGCCCACATAGCAAGGAACTAAAGCCTTCTTCTAGCAGCCATGGGGCAAGCCATCTAGGAAGTGGATCCTCCAGTCCCTAGTAAGTCTTCAGATGAGACTGCAACCCCTGCTGACATCCTGACTGTAGTCTTACGGGAGGTCCTGAGCCAGAACCACAAAGTTGCTCTTGAATTCTTGAATCACAAAAACCACTATAATGTTTGTTGTTTTAAGCCATTAAGCTTAAGATTTATTTGTTAAGCAGTAATAGGTAACTAATATAGATTTTGTTACCTGGAAGTGGAGTGCTGCTATAACAAGAACCTAAAGTGTGGGAGGGAGAAGAACTGGGTAGTGGGGTGGAAGCTGGAAAATTTTGAGAAGACTGTTAGTAAAAGCTTCAAGGGCCTTAAAAACACTGTTAGTAGAAGCCTTTGAGGAGGTGACAGCTTGTAGGAAAATGAGGTAATGTTATTGGAAAGTGGGAGAAACAGTCTCCTTGTTATGAAATAGCAAAAAGTTTAGCCCACATGGAATGTAGAAAAGGCAGCTGATGAGCTGGATGATCTAACGAAGGAGATTTTCATACAGAATGTTGAAGATACTGCCTGGTTTTCATTTGCTGCTTACAGCAAAATGCAAGAAGAAATAGATAAGCTAAAGCAGGACAGCTTAAAAAGAGGAACCAGGATTTTATGGTTTCGAAATGTCTAGCCTCTTGGATAGCAGATAATGTTTAAATTAAGGAATGATATGGGGCAAAGACAAAATCCAGGACATTGCCAGGAAAACATGGTCTAAAGAAGACTCCAAGGATGTAAGGATGTAACTGTTAAATCCTTTGTTAAGACCTCAGAAAGATAAAAGGTGTTGCCTCAGCGTACTGTTCAACTAGACAAAAGGCTCCCTAAAATTTTCTTAGGTGTGCTACAGTTTCTTTTGATCAAACAAATAAAGCTTCTAAGAAGCTGAAGATGTTGTTCTTCACCAGAAGCCCATGGTAGAGAAGGGCTTATCTTGAATTGATTTGTAGATTTGGCTTTTGAAAAATGGCATGGACCCAATAAGAGTCACAGGAAATCTGTAAAGTTTTTCAAAGAATTGTATTGGAATAAAAACTGCCAGCTTGGACTAAAAGGGACAAAGACAGTATGAAATGAAAAGAGGCCTCTGGATCTCCATAGTTCTACTGGCAGAAAGCAGACTGAGAGAACTTCTCAGCTACACATATGTGCTTCCATTATAGAACAGATGACTCAGAGGACATAACCAAGAAAGTGGAAACAAAGGCCATGCAGAATTATTCCTAGTTGAACAAAGTTCTAATTGAGGACCTTCTACAATTTCCTTGGCTGCTTTACAGAATTGCCATGGAGCAGTGACTCCTGTATGCCTCTATTTTTCTCCTATTTTTGGAATATGATTGTATATGGTGATTATATTGTGTCTGTTCTACTATTATATGTTGGGTGATGTTACAGAGGGTGGGGGTGGGAGGGATAGGCATATACCTTTCTGTCTTCAGATTGAAAGGAAATGCATTAGAATAATTGTACTTAGGAAGTACATCTAAGCAGTTTCATCTGTACCTGGGCCTGATTCAGATTCTAACATTCTGGATTCCAAACTGATGCTGTAAAGGGGTTATGGGAGGATTTTGTAAGGGTGGGGCTGTGGGGGTAAGTATATTTTACATATGAAAAGAATGTAAGTAATTTGTGGCTAGAGGACAGATTGGTCTTGTCTTAAAATATGTTCACAAATTCTGTGATACTCTTTCCTTCAAAAGATGAAGCTTGATTCTGCTTTTCTTGAGTGTGGGCTGTGCTTAGTGGCTTATTTCTAAAGAATAGAATGTAGCAGAAGTAGCGATGTGTGATTCCAAAACTAGACTGTAAAAGGCATTGTGTTCCCTCTTTGCTTTCCCTGAGATCACATGCTCTGGTGCAGATTTTCTCAGCCCAGGCAATATTGATGTTTTGGATCGAATTTTTCTTATTATTCTTTGTTGTGAGGGACTGTTCTGTGCTTTGTAGAATATTTAGTATCACCTCTGGCCTCTACTCACCCAAAATTCCCAGAAGTTGAATTGCTATGTCAAAGGATATATGTACATGCAGCTACACACACACACACACACACACACACACACACACACTCACATAGTTGTTTATTCTGTCTTGTTCTTTAAGGTTTTTGGATATAGAGTGCTAAGTTGCCTCCAAAAAGGTTGAATTTTTTCCCTATTAAAATATATTGTTTATATTTGAATTTATTTTTATCATTGGTGAACATTTTTAAAAATGAACATTTAAAAATGAATTTGGTCTATTGCATTTCTTTGTGACTTAGCTCAATTTTCTCCTGGGGCATGAGCAATGGTGTGCTCACAGGGCCTGCTTTCACTGTGGGCAGAATAGGCAGTATTACACATTCTGGTTAGAAGAGGTGGGGAAGCCCTGCTTTCCCCCATCACCCTCCAAGGTAGGTGTGCAGGGTATAAAATTCTTACATTAGAAATGCATTATTTGCCCACTTTTTAATGGGATTATTAGTTCTTTTGCTGTTGAGTTACTTGTATATTTTGGATATTTGTCCCTTGTTGGATGAATAGTTTACAAATACATAATGAAATCTAAGTTGGCTATAGAATGAAATCTTGTCATTTGCAACAACATAGATGAAACTGGAGGATATTATATTACGTGAAATAAGCCAAGCACAGGAAGACAAATATTGCATGTTCTCATTCATATCTGGGAGCTAAAAAAGTTGACCTCGTGGAGGTAGAGGGCAAAATGATAGTTACCAGAGGCAGGGAAGGGTGTGTAGGGGGTGGGGGAGGAATAAAGAGAGAGGTTGGTTGGTTAATACAGACAGTTAGATAGAAGGAATTAATTGTAATATTTGACGCCAGAGTAACAAAGTACTATATATTTCAAAATACCTAGAAGAGAGGACTTGAAATGTTCCCAACACATAGAATGATGGATACTCTAAATACCCTGACTTGATCATTACACATTCTGTGCATGTAACAAATACCACATGTACCCCATAAAAATGTACAAATATGACATATCAATAAAAAAATGCATTATTTTAGTTTGTCCTCCCTCTAAACTGATTTTAAAATATCAAACAAGTTCACTGTAAGGTACTGGTGACACATCAACTTTCTTTTTGACAAATGTTCACAGATAACAATATTTACAGTTCCGTGGTTGGGTGGATGGGTGGAATCAGAAAGCAGTTAAAGAATAATACTGAGGCCAGGTGCAGTGGCTCACACCTGTAATCCCAGCACTTTGGGAGGCTGAGGCGGGCGGGTCACAAGGTCAGGAGTTTGAGACCAGCCTGACCAACATGGTGAAACCCCGTCTCTACTAAAAATACAAAAATTAGCCAGGTGTGGTGGCACATGCCTGTAATCCCAGCTACTCAGGAGGCTGAAGCAGGAGAATCACTTGAACCCAGAAGGCGGAGGTTGCAGTGAGCCGAGATTGTGCCAACCGCACTCCAGTGTGGGCAACAGAGTGAGACTTTGTCTCACAAAAAAAAAAAAAAAAAGAATAATACCAAAAAGAGGAAGAAGACAAGAAACGAGATAAAGGGACACCCCAAACTTTGCCCTCATGGTGGCTTTGCTAGATCTGTCCTGGTCTAATCTACCTCATTCTCTCCCAAGAAGATAACTGTCAATGCTTTTAAAAAAATCTCTTGGACATTTACAGCCTATATTTTGGTGGTACATGCTAGTGCTTGACCATTCTTGATATTCATTTATTCATTCACTCAATAAATACATATTTTGAGCCTCTACCGTGTAGGACACTAGGCACCCTATAGGTCACTGGGAGAAAACTATAAATTCCCTGCCCTTGTGAGCTTACAATCCAGTGAGGGAAACACACCTTTAATCAAAGAAGATAATATGGAGAGTGACATGGGCAATTAATGGGGTGCAGGGATGGAGAACAGCAGGGGGCAGGCCTGCGGAAGTGAGGGCAAGGGCCAACTTTGGTTGGGGAGGATCTCTCTGAGGAGAAATTTGGCTTACATTCTCTCTAGTAACAGTGTGCACCTGGTGGGAATTGGGAGTCTTTCACTCATGATTACAATTATTTGAATTGTATCTAATTGTGTGAGGAGCTGGAGTGCATGGCGTGGTCCGGCAGGTCTGACTGGAGGAAGCAGAGATTGCCAATGGCACCCATGGGCTCTTCCCTTTTCTGTGTGCCGGGCCCGCTGCCCCTGCCCTGGACTCTCCCTGACTCCACCCTTCAAAACTTGCCTGTTCTCCTCTTCCTTCCTCCCTCATATTTCCCTCCATTCTTCCTCACTTCCTCTTTAAGCCTGCAAGGTTTGAGTTCACCTTACTCCTTAGTCTCTTTGCTACTTACAGTGAGGCCAACAGACCAGTATCAACTGGCAGCTTGTTAGGAAAGCAGAATCCAGACCCCACCCTGGACCTCTTTGTTTATTTATTCATTCTCCTTTTATCCCAACTCCTATTCCTATACTTTTGCCCACCAAACCACTTCCTTTAATGTGTTAAGAATTGTTCCTAAATATGCATGTATCTTTGAAGCCTCAGTAGTGCTATTTTGAGTGTTTATGTATTTTCAACTTGCATAAATATTATTGTACTGTAAGTCATTGTTTCTTGCCTTTCTAGTCACCATTATGTATTTAAGATTTAATTACATTATGTCTAGATCTTGTTCATTGTTCTAACTACCGCATAGTATTTCATAGGCATCTATCGCATTTTATTTAGTTATTACCCTATGATGAACAGCCAGGGGCTTTGAACTTGCCGTTGGCCCAAGTAACACTGTATGTCCCTTATAGTCTTGTGCACATTTTTCCCTGGGCCTACATGTTGAGGAGTGGGATTGCACAGCCATTGGCTATGTGCATACTTAGCTTCACAACACTCTTCCAGAGTGTTTGTACCTGTTGGCTCTCCCAACAGCAGCACCACACAACTTCTTTCTAATATTTGTCTCTCTGATGGATGTAAAATGGCATATCATTGTTTTAATTTGCATTTTTCTGACTATCAATGAGTTTAAGCATTTTTTGTGTCTAATTTTATTCAGCCAAAAATTATTGTGCCTATTATGTTCCAGTCATTGTTCTGGGCACTGAGGAAAGAGCGTCCCTCGTCCATTTTTATATTGGATCTTGCGTCTTTTTCTTGCCAATTTGTACGAGTTCATTGTAGAGCTAGGTATTAATCTCTTATCAGTTTTAGACAACACAAATATCTTCCCCCAGTTTGGCTCTATCTGGTAACTGTTTATGGCACCCTTCATTGACCAGATAGCATCATTTTAATGAAGTCAAAATGTTTTTGGCCTCCTATGTTAGGCAATGTCACATTGCCAGTTTCCTGGATTTTGTTCTATTCATAGTTTTACCATTTACATTTAGGACTTTATTTCATCTGGAGTTCAGCATTTATGTGGTACAAAGTAGTAATCCAGCTTTATTTTTCTGTAGATAGTGAGCTAGTTGTCTAACACAGATCTCCCTTTTCTAAAGTTTTAATGACTTAGCATGACTGATGTCAGCCTTGAGTCTATTCTGGAACTAAGATGAGTCAGAGGTTTGCAAACAGTTTCAGTTAGAAAATGTCTCTGTGAAACCTGAAACTGGGCAGCTCCAATGTGACTGCTTTGCAGAGAGGTTGTACTTGTGGTTAATGTTATGTGGCTCCCCAGGAGCCAGAGGTCTGACAGCAATGGACAGGTGCTGAGGGTGATAAGTGCATTCCCCTAATGGAGAGAGGGGTTGCAGAGTTATTACAGATCAAGAACAAGTCTGAGAGTCACCACAAACACTGAAACACAACCATAAGGGTTCTCTAGTATAACACATCCAAATTTGCACACTCACTTCTAAAATCTATGCTTTGAAATTTGAACATAGTTTAAGAATCATCAGACTTCAGTGTAGCTAGGGTTTCAGAGCAGGTCCTGGGGATCAGAACACCGGGTTCAAATCCTAGCTCAGTCACTCATTAACTGTATGACCTTGACCAGATTACTTCCCTCCAAGCATTCCATTTATAAGGATGAGATAATCTTTATAAAGCACTTAGCCTGGTGCCTGCATATTTTAGTTATTCAATAAACAAAAACAATAAAAAGAAGGCCTATTAGATGATAGCCTTGACATTCCAGGGAATAGAAAGATGTCCAAGCTGTGACCAGCAAGGGATTTATGATCTAAACTAGGGATGAGACAAACCTCAAAGATACTGATACCATAAGAGAAAACCTGGTGTGATCGAAAGGATCCCATTAGGAATAACAAATCCCAAGGGTTCTACGCTCTCTGTGCCAGCAACAAAAGGACAAGACCAAATCTCTTTCTTATTATACCCCACTGTGGAGAGGCAACAGGACTATGCAGAGACACCTCTTCTACTGGCCATGTCTTCTCCCAGTGGTCATTATCTACTTTCTCTGCTTTTCTTAAAACTCCAGCCAGATTTTCTTTCTCCCACTCAGCTGATAACCTCATTGACTACTTCCTTTGTGGCACAAAATGTCTCTTATTTTCATTCTTTTCTTTTTTTCATGCCCTTCTAATCTCTTTCCTTCATTGAAGGCCAATTCTTCCACTGGCATTCCTGACCCATCTCCCTCTTGTGCCTTATGAAAGTCCAATGAAAAAATATTTCCTCTGCTTCTCATGTCTTCAAGCTCAGTCTCCACTGGCTCTTTCCTGCTCCCAATCGTGCTTAAATCTCTCTTGGTTTATAGGAACTGCCCTGAGTCCTGGTCTATTTCTTTTCTTTTTCTTTTTGGGGGGGGGGGGTTGGTGGAAGGTGGGGGGGGGGGGTCTCCCTGTGTTGCCCAGGTTGGTCTCGAACTCCTGTCCTCAAGAGATCCTCCCACCTCGGCCTCCCAAAGTGCTGGGTATCCTGTTCTATTCTTAAGCAACCCTTCAATTTCTCTCCAACCTATTGCCTCCACGTTTCTCAAGAGAGAGATAACTCAATGCTGGACTTCTTATCCTTTCACAACATTTATATCTTAGCATTCTGAAATCCAACTTCCACCCCCACAAACACTCCAGAGCTACTGATGGCCTCTTATGTGCCAATTGCAACCATTTTCCCTTCAGTTCTCTATCAACTTCAGTTCTGCAAAGCAATGCCTCCATTCCCTCTCCTGGCCACCTTCTTGAACTGCTTTTCTTATCTGATTTTGGTTCTCCTTCTTCTCTGGCTCTTCCTTCCCACAGTCTTTAGTCTCTCTGACTTTGCAAACAGAGTTGCTTTTCATTGTTCTGTCCTCATCCCTCTAAGCCAGGATTGAGCAATCTTTTCTTGCATAAGTTTAAAGGAAAAAATATATAATAAAATAAACTTTAAAATATCCATCTATATCTATTCATACTTTATTAAATAGAATAATATCAATTAGAAAACGGGTTCTACATTATGGCCCATAAAATATAATCTCAAGACAGAATTGCAATATAAATAGCAACATGGAGGCAACTTCCCAATCTTTCTTCTTGCAATTGTGTCAAGGGCTCATCCATCCTTCATTTCTCTTTATAACATTAATCTTTACTATGGATTTAATTACCACATCTCTATGCAGAATTTCCAACATCTCCAGCCTTGATCCTCTTAAACTAAAGAAACCGAGTTCCAACTTCCTGCTCGTGCCTCCAATTTAACACGTCCCAGCAGAACTCATCATCTTCCTCCTTTGTCCGCACAACCGTTCTTGCCTTTTTTGCTCCCTGACAACACTATCTTCCTAGGCACTCACAGTTTTCTATATGGAGGCAAACATGATTGTTTTGCAAGTGTATAGCGATAAGCATGGGTATCATCAGTGCGGCAAGAATGTTTTTAGGATATGTGGCTATGAACCTTTAATATAAACATATGACTATGATTGGAGCATTTTTTAAAAGAGCAGCAACACAGAAATTAATGAGCCAGCACTTAAGTTTGGAAAAGCCAAAAGGAAGGCCAAATAATGTTCTTTAAAAATGTTGCATTAGCTTCTTGGGATTCCCAAAGAAAAAAGTAAATTAAAAAAAATGTTGCATGATCAATATGATACAATGTAAAAATAATTCTGATGGGTTGAGAAAATAATTTTTGGTATTATTTTAAATAAATGAATGGACATTTATGACAGCAATAAATATTAAGAGCCTTTTAGGTATTATAAGTGAATAGTGGGGCTTACATCTGAAGGATTTTACAGATTCTCTGGGATTTTTATCCCTTAGACAGGAGTCCCCAGACCTTGGTCTGAGGCCTGTTAGGAAGCAGGCTGCACAGTAAGGAGGTGAGTGGTTGGCAAGTGAACATTACAGCCTGAGCTGCACCTCCTATCAGATCAGTAGCGGCATTAGACTCTCATAGGAGCACAAACCCTATGTGAACCGCACATGCAAGGGATCTTATATTTTTATCAGATTTTTTGAGACAGTCTCCCTCTGTCACCCAGGCTGGAGTGCAGTGGCATGATCATGGCTCACTGCAGCCTTCACCTCCCAGGCTTAAGTGATCCTCAGCCTCCTGAGTAGCTGGGACTATAGGCGCCACTGCCTTGCCCAGCTCATTTTTGTATTTTTCCATAGAGACAGGGTTTTGCTATGCTGCCCAGGCTGAAAGAATCTTATTTTATACAGTGACATTCATTCTCTTAAAAATATAGCTTTACGGTTACTTTTTATTATACATAAAATGAATTTCAAGGAACGGTAATATCCACATGGGCTAAAAATGCATATGGAATCTACGTAAGAAAAATGCCAATAATGCTCTAGGGTGAAATTACCTGGGGCTTTTAATTCATTCATTCAACCTGTACTTCTAAGCGCTCACTCCGGAGAGGTTACAGGTGCTAAGAATTCAGCAGAGAACAAAGGACAACCATCCCCGCTGTCATTTACACTCTGAAGGGAGGAAAGAGAAATTAAACCACAGACACACAGATTATAGAGTGTATTAGAAATGACGCCCTAAGTGCTAATGAGAACAATGGAGCAGGGGAAGGATATAGGGAGTAGGATTGTAATTAAAACTGGGATTGTCAAGGAAGGGCTGGGCAGGGGAGGGGGTAGTGGGGATGCAGATGACACTTGTGCCAAGACCTAAAGGGGATGAGAGAGAGAGGATGTCTGCAGGAAGGATGACTCTAGGCAAGGAAGCCAGTGTGGTTGAAGGTGGCAAGATGGAGATGAGTGCACAGTGGTCATGGGGAACAGATCCTGTAGGGTCTTAAAGGTTCTTCCGTGTGATCTGGAGCAACTGGAGGGTCTTGAGCAGAGAACTGGGGTGTTTTAACAGGATCACGCTGACTGGTGGTTTGAAAGTGGCCTGTGGGAGCTTGCTGTGTTTTGTTTTGCAGCAATGGGAAGGATGTGGTTGCCACTTCCTGAGATGGGGAAGGTGGGGAGAGTAGTAGGTTTGGGGAGTTAGGTGGGGAGTTCAGGTCTGGATGAGTTGGGTTTGAGATGTCTATTAGACATCCACGAGGAGATGCCCAGTAGGCAGTCTTCGCCCTCACCTCTCCTCTACCTCCTCTCTTATGATTACAGAAGTTGTGGCCTGCATCAAGGCGTGCATCAGCCTTCCAGTAACCCCACTGGCAGAACCTTGCACCCCGTTAAGGGCTACTGTCCATTCGGAGCAAGGGGCACATTAGATAATTTGCCCTACCAGAGAGAGCAATTATAGCAATTACTCCAAGGCAGGTGTTTGGTATCTGTGGCCTTTAGCAGTTGAATGTCGGAGTCCAAGGGAAAGGTGTGAGCTGCAGACATAGACGTGGGGATCATCAGCTTGAAGCTGTTGTGCAAAGTCATCAGATCAGCAGAGGAAAGGATTTACAAAGAAATATATATAACACCGCACAGGGTTGTTGTCTTGTGAGGATTAAATTAAATACACACTTAAAACATCCGGAATACAGACAGTGCTTAATAAAGAGCTGCTGTTTTTATTAACAAACTTATCTGTAGGAGCTCGTCCATGGACAACATCCAGTTCATACAGATGCGTGCGCATTTCGCAGCAGCCATACACGCCCAAAGAGGACGAGACTGGATGTGATTGAGCTGACTGGCATCTTTAGATGGATGGTCCTCAGTCCAGTCCTTCCATTTTACAGGCGAGGAGGCGGAAGCTTGGGGAGGCTAAGCGCGCTGAGCTGGCGGCGGAGCGGAGCTTCCACTAGGGCTCCCAGTTTCCCCGCACCGCGCCCGCCGTCCTCCGGGCCACCCATCCCACCCGAACGCGCCACCGCTCTAGCCCGCGCTCCAGCCCGCGCGTCACCGACGCCCGCGGCCTCTCCCACCTCTAAGTTCCAGGAAGCTCTCGGCCTCTAGCTGACCGCGTTGCTGCTGAGCTTCCCTGGGGAGAAGGCGCCGAGGTGCCCGGTGCGGGCCGAGGCAGGGCTGGGCCTCGCGGGCAGCAGGCGGAAGAAGGAAGGGCGGTGGGGCAGGTCCCGGCTGCGCGGGGCAGTTGTGCGCACTTGGGTTCTTCACGCGGGACACACGTGGAACGCCGACCCCTGCGCCCCTGGCCGCTGGCAACTGGCAAGGCCGGGAACAGAAAGTGTAGGGACAGAAGAGCGCTGGAGTCTTCCCCGGGAGGGAGCCCGGGGCTGCAGCCCAGGGGCGGGGAGCGGGGCGGGGCTGGGAAAGTTGAGTACTGGTCGCTCAGGGCCGGGCTCCGCCGGAGTGCCCGGCGCAGAAACCGTAAAAGGCTGGAGCGGGCGGGGTAGGTGTGGCTCTGTGTGCGTGACCTGAGCCCCGGTCCCAGTCCCTGTAGTCTCCTGCGGCCGCGGCCTCTCAGCCATGGGCGCCGTCTGGTCCGCCCTGCTGGTTGGAGGGGGTCTGGCCGGAGCACTTTTCGTTTGGCTGCTGCGGGGCGGCCCTGGCGACACCGGGAAGGACGGGGATGCGGAGCAGGAGAAAGACGCCCCTCTTGGGGGAGCTGCGATTCCGGGAGGCCATCAGAGTGGCAGCAGCGGACTGAGCCCTGGACCTTCCGGGCAGGAGCTGGTCACCAAACCAGGTATTCTTCCCCCCGTGACTCCAGGGCACATCTGCCAGAGCTTTGAGGTTCATCGAGGAAGGGAGCAAAGAGACAAACCCACCTGGAGCTTTCCTAGGGGCCCATTCCTGCGGACGGGCTCTCCTAAGGGGACTGGGCCATCCCCACGCCCCTCGGTTTCCCAGGCTGGTTGGTACGCGCAGGCAGGTTTCTTGTCTGGTCCTCCAAGGGCCGCGCCCTTGCCGAGTCCCTCAGCGCCCGCGCCTGAGGACTTGGTCCTGCCCCTCCGGCGGGGATGAGCTCCTCCACTTGGCGGCGCTTGGTGCAGTGCGGGCGGCTGCAGTGGCGGCGCCCCTTCCCGGCCTTTGGAAAGGGGGGCTTAGGTTTAGGGGATCCTACAAGCCTCTTCGATCTCTGCCCAAGCAGGGACATTTTCTAAGTCCCAATCCGGGTAGTCTGACATCCTCCCATCGCACAGCCCATGAAGAGCTGGGTTTGGGAACACCCGAACTGCGGGCGCCTCCTGCTATCTGGATGCTTCTTTAGGAAGGCAAAGTTCAGGTTGGACTCTGGCCATGAAGGCTGTGGCTGAGGCCCTGGGGATGTGCCTTGGTCACCCCTTTCAGCACTGTCGGCAGTCCCCTCCACGCTGCCCCAGAATAGGGCCGGATAGTCATCCCTAGGAAGGGACTACTTAAATAGGGGACCCAACCCTGATGAGTAGAATTGACATCTGGGTTTAAATTTCTGTATTTTAGGGACCGTTTGCTAAGCAGAGAGCGAACACTGGCAGAAAAGCTTACCGTCCAGTGCCCTCCCTTGGCAAGCTGCCCATGCCTGGACAGAAGCCTAATGGTGAAAATGACATCTGTGAACTTTATTTTTAGCCCAGTGGTGTTCATGTGCAGCCATATGAAAATCTGCCCGTGTGCCTTTACTGTGATTGGTCTGGGATGCCTAGACAGTTCACTTATCTTTTTTCTGAAGACCAATCTCATGCTTTAGGTTGAAAAGTTGGGAATCCAGAATAATATTTGTTCATTCTCACTTCCAACTCCCACCATCACCGAGGCGGGCAAATCACAAGGTCAGGAGTTCGAGACCAGCCTGGCCAATATGGTGAAACCCTGTCTCTACTAAAAGTACAAAAATTAGCTGGGCGTGGTAGTAGGCGCCGGTAGTCCCAGCTACTTGGGAGGCTAAAGCAGGAGAATCGCTTGAACCCGGGAGACAGAGGTTGCAGTGAACCGAAATCGTACCACTGCACTCACTCCAGCCTGGGTGACAGAGCGAGACTCCATCTCAAAAAAAAAAAAAAAAAAGGGATAAAATGAAACAAGACTGTTGTCCCCATACCACCACCACCCCCACACCACATAAAACCACAGCTGTGCTGATTGTATGTATGATTTGGAGATTTCAATCTTGTAGGGAGCTATTTGGACTACCAATGGCATGGCCAAGAAGGAAACTGCATTTTTAGAGGACTTGGATTTTGTATTTTTAAGAACGTTTTTTAAAAAATGCTTACAATGGAAGGGGATACAAAACACCGTTTTGTTGGGGAGGTTCCTAACGCATATGGGATTGGCAAGGAGAAACCAGCCCCTTCCCCCAGTTCTCCCTCCACTCCTGCCCAGGGAAGCACTACTGTTCTCCGTATCTCCCCAAGGTGACAGCTCCTGCTGATCTGCCCGCAGGTCTGCGAGAGCCAATCCCTGCCCTGCATGCCTCCCCTGGGAGAACAAGTGTACTCTTCTGGTTTGTAACGTAGCCACGCAGCCCTTTGCCCCACAGCCTGGACAACATTCTTTGATGATAGGAGCCAAGCAACTTAACTTGGCTGCATGCCAGTATGGCCTGGACTGTGGAGACTGGGGACCATGGGGGGGTTACACGTCTGCCTCTACAGCTTACCACTTCATTTACACTTGTGCTGGCACACTGATACTCCTGGATGTCCCTTTTGTTGTCAGATATACATGTGTATTCTTAGAGCACAGTGTTGGGAGCATACTGGTTAATTAAGTAGTACTTGATTTTAATAGAGGGGGACTTTGTGAATTGCAGATTGATTAGTAGTAAAGCTTTCAGTAACTAAATCTATTTTCTCAGCCTGACTTTTTTCTTAAATGAACTACCTGACTCTATTACATTTTTCCTTTGATTTCTTAGAGCATCTTCAAGAAAGCAATGGACATTTGATTTCTAAGACCAAAGACCTTGGTAAACTGCAAGCAGCATCATGGAGATTGCAGAATCCTTCCAGGGAAGTCTGTGACAATTCAAGAGAACATGTTCCTTCTGGACAGTTTCCAGACACAGAAGCTCCAGCTACCTCTGAGACCAGTAACTCTAGGAGTTACTCTGAAGTTTCAAGAAATGAAAGCCTTGAATCTCCTATGGGAGAATGGGGATTCCAAAAAGGACAAGAGATATCTGCTAAAGCAGCTACATGTTTTGCAGAGAAGTTGCCTTCTAGCAACCTGCTCAAGAACAGAGCTAAAGAAGAAATGAGCCTCTCTGATTTGAACAGTCAGGACCGGGTTGACCACGAGGAGTGGGAAATGGTGCCTAGGCACTCATCTTGGGGGGATGTTGGTGTGGGTGGCAGTCTTAAGGCTCCAGTGTTAAACCTAAACCAGGGAATGGACAATGGAAGAAGCACTTTGGTGGAAGCAAGAGGTCAGCAAGTGCATGGGAAAATGGAAAGGGTAGCAGTGATGCCTGCAGGGTCTCAGCAAGTTAGTGTCAGGTTCCAGGTCCATTATGTCACAAGCACTGATGTGCAATTCATTGCAGTAACTGGAGACCATGAGTGTCTTGGGAGATGGAACACTTACATCCCACTCCACTATAACAAGGATGGGTTCTGGTCTCATTCCATTTTCCTGCCTGCAGATACAGTGGTGGAGTGGAAGTTTGTGTTGGTAGAGAATGGGGGAGTTACCCGCTGGGAAGAATGCAGCAATAGATTCCTAGAAACTGGCCATGAGGATAAAGTGGTTCACGCATGGTGGGGGATTCACTGATTCAGTTTGCAAAGTAATGGAGAAGCTGTAGAACAATGTGGAAGAGGCTGAGGTTGTGGAACACACTGAATAAAATAAAGGCAGTGTGACTCCAAATTCAGCCATCTGAATTGTTTAAATTTGCTAGTGGATTTTGTCTAATGTGCAGAAATATATATGTCTAATGTGCAGAAATATATATGTGTGTATGTGTGTATATATATGCACACACACACAGATAATGCTTCCAGTGAATGTGAACTTCTTTTCCCTGTGGCACTGATTGACAGACTTGTGCTGATCCATTATTACTTTAGGGCTTGATTCTCTTGGGGAGTGACTTGGCTAAGCTTCAGGTGTAAACTGTGGTCACGGAGCAAAAACATTAACCAGCTGCCCAGGGTTCAAGCTTGAGCCTTTAGGTGATCTTTAAACTATGGTAGTAAAATAAGCCTCACTCAAACATAGCTGACTTCCTATTGGTACAGCTTGAAAAGCACTTTTTACTACATACACATTTTATGCTTAAAAAGTTAACATGATACGAAACTGTGATTAGAAAATATCTGGTCTGGATGTGATTAGTAAGGATACAAGATAATGTTCTAAGACTGCCTAATGCTTTTTGTTTGATTTTCATCTGCCAGGCGTTGTTATGTGCTATGAGGGTAGCAAGTACGTCTTTGTCTTAATGATCTAAGGCTGGTGTAGAAACAAAGGGCCTAATGAGAACCAATCATCATGGAAGTCAGTTGCGGGGGCAGCCCATAAGGAAAGGGAAAGTGAGTGGGGTTGGGCATAGGCTGAGTGAGGTGGCCTGAATGACACCTCTTAGAGGACTGTGAAGTACAGGCACAGCCCGACTGCAGGGAGGGATGCACCCATCATTTACCCATGGGAGCATCTGTAGGACCATCTCTCTCCCACTTCTTCTCCCCTCCCCCACCGCATCTGGCCAGATGGACTGTCCTACAGCAATCGTTTCCATCTGTCACCCTCTTCCCTCTCCTTTCATACCAGTCACTATCTTGGGTAACAAATTTATACAGGACAGTGGTACAGAAATACATCTTTGCTCTGAGAATACAGCAAATATTAACTTAAATTATTATAACTGAACAAATAATAAAACCTGAATTTTAATATCTTCATTTGATGTCTGAATTATTTGTCTAAATTTTAGTATCACAATAGCCTAGATGTAAAATAAAATACAAATATTTTCCTCCACTAATAAGAGACATATACAGAAAAGCAAACATCAAAAGGTACAGAAGACATGAAGATTCTGTTTTTCTCCTCCCTTTGGAGAAAAAGTTGACAATATTTATTCTCAAAGTTCACCTTTGACTGGAGGGAAATTCAGCACGCCTGTACTTGAAAATGAATTCTTACATGTTAAAATAACTTTTAATAAGTTTAACATCTATCAGTGAAATAATGTTTAATCCTTTTAAACAGATGGTCTTTGCTGAAAAGAATAAACCCAACTGAAAATAGCATTAGAAAGTACTTAAAAGAACTATGTTTGACAGTTTTTGGCTCATAGCACTTTTATGTTAAATTCATGTATACTGTTTACAGACTTCATAATGAATTTTATATTGTACCAGTAAGCTCTGCAGAAGGCATTCACCATTACTGCATGGAATGCCCAAACATGCCCATGAGGAAAATTAAAGGTAAAACAATTTAAGTAAAAGTCTCTCTAGAATTCTATTACTGGCTATTTTATCACTACCTGGTAAAATTAAAATTAATCTTTCAGTAAAGCCAACTGATCTAAGAGAGAAATATTACACTTTATATTTTAAAAATTCACTTAAAATTGGATGTGCTTACAGTTCTAACATTGTCCTTGAGAGCAGAAGCGTGAGGATCTTCTGGTGAGAGCATGCATGCCCTACTCCATTTGTTGTCTGCATAGGTTAGGGCTGCTGCTAGCTGCTGTAATAGACACCATCCATTTAAGAAGGCTGCAGCACCAGAGGCCGATTTCTTGCTCATGTAACTGTCAGCAGTGAGTCTTCCTGGCAGGAGGGCAGCTCCCCTCCTTGCAGAGATTCAGTTACCCAGACTCCCTTCTGCCCTGTGGCTCTGCCATCCCCTATAATAACCCTCATGTCCTCTGCATCCAGCCCATGGAGGGGAAAATAAAGTTAGGAAGAACACCCATGCATGTTAACACTTTGACCTGAAAGTGCCACATATTGCTCTGTCCACATTCTGTTAATGAGAACCCTCAGGCCACACCCATATACAAGGGGAGGCAGGATTGGGAAATAGAGACTCTTGCTGGGCAGCTGTTTCTCAGTGACAATTCCAGGTTATACAACAGGAACATAAGATTTATTTTGGACAGCTAGCCATCTGCCACGTTGTCCCTGATGTTTTGACACAACTGATACATTTTTGTATTTGTTCTTCTCTCATTTTATTTAGTTCACATATAAACCTCCCTAATTTATTAAAATTTAATTAAAGCAGACTGAATAGATATAATCTAGAAGTTACCAACTTGCTAAAGAGTAACAAAATCATTTTCTTTACTATTATTAATATGCAAAAAAGGGAAACTTTTGTAAAAGTTTTGACTGGGGGCCCTGATGTTAGGTTATCTGATTACCCTCACTGATATTGACAGAACAGTGAGTTCACAGTCACAAAATGAGCCCCTGTTAGTATGCTGAAATTTGTCCTCTGTCCTTGGTATTACACCACGTCTTTCACTTTCATGTGAAAGTAGTTCTTCCCCCAGATTTTTTTTGAAGCTAAATTAGATTGAATAAAACATTTAAATTAAATTAAAATTTAAGTAGAATAAAATAAATAAAATAGATTCTATTGTCTTGGGACCAGTAACAATAAAAAACCACAATTATTCCAATATATTAGAATAAGCACAAATTATATCTTATAATTAATCACCTTATAAGGTAATTATAATACCTTATTATGTATGAATACTTTATAGGTATTAATTGTTATAATGTATGAATACTAGCTAGTAGATGTTTGAAGTTTTACTGTGAGGGATTCAAGAATAGTTTATTTCAAAATAGAGTTTACAAGACAGGGTATCTTTTATTAAATTTTCACATAAAAAGAAAAAGTACACAGGGCACTAATTACGAGTAACACCACAATTAATTGGGCCTCATTCCTCTGTAAAGAATAGGCAAGCAACGAGTCATTTTAGTAACATTTTTTCCTGGTCTTTTACTTTCTGTATCCTCTTTTCTTGATTTCTGATCATTGAAGACATTGCTGAAAATGTTGATAAAACAGTTAGAATAACAAAATCTACTTAGGCTTTAATTCTACTATGTGCTACTTAAAAGATCAGCTTGATAGTATAGAATAGACATGTTCTGAGCTCAAGACATTCTTAAAAATTGTGATGTAGCATATTTTTGAAAAGGTTGGTGTTATGGAAGAGAGCTAAGGGTAAATCTTTAGTGTTTCAGGTGTTTTATTTACTTATTTATTTTGTAGAGACAGGGTCTCTCTATGTTGCCCAGGGTGGTCTAAGACTCCTGGCCTCAAGCAATCCTCCTGCCTCGGTCTCCCAAAGTGTCAGGATTACAGACATAAGCCACTGTGCCCAGCCTCAGTTGTTTTAAATGGGCATGATAATTGTAAAAGTAATACTAATTGTAAATAATTCAAACACCTCAGAAGGACACAAAGATAGATGAAGGTCAGTCTTTGTCTCTGCTCCCTCAATCTGCTGGAATCTGCCTCCGCCCAAGAGGTCATTACCATAAGCAATTTGGTGAATATCTGCACATATACATGAATGTGCACATGTTTTATTCTTTACACAAATGAAAACATATGCTATAGACTGTTCTGTAGCTTCTTTTTCATATAACAAAACGTCAATAAGTTTCCAGTTCAGCTTATGTTTTGTTGTAACTGCATAGTATTTACTAGTATTTCATTATACAAATGTATTAGAATTTAGTAAACAGACTAAAAAAGGTTACATCCTTTTTCTAAACATCCTTTTTTCTTTCTTTCTTTCTTGCTATAATAAATACTTTTGTATAAACACTTCTGTGCATTTGTACAATCATTTCTTATAGAATAAATTGCTAGAAGTGAAATTTCTGGGTCAAAGCGTAAATGCACTTCAAGTTTTGACAGTCCTCCCAGAATTCCCCCTAAAAATATTTGTTTTAGAATTTTCAAGAGGCGTCCCATCCAGACACTGCATTCAGCAAAAAGGTCTTTTTATTTTGTAAATATCTTCCATGTGGATTATTATTTGGTGGCATACATCAGATAAATTCAGAAACATATGTCATGGTGTGAGTAAAAATAGGATCAATAAGATAATGCATCTTCCTTCAAAAAACTCACAATAGATGTGGAGAGGAAGATGGCAGATAGGAGACAGGGCTAACGTGCAGCTCCAACTTGGATGGACAGAGCAACGTGTGGAGACTCACACTGTTGACTTTTGCTCCAAGAGCCACTGCAGGAACATACTGGGAAAACCAAAAGAATTTACAGATACTTTGAAAAAAGTGGCATGCCACTGCAAATTCCACAAGATAGGTAAAAAACTGTGAGTTCCCAAAGTGTGGAGGGGGAAATCCTGCCTCTCAACAAATACCCCCATTGGGGAACCTGAAAATCCAGATTACGGGAGAAGGATTTAACCTTACCTAGAGCTGGAACAAATTTAGCGCAAAATATAAAAGTAGAAGGAGCAGTGGGAAGAGCCTTGGAGGCATTCCCATTCTCCAGCTCGAGCCCAGGGAAGCCATCCCTGACTATATCTCACAGGGGCCCTCGGGAAAGGTGGCTGGCAGAATTTGGGAGTGGTCACAGGGTGAAAGAAGCTTCCAACTGAACTCTGTAATAATTTCAACTGGGCACAAACTCTTTTGAGCGGAATCTGGGTGGTGAATGGGAAATGCTACAGAAAGGAGCACAGAAGCCACTACTGACAGTGTGGGCAGACAGGAAGGGGCAGGTGAGACGTGAAAGCCATACTTGCTTTGTCAGTGGGGAAGTTTATAGCACGGGCAAGGTCTGATCTGCCCGCCACCCCCAACCACCACCCTGCACTGGCTGCCTGGAGACACTGGCGCTGTTAGCAGGGCATGGTGGGAGCAAGATTGGCCTTGCCAACTGTGTGGGAGCTAGGTAAGGCCTATCACACAGGCTTTCCCCAACTTCCTTGGCAACAGAGGCAGCCAAAATCACCTCTGGAACATAACTCCACTGGCCCAAGAACCATCCTGCGTACCCCACAGTGGCCACGGCAAGCCCTACACAAGGAGAGTCTGAGCTCAGACCCACCTAACTCTGCCCCAACCTGATGGTATTTTTTTCCCTGCCCTGGTAGCTGATCACAAAACACACAAACTATTGAGAGCTTGATGGCCCTGCACATCACCCGATAAACCCAAATACTTATCCTGGCCAACTTAGGGCAAGCTTACATTCCCCTGTCTACTATCATAGCTTGTGCCGTCTTGAAAGTGCCACCCCTTGGCTGGAGGCCAACCAACTCCGAACATTACAGTAACTCATGATAGAAATGATAGAATAACCCTGCACCAAGGAAGAAGAAAACAGCAGCTAATTCCACTGCCTGCAACATTCTGGCTAACCAGAGGTACTAAGTCTGTCCATGTGAAAATATCACTGCTAGCATAATCAGTATTTGATTAAGCCAGGACACTAAACATATCTATGACCAAGGACTCTCACAGAGTGTACTTTACTCCCCTACGTCCTCTACCAGAGGAGGTGCTGGTATCCACGGCTGGGAGACGTGAAGATGAATCACATCACAGCACTCTTTGCAGAAATTTCCCAGCACCAGCCCCGAGTCTGGTAGCCCTACTGAGTGGCTAGATGTGCAAGAACAATAATGATCATTGCAGTCCAGCTCTCAGGAAGGCCCATCCCTTGGGGGAGGGGGAGGACACCACATCAAGGGGTCACCCTGTGGGACAAAAGAATCTGAACCTTGAGTTCCGGGCTTTTCCACTGAAATAGTTTACCCAAATCAGAAGGAATCAGAAAAGCGATTCTGGAAATATGACAAAACAAGGTTTGATAACATCCCCAAAAGGCCACACTAGCTTGCCAGCAATGCAGTTAAACCAAGAAGAAATCTTTGAATTGCCAGATGAAGAATTCAGAAGGTTGATTAAGCTACTCATGGAGATACCAGAGAAAGGTAAAAACCAACTTAAAGAAATCTAAGAAACAATACAGAATATGGATGAAAAATTCTCCAGAGAAATAGATATAAAGAAAAACAATCACAATTTCTGGAAATGAAAGACACACTTATAGAAATACAAAATGCACTGGAAAGTGTCAACAATAGACTAGAACAAGTAGAAGAGAGACCTTCAGAACTTGAAGACAAGGCTTTCAAATTAGCCCAATCAGACAAAGACAAAGAAAAAAGAATTTAATAAAATTGAACAAAGCCTCCAAGAAGTCTGGGATTATGTTAAACGGCCAAACCAAAGAATAATTGGTGTTCATAAGGAAGAAGATGAATCTAAAAGTCTAGAAAACTTATTTAAGGGAACAATTGAGGAAAATTTCCCTAGACTCACTAGTGATCTAGACATTCAAATACAAGAAGCTCAAAGAATACCTGTGAAATTCACTGCAAAAAGATCTCCACCTAGGCACACGGTCATCAGGTTATCTAATGTCAAGATGATGGAAAGAATCTTAAGAGCTGCAAAGTAAAAGTATCAGGTAAGCTATAAAGGAAAACCTATCAGATTAACAGCAGATTTCTCAGCAGAAACCCTACAAGCCAGAAGGAACTGGGGTCATATTTTTAGCCTCCTCAAACAAAATAATTGCCAGCCAATAATTTTGTATCCAGCAAAACTAAGCTTCATGAATGAAGGACAGATAAAGTCTTTTGCAGACAAAAAAAAAAAAAAAAAAAAAAATGCTGAGAGAATTCACCAGTACCAAACCATCACTAAGAAATGCTAAAAGGAATTCTAAATCTTGAAATAAAACCTCAAAACACACCAAAATTGAACCATCTTAAAGCATAAATCTCACAGGGCCTATAAAACAATAACACAATGAAAAAAAAAACCAAGGTAATTCAGGCACCAACTAGTAGGATGAACAAAACAGTATCTCGTATTTCAATACTAACATTGAATGTAAATGACCTAAATGTGCCACTTAAAGATACGGAATGGCAGAAAGGATAAAAATCTACCAACCAAGTATCTGCTGTCTTCAAGAGACTCACCTAATGCACAAGGACTCACATAAACTTAAGGTAAAGGGATGGAAAAAGATATTCCATGCAAATGGATACCACAAACGAACAGGGGTAGCTAGTCTTATATCAGACAAAACCCACTTTAAAGCAACAACAGTTCAGAAAGACAAAGAGGGATATTATATAGTGATAAAGGATCAGTCCAACAGTAAAATATCACAATCCTAAATATATATGCACTTAACACTGGAGCTCCCAAATTTATAAAATGATTACTACTAGACCTAATAAATGCAATAGATGCTAATACAATAATAGTGGAGGACTTCAATATTCCACTGATACCACTAGACAGGTCATCAAGACAGAAAGTCAACAACAACAACAAAAAACAATGCACCTAAACAATGCAATGAACTTAAACTATATCCTAGAACAAACAGACTTAACAGATATTTACAGAACATTCTACCCAACAACTGCAGAATATACATTCTTTTCATTAGCCCATGGAACATTCTCCAAGGTAAACCAAATGATAGGCCACAAAACAAGTCTCAACAAATTTAAGAAAAGCAAAATGATATCAAGTATTCTCTCAGACCACAGTGGAATAAAACTAGAAATTAACTCCAAAAGGAACCCTCAAAACTATATAAATACATGGAAATTGAATAATCTACTCTGGAATCATCTTTGGATCAATAATGAAATCAAGATGAAAATTTAAAAATTCTTCGAACTGAATGAAACTAGTGACACAATTTATCATACCCTCTAGGATACAGCAAAAGTGGTGCTAAAAGGAAAGTTAATAGCCTTAAATGCCTACATAAACAAGTCTGAAAGAGCACAAATAGACACTCTAAGGTCACACCTCAAGGAACTAGAGAAACAAGAACAAACTAAACCCAAACCCAGCAGAAGAAAAGAAATAACAAAGATCAGAACAGAATTAAATGAAATTGAAGTAAATAAATAAAAAACAATACAAAAGACAAATGAAACAAAAAGCTTGTTCTTTAAAAAGATAAAATTATTAGACCATTAGTGAGATTAACCAAGAAAAGAAGATAGAAGATCCAAATAAGCTCAATTAGAAATGAAATGAGAGATTTTACAACTTATACCACAGAAATACAAAAGATCATTTAGGGCTACTATGAACACTTTTATGTGCACAAACTAGAGAATCTAGAGGAGATGGAAAATTCCTGGAGATATACAACCCTCCTGATTAAGCTAGGAAAAAAAACAGAAACTCTGAAGAGACTAATAACAAGTAGTGAGATTGAAACAGTAATTAAAAAAATGCCAACAAAAAGAAGTCCAAGACCAGATGGATTCACAGCTGAATTCTATCAGGCATTAAAAAAGGATTGGTACCCATCTTAATGAAACTGTTTCAAACATAAAGAAATAGGGAATCTTCCCTAAATCATTCTGTGAAGTCAGTATCACCCTAATACTAAAAGCAGGAAAGGACATAACAAAAAAAGAAAACTACAGAGCAATATCCATGATGAACACAGATGCAAAAATCCACATATTCTATGAAGTCAGTATCATCCTAATACTAAAACCAGGAAAGGACATAACAAAAAAAGAAAACTACAGACCAATATCCATGATGATGCCGGGTGCAGTGGCTCACACCTGCAATCCCAGCACTTTGGGAGGCCAAGGTGGGCAGATCACGAGGTCAAGAGTTCGAGACCAGCCTGGCCAACATGGTGAAACCCCATCACTACTAAGAATACAAAAATTAGCTGGGAGTGGCCAGGCGCGGTGGCTTACGCCTGTAATCCCAGCACTTTAGGAGGCTGGGGTGGGCAGATCTTGAGGTCAGGAGATGAAGACCATCCTGGCTAACACAGTGAAACCCTGTCTCTATTAAAAATGCAAAAAATTAGCCAGGCGTGCTGGTGGGCGCCTGTAGTCCCAGCTACTTGGGAGGCTGAGGCAGGAGAATGGTGTGAACCCGGGAGGCAGAGCTGGCAGTGAGCTGAGATCGTGCCACTGCACTCTAGCCTGGGCAACAGAGCAAGACTCCATCTTAAAAAAAAAAAATTAGCTAGGCATGGTGGCATGTGCCTGTAATCCCAGCTACTCAGGAGGCTGAGGCAGGAGAATCACTTGAACCCGACAGGTGGAGGTTGCAGTGAGCTGAGATCATGCCACTGCGCTCCAGCCTGGGTGACAGAGCAAGACTCCGTATCAAAAAAAAAAAAAAAAAAAAAAAAAAAAAAAAAATATATATATATATATATATATATATATATATATATATATATATGTCCATGATGAACATAGATGCAAAAATCCACAACAAAATATTAGCTAACTGAATCCAACACCATATCAAAAAGATAATACACCATGATCAAGTGGGTTTCATACCAGGGATGCAGGGATGGTTTAACCTACTCAAGTTGATAAATATGATACATCACACAAACAGAATTGAAAACAATAATCATATCATCATCTCAAAAAATGCAGAAAAATCATTTGACAAAATCCAGCATCCCTTTATAATGAAAACCCTCGGCAAAATCGGCACAGATGGGACATACCTCAAGGTAACCAAAACCATCTATGACAAACTCATAGCCAACATTATACTGAAAGGGGAAAAATTGAAAGCATTTTCCAAGAGAACTTGTACAAAACGAGGATGCCCACTTTCACCACTGCTATTCAACATTGTACTGGAAGTCCTAGTCAGAGCAGTCAGACGAGAGAAAGAAATAAAGGGCATCCAAATGGGTGAAGAGGAAGTCAAACTATTGCTGTTTGCTGATGATATGATCCTATGCCTAGAAAACCTTAAAGACTCATCCACAAAGCTCCTAGATCTGATAAATGAATTCAGTAAAGTTTCAGGATACAAAATCAATGTACACAAATCAGTACCATTGCTACACACCAACAATGACCAAGCTTGGTATCAATTCAAGAACCCAGCCCCTTTTATAACAGCTGCAAGAAAAATAAAATACTTGGGAATATACCTAACCAAGGAGATGAACAATCGCTACAGGAAAAACTACAAATGCTGCTGAAGGAAATCATAGACAACACACACAAATGGAAACACATTTCATGCCCATGGATGGGTAGAATCAGTATTGTGGAAATGATCATACTGCCAAAAGCAATCTACAAATTCAATGCAATTCCCATCAAAATACCATCATCATTCTTCACAGAACTGGAAAAAACATTCCTAAAATTCATAAGGAACAAAAAAAAGATCCCACATAGCCAAAGCAAGACTATGCAAAAGAACAAATCTGGAGGCATCACATTACTTGACTTCAAACTATACTACAAGGCTATCATCACCAAAACAGCATGGTACTGGTATAAAAATAGGCACATAGACCAATGGAACAGAATAGAGAACCCAGGAAGAAAGCCAAAAATTTACAGCCACTGATCTTCGACAATGCAAACAAAAACATAAAGTGGGGAAAGGACACCCTATTTAACAAATGGTGCTGGAATAATTGGCAAGTGGCATGTAGAAGAATGAAACTTCAACTCAAGATGGGTCAAAGACCTAAACCTAAGACCTGAAACCACAAAAATTCTAGAAGATAACATCAGAAAAACTCTTGTAGACATTGGGTTAGACAAGAGTTCATGACCAAGAACCCAAAAGCAAATGCAACAAACACAAAGATAAATAGATGGGACCTAGTTAAATTAAAAAGCTTCTGCATAGCAAAAGAAATAAGCAGCAGAGTAAACAGACAACCCACAGAGTGGAAGAAAATATTTGCAAACTGTGCATCTGACAAAGGACTAATATCCAGAATCTACAAGGAACTCAATCGAATCAGCAAGAAAAAAACAAATAATCCCATTAAAAAGTCGGCTAAGGACATGAATAGACAATTCTCAAAAGAAGATACACAAATGGTCAACAAACATATGAAGAAATGCTCAACATCACTAATGATCAGGGAAATGCAAATCAAAACAACAGTATGATACTACCTACTCCTGCAAGAATGGCCATAATTTAAAAATATGACATAAGTTAAAAATATGACCAACAGATGTTGGTGTGGATGTGGTAAAAAGGGAACACTTTTACACTGTAAACTAGTACAACAACTATGGAAAGCAGTACAGAGATTTCTTAAACAACTAAAAGTAGAACTACCATTTGATGCAGTAATCCCACTACTGGAGGAAAAGAAGTCATTATATGTAAAGGACACTTGCACACGCATGTTTATAGCAACAAAATTCACAATTGCAAAAATATGGAACCAGCCTAAATGCTCACCAACCAACTAGTGGATAAAGAAAATTATATCGATCTATCTATATATATAGAGAGACTATTACATGGTGTGTATATATATATAATATAATATATTATATATATATGCACACACCTCAGCCACCTCCCATTCTTCCCCCATATATATACCATGTATATTTTTATATATATATATATTTACATGGTGTGTGTATATATATATATGATATATTTACATGGTGTGTACACATATATATGTAAATATATATATTTTTTATATATATATAATAAATATATATATGTATATATATACACACCATGTAATACTACTCAGCCATAAAAAGGAATAAAATAATGGCATTTGTAGCAACCTGCATGGAGTTGGAGACCATTATTCTAAGTGAAGTAACTCAGGAAAAGAAAAACAAACATTGTATGTTCTCATTATATGTGGGAGCTAAGCTATGAGGACGCAAAGGCATAATAATAATACGATGGACGTTGAGGACTTGGGGGAAGGGTGGGAGGTGGGTGAGGGAAAAAAGATACATCATATACTGCTTGGGTGATGGGTGCACCAAAATCTCAGAAATCACCACTAAAGAACTTTTCCCTGTAACTAAACACCACATGTTCCCCCCAAACTATTGAAATTTAAAAAAAAATGCTAAAACCCCACAAATTCACAATAAACTTAAAACCAAATGCTTTTCCTAATGTTCATATACATAGGGGTCTTGGGTTATCACAGGGACTTGGAATTTTCTTCAACAACAATTTGCTAAAGCCTTACTATATTAAAAACATGTGGATTTTGGAGTCAGAAATTGCAGAGGCCAAGTCCCCGATCTACTCTTCACTGTGACTTGGAATTTATTGACTGTTCTTTTATCTTCAGTTTCCTCATTTTCAAATGCTGTAATAACAGTACCCATTTCCCAATGTTGTTGTGAAAATTACATGAAGAAAACGCAAGTGAAGCTCTGAGTAAAAGGCCTGGCACACAGTTGGGAAGTGCTCAATTAAGTGTAAATAGCAACTATTATTATTAATAAGGTTAAGTTTATTTTATGAAGATTCGTTCTTAGAATAGTATTTTCCTTTACCCAGCAATTTATTGTTTTCTAGGGATAGAAAAGATGGCATAAAAAATGTACTTCAAAATTCATTTCTCTCTGATAAAGGCTCCTGGATTCATGAAGGCGGGTTATAAAAGCATGAATCATGAGGGCTCCCCCATATTCATGGTACTTAGAACTTATGCCCAAAAAGCTGCTGGTCATCTGCAGATTAGAACAGTTTCTTATTCAAATAGTTTTAGCATTTTTAGAAGTGGATTCTTTTTATTTTGTGATTCGTTGGGTGGCATAGTGTCTTATAGTGCTATGCTAATTTAAATCCTGTGTAAAGATAAATACCATTATTTTGCTTTCTTGCTATTGACTATACTCTTTTCTTGGCTATTATTGTATAAATGTTTATCTATAGACCTAATAGCAACAAGAAAGACGGTGTGTGGGAAAGTCCCATGTGACAAGCCACTCAGAACCTCAAAACCACTCCTCCTGAGGGATGGCCGGCAGGATTGTCATCCCCATTAGATAAGAGAGTATAGCAGGGCAAGAGTGACCTGCCCATGGTCACACAATTAATCCAGGGGCTATTAATGGTTAAGACCCTTATATTTAGACTTCAGTTTACAGTTGTTAATTCAATACCCTTTCAGCAGGTCTATAGACAGGAGGCTTAATCTGAAAAGAAGGTGAACATTCTCATGAGCGAGGAAGATCTCTCCAAAAACGTACACTGTACCTTGGTTCTTCAGCTGTAAATCTTCTACCAGAGTTTGCAAGCTTTCTAGTCTGTTCTGAAGCTTCCTGCATGTTTTTCCTGTTGTTTCTATTGGCGGAGACTGTGAATCTATTAGAAAATTGCTTAGATGTGATATTAAAAGTCTACTCAACATTTCCTTTTAGAAATCTTTGAATTAAAGGCTAAACAATTTTTCTTTAAAATAAAGGGAACTTTTTTTCATGACAAATTCTAAAAGAGCTATAACACTTAAAGGAAACTCTAAAACATGATTTTAAAAGAGAGAAAAATGAGTTTTATCTAAATATTGCAATGCTAGCCTATTTGATTGTGCTCAAACCAATCCGATGTATCATTATTTAACTACATAATATTAAATAAGATGGGTGAAAAGAACACTTCAAGTTTAATGATGCATTCTGCATTATAAATGACAGCTTTTCGTACCAAGCCTGAGTAGTTTGATTAACTTGGGGTTTGAGGGAGTATGATCTAATATAGAAACTGCACCATTTTCAAGGTATGTGAGGCCAGTGCCCACGTTAGTTCTGTCACCTAACGTGAATGGTATTGTATGATGGCAGAGGGTGGCATGGATGCCAACATGATCACACTGAACCTAGAACAAATGTGGCAGTGGCAACTAAAGAAGGCCTAGGAGCATGTAAGCTATTCTCTTACCAGTATGCTGTTTTGTCAACCTCTAAAAGTACTTAATTGACAATCTGAAGATTTAAATTTTGATCTTAATCCCTGCCTAGCTGTATAAATTTGACAATATTTTTAATGGTTAATTTTCTTATCAAAAAATACCCTTTTCATTACAGCATTCAAGGCAATTATCTAGGAATTACTCCAGTTTAAGAGAATGAGAAACAGTTTCTTGGAGAGTTTCTTTTTTTTTTTTTTTTGAGACAGAATTGTTGCCCAGGCTGGAGTGCAATCATGGGATCTCAGCTCATTGCAACCTCTGCCTCCCGGGTTCAAGTGATTCTCCTGCCTCAGCCTCCCAAGTAGCTGGGATTACAGGCATGTGCCACCACGCCCGGCTAATTTTGTATTTTTAATAGAGATGGGGTTTCTCCATGTTGGTTAGGCTGGTCTTGAACTCCTGACCTCAGGTGATCCACCCACCTCAGCCTTCCCAAGTGTTGGGATTACAGACATGAGCCACAGCGCCCAGCCAGAAGTTTTTAACATAAATAATATAAAATATAGGTTTGATGAGTATCTGACAATAAGCGGGGGGTTGGGGGTGAGAAGAAAATGCCATGCCTTTATGTAACAAAAATTAATAATGAAGTGTCAAGCAGCATTGCTCTATTCCTGCAATAACCACAGCTTTAAAAGGTAACATGGAGGCCGAAGCAACTCCATCTTGGATGCTAATCTGCCAAGTTGACTTCTGATTAATCCCAGTTCCAGGAAGGCATCCAAGATTTCCAGTTTCCTTGTACGGCAGGTAGCAAGTACCTGCCATAAATTCTACCCTTAAGCAATTGTCCTGTTCATCCTTTCTGAGGCAAGTATACCCTTTACCTATGGTATAGAGGCCCTGCATCTGCGGGGATAGTGGTACAAGGATCCACCACCTTGTTTCACTGCTGCAGAGACACAGACATGGCTCCAATCTTAAGTCCCTATTAAATGTTTCTTTCTGAGAAATTGGATTTGTCAGTCTCTTTCTTCAGCCTCTCAGCTTCCTCAGTCTTTGTGGGTAGGTTTGCACACACTTGCCCACCACAGAACAGGAAAGTAATTTCACAGTTAAAATTGAAGAAGATAGTAAATGAATAGCTTAGAAACATAAGAGATGAAAGAGGACACAAGTACAGAAAAAAAGATGTAAAAAATGTACTAACATGTGATTAGGTATTTTTTAGGATCTAGAAATGTGTAAGCTATAGAATTTCAAAAGACTAAGAAATAACTTGATGATAATACAACTTTGTCTAGTTTATCTCTTACAAAAGGGAATGATGTCATAGAACACTGGGGTTGTTTGGTCACTGTCATACATGATGAGAAATATTTCAAGTTCATTCAACACATAATATTTAACTCTCACTTATTTACCAGGCATTTATTCTAAATCAAACATTTTTTTCTCATTTGTCTTATCAAATAACAAACTAACTTAAAATATTAAAAATGAGAAAATTTTGAAAAGTTTGTACGGTATGCACTTATACTCACTAAGGCAGAGACTGAATAAGAGCTATGATTTCAAAGAATGTAAATAAGAAAGAAAAGTAGTTCACAGCATTTAAAAGAGGATCCAAAATCTTTTAATAAAATAGAGGCAAAAATGTTCATTATTCATTTAGAGAAAAAGAGAGATAATGTTTACATATAATATCTATGTACATTTACTAAGGCTTGCATGGTACACAATAGCTGTTCTATTTAAAAAAGACCTGTTTAAATTACACAGAATCAGTTAGAGCTTACACATAAGAGCAGCATGCAAAACCTTAATTCTGAGTAAAAAGAACTTACAGTTCAGCAGTGTAGGAAATCAATTAATCACGTCAATGATATCAGATCTTTCTTACCTTTAACAGAATCAGATGAATGAATAGGTTTGGCAGATCTATACTGTGATGTGGAACCTATTGAACCTTCAACTGAACTAGTTAGGAGTGAGTGCACTGGAGACTTCTTAGGAGAAGAATTGAATGAACGAGAAGCTGAGTTTTTCACAGATGGACTTGCTAAAAGTTTGCAAGAATAAAAGTAAAAGGACAGAATTAATTAAAAATAGCAAACTGCACCTCTCAAAAAGTCAAGCTTTCATGAGAAAATGTTCCCAATGGTGGAGGGACAGGGGGACATTCTTCTAAATACCCAAGATTTGGGGTTGGAACTGAAAAGGGTTACGCCTTGGGAATAAGGGTGAACAGAAATTAGACCTGCCCTTGGGATCCTGAGGTCTAGCTTCAAATCCTCTTTCTAATGTGATTAAATTGACCTGGATGCCTTAGTTGTCTACCAAATGCAAGCATGAATGCTCCCTAGAGTAAGGTAATCTCATTCATAGCATGAAATCATCTGTACAACTTTTCATATATAATATGTCATACAATAAAAATAACCAGGCATATAAGGAGACAAGATGATATGGCAGAAAATCAAGAAGAAAAAAATATAAATAACGACATAGATCTATAGGGTCCAGATAATGGGCTTATCAGGCATAGACTTCCATAGATTCAAGCAGCATTACTTCAAACTCCAAGTGAATTCTTCTTATCTGCATGAAAAAATCATATCTGCACAAATGAATAAAAGCTGCTAAAACAAACCAATCAAAAACAAAAACAATCTTAAAGCAAAAGGGGAAAAAAGGAACAGACTATATTTAAATAAGCAATAATTAAACTTACAGCTGACTTCTTAGTAGAAACAATGAAAGCTAGAAAACAATGGAAAGTGATATCTTCAAAGTGAAGAAAAAAATGCCAATCTAGAATTCTATACTCAGCAAAAATATTCTTCAAAAATTAGGATGAAATAAACACAATTTCAGAAAAACAAAAATGGAGAGAATTTATCACCAGCAGATTTACATTAAAAGAAGCTTTAAAGGCATAAGTAAAATGATACCAGAAAGTTAAGTGTAAATATGTGGGTATATCTAAATGAATATTAACTGTACAAAACAATACAAATAATTAAATGTGGTATTCATATTTTTATAATTCATATTTTTAATTAAAATATATGACAATTGTATGAAAGTTGGAAGGATAGTGAATGCAGTTAATATATTCTAAGGTACTGCCAATGTATGAGAAAAGGTAAAAGCATTCATTTATATCAATATAATAAGGCAAGGATAAATGTTTTACTGTCCTGAGTAATCACTGAAACAATAGTAAAAAACATATAAACGAAGTAAACCTGAAGGAATTAACTTCACATAAATGTTCTTTTCTTCAAAATATTAGTTCCTCAAAGATCTTCCCCAAGCCAAAGATTATTTAAAAATTAAGAATTTGCAATTATTTTATTTAAGAATATTACATTTTGATTATAAATATAGTTACAATTAACAATGGGGATATGTTCTGAGAATTGCGTTGTTAGTTAATTTTGTCATTGTGCAACCATCATAGAGTATACTTTCACAAACCTAGATGGTATACAGGCTATATGGTATAGCTTATTGCTTCTAGGCTACAAACCTGTAGAGCATGTTACTGTACTGAATACTGTAGGCAACTGTAACATAATGGTAAGTATTTATTTATCTAAATATGTCCAAATATAGAAAAGGTAACACACTGTGGTATGACATTATGATAGCTACAACATCACCAGGTATCAGGAATTTTTCAGCTCTATTATAATCTTATGGGACCTCTGTTGTATATGACATGGTCATTGACCAAAACATTACGCAGCACATGACTGTATATTGACACGAAGAAAAACAATGAAAATTTATCTTTCTCCCATCTCTTTTTACCTTACCTCAATTTTCTCTATTTACAATTTACAGTCCAGATTTATAACTACATTTTTGTTGAACAATCATCATCACAGTTTCATTCTTTCTCATTTATTTTGTTCTCTTCCATAGGAAGACCAATTACGTGTCTGTTGGTTTGCCTTTGCCTTCCAAATCTAACATATTCTGTATAATTATTTTTGGTCCTTATTTTTAAAAATTCCTTTTGTGTAATTTTCTCCATGGCTATAATTTCAGTCACATCTATTTTATTTTTCATTTTCTAAAACTTTTTCCTCTGATGTTTTTAATCTTTCTCTTCCATTTCTAGTCTGAGTTATGCCACTTTGCTTATCAACAAATTGTGTTGACTTTCAATCTCTTCTTTCTGGAGCTTTTTAATTTTTAATGGAGATCATCTTATCTATAATTCTTTGGAAATTTTATGGAGAGCTGTCCATCTTGATTCTTCTGCTTTTCCTTTTGTCTATTCAATAAATATTTATTCAGCACCTGCTATGTGCCAGGAAGGCTCCAGGCACCTGGGATATATCCAGGAACCAAATGGCTAAAGACATCTGCCCTTGCACAGCTCTTGTCTCACAGGGGTGACACAGTATGTGAGAAGATGCTAAGAGTAACTGATAAAAGGAAGAAGGAGCACTGGAAGTGTGGGAAAATCGTGATTTTTATTTTATTTTAATTTACTTTTAGAGACAGGGTTTCGCCATGTTGCCCAGACTGGTCTTGAACTCCTAGGCTCAAGCAATCCACTCACCTTGGCTTCTCAAAGTGCTGGAATAACAGGCATGAGCCATCACACCTGGCTGGTTGTGATCTTTAAATGAGGTGATGACAATTAAGTCCCACTGGGAAAGTGACACCTGGGCAAAGGCTTTAAAGGAGCTGAGGTTTTAGCAACATAAGGGAACAGGGCATAAAAGCCCTAACATGGAAGCTGCCTGACGTGTTCAAGGAACAGTTTGAGAGTGGATAAAACAGAATGCATGAAAGAGGGAGTAGCAGGAAATGAGGCCAGAGAGTTAAAAAGGACTTGGAAGATACTGCAATGACTTTGGCTTTTACCCTCGTGGAAATGGGGAGACATTGTAGGGCCTATTTCTGTGCTTTCATTGGAAACTCACCTGCAGATGTGAATGTGAAGCAACCAGAGGGATCTTCCCTGTCTCCTGCGTGTAATGTGACTGGCTCTCTGGAAGCATAAGAATGGTAATGCAAGCATTCCATTTCACAAACACAGTACTAAGATTCATAGATAGAAGCAAGTGAACACAGGCAAATGTGATGGTTTAAAATATAACCTCAAGATGGCAATCATAACCCTAAAGTCCTAAAATACTCTAAGAGGTAGGTTCAAAGTTGCATTATCTTTTTGTATTCAGAATCCATGAACATTTTACAGAATGAAAATATATAATCTTCATTAGAAAATCCATTTTTGCATACTAATAGCTATAAAATCCACGTCATCTGTTCATGGATTCTAAGAGATGCAATCTTAATGACTCATTTAAAAATAAAGAAATTAGGTCGGGTGTGGTGGCTCACCCCTGTAATCCCAGCACTTTCGGAGGCTGACGCAGGTGGATCATGAGGTCAAGAGATAGAGACCATTTGGCCAACATGGTGAAACCCCGTCTCTACTAAAAATAAGAAAAATTAGCCGGGCGAGGTGGCGGGAACCTGTAGTCCCGGCTACTCAGGAGGCTGAGGCAGGAGAATGGCGTGAACCTAGGAGGCAGAGCTTGCAGTGAGCCGAGATCACGCCATTGCACTCCAGCCTGGGCGACAGGGAGAGACTCTGTCTCAAATAAATAAATAAATGACAATGACAACAACAACTCATAACATTAGTAGTATCAGTGTACAAAACTATAAGACATATAAGTTGAAGTAAACTACATAGTTCTCTGTGAGTTGGGTACCAATATGAGAATATTATGGCAGCAGTTCTCAAAGTGGTTCCCTTTCAGGAGGTTTGTGAGGTCAAAACTACTTTCATTATGATATCAGGTTGTTATTTGCTTTATAACTTTCAGTCTCTCACAAGTGTACAGTGGAGTTCTCCAGAAGCTCCATGATAGTTGATATGCATTTAATCACAACAGATTAAATGCATAAGCAGATATGAGAATCTAGCTGTATTTTCTTAACCCAGTTACTGAAATGTAAAACATGTTTTCTCAATGACGTTTTGGAGCATATAGTTATTTTTCATAATAAAGAAAAAGTTATTTTTCATAATTTCAGAATAAAGAAGTATTACAGTACTTTCATTGCTGAAGGAAGCAGATTTTTCTAGTCATGAAGAAACTCTACTGCAGAGCTTTAATTATCTCAGGGAAGTAGCTTCTATTTGTCCCATGCCTAGGACTGGGCTCCATCCCCAGTAGCTCAGTGTGGGTACTCAGAGGCAGTAAGCAGTGGTCATAAACACGGGCTCAGGAGCCAGCTAAACCTGAGTTCAAACCTGAGCTCCACTGTTTTCAAGCAGTATGACTTTGACAAGTTGCTATGCAATCTGAGTCTTCATTTCTAAGGGAAAATAATGTTTCCCTCATACATGAGATTAGACTAATGAGACAAGTCTAAATCAACTGGAAAATAAGAATTTTTATTAAGAATAAAAATATAAGAATAAAACATATGCAGTTGATAGTTGTGGTTATTAATAGGTATGATATAGTATCATATACCCAGGTGAGACGGAAATAAAAACAACATTTCTTTTAGGCTACAAGAAAGATTTACACTTGGCTAGTCTGCATCCATGGGTTCTGCAATCACAGATTCAACCAAATGTGAATTGAAAATACTTGGGGAAAAAAAAGATGGTTGCATCTATACTGAACATGTACAGGCCTTTTTTCTTGTCATTATTCCCTAAACTATACAATATAACAACTATTTACATAGCATTTACATTATATTAGGTATTATAAGTAATCTAAGAATGGTTTAAAGAATATGGGAAGATGTGTGTAGGTCATATGCAAATACTATGCCATTTTATATAAGGGACTTGAGCATCTGTAAATTTTAGTCTCTGCAGGGGTCCTGGAACAAATCCCCCATGGATACCAAGGGACAACTGTGTTTAGAAAGATTCAAATTCACTGTATTTTGATCAGGCAGCAGAGACAGTATGAAAATATTTATAATACTATCTTCATCCATTCACTAAACAAATATTTACTGAATGGCTACTAGGTGGCAGTCATTATGCTTGGTGCTGAAGATACAGCAATGAATTAGCCCCTATTCTAACTAGATCTTAACAGTAGAATTCACATTCATAATTGTTAATATATATAGAGGGCTCGGATATCTCTGTCTATTTAGGTGGTGAAAACAGAAAAGACAAAAGTAAGTTTTTCCAGGCAGTCCGTCAAAAGACAGACTTCACGATTGTAAGCAACTTGAGGACAGAGCCCATATCTGTCTTGCTCACTATATTCTAAGGGTCTACTGCAGTGCATGGCACATTACAGACAGTTAAAGATCTTTTGAATTAATAATGAACAGTCGTAAAAGGGACATTTTGAAAATGGGGGCTGGTATTTCCTACCTACTAAGAGTTTCACTTGATTTGCTTCCTTCAGTGGAGTCCCTCAACGAGTTGTTGCTTCTGTTGGTAGAGGGATGGGAGAAATCACAGTTTAAATAATGTTATTTCCTTACCAATATAACAAAAGTTTGTGAGAAAAATAATGTATTCTTATGTAGGGTGAAATGGTATCATCTGACAGCTGGATAAATAAATCATAAACATTAACTTAATGATAAAATTGCTTCTCTCAACATTACTTTTAGATAGATATGGATTCAAAAGAGTGAGAATGGGGCATTGGCTCTTCCAGGTGGAGGAAACAGAATGGAGAAAAAGCTTGAAGACAAAAATAAATGAACTTTTGGGAATCAGGAGGAGTCTGGTTTGATTAGAGGATAATACAGGAGTGAAAGCAGAGTGGTCACAAGAGAGATTCGTGTGACCACTCTGGGAGATTCTTCAATGTCAGACTGAGGGACATGTACTTAATGCAGTAGGCAGTGAGGAGCTACTGAAGATTTTCAAGTAATAGCTATAGTGTCTTAAAGTACGATAAATAATGAATTAACATTAGCCTTTTTTCTTTTTTGGCTAAAGTCAATTTTTGAAAGCTGTCTTTGATTATGGTCTTATTTGGAGTTATGGATTTCATTTCTTTGTGCTTTTAAAATTTTTCATTTAAGAATTCAGCTATTCAATTATTGATGAAAATAGGATGGTTTTCAGTAAGGTGCTTATAGTCCTAAATTGAAGTTTTTACAGTTTCCTTCTGAATCATCCTTTTCTCAAAAGTTATGTAAGCCATTGTAAATATGTGTAAATGTAGAAAAAGTCTTCCATTTTTGATATGGCATACCATAATAATAGCTTCATATGGATAAACATCAGCAAATTTTAAAGAAAAAATGTCTATTGAGTTGATTTCTAGAAACTAAATTACTTCAGTACATTTCACTGAAATCTTTCTTAAAGTCAGTTAAACAACGAACCCAATATGCCCATTAAGTGTCATGTAAACTTATGTCCAAACAGACTTCTCAAATTACAAGGCCACATATAAAATATTTGGACAATTAATTTGATTCAGAATCTCAGATTCTTCTTACCTATGGCACATGTCTGATCTCAGGCTGGATTCAGTAATGCAATCTCTTACCCTATCCTCTCTGTATAGAAAATATAACTCTCAGTTAATCATATAAAGCACAATTTCATCCATGTCTTTTTTAGACTAATCAATTGCTTACATATATTCAATTTTTCTTTTAGTGACAGCTGTAGATTTTAGGCCTCCAAGCAAATTTTGCAAAGGGCTCTGGAGTTCATCGACAGAGAAATGCTTTCCTCCCATGAATTCTTAAAAGCTTTACGCTGAGTTTAGGCTTTAGTGACAAGGACATTTATAGGATTATAGCAAATTAACATAAACTCTCTAAAGGTAGGGATCAAATATATTCACGTTCAATACAGTCCAATAGCGTCCAAGCCCATCATTAGTGGCTGGAGTGGTGGAAGCTGATCAGGGAAGTCCTGGTAATCCCTCAGAATAATCAGTGCTGGGAGCAAGGGTCTGTAACTTTTACTTCTGGCTTTTCCTCTGCTTCATAGGAGGAGGCATGTCAATATATGCCTAAGTTTACAAATCTGTCAAATAAGTGTAATAATACTGCCCTGGTTTGGAAGGCATATTATAGTTATGACAAAAATGAAAGTGCTCTGAAAATGAAAATGTTCGTTGGAGTGGCTAGTGGGACAGTTCTGACATTATGTGCTTCAGATAATGTAATGTTATGCTAAGGTAACTGGACTGTTACTAATGTTTTACTATTATTACTAATAATTAACAATTAGATAAACTCAGCTAATATTTTGCTACCTCAGGTAAATACGAATTGGACATCATAAGAAACTGGAGATTATTTATATATAGGTATCATTTCAGGAAGTATTACTTTTAGGTATTTGTCATATAATCAGAAAATGAATATTACAATAATGGGCTATTATAACACTAAAATATATATACCATATTAAAATGCTTTAAGATAAGCTAAGCTAAATGATAACACAAAAAAGTAAAACCCACTCTCTGAAAGAATAGGAGACTCCCATTGTTGTCTGTAGCTATGTGCAAAGAAGGGCTGGTGAACTGGCTAAATTCTTTTTGGATCTAATCTTTTACTAATATGATATAATCAAATCAAGTCATTGGCATGAATACAGAGAAAACGAAGTATTTCCTATTATCTCCTACTTGGAGAGTATATAGTTCTCAAGGTTCTAGTTTTATCTCCACCATTGAACTTGTGGCTGCAGACACGTCGACCTTTTGAGATGTGTTTTTCTCATTTACAAAATGGGATAAATAAACCCTGCTCTGCCTTGTCTCAATCAATAAGATTATGGATATAAAATCTTTTGAGAATTAAAATTTACAAACATAACTTTGGGTGACACCTTGCACTGGGTATTTTCTGAATAGAATGACTGTATTGTTTTCTCTTAGTGTCAAGTTGTTTTACATTTGCTTAACTCCTCCATTTTCATATTATTTTCTGTGGTAGTAACTTCAGATACTTTTAAAGTCATTTAAACCTCACCCTCCCAGAGAGTAACATGTGAATAACTCAATGGCAAACCATTCAAGAGATGAGCTTTCCCATTCTGTGTGCACACAGCCTTACACAGCCACATACAAGGCTCCCAGAGATGTTCTTCCATCTTCCTCTGTCTTGCTCAGAGACACAGCTGGCTCCTCATTGATCACGCTTCTCAACTCTTGGAGAAGCTGTTTCAGGTCCCTTGTTGGATCTTCCTTCAGTGTGTTAGCTTTTGTAGAGTGCTGAGTTAAAACAATTTACAAAGACACTTATTTTTTCAGATTTCTATGCTATTTCCTATCACAAAATTAATGCAACTGGTAAACAGAAATTATGGAAAAGCAAGAAGAGGAAAACAAAAAAATCACCCACAAGCTTATTACACAGAGATAATCAATAATAACCAGGAAATAATCAATAGAGTACTATATCTAATTTATATGTGCATGGACACATATACACATATGGGGCCAAACTACTTACATTTATTTTTAAACTACTTTTGTTTTAAAATTTTAACAATGTAGTATGAACATCCTTACTATGTCATTAAATATTTTCAAGTACACCTGGACAAAATAACTTTCAATACTTTGTTTAAAGCTAAACTAATTTGATAAAGCAACAAAACCTGAGAATTAAGGAGCTATTTAGAGATGAGTTAATCTACTCCCCACATCTTACTGATGAGGAAAGAAACATCCAATATTTTCAAACTGTGTTAGTTGGTGTTTAAGAATAATATGAGATTTTCAGATTGATAGTGTACCCCAATAAATATTTATAATATAATAAGGAATACTGACATTTTCAATAGGCACATCAAGAGGGGAAACCAAATGATCAGAGTGCACTGGTGAGCAGGTAGACTCAGGCTATCCTTGAGCTATTCTAGCTGAAGGAGTCCATCCCACTGAAAAGTTACACCTGTCACACAGATTGGCTGCTGAGGGATGAACACTGCAGATTTTTTATTCACTGGGCTTTAATTTTCTAGGGTTTATGCCAACGAAGAGCTGATGTTACTGGTATAATATAATTCTCATATTCTCCTCTTCTCAACTCCACTAATAAACCAATATAATATCCAGCTGAAGATATGAGAGTTCCAACTCACTGAATGTGTGCTAAGTATGTCTTTCCAGTTTACTGATGGCTATCTTACCTGGAAATTGTCATGATGAGTCAGTCTAAAGTTTCATAAATTAGACTCCACTCAATTATTAAATTTGACTTCATTTGCTTAAAAATATAAGGATGTGAATCACTTTGTCAATTGTGAATAAAAACATTTGTCTCTAAAAAGATGATCCAATTTTACGAAACACTGGTTTTGTTCTTGCCCTCACGCTAATATGCATAATACCCAATATGGAATAAAACCTCATAAAGTTAATAAAGAAAAACTTATCCTATGGCAATATTCACTCACCTTAGTTATAACCTGGACTTCTTATCTTCCCATCTTCTGCCCACCAGAAAGTTTATCAAATAAGCTTTGGCAATTATTGTTAAAATTTTTGAGCCATTGACATTTATTATAAGTGAGCAATGTAAAACCCATAAACATATATAAATATGTTGTTCTCCCCTGTCATTGTGGCACCTAGGTTCTTTGAGAGTGACTGATGCTTTACAATACATAAGGTTTTTTTGTTTTGTTTTGTTTTTTGAGACAGAGTCCCACTCTGTCACCTAGGCTGGAATGCAGTGACATGATCTCAGTTTACTGCAACTTCCATCTCCCAGGCTCAAGCAATCCTCCTGCCTCAGCACCCCCAGTAGCTGAGGACTACAGGCCTGCACCACCATGACCAGCTAACTTTTTTGTAGAATGGAGTTTTGCCATGTTGCCCTGGATGATCTCAAACTCCTGGACTCAGGCGATCCACGCATCTTGGTTTCCCAAAGTGCTGGGATTACAGGTGTGAGCCACTGTGCTGGCTGACATGAGGTTTGAAAAAGCATTCAATTGGCAGGGCGCGGTGGCTCACACCTGTAATCCCAGCACTTTGGGAGGCCAAGGCAGGCAGATCACGAGGTCAGGAGATTGAGACCATCCTGGCTAACATGGTGAAACCCCATCTCTACTAAAAATACAAAAAAATTAGCCGGGCATGGTGGCAGGCACCTGTAGTCCCAGCTACTTGGGAGGCTGAGGCAGGAGAATGGCATGAGCCCAGGAGGCGGAGCTTGCAGTGAGCCGAGATTGTGCCATTGCACTCCAGCCTGGTGGACAGAGTGAGACTCTGTCTCAAAAAAAAAAAAAAAAAAAAAAAAAAAACCATTCAATTTACCATTCACTTAGAAATTAATTATAATCAGTCCTATGACATTCTTTTATTGACTTTATCCCAATACTTACCTTTCAAACTTCTATGTGTGTTGCTCCTCCAGTGAAAATGTAAGCTCCACAGAGGCAAGGACTTGATTTGATCATCATTGTCTTTATATATTCCATTACATATAACCCATAATTTGTTTGGGTATAAAACCACAAAAATATCAAGGCTGGAGGCGTCCTGAAAATCATTTGGTTCTAGTCCAACTCCCATATCAAAAGTGATGAAGAATTCTCTCTACGGCATTCTAGTAATATGCTTATCTGGCCTTTGCTTGATCACCAAAGATCAAGGAAGGCAGTTTAATTTTTGTATAGCTTCAAATCTTTTAAAGAAAAGCTTCCCTCCATACCCATACACCTTCCAACCCTGGTCACAGTTCTAACACCTGGGGTCATAAGAAACAAGCATAACATAACCTTGTAAAAATGATACTTATTTTATCCTACACTCATACACCCCCTCCTTACTTCCTGACACACACCTCAAGCTAAATGTTCTCAGGAAAATTCTGAGCAGAGCAGAGAACTGTCCCCCTTGCTTGATCTGGATGCTATCGTTGAAACCATTTTTGGTTGCCACACAATAACGCCGACTGAGACTGAGCAGGCAGTCAACTCAGAATCCTTATGTCTTTTCCAGAAGTTCTTAATAAGCTTCCTCTTCTGTGTCCTATACCTTGTATTTTTGGGTATTCACTACAACAATAGAAATGTCTTTTTTTTTCCTCTGAGACAGAGTCTCATTCTTTCACCCAAACTGGAGTGCAGTGATGCGATCACGGATCACTGCCGCCTTGACCTCTCAGGCTCAATTGATCATTCTGCCTCAGTCTCCTGAGTAGCTGAGACTATAGGTGCATGCCACCACACCCGGCTATTTTTGGGTTTTTTTGTATTTTTTGGAGAGATGGGGTTTTGCCATGTTGGCCAGGCTGGTGTCCAATTCCTTGGCTCAAGCAATCTGCCCGCCTCGGCCTCCCAAAGTGCTCCCATGTGAACCACCATGCCTGGCCGATTTAAATTTTATTTAGTCAAAATTATCAATCTTTCTTTTTAATGTTTGCATAGCTTATAATGGTTTTATTAATTCATGTTAAATACTTCATTGGTTAATTCATAGGAAATATACCTTGATTTATAAAATGAGCAAAATACACTTTTTAAAATTAGAAAATAGCACTGCTGGGTGTGGTGGCTCATGCCTGTAGTCCTAGCACTCCGGGAGGCCAAGGCGGGTGGATCACCTAGGTCAGGAGCTCGAGACCAGCCTGGCCAACATGGTGAAACCCCGTCTTTACTAAAAATACAAACAATTAGCTGGATGTGGTAGTGCACGCCTGTAATCCCAGCTACTTAGGAGGCTGAAGCAGGAGAATCGCTTGAACCCAGGAGGCAGAGGTTGCAGTGACCCGAGATCGTGCCATGGCACTCCAGCCTGGGCAACAAGAGCAAAACTCCATCTCAAGAAAAAAAAAAAAGAAGAAAATAGCTAGGAAATGGTTCTAAAATATAGTTTCATATAACTCTTATCAGGCTTGTAAAGAAATAAACACATGCTCTTCCTGAAGTTAGCAGAGCCCAACAAAGGATCCTGCTCTCCCCTACCCCAGTCCTTTGATCCTTAGAACAAGGGTCCCCAAACCCTGGACCGGTACCGGCCCATGGTCTGTGAGGAATGGGGCCACACAGCAGGAGGTGAGTGATGGGAGAGTGAGTGAAGCTTCATCTGTCTTTATAGCTGCTCCCCATCACTCACATTACCGTCTGAGCTCCACCTCCTGTCAGATCAGGGGTGGCATTAGATTCTCATAGGAGTGCGAACCCTCTTGTGAACTGCACATGCAGGAGATCTAGGTTGCACACTCCTTATGGGAATCTAATGCCTGATGATCTGAGGTGGAGCTAAGGCAGTGATGCTAGTGCTGGGGAGTGGCTGCAAATACAGATTAACATTAGCAAAAGCCGGGTGCAGTGGCTCACGCCTGTAATCCCAGCACTTTAGGAGGCCGAGGTGGGCAGATCATGAGGTCAGGAGTTCGAGACCAGCCTGGCCAACATAGCAAAACCCCGTCTCTACTAAAAATACAAAAATTAGCTGGGCATGGTAGCGTGTATGCCTGTAGTCCCAGCTACTCGGGGGCCTGAGGCAGAAGAATCGCTTGAACCTGGGAGGCAGAGGTTGTGGTGGGCCAAGATCGTGCCACTGCATTCCAGCCTGAGCAACAGAGAGAGACTCCGTCTCAAAAAAACAAAAACAAAATGAAAAACATTAGCAGAGAGGGTTGACTGCACAAAGACCATAATAAATCAATTGCTCACAGACTTATCAAAACCCTATCAGTATGTGGCAAGTAACAATTAAGCTGCATCTGGTGGCTGGTTTTATAGTGGTAAGTGAGTTGATGTACTTCAACTGTACAGCTGCACCTGGTGGCAGGGTTTAAGTCAGAACTAGACACTGATTTTTGTCCATGTGTGTCCTGCCCATTATTTGATTTACCACTTTGCCTGTACCTCTTTCCTGCACTGCACACTTGTCTCAGTCAGTTTTGGTAAGCCCACAAGAGAACCCTAGCCAAAATGGATAAAAACAATCATCACTGGAAAGCTTCTTTGAAAAGGGGGAAAGACCCAATGATGAGACAGCAGAAGGCTCTAAGACTGCCAACGAAAAGAAAGCTGCATTGAAAAGAAAGCTGCATTGAAAAGAAAATACCAAGAGTCCTACTTAAATTACAGGTTCATTGCAATAGACGGTTCAAATTCTCGAAGCCCTCTTTTTATAATATGTGGTGACCGGCTATCCAATGAAACCATGAAACCTTCAAAACTGCTTTGTCACATGGAGACAAAGGACCATGCATTAAAAGACAAGCCTTTGGAGTTTTTCAAAAGAAAAAAAACCATGAACATGAAGAACAGAAGCAATTATTGAATGCCACCACTTCGTCAAATGTGTCTGCACCGAGAGCATCATTCTTAGTGGCTAACTGTATTGAGAAAGTGAAGAAGCCCCTTACTATTGGTGAAGAGCTGATCCTGCCTGCTGCTACATACATTTGTCATGAACTTTTAGGAGAAGCTGCAGTTCAAAAGGTGACATGTGTTCCTCTTTCAGCTAGCACCGTAACTAGACATACAGATGAAATAGCAGAGAATAGTGAGGCACAATTGTTAGAGAGGGTTAATGAATCACCATGGTACACAACCCAAATTGACAAGTCTATTGATGTTAACAACAAGGCAACAATGCTTGTTTTGTGCTGTGTATTTTTCAGGAGGATGTGCAGGAGCACATGTTATGTGTGCTTTTACTGCCAGCCAACACCACAGCTGCAGAACTATTCAAGTCTTTGAATGTTTACATATCAGGGAAACTGGTCATTTTGTGTTGGTATATGCATGGACAGAGCAGTTGCCATGACTGGACAGCTTTCTGGTTTCACTGCTCTGGTCAAAGAGGTCGATTTTGAATGTGAGTTTATGCACTGTGTCTTCCATAGAGAGATGCTGGCTAGCTGAAAAATGTCACCTGAACTTAACAATGTTTTGCAGGATGTGATTAAAATTATTAACCACACTAAAGTACATGCCTTTAACTCATCTTTTCACACAGCTCTGAGAGGAGATACACCCACAGCATACACGTCTTCTCTTATACACAGAAGTGAGATGGCTTTCTAAAGGTAGATCACTGACCAGAGTTTTTGGGTTATGAGAGCCGCTCCAGAGATTTCTTTTAGAAAAAATCACCACTGGCAGCACATTTCAGTGACACAGAGTGGGTCACAAAACTTGCTTACTTGTGTGACATATTCAACTTGCTCAACAAAATCTATCACTTCAGGGGAGAACAACAACTATGTTCAAGTTGGCAGATAAAGGGGCTGCATTCAAAGTCAAACTGGAATTATGGGAGCAATGAGTTAACATTGGGATTTTTGACATGTGTCAAAATTATCAGAGATTTTGAAAGAGGCTGTGCCAGGGCCTCCTTTCTCCCAGCTAGTGCATGATCACCTATCTCAGCTTTCAAAAGAGTTTAAGCATTACTTCCCAACCACAAAAGGCCCCCAAACTGGGAAGGAATGGATCCGTCACCCATTTGTGAATAAACCAGGTGCACTGGCTTTGTCCATGCTAGAAGAGGATCAGCTTCTTGAGATTGCAAATGACAGTGGCCTTAAAAGTATGTTTGAGACAACTTCAAATCTCCCTATATTCTGGATTAAAGTCAAGGCAGAATATTCTGAGATTGCCACAAAAGCATGGAAAAGCCTGCTTCCATTTCCAACATCCTATCTTTGTGAAGCAGTGTTTTCTGCAGTGACAGCAACCAGATGAGATTAGGGAGTAGACTGGACATAAGCAACACCCTTCGGGTGTCACTGTCTCCCATCACCTCCAGATGGGACCATCTAGTTGCAGGAAAACAAGCTCAGGGACCCCACTGATTCCACAATATGGTGAGTTGTATAATTATTCCATTATATATTACAGTGTAATAATAATAGAAATAAAGTGCACAATAAATGTAATGCACTTAAATCATCCCAAAATCACCCCCCGCCTCAACCTGTTCCATGGAAAAACTGTCTTTCATGAAACTGGTCACTGGTGCCAAAAAGGTTGGGAACTGCTGCCTTAGGAGACACATTAAGGCTATTTCTAGGGCACATACATTTGCAGGGTAAAACTTGTACAGCTTTTTGTGCTATGGGAAGAATACAAGCTTATACAATAAGTTGTTAAGCTTAAGGTTTATTTTGTGGTTTGGTTAGTTTCCTATTACATTGTGACTCTGAAAACATTGACTCTGAAATCATTTTATGTTAGACTTGTTTCTAAAATTTTTCATAAATTATATCTTTAATGTACTTCTATCTTCTCCAATACTGTTTTTTCTAATGGCCTTAAGTCTATTACAGGCAAACTTATGAGTCATCAGTCATGATGTAAGATAAGTGAGGCCTAGGGAGAGTGTACTCCTCAACCAGTTCTGTCTCCATTCTCCAAAGATAGAAGATAAATGAAAAAGCTAAAAATAACAGCTTGATCTCATTCAGCTTGAATTCAACCATTCTATTTTGAGAATGTCTGCCCCAAACTCATCTCTTATATTTTAGAACATTGTAATAAAAATGGAATATAAGTATACCATTTACATAATATATTAGGAATAGATGGACAGGAAACAGGAAAAAAGTTACGAAGCATTGCTAAAAATCTTGCCCACATCATGTATATTTCATTGGCAAAGATCAAGCACAGTAGTAACAAATTGTAGTGCATAGGAATAGAATCTGATACACAACCAAAATCAATTCTATCATCCTAGATATATTTTATTTCTTATGTTAAAATAGCCTGTATTTGAAATATTAATCTAAAATGCTCCTATATCAAACTATCAGTTACATATATGTGTATATGTATGTATATGTGTATGTGTGTACACACACAAAGATACAGTAATAACATGTTCTAGGTGTTTGAGTTTGGGCCAAATCACATAATATTACTTTTCTGGTTTTCCTACTTTCTTACTTTTAACACAAGAAAATCACCTGGATAATTTCAACTGCCTTTGAATCTTTAAAACTCTATGATCCTCATTCACAAAGACTAATGAAATACAATAATAGTTCATATAGGGTATCTATTTACGTCATCAACTTAAAATTATTTTTATAAACATCAATCAGCTGTATAATGTAGAGAAACAGTACAGTATAATAATTAAGGACATAAGTTCTGGACTCAGGCTGTCTGGATAAGTCCTGCCGAAATTATTACTATTATTATTATTTTTTTTTTGAGAGAGAGAGTCCTACTCTGCTGCCCAGGCACTGCAACCTCGTACTCATGGACTCAAGCAATCCTTCTGCCTCGGCCTCCTGACTAGGACTACAAGCAAATGCCAACATGTCTGAATAATTTTTTTATTTTTTGTAGAGACGAGGTCTCACTACTTTGCCCAGGCTGGTCTCAAACTCCTGGTCTCAAGCAACCCTCCAGCCTCAGTCCCTACAAAGTGTTGGAATTTCAAGCATTAACCACAGTGCCCAGACTCAAGTGTCTTTTTGCTGTGTAAACCATGTGTAAGTCACTTAGCTTCTTCAAGCCTCATTTCCCCTGTCTGTAAAACAGGTATAGTAATAGCACTTACCTCATGTTAAGTAGTTGTGGGAAATGAACTAATCTCCAAAGTACTTTGCACTGTGCCTGGCAAAGGAGTTTTCAGTAAATCTAAGCTATTATTAGAATTGTAAAATAAAGAGACTAAAATAAAGATAAATAATAAATGAAGGGGCAATGTAGAACAATGTAAACAGTAATATTCTGCTTATAAACTTGGCATTAATTTCTGTACTATCTTAAGCCCCACTAAAATGACACTAAAGGAATTAAGAAGGGTAAAGAGGAAAGGACAGATAATAATAGATTAGTAATGCTAACAAAATTTTGGGAGATGGCAGGCATATGGATAATTCATAATTAATTTAGCAAAATGAAGTTAAAACTTACAGTACCTGCACAGAAGCTGCCAATGTGAAGCAAGCTACCATGCCTCTGAGTATTCCAGGAAGGCTCACGAATTGGAAGTCTCATGTATTTCAAAGTCCAGGGTAAGAAACAGGGCAGCAAAATTGGAGGATTGGCTAAGTCTATAGGAGAAGCTGTTAGAATCCCAGAAGCTGTCTCCATATACTCAGGTGATTACTCATTCTTTCCCCCTAAATGAATTTAGAGGCTTAATCTTTGGGTAAGGTTGAACCAAAGGACTTTGGACTCCATAGAGATATCTATCTTGTATAGCAGGAGTAAGGTTGCAAATGTTAAATATGAGTATTAAGTGAGACTGCATAGATATATGTTAATAGTTACCCTAGACTTCCTCTCCCACTCACGTCACAGAATTCTGACAGATTTATACCTATAAGTCAGGAATAAGAGATCCCTCTTTAGGGAAACTGATCAGCCCAAGAATAAAGACCTATAGAAAATTTTTGGGTCCTTCAATAAAAAAGCATTACCTAACCATCTACCAGTTGAAAAGCCCTGACAACCTTACATAAAGCTTTGGATAGCTTTTTAGGGCCTCAGTCTTAAATATGAATGGACATCCAAGGGTCACCAAGCATTAAAAGAAAGTCTACAAAAACAAAACAATGAATTCCAAGAAACATTAATAATTCAGGTAACACAAAAAATTATTTAAAAACCAAAGTTAATATCCTTAAAGAGAAGCAAGAAAGTATTGGCTGGACATGGTGGCTCAAGCTTGTAATCCAAATAGTTTGGGAGGCCGAGGCAGGCGGATCACTTGAGACCAGCCTGGCCAACATGGCAAAACCCCATCTCTACTAAAAATACAAAAATTAGCCAGGTGTGGTGGCGGGTGCCTGTAATCCCAGCTACTCAGGAGACTGAGGCATGAGAATTGCTTGAACCCAGGAGACGGAGGTCACAGTGAGCCGAGATCATGCAACTGCACTCCAGCCTGGGTGACAGAGTGAGACTCCATCTCAAAAAACAAAACAAACAAACAAACAAACAAACCAGGAAAGTGTTGTATCCATGAAAGAACGGAAAGCTACATAAAGAGAAGACTTTAGAAAACAACAAAAAATATGGGCAAAAGCTGGAAGCATTCCCTTTGAAAACTGGCACAAGAGAAGGATGCCCTCTCTCACCACTCCTATTCAACATAGTATTGGAAGTTCTGGCCAGGGCAATCAGGCAAAAGAAAGAAATAAAGGATATTCAAATAGGAAGAGAAGAAGTGAAATTGTCTTTGTTTGCAGATGACATGATTGTATATTTAGAAAACCCTATCGCCTCAGCCCAAAATCTCCTTAAGCTGATAAGTAACTTCAGCAAAGTCTCAGGATACAAAATCAATGGGCAAAAATCACAAGCATTCCTATACACCAGTAATAGACAAGCAGAGAGCCAAATCATGAGTGAACTCTCATTCATAATTGCTACAAAGAGAATAAATTACCTAGGAATACAACTAACAAGGGATGTGAGGGACCTCTCCAAGGAAAACTACAAACCACTGCTCGAGGAAATAAGGGAGGACACGAACATGTAAGCCATTAAATCTTTTGAAGAGGCAGCTTTGCTGGTGGTATTGTCTTGTGCCACAGTGAGTTGTAAGTGAAGTTTGGACCAAAAATGAGTTTATGAAGACTGGTGGGCAGGAGCTCAAGAGCTACAGGCTTGTCCTCCAGCCAGTGCCTGATGTGCCCCAGCTGGGAAGCTGATGAATAGCTGACATCTGTATCTCTGGACCTGAATGTTGATCCCTCGCTTCAGGTTGACATACCTGATGTGCTCAGTGAGAGAGATAAAGTCAAATTTACAGTGCACACAAAGACCACACTGCCCATGTTTCAGAGCCCAGAGTTTTCTGTTACAAGGCAACATGAAGACTTTGTGTGGCTACATGACACTCTTATTGAAACAACAGACTATGCTGGGCTTATTATTCCACCTGCTGCTATGAAGCCCGACTTCAATGGTCCTCGAGAGAAGATGCAGAAACCGGGAGAGGGTGAAGGGTCTATGACCAAAGAAGAATTTGCCAAGATGAAACAAGAACTGGAAGCCTAAGTGTTAGGTGGAAAAATACTAAAGAAATGTTTGGTGGCTTCTTCAAAAGTGTGGTGAAAAGTGCTGAAGAAGTCCTTTTTACTGGAGTTAGGGAGGTAGATGACTTCTTTGAGCAAGAGAAGAACTTCCTTACTAATTATTACAATAGGATCAACGATTCTTGTGTGAAAGCTGACAAAATGACCAGATCTCATAAAAATTGTTGCCGATGTCTATATCCACACTGCAGCCTGCTTACATTGCCTGGCTTTAGAAGAGCCCACAGTCATCAAAAAGTACCTATTGAAGGTTGCTGTGCTATTTGACAAACTTAGGAAAGTAGAGGGTCAAGTTTCATCAGATGAAGATCTGAAGCTAACAGAGCTCCAACGATACTACATGCTCAACATCGAAGCTGCTAAGGATCTCTTATACAGACACACCAAAGCCCTCATTGATTATGAGAACTCAAACAAAGCTCTGGATAAGGCCCGGTTAAAGAGCAAAGACGTCAAATTGGCTGAGGCACACCAGCAGGAGTGCTGCCTGAAATTTGAACAGCTTTCCAAATCTGCAAAAGAAGAACTGATAAATTTCAAACCGAAGAGAGTGGCAGCATTTAGAAAGATTCTCATTGAAATGTCTGAACTGGAAATAAAACATGCCAGGAACAATGACTCCCTTTTGCAGAGCTGTATTGACTTGTTCAAGAATAACTGATATGCCTTCACTCAGAAGAAAATAAATGAATGTGAAAGAAAGCCAAGCATCACTTGCACTTAAATCATTACCATGGAAGATTTATTAGCTTTAACTTTAGTTTAAAATTATGTGAATAAATATTTTGATTTCTACAAATCTTAAAAAAGAGGACACAAACAAATGGAAAAATATTTGATGCTCATGGATAGGAAGAATCAATATCGTGAAAATGGCCATACTGCCCAAACTAATTGGTAGATTCAATGATATCCCCATCAAGCTACCATTGACTTTCTTCAAAAAATTAGAAAAAACTACTTTAAATTTCATATGGAACCAAAAAAGAGCCCATATGGTCAAAACAATCCTAAACAAAAAAAACAAAGCTGGAGGCATCATGCTACCTGACTTCAACAATATAACAAGGCTACAGTAACCAAAACAGCATGGTACTGGTACCAAAACAGATATATAGACCACTGGAACAGAACAGAGGCTTCAGAAATAACGCCACACATCTACAACCATCTGATCTTTGACAAACCCAACAAAAACAAGAAATGGGGAAAGGATTCCCTAATTTAATAAATGGTGTTGGGAAAACTGGTTAGCCATATACAAAAAACTGAAACTGTTTCCTTACACCTTATACAAAAATTAACTCAAGATGGATTAAAGACTTAAATGTAAGACCTAAAACCATAAAAACCCTAGAAGAGAACCTAGGCAATACCATTCAGGACATAGGCATGGGCAAAGACTTCATGACTAAAACACCAAAAGCAATGACAACAAAAGCCAAAATTGACAAATGGGATCTAATTAAACTAAAGAGCTTCTTCACAGCAAAATAAACTAGGCTGATGCAGTGGCTCACGCCTGTAATCCCAACGCTTTGGGAGGCCAAGCTGGGTGGATCACAAGGTCAAGAGATTGAGACCATCCTGGCCAACATGGTGAAACCGTGTTTCTACTAAAAATACAAAAAATAGCTGGGCATGGTGGCACGTGCCTGTAGTCCCAGCTACTCAGGAGGCTGAGGCAGGAGAATCACTTGAACCCGGGAGGCGGAGGTGGCAGTGGGCAAAGATCATGTCACTGCACTCTAGACTGGTGACAGAACAAGACTCCGTCTCAAAAAAAAGAAACTATCATCAGAGTGAACAGGCAACATACAGAATGAGAGAAAATTTTTGCAATCTATCTATCTGACAAAGGGCTAATATCCAGAATCTACAAAAAACTTCAACAAATTTACAAGAAAAAAACAAACAATTCCATCAAAAAGTGGGTGAAGGATATGAACAGACACTTCTCAGAAGAAGATATTTATGAGGCCAACCAACATGAAAAAAAGCTCATCATCACTGGTCATTAGAGAAATGCAAATCAAAACCAAAATGAGATACCATCTCATGCCAGTTAGAATGGCGATCTTAAAAAGTCAGGAAAAAACAAACGCTGGAGAGGATGTAGAGAAATAGGAATGCTTTTACACTGTTGGTGGAAGTGTAAATTAGTTCAACCATTGTGGAAGACAGTGTGGCAATTCCTCAAGGATCTAGAACCAGAAACACCATTTGACCTAGCAATCCCATTACTGGGTATATACCCAAAGGATCATAAATCATTCTGCTATAAAGACACATGCACATGTATGTTTATTGCGGCACTATTCACAATAGCAAAGACTTGGAACCAACCTAAATGCCCAGCAATGATAGACTGGATAATGTGCCTGGATAGACTTTATCCAGTCTATCCAGGCACATGGCACATACACACCATGGAACACTATGCAGCCATAAAAAAGGATGAGTTTATGTCCTTTGCAGGGACATGAATGAAGCTGGAAACCATCATTCTCAGCAAACTAACACAAGAACAGAAAAACAAACACCGCATGTTCTCACTCATAAGTGGGAGTTGAACAATGGGAACACATGGACACAGGGAGGGGAACATTACACAATAGGGCCTGTCAGGGTGTGAGGGGCTAGGGGAGGGATAGCATTAGGAGAAATACCTAATGTAGATGACGGGTTGATCGGTGCAGCAAACCACCATGGCACATGTATACCTATGTAACAAACCTGCACGTTCTGCACATGTATCCCAGAAGTTAAAGTATAATTTTTAAAAATTAAAAAAAGAAACAAAATCGCCTAGAACCCAAAATTATCTCTGTAATTTTTTCACATACAGTGTCCAGACTCAATTATTTAAAGAGGAAGCAAAGAGACCAAACAACAAAGTGACTAGAAACCAAGGGAAAAAATCGACACAGGCTCGGAGGGGATTCAAATCATATAATTATCATGTGCCAATTTTTAAAACAGTTATTTTCTTACTCTGTTTGGGTTGTTATAGGAAAATATCTTAGAGTGGGCAATTTATCAACAACAGAAATTTACTGTTCACAGTTCAGGCTGGGAAGTGCAAGATCAAGATGCCAGCAGATTCAGCATTTGGTGAGGAGCTCTTCCTCATAGATGGCACCTTCTATGTGTCCTCACATGGGAGAAGGGGCAAACAAGCTCTCTCAAGCCTGTTTTATAAAAGGGCACTAATGCCGGGCGCGGTGGCTCAGGCCTGTAATCCCAGCACTTTGGGAGGCCAAGGTGGGTGGATCCTGAGGTCAGGAGATCGAGACCATCCTGGCTAACACAGTGAAACCCCGTCTCTACTAAATATACAAAAAAAAAAAAAAAAATTAGCCAGGCGAGGTGGTGGGCACCTGTAGTCCCAGCTACTCGGGAGGCTGAGGCAGGAGAATGGCGTGAACCCGGAAGGCGGAGCTTGTGGTGAGCTGAGATTGTGCCACTGCACCCCAGCCTGGGCAACAGAGCAATACTCTGTCTCAAAAAAAAAAAAAAAAAAAAAAAAGGGCACTAATACCATTTGTAAGGGCAGAGCCCTTATGACCCAATCACCTCCCATTGGTTCCACCTTGGGGTTTAGGTTTCAACATATGAATCTAAGGGAAAACACAAACACGTGGACCATAACATATACTTAACAATACAAAAAAGTAAAAGATAATATTGAGAATTTCTGTAAAGAACTTGTTAAAAAACATGAATTAAATGGAAATCTAGTACTAAATACCACAATTTCTAAAATGAAGAACTTAATTGATGGGTTTAATAGATTAGACTCAGGTGAAGGGAGAATTAATTATCTGGAAAATAGGCCAGGAAAGCACAGAGAGACAAAAGGATGGGCAAAAGTGTAAAGATATAAAGACATATAAGGCATGATGAATAAACAATTAATACGTGTGTTAGAGTCCCAGAGGGAAAAAAGAAAATAGAGAAAACAAACTGAGTAGATAAGGGATGAAAATTTTCTCAAATTGATGAAGATTTCAATCCATGCATCAGGAAGACCACTACCCTTAAGAAAGATAGATATAAAGACCAGCACATCTAGGCACATGATAGGCAAACTGTTATACACCAAACCAAAGAGAAAATCTTGAAAACAGTCAGAGAAAAAACTACCTCCAAAACAGCAACAACAAGATTTACAATTGACTTATCAGTGGAAGTAATGGAGACCTGAAGACAATGTTCTACAGTGAATTCATTCATCTATGAGATAAATATTTATTGAATATATGCTAGACACTGTTATAGGTACTTGGGAAACATCAGTGAACAAAACAAAGAATGAATATTACTTTTATTGTGTAAAATTATATAATAAACATTTTTAAGAGAAGGAATTAATTGTATAAAGCATGTCTGACAGTATATTTTAAAAATCTAGTTCATTTTTGCTGTTAGAATTATTATTTAAAAACTTAAGCTGAGGCCAAGAGCAGTGGCTCACACCTGTAATCTCAGCACTTTGGGAGGCCAAGGTGGGAGGATTGCTTGAGCCCAGGAGTTTGAGACAAGCCTGGGCAACATAGTGAAACTCTGTTTCTATAAAAAATACAAAAATTAGCCAGGCGTGGTGGCACGCACCTTTAGTCCCAGCTACTAGGGAGGCTAAGGTAGGAGGATTGCTTGATTCTGGCTGGTTCAAGCTGCAGTGAGCATGACTGCACCATTGCACTCCAGCCTCAGTGACAGAGCAAGACTCTGTCTCAGGAAAAAATAAATAAATAAACAAATAAATACTTAAGTTAAAATTTAAAGTTAAACAAGCTAATGACTAGTACTTTTTCAGTGATGGATGCCATTCTTAATAATCAAGTACAATCTATATATTAAGCTGCTAGGAAAAATCTAATAGATTTTGGGTAATTAAAAATCACAGAATTTCAGAGCTAATCTTTCTTGGTGACCCTAGAGGTCATCTTGTCCAGACTACTTGTTAGAGAGGAAAAGATCAAGGTGCAATATATTTAACTGACTCGCCCAAGGTCACACAAAGAGTTAAAAATATGGTTCCAATGACTCCTGGTCAAATGTTCTTTGTTGTTGCTTGATGTGCAAAATTACTTTTGGAAAGGGGAGGCTAATTTAATTTTTATCAATGGAACATGTACATATTTTTAAAAATAAAATGATTTCATAACACTTAAAAAGCAGCAGTCTCCTGCCCTTCCCCTGTGCATCTCTGAATTTCAGTGTCCAGAGGGAAACATGCTTAACTTCTAACACTAATATTATTATTCTATTGTTTGATAGACTACTCTTTGTTGTATGATAGTTTATGTTTCAGCGCACACATCTTAAGTGTGTGAGAGGATTCCATTTTAGTCATTTAAACAGTACATAATTTTCATTTAAATGGTACAGGTGAAACAACAGATTACTGGTGATCCTGTTGCCATATGTAAGATAGGACTTTTAACTAATTTAATTGATTTTCATGTGTGATTTATGGAATGCCTTATTTCTTTACAGTTGAATACTGGTTGCAAGGGATTTGTGGTTTCATAAATACATATTTTCAGAGAAAACAAACTTGAATTTTACATTGCACATATTTTTTTTCTGAGCATTAAAAATATAAAAGATTAAACTAAAAAATTTCCAAAGTTTCTAATATTTTAATTAAAGGGAATAAAAGTGTCTTATAATTAATAAAATTCTGTTATAAATAAGTTAACAAAGAAACCACATATAGCAAATAATTTTCATTTTGGTAGACTATTAAATATACCACCAACTTGCCTTTGCCTTTTGAAGTGATGTTTATTTTAGCCATCTCACTATTTGCTTTGTAATCTGGAAATTCTTGAGATGGAAATAACCAAAGAATTGAAGATAAGAAAACACCAAATAGTGAAGAAAATATTTTTATTCACCTGGACTCCATTGAATTTATAGGAAAATGTATAAATCTAAAATCTAGTAATTGAAAATGCTATGGATATAGAGATATTATTTTTTAACGTAATTCTTTCCAATTTAAAATTACTTACGCATATGTCATTTGCGTAATGGATCATAAGACTGGTTACTTACATGAGACAGGAAGCTGGCTGTAGACTGCGAAGATGGTACATTAGAATGAGAACGAGTAACAGATGCTGGCTGGAGAAGGCGTGGTTTCAATGAAGAATTTGAGGTGTATCCAGGGCCCTGAAGTTCCTGGAAAACAATATAGAGGTAAGCAAAATAACTGCCAGCCTACAATTATAAAGAAATGTGAAATCAAAATGTATTTTTTGATTTCACAGGCAAAATCCATTATTGAGATTTTAAAATATGTCTGTAGCTTTAAAGTACACTTCTTAAAATAGACATATATTTCAGTGTAAAATGTACGATTTAAAAAAAAAACGTTTTGTCATGTAGATTACATCACTTTTGCTATTCCCCAAACAAGCAAATATATTTGCACTTAGGGTTTTGTACTCGCTTGACTCCTGAGCATGGAAAACTCTTGCTTTGGGTATTCCCATGCAGGTACTCGTAAACTTCACTAGTACCTTCACTCACCTATTTTAAACTCACCTATTTTAAACTCACCTATTTTAAACTAAGGATAGTGGTGCTTCTATTTGTTACCATATATGAAAAGGATAGGTATAGTATATAACAATGTACACATCTTATCATTGCTATTAATAGTATCAAGTAATGTTGAAATATACTTGAATGTGTATCTAAGGTACACAAGAAAATATAAAAGCATATCAAAGAACGGCATTATTTTCGCTTAAACTAATATTTATGATGACCTTACTTTTATATCCAAAGTGTGTTGAAGTTTTAAGCGCACTGATTCTTGCTCCTGACGCTGTATTATATCTTGACATTCTGCAAACTGCAAAGATGCCTACAAATGGAGCAATCATAAATGGTTTATCTTGCATTCTTTATGCACTTATATTTTATTAACCTATGAATGCAGAGCTGCCATCTCTTCAAAAAATCTTCCTGCCCTTCTACCAAACTATATTACAATGATCTATTTATCTGTTTTATTTAGTGAACTGTGAGCAACTGGAGGCCATGTTTTTATCCTCTATACCCCCAGCAAATACGTAACTTTTAGTATGTGAAGGGCAAACAATGAATGAACTAAGGATGGAATGAGCAAACAGCTTTACCAAAGTATAAAAATTTATATTAAAATAACCATAACTGGCTGGGCATGGTGGCTCACACCTGTAATCCCAGCACTTTGGGAGGCCGAGGCAGGCAGATCACGAGGTCAAGAGATGGAGACCATCCATCCTGGCCAACATGGTGAAACCCCGTCTCTACTAAAAATACAAAAATTAACTGGGCATGGTGGTGCACAACTGTAGTCCCAGCTACTCAGGAGGCTGAGGCAGGAGAATCGTTTGAACCCGGGAGGCGGAGGTTGCAGTGAGCCGAGATCGTGCCACTGCACTCCAGCCTGGCGACAGAGCGAGACTCCGTCTCAAAAAAATAAAATAAAATAAAATAAATTTTAAAAAATAACCACAACTGAAATTCACAGAGTCAATATAGCATGTTTTAAGAAACAAAGGTAGCAGAGATGAGATCCCAGATTATTGTATCTAACCATAAAGGCACTGTTTTCTTAGCAATCAAGGATGGTTTTGGTACAATTTTAGGCTTCCAGAGTTTCTAGGTGACAGGAAGGGAGATTTATTTCTCTACAATAAACGGCAATGACAAAAAGTATCACTGATCCTTCTCATTCTTTAAGCTATGTTTCCTACATGCACCTTCTGGACCCCACAAAGTGCCAGCCATTAGCATTACTTTATCATTTTATTGACATTATTAACAGACTGTATTCTACCAAGTACCCAAGTCACTTTTTGGTGGTAAATCAGGTGCTCATGGAGACCTTTTTACTTATTCATGTCACTATGGATATCAGGAACATCTTACATCTTTGATCTTACTGCTCCTGTGACTATGTTAGCCTGAAAAAGAAAATTTGGCAAAAAGTATGCATTATGACCACATTTTAAAATTCAGAAACGCCTTCTCTAATAGGATAGGGTTTTCCTTTGTGCTAGGTGATTGGGATACAACACAAATTGATACATTCAGTTCCTGTCTACATAGAGCTTTTGTTCAGAACAATTCTATTTGGTTAATAACTATTTAGTTGATAATTACTTCATATGTTTAGTTAATAATTACCTTATCCAGAGCCACTTCCATATTAGTAACCTTTTCTTTCAAACGGCGTTCCTGAGATCGCAGAACTTCCAACTCCCCAGCCATCTTGTTTTTTTCTGTGGCAACAGTACTCAATTCCTGACTGAGTTTACTTTTCTCTTCTTTCAGAAAATGTTTCTCCTACAATTATATGAGAGAAAAACATCAGAAATAACCTGTTGATGTAGATGCTGAAAGGTAATGGAAATATAAAATTCTTGTTTAAAGGACCCTGAACTAGGTAAGTTTAATTTATATGCCATTTAATTGCTTCTGAGTTGTGGTTGGGAGCTGCTGGGAGTATGTTATTATGTACTCTCTCCTATTTTAATCATTGCTGGTATTATTACTTCTTTCTAGTCTTAATAAATCTTTGATAAAATCTACAAAATATGAAATAACTATATTGTCATAAAAAGACAGTGTTTTAGTGAATTAGGATCAAATAATCGTATATCAAATTTTACTAAAATTTATTTTAAACAACAGAGATTTTTAAAAGATGCATTACTTGAAAGTTTTATGGATTTCTATTTTGTTTCAAGGTTGAATATTCATTTCACAAATTCCTACTGCATACCTGCGACAGAAAAACAAATGGGACATATAGTTCCTGCGCTCAAGTCACTTAACAGCCCAATGATGACAGTGAGCTTACTGATACAATAGTCTCTGCTATTAAACAACATTTCATTAAAATTAGTTCATCCCTCCAAAAAAGCGCCATGGAATATGTATACAAAAATAATAAATGTATAGTTGTCAAGTTAAAATACATCAGTGCATTGAGTCTACATTTCTTTATGTATTTTTTCATAGTGAAAAACATTTATTGTAAATAAGGTAGAAGGTGTTGCTACTGTAAAATGCAAAAAGTTTTCCTTTTCTGAGTAGATTAGGCAGAAAAGACTTCAGAAGGAAAGAGGAATTAATTGTATAGGCTTTCTCCTTTTTGTTTGGAGGGAATATCTTAGAGCTACGATGAATATTTTCCTTTAGGCAAGGCAGGCATCTTTGTTGACAGCAGGCAGTAACCTCTTAAAGCCATAAGCGCCATCAGGAAGGATAAGCACTGCTTTAGGTTCCCAAAGGCAAAAAAAAAAAAAAAAAAAAAAAGGAGAAAGAAAAAAGTGAATTCAGGATAAGAGAAAGGAAGGGAAGAAAAAATTGGAAAGAAGAAATAAGTCTATATGATAAGGGGTATGCACAAATGTAGGTTTATATTTGCTAATATTTAGCTGCAAATACTCTGAAGTATTTTGGCAGCTCATCATGGATAGTAAGTTAGCAATTACTTTGGTTGCACTTATTTTCTACTTGTCATTTACTTTTTCACCTCTATTATGGTCAGTTCTGTTATAAATCTTCTTCTGAAATAGACGCTTTTTCCAAAGTAATGGATATACCAGAGAATATTTGAGCATTAGGCAAACTTCATGGTTGCTTATTCGTGAATGAGTCTCATTCATGAGAACCACTAGGTCAAGGCAGAAAACTCAATCCAGCTAAACACAGCAGCATAGGAATACACAAGAAGCATACATGCACACTCCTCAAACACCCACCTACCGGCGACCTCAGTTTTACCATGTGTTATGAACCACATCCATCCACATCCGGTGTTACAGGAAACTCTCCTCCTACTCCTCCACAATAACATACGAGCTGCATATATACTTAAGAAAACTTCAGGTCATTTTCAAGACAAAGAGCTATACTTATTGTTGTATTTATATATTTCTTAACAATTTAGTATGTGTAAAACTGCTATTGTTTTTATTAGGTTCCTATTATTTTATGTGTCACTAATAAAATTTGTTAGTGTGGTGCTCCTGATCCCATTGTTCCCATAAGCCCTGTGGTTTTTATTACACAATTTTGCATAGCACAGCGATTTTTACAAACATGTATGTCACATTATAATGGAACTCACTGTATTTTGTTTATAATCATTCCTTGCCTCTACCAAGAATGTTCTTTTTCCCATTTCCCACGTTTAAAATAGTAGCTGTCTTTCAACATCCTGCTCAAATGCTTTTCTAGGAACTTTTCCCTTGTTCTCTCACCTAGAAATAAGCTTTCCTTTTCCCCTTGCACTTGCATCTCTGCTTCATCTTATTCTGCCTCGTGGTCTGCCTGTGAGTGAACATGTTGGTTTCCCCACTCTGAGGACAGCAACCCACCTTATTTGCATTTGTCATTGCCTCTTCCAAAAACTGTATCTTGCTCTGAAGGGCATCTATCTGACCTCTTTTGGCTGTGATTTGCTTTTGCATCCCCATTGCCACTTTCATAGCTGGAAAAAAAAAAGAGGCAAACTATGCCTTAGGTTCTTAAGTTTGAGAGACTATGGTAATTTGATGGTTAAACTTTATGAGAAGGTGACAAGTAAGATCCTCCAAGGTATCTGGGCAGTTTCAAGGAAAAGATCATGGACGAATGTCTTCGGTTTTTATAATGTTGGAATATAATAACTTTTAACTACTACTAGAGATTTTTAGCTGGGAAACATACATATAATCATGTTTTGTAGGGTTTTTGCCACTGGGATTAATTTCATTGACCATGATACGTTGCCAGCTTTCCAGTAATAACAATAACATTGACTAAACTCATACTTACCCATGTAGGGAAATATATAATATATAATATATGTACGTGTGTGTGTGTGTGTGTGTGTGTGTGTGTGTAGACATGGGGGGTGTCACATAAATAATAATATATATTGTATTATTACTAAAATGATTTTTCAAGAACCTCATACTTAAAATACTGCACAAGACATCTAGTGTATCTTTTAAAGGGTCCAGTGATATCACAAACCCTTCAATTTTTATTCTCATGATTGTTGTCATGTGCTTGGAACTCACTACCATCTCAGTAGCCAAACTGCCAGCATAAGCATATCTGATTTTTTCTCTTATAGTCAGCTGAGGAAAAAGGATTGAAAATGCCACAGCTTTGAGTCCAGTCTGGCTATAACTTAGAGGTTAAAAAGAAAAATGAAAATATACCATTCATTATAAACAAGCTATCAGAATGAAAGGTCTGACTTCTCATTAACAAGATACAGTTCTTCTATCTAAACTGTCAAAACAGGGTTAAACTGACACTGTATATTGATTTATTAATAGGGTAAAAGTCTGACATCATTTGCTCACCACTTTGAAGAATTATGGTCTGATTAAGTGGATCATGGTTGGCCTTGAAAGGAAATTTTCTAAAACAAATGTTTTTTTTTTTATTTTAAGCTGATTTAATAAATAGAAACAAGAATTTGAATGAGAACACAAGGGTTCTCTAGGTAACTTAATAATTGTAATGTCCCTGGGGTGGTTGTGAAGATGCCCAACAGTGAGGCTGGGTTGCTGTCTGGGGAGCAGGGGCAGCAGACCCCAAAAGACCTCTCGAGTGACTTCTCCAAACCCAACAAGTTTATCTGTGTTAACCAGCAAAGGGCCAAACCACACAAAATATGAAACACATCAAGAATTTGTGGTCGTCCTTGCACAGAGACTATGGTAATCTTCTTTATATCGTTCTAATTTTAGTATAAGTGCGGCCAAAGCGAGCACAAAAATAAATCTTCTGACATTAAAAAATATTGAGAAATGGAAAAGTATATACTTTAATTAGATAAATATTAATTTTTATGGTCAGCTAATATGGTCATGTCAACAATTATATGAATAACATGAACTGGAAGATAACCTCTTTATCTCTCTGCATTAGTATGGGCAGCAAGGTAAAAGGGGAATAAATCTGGGTGGTGAGAAGGTCCCCTCACCTAACAATTCAATTTCCAGGATTCCTTCCCATTTTTATCACGGTGAAGCAATCAAGAACTGCCAACTAGCCAGGGACCTACAGTTTATATAGTGTACATGTTGAAAAATAAAGGATTGAATGGAAATTACAGGTAACTTGTATTTATATCCTTAAAAATAATTACTTGACGTTAATAGATACTGAGATCTGTTAGAAATTACTGAAATAGCCACTAGAAAGGAAAGATTCAGATAGTTTAGGGATTAAATTAACTCCATGGCAATTTCCTAAAAACAATTAACTACTGCTACATAACCTCCATCATTAATACCTACTATTGTATATTTCTTACATCATTTAGCACTGTGAAGAGGTGGTAGGTAACGTATTTGAGTTTCTGTTTTAACAAATTTAGTCCATTAAATTAAAAACAGAAGAAAAAATTTTAAATCTAACAGAGCATACCATGACCATCAGATCCTTCCATTGACTTTAATGTATTTCTTGTCTGTTCTAGTTCAGACTGTGCAGATTTTAATTGCATTTTCAACTTATTTGTAGTCATTTCCATTTCTTCACTTTTGTTTCGGAAATTCCTTTTTAAGACTTCATACTCCTCTATACAATGTGATAATCAATAATAGATGGTTACTTTTTTCTATCCCATTGTTAATTAAGTATATTTTATTTGTAATTAATGATCACAGAATTTTAGAACTGGAAGAGAAGTCATTTAATTACATCTTCCTTTGTTACAGAAATGAGATGTACATACACAATTCCAGGGATATGACCCTTTCTTTTTAATCTGCTTGGGTGGATCCTATTCCTCCTCTACCCACTTATTACTCATTGTTTTTTCCCAAACATTATAATTAGTTTGCAGTTATCTCATCTTAAACCTTCTTCTTGGATGACCGTGTTCACTAGAGTAGATTTAACCACCATCTGCTGGTAGATGAATCTCCATGACACTATAAGTAACCTGAGGCTGCCATCTGTCTTATCTGACTTATCTCCAGTATCTGTGAAAATACTTGGCACAAACTCATCATTTGATATACTACAATACACACATGTGTGCACACACACACACACACACATATTTATTTATATGTATCTATTTATATGATTAGATTTATATAGAAAAGGATCAAAGCTCCAGCTCCATTTGTCCAGACATCTCCATGTAGATGTCCTCGTGCCACCTGAAACCAACTGCCTCACAGTGCCTACATCTCATCCTCCAGCCCTCAAGCCTGCCTTTCCTTCTGGTTCCCTCTCCCAGTTGCTTACATTGCTTTTCCAATACCACAAACTAAAATCCTGAAACCTACACTTAATCCCTCCAACCACTAAGTGCTGTTGATTTAACCTCCAAAAATATCCTTAATTCTTTCCTTCCATTCTCACTGCCACTGCCTTAATTCAAGTCCTCATTCTATTTATCTGGGACGACTGCAAAAATCCTCCTTAACTGCTTGGTCTGCTTTTCTTTTCTCTAATTTACTTACTGACACAGTCCATCTAAAATCTGACAAAAAATCTCCTACTTAATATCTTTTGTGGGCTCCACATTACCCGGCTCTACCTATCTATTCTGCCTTATTTCTTAGCCCTCATTCGTTTCACTTTTGCTCCAGCTAATACTTCTGAGGTCACATTTTGATATTTCATGGCTTCATGCATTTGCCCATAATGTTCTCTCTGCCTGGAATGTCCCTTGCACCCCTTTTTCACCTGCTGAATTCCTTTTCCTCTTTCAAACCCAGTACAGATGTCACTTCCTACAGGAGGTAAATTCTGTATCCTCTGTGCTATCTTTGTACTCAATACACTTTCACTGTGCCTCACACACTGGTTATTCACCCATTTCTATCTAGGTTTATCTCCCTACTAGACTGTGAGCTTCATTGTGGGGTTTCCAGGTTCTACCACAGTGTCTTGCATAGTAAATGCTCAGTAACTTCTGACTTTATGAAGTACATGATACTTCATACCATACTAATATGCTTTGGCTCTGTGTTCTGACCCAAATCGCATGTCCTGTTGTAATTCTTAGTGTTGGAGGAGGGGCTTCGTGGGAGGTGATTGGATCATGGGGAAGGATTTCCCCCTTGCTGTTCTTGTGACAGTGTGTGAGTTCTCATGAGATCTGGTTGTTTGAAAGTGTGTAGCACCTCCCTCTTCTCTCTCTCTCTCTCTCTCTACTGCTACCATGTGAAGATGTGCTTGTTTCCCCTTCACCTTCCACCATGATTATGTTTTCTGAGACCTCCCAGCCATGCTTCCTGTGCAGCCTGCAGAACTGTGAGTCAATTAAACCTCTTTTCTTCACAAATTACTCATTCTCAGGTAGTTCTTTATAGCAATGCAAAAATGAACTAATACAGAAAAATGGTACCAGAGAGGTAGGATACTGCTCTACAGATACCTGAAAATATGAAAGCAGCTTTGCAAGTGGGTAACAGATACAGGTTGTAACAGTTTGGAGAGATCAGAAGAAGACAGGAAGATGTGGGAAAGTTTGGAACTTCCTAGAAACTTGTTAAATTGTTGTGACCAGAATGCTGACAGTGATATGAACAATGAAGTCCAGGCTGAAGAAGTCTCAGATGGAGATGAGGAACTTACTGGGAAATGAAGTAAAGATCATTCTTGCTATGCTTTAGCAAAGAGACTGGCAGCATTGTGCCCCTGCTCTAGGAATCTGTGGAACTTTGAACTTGAGAGAGATGATTTAGGGTATCTGGCAGAAGAAATTTCTAAGCAGCAAAGTGTTCAAGATGTGGCCTGGCTGCTCCTAAAAGCCTGTGCTCATTTGCATTAAAAAAGAAATAACCTGAAGCTAGAATTTATATTTAAAAGGGAAGTAGAGCATAAAAGTTTGGAAAATTTGCATCCCAACCATGCAGTTGAAAAGAAAAATCCATTTTCTAGGGAGAAATTCAAGGCTGCAGAAATTTGCTAAGTAAAGAGGAGCCAAATGTTCATAGCTAAGACAATGGGGAAAATGTCTCCAGGTCATTTCAGAGACTTTCTCAGAAGCCACTCCCCTCACTGGCCTGGAGGCCTAGAAGGGAAAAATGGTTTAGTGAACCAGATCCAGAGCCCTGCTGCACTGTGCAGCCTTGGGACATGGTGCCCTGCATTTCAGCTGCTCCAGTTCCAACTCTGGTTAACAGGGGCCAAGGTACAGCTCAGGCTGTTGCTTCAGAGTGCAAGCCCCAAGCCTTGGCAGCTTCCATGTGATGTTGGGGCTGTGGGTGCACAGAGGGCAAGAGTTGAGGCTTGGGAGCCTCCACTTAGATTTCAGAGGATATATGGAAATGCCTGGATGTCCAGGCAGAAGTCTGCTGCAGGAGCAGAGCCCTCATGGAGAACCTCTACTAGGGTAGTGCAGAGGGGAAATGTGGGGTTGGGGCCCCCACACAGAGTCTGCACTGGAGCACTGCCCAGTGGAGCTGTGAGAAGAGGGCCACTGTCCTCCAGACCCCAGAATGGTAGATCCACTGACAGCTTGCACTATGTGCCTGGAAAAGTCATAGGCACTCAGTGCCAGCCCATGAAAGCAGCCATGGGGGCTGTACCCTGCAGAGTCACAGAGGCAGAGCTGCCCAAGGTTTTGGAAGCCCACCCCTTACATCAGCATGCCCTGAATGTGAGACATGGAGTCAAAGGAGATTATTTCAAAGCTTAGAAATTTAATGACTGCCCTGCTGGGTTTCAGACTTGCATGGGCCCTGTAGCCTCTTTGCTTTGGCCAATTTATCTCTTTTGGAACAGGAACATCTACCCAGTGCCTGTACCCTCCATGTATCTTGGAAGTAATTAACTTGTTTTTTATTTTATAGGCTCATAGGTAGAAGTGATTTGCCTTGTCTCAGATGAGACTTTGGACTTGGACTTTTGAGTTAATGCTGGAATGAGTTAAGACTTTGGGGGACCATTGGGAAGGCATGATTGTGTTTTGAAATGTAAGAAGGACATAAGATTTGGGACGGCCCAGGGGCAGAATGATATGGTTTGGCTCAGTGTCCCAACTCAAATCTCATGTCCTGTTGTAATTCCCAGTGTTGGAGGAGGGGCCTTGTGGAAGGTGACTGGATCATGGGGGCGGATTTCCCCTTTGCTGTTCTCATGACAGTGAGTGAGTTCTCATGCGATCTGGTTGTTTCAAAGTGTGTAGCACCTCCCCCTTTGTGTGCTCTCTCTCTGTCTCTCTCTCTCCTGTTGCCATGTGAATATGTGCTTGCTTCTCCTTCATCTTCCACGATTTTAAGTTTCCTGAGGCCTCCAAGCCATGCTTTCTGTACAGCCTGCAGAACTGTGAGTCAATTAAACCTCTTTTCTTTATCAATTACCCAGTCTGGGCTGGGTGGGGTGGCTCATGCCTGTAATCCCAGCACTTTGGGAGGCTGAGGCAGGTGGATCACGAGGTCAGGAGATCGAGACCATCCTGGCTAACACAGTGAAACCCTATCTCTACTAAAAATACAAAAAATTAGCCAGGCGTGGTGGTGGGCGCCTGTAGTCCCAGCTACTTGGGAGGCTGAGGCAGGAGAATGGCATGAACCCGGGAGGCGGAGCTTGCAGTGAGCTGAGATCACGCCACTGCACTCCAACCTGGTGGACAGAGTGAGACTCTGTCTCAAAAATAAATAAATAAAATAAATTATCCAGTCTGAGGTAGTTCTTTACAGCAATGCGAGAAGGGACTAATACACATACCAACCATAAACTGGAGTGTTTCACTGTTTAATATAAGGCCATGGATTTTTCCTGTCAATAAATTCACATGTCTATTTTCACATGTCACTTCATTAGTAAACTTCTAATCAAGCTATTTGACTCCAAGGACTCAAGGTTTTCCACTTTCATAAACACAAAACTGTGCAGACAATGTGATTTATGTGAACACCTGTTTTCCTTTTGGAAGCCTGGACTCTGGACACCTCACACTTCTCTTAGAAATTCAGTACAGAATTTCCAGTACACTGAGGGCTGACTAAAGTTAAGGTCAGTAAGTGTAAGATGTGGGAACTCTTCATGAAAACTATGAGATTTCATGCTATGAATAACTCCATGGGGGCAGCATAACTATTCATGTTTGTCATGTGAGTGAGACACCCTTCTTTTGCAATTGTGCTAGGGTCTACATTGGCTTCACTGCTAAGACTCTTATTTTTTAGTAGGATTTGTGCTGAAGCAACATACCTGAAAGATTGTTTAATTCACTCCTACTTGTTTTCACCTCATTTAATAATTGATCTCTCTCTTGTTTGATGTCCTTCACTGCACGGAGCCGCTCAGAGCCTGCATTCACCAGCTTCACCTTTTCCAGCTCCAAGTCACTCACTCTGGCCTCAAGCTCCCGGATCTTTGCATCTTTTTTATCTTTTAATATCTAAATATATGGATAAATACAAAGGATAGAGAAGTAAAAAATATGTACATGTATAGTTATAATTGATAGCTGCTAACACAGTCCTAAAATCTGACAACAGTCTCCTACTTAATATCCTTTTCTGCCTCCTATCTGTATTCCATCTATATTTATTATCTTTTCATTACTTCCCAGGACACTAAATTTGTATTTTATTATAAAGCATCAATAGAAAGTGGGAAAATATTTCACTTTCTTTTAACCTTAGATGTCAATTCCTAGTATTGCTTGCAACAACCCTTCATTATTCCTATTCTATCTCCATTCACTCAAAAAATACATATTAAGAACCTTCTTTGTGGCAGGAACTATTTTACAAGCAAGGGATATAGAAGCAGGGCTATGACTAGGGTAATGCAAGTGAAGCAGCTAGGTGAGGGCCTCTAACCTGGGCACCTCAGTTACCTCACCCTAGTCCTGGCCCTGGATAGCAATAAACAAAACAATGTCTTTGTCTTCATGTCCTCCTCTAGTAAGAAGAGAAGAAAACAAACAAATATTTAATATGTCAGGTAAGAGAAGTGGCAAGAATAATAATAAAAGCAGGTGAGGGGTACAGAATGAATGCAAGGGAGGGGTTGCTACTTGAGGTAAGCTGGTGTGCAGAAAGAGTTCACATAGCAGGTTTGGGTGCTCTCCTCAAAAAGGCCGCTTACAAGGTTGGCCCTTGACTGTCGTCTGGGAACTTGGATTTTGGGAGGGTTCCCACCACCCTAATAAGAGTGGCTCAGTGTGCCTAAACTGTTTGTGCAAACAATGTGTTCATGCTGAACCCCTGCTTTCCTTCTGGGAACGTGGAATCTGGATACCTGCCAGGTAGAGGGGCCTATGGGACCAAACTCCAATATAAAAACCCGGGCACTGAGGCTTTAATGAGCTTCTCTGGTTAGCAGCACTTGACAGATGTTGTCACGGTGTCTTGCTGGGGCAGGGGGTGGAGTAGGAAGTAAGCATGTCCTGCATAACTCTACTCGGAGAAGGCTCTTGGAAGCTCATGCCTGGCTTTCTCTGGATTTTGCCCCGTGTGCCTTTTCCTTTTGCTGATTTTGCTTTGTATCCTTTCACTGTAATAAATCCTAGCCTTGTGTATGATTATATGCTGAGTCTGGCGAGTCCTCCTAGGGAATCATCAAACCTGGGGTCGGTCTTGGGGACCCTGCCACAGTTGGCAAGGAAAGGCCTCTCTGATGATGTAACATCTAAGCAGATGCTCCTTGTGCTCCTGAGCATAAGGACAAGACACGTGGACAGTCTGGGAAGAGCTCTGTGTACAGGTAACGTGTCTGGGGAAGAGCAGGGACATCAGTAGGGCTGGAGTGAAGTGAGCTTGGGGTAAGCAGGAGATGAAGTCAGAGAGGGGCCAAGGGAATGATCAGGTTGCTCAGAGGCAATGTAAGAACTTGAGCATGCATTGTGAGTGAGTCAGGAAGTCATTGGACAGTTTTGAGTATGAGAGTGATGTAGTGTAACAATTTAAAAATACAACTCTGGCTCTGGTATGAAGGAAAACAGTGGTTGGCGTGGGGGTAGGGGGAGAAGCATGGAGACCAGTGAGAAGGCAACTGGAAGAGCAAACAAGAGAGGTGGGAGCTTAGACTGGGGTGGTTTGTGGTGGTGAAAGTATCTGGTCCTTTGACTAGGGTAGGGAATGTGAATATGGCAACTCTAATTCGGCGTTTCCAACTAACTGTCAGAAACCCCCAGCATGGCATGCTTCTGCAAACTCTGACTCAAACATTCCTATTCCTTCTTCACAGAGGGCCTTCCCCTACAATCCTTTCTGACTCTTCTCTGTTAGAGGCACTACCATGTTGCCAGTCTAAGTTTGAACTCACAAAGTCACCATGTCTTTCCCTGTCCCTCGCCCCTCATACCCAATTGTTGATCAAATCCTGCCCAACCTGCAGGTCTGGACTGCCATCACTTTGCATATGGATTGCCACAGTGCCTCCTAACTGGTCTCTATCTGTGTTGGTAAGGCTTCCTAGGAGGACCCCTCTCTTCCCAGGGTGTAGGTCTGTGTCGTCTAACACAATACCTGCACATGACTCTGGAGCACCTGGAATGTGGCCAAACTAAGTTATGTGCTGTAAGTGTGAAATATACACCAGATTTCAAAGACTTTGTATAAAAATAGAATATAAAATATCTTGGTGATCTGTTGTATTGATTATAATATTAAAAACACTATATTTTGAATATGAGTTAAATAAAATGTTATTAAAATTAATTTCACATTTCTTTTATGTGTCTACTAGAAAACTTAAAATTATATATGTCACTTACACTGTATTTCTGGTGGACAGAACTGACCTAGATCCTTCCGAATAAGTGACATTTGAAAAAAATATTGACTTTCTTTGGTCATCAGATTGTTTCCCCAAATTATCGCCCTACTGGCCTTAGTATCCTGGCAGATGCAATTTGACTGCTATAGCAGCAGTTTAACTGTGGAGACCAATGATACATCTGAAATATAGCCACATGACAAGCTTTTGGCTGTTCAAAAAGGATTGGTGGGGAGCCCCAGGCTTGTCTCACTGCCCGCCTGTGATGGGTTTGGGCAGTAAAGGCCCTAATCTGGGCTATCTGATCTCTGCCTAGCCACTCCTGGCAACTGTCACACTAAATCCAGCTGACCTCATGCAGTAAGGGACGGGGAGGGCTTTCCCTGGGACAACCTGAGGCATCACAACACACATAGGACGAGTGCTGCTCCTGTTCCACCTCTTGAGGCCAGCTGATAGAATTCAGTCCTTTCTTAGTCTTATTATTTATTTGTTTTTAAGAAAGGTCTAGCTCTGGGGACCCACAGTTATTGAAATAAAAGTCACTCTGCTTCTCTGCTGTCAATGTGTGCAGTACCCACTCTGAAGAGGGGACAGAAACCAGGAGAGAAACCATACCTTCTACAGCTATGATTCCCCCACCTTTTTTTCTTATCAGATCACAGAGGGAAGTGGATGTGGCATTAGGACTTGAGTTTTAAACTTATGTTCTTTGTGTCTGTGTGAAACTCTAATTACCTAGGAAATTATTCCCTGAAGCTGCTCCAGCTCCATATTTAGGAACTGAAAATTAGTTTTACTCTCTCCAAGCCACTTCTGCATACTGATGCCAGATTAATCCACTTCCAACACTGTCTTCTTCATGTTACCCCCTCCTTCCTACCCCTAAACCTTTAATGTCTCCCACACCATCTCTAGGCTAAATTACAGACTAGGCTTCTTCCCGGGCTTGGAATGCCATCCTTCCTTCTCTTTGCCTAGTTTTTGCCCATTTCAGGTTCCCAGCTCTCTCTGAAGCTTTCACTGGCCCTCTAGTCAGGAGCTCCACATTCCTTTGAGGCACTAACACAGATCCTGATGGATGCTCTCAGGACCAGCAGTATCCACGTCATCTGGCAACTTGTTCAGAAACACCAAATCTCACACCCCATCCTAGACCTACTGAGTCAGAAACTCTGGGAGCAGGCCAGCAGTCCATGCTTTAAAAAGCCCTCCAGGCGATTCCGGTTCTCACTGAGAACCACTGCACAGTAACATCTACTTAGGCTGCCTAGGTTCAAACCACAAGGTAGTGCTGCTCTCCAGAAAGTTAAACTCTCTGTGTCTCAGTTTCCTCAGCTGTAAAATGGGATAATAATAGTGCCTCCCTCATAAGGTTTTGTGAGGATTAAATTGATTTAAGTTTTAGAGTATAAGAGTGGGATTCTCCTGTTTAGAACCTTAACACACTAGCAATCCACTAGTGATCTTCCTAAGCAAGGTAGAACAACCATCCTTTCTCCTCTGATATGCTCTGCCCTGCATCACACCTGTTCTAAGGGTTTCATTGTAGGGCTGGCCATTGAGAATCCTTTCTATGTCCCTTTTCATGGTGAGTTTGGCCATTTAAAAATGTATATAATCAGGTAAAAACTTAAGCAATAGAAAATTCTATTTTTAATGCAATGAACTTGTTTATTTCCATAAGATGGATAATTATCTATTGCTGGCCCTATTTTTAGAAGGAGGAAACTGAAGCATCTACAGTATATGTGATTTGTCTCCTACTACTCACCAAGTCAGAGATAAAGGTGACATTAATCCTATGAAATCAATTTTTTTAAAAAACCCATTAAATTGTGTTAAATTTTGATAAGTATTTATCGAGCACCTTCTGGGTGCAAGGCACAAAAATATGGGGCAGGAGGTACAAAGGCTAATAAGATGTGTACCCTGGTTGAAGAAGTCTACAATCTTGTAGGGAAAAGGAGACACTGCTACATAAACACACACACAAACACACACACACACACACACGGCAATATAGAATGTGAACCAGGTTTTAACAGGTACAAATAAAGTATGAGAAAGTTCAGAAGGAGACCAAAACAGGGGAAAGAAACTAATATTTATTAAATTTTAAATTATTAAGTTATTTAAATTTTAAATTATTAAATAGCCAGAAACTATTAATAGGCTCATTCCTTGATATATACTTTCTGATTTAAGCCTCACAGTAACCCAACAGGTTGTTGGGAGTTTTTTGTTTTGTTTACTTTTTGGTTTGGTTTTGTTTATCAGATATCGAAGCCAAGATTCAGCAAACAGTCCAATGTTTCACTGTAACTAAGTAGTGAGAGACGGGGTTCAAATTTAGGTCTGTCTGAAGAGGGAGAAAATACTTTCCTGTGGTATCAGGAAAGACTTCATAGATTTTCTGATCTTTTTTCTTTTGTACCCGTGATTTTGAGCCATTTTCGAGTCATCCATTCCTTCTATAATCTGATAAAAGTATTTATCCTTTCTCACAAAAACACACATATACACATAGAAACAAACACCTTCCAACAGTTTCAGAGTGTCCACAGATACCAAGAACCACTTTTCAGTACAGGTCATACCTGCTAATAAATGATATTTCAGAAGTTAAATCACAAAAAAACTCTACAGACCTTAAGTTCCTTTAGTTCCATCCGCCTATCATTAATTTCTTTCTCCAGTTGAGCTTTTTCTACTTGCATAGCTCCAGCAGTTCGTCCATGCTGGCCCACCAGCTGTGTCATGTTCTCAATCTGCTGTCGCAGAATCTCGATCACCTTGTCCTTCTCTGTCATCTGCAGTTTGAGGGCCTCACATTCTGTCTGCACATTTCTGAGATGATCCCCTTCATTTTTCAAGTGTTGCAGCTCCTGCAATTTCAAGTCCACCCGGGAGCGGAGCTTTGTGATCTCTGCATTGGTAGCCTCGATGGCTCTCTCTTTTTCCTGGAGAGAAGTTGTCAGGTCCGATATTGTCCTCTCTGAGCTCTCCAGAGTCATTTTCTTGGCTGTCAACTCTTCTACTACTTTGCGCAGCATCTCTTTGGTGGATTCAAGCTGAGCAGTCAAGGAGGATACTTTTTCTAGACTTTCATTCTTTCCTTGAATTGCTGCCATCTGATTGTTAAAGAAAAGAGAATTTCATAGATTTGGGAGGATAGGTATAGGCAACCTCAAGAGATACAAGTTAACTTAAAAGCATGAAATCATGAATTAGGCAATGTTTAGTAAGATCTTTTTTTTTTTTTTTAAGAGATGGGGGTCTCACTGTGTTCCCTAGGTTGGTCTTCTCAAATTCCCAGCCTCAAATGATCTCCTGCTTCGGCCTCCCAAAGTGCTGGGATTTCAGGGATGAGCCACTGTACCCAGCCATGTCTAGTTAAATTAACTCAATCATTTTGCTGTCAGAACTCTAGCTCTTATAACATATGTAAGACTGACATATGCTAATTAGACCAAGGTGGAGAGGGCTTAATTAAATAATAACGCTCCTCCACAACGGTGTTCTAGAGTGCAGTCTTGGGAAGTTTCCTCTGTGGATGTTTTCTGTACTGATTTAGATTAAGATAACCCTGGCAATGGGGGGAAGGGTGGCGGAATTTACAATAACTACCCCTTATTTTTAATTTCCCTCCAACTTTACCTTTAATTCTACCTCTGAGGAAAAAAATGAATAATGGCTTTTATCCACACACACATTCATATTCTCTGATCCTTGTTTGGAAAAGCTGAAAATTCTAACTTCCAGTTGGTCCTTTCATCTTTCTTCTTGCCCAGGTTAAGCCAGAGAGTAGGTTAATGGCTTTGCCTGGGTCTAAGCCAAGACCAGTCCCTTGGTTTGCTTTCACATTCTGAGAAGCTTACACTTTTGTGGGATGCTTTTTATGTCCCTGTGGCAGTAACTGGCATTAGAACCATGTCTTCCTAGCACAGAAAGTACACTGCTATTAAGAAGGCAGTCCACGTTTTGCTACTGGAGGGTGCACCGGAATGGAATGCACTCATCAGTCTCAATCAGTGATGAGACTTGGGGAAAGAGAGGCAAGTCTCTTTTGGGAGAAAAATAAAGCAAAAAAATCTGTTAGAAACCTTCAACCCTGTTGCTTCTCAGGCTGCCCAATAATTTGATGCTTCTCTGCAGCAGAAATAAGCAATTATTAGGTTACCAATTTTTAGGTAAACGTGAAAAGGCAATGGGATAAGAGTTTAGTTCTTCAACAATGTACAAGTGAGATAAAGCTTGACACATTTAGTTTAATTAGTGTCTATATATAGGCCGGGCGCAGTGGCTCACGCCTGTAATCTCAGCACCTTGGGAGGCTGAGGTGGGCAGATCATGAGGTCATGAGATCGAGACCATCCTGGCTAACATGGTGAAACCCCATCTCTACTAAAACTACAAAAAATTAGCTGGGCATGGTGGCACACGCCTGTAATCCCAGCTACTTGGGAGGCTGAGGTAGGAGAATTGCTTGAATCCGGGAGGTGGAGGTTGCAGTGAGCCGAGATCGCGCCACTGCACTCCAGCCTGGGTGACAGAGGAAGACGCCATCTAAAAATAAATAAATAAATAAATAAACAAAAAATGAAATAAAATGAAAAATAAGTATCAGGTTTTCATAAATTGCTCACAGAATCCATAGCTTTATTTTAGGAGCCATTTTAGGTCCATATATGTTAAAAATAAAAAGCTCTATTTAGACATAAAATATTTATTTCCCCAGAGGAGATTGTTTGGCGATGGCACAGCCTGTGCAGGCACTGACCTGCCGCTCCATCTGGCCCTGACACTCGCTCTTCAAGGCCTTGAGCAGGGCTTCCAGGCGCTGCACCTCCATGTTCCGGTTGTCCAGTTCCCGCCGCAGGTGGTCAATGGTGATGCTGTTGCCTGTGTCTCGGTCCCACAGACGCTTATTCTGCTCCTTCTCCAGACTCAGCTCCTTCTCCCTTTTGTGTAGATCAGCCTAAAAAAAGAGAGGAATGCTTTTTTCCTCCCTGCTATTAAATAATTAAGATAAAACATATTGTCTTTATATCATATTTGGAGTTTTTATGTGATTTCAGACACCTTTGATTTTGGAATCTGATTCCTTTTTAATGGCTTAAGAGCAATTATTTCCAAGAAAAATAAGTTAACATTTTGCTTAAAATTTCTAGCATTACTAGTCTATCTCGAGGGACTAGACCTCAAATAATATACAATGAAAAGGAAAATACAGTAGATTTTAAAAGTCATCCTGTTTTTAAGTCTTGCATTTTCTAAGAAAGACATTATGTCTCACATCAGGTATGCTCCTATAATAAAGAAATGCTCAAAAGCATGAAGGAAAAATGATAAGTAAAGGAAAAATGATAAGTAATGGAGAGATGGCAGAATAGTGGCTGGTACTGGAATTGGAGTAGCATCTGGGCTGTGAATAGAATTACCTCCCTTTTCAGTCACTTAAAAAATACATAGTGTTGAATAGGAGCAAAAACTCTAGTCAGACTAGTAAAAACAAAGATATATCTACACTCAAATGACTTAGGATCCAAGAGAAAGTTAAGACATAGACATAAGTAACTGGAAGTGGTTTTTCATTAAAGGAACAAAGATAAGGAATAGCAGACAGAATCTCACTAAAGGGATCAAAATGCTTCAGGATAGTATTTGAGTTAGACCTGAAGATGTAGAGATTAGGAAGAAGGGACAGGAAAGGGGCCTGTGTGTTTGCTTGGTGCACTGGGTCCGGGTAGAGAGAAAGGATTGGAAAGGTTAGCAGGGTGATGGATCATGAACAGTATTGAAAGGGAGGGTGTCTGACTTTATGGAGAAAGTAATTTTGAGTTGAACAGTGACATCATCGGAGCTACATTTTAGAGAGATGTATGCGGCAGCCCTTTACAGGAAGGAGTGAAGAGGAGAAAAACTGGAGTTGGGAACATCAGTAAGGAGACTGCCATGCTTCAGGCAATGAGTAATGAGGGGTTGAACGAGAGGTGGTGATGGTAAGAATGAAAAGGGAGGCCAGGTTTGAGGATCTTTCAGACATTCAGTCTCCAAGATTTTCAAATTAGATAGGAGAACACTGAAAAACATGCAAATGTTAGGTAAAGAACTGAAGAATTATGCCAAGATTAAGAGCTTCTCTACACAGCTCTCAGTTCTATCCTTACCTCAGCTCATCAAACCCTTGTCAGCCTGCAAAGGATGGCTTTACCAGCAAAGAGCACCATTCCCTGGAATGGGGTTTGGTAAGCCGAGAAATTTATTCTGTTATACCACTAATACCGCAAAAGGGGATTCCAAACATTTCCTTTCCTAAATTTCTCATCCTATAGTTCCTCTAACAGAGGACAGAGTGGCTTCATTATGAGCACAATCATACTGTCCTTTTCTTTTAAAACAACTTCACCTAACCGTCCATTCCAAATTTCTATATACACAATTTTTATGTGTTTTGAATGTTATTTGGCCTTAAAATGAACGTGTAACACTACTTCAATTTAATGGAATATGGTATCTACTTGAAAGACTATGGCTATGTCAAGATCTCCTTCACCTAATACTGTAATAGCTCTGCTTAAGAAAAAAGTTAAGTATACAGAATATCATATTTTATATGCAAAACTTGAATTGTGTCTAAAATAATCTATTGCATGTATGCACAAATATTTTGTAAATTTGTAATTTTATAAAGGAAACGAGTTTTGTGATATATTTCAGTGAAAAACTTCCCAGAATTAGTCTTATTCATATTTTAAAGCATAATCTTACCAACAGCTTTTGAAGTTGATCATCTAAATTTCCAGATTCCTGACTGAATTGATCACGCTCTGTCCGGGCTTCAGTTAGCTCTGAGTTGGCAAGGACTAACTGCTTTTCCAGCTCTTCTGTCTGAAAGGAAAGTACAAATTGAACAGTGTCTGATTATGACAGTGGGTAATATAAAATAAATATAGACTTTGGAAAACAAATGGTATTATTTTGAGAACAAAAATAAAAGTTCGTTGTGAGGCTGGGTGCAGTGGCTCATGCCTGTAATCCCAGCACTTTGGGAGGCCGAGGCGGGTGGATCACCTGAGGTCAGGATTTTGAGACCAGCCTGGCCAACATGGCAAAATCCCGTCTCTACTAAAAATACAAAAATTGGCCAGGCATGGTAGTGGGCGCCTGTAATCCCAGCTACTTGGGAGGCTGAGACAAGAGAATCGCTTGGACCCGGGAGGCAGAGGTTGCAGTGAGTCAAGATCGTGCCATTGCACTTCAGCCTGGGTGACAAAAGTGAAACTACATCTCCAAAAAAAAAAAAAAAAAGTGTATTGTGATGTGTCTTGTAAAGTTTTTTTTTTTTTTAAAGAAAATCTATGCTGAGTTTAGCCAGGGAAATTAGACAAAATGAAATATTTAGTACTGTTGAATTTGGGAATTGCCTGTAATACATCTGTCTCCTGTTTTCATACTATTCAAGATTTATCTTCTGTGAAGACATGTTCTATAATTTGGTATTTAAGAAAGCTTGAGGGTTGGCACAATGGCCCATGCCTGTAATCCTTTGGGAGGCCAAGGCAGGAGGATCCCTTGAGCCCAGGAGTTCAAGACCAACCTAGGCAACACAGGGAGACCCCATCACTACAAAAAATATTTTTTTAAAGGTTAGCTGGCCATGGTGGTGCACACCTGGGGTCCCAGCTACTTGGGAGGCTGAAGTGGGAAGACTGCTTGAGACTGGGTGGTTAAGGCTGCAGTGAGCCATGATTGTGTCCCTGCACTCCAGCCTGGGTGACAGAGCAAAACTGTTTCAAAAAAAGGAAGCTTGATATGGCATAAACAACATGCTGCAGAGCCTAAATAAATGAACTGTATTGTACTTAGAAGAGCTATTTTGCTTCAGAATATCAAAGTTTCGGTAATAAAAGGCATTGAATATAAAAGAATGAATGGTAACAAGTTATTAGCTATTGTCATTATTTTATAGCCACTACTTTTTTAAAGGATGAATTTATATATATTTATATTTACAGTAGGACAATTTATTTAACCATTCTAACCCTCATTTTGTTCAACTATTAATATAAAATGGGAATAAAAGTACCAATTTTAGAGGATGTTAAAGTGCATTTTATTCTGACAAGGCAGCTGTTTGATCTGTTTGAATATGCATTTCTATGACACATGCCATAAAGTGCATGACTGTTAATAGCGTTTCTATAGTTCTTTTTTTTTTGAAATGGAATCTCGCCCTGTCGCCCAGGCTGGAGTGCAATGGCACGATCTCGGCTCACTGCAACCTCCGCCTCCTGGGTTCAAATGATTCTCCTGCCTCAGCCTCCCAAGTAGCTGGGATTATAGGTGCCCGCCACCATGGCCAGCTAATTTTTGTATTTTTAGTAGAGATGGGGTTTCGCCATGTTGGCCAGGCTGGTCTCGAACTCCTGGCCTCAGGTGATCCACCCGCCTCAGCCTCCCAAAGTGCTGGGATTACAGGCGTGAGCCACCGCGCCCGGCCTCTATAGTTCTTTATGTCTAGGTTCAGCGTATGCTAAGAGGCTAGGATCTCAGACTGTGGAGACTAAGGGTTTAGATTTTAGCTGAGCCACACAATATCATAACTTAAATAATAAGATATTAAAACAATGAGAACGTGTTGATACTTAGTTATATGGTGATATCTTAACTTTAAGTAGGTATCTACATTACTATTTTATCATCTACTTTCTAGTAATAGGAAATCTTTCATGTCTGCATAAATGGTGCATATTCCTTCTTAGCTTTAAGGTGGCTATTTAGTAGGTTTCCAATCTACTGTCAATAATAAAACCTGGTTTGGATGATGTACTATGATAAAACTTTCTTAACTAGAGAACATATGACTAAGACTAACTTTTTCTTGAGAACTTTCTAGTTTTACTATTTACTATTTATTTTTAAAGATCTTCACTTATTCAACACATATTGAATTATATTATCTATACATACATACACACATCTCTCTTTAATAATAATCATAAGGAATAGAAGTTATATATATATCCACATATACATATATGACTAAGAAAGTACTAATATAGGACTATCAGTTTCCCATTTACCTACAGAAATCAGAGTATAGACTTTAATATTTATATTGGCTATATTCCTAAACTGACTTTGTATCTGGCTGCATGCTATGTATAAAAAGTATTTCACCAGAATTAAGTACACGTAAAATATTAGATCACTGTCTAAAATGTATTCCTAGACTCTATTAATCTAATAAAGAAGTACTTTCCAGGAGACTGAGGTGGGAGGATCACTTGAGGCCAGGAGTTCGAGACCAGCCTGGGCAGCATAGTGAGACCCCATCTCTACAAAAATAAAAATAAAATTAGCCTGGCATGGTGGTGCATGCCTGTAGTTTTGGCTAGTCAGGAGGCTGAGGTGGGAGGATCGCTTGAGCCTGGGAGTTTGAAGCTGTAATGAGTCATGTTCGTGCCACTGCACTCCAGCCTTGGCAACAGAGTGAGACACTCTCTTAAAAAAACAAAAAAGTACTTCTTGTGCTCCTTTTGGGGCATATACAGGAAAAGAAATGAAAAAGTCCCATAAAAATTCAAGCTCTGTAACACAGGTTACTTCCTAAGAAAAATGAATGAACAATATCAATTGATAAAATCTCTTCACTTTTGTTATTATCAGGAAAGACTAAATCAGTACACACTTAGTAAATACAGTAAGGGGAAGAAACACAAACTTTACTGTTACACAATTATGTTTGCCTGGCAAGGAATGGGTACATGAACATGATCCGAGGGGCAATATGATCAGGCGAAGAGCCAAACACCTTAGGTTCTTGTCTAGTTTCTGTTACATAACTTCCCTGTGTTTCCATTTTTTTCATCTGTAATTGGAAAGAGTATTCTAGACGATCTCTCATGTTCCTTTCAATTCTAATACTTTATTCCACAAGAACAGTATTAATAAAGCTGAAACAATTTATTCTCCACCTGTCTTTTGAGCTATAAATTTAACAAGAACATTTCCAATTTGAATTAATCATATGATTAAAATAAATGTTTTCTACTCCTAGCCTGGCATAAACCATTTCTATCCTTGAGCAAAGAAAATAATTTGTATATATGCTTTAAAAGCTTAAATTAAGATTTTCTCTTTTGTCTGCTTTCACTTAAAAAAAAAAAACTTCTGGATAATCATTTCATAACATCAAACTTGACATGAGACCAAATTAAAAAAAGAAAGAAAAAGAAACGAGCCAAGTCTTATCTTTCCATCTGTCTATTAAGTATAAGAAGTTCCTCCAGCCCCCTGCAGGAACATTTGTTTTGTAGTTGTCAGTACTGACTCAGCTGCTATAGGTCTGCTTTTACCTTTCACTTTTTAGAGTAAAAACATTTATATTAATCAATCAAAAAGATAAATAGAGAGTGAAAGGGAAAACCATTGAAGTAGCAGCTGAGTTGATATAAACAGCTGTAAAAAACACTATAAAGAAAAGCCTTTTAAAATATCCAGAATAAATATTGACATCTGAGATGTATTAAAGATTTTTTCTTTTTCTTTTATTTTTACGTAGTAGCACTGGTTTTCCCTTTCACCATCTATGAATGCACTTTTTGGTTTGGATCACTGGACAAATGAGTATTGGGATTTCATTCTAATCTCACATTGATTTTAGAGATATTGCCAATCATATCAAATCACACGAGGTTTGGTTTGTCTGTTGGTGGTGGTGTTTTCTGTTTTTCTGTGCTCAAAAAGACACAGCTATGGAATAATAAGGGATGCTACAGGCCAGCATGGCGGTGCATTGGCAGAACTATGCAGAGGTTTGCACAGAATCTTCCTGCACAGTATATAGCTCCAGCCAGTGCTACTAAATCATCACTTTTTTAATACAAAATTCAGCCCCAACTGCTTTCAAAGTAGTAAAAATAAATGCTGAATCAACATCAGGAGATATTTTTGTTGTCAAAAAGCGAAAGTTAAGGGTAAAGCCAAATCTACAGAGCCAATAGTGACAGCTTCTACTGGTCCAAATTCGTAAAGGGGAATTCTGGAGGTTCTCCTAAAGTGGAAAGAGAAGAATAGAAAACAGCATTACAGTAAAACACTTTTGTAAGCTACGAAAGCTACATCTCACATTTTTTTGAAGTACAATTTCTATGTTCACCAGCATAAAATAACTGTGTTAATCTGAAGAGAAATATTAACTTCCAAAACAAGTTTTCTCTTAATTTATGCATTCTAGTTGGAAAAGTTTTGTTTAGACCTGTCATGTCATCAATTTTTAAAAATGAAAACACTTTTTAAAATGAAGAAATCTGACCTTGGGAGAAAATACTAATACTGCCCCTCATAAAACATGTTGATGTTTAATATCAACACACCTTTATTAGTTTCCTTTCACACAAATCTCACTTTTTTTTTTTTTCTGAGACAGGGTCACCCTCTATTGCCCAGGCTAAAGTGAGTGGTGTGATCATGGCTCATTGCAGCCTCAATCTCTCAGCCTCAAGCTATCCTCCCATCTTAGCCTTTCTAGTAGCGAGAACTACAGGCGCACGCTACCATGCCCAGCTAACTTTTTATTTTTGTTTTTATTTTTGTAGAGACAGAGTCCCACTATGTTGCCCAGGCTTGTCTCAAGCTCCTAGGCTCAAGTAATCCTTCTGTCTCAGCCTTCGAAAGTGCTGGGATTATGGGTGTAAGCCACTGCACCTGGCCATGAATCTCACTTTTAATCACAGCTTTTATGTATTATGTCCTTTGATATTTTTCCTTGTTGTTATTTGAATGGTATATACTGAAATATGCACTGAAGCAACAGAGAAAAAATAGATTTTAAGGTTTTAATAGGCTTTAGCAATGCCAAGTCATATGAAAATGAAAAATAAAGCAGAATAATTTGTGTTTTTAGATTTTATATTCAATTCATTATAACAAAAACATTTTATAACAATACAATTTTTTATGATCCCAAGTGAAATCCTTGTTATTAACTTGTTTGATTTTCCTTGCTCAGCTACACCATGTAATTAATGTCACCTTAGGCCAGAGTGTACTTAGCTATATTTACATGGCAGTCATCTCTCAGTGCTCCCTGACCAAACCAAAGGGAGTTACTGTTAAGACAGTCTAGTTAACCATCAACTAGGTGCCAACTCTATTTAGGGTCACTGTGGTGTATTATAAATCTCAGTGATTTATTAAAACTAATGAAGCTGATATGCCCTCCTTATTTCCGTTAGCTCTTTACTATTTAAGACTGTCAAAATTCTTGCTCAGCCACTATTTACATTAGAGCAAAATAAGAGAATGATTCTAATATCATGTTTGTATCTATATGACCCCAAAACATTCATGTAAAAAGCTTGCAGTCATTCATCTGGATCTCGTGCTTCTACAATGCCAAAGATTTAAATGCTTATAAAAACTTAGAAATTCTTTTTATACATTTTAGATGGACATTTCAGTATTTGTGAAAAAATTTCCCAATATGTCCAAATCAGCATGATACTGTATATTGGACCAAATGCAAATTAGCAAACAATGGGTGAGGCTTCTGAAAGGATAATTTTTCCAAACAACAGTATAATGGAAAGCTATAGCAGTTACCAATCATGTAAGAAACCACAGGTGAGTTGAGCTTTATTTAGTACTTTGCGGCTTTTCAAAAAGTTTGTCAATAGACAATGAGTACTTAATCTTTCCAAAATGATTTGTGATTATTCATGAATATGCATTATTATATTGGACTGTGACACAACAGCTCTCTTATTTCCTCTCTCATTGTCAGATTGTCAGCTCTCACTTCTGCCAGAGTGCCTACCTCCACTAGACCCAAGTGAAAAAGCACCCTCCCACCTCATGGTGCACTAAAATCAGCCCCTCCTGCTGTTGTCTGCAGGGTGCGGTCATGACCTTTTGGTATAGGCTTGGTCTGCCCAGACTGGGGTGGACATTCCTGCTATAAATCATCAGGGGAAAAGCTTGTCCTGAGAAAAGACACTAGAACATAAAAAGCAGGCTTCAGAGAGGCAGAGAAAAGCGTGTGTTCCTCTCTGACCTTTTGTTTGTTGAGTGTACCCTTTAAGCAGTCTAAGGTTGCTTAAGGTTGCTCAGAGGCGGCACTGGTTGAAATAACATTGCCACAAGGATTTAGGTTAAGGGTTATGCAAGGAGGTTTACAAAAGGAGGCAGTGTTATTCAAACGCAACCCCCCAATAAATTATGAAATCAATTTAGTGAGCTTCAAATAAGCATCTGAAGAGAACAGAAAATAGCTGGCATCACATGTAATAGGAGTAAATATTGTTTTATGAATCTTGCTTCAGTTGCATGTGTGTTGGATCATAAGATGAACTATATTTCTTACTTTGGAAGACACTGCTGTAAAGGACCCACATCTATAACTGAGATTATACAGTTTCATGTTACTCTCTATGGCTTAGACTTTAGTAAAGTCCTGTCTAAATTCCATCCTTATCTTAGCTTTGATAAATGTTGAGGTATCTTATTTCCATGCGCGAGCCAAGTAGAAACAGCCCCCTCCTGTGGCCGGCTGGAGTGATAGCGGTAATTAAAATGGGGTGCCCAAAGAAGGGCAAATGTCTGGAAGAATTCGTGCTGCAATATATGGAGCTTTCCTCCATGTACTGTTACCCTATAGAATTGGTTTCATTTTATAAAGGGAGTATGGCAGCTTCCTTATACTCTATTTCTTCTAACCTACTGCTCCAAATAGCTAAGGTGTGAGAAACTGACTACAAGTGACAGAACTGTATGTAAATTGTTTCTGCTTGGCTGTCTAAGGGTCTCTTATAGGTAGGATGACTAAATATAGACTTTATCTTCCAAATGGGGACACTATGGAGATGAGAGGTAGCATTCATAAAACAGGACACTGGGCTAGCGGGTGTAAACCGAGACTGTCCCAGGCAAGCCGCCTTGGGTGATCACCCTTCTCACAGGGAATGAAGACCACCACTCCTCTTAATGGCAGCTCCTTGTTTGTTTTTTAGGGTCTTACTGTTTTACAAATGGTTGAAATGAACAAAAGTCTAAACTCTGGATAAACAGATGACAATGATACTGAATAGCTTCTCTTTAGCTATGGAAAGTGAAAGAAAAAAACAGAATATCAAATATTAATGTGGTTTTAAAAGGAATTACATGATGATGAGAGATGACTTATCCTCCTAATTAATTTTTATGTAATTAATTCATTTAATTAATCTTAACATTAATTCAGTTTGGTAGCTTCACAATGATTAGGAGTTAGGAGTTGAAGTAAGAGAGGAGGTAGGCCCCAAAAATATTGAGTAGCAGGGGGATCTGGCTGGTATGGAAGTATTTGCTAAAGTTTAGCTAAGTAAAAATAATTAAGATGGTCTCATTTTTAATGCATTTTTTAGAAACTCACTTGAACTATGCAAAAAATTTTGCTAAGAATGAATCAGAGTACACAATTTAAATAAAAATAGTTTATAAATAGTTTAAAATATAATTTAGCATGCTCTTACTCCAGCTTATAAACTGCTTTTAATTTGAAATTACTTTGATTCCTTATTTTCAAATAAACTATTACTAATATAATATTGATTCTGGATATTAAAGTCTCTAGAAACAGACCAGCAAAACCTAAACTCACCTTGTCTTCATACATCCTTTTGGCTTCCCTTAATTCAGAACGTAGCTGAGAAACAGTAGATTCCAGATCGCTGAGCTGACGCATATACATAGAGTTTTGGTTTCTTGCTTGCTCTCTAAGAAGAGTTTAGAAGGGGAATAAGTGCAAATAGCAAACTAAGAATAAGAGTAACACCTGAGTATTCTAGCTTTTTGACACTACCACTAGTTATTTTATATGGCATTATTAAGCCAATAGTCTTTTATTTTCCAAAACTGACTCTCAAAAGTTTCACCTCAAATATATTGTAAACTGCTGAAGCTGGGTGACAGCTGTATGGGAGTGCATTACACTATTTTCTCTCTACTTTTGTATATGATAGAAAATGTCCATATAAAAAGTTTTAACATACAACTCAAATAAAATTATTTCTACACATATGCATACATTTTACTTATATATATTCATATATATTACACACACACACACACACACACACACACACACACACACGGTTTGGCTCTGTGTCCCCACCCAAATCTCATGTCAAATTGTAATCCCCACATGTCAGGGGAGGGACCTGGTGGGAGGTGATTGGACTGTGGGGGCAGATTTCCCCCATACTGTTCTCATGATAGTGAGTTCTCACAACATCTGATGGTTTAAAAGTATGGCACTTCCCCCCTTTCCTGCTCCGCCATGGTAAGATGTGTTTGCTTTCCCCATGATTGTAAGTTTCCTGAGGCCTCCTAGTCATGATTTGTTAAGCCTGTGGAACTGTGAGTCAACTAAACTTCTTTTCTTTATAAATTACCCAGTCTTGGATAGTTCTTTATAGTAGTGTAAGAATGGATTAATACAGAAAACTGGTACCAGGAGAGTGGGGCACTGCTATAAAGATATCTGAAAATGTGAAAGTGAATTTGGAACTAGGTAACAGGCAGAGGTTGGAACAGTTTGGAGGGATCAGAAGACAGAAAGACGAGGGAAAGTCTGGAACTTCCTAGAGACTTGTTGAATGGTTGTGACCAAAATGCTGATAGTGATATGGACAAAGAGTCCAGGCTGAGGTGGTCTCAGATGGAGATGAGGAACTTCTTGGGAACTGGAGTAAAGATCACTCTCACTATGCTTTAGCAAAGAGACTGGTAGCATTTTGCCCCTGCCCTAAAGATCTGTGGAACTTTGATCTAGACAGAGATGATTCAGGGTGTCGGGCAGAAGAAATTTCTAAGCAGCAAAGCATTCAAGATGTCACCTGACTGTTTCTGAAAGCATACAGTCATATATATTTACAAAGAGATGGTGTGAAATTGCAACTTCTATTTAAAAGGGAAGCACAGTGTAAAAGTTTGGAAAATTTGCAGCCTGACCATGTGGTAGAAAAGAAAAACCCATTTCCTGGGGAGAAATTCAAGCTGCCGGCTGCAGAAATTTGCATAAGAAGAGGTGCAAGACAATGGGGAAAATGTCTCCGGGGCATGTCAGAGATCTTTAGGCAGCCCCTTCCAACACAGGCCTTGTGACTTAGGAGGAAGAAATGGTTTTGTAAGCCAGGGCCCTCTCTATCGCTCTGTGCGTCCTCGGTACATGGCACCCTGTGTCCCAGCTGCTCCAGCTCCAGCCATGGCTAAAATGGGCCAAGGTACAGCTCGGGCTGTTGCTTCAAAGGGTGCAAGCCCCAAGACTAGGCAGCTTCCATGTGGTGTTGAGCCTGGAGGTGTACAGAAAGCAAGAGTTGAGGTTTGGAAACCTCTGCCTAGATTTCATAGCATGTATGGAAATGCCTGGATGTCCAGGCAGACATCTGCTGTAGGAGTAGAGCCCTCATGGGGAACCTCTACTAGGGTAATGTGGAGGGGAAATGTGGGGTTGGAACCCCCACACAGAGTCCCCACTGGGGCACTGCTTAGTGGAGCTGTGAGAAGAGGGCCACTACCCTCCAGACCCCAGAATGGTAGATCTACAGGCAGCTTGCACTGTGCACGTGGAAAAACTACAGGCACTCAGTGTAGCCTGTGAAAGCAGCTGCGGAGGCTGTACAATGCAGAGCAACAAGGGCAGAGCTGCCCAACGCCTTGGGAGCCCTGCCTTGCATCAGTGTGCCCTGGAAGTGAGACATGGAGTCAAAGGAGATTATTTCAGAGCTTTAAGATTTAATGACTGCACAGCTGGATTTTGGACTTGCATGGGGCCTGCAGCCCCTTTGTTTTGGCCTATTTTTCCCATTTGGAATAGGAGCATTTACCCAATGCCTGTAACCCAGTTGTATCTTGGAAATAACAAACTTGTTTTTTATTTTACAGGCTTATAGGTGGAACGGACTTATTTTGTCTCAGATGAGACTTTGGACTGAATTTCTGAGTTAATGCTTAAATGAGTTAAGACTAGGGGACTGTTGAGAAGGGATAATTATATTTTTTTTATTTTTGAGATGGAGTCTTGCTCTGTCGCCCAGGTTGGAGTGCAGTGGCGTGATCTTGGCTCACTGCAAGCTCTGCCTCCCGGGTTCATGCCATTCTCCTGCCTCAGCCTCCTGAGTAGCTGGGACTACAGGTGCCCACCACCATGCCCAGCTAATTTTTTGTATTTTTAGTGGAGACAGGGTTTCACCGTGTTAGCCAGGATGCTCTCGATCTCCTGACCTCGTGATCTGCCCGCCTCAGCCTCCCAAAGTGCTGGGAATATAGGCGTAAGCCACCATGCCCAGCCAATAATTGTATTTTAAAATGTGAGAAAGACATGATATTTGGGATATTACAAATCTGAATTGTAATCACCATGTGTCAGGGGAGGGGCCTTGTGGGAGGTAACTGGATCATGGGGACAGATTTCCCCCATGCTTTTCCCGTGATAGCGAGTGAGTTCTCATGAGATCTGATGATTTAAAAGTGTGGCACATCCCCATTCTCTCTCTCTCTTGCTTTGCCATGGTATGATGTGCTTGCTTCCCCTTTGTTTTCTGTCATAATTGTAAGTTTCCTGAGGCCTCCCACTCACGACTCCTGTTAAGCCTGTGGAACTAGGAGTCAATTAAATCTCTTTTCTTCATAAATTACCCAGTCTTGGTTAGTTCTTTATAGCAGTGTAAGAATGGACAAATATGAATACTTAAAACAGCCAATCCCAGGAGCCCCAAATACTTGCAAAAATACTTCTTATATGGTCAGATAACAGTACCTATGTTACATAATACTTCCTGTTCATTTAAATGTTAGAAAAATGTTTCACTTTCTTATGAAATCTTACTAAGCAAGTTCTAAAAGATTATAGAACAGAAAGTTAATGAGAATAATATCTTTAAAATGAAGATGAATGACTAACAGTTTCAAACCACATACTGAATGATTTCCATTTGACTCTGGATACTATTGGCTTGGCTTCGAGCACTGCTAGCTTTCTCAGTAAGTCCTGTTATTTCAACTTCATGTTCACTTATTAACTGCTCAATCCTATAAAAAGAATGTGGTGATTGTCATTTGATACAGAAGATTTTCCTGACTATGAATTATTTTAAAAATTAATGATTTTCAATACTCTCAAATTTAGTATTTTGCTTTGCTTTTGTATATGCTACTCTTTTAATAACAAGTGTCTACAACAAGTCCAAAACCCTTTATCCAAATCTTTTGGGAGTCAGATAGTTTTGGAATTCAGAATTTTTTTTTATTTTACAATGGTAATAAATTGCAAGTAGTAAATATTATATGACACCCCCAATGAGATCTAGGGAAGTGTCCCATTAACGAAACATATCATGAATGCAATAATTTATAAGTATTCACACTAAATTGTAGACTATGGAAAGGTTTACATTAGCTCTGGTCAGGTTTTTCCAACAAATGAGTGACAAAAACTCTCTCCTTCACCAAACTTTAGTCAGACTCTTCTGAGGCCTCTTTTCAACTATGCCTCAACCTTTGGCCTGCCTAGCCCAGACCTAGCAAGAATCTTGCCAAGTCAGTTTAGTCCTCCCACCCTCGATATCTGATCAAGTTCTTCATCCCCTGCCTTTGATATCTAAGCCCTTGGCCTGCATTTAGCAAGAATCCCCCTACTCTTGATGCCTTTTCTCAGTAATTTTCCATCCACAGACCCCCTCACCATGCCCCCTGGCTATAAATCCCCATTTGGCCTTGTATTGGGAGCTGAGCTTAATCTCTCTCTCTCTCTCTCCTACAGCAATACTCCTATTGTAATCATCTCAAATGACATCTTCCTTACGATTTTATAACCAGGGTCAGGAAAACAAAATGTTAACATGAGTTTCCTATAAACCTATAAAAAAACTTATGTGTTTCAGAGCTGTTTAGATTTTGGAATTGTGGCCGAAACACTGTAAAACTGTGGTTTAGTTTCGCTAGGCTTTTCCATACCTCAGTCAGAAACCTACCTATCTTGGTGTTGTTGCAGAAGTAGTTCTATTTTGTTCTGTGATTCAGATTTCAGTGCTTCAAGTTGATCCTCTACCTGGTTTTTAAAAAGAGACACTGATTTAGTTACTGGTAAATATAAGGCTTGGAAAATCTGGAGATTTTCAACTAAAGGAATGCTTTAAATGCAAGTAAAAATAATACTAAAATCAGATACATTCTATCCCCATATTTTATTAGATCTTTTACTTTGTCTATACTCTCATGAAGCTATACGGTAAACCAAGCTAGTTCCTATTATGAGAGATTACTGTGGAAGTAACTTCTGTTATTTCAGAAAAATGAGAACTTGGCTTATTTTAAGAATTTTAAAAATTATACATCTAATGCTATTCTCTTAATGCATTTTAATATAAAATTATTTAAGTAGCATTCTCACCACTTACTGGAAATATCCTCCCTTTAAGATAAGAAATCTCTGTGTCTAATTCTCTTAGTATTTTACTAATAGCTGAGCCCAAGCTGCGGAAGTGCAGAGTAGACATGCTGTCATGTTCACATATTTTTTTGCCTGAGGCTTCTTCAAAGTCAACTAGGATTGACCGGATTTCTTGAAGCACTCCCTCATGACTAAGCATCATTTTTCGTAGTTGCTCTATCTGTGTGTTGCTGTCTTTCAGCATGTCCTCTTTAAGGCATTTGGCAGCTTCAAGTTCATGAACTGTATTTTGAAGCTGATTTCTTAAATCCTCCTGGGACTGACTCTCCCTTCGTCTATGAAATAAATGAAAGAAAATAAATAACATTGATAAAACTCATATTCACACAAGTAGTTTTACTACAAACAGTAAAACTTTAAAATAATTTCACATAATGAAAATATGTGACTTTAAAATAATTTCACAAATCCCAACCTGATGTCAGCCATAGCATCTCTCTCCATTTGCATCTCCTGAAGTTTTGTTTGCAAATCAATGACTGACTGCCTCAAATAAAACTTTTGTTTCTCATGCAATTCATTGCTCTGAAAAAAAAAGCCATGCAAATTAATCTTCATTAGAGAAACACATTTCCTTATAGCTAGTAACTTCCAAAGATCTATATATATTTTCAATTCATTTTTATGTCTACTTCCTTCCCTCACTGCTGCAGTTCAAAGTCTAATTAATAATTTCTCGCTTAGATTATGAGAATACCTTAACCAGTCTCCCTGTATCAAGCTTGACCCCTTTTAATCCATTCTCTACAACCAACACTCTGCTTCTAAAACAAATCTTACTTCCAGCTCAACATGGAGATAGAAATACATTTTTTACATGAAAACATGAGAATTAGTTGAAATTCTGTACATAAAAAAGTCAATCCCTACCTCCTACCCACTTAAAATACCTGGCAGCAAACACCACCATCCAAAACTCCAGGTGTCCTACTACAGAGAAATACACAAAGATTTCTAAGATCAGGCACTGAGGGATCTCCCAGAATAGGAGATGCTGTAGGAGATGCTCCCGTACATAGTTGATGCCATACCTAATCCTCCCAAAGCAAAGCCATCAAATTCTGCCCATGAATAGAAAGTTTGCCATCAGATTTTTTATTGCCTAATTGTAGAATATAAACAGAAAACCAAAAACCACTGAACACTTGAAGAAAAATCCCAAAGTAATAAATAGATCAAGATCAAATAAACAAGCAAACACCCAGAAAAAAAAGAACCAGAGGAACTAAAGAAAGATAATGCAAGGAAAAGAAGAACGCTTCAAAAACTTGTATTTACAGAGAAATTCAAGAGACATTATCAGCATAAAGCAAGAATAAGATGCTATGCCAAATAAGTGATCAGGGGAGAAAGGGTCACGAAAATTAAAAATATGGTTGTAAAGAAAAAAGTTCAATTCAATAGAAATGTTGCAAGTCAAGAAATTTCCTCCAAAGGTAGAAAAAGTAGACAAATTTTTGAAACAAAAAGTAAGAGATGTAGAGATTTAACCGAGGTGAAAATATGTTTCCAACAGGAACTTTGGAAAGACAGAACTGAAAAAACAGAAGAAAGGAAACGGCCAAAGAAAAAAACGCAACTGAATTCCTCCAAACTGAAAGGCACACATCTACAGACGAACAGGTCTACTGAGTCCCTAGCAAGGTGAATGAAAAAAAACAAAAATTCATATCTAAGTACATTATGGTGGCATTTCAGAGACAAAGAAAAGATGTTAAAGATGAAATTCAAGTAAGTAAAAAATAAAAAATCATCTACAAAGGAACAAGAACCAGACAGACATCTTCTCAGTAGCGATACTGAATGCAAAAGCACAGTATCTTCAAAAGATTGAGAGAAATTACTTTCAACTTTACCGAGCCAATTATCAATGAAGTACGAGTGTAAAATAGAGTCATTCTCAGACATGCAAAGATGCATAAAATATATCTCTTTCTTAAGAATTTAACAAAGATGTGTTTTGACTAAATGAAGAAGCAGATCGAGAAAGAAGACAGGAGAGGCTGGAGGCAGAGCAAGATGGCGGAATAGAAGCCTACACCATTCATTCCCTAACCCCTGCCATCCTCGATGGGAACACCAAATTTTAAAAACTATCTGCACACAGAAGAGCACCATCATAAGAACACGAAAGTCAAGTGAAAAATAGTGAGGCAGGAAAATAGGGTCTGGAGGCAGGGAACATAAGGCTGATTCACACTTCAGCTGTGACAGGAAATATCCTCTCCTTAGGGTGTAGGCTGTAAATGACTTTGTAACTTTATTTCATTCTCCCCATTTACATAGGGCATACCCCCAAGTAACCAATGGAATCCTCTAGGGAGTATTTAAACTCCCAAAAATTCAGTAATGGGGCTTTTGAGTTCCTATGCTCAGGCCTGCTCCCACACTGTGTAGTGTACTTTCATTTTCAATAAATCCCTTCATTCCTTCCTTGCTTTGTTTGTGTGTTTTGTCCAATTCTTTGTTCAAGATGCCAAGAACCTGGACACCCTCCACCATTAAAAATATTATCTGGTTTTAATTCATATGGTGGAAAGAGGCATTGAGGAGGGCAGGAGAGACAGTCTTGAATCTCCAATGCCACCCCTTCCACCATCCCCCAGCAGTGGCTGTGCAGAGAATCTGCATAGGGCAGGGAGAGCACAGCAACTGGGGGGTTTTATATTTAACTCAGTGCTGCCCCGTCAGAGGGGAGAATCAAGCCATGCTGAGCTTAGAGGGAGCATTTGGACCAGCCCTAGCCAGAGGGGAATGGTCCATTTCAGTGGTCAGAACTCGAGTTTCTCAGCAAGCCTCACCACCACATGCTGAAATGCGCTGGGGTCCTAGGTAAACTTGAAAGGCAGCCTAGGACACAAGGACTGCAATTCTTAGGCAATTCCTAGTGCTAGGCTGGGCTTAGAGCCAGTAAACTAGGGTGGCATGTGACCTAAGGAGACCCAAGCTGGTGTGGCTAAGAGAGTGCTTGCACCATCCCTTTCCCAACCCCAGACGGTGTAGCTTGCAACAACAAAAGTGCCTCCTTCCTTCTGTTTGACGAGGGGAGAGCAAAGCGTAAAAAGGACTTTGTCTTGCATGTTAGGTACCAGTTCAGCCACAGTAGGGTAGGGCAGTGGGCAGAGTCATGAGGCCCCCATTCCAAGCCCTACCTCCCAGACAATAATTCAAGATACACCCTGGGCCAAAAGGGAACCCATTGCCTTGAAGGGAAGAACACAGTCCTGGAATCGTTCATTACCTGCTGACTAAAGAGTCCTTGGGGACCAGGCATGGTGGCTCATGCCTGTAATTCCAGCACTTTGAGAAGCTGAGGTAGGCAGATCATTTGAGCTCAGGAGTTCGAGACCAGCCTGACCAACATGGTGAAACCCTGTCTCTACTAAAAATACAAAAAAAATAGGCTGGGTGCGGTAGCTCACGCCTGTAGTCCCAGCACTTTGGGAGGCTGAAGTGGGCGGATCATGAGGTCAGGAGTTTGAGACCAGCCTGACCAAGATGGTGAAACCCCATCTCTACTAAAAATACAAAAATTAGCCGGGCGTGGTGGTGCGCGCCTGTAATCCCAGCTACTCAGGAGGCTGAGGCAGGAGAATCATTTGCACCTGGGAGGCAGAGGTTGTAGTGAGCTGAGATCGCACCACTGCACTCCAGCCTGGGCGACAGAGACAGACTACAACTAAAAAAAAAAAAAAAAAAATCAAACCAAACAAAACAAAAAAATTAGCCAGGCATGGTGGCACATGCCTGTAGTCCCAGCTACTTAGGGGGCTGAGGCAGGAGAATCATTTGAACCCGGGAGGGAGAGGTTGCAGTGAGCTGAGATGGCACCACTGCACTCCAGCCTGGGTGACAGAACATAACTCCATCTCAAAAAATAATAAAAGTAAACATAATAAAAATAAAGAGCTCTTGGGCCCTGAATAACCAGCAGTGATACCCTGAGAGTATGCTTTGGGCCTTGGGCTCTGAGATGTGCTGGCTTCCGGGGTGACCTAGCACATTCCCAGCTATGGTGGCTACAGTGAAAGACTCCTTCTGTTTGAGAAAAGCAGAGGGAAAAGTAAAGAAGACTTTGTCTTACACCCTAGGTACCAGCTCAGCCACAGTCGGGTAGAGCAACAAGCAGGCTCTTGGAGTCTCTAAGTCCAGGACTATGCATTGGGACCTGGGCAGGGCAGCATTTCTGGACCTGCCCTGTGTCAGAAGGGAACCTAGTGCCCTAAAGGGTGAGTTCCAGGCCTGGCAACATTCACCACAAGCTGATCAAAGAGCCCTTGGCTTTAAGTGAACATCAGTGGTGGCCTGGCAGAAACCCCATGGACTAGTGGTGGTGGTAGCCACAGGGAGAAGCTCCTCTGCCTTTGGAAAGGGGAGGAAAGAATGGGACAGACTTTGTATTGTGGTTTGAGTCAGCTTAGCCGCAGTAGAAAAGAACATAAGGTAAACTCCTAAGGTATTTGACTCCAATCCCTGGCTCCTGGACAGCATGTCCAGACATGCACAGGGCCTAGGGGATCTTATCACCCTGAAGGGAAGGACCTTGGACAAGACTCAGGGCAGTGCTGACTTCAGGTCTGACCCATCACATTCCCAGTGGTGGCAGCCACAGGAGTGCTTGCATAACCACACCCCCAGTTCCACGTGGCTCAGCACAGAGAGAGAGAGAGAGACTCCATATGTTTGAGAGAAAGGTAAGGGAAAAGAACAAGAGTGTCTGCCTGGTAATCCAGAGAATTCTTCCAGATCTTATCCAAGACCACCAAGGCAGTATCCCTATGAGTCTGCAAAAACCATAGCATTATTGGGCTTGGGGTTTTGAATACCTGGAAAGCCTTCCCGAGAAGAACAGGCACAAATAAGCTCAACTGTGAAGACTACCACAAATAACTAACTTCAATGCCCAGACACCAAAGTACATCTACAAGCATCAACACCATCCAGGAAAACATGACCTCACTAAATGAACTAAGTAAGGTACCAGGGACCAATTATGAAAAAACAGAGATATATGACTTTTCAGACAGATAATTCAAAATATCTGTTTTGAGGAAATTCAAGGAAATTAAAGACAACTCAGAGAAAGAATTCAGAATTCTATCAGATAAATTTAACAAAGAGATTAAAATAATTAGAAAGAATCAAGCAGAAATATTAGAATTGAAAAATGCAATTGCTGTATTGAAGAATGCATCAGATTCTCTTAATATCAGAAATGATCAAGCAGAAGAAAGAATTAGTGAGAAGACAGGGTATTTGAAAATATACAGTCAGAGGAAACAAAAGAAAAAAGAAAAGAAAACAATGAAGCACACCTAAAGCTCTAGAAAATAGCCTCAAAAGGGCAAATCTAAGTTACTGGCCTTAAAAGGGAGTTAGAGAAGAAGATAGGGGTAGAAAGTTTATTCAAAGGGAAAATATCAGAGAACTTCCCAAACCTAGAGAAAAATACCAACATTCAACTACAAGAAGGTTACAGAACATCAGCAGATTTAACTCAAAGAAGACTATCTCAAGGCAATTAATAATCAAACTCCCAAAGGCCAAGGATAAAGGATCCTGAAAGCAGCAAGAGAAAAGAAACAAATAACATACAATGGAGCTCCAATACATCTGGCAGCAGGCTTTTCAGTGGAAACCTTACAGGCCAGGAGAGAGTGGCATGACATATTTAAAGTGCTGAAAGAAAAAAACCATCTACTGTAGAATAGTATATCTGGTGAAAATATCCTTCAAACATGAAGGAAAAATAAACACTTTTCTAGAAAACAAAAGATGAGGAATTTCATCAACACCAGACCAGACCCATCCTACAAGAAATGCTAAAGGGAGTTCTTCATTCTGAAAGAGAAGGATATTAATAAGCAAGAATAAATCATCCAAAGGTACAAAACTCATTGGTAATAGTAAGCACACAGAACAATATAACACTGTAATTGTGGTGTGTAAACTTCTCTTAAGTAGAAAGGCTAAATGATAAACCAATCAAAAGTAATAATAACTTTTCAAGCCATAGATAGTACAATAAGATTCAAAGAGAAACAACTAAAAGTTAAATAGTGGGGGCACAAAGTCAAAGTGTAGAGTTTGTATTAGTTTGGTTTTCGTACATTTGTTTGTTTATGCAATCAGTGTTAAACTGTCATCACTTTTTAAGTGATGGTTTTAAGATAATGGTTTATAAGAGAGTATTGCAAGCCTCATGGTAACCTCAAAGGTAAAAAAACATACAACAGATACGCAGAAAATAAAAGCAAGAAATCAAAGCATGGTAGTGGGTTATCAGAACTTATTAACATTAGTGTCACTAGAGTTGGTATAAAACCAACTGCTAAATTTGACTGGCTTAAAAATAAAGAAATCAAAGCATACCACCAGAGAAAAATCACCTTCACTAGGAGGAATACAGGAAGGAAAAAAAGAAGGAAGTGAAGACCACAAAACAACCAGAAAACAAATAACAAAAATGGCAGGAGTAAGTCCTTAGTCATCAATAACAACATTGAACATAAATGGACTAAATTGTCTAATCAAAAGACATAGAGTGGTTGAATGGATTAAAAAACAAGACTCAATGATCTGTTGCCAACAAGAAACACACTACACCTACAAAGACACACATAGCCTGAAAATAAAGGGATGGAAAAAGATATTCCATGCCAATGGAAACCAAAAAAGAGCAGATGTAGCTATACTTATATCAGACAAAATAGATTTAAAGACAAAAACCATAAGAAGAGACAAAGAAGTCACAATATAATGATAAATGGGTCAATTCAGTAAGAGGATGTAACAATTTAAAATACCTATGGAGCCATGACTGCAGCACCCAGATATATAAAGCAAATATTATCAGAAATAAAAGAGAGATAAGCCTCAATACAACAATAGCTAGAGACATCAACACCCCACTTTCAGGACTGGATAGATCATTCAGACAGAAAATCAACAAAGAAACATAAAACCTAATCTGTACTATAGACCAAATGGAGCCAATAGATATTTACAGAACATTTCATCCAAAGGCTGAAGAATACACAGCCTTGTATACACACAGGAATAGACACAGGAATGTTCTGGGCAGAATACATTCCTCAGCACATGGATGATTCTCAAGGAGAGACTATACATTAGGTCATAAAACAAGTCTTAAAACATTCAAGAAAACCTGAAATAATATCAACCATCTTCTCTGACAACAATGGAATAAAACTACAAATCAATAACAAGGGGAATTTTGGAAACCATACAAATACACAGAAATTAAACAATATGCTCCTAAATGACCAGTGAGTCAATGAAGAAATTAAGAAGGACATTTAAAATTGTATTGAAACATATGATAATGGAAACACAACATCCCAAAACCTATGGTATACAGTGAAAGCAGTACAAAGAGGGAAATATATAGCTATTAAGTGCCTACTTCAAAAAAGAAGAAAAACTGCAAATAAACAATTTAAATGATGTATTTTAAAGAACTAGAAAAGCAAGAGCAAACTGAACCCAAAATTAGTACAAGAAAAGAAATAATAAAGATCAGAGCAGAAATAAAATGAAAAAAATACAAAAGATCAATGAAACAGAATGTTGGTTTTTTGAGAAGATAAACAAAATTGACAAACCTTTAGCAAGACTAAGAAAAAAAGAGAGAAGACCCAAATAAATAAAATCAGAGACAAAAAAAGGATACATTACAACTGATACTGCATAAATTCAAAGGATAATTTGTGGCTACTATGAGTGATTACATGCCAATGAACTGGAAACATCTAGAAGAAAAGGACAAATTCCTAGACACATTCAACTTACCAGGATTGAACCCTGAAGAAATCTAAAACCTGAACAAGTCCCAGTAAAGAAAAGCCCAGGACCTGATGGCTTCACTGCTGAATACCAAACATTTAAAGAAGTAACACCAATTATACTCAACTGTTCCAAAAACATAGAGGAAGAAGAACTTCTTCCAAACTCATTCTATGATGGCAGTTATTACCCTGATACCAAAACCAGACAAAGACACATCAAAAAAAGAAAACTACAGGTCAGTATCTCTGATGAATACTGATGCAGAAATCCTTAACAAAATACTAGCAAGCTGAATTCAGCAATACATTAAAAAGATCATATATCATGACTAAGTGGGATTTATCCCTGGGATGCAAGGATGGTTAAACATATGTAAATCAATCAATGTGATACATCATATCAACAGAATGAAAAACAAAAACCATATGATTATTTCAATTGAGGCTGAAAAAGCATTTGATAAAGTTAAACATCTTTTCAGGACAAAACTCAAAAAAAATGGGTATAGAATAGAAAATAATGAAGCACACTTACAAGATCAACATAATAAAAGTCATATATGACAGAACCACAGCTAGTATCATACTGAAGGGAGAAAAATTGAAAGCCTTTCCTGTAAGATCTGGAACATGACAAAGATACCCACTTTCACCATTGTTATTCAACATAGTACTGGAAGTCCTAGCTTGAGCAATCACATAGAGAAAGAAAGAAAGGACATCCAAATTGGAATGGAAGAAGTCAAAATATCCTTGTTTCCAGATGATATAATCTTATATTTGGAAAAACCTAAAGACTCCACCAAAAAAAATGTTAGAACTAATAAGCAAATTCAGTCAAGTTGCAGGATACAAAGTTAACATATAAAAATCAATAGCATTTCTATATGCCAACAGTGAGCAATCTGAAAAAGAAATCAAAAAAGTAATCCCATTACAAGTTCCACAAATAAAATGAAATACTAGGAATTAACCAAAGAAGTGAAAGACCTCAACAATGAAAACTATAAAATGCTGATGAAAGAAATGGAAGAGGACACTAAAAATCAGAAAGATATCCCATGTTCATTGATTAGAAAAATCAATACTGTTAAAATGTCCATACAATCCAAAGCAATCTACAGATTCAATGCAATCCCTATAAAAATACTAATGACATTCTTCACAGAAATAGAAAAAACAATCTTAAAATTCATATGGAATCACAAAAGACACAGAATGGCCAAAGCTATCCTCAACAAAAAGAATAAAACTGGGGGAATCACATTACCTGACTTCAAATTACACTACAGAGCTACAGTAACCAGAACAGCATGGTACTGGCATAAAAACAAACACATAGAACAATAGAATAGAATAGAGAACCCAGAAATGAATCCACTCACATACAGTGAATTCATTTTCAACAAAGGTGCCAAGAACATATATTAGGGAAAAGACAGTCTTTTCAATAAATGGTACTGGGAAAACTGGATATCCATATGCAGAGGAATGAAACTAGATCCCTATCTCTCACCATATTTAAAAATTAAATCAAAATGGGTTAAAGACTTATATCTAAGACCTCAAACTATGAAACTCTATGAGAAAACATTGGGGTCAACTTCTCAGGCACTGATCTGGGCAAAAATTTCTCGAGTAATACCCTACATGCACAAGCAACCAATGCAAAAATGGACAAATGGGATCACAAGTTAGAAAGCTTCTACACAACAAAGGAAACAATCAACAAAGTGAAGAGAAAACCCACAGAATGGGAAGAAATACTTGCAAACTACTCATTTGACAAGGGATTAATTACCAGAATATATAAGGAGCTCAAACAACTCTATAGGAAAAAATCTAGTAATCTGATTAAAAATAGGCAAATGATTTGAATAGACATTTCTCAAAAGAAGAAATACAAATGGCATATAGGCATATGAGAAAGTGCTCAACATCACTGATCATTAGAGAAATGCAAATCTGAACTACAATGAGATATCAACTCACCCCAGTTAAAATGGTTTTTATCCAAAAGTTAGGCAATAACGAATGCTGGCAAGGATATGGAGAAAAAGGAACCCTTGTACACTATTGGTGGGAATGTGAATTAGTACAGCCACTATAAAGAACAGTTTGGAGGTCTCTCAAAAAACTAAAAATAGAGCTACCGTATGATCCAGCAATCCCACTGTTGGGTATATACTCCCCAAAAAGGAAATCAATATACCAAAGAGGTATCTGCACTCCCATGTTTGTTGCAGACTGTTCACAATAGCCAAGATTTGGAAGCAACCTAAGTGTCTATCCACAGATGAATGGATATAGAAAATGTGGTACTTATAAACAGTGGAGTACTGTTTGCCATAATAAAGAATGACATACTGTCATTTGCAACAACATGGATGGAACTGGAGGTCATTATGTTAAGTGAAATAAGCCAGGCACAGAAAGGCAGACATCACATGTTCTTGCTTATTTGTGGGATCTAAAAATCAAAACAATTGAACTCATGGAGATAGAGAGTAGAGGGATGGTTACCAGAGGGTGGGAAGGGTAGTGGGGGAGTGAAGGAGAAGTGGGGATGGTTAATGGGTACAAAAAAAATACAACGAATAAGACCTAGTATTTGATAGCACAACAGGGTGACTATAGTCAATAATAATTTAATTGTACATTTTCAAATAACTAAAAGAATATAATTGGATTGTTTGTAACATGAAGTATAAATGCTTGAGAGGATGGAAACCCAATTTTTCATTATGTGATTTTTTTACACATTGCATGCCTGTACCAAAATAGCTCATGTACTCCATAAATATATATACCTTTTTGTTTAATTAAAAAAAAAGAAAGAAGATAGAAAACAGTGATTCCTGGAAACCATGGATCCAACCTGGAAAGTAGTGGCAGGAGTCTTTGGAAAAGAGTTATACAAGATACCTAAGAGAAACTAATCTAGACTGAGCAAAAGGTCAGAAGACACTTGGAGTGTCCTGGGTCAAAGGAGGATATAGAAAATCTATATGATATGTTTTTTTCTAATAAGGATATGTAAAGGCAAATAGTGTAAGGAAAAAGGCAATTAGGAACCCCAGTAAAAACAAAAACCTACACAAGAAGGGAAATTTACTGATTTAACACTTATTTATTGAAGGCCAATTAAGTGTCATATACTCTGTTAGGGGATAAACATAGAAAACAAATTAAGACACTGTTTCTTCTCCTCATTAGTGCCTCTGTGCTTCGTTTGTCTATATATACAACTTCATTAGTGTATTTATCATAGGTAATGCCACTGTTTATATGACAAGCTCCCCTCCCAGACTATGAATTCCTTGTAAGTCCTACCTTATTCATTTTTGTATCCCTGTGCATACTGGGGTACATAATTTTCAACACTTAATAAAATTGTAGATTTTTTTTTCCTAAAAGTGCTCACACAATCTGATGAGGTAGAACAATGTGGTAATGAGTAAAATTAGATGTACTAAATACTGCAATAAATGTGCACAAATGGCAGTAACTGTACAGAGGAGAGCACACCTAATGTCATCTAGAGGAAAGGCTTCAGAGAAGAAAATGCATGGGCTGAGTCTTGGTGCATAATAAGAGTTTGCCAGGCAGACAAGGTAGAGAAGAGAAAATGGCCTGGGCAAAGGCATGCAGGTCTGGAATAGCGCAGTATATCTAGGGAAGAGCAAGTGGCCTGATACTACCAGAATAGGTACCAATGGAGAATGGGTAGCATATGAGGCTAAAATGTACCAGGGAGAGGTTAGAGCATGAAGAGCTTTGTATGTGGCAGTAATGAGTTTGACTTTTAGACTGTTAACTACTGGGACCAAATATGCAATTGTAAAGCCAGTTTGATTCTACGTAATGTCCACTTGAAATTTTTAGCAAATAACTTCTAGATGCTATTTAGCTATAATGTATACACACATATCTAAAAACCTACCCTCTACCATTGCTTTGTAAAGAGAAATCAGGTATCATGATAGCAGGACAGCAGGTCTATGCCAATTATTAACTATAAATGCAGACAAATGCTACTTATTATAATTTTGAGTTATTCAAGTTTCATTAAAATTTATATCATGAAACCAAGATGTTTTGAATAATTATTTAAAAAAGAAAAATAAATATGTAGACTTTTCATTAGCCCAATTTTAATACCGAAAATAGAAGGCACAGGTCAAATTAACAAATTTAACCAATAAACCCATTTGTTAGTTTTTTCTTCCAGGAAGTTGTATAACTGGCTTTACAACTACATACTGGATCTCACTGTTGTCCCCCAAATAGCATCAGGTGCTAGAAGAGAAGGCAACTCACTTCATTTAGTCTTCTCTGTAAATCTTTGACTTGATGTGAATATTCTTCCAAAACACGTTCAAAGTGTTCCTTTCCAGGAGATGGGATGATTTTTCTAGGAGAATCAAGTTCCACTTCATATTTAGGGAAAAAAGGAACCTGTGTCAAAGTCCCAGCTGAAGATGTGTTTTCAATTATTGTACCACGAATAGATGACACAAAAAATGAACTTGAAGAACCTAAATATTAAAGAATTCATTAATTAACTTTTCGTTTTTTTTGAGAAGGAGTTTCACTGTTATTGCCCAGGCTGGAGTGCAATGGCGCGATCTTGCTCACTGCAACCTCTGCCTCCCGGGTTCAAGCAATTCTCCTGCCTCAGCCTCCTGAGTAGCTGGGATTACAGGAGCGTGCCACCATGCCGGGCTAATTTTTTGTATTTTTAGTAGAAACGGGGTTTCACCATGTTAGCCATGGTGAAACCATGGTCTGGTCTCGTACTCCTGACCTCCTGACCTCAGGTGAGCTGCCCACCTCGGCCTCCCAAAGTGCTGGGATTACAGGCATGAGCCACCACGCCTGGCCCATTAATTAACTTTTTCATAAAATAATTTTGTGCACACTTTATGCTAACTGATTCCCTTATTGAACCCCGAAGAAGCTCAAGGTCTCAAGGGGAAAATACGCATGTGAAAGGATAAAGCAATTTTGGCCTTAAGCTGATGCTGTAGCAGGATGAGACTGCTGGGGGCCTTCTTGGGAGAAGGTGAATGTAATTTGCATGTGAGTGAAATGTAAATAATTTGTGATCGGGGGCAAACTGGTGGTGGTTTTAAAATATGTCCAAAAATTCTTCGATATTCTTCCCTTGAGGAGGTAGAGGTTAATTTCCCTCCTCTTTGTAAGAAAGGAGAAGGAAGAGTGTATGTGTTTATGTGTGTTTGTAGCATTTGCTTAATTTTGGAAAAAAAAAACCCACCTGGAAGAATAAAACAGAAACTCATAAATGCAGTTATCTATGGGGTATAGGGATAGGTGGAAACAGAGTGGTGCAGATAGGGATGGGAGCAAGACTCTATTTAGAGCACACAGTTTACAAAGTTTTTATTTCTGAGCCATATAAATGTTAGATGTATTCAAAAATAAAATTAAAAACAAAATGAAAATAAATTAAATACTAACAGAAACAAGTAAACCTAAGTAAATAAGGAAACTAATAACCACCTCACAGAGAAAAGAAGATTGTTCCTTCAAATAACATTAGAACACAGTGTTAACATTAGAACACTGTACAGCCAGCCTTAGTTACTTAGTAAGTTGTTAATGTTGGTAGTATTGTTATAATTCTGAAACTAGTTCATGTGTATTGTAGAAGAGAGAAAATGAATAAATGTACTGAAGTCTTTGGAAATTAGTGTTTTCACTGTAGGAAAGACACAAATATGAATGATAAGGAAGAACTCTATGGTATTGGATTTGAATTTGAGTTATCAGTGCTTCTAACTTATGATTTTTAAAAATCGACTTCCAAGCTTTAGCCACTGAAAGGTCCTAGACACAATGGCACCTCAGTAGCAATATGCATGCCAGACCTTGATTTCTAAATATGATTCCCTCCTAAAAGGAACAAGGGCTTCCTAGCAAGATAGTTGAATCCAGGTCTGAGGGAACAGGCAAAATACAAGGTGAGCCTGAAACGTTTTGATGTGTCAGAGAGCAAAAAATTGGGGCCATGCCTTTAAAAAGACACAGGAGCCAGTTTAAGGAGCTGGTCAAATTTCATACAACTGAGAATCAAAAACAGTAGTGACAGCAATGCATCATAGCACTTTGAATTAAAAAAACAAAAGATGGTTCTATAATGATAATAGGGAAAGCTGTTTTATTCCTGAAGAATGTCAGCTAATAACTATGATAAAATTAGAAAATCATCAATGTAACAATTGATTTAGGCACAGATCTTTAGTTGATGCTAAAGCCACTGGATGAAGGATTATTTAGTAGCAGGATATTCACAAGGTTTCAAAAGATACACTATAGATTACATATTAATTATAAAGGGGGAAATGTAACTTTCAATTAGTGGGATGTGGCATTATGTGTTCCCTGGTGTAGGCTGTAAAAGTATATATCACTTGGCCGGGCGTGGTGGCTCATGGCTGTAATCCTAGCACTTTGGGAGGCCAAGGCAGGTGGACTGCCTGAGCTCAGGAGTTCAAGACCAGCCTGGGCAACACGATGAAATCCCATCTCTACTGAAAATACAAAAAATTAGCCAGGTGTGGTGGTGTGTGCCTGTAATCCAGCTACTTGGGAGACTGAGGCATGAGAATCATTTGAACCCGGAAAGCAGAGGTGGCAGTGAGCTGAGATCATGCCAATGCACTCCAGCCTGGGCAACAAAGCGAGACTCTGTCTCAAAAAAAAAAAAAAAAAAGTATACATAACTTATGTAAAACTCTTGTCAAATGAGTATAATCTAAATCTGAACATGAGAAACAATTTTTAAAATTCTAGAATGGGGACATTCTATGATACATTCTATAATAACTGGTCTGAACTCTTAAAGCCAATGCCATGAGAAACATACAGAGAGAGAGAGAGAGCGAATGGTTATAAATTTAAAGAGAATAAGGAGAACAAACAACCAAATACAATTCATGATCTTTGATTTGCTCCTAGATTAGTAAAAATACCTAAGACTTTTTGGGAGGACAACTGGAGAAATTTAAATATGAACACATTAGATAATACTGTATTGACAGTATTTATCTTAGATATAATAATGTGATTTGAGAAAATCATCCTTATTCTTAGGAGATGCACATTCAGGTTTTAAAGCAAGAATCATGATGCTTTCAACTAATTTTCAAATGGTCTGGCAAAATAAGATACATATTATAGGTATAGAGATAAAGCAAATATGACAAAATGTGGACAGCTGGTGAATCCAGCTGGAGGGTATATAAGATGTTCACTGTATTGTTCTTTCCATTTTTCTACAACTTCAGAAAATTTCAAATAAAAAGCTGGGAGGGGAACAACACACACTGGGGCCTATTGGGTTGCAGAAGGAGGGAGAGCATCAGGATACATGGCTAATGCATACGGGCTTAATACCTAGGTGATGGGTTGATAGGTGCGGCAAACCACGATGGCACACATTTACCTATGCAACACACCTGCATATCCTGCACATGCATCCCAGAACTTAAAATTAAATTAAATTAAATTTAAAAATAAATAAATAAAAAGCTGTCCATTGGACTTAGCAGAGGGGGAATCTGGCTACATTGGCCAGAGTGATTTCACTGGAATACTGGGAGCAAAAGCTGTAAGATAATAGCTTGTAGAGTGAATGGATGGTGAGAAAACGTAGGTAGGGAATACAGATTTTTCTTTCAGAAGGCACAGCTATGAAGGAGAGATCAGGAAGGGATAGTTTGGGGAAAAGGGTTTTTGTCATTTTGGTTTGTGTGTTATATGTATTTGTTAGTGTTTTCAGATTGGGAGAGACTTGGCATGTTTTTATTGATGGAAAGGTTCAAACGGAGAGAAAAAGGCTGAAGATATGAATGAGCAGGGTGATTTCTGAGCCAGATCTCTGAAGGGGCAGAGGAGTTGACAGTGGGGGGTGAGAAGAAATGCATGGGTAGTGAATTAAGAAGCTGACTCTTCCATTGAGCTATGGGAGAAGGAGGCATGGACTGTGAAAAATAGTGGGCCTTCAGCATAGGATATGAGGAGAAAAGAGAGGACCAGCATAGGGCTTCTATTTTCTCTAGAAATTAGGAAATAATGTTATCTGAGAGTGAGACAGAAGACAGGGGAAGGGAGTTAAGAATGGTGTGATTTTCGTATGTTTATTGCGGCACTATTCACAATAGCAAAGACTTGGAACCAACCCAAATATCCATCAATGACAGACTGGATTAAGAAAATGTGGCACATATACACCATGGAATACTATGCAGCCATAAAAAAGGATGAGTTCATGTCTTTTGTAGAGACATGGATGAAGCTGGAAACCATTATTCTGAGCAAACTATCGCAAGGACAGAAAACCAAACACCGCATGTTCTTACTCGTAGATGGGAATTGAACAACGAGAACACTTGGACACAGGGTGGGGAACATCACATACCGGGGCCTGTTGTGGGGTGGGGGGAGGGGGGAGTGATAGCATTAGGAGATATACCTAATGTAAATGACGAGTTAATGGGTGCAGCACACCAACATGGCACATGTATACATATGTAACAAACCTGCACGGTGTGCACATGTACCCTAGAACTTAAAGTATAATAGTAAAAAAAAAAACTCATACTCCTTCCTCTGCACTACCCACCCACCACCCCCCCAAAAAAAAGAATGGTGTGATTTTGAAATAAGTATTATGGAAAACTGGAAAGATATCTGGCTAAGATCATGAGAAAGATTTCTTAGCAGCATCCAATTGAGATAAGAGACTGACTTTGAAGTGGAAAATCCACATTTGTGTATTTTCCCTAGCAAATTCAAAATCTTGCAGCAGCCCATTGAATAACAGGGAAGGCAGTCAGCCTGATAAGGATTTGGTTTTTCCTGTAAGAGTGCAAGAGAATAATAAAGGGGAAAGGAAGTTGAGAATACTGGCAAGTGACTGGCTGAAATAAGGAATGATACAAAAGAAAGTGAAGATAGAAAGAGGTTGATAATTTTGGAGAAAATGGCAGAACCTAAAGCAGTTGTTCCCAACCTTTGTTATAAATCAGGATCACCTGGGGAGCTTTAAAAAAAACCCAGCGGTGCCTGAGCTCCACTCTAGACCTACTGAATCAGAGTCTCAAGGTGTGGATCTAAGCCATTTAAGTGTTTAAAATCTCAAAAAGTGATTTTTGATATGGGTACACTACCTTCATGTGCAGAAAATAGGTGTACTCTAGGAATAAAGGAGTGAGATGGTTGAAAGATAGGAGCTTAAAAGAAAAACAAACTTCTTCGCCAGTAGCACTCCCACAAGCATGGTGAATGTTCCCAAACACCCATCAGACTTTCTATAAAAAGTGTGGCAAGCACCAACTCCACAAAGTGACACAGTACAAGAAGGGCAAGGATTCTCTGTATGCCCAGAGAAAGCAGCATGATGACAGGAAGCAGAGTGGCTATGGTAGGCAGACTAAGTCAATTTTCTGGAAAAAGACTAAAACGATCAAGATTGTGCTGAGGCCTTGAGTGCATTGAACCCAGCTGCAGATCTAAGAGAACGCTGGCAACTAAGAGAAGCAAGCCCTTGAACTGGCTTGAGATATGAAGAGAAACGGCCAAGCAATCCAGTTATCAGTGTCATCTTTTGTTTTATTATGAAGACAATAAAATCTTGAGTTTATGTTAAAAAATAAAAGACAGGAGGTTGAATTTCAGAAGTCTATCAGTTCTTGGTAATAAGATCCAAAATAAGGGAGTGGGTAACTAGAGTAAAGGTTAAAATAATAAGAATTTAAGAGGTCAAAAAGCTGTAAGTCTAAGATCTCAGATGGGTCACCTATGAGGACAGTATTACAGGATGACGATGCACCTAAGCAGGGAGGGACAACCCGTGATCTAAGTGCCAGTGCCAATAATGAGTATGAGGATGTGGCTATGTAGGAAGTGAGCAAGTGGAGGTGGGCAGGGGAGATGGGTGTGGTAAGGTGGAGATGACAATGGCATTTTAGGATATATGAGCATAGTGAGAAGCAGAAATGTTTATACAATAATGGTGCTGAAAGAAACGTTTTTAAGCAGACCAGTAAAACAACAGATCAGTAACTGAGAATAACCTCTGCATGCACTAAAAGAATGAGTTACATCTGTGATTATCCTATTCTGAACCTGAATTTCTACTAGAAAAAACTTATATGAATCTGGCTTCTGAGATAGACCATTAAATTGAAAAGAAAAAAAGAATGAGGAGAGAGGGGCAAGGAAGGGAAAGTGCAGGTCATTTGCCTGATTGCCCTTGAATGCATTCTCTGTCCTTCCCCTTCTCTGTTGAGTGTTGTAGGTTCCCTTTCTAGTTCTCTTCCACATAGGTTTGCAATGGGAAGAGCTCGCAGAAGAGCTGGAGGCAGCAGAAGAGGGGAAGCCAAGGTCATGGTCCTCTCACTGTCTCAGATGAGGATCTGGTAGTTGGTGGTGGCTTCAGCTCCTTCCAGGCAGCCCTCTCCGTGGTTCTACCTCTAGCTTCCATGCCCTTGCAACAGCTGCTTTTCTCATTGTCCTTCTAGCCAAAGGCATGGTTGGTAGCAGCTTCTTGCAGTTGGTAATTTCTGTGTTGTTTCATCCCTTTAGGCTTTGCAGCTCTTTCAACACCTATGTAACCATTCCTTGTATTAAATTCCAACTATTTATTCCATCTGTGTCTGTTTTCCTGACATAGGAATCACCTTTGATTGAAATAATTTGGATCAGAGGTGATGGGGGCCTGAACCAGAACACCAGTAATGGAAATGGAGAGGGAAAAAATGGATTCAAGAGACATTTCAAAGGTAAAATCAGCAGGGCCTCAGTACCTGACTGGATGTAGCAGCAGGTGAGGAAAAAGAATGAAATGATACAAAATTCTGACTTAGGGCAGACCAAGGAAGGCAGGCTAGGAAGACACAGGAGGAAGAGAAGGCATTAGGGAGGCATGGGGCATGTTGAGGCTGAAGTACTTCAATGTAGAAACATTTTTAAAACAAAAAATTCCTTAAAAGACAAAGGAATCTCTTCTTCAAAAAGTAGAATTATAAACAATATGGTAGACATTCATGATCATGGTCTGTAACCCACATGGTTAAAAATAAAACATACTAGAAACAGCAGCTTGAATGAATATCATGGTTAATTCTATTTTTTCCCCATTTTGTTTTATAAACAGCACATACCTCCATTAGATGTGACACCACTACTTGATAAAAGATCTTCATTATTTGATTCCCAAGCTTTTGATTCCATATTAAATATTGCTACTTCTTATTAGAGATCTTGAAGTATGAATGGTTCCCTCTTTGGTTCTTTTGGTTCCTGTCTATGAAAGACAGAGATTCAATCTTTATTAACAAGGTACTATGTGAAAAAAGTTCATAGAAGAACAGGAACTGACTTTTTAACATTGAAATTTAGTAATAATTTCTTCTCCAGAAAAATAATTATTTATACAGAAATACATTATATTACATAAAATTAATAAGTGAATACAATCTTATGGTGAAAATTATTGATTTTAATAGCCAAGTACATTATTAAAGACAACCTGAAAATAAGAAACTAATTATTGTAGAGGTTTCTCATAAGGTTACACCATCAAATAATGGAAGAAAATATCTCCTTAGCAAAAACCACAAATCATCAAAATGGAAGTCACTAATAAAAGTTGAAGAACTTCTCTGATGTCAAATAGTGCTCACAATTTTCATTTAAGCTAAGAGGAGAATTCTAAATGTGGAGAACAATGGTGGTGGTCTGATTTCAAATCTTCCTCACATCTTCCCAAATAACCATAAAATCAACCAGGCACTCCACACCCCTAGCATCACTGGAAGACAGAGAGTACCACAACCTTCAAATAATCTGCAAGTACAGGGAAATCTTTTTCCAAAACAATTCCCGCAGCCCACCTACCAACACTACAAGCCTAGGGGTACAGAAAATGGGAGGGAAGAGGTAAGCAGAAGACAGAAAAAGTACAGATAAATTCATCCCCAGAGGTGAAAAAGTAAAGGCCAAAATATTAAGCACAGGTTGGAACTTGATAGTCCATAGCCCTGACAATGGGGTAAGGGTTTGAAGAAGTAGCGGCCTCAGAGAAGCAGGGTTTCTTGGGGTGAATGAGATACAGAGAGAAAAAATGGTCTCCCCTAGGGACATGGCAGTCAAGGGAAAGAAGGAAATGAGAGAGGAACACCAAGGAACCAGCAGAAGCAAAACACAAGCTAGATATACCACCCTTCTTCCATCCTTCCCACCCAACACCACTACCCATAAAGAAAGTGCATGGCAGAAGGCAGTCTCAAAGTAGGACCCTTGTCCACAAAATGAATAGGAATAGATAAAAGCAGACTATATCTACTGCAAAATGTCAGAAAACATGAATACAATCTTTTCTGCTGATGAAAAGTCTCTCCCACAAACAACAAACATGAAGCCAAAGAAAACTGAAACATAATACTCCAAACTGAACCCAGTAGGCTCAAACAAGAATTTAGGGTATGAAAAATCACCCCTGAATTAGAAATGTAAAGCCAAAGAATAAAAATGGACAAGAAACAAAACAAGCAAACAAACAAACAAACAGGAAGAGATGAAATGAGAGTTGATTAAAGTTAGGAAAGACAGAGAAATAAAAAACAAAACTATATCAGAAATAAAGACTGAATCACAAAGTACACAAGCGATGACAGGTTGTAATAAAAATTTAATAAAGGCACTGAAGAAAATCAGGAAAGCCACCATGAGAATAAAAAATAAAATAAAGAAGTAAAAAGGGTGAGAGCTGGGTGTGGTGGCTCATGCCTGTAATCCCAGCACTTAGAGATGCAGAAGCAGGAGGATAGCTTGAACCCCGGAGTTCAAGAACTGCCTGGGCAACAGGGCAAGACCCCATTCTCCACAAAAAGGAAGAAAAGAAGACAAAAAAAAGGAGTGAGAGAGGACTGAAATTGAAGACAGGTAAATGAGGTTGAATATAATACAACTGGGTTTCCTAAAGGAAAAACATGAAACAGAACTACTATTTAAAACTATAATCCAAGAAAATTTTCTAGAAATAAAGACCCGAATCTACACATTTTCCATATCAGGGAAAAGTGATCAAGAATGATAAACTCTGAGACATACACTAGTAATACAATATTAAGACTTTAAAGATAATGAAAAAATCCTCAGTGTGTCCAGGCAAAAAAGATGAAATAATTTACAAAGGCAAGAAGATTAGACTGGCACCAGGTTATTAAAAAACAATACACACAGTAAGGCAAGAGTGTAGTAGTACTTTCAAGAAGGGAAAGAAAGGACAAACCAAGGATATTACAGCCAGCCAAGATGTCCCTCAAAAGGTTTGAAGCCACAAAAAAGCAGTTTTGACTGTACCGGGACACTGTGCCGTGTGCCTCTGCTGAGGATTCTACTAGAGAAGATGAGCCTCATTCACCCAGAAGACCACTGTAAAATGTGGCAGTGTCTACAACTGGTGAAGATCTTCAAGGTTTTGTGTAGGTTCTAAATTTTTAAAAGTAAATTTGGAAAAAAAGGATAAAGACAAACATTTAAAAAACAAGACCGGGAAAACTGCAAGGGGACTGATGGTGAATATTTAAATACTCAATTATAGAGTTGAGAAAAACAAAGGTGAGGTAATGGCACTGAATAGCGATATAAATATTATGTGCATGACAAAGGAGAATAAATGTAACTAAAAACGGAAGGAAGAGGGAGAAAAGTGGAAAGTAAAAGACCATTGACTTAAAATGGAATAGACAGCAGTCAAAGGACACCACTTAAAACTGAGAAAAAGTAAAAGGTCAAGTAAGAAAAAGCAGGTTTAAAAGTGCACTATAAAAAGCATAAGTACAAAAGTAACCACTAGAGTAAAAATACAAACCTTCTTAAATGACAAAGAATTTTAAATGGAAACATAAAGAAGAAACACCAAATAAAGAAACTCTAGCAAATATAACACATTCAGTAATTACACCCACAAGATAATAGAATGATGTGAAAAAAATACCACAGAATTTAGACCAAACAGTCATGTTGATTAATGTAAGAGGACTTAACTTGCCTATTGGAAGAAAAGGATTTTCAAATTGACTTTAAAAAAAACAACCCTGCTATGTACAAAAAAGTATGCCTAAAAACACACGCAGAGATTCAAAAAGACTAAAAATAAAAGGATGAACAAAAATTGCCAGGCAAATGAAAACAACAAGAAAGCACGGGTTAAAATCCTAATACCAGACTAAGTTGTCTTCAAGCCAGAGAGCATTAACTAAAACAAATTGCAGTGCACTTGAAGTTAAAAGCCACATTGCACAATAAAGATATGTACCATATAACACAGCAATCACTTGGATAAAGCATAAATCCACAGAAGATACGGTAAGAACTGCAAACGCAGTAATAATGGGAGGCTTTAACGGACAATTAGTATGAGACAGGCCAAGTGGACAAAAAATAAGTAGAGATATAAAAGATTTAGAAGAACTAATCACTAAGGTAGACCTTTTGGCTATATATTAAACACTATACTTTGATAACAGACAATATACTTTCCTCTCCAAGGGCACATGAAACATTCACAAAAATCAGTCATATTCTAGGGCACAAATCAGTAGGTTCCATAAAGTAGGTTTCCATAAAGTAGAAATGTTACAAACAACACCTTCTGGTCACAGTATAATAAAGCTAAAAATTAAAATCAAAATCTCCAAATTAAAAAGGTCTTTCTACCTGGAAATTAAAAGGCCTTCTATTAAACAACTCTTGTGTGATAAGGGAAACACAAGCTGAAATTAAATAATTTCTGAAAAATAATAATGAAAATAGTACATATCAATCTGTGACATACATTAAAATAGTAAAAAGATGAAAATTCCCAGCCCTGGACACCTACATCAATAAAAATGAAATAATAAAAGTAAATTCATTAAGTGTCTAACACAAAAACATAGAAAAATGGGTGAACTAAAAGAAAGCACAAGTAGGAAATAATAAATGCAAAAGCAGAAATTAAGATAGAAAAAAGAAAAACAATGAGTCAAATTCATGAATCAAAATCTTCATTCTCTAAAAAACAAAACAAAATAGATGTGGGTGAGGACCACTAAAGTGATGGGAAGAGGAAGATCATGTAACACGCTGCTTATCATTTTTACATTAATTCATGATTGTAAGCATAAAGTCTCTAAAAATTTAAAAAAACCCTGAGCTTAACAGTTTTTATTAAACGGAATTCATTTTTATTTCACTCACATTTTCTTCCTTTTGATTACTGAGATGCCACCTGTCAAAACTACAATTAACGATAGAACATATCTACCTTAATATGCTTCGTGCTATCGTTTTTTAGGAAGTAAGTAGTAGGTAGGGAGATATTCCATAAAGAATTATAACAAATAGAATGTTAGTCAAGATTGCTAGGCAATTTAAATGTTCTAAATAGAAGAGACTGCTACTTGAGGAAAAAAAAACCTTGCCTATTGAAAGAAAAGGATTTTCAAATTGGCTTATAAAAAACGACTCTATGCTGTGTACAAGAAGGATGCCTTCTCATTTAAACGAGTTTCATTGTGAATGTTTGTTGTATAACTTTACTGATACACTAACATGATACATTTTGGGATTCTTCAGGATAATGAATGACACTAAGAAAGTTCAAATTGCTGAGTAATGTTATCATGAATTAGAGATCAATCAGAAGCATAAAGGAATGAGTAGGACAGATATAGAACCACAACCAAATACTGGCAAATCATATAGTAATTCACTATCAAAGACTTTAGTATTAAGCAGGAAACAGAATCTAAGATCAAGGTAAGCAGAATTGAAAATAGGAGTTAGAGAGTAGAGAAAAGAAGAAAGAGGAAGGTTTGGCTTTAGAATATTCTGATGTGGAAACCACACTTGTCTACTTCGACGTAAGATGATGAATGCTTGCGTTATTCATCATAACTCACTATGAATGCTTGTGTTATTCATAACAGGCTGTTGGAAAGCAGCAGTCCTTCAAAGGGGAATTTTTTTCTTAGAAAATTAGTAGTTTACAGAAGACAGCATAGGTTTATTCACTTAAACAAGAGTTGTTTTTTTAAATTTTTAATTAAAAAATTTTATTATTATTATTTTTTACTGCTCCTTGTGCAGCAGGGCTACCCCATAAGCAGTGTGCCCAGAGTAGTCAGGAGTTTCACTTCTTTATATACATATATGTATATATATATATATTTTTTTATTATACTTTAAGTTCTAGGGTACATGTGCACAACGTGCAGGTTTGTTACATATGTACACATGTGCTATGTTGGTGAGCTGCACCCATTAACTTGTCATTTACATTAGGTATATCTCCTAATGCTATCCCTCCCCGCTCCCCCCACCCCACAACAGGCCCTGGTGTGTGATGTTCCCCTTCCTGTGTTCATGTGTTCTCATTGTTCAATTCCCACCTATGAGTGAGAACATGCGGTGTTTGGTTTTTTGTCCTTGTGATAGTTTGCTGAGAATGATGGTTTCCAGCTTCATCCACGTCCCTACAAAGGGCATGAACTCATCATTTTTTATGGCTGCACAGTATTCCATGGCGTATATGTGCCACATTTTCTTAATCCAGTCTATCATTGTTGGACATTTGGGTTGGTTCCAAGTCTTTGCTATTGTGAATAGTGCCGCAATAAAAACACGTGTTCATGTGTCTTTATAGCCGCATGATTTATAATCCTTTGCATATATACCCAGTAATGGGATGGCTGGGTCAAATGGTATTTCTAGATCTAGATCTCTGAGGAATTGCCACATTGTCTTCCACAATGGCTGAACTAGTTTACAGTCCCACCAACAGTGTAAAAGTGTTCCTATTTCTCCACATCCTCTCCAGCACCTGTTGTTTCCTGACTTTTTAATGATCGCCATTCTAACTGGTGTGAGATGGTATCTCATTGTGGTTTTGATTTGCATTTCTGACGGCCAGTGATGATGAGCATTTTTTCACGTGTCTTTTGGCTGCATAAATGTCTTCTTTTGAGAAGTGTCTGTTCATATCCTTTGCCCACTTTTTGATGGGGTTTCAACAAGAATTTTAAAACAACTGTTTATTTGTAAAGAGGATGCTTAGTATCTCTGTTGCCAATGCTGGTAGTTATTTTGTGTGTGTATTTTAGAGTAATGAAAATCTGCATTTAAATAATATTTGTAATTCATTTTCACTATTTTAGACTGACCATATATCCTGAATTTGGTCAAGTCATCAGTGTTTCTCTACTTTTGTGACACTATAGGAATTGAAATATTTTTCCTATTTTCAGGCATAAAGCTTATGAAATGATTAAAGATTTCTAGAAAAAGCAAGGTTTTTTGCTTCAATAAATCATAAAATTGTTAAAAAAAAAACTCTGCACTTGGTTGAATTGGGGATCATAACATGAACTTACATGTGTTTATTTTAAATCTCTGAGTAAAATACAGAGGTGAGATCTTGGCCTCTTCTGACATGCCGAAGGTCTATTATGAACAGTTCTGCCTGATTTAAAATTATGAACAGGTTCACATTAAAAGGAGCCTTACATTTTTAAAAAGTAGTATCTAGGCCGGGAGCAGTGGCTTACACCTGTAATCCCAGCACTGTGGGAGGCTGAGGCAGGCGGATCATGCGGTCAGGAGATAGAGACCATCCTGGCTAACATGGTGAAACCTCGTCTCTACTAAAAATACAAAAAATTAGCCAGGTGTGGTGGCGGGCGCCTGTATTCCCAGCTATTCGGGAGGCTGAGGCAGGAGAATGGCGTGAACCCGGGAGGTGGAGCTTGCAGTGAGCGGAGATCACGCCACTGCACTCCAGCCTGGGTGACAGAGCGAGACTGTCTCAAAAAATAAATAAATAAAAATAAAAATAAAAAGTAATATCTGTGTATCTATTCTACTCTAGTTATTTGATTGGAATGTTGCCAAAAAAAAAAAGGTCTAAGAAACCACAGACCACAAAGAGGGAACTTTTGGAGGAAAATTCCCTAAAGCCTTAGGCTTTGTTATATAGCTGAGATAAAGCGTTTAAAAGTACCTCCTGGGTTCTGACTCCTGCTCCTTGGAGTCGAAAGGCCCTGGTGGATGTGCACTTATACTTTTCCTAGTATGAATAATCCTCACCTTGATTTCTTTTTGTATGGCTACTACTTAAGGTGGACCTCTCCTGTGACTATCATAGAATGAATAACTGATTTAGAATCCCTTTTTTTTGTTTTGAGACAGAGTCTTGCTCTGTCGTCCAGGCTGGAGTGCAGTGGCACAATCTTGGCTCACTGCAACCTCCACCTCCCATGTTCAAGCAATCCTCCCACCTCAGCCTCCTGAGTAGCTGGGATTACAGGCATGTGGCACCTTGCCCAACTAATTTTTGTATTTTTAGTAGAGATGGGGTTTCACCATGTTGGCCAGGCTGGTCTTGAACTCCTGGCCTCAAGTGATCCACCCACCTCAGCCTCCCAAAGTGCTGGGATTACAGGCGTGAACCACCAGGCCTGGCCCAAGTTCTATTTTGATTGCGTACAGATGACTTATGATGTATGTTCTATTTAGATTCCTGGATTCTTCAACTGACTCAAGCTCCTAGGTTGATGAACCACCCTACCTTCCACAGAAACCTGAGACTGGGGATCTTACAGAACTGATCTACATTCTTCTAGAACCAGTCTGCAGGTATGTTTTCCTTGGGAAATTCTGAGGTACCTCGGGACTGATTCAAAGAAACATACTGGGCTGGTACAATCTCAGAAACACAATAAGGAGAACCATTCATGTTGAACAGTATTGTACTACCTGAATTGCTGTTAGCTGCTTATTAACTTCACATGCTCTCAGTGTCTGTTTTCTCAATCACACTCTTTCAAGTCTCTGGATGTTGTAATCCTAGCTCTGTGATCTACTAGCTGTGCCACCTTGAGAACAATATTTAACCTCTCTATGACTATACGAGGGAGATAAAAAGTATACAGCTTAAAAGGTAAAAGAGTGTATACCTCAAAAGAATAAGAGTTAACTGAGATAACTCACGTGCAGGCCTTCCTACATAGTAACTGCGGCCTTCCTACATAGTAACTGCCTCAACACATACAAGGTACCAGATAATTGGACAGCAATAACATGAATAACAATACTATCTGGCAGGGCACAGTGGCTCACGCCTGTAATCTCAACACTTTGGGAAGCAAAGGTGGGCGGATCACTTGAGCCCAGGATTTAGAGACCAGCCTGGTCAACAGAGTGAGACTCTGTCTTTACAAAAAATGAAAAAATTAGCCGGGCATGGTGGTACTTGCCTGTAGTCCCAGCTACGTGGAAGGGTGAGGTGGGAGGATCCCTTGAGCCCAAGAGTTCAAGGCTGTAATCAGCCATGATCACCACTGCACTCCAGCCTGGGTGACAGAGCAAGACTCCATCTCAAAAAAACAAAAACCAAAAAAAGCACCCCAAAATCCCAATACTATCTTTATAACTTAAGCAGTGTATGTAAACTAACTCATTTTCCCATAATAAAGAGCAATATTGAGTTTCATATAGGCCCACTAACAAAAGAAAGTGGGTTTAATCTGCATTGACTAAACACAGGGACTATTATAATGTAATACGGAATTAAGCTACTTACGATCGCATTTCACCCATACATAATACCATCTAGCAGGGAGGCAATATGGAAGATGCACAGAACTTAGAATCAGGAAACTTAATTCTGTCATTGGTTAACTGTGAGAGCATGGGCAGACCTTTTCATATCTCTGAGTCTCAATTTCCATCCTTACTAAATGAAATTACAGTTGTGTTTTTCAAACCCTTCTTAAGCAGTGGAAATGTTTCTTTAAATCTAAGCGCCACACACCCTCCTCTCTGCCCCAGAGACACCTCTATGGAACACAGAGGGCCCCACTGAACATAGTCTGAAAACCACAAAGATAAAGCTCTTGCAGCTTTTATATTGTAGGCCTACGATATATTTATATTCTGGCCTAGGCATCCATCAAATTCAAGGCTTCAGGTTTTCTAAAATAAATCAGATATAGATACAGATAAAATAGTATTATCAGTTGTATATGTTCACAATTCTTAAATATAACTACAAGTAAAATAAAAGTTACCTTAACTTCTGGATATTCTTATTTTCACTTATTCTATTAATATCTGAAAAAACAAAATATTTAAAATCTGTTCATTTATATATATTTCATTAACTGAAATTTATTATTTCAAAAGTTCAATTTACAAATTCATGTTCATCACTTAAGACCTTGACAATATGTAAAACACACATATAACAATGGCAACAAGAAGTGTTATTTTTTCCTTTTATGTGAAAGTACATTTTAAGAGCCTAGAGCAGGCCAGGCATGGTGGCTAATACCTGTAATCCCAACACTTTGGGAGGCTGAGGAAGGAAGACTGCTTGAGGCCAGGAGTTTGAGATCAGCCTAGGCCACATAGTAAGACCTTGCCTCTACAAAAAATTTTTTTAAAAATAGCCTATAGTGGCCGGGCATGGTGGCTCATGACTGTTATCCCAGTATTTTGGGAAGCTGAGGTGGGCGCATCACTTGAGGCCAGGAATTCAAGACCAACATGGGGAAACCCCGTCTCTACTAAAAATACAAAAATTAGCTGGCCATGGTGGCATGTGCCTGTAATCCCAGCTACTTGGGAGGCTGAGGCAGGAGAATTGCTTGACATGGGAGGCAGATATTGCAGTGAGCCGAGATTGTGCCACTACACTCCAGCCTGGGTGACAGAACGAGACTCCATCTCAAAGAAAAGAAAAAAATAGCCTATAGCACTTATCTAAATCATGTTTTTACAACAAAATGTGTTTAATTATATGCTATTGGCCCAATTTTAATTTTAGTGGCACAGATCTCATTGGCACTATCAAGATAATGTAGCAAGTAAACCTACAGGCACATATGACCTAATATCAATATTCTCAGACCTGGCCTTTCTCCAGGTACAGTCCAAACTGACTTAAATAGACCAGCTAAATATCTTCTGACCATTTTAACTGCTCTTCACTGTTTGGAAATGCTCTTGACCAGGCAACATCACTTGTGCTTGGTTAGAGAAGTAATTGGGTAGAGAAACTTCTGTCTGGTGAGTCAAAACAGGTCTATCTATATATTGTAAGCAGGTATACCGAAATGATAAACCACCAAGATTTTTGGAATATCTCGGTGGAATGTAAGCAGTTTTTCCACATTTAAAAAAATGAATGAGCCTGTAATCCCAGCACTTTGGGAGGCCAAGGAGGGATAATTGCTTGAGCTCAGGAGTTTGAGACCAGCCTGGACAATATAGTGAGATCCCGTCTCTACAAAAAATTTTAAAAATTAGCTGGGTATGGTGGTCCATACCTGTAGTCCCAGCTCCTCAGGAGGCCGAGGTGGGAGTATAACCTCAGCCCAGGAGGTTGAGGCTGCAGTGAGCCGTGATCACACCACTGCACTCCAGCTTGGGCAACAGAGTGAGACCTTGTCTCAAAAAAAAAAAAAAAAAGGAAAAGAAAAAAATGAATATATTCTATGTGCAGAATTCAGACTAATGAATGGAAGTAAAGAGAGACAGAGTTTAGTTCAAGGTGGAGATGGATTTTCTAAAGACTAGAGCACCCTGAATATATATGTGGAGGGCTTCCTTGAGAGGTGTTGAAGATAAGAATGGGTGAGCACTTGTTGAAATGGCAACTGCCACTGGTATTCTTTCTTGGGTAGAGTGTTGGACTAGAAAAATCTCTAAAATCTTCTCCAGTTTGGACATTCTATGATTTCCCATGGAAAACATCCAACAAAAACCTGACCTAAAATATGATGACTTCTCACAGATGATATCAGTCAACAGCAAAGCCAGATAGGAACAATTCTAAACTGCTTCCAGCAAGTTTCATGCTATTTTGTTAAAAATGTTTGGCTCTAGATAAATTAGAATAAAGTTTTTACTTTTCTTTTTTCTTTCTTTCTTTTTTTTGAGACAGGGTCTCACTTTGTCACCCAGGTGGCTGTGCAGTGGTGGCTCAAGTGATCCTTCCACCTCAGTCCCCCAAGTAGCTGGGACTACAGCTGCACACCACCATGCCTGGCTAATTTTTGTATTTTTAGTAGAGACGGGGTTTTGCCATGTTGCGCAGGCTGGTCTTGAACTCCTGAACTCCAGGGATCTGTCTGTCCCAGCCTCCCAAAGTGCTAGGACAGGGATAAGCCACCATTCCCAGCTAAGTTTTTTTCCTTTAACATTTCTGCATATATGTTTACAGTCGTATTAAATTCACCTTATCCCAAATCTGCTCTTTTCATCTCCTCACTAAACCTTCTTTCTTGGGTGTTTCAAGTATCTTCATCAATTCAAATTCCATATCCAATTAATCACCATATTCTGTTAAGTTTAAAATCAAGACCAATCAAGTTTCCACCCTCATGAATTTATATTCCAATGGGGAAAGAAAGGCATTAAGGGGAAAAAAATCACAAATATAATTTTGGAGAGTTGTCAAGTACAATAAAGAAAATAACAAAGAACAGTGGTATAAAGAGAGATGGAGTTGAGACTCCTGATATGGTTTGGCTGTGTCCCCACCCAAATCTCAACTTGAACAGTATCTCCCAGAATTCCCACGTGTGTGGGAGGGACCCAGGATGAGGTAATTGAATCATGGAGGCCGGTCTTTCCCGTGCTATTCTTGTGATAGTGAATAAGTTTTATGAGATCCGATGGGGTTGTAAGGGTTTTCCGCTTTTGCTTCTTCATTTTCTCTTGCTGCTGCCAAGTAAGAAGTGCCTTTTGCCTCCTTCATGATTCTGAAACCTCCCCAGCCGTGTGGAACTGTAAGTCCAATTAAACCTCTTTTTCTTCTTCTCAGTATGTCTTTAACAGCAGCGTGAAAACAGACTAATACAGTAAATTGGTACCAGTAGTGTGGGGCATTGCTGAAAAGATACCAGAAAATGTGGACGCGACTTTGCAACTGGGTAACAGGCAGAGGTTGGAACAGTTTGGAGGGCTCAGATGAAGACAGGAAAATGTGAACTTCCTAGAGAATTGTTGAATGGCTTTGCCCAAGGTGCCAATAACAATATGGACAATAAGGTCCAGGCTGAGGTGGTCAGATGGAGATGAGGAACTTGTTGGGAACTAGAGTAAAGTTCTTGCTATGTAAGAACTTTAAGCATAGTAAACTCTTGCTATGCTTTAGCAAAGAGTCTGGTAGCATTTTGCCCCTTCTCTAAAGATCTGTGGAACTTTGATCTTGAGAGAGATGATTTAGGGTATCTGGCAGGATAAATTTCTAAGCAGCAAACCATTAGAGAGGTGACCCGGGTACTGTTAAAGCCATTCAGTTTTATAAGGGAAGCAGAGCATAAAAGTTTGGAAAATTTGCAGCCTGACTATGTGATAGAAAAGGAAAATCCATTTTCTGGGGAGAAATTCAAGCCGGCTGCAGAAATTTGCATAAGTAGCAAGGAGTCTGTGGGCGGCAAGCCATCCAGGTGCCGAGGCAAGAGACCGAGGGCATGAGCTGTTCCAGTATAATAAAATATACAAAATAATAAGAATAGTTATACTAGATATAGATCTTAGATATGATTATATATGAATATCATTAATCATTAGCTTGTAGCAATTATTCTTTATTCCAATATTATAATAATCCTCACTCTACAATCATAACCTAGGAAAAACCAGGCCATACAGAGATAGGAGCTGAGGGGACATAGTGAGAAGTGACCAGAAGATGAGTGCAAGCCTTCTGTTATGCCCGGACAGGGCCACCAAAGGGCTCCTTGGTCTAACGGTAATGCCAGTGTCTGGGAAGACGCCCATTTTCAAGTGGACTGTGGTCTAGTGGTAGCGTCAGTGTCAAGGAAAAATACCCGCTACTTAGCAGACCGGGAAAGGGAGTCTCAATTTCCCCGGGGGAGTTTAGAGAAGACTCTACTCCTCCACCTCTTGTGGAGGGCCTGACAGGCCCGCCTGCAGTTATCCAGAGGCCTAACCGTCTCCCTGTGATGCTGTCCTTCAGTGGTCATGCTCCTAGTCCGCCTTCATCTTCCATCCTGTTCACCTGGCTCTGCCTTTTAGATAGCAGTAGCAAATTAGTGAAAGTACTAGAAGTCTCTGATAAGCAGAAATAATGGTGTAAGCTGTCTCTCTCTCTCTCCTCTCTCTCTCTGCCTCAGCTGCCAGGCAGGGAACGGCCCCCTGTCCAGTGGACATGGGACCCATGTGACCTTACCTATCATTGGAGATGGCTCACACTCCTTACCCTGCCCCTTTTCTTGTATCCAATAAATATCAGCACAGCCTGGCATTTGGGGCCACTACCGGTCTCCGCGTCTTGGTTGTAGTGGTCCCCCAGGCCCAGCTGTCTTTTATCTCTTTGTCTTGTCTCTTTATTTCTACACTCTCTCATCTCCGCACACGGGGAGAAAACCCACTGACCCTGTGGGGCTGGACTCTACAGAGTCTAATGTTAATCCCCAAGACCATGGGAAAATGTCTCCAGGCCATGTCAGAGACCTTCATGGCAGCCCACCCCAACACAGGCCCAGAGGCCCAGGAGAAAAAAGTGGTTTTGTGGGCTGAGCCCAGGGTCCCTGTGCTGTGTGCAGCCTAGGGACTTCGTGCCCTGTGTCCCAGCTGCTCCAGTCATGGCTGAAAGGGGCCAATGTGCAGCTCAGGCTGTGGCTTCAGAGACTGGAAACTCCAAGCCTTGGCAGCTTCCATGTGGTGTTAAGCCTGAAGGTGCACAGGCCTCAAGAATTGAGGTTTGGGAACCTCTGCCTAGATGTCAGATGTATGGAAACGCCTGGATGCCCAGGCAAAAGTTTGCTGTAGGGATGGGACCGTTATGGAGAACCTCTGCTAGCTCAGTGCTGAAGGGAAATGTGGGGTTGGAACCCCCACACAGAGTCCCTACTGGGCACTGCCTAATGGAGTTGTTAAGAAGAGGGCCACCATCCTCCAGACCCCAGAATGGTAGATCCACCAACACCTTGCACTGTGCACCTGAAAAGCTGCAGACACTCAACACCAGCCCATGAAAGCATCTGGGAGAGAGGCTGTACCCTGCAAAGCCACAGGGGTTGGAGCTGCCCAAGACCATGGGAACCCATCTCTCGCATCAGCGTGACCTTGATGTGAGACATGGAGTCAAAGGAGATCATTTTGTAGCTTTAAAATTTGACTGCCCTGCTGGATTTTGGATTTGCATGGGCCCTGTAACTCCTTTGTTTTGGCCAATTTCTCCTATTTAGAATGGCTATATGTACCCAATACCTGTACCCTCATTGTATCTAGGAAGTAACTAGCTTGTTTTTGATTTTACAGGCTCATAGCCAGAAGGGACTTGGCTCGTCTCAGATGAGACTTTGGACTGAAGACTTTTGCATTAATGCTGAAATGAGTTAAGACTTTGGGGGACTACTGGTAAGGCATGATTGGTTTTGAAATGTAAGGACATGAGATTTGGAGGGGCCACAGGTGGAATGATATGGTTTGCCTGTGTCCCCACCCAAATCTCAACTTGAACTGTATATCCCAGAATTCCCATGTGTCATGGGAGCGACCCAGGGGGAGGTAATTTTCTCTTGCTGCCGCCATGTAAGAAGTGCCTTTTGCCTCCCACCATGATTCTGAGGCCTTCCCAGCCATGTGGAACTGTAAGTCCAATTAAACCTCTTTTTCTTCCCACTCTCGGGTATGTCTTAGCAGCATGAAAACAGACTAACACAGCTCCTCTAGTTAGGGTAGGTGAGGGAAGGCCTTCCTAAGGAGGTGGCATTGAACTGAATGACAGAAAGGGGTCAGCCTCACAGTGGCCAGGGATAACTTCTTAAAAGAAATGCCATCACAAAGGCCCAAAAATGAGAAGAGCTCAGTGTTCACTGACTCCCAGTGAAGAAGGCTAATGAGGCTGCAGGGTAGCTAAGTGGGGATGAGAGGGCTTCTAATGGAGGCCAACTATGTGTCATGCCAAAAGGAACACTGTGCTTATCACTTCCTTTCCTACACTATCCTGAGAAGATGTCAGTGAGGTTGGCGGAGGTAAAGCTCATGGGGCCTTGAAAAGGCCACATACTGAAGACTTTGGGGCTTATTCTAAACGCAACGCAAAGCACTGGAGGATTTTAATCAAGGGCATATGATCCTCCAGCGGCTGAGTAGAGAATACACTAGGAGAAGCTGGGGCTAGCTATAAAGCCATTGGAGCAGTCCAACAAAGGGACTAAAACCCAACTCTGAAGTAGGCCAGTCATTAAAAGCAGATGGTGCTGGGGTTGGGAATGGGGATTGACTACAGAAGGGTACAAGGCATCATTTTTGGATGATGAAAATGTTCTAAAACTGAATTGTGTGCTGATTGTACAATTCAGTAAGTTTATTAAAAATCACTGGACTGTCCACTTAAAACAGGTGAATTTTATGGTATGTAAATTATACCTTATAAAGCAGTTTGAAAAGAAAGCAGATGTGGGGAGTGTATTAGTCTGTTTTCATGCTGCTGATAAAGACATTCCCAAGACTGGGTAATTTATAAAGAAAAAAGAGGTTTAATGGACTCACAGTTTCACATGGCTGGGGAGGCCTCACGATCATGGAGGAAGAGCAAGGGAAGTCTTATGTGGCGGCAGGCAAGAGAGAGCTTGTGCAGGGGGAGCTCCCCTTTATAAAACCATCAGATCTTGTGAGGCTTATTCACTATCACGAGAACAGCACAGGAAAGACCTGCCCCCATGATTCAATTACCTTCCACTGGGTCCCTCCCGCAACACACGGGAATTGTGGGAGCTACAATCCAAGATGAGATTTGGGTGGGGATACAGCCAAACCATATCAAGGAAAGTGGGAAGTGTAAATTAGCTGCCTGGGTCCCAGAAGTGAATCATTAAACTTGAACACTGAATTTTCCTGTATCCTGAAAACTCCAAAGTATCTTAATTCCAGATGACTAGCGGTTGCTTTTAGCCATATTTTAATACATGGAAGCACTTCTGCATTCCCTCTTTTCCCCAGGCCTGGACCTCAATCCCCAGGTGTCTGCAACTCTTACTTGATATACACACAATGGATAATCAATAATGATTCAGCTAAGGTAAGGACAAAGCCTTTGCCACTTTTTACCTTTATTCTTTTTAGCCAGAGCAAATAGTGATATATTAATAGGAATACTCTTAAAAAATTGCTTTAAATGCCAGACTACCTCCTTCATATGCACCACTTAAATTTCTTTTCTTACCAAATTCCCTATTCAAATCCTTTCTTTAGGATTTACAGGATTCAGATAAATATACAGTGATCTCCACTACTGTACCCCACTATTGCCCCAGCTGAAGACCTGTAAACTATTCATCAGTACAGCATGTATGTGATTTATGAGCACGCTCATATGTATTAGTTCCCTACAGTTTCCATAACAAATTATCAAAACTCGGTAGCTTAAAACAATAGCAACTTATTCTTTCATAATTCTGGAGGCCAGGAATCCAAAATCAGTCTCATGGGGAAGAAAGCATGGTGTTGGCAGGGCTCCCTCCCTCCCTCTGGAGGCTCTGCAAGAGAATCAGTTCCTTGCCTCTTCTAGCTCTGCTGGTTGCCAGGCATTTGGTGACTTGTGGCCACATCACTCCAATATCTGCCTCTGTGGTCACATTGCCTTCTCTTCGGCCTATATCAAATCTGCTTCTCTCTCTCTCTTAGGACCTTTGCGTTTGCATTTAGGACCCACCTAGATAATTCACGATAATCTCTCCATTTCAAGCTACTTAATCACGTATGCAAAGGCACTTTTCCCTTATAAGGTAACATTTACAGGTTTCAGGGATTAGGACCTGACATATTTGAGTGGCCACTGCTCAGCCTACCATATAATTTGGGGCCATCTAGCTGGGGGACGGGTGGATCACAAGAGGCCCTGTTTAATAAATGGTGGAGGTCTAAAGTGGCTCACTCATAACATACTAGATAAAACTAAGTCCTCATTGTAAATGCACAACAACAGTAAGGGCTTTGCATACATACAAATAAATTGCTGTCCTCAATTTGTTTTGGGAGTATAATATTAACTCTATGGCATGGAAACCATTTCACCCACAACACAAGTAAGATAACCGCACTAAGATTAAAAGCAATGAGCGCAGTACAGAGATAGGAGGACCACATCTCTCTCAGCACTCCTGCACCCTTACCTGATGAGCTTCCGCACAGAGAAACAGTCCTACCTAGCATGTCTCTGGGATATGTGGAAGCCCTGGTCCTTTCCCCACACGCCCCCGCCATACCCGGCCACAACGCCTTAATCTCCTGCTGAGAGAAGCAGCAAGAACTGGTTGCCAGTCAAAAAACCTGGGCAACAGCCGACCTCACTTCTACTTTCCCCTGACGTTGGAGTTCAGCATGAGGCACAAACAAAACCTGGAGCAGCCTGAGTGGGGCCTGGAGCAGAGTGCTGTGGAAAAGGATGGAGACTTTCCAGAACTCATTGTGTTGCTGATTGATGCTGATAATGAGGGAAAGCTCTGACCCCCACATGTGGTTTAAAGACAGGGCTCAAGCTGAAAGGGCCCTTGCGCCGGCATTTAACACCATTCCGTCTTGGATGCGAGGCTGTCCTCTCTACCACCAAGTCTTCCCCATCTCCTCCCCCTGTTCGCGGCAGCGCGGTAGACACAGAGTCAGCAGTCACGTTGGGGCAGGTTACTCGGTGATTCTCTTCCCCACAAATCAAATCAGTTTGCGCAGGCCCCTGTGTTCTTCAAGGTCCAGGTTTCAGCGCCACCGTCCCCAGGGGTCTTGCAATCCCCTAAAACAACAGCAGCTCATTCCAGTAAAGAAACAATTTATTGGGCATCTTCCATGTGCAGAACAAACACGAGGCACCGGAAGATTCCAGAAATGAACACGAGTCGCTCCGGGTCCTCAGAAGAACCCCACTCCCACCCCACCATCCTCGTCTCCCGGGCCGCGCCCCGCTTGTACCTGCAACCAACACCTAATCCTAAGACACCGGCCACATCTCCGCGGGGCGCCGGCGGGCGCAGCGGCCCCACCTACGTCGACCTGGCGGCTGGGACGGGGCGGCTCCCCACTCTTCGCCCCTAGGCCCCGCGGAGGCTGCGGGGCGGCTCCTCCTCCTCGGCTGCGGCGCCGGAAGCTGCCCGCGCCCGTCACTCCTCGCGGCTGTGGCGCTCGGGGCGCTGCCCAGTCCGCGCGAGCCGCGTGGGTGACGGTTAGGACGCTCTGCGAGGCTTCGTAGTTGGGGGAGGGGAGGAGGGGGGTGCTCGGCAGCTGCCCGGCGGGGACCCCTCCCGCGCCTGCGACTCCGCCCGCCGGACGCCGTCGCTGGGGCATCCGAGCGTCGAAGTCCCCACCACCGCCCGGGCGCCCTAAGGAGTG